>NC_000012.12:1424730-2839460 GCF_000001405.40 Homo sapiens
ATTGCCTGTGATTCTCTCTACCCAGCCGTCTGCTGAAAGTGTGTCTTGAGAAGAGCTTGAGATGATAGATAGATAGATAGATAGATAGATAGATAGATAGATAGATAGATAGATGATAGATAGATAGATAGATCGATAGATAGATAGATAGATAGATAGATAGATAGATAGATAGATAGATAATCTGTCTCTACTCCACAGGTCGATAATAGCTCACTAACGCATAGCCAGGGAGATGTCAGAGTGGCTTGAGACCTCAAGAAGCTTTTTCTTAAATCCTTAAAACCTAAGAACCTTTTTTTTTCTTTTCTTATTGTTCAGTTGCCTGTTAATTTTTTGTGGGGAGTAGGGGTTGGAATAGCATGCTACTGCTTAGAGTAGAACAGGGTTAGAATTCTTTGCTGCCAGGAGTATTATTTCCTTTAAATTTGTGTTTCTGTTGTGTAAACAAAACTATCTGCTTCCTGGAACATAAAGCACATACATAATTTTAGTAGGCACTTATGCTGGATTGTGCTTGGTAGTTGGCAGTGAGAGCACTTTTTAGTGTGATGGCATAGCCACATCTCTTGTGGGGACAGGAATATTTTCCTGTTAGAGTGGATGGTGACCTCTTCTGCATTCTGCTTTCTTCCCCTTCCCCACAGACTTGTAGAAGCTCTTGACAAACAGAGCAGAGAAACAAACTTAAGTACCAGCATTCTCACCAGCCCAAATTCCTGAATCTCTGACTGTCCTAAGACATGCCAGTTGTCTGTACCTGTGCAGCCTTTCCTCATAGCAAGGACTGGAACAGAGGAGGAACTGGTTACAGTAATCATCATTCCCCTGTGAACAAAGGTCTCACGCAGTCATTTCTCCTCAGTGTGTTTTCGGCTTCACAGAATGACTGTGAGACAATGTTGATCTGTTTACGTCACTTAGAGCTTTCAGCACATCCTTTTAATGGCCAAACTTACTTTTTTTCTGACAGACTTAGTATTAGGATCAACTATCATTTTTCTGGCCCTAATGCACAGAGCTATTAAATTCCTCAAGGTTCAGATATGTCTGTTTTTCTGCGTAACATGAATTATCCAAGAAAAATGTAGACACCTACTTAAAGTAATAGAAAAAGCATTGAATCAGGGTCAGAGACTTCAAAGTAATCCATTAACCTCTTGGTACCTCAGTTTATTCATCTCTGAAATGGAAGTGATGATAACTATCCTACTTTTCTTGAGGCACCGATGTAATGAATGTGAAAGTAGTTTGTAAATCCATAATTTGCCATACAATTAATAGCTGTTGTTTACTAACCTGTAGGTAGCCACCATGTACTTCTATATAGCTTTTGCATAGTATCTGAAGTCTAACACAGGGAGTTTTTAGATTTTTTTTTTTTTTTTTTGAGATGGAGCTTCGCTCTTATTGCCCAGGCTGGAGTGCAATGGTGCGATCTCTGCTCACTGCAACCTCCACCTCCTGGGTTCAAGTGATTCTCCTGCCTCAGCCTCCCAGGTAGCTGGGATTACAAGTGCGTGCACCACCACACCCGTCTAGTTTTGTATTCTTAGTAGAGACAGGTTTTCACCGTGTTGGCCAGGCTGGTCTCGAACTCCTGACCTCAGGTGATCCACCCGCCTCAACCTCCCAAAATGCTGGCATTACAGGTATGAGCCACTTTGCCCGGCCTTTAGAACATTCTTTACAAGTAAGTTAGAGGAATGTCAATAGGAGCAGGGTGTAGTCGTTTACTAATATTGGAAGATACCAGATTTCTGGATTTTTAGGGTTAGTCTCTTTTGTTAAACATTAATATTCTCTAGAACTCAATTACTTTTGAATAACTTGCAGAAATTCCCAGAATTCTAGGATCTTTGCTCTAGACTATACAGCTTTTGCCAAATTTAGACTACAACTATATTGTACGTTTTGTGGACTACAGTAGTTCGTCTAGTGTGGTATAGTAATGCATACTATTGCAGATTTGAAAGCTCTGTCAACATTATCATATCACTGGAATGCTGCTTTTATTTCTTAATTCTACCCCAGGTTGTCTTACCATTCTGTCTTTGTACCTCTAAATTCAATGTGTCGTTCTTTTTTTCTTCATAATTTAGAGTGGTTTGTGACTGGGCCACATTCCATCTTCCACCTTTTTCGTAAAAACCATTTTTTCTCCATAGAAGTATCAAAACCTTTGGAATTCCTTCAAAACAGCTGTGTCTGCCCTCCTTCTAGTGGCCCACTAGAACATATATGTCTGGAGAGCTGCAGTGCCTGGGACACTACAGGCAGATATATATACTTTATTCTTAACTAGAATTTCTCTGATAACTGGACACCAGCCTAGAAGTGTCTCAGACCTGCTTTCATCTGCTCTTTGTGTTCTTAAATCCCAGACAGACCCTTCCAGAACCAGATGACCATCAAGACAAAAGCATACTCAAGCAGACAAGAAAGGAGTAGGTCTCACCATATCTCCTAGATTTATAATGTGTGCTCTCTACCTGGCAGACACTACACATACTGTGTAAAGCACTGCTGGGGGCCTTCTTTGTGTGAAACCTGGGTGCCTCGATGCCTATCAGAACTTTTACATGAGGAAGTTGGATTGGAGGAGAGATTTATAGTCAACAGTAACCACTTAACTTGGAAAACAGAAAAGAAAAAGAATCGTCCATAATCCCATCACCCCGATGCAATCTCAGTGAATATCACAGATCAGCATTACTGTTTCTCTTATGTGCTGTTGTCATAATTGTGATACATGACAGTAGTGCAACTATAAATTTCGTATTTTCTTTTTTTTAATATATTGCATCCCACCTGTAAAACTGGCAAGATATATTTTCTTTTGCTTCCCCTACAGGGCGTTTGTATTATTTTGAGGGCCTTTTAACTTGGTGATAAAGAGTGTCTTTGCCCTAAGACCTAATTTGAATCCAGCGTGGTGGTCGTGTAACTGCCCACAAGTCACGTCACTTCTTCTCTAAGCATCAGGTCCCTCATTTGTTAAATGGCAATCATAAAACCTATGCCAAAGGTTAAGGTGGGAATTAAATGTAATAATGTAGTCAGTGCACTCAGCCCTTTGCCTGACATATAGGACGTGCTCAATAAATGGCAGTGAGGGTGACATTGAGGCAGAGACCTCTTAGGCTACATGAGTGCATTGTAAGTAATTTGGGGTAGAACCTTTTACTTAATGTATTTTAAGACATCATTTATAGTGTTTCACAGGTAGATCCTGCTTTTCTGTGGTTTCTGTTGAGTGATTTAAGGTGGCATTTGTCCTGGGACTCACTTGATTTATTTATTAGACTGAAAATTATATAGCATTTGAAGCATCTCTGGAACATATGCACTCAGATCCGTGGGTTCATATCTTAATGATTATGGGCATTTTACTAATGAGGAAGAGCTATCTTCCCCTATTTGTGGTATTATTTGTGATTTAGACATTCTTCCTGGACAACAAAGTATCTTTGTACTTTGTACAAAATAAAACTCTTCACGTATTACTTGTTTCCCACACAGTCATCTGAAAATGTGGGCACCCGACAGGGCTCAACAAATATTTATTTAAATAAAACGTGGATGAGTTTTACCCTAAAGAAAAGTTGCATGTATGTTATTTACAGTTTTCTGCAGTGTAGTAGCTATTTTTAATCTTTTGGTTTCTCCCTGCACCCTAATAGGTTATCCTATAATTGGGTTCCGTTCATGTGTATTAGTGTCCCAGGCTGATCTTAGCTCCAGTAAATACCTAGTGTGCCTTCTAGAATGTTATATCATGAAGTTCGTTACTCACCCCCCTCAGTTAGCCTACGACTTGACCTTTTTTTAATACCAGTTTTGGAAGACAGGCCTAACACTTGTGTATTCCATCACATCTTGATTTCATAGAGTTACGTTGTGGAGGATATGGTTCAACTCACATTTTATCTGAAATATTAAACAGCAGACCCTTTACGATAGGACCCCGCAGTACTGCTTTCATTCACTTGTCCTCAGCTCCGCGCTGATTTGTTCTTCAGGATTACTATCTGTTTTGGGTTAACTGTTTTGCAGTTCTTAGACACAGAACTGCATTATCAACCAAAATAAAAGAGCTATTCTCCCTGATGTGCCTTCCTTCTTCTTCCTGATCCTAGGATGATGAGGCTAAAGTTTCCAGCTGGATCTGGCTCGGCATTTCTGGGATAAATTAAATGAGCACACTTGATTGAGGGGTAGCTGCACTGTATCCCTGGCTTCCTATTATGCTAGGAGATCAAAGCAGAGCACAAATAGAGGCTTGCTCTATACAATATTCAAAACAGATGGCTTTTTTTTGGTGAAAATTCAGGTTTTAAGGCAAAACACTTGTTAGCAAAACTTCATTTCTTTTCATTGATAGATAGTCACTACTGAACACATAGCACTGTTTCTTCCTGTATTTCAAGACTAGGATCACAAACTTTTTGCAGGAGGAGGGATTTGGCAAGCCTAGAAAGGTATTAGATTGTCTGTGTCTTCATGTGAATATGAAATAAGTTATTAAGATTTTGCTGTTGGTATTCTAGAATCAAATGAAAACATCTTACATTTGGTCACATAATCATTTTGTTGTTGGGTCACTATTTAAAAATCTAGTACTCATATTGTTTTGTCTTCTAAGAATTGAACCAGGATGTTTATCTCTGATTTCATGTTTTAACTGAAAAGTACATTCTCCACACTCCTTTATCATTTACATCTGAATCCTCAAGTTCATGTAGAATAATTCTATGTGATGTGAAACTTTTATTATTTTGGTTTAAAACTGAAATGAGAAATAAGATTAATTCAAAAATATTTTTGGGACGTCTGCCATGTGCCTAACACTGCATTAGGTACGTGGTAAAAAATACATGTTTCAAGACATTGAAACAACTGCTAAATGATGGATTTTCTCCAACAGAGAAAAATTATACAAGATGCAATAGAAAAACCCAGGTCTCCAGAGAGATTTAGGGGTTCACAAAGAAGGTGACACTTGAGCTAACTCTTGAAGGAGCAGTAGGCATTTGCCAGGCAGATACAATTTTAGATAAGGACATTTGCAAAGATATAGAAGCATAAGCAGCATAACAAATTTAGTATATTCTTGGCAGCTCATTATACATAGTAGTTCGGGTGTATGTCAATTATCTGTTGCAGCATTACACATTACCCCAAAGTGTGGCAGCATAAAACAACAATAAATGATTTTCATCTCAGTGGTTTCTATGTGCCAGGAATTCAGCAGCGTCTTAGCTGGGCAGTTCTTACTTGGGGTCTCTCATGGGACCGCAATTATCTAAAACCTTCCCTGGGGATAGAACAGCCAATTCCAGGATTGCTCACCCACAGTTTGTGCCACCTATTGGAAGGAACCTTCCGTTCCTTGCCATATGGAACCTCTCCATTGGGCTCCTGGATGTGGTGACATGGAGTCCAGCTTCACCCAAAATGAGTGATCCAAGAGATGAGAGCCAGAAGGAAGCCACAATGCCTTTTATGACCTAGAATCATAAGTTACACAACATCCCTTCGGCCACATTCTGTTCCTTAGAAGTGAGTCACTAAGACCATCCCACACTGAGTGGGGTATTAGGGCTTAGGCACCACTTTTTGAAAGGAGGAATGCTAAATAATTTTCAGGCTTTTTTTTTTTTTGGCAGCAGAGTCTCGCTCTGTTGCCCAGGCTGGAGTGCAGTGGCTTGATCTCGGCTCTCTGCAACCTCTGCCTCCCGGGTTCAAGCGATTCTCCTGCCTCAGCCTCCCGAGTATCTGGGATTACAGGCATGCACCACCACACTTGGCTAATTTTTTTGTATTTTTAGTAGAGACAGGGTTTCACCATGTTGGCCAGGCTAGTCTCAAACTCCTGACCTCAAGAGATTCACCTGCCTTGGCCTCCCAAAGTGCTGGAATTACAGGCATGAGCCACTGCACCCAGCCTCAGGTTTATTTTTTCAATTACTATGGGATGTCAGAGAGGGAAAAACAAGCCATTAGGTGGTTGCAGTCAGCAGCAGGTGGATCGTGAAGACCTCAGCATGCCATTGCAATCTGTAGAGGTTGGACAGGTGGAGAGGGAGGTATACGGGGCAGAGTACTGGAAACAGGACAGCCAGTTCAGAGCTTGCTACTTTGTCCTGGAGAGTGATGCTGAGGGGCTGAAGGGGTGCAGTGATAGAAGAGTTTATAAGTGAGAATATGTTTATTATCAAGAAGCTCTGGTTCTTATAGGAAATGTCCCAAATGGTTTCTAGTCTCTCTTGGTTGAGAAAATAGAGAACACCGTCTGAATGCCCAGTTATAATTCAGAAAGTTAACTTGCCCGTAGGAACTACTCAGGGAAAAGCAATGAAATAAAGCCTGAAAGTTCTATAACCGCTCCGGGGAGAACCACGAGCTGTGATGCGCTGATGCCGACTGAGAACTTAGCTGCTGGTCATCTTTACAGATCAAGTCACCCCTCAGGATTTTGAATTTTTCATTCAGAAAGTTAGGCAGGGGACAGGGGCAGATATCTCTAAAATTCCTTCCATCTTTTGTATTCTGTACTCAAAATGAGTACAGGATGCTGTTTTGAACCAATTAGTGTTTTAGACTTGTCTAACCTTGAAAACATTGGACCCAATAGAAACATTTAACCTATTCACAGATATTTAATTCAGGTTGTATCAGTATCAAGGAATTTTTAACTGAGCGTTTTCTGGAGCTGAAACTAAGTTAACTTAGTATCTTGATCAATTTATACATGTAGTTGAAAATGTTCAGATTTTTAAATTATCTTATGGAATCATTTTAATTAGTATCACTTTTTCATATTTAAATTGCATAACGATTTTATTTATCAGTTTTTACATAGATTTTACTAATTATCACTTCCTGTAACTGTCAGTTTTCATTTTATGCCTATTGCCAAATCCAATTTTCCATTTAGCCAATGTTTTATTTTGTGTTAATATTATTCTTGATACAAGTACTTTTCATTGTGAATGGATTTTTTAAGATAGTAATTATTATTCCTTTTTACAATAATCTGTTGGAAAATTATAAGAATTTCCTCTTTAATATTATATTTACCCTGTTATCTGAGATTGGTCTGTTATGGAAATTGGCAAACATTTTTTAATGGTCCAGATAGTAAATAGTGTATAGTTACACTTTTGGTTTTTGTTTGTTTTTGAGACAGGGAGTGCAGTGGTGCAATCGCAGTTCCCTGCAGCCTCAACCTCCTTCCCAGGCTCAAGCAGTCCTCTTACCTCAGCCTCCTGAGTAACTGGGACTATTGGCATGCACCACCTTACCCTGCTGACTTTTTAAACTTTTTGTAGAGTTGAGTCTCTGTGTTTTGCCCAGGTTGGTCTCGAACTCCTGAGCTCAAGCAGTCCTCCCACCTCGACCTCCCAAAGTGCTGGGATAGCATATACTTAGGCTTTGCAAACTGTGTACTTCCTGCCAAAACAATCCACCTCTGCTGTTGTAGTGTGAAAGCAGCCATAGGCAATATGTGAATGAATGACTGTGGCTATGAACTAACAAACTTTAGACACTGAAATCTCATGTTCATATAAAACCATTTTTAGCTGATGGGCTGTACGAAGAAGGCGGAGCTGAATTTGGTTCATGGACTGTAGTGCTGTGTTGCTTATCTGGTTCTTGTTGTGCTTCTTGTCATTTTACATGCCTTCACTAGCCATCCACAGGCCTTGGTGAGGCCAAGCATGTGGTGGCATTAAAATGTCCTCAGGGTGAGGATGTCAGGTAGTTACCAAGGATAACTTGTCTTTACATGTACCGTGATCTTCACAAGGATGGGCATAATTATTCCCAGTTTACAGATGACAAAACAGGTTATTGGAAATAATAGTAGTTAATAATTATTGAAGAACTTAACTATGTGGCAGGCACATAGATTATCACAAACCCATTAATACACTGTTACCAAAGCAACTTGTTCCAGGTCTCCTACCTAGAATGTAACAGACCCTGGAATCAAGCCGTACAGTGTGTCTCCAGAGCCCATGCTCTTCACCACTGTATCACTCTGTGTGTAATTCTGCTCTGTGGCACAGAACTATCAATACAGTGCAAAGATGTCATAGCACATAAGTGATACACATCTGTCTCTAGTGAGCGTAGCCTCTGGGTTAAAAAACAAAAACCAAAAAAAACTTTTTTCACCACAGTCTCTGAAACTGAATACCCAGTCATTAACGTGATGTCACCAGCCAACCGCCTGCATCCTCCTGGCTGTGCGGTGTTTGAATGGCCATAGCCACGGGAGCTACATTGCCTGCCCTGGTACTAAAGGATGGACTACTGTGTCTGCATCCAGTGTAGTACTGTAAGGTGCTGTGATGCCACAGCAGCCGTTGCCAAAGAAATGTTTAGGTAGATGCAATTCTTAGTTAAGATTATAAGATGCAGAGGATCGCCTAAATTAATTTAATTCCAGGCTAATTAAAAAATTTCCTGAGGGAAGTAACTGACGTGAGAGCAGATAAGGGCAAGCATGCAGGCACACAGCATGCTTTCCTGGAAGGTATAAGTTGTAATTGCTCCAAGAGATGGCAGAGGTAGGAGTCCTAGTTCAGAGGAGCCTGGCTCCAGCCAATCAGACATTTCATAGCTCTATGCACGTGTATGTTTTAAGTAGCGTGTTAACCTGATGCTTTCTTCTGGTGTACAGAAATATATGATCATTGAGACAGAATGCGCTAATGAAGTCGGGGAGCTGAAAACCTTCACATACATAGAATGTAGAGCACTGAACTCACAGGTTGTCGGAGGCACACACACCTGCCTTAGAATGGCTTTGCAGTATTCCTTGAAATGCTGCATCTGGGAAATGATGTGTGGATGGTTTGCTAGCTGGAGGCTGGTTTGTTAATTAGAAGTGTATCTGACCAATGGCATGAGATCTTATTGCTTAAACGAACAAGATGGCGGAGACTTTACTCCCTTTGAATGGTCCAGCAAAGGCTATTTCCTGTCAGCAGTAGCATCTCATGCAAGAAGATTACAGTTGCTGAAGCCCACAAGGCAACTGAGTATGGAGAATTCCTCAAAATTGTATGTTGTGTATATTTGGGCAGACTGGTTAAAGCATGAAGAGAGCTATTGCTACTGTTAAAGTATGTGTCTGTGCTATCAAAAGTATACTCCCTGAGGCTGAGGCTGCAATGCAGTGAGCTGTGATCACACCACTGCACTCCAGCCTAGGCGACAGAGTGAGACCCTGTCTCAAAAAAAAAAAAAAAAAAAAAAGGTGTACTCCCTGGTAGGAGAACCAGGGAAAAGCAGCTACAAACAAGAGCAGATTAACATGGTGCAGAAAAGGCATGTTCTGCTTCCTCTTGTCCCTTTTCTTTGCTTGATTTCTAGAGTTAGATTTTATCATTTCACTCTTTAATCTGTTTCTTATTTTCTAAACACCCGTAATATATTAGATTCTCTGATTATATCAAAAACGTGGTCTCCATCCTCTGGATTTCCTCACTAAAACTGGACGTGGCTTCCTTTGTGCAGTAGCTTTTTTGTGAGTACTAAAAGGTGGCACTGGTATGAGAGCCTGGGAGATTAAAAAATAGATATATGAAGATTCTATATAAGCTTAACTTTTTCCTTTCTCTTTTTTACTATCAGTCACTTTACAGCTAAACTAGGAGCCTACTTACTCTTTATTGACTCGTGTAGTTACCTGTGCTTCAGTCTAGATGTGTACACCATGTACCCCTTGGAACTTCCTTCTGTGGCCGCTTGCTGGCGCTCTGCTGTTCCCCCATGAGTATCAGTCCGTTCTGTCAAATGCTAGGGTTTGTTCTTTGCGCTCATTCCATTTCCCACTTCCCAGTGGGGCTGCCCCCCTTTGCCACTACCCTTCAGAATTGATCTCCAGTCCCTGCTTAATGATCCTGTGTTCGGAGCAGAGGGAAACAGAGCACGTGGGTCCTTCTTCCAGAGATGGGTGTTACATACACCCAAAGGGTCGTCTGACTGGAGATCCTTAGGCTAGTCATGGTCCAGGTTGTGTAATCTTGAAACATCAGCCACCATTTGTAGTATCTCTGGTGTTTACCATGCTGAGCCTCTTTCGTCATAGTCAATTGTATATTTTCAAATAATAAAGCTTTGCTTAAGCGTCCACAACTATGAATATTGAAGTGGTGATGACCGTCAGAGTTTGTGTTGTGCTACACGGCTTAACGTTTCGAGAGAGAGAGAATAATTCAATCACTGCATGGGAGGTTTTATTCTCAAATAAAGGAAGTTGGTAGAGAAAGCCGTCTTCCTCATGTTTGTTTTTCCCAAATCTTTTTTTCCACCCAAAGTCTGGATTACTCCCAAGGTGAGAGGGTTGATGTCTGGAAATTGTTAATCCATGGGATCTATTCATGGTATATAAAATTTTCAGAAAGAATTTGCCTTTTAAATATGATTTCCTGATTGACTATAGCAAACATAAATCCAGGAAGTACAACTCTGTCAGAGCAGCCAGGATCCTTCTTAGCTTCTCAGATGTATGAGATTTTTTAGTGCGTGTGTGGAGTGGAAGTAAAGATTCTTCCCGTGGGCAGGTCAGAAGGAGAGAGGGGAGTTAGGAGAAGAAAGGAAGAGAATAATAGGACATAGAAACAAACCAAAGCTGCTAGGGTCGGGGAGGCAGGTATATACCCCTGGCTTTCCTGGAATTAGCTGCTGTCCCCCTGAAAAACCAGCTTTATTTTAGTTTATAGTACTGAGAGGAAGAAGCTAGGGAGGCACCCTTTTAGTGCCTTCTGTCCTGGTACTGTTTTCATTCTTGAAGTGCTCTTTTATGATATACAGAAACATTTCCTCATCCTCTTGGTGATACAAAGTTCTTGGGCCACTATTTTCAGAGAAAACTAAGCTGTACTAAGCTGGAAATATTGGCTGAGGGCCATTTTGCTCAGATCTCTCCTCCCATCTGGACTTCGTGCCCCCGTGCATTCTTAAACACCAAATCACAACCATTTCTCACCTGCTGAAGTGAGAAACAGTTTTCTGGCTGTTTCCGATGTTAGCATTAAAGATCAGATTTCTGTATGTGACTTGCCTTTCTCCAATGGAAAGGTGCCCATTTCTGATATTTACACACAGCTACAGATATATTTATAGTTTCTCTTGGATTTCGGGTAATAGCTAACTCTTCTTCCCTGCCACCTGTACCCTCTCAGGCCATGTTCTTATTAAGCACTCTAATGAGAAGCTACGTCTACCACAGGCTCTAGACACATGATGAGACCCTCAGTGGCTATAGCCTAGCTGTGAGCACTCAGCAGTAGACTTATATCTGCATAGTCTGTTGTGTTTGGTTTGACGCTAGAGTTCAAATAATAAGGTGACTAACTGCAAACTGCCTCTGCCTGCTCCCCCAGCCCTTCCATGTACAGACAGACGGACACACACACACACACACACACACACGTGCACGCACGCCCTCTTATCCTGACCTTGAAATAGCTACCACTCACAGAAGAGTCTCCTCCAGAGACTGGCCTGTCTTTGGGAGCCTTTGTACAGATAAACTATCAAATCTCATAGTGACTAGACAGTCATACTTGGCTCTTTTTTGTAGTCCTATGGACTGAGAAGGAGCCGGTAAATGTGTTCCTCTTCAGTTCAGGTCACATCTTTGACATGTTCACATCTTTATTATGTTGTTCCTTGTTTGTTGAGATGCTATCAAGGTCAGGAGGTCCCTTTTGTTGACCCTGGGTAACTCCGCTTGCCTTTCCCCTCCACTCCCAATGCCATAGGTGAGAAAGGAGAAGATAAAATGTGATTATGAGGTTATTATACTCTTTTGCCCCCTAGGCAACAAGCGTATTGTTGTTTTTCAGATCCATCCGTCTAGCAGACATGTGATAATGCCAAAAGGTGGTGTCGTGCTTGACTGCAGCAGTTACAGCACGTGAGGCACCAGGCCTCAGAGGGTCAGAAGAGAGTGTGAGTTATCAATTTCAATGTTTATGTGTTCACACGGGCATGCAGGGAGTTAAAAGCCACCATTTTTCCCTGTGACCAACTGCCCGCCTAGCTTTTCCTTTGAAATCCAGCGTCAGTCCTTGTAGGGCTGGCCTGCTCAAAAAGTATGACTGTCTCTTCTCCCTCTTTTGCCTCATGTTTCTTCCACATGCCTAGATTTTTGCCCCTAATGTCTCATTCATAAATCTGTAGCCCTGGAACTGTACTGTACAGTAGGGAAGCCATTCAGATATATATATATATATGTACTTATACTTAACTCTTCCATTTTTCACTAAAACACAATGAGTGATTTGTGTGGGGAGCCAAGCCTCAAGCCAAGAACTGAATTCAAAGTGTTTTCTCGTCTTTGTTAACTCTTAACAGCAAGAAAGAATTTTGGAACACATTTCTGCTCCTGGAATTTCTGAGTGCAGCAGTAAGTGGCTTTCTGAGTGGCTTTCTTGACTTCTTGATTCTGGTTATCTCATCGACTTTCAGCAGCCATCCTTTCAGGGCGCATACTGTATGTACCCTTGATTGGCTGGCCTGTAATAATAGCTTCTGTGCCTCCTAGTAGCATTCTCTTCACTTTTCACCCCATTTCTATGTGCTGTCCTCATCTGTATATACATGTTCACCCACCTGGTGGTGAATGACCTGGTTTTAATGTATCTTACAAATTTCCGAGTACTAAAGCAAGTATAGAGATGCCTACAGTCTTGACATCCTTTTGTAGCACATGGAGAGACACATAGATATGCTCAGCCAGAGATGTCCTTCCCTTACTAGTAGGCAAGCCCCTAACAGTCTGTTCCCTATGCACTCCCTTAGATTTCGTTTGAGTAGCATTTTTTATAATGCATAAGGTAAAAGAGATGTTAACTGAATGAAGATTGAATAGGCAGAATGCAGTTAGCAGCTCTGTAGTTGAGATTTCAAGATTTATTTTATTCTGAACGCTGTTCCATATCTCCTTACAGCTTTGAGGACATAATGTTTTCTCTTCATACCTGAATCCAGAAATAAAGGATGTTTTGTTTTGTTTTGTTTGCTAGAGTGGTAATGCATCCTTAAAGAAAAATTGGCAACAGATTTGTGAGCTGTAAAACTAAGAAGAAATGATCATTTGTTATTTTCAAAAATGATTCTCATGTTTCTTTGCATTTCAAAACCTATAGTCTTTTGTGGTTTTCATAGGCACATTTACACTTTGACAGACCATAAAACCCTTTCAATCTGAAACCTTTGGAGAGAGTTTCTACTTTTAGAACCAGATATTTCTATTAGTAGTGAGATTTCTGATTAACGTTTATTCATCTCAGTGACTAGTGGTCCCTGGACCTGAACTCCTAGTGGTAACTGAATTATATGATTTTGTGAACTCCATTCTTTCACAAAATAGCTGTGTTTAAATAAGAACATAACACATTGCTCCAAACCTTTGTGACAAGGCTTGACACACTATCCTTCATTTTCCTGACCCTGAAGTACATTATTGACTAAGAAGATATCTTAGTTATTGAGGGTAAAGACTTTGAGGCAGAATTAATGAATTTTATTTTCTCGCATCTTTTACTTTTCAGAGTTTAGCTCTCCGCTGGGGCCTCTGGATAAGAATGCCATTCTAAGATGATAATATTTATGGAAAGTTAATCTGTTATTCTGGGATTTTCTTAATGTAGTCTATGTTGAGAGACAGCAGTACAATGACAGTCCAATAAGAAATCAAAACTACCACTAACATTTATGCAGTTAATATATGGACAGTTGAACCTGCCTCTGAAGACTTCAGCAGGTAAAAAGAACAAAAAGATTTTGTAGCCACTTCAGGGCTCTGAGCTAGCCACAGAAGAATCGTAGTAGATATAAAAATAATTTGCCAGGAAGACAATAAGTCATCAATAAATGTTAGCTTTAAAAAAATGGCATCTTTCGGGCTGGGTGCAGTGGCTCAGGCCTGTTATCCTAGCACTTTGGGAAGCTGAGACAGGAGGATCACATGAGCCCAGGAGTTAAAGACCAGCCTAGGCAATATTGTGAGACCCTTTCTCTACAATAAATTTAAAAAATTAGCCGGGTATGGTGGTGCATGCCTATAGTCCCAGCTACTTTGGGGGCTAAGGTAGGAGAATCGCTGAGCCCAGGTGGCTGAGGCTTCAGTGAGCTGTGATTGCATCACTGCACTCCAGTCTGGGTGACAAAGCGAGACCTTGTCTCAATTTAAAAAAAAATATATATATATATATAAAAAATGACATCTTTCAACGGACAAAAGATTAGTACCCCATGAGAAAATACCTTAAGCCCCAAATAATATTCAGTACCTGTTCATCTAGGCTTTATGAGGAGGCTGTGTTATGCCTCTCGGAATGGTTCTTAGAGTAACTATCTGGCACAGAGGCAGTAGAGTGGGAAGAGAAGAGCCTACTGGACAGACGCTTCACTCTGCACATTTCTTCCAGGTATTGAAGTCACATGGCCCAAGAAAGTGTGTTTGGATCTCATAGATGAGTGAGTTGCAGAAGTGGAATGCTGTAGAATCTTCTGTTACTATTTGTATTGAATGATACAGGAACAACTTACCTGTCTTCCTAAAGACCATCAGTTATCCAACCTCACTGAAGTGGAAACTAGGTTAAAACAAACACCTTTGGAAGATTACTGGTCTTGTCACTATGCCATGAAATGCTGGCCTCTGAAGCCTGTTTGAGAATCTAATACATAAACAAATAAATTCTTACAAGAAGAAACAAAGCTCTTAGTACTTAACCAAAAATGTCTCATCCCTTTTTATAATTTAAATTTCCTCAACAATTTTGTAAATGTAGCATTGGGGCCATAATGACGTTTTGGCATCATATTTGGTACAAGCAAATATCATGACGAGTTCATTTTTTAACTTCTTTTTTCCTAGTGCAGAAAAGTATATTTAAGTACAGTTCATTATAGCTGTACAACCAATTTGGCCTGACCACATATCTGATGATTTTTAGTAGGACCCCTTGCCAATGTATTGAGGTCGCATGTGGAAAAAAGTTATAACTTACGGGTCCTGTAAGGCATTCTCTTTCTACTTGGCAAATGTCCCTCTTCCCTCTTGAGATTAGGCAGTGGCAGTTCTACCTTGTGGGAAACACAGTTTCTTTTCTAAGTGGACTGCTCAAATTAGATAGGGAGAAAAGGGAAGAGATAAGGGCATTTCCCACATGATTGACATGGTTCATGTGTTCCGAGAGGCTTAAGTAGTTTTTTTACAGATAGATTTGGGGACTATACTAGTTGGGCAGTTTCATATGCTTTCACAATGATACATATTTTGGGAGTATTTGTGGTATTTTGATACCTCTATACAATGTAAATGATCAAATCAGAGTAATCCATCACTTCAAACATTTATCTTTTCTTTGTAAAATGAGTTTTTATCCCGGATAAACAATTTAGAATTTCATTCTTTTTTAAGTTTTCTTTCTTTCTCTTTTTTTTTTTTTTTTTTTCCTTGAGACAGAGTCTTGCTCTGTCGCCCAGGCTGGAGTGCAGTGGTGCCATCTCGGCTCACTGCAAGCTCCGCCTCCTGGGTTCACGCCATTCTCCTGCCTCAGCCTCCCGAGTAGCTGGGACTACAGACGCCCGCCACCACGCCCGGCTAATTTTTTTTGTATTTTTAGTAGAGACGGGGTTTCACCGTGTTAGCCAGGATGGTCTCGATCTCCTGACCTCGTGATCTGCCCTCCTTGGCCTCCCAAAGTGCTGCGATTACAGGTGTGAGCCACCGCGCCCGGCCTTTTTTTTTTTTTTTTAATAGAGACAGAGTCTTGCTATGTTGCTCAGGCTGGTCTCAAACTCCTGGCCTTAAGCAATCCCCCTGCCTCAGCCTTTTGTGTGTGTGTGTGTGTGTGTGTGTGTGTGTGTGTGTGTGTGTGTGTGTGTGTGTGTGTGTGTGTGTGATGGAGTCTCACTCTGTCGCCCAGGCTGGAGTGCAGTGGTGTGATCTCAGCTCACTGCAACCTCCACCTCCCAGGTTCAAGCAATTCTTAATGCCTCAGCCTACTGAGTAGCTGAGACTACAGGTGCGCACCACACCCAGCTACTTTTCATATTTTTAGTAGAGACAAGGTTTCACTGTGTTGGCCAGACTGCTCTCGAACTCCTGTCCCCAAGTGATCCACCCACCTTGCCCTCCCAAAGTGCTGGAATTACAGGCATGAGCCACCACACCTGACCTCAGCCTTATTTTTTAAGTTTTCGATTGGACTCTGAAATTTTTCAGAATACCAGATGCCATCATGTTTATTTAATCAATTAGCCATCAGCATAAAATGCATTTAAATCTGTTTGAAAATTTTTTTTTTTTTTGAGACAGATCTTGCTGCAATGCCCAGCCTGGAGTGCAATGGTGCGATCTCGGCTCACTGCAACCTCCCCTTTTCAGGTTCAAGCAATTCTCCTGCCCCAGCCTCCCAAGTAGCTGGGATTACAGGCATGCGCCACCATGCCTGGCTGATTTTTGTATTTTTTTAGTAGAGATGGGGTTTCACCGTATTGGCCAGGCTGGTCTCGAACTCCTGACCTTAAGTGATCTACCCGCCTCAGCCTCCCAAAGTGCTGGGATTACAGGCATGAGCCACCGTGCCCGGCTGAAATTGATTGTTTATTAAGAATAAGGATCTAAAAAGTCAGCATCCGCAGTCATAGTGGTTGTAGGAGTGAGCTAATAATATCTTTTTAAATTCTGTTTTACTATAAGGAATTTGACCTTCTCAATATGACCATTTATCACATTGCCCCCTTTCTTCGTGGTCATACTTTTTTCTGCCAGTTTTGTCAGTCAAAAGTAATTACCTAAGATAAGCAGCTCTTTCAGCCTTTGCAGCCCAGATGTGGCATTTGTGATGGCAGCTCTATACCCACAAACATGCGCGTGTGCACCAAAAGAATGGGAATAAATTGCACAAATCCAGTGAAAATCCCAAAGGTGATTTTTTTAAATCAATGTATTCATGAAAGAAGATAGAGAAAACCAAGCTTTTAAAAAATGAGGAATGAAATAGGGATATGTTACTTGGCATCATGGGGGTGTAGTAACAGAACCGTGATGAGACGGTTTCGTCATTGGCGCACAGAGTGTGCTTGCATTTAAAGTAATTTTACCTTTGAAGACTGCACCTGGAATCCTTTGTAAATTTTCCACAATGAGTATACTTTTTGTTGTTGTTGTTGTTTTGAGACAGAGTCTCACTCTGTCGCCCTGGCTGGAGTGCAGTGGTGTGATCTCTGCTCACTGCAGCCTCCGCTTCCCGGGTTCAAGCGATTCTCCGGCCTCAGCCTCCCACATAGCTGGGATTACAGGCGCACGCCACCATGCCCGACTAATTTTTGTATTTTTAGTAGAGACAGGGTTTCACCATGTTGGCCAGGCTGCTCTCAAAATCCTGACCTCACGTCATCTGCCCACCTTGGCCTCCCAAAGTGCTGAGTTTACAGGCATGATCCACCATGCCCGACCACAAGTATACATGTATGCCCAGAAATAAAATACAATATTTTTGAAAAGTTGGTATTGTTTGCAAAAAACTATCCAGCTCCCCCACTCTAAATTCTCTACTTGATTGAAACACTGTCTTCCTTCTGTGACTGGCTGTGTTGACATGCCTGTCATAGGTAGGAAATTCCAGCCCAGAACTGGTACCGTAAACCTGCTGATTAGGAGTCTCTTACAGAGCCCAGCAGCCTTCCACAGCAGAACTTTGGTGTTTATCGTTTATCCTTAGAGAGAGAGAGAGAATTTTAAAAACAAAAGTAATGCTAAATTGATTAATTTTCTCTGGTTTGTCTAGCCAGGCTCCAGCTTCTGTGTAATATACTGTATAGGCCTAAACTGAACTCTGATCTTTTTAGCAAGCTGAAGATTGTTTTAGCCACTAAGCCCTTGCTCTTTATTCTCTTTTAATTATTTCCTGGAAATAGTATTAGAAACAAAGGAAATGTGCTATATGTATTATGCAGCCATGAAAAACATAGTTTCGGTCATATATAATGTAGTGAACAGTACTGACAATATAATGTTAAATAGATAATGTATCAAGCAAAATGTGAGGTGTGATACTGTTAGAAGCTGATTTATATAAATTTATTAAAAGACTTGGCAGGAAAATTTCCAAAATGTTACAAATGATTACTTCTTTTTTATTTTTTTTTATTTTTTTGAGACAGTCTCGCTCTATCGCTCAGGCTGGAGTGCAGTGGTGTGATCTCGGCTCACTGCAAGCTCCACCTCCCGGGTTCACACCATTCTCCTGCCTCTGCCTCCCGAGTAGCTGGGACTACAGGCACCCGCCCAGTTAATTTTTTGTATTTTTAGTGGAAACGGGGTTTCACCATGTTAGCCAGGATGGTCTCGATCTCCTGATCTCATGATCTGCCCTCCTCAGCCTCCCAAAGTGCTGGTATTACAGGCGTGAGCCACCACACCCGGCCAAATAATTACTTCTTGATGGAAGTGTATGCAAAAGTCTTATTTCCTTTATATTTTTCTTTTTTCCCCCAATTTTTTGGAGTAAAATATATATTGTTTTCATAATAAAAACATAAAACTTTATTTCTTAAAAAAACTCTTGTTGAAAAAGAAATAAAGGAACGTGGCAGGAGCAGTCCTCTGAGGGGGTCCAAGGAGGAATCAGTGTTACTGTGGAAAGTAATACCAGGCCTTGCTTCTGTTGACTTGAAGATTATTGAGCTCCCAATTCATTAGTTAGGCCAGAGGTGTCCTGTTCATGAAAATTGCCAGGCCGGTGACATGCAACAGGTGCAGACCTGCTGTGTGAGCCCTGGGAACACACTGAGATCTGCCAGCGTTTTGGCGGTGCTTCGCAGTGCTCACAGCTGCTGTGTGTCAAGCAGGGGCTGCTCTAATGCTTCAGTGTTCTGTGATGGTGAGGTCTGGCCCCACTCTCTTCCTCAGCACTCCAGGCTTTGACCAGCTACCAAATACCTGGCCAGACTATTGTCACGAGAGCTGCCAAATGAAATCCTGGGGCAGGAGTCATCAGTCATTTAGTGTGCTTCCAGAAGGAATCAAAGGAGTAGCTGTTCAAGCAGGGGAAAGGAATGAGAAAAGAAAAAACGTAGAGCAAGTCTGTTACTTAAGAAAAACACAGAACCAATGTTACAACTAAGAATTTCAGAGTCCTTGGCTGTGAGTCAGGTGTTTGGTGTTATATAGGGATTTATCAGTCACTGGTTCAGAAGAATATCGGATAACCTCTGTGAAATAAATGAGAAGAGCATAAGCCAGGATGAGACAGAATTCGTAATGAGTTCCCTCATCACATCTCTTGGCCAAGAAAAACATGCACTTTCTCCAGAGGCAGAATTTTTCTTCCATTCTAGGAGGTGGAGGAACACTTGGAGTATATGTAGTCCAGGCTTTCAGATGAGCAGTTTCACTAGCAGTTTTTTGTAATCTACTCATAAATAAGTGAAAAGAGAAACTGTGAGGTAACTGGAGTCTTTCTGTATCAGGAATAGCATCTCTGTAAAAACAAGTTAGTCCTGTGCTTAATTCCTGCCTCGATACAGAGCTGTCCGTCTGGTGTGAATATATGAAGCCAGCGTTCTCTTCCTGTCTCCCAGAAGGGCGGCTGCGTGTGACAGCGTAAATGTGTGACAGTATGTGAAAATGTTTCTGTAATCCTGAAGATTTCAGTAGTGATTAGAAGAGCTTTAGTCTTTGGTCAATTTTCTTTGACTTGGAAAGCATAAAGAATATTTGAACCTCTCATTTCAGACTGACCTTGACTTTCCTCATTTTATTTTATTTTATTTTATTTTTTTGCCTTAGATCATCCAGCCCCTCTTAGAACTTGACCAAAATAGAAGTAAATTAAAGTTGTACATTGGACACCTGACAACCCTCTGCCATGACCGAGACCCCCTGATCCTCCGTGGACTCACTCCACCAGCTTCCTATAACTTGGACGATGACCAGGCGGCTTGGGAGAATGAGCTGCAGAAGATGACCCGGGGGCAGGTGAGCCTCTCACTCAAACTTTGAAAAGAGCCTGTGAAAATCCAGTTGCTGTGTAGGTTGATGCAGTGGGGGCTACCTTGGGGAATCCAGTTGCCGTGTAGTTGATGCAGTGGGGGCTACCTTGGGGAATCCCGTTGCTGTGTAGGTTCATGCAGTGGGAGCTACCTTGGGGAATTCCATGTTTAGATTCAAGATTTGGGGGGTGGGGAGGGGTTTCCAGATATAATTTTTAAACTGATTTTTAATTGATTTTTTACTGTTTTATTTTTTTAATTCACCAATTAAAAATGTATGTTTCTCATGTACAACATGTAATTTTGAAATATGTATACATTGTGGAATGGCTAAATAGAGCTAACATATACATTCCCTCACATACTTTCCATTTTTGTGTGTGTGTGGTGAAAACACTTTAAAATCTACTCTCAGCAATACATTATTATTAAGTATAGTCAGCATGTTGTACAGTAGATTTTTTTTTTTTTTTTTTTTTTTTTGAGATGAAGTCTTGCTCTGTTGCCCAGGCTGGAGTGCAATGGTATGATCTCAGCTCACTGCAACTTCCACCTCCCAGGTTCAAGCCATTCTCCTGCCTCAGCCTTCCGGGTAGCTGGGACTACAGGCGCGTGCCAACATGCCCGGCTAGTTTTTTGTGTTTTCAGTAGAGATGGGGTTTCACCAAGCTGGCGAGGCTGGTCTCGAACTCCTGACCTCAAGTGATCCTCCCACCTTGGCCTCCCAAGGTGCTGGGATTACAGGCGTGATTCACCGCGCCCGGCCAGTTGTACGCTAGATCTCCTGAAGGTAATCCTCCTGTCTAGTTGATATTTTGTAACTTTCAGCAACATCTTTCCAGCCCCTGGTAACCACCATTTTCCTCTTCGATTCAAGTTTCTTGGCAATGAATAGTCTTGAACAGATATTTGGAATTACCTTTTGAAGGAAGTACGATTCTTGGCTCAGTGTAACTTACTCAAGTATCCGAAAGGGCTGATTTATAAGGGAGAAGGCTAAGGACGATCTGTTAACATTGCCATCGGTTATTCCATGAAGCGGTAGCCACTGAAGGAAAGTCTGAGTAGTTTAGGTTAATCCCATGTCTTAGACCATTCAGGTAGCTAAAACAAAGTAACACAGACAGGGTGGCTTATAAGCAGCAGACATTTATTGCTTTCTGTTCTGGAGGCTGGAAGTCCCAGATCAGGGCCCCAGCATGGTTGGTTTCTGGTTCCTTGTGTCCTGTCGCATGCTGCTGACCTCATGACCTAATCACCTCCCAAAGGCCCACCTCCTAATACCATCACGTTGGGGGTTGGGATTTCACCATATGAATTGAGGGGAGGAGGGTAAACATTCCATCTATAGTACTCCCTAGACGACATTTTCTGTTTACTGTCACTTGTAAAAATCCAGTGATTCTCTTTTTTACATGTTGTGATTTTTAATGCAGTAAAAGACAGGGTAAGGCTAGCCTGGAGACAAAAAATCAGGAATAAAAGAAACAGAAGACAGGATGAGAACAGGCATACAGTACAGACATGGAAAGTGAAGGAAAGAAAAAGTGAATAAACATTGAGACATAGAAACAGAAAAAGAGAAAAATAGGTCAGTTTTTGAAATATTAACTTAAAGCTCCTTTTGCTCCTAGTTTACTGATAGAAGTCAGTGATATTCCTTACCCCCTATAGATTCAATCATACCAACAGAAGGCTAAAGAAAGGCACAGGTGGTGTAAACTTACTAAAACTCTTCATCAGAACTTTGAAGCTACTTACTATTTCTAGCTAAATACTTTCTATTTCTTAAATATTGTTTGTTTACTCGTGTGTGAAGGTAAATTGTATTTAATACAGAACTTCCTGTGGTGTGATATTAAAGATGACAGTGAAAACCCGCAAGTCAAGAAATGCAAACTGGTGAGCCTTAGAGCTGTACTTACTTTCCCGTGATGTGGATGTTGCCTAATAATACACGGACATATTTCACAGCCTAACTAGTTACCCATCATTTATTTGATGTGTGAAGACAAGGCCAACTTCTCAAATTTAGCGTGTTGACATAGGAATTTTAATCTCTTTCTTTCTTGAAAGAGGAAAAAAATGTAACGAACAGTATTAAATTCAGCGAGGTGCTGTGGCTCACACCTGTAGTCCCAGCTACTCAGGAGGCTGAGGCAGGAGGATTGCTTGAGCCCAGGAGTTCAAGGTTACAGTAAGCTATGATTGTGCCACTGTGCTCCAGCCTGGGTGGTGACAAAGTGAGACCCTGTCTCTAAAACGAAAAAAAAAAAAAGGACAGTATTAAATTCAATTCCTAATAGCTCTTTTTGATATTGATAACCATATACTAAAAATGTAATGGAAATAAATACATACACAACTACAGTGCAACCAAAAGCCCATTGGAAACAAGGCACATGGCTATTCATTTTAGAGACTTTTGCTTCAGAATTTTGCAGAAAAACGATGCTTCTTAAAAGCAGTGCTACTGGGCACAGTGGCTCCCACCTGTAATCCCGGCATTTTGGGAGGCTGAGGTGGGAGAATCCCTTGAGCCCAGGAGTTCAAAACCAGCCTGGGCAACATAGAGAGACCTCGTCTTTAAAAATAATTAAAATTATCCAGACATGGTGTCACACGCCTGTAGTCCCAGCTGCTCAGGTAGTTAAGGTGGGAGGATGGCTTGATCCCGGGCAGTCGTGGCTACAATGAGCTGAGATCGTGCCACTGTACTCCAGCCTGGGTGGCAGAGTGAGACCCCGTCTCAAAAACAAACAAACAGCAACAACAACAACAAAAAAAAAAAAACCCAGTGCTTATTAATGTATTAAAGTTTAACTGGCATTAAATTATTCCTTTGTAAAACAGTTTGTCTTTGTTTTGTTTTTGTTTTTGTTTTTGTTTTTGTTTTTGTTTTGGAGACAGAGTCTCGCTCTGTCACCCAGGCTGGAGTGCAGTGGCACGATCTCAGCTCACTGCAAGCTCCACCTCTCAGGTTCAAGCAATTCTCGTGCCTCAGCCTCCCGAACAGTTGGAACTACAGGCGCGCGCCACCGTGCCCAGCTGATTTTTTGTATTTTAGTAGAGATGGGGTTTCACCATGTTGCCCAGTCTGGTCTCGAACTCCTGAGCTCAGGCAGACGGCCTGCCTTGGCCTCCCAAAGTGCTAGGATTACAGGAATGAGTGACCATGCCTGCCCAGCTTGTCTTTGAAATGGAAAAGATATTTTTGCTCAGTCCTGTATTTTCAATATGCCTAGATGGACTTAACTCAGTCTTACCAAGGGGAAAAAAAAATCTTCAGAGTGATACCAAGATAGAAAATTTCAAACTGATTTTTCAGCAAGTTTTGAGTGAATGAAACCTGATTAATAGACTTCCCATTGCAGATTGTGTTACAGTCAAGCTACTGCACTCATCCAAACAATTGTGCTCACACACATGACTTCCGTTAATATTGTCATGTTTCCCTTTAATTGAGAATGTACTTCAGTTACTGAAGTTACTGTTTGAGGTGTGTGAAATTGTATTCTCCCCAACAGTCCCTGCGAAACGAGAGACCTGGGTCATCTACAGAGGAATACAGTAACTAACAACCCCTACTATAAGCTTCTTCATAGCTTCTAAAGGTTGGTGGAGAAACCAACCCATTTCGTGCTTCCTTACCCCAAGTAAGAATTTAAGGAAGTAATGTAGGCTGTCTAACAATACAAAATGACTTGCCTATGAAAGTATTGTGATCAGAGTTTGACTTCAGCTTTAACGGCCAAGAAACAGAAGATGTGAGTCACTGCCAAATATGCATATTGGTTTATTTTGTGTGCGTGTTTTGTTTATAGTTTTGTAGTTTTGTTTTTGTGATGCAGAGCCTTCTGCTCCTGACATTTGCATTTTTCACCTCATATCTCCAATGCATTTCACTGCCACCATGCTGCCACCAACACCACCGCCATGAGGACAGGACAAGAACTTTGTCTTTTTCAATGCTAGGGCAGTGCAGAAGGGAAATGCAGGGTCAGAGCCCCTACACAGTCCCCACTGGGGCACTGCCTAGTGGAGCTCTGAGAAGAAGGCCACCATCCTCCAGACCCCAGAACAGTAGATCCACCGCTGGTTTGCACCTTGCGCCGGGAAAAGCTGTAGGCACTCAGTTGTCAGCCCATGAAAGCAGCTGGAAGGGGCCTGTGCCCTGCAGAGCCACAGGGGCAGAGCTGCCCACGGCCCTGAGAGCCCACCTCTTGCATCAGCGTGACCTGGATGTGAGACGTGGAGTTAAAGGAGATCATTCTGGAACTTTAAGGTTTAATGACTGCCCTATTGGATTTCAGACTTGCCTGGGGCCTGTAGTCTCTTCGTTTTGGCCAATTTCTCCCATTTGGAGTAGGTGTATTTACCCAATGCCTGTACCCTCATTGTATCTAGGAAGTAACTAACTTGCTTTTGATTTTACAGGCTTATAGGCAGAAGGGACTTGCCTCGCCTTATATGAGACTTTGGACTTGGACTTTTGGGTTAATGCTGGGGGCCTGTTGGGAAGGCATGATTGTGTTTTGAAATGTGAGGACATGAGATTTGGGAGGGGCCGGGGCAGAATGGTATGGTTTGGCTGTGTCCCCACCCAAATCTCATCTTAAATTGTAGTTCCCATCATCCCCACGTGTCATGGGAGGCACCCAGTGGGAGGTAATAGAATCATGGAGGTTGTTACCCACCATGCTGTTCTCATGATAGTGGGTGGCTTCTCATGAGATTTGATGGCTTTATAAGGGTCCTTTCCGCCTTTGCCTGGCACTTCTGTCTCCTGCCACCATGATTGTAAGTTTCCTGAGGCCTCCCCAGCCATGCAGAAGTGTGAGTCAATTAAACCTCTTTAATAATTACCCAGTCTCGGGTATTTCTTCATAGCAGCGTGAGAATGGGCTGACACACTATGTCTTTCTATTTAAGGTGGGTTTCTTGTAGAGAACATATATCAAATCAGTAATTGTCTTCTGATTGAAGTGTTTAGAATATTTGCACCTGATATAATTATTGACACAGTAAAGTTAAACCTATCATCTTTATATTTATTTGTTTCATCTATTTTTTTCCTCTGTTTTTGTTTTCTTTTAAAGTAATTTTTTTTTGTTATTTTATTTTATTTCCACTAGTGGCTTAAAGCTCAACTCCCCACCCCTTTTAAGTGATTACTCTGTGGTTTACAGTGTACAGTTTTACCTTATCATAGTCAAATTTTGAAAATATAGTATACCACTTCAGGTATAGTATTGGAATCTGCCAATAGTATACTTCTATTTCCTTTGTCTCAAACTTTATGCTATCATTGGCATACATTTTATTCCTCCATATATTATAAAAGCCATAGTACATTGTTACTGTTTTTGCTTTAAATCAGTTATCTTTTTTTATTGTTTATTGTGCTAAAACATACACAACATAAATTTTACCATCTTAAAAATTTTTACGTGCACAGTTCAGTGTTATATTCATAACGTAAACTATCACCACCATCTATCTCTGTAGCTCTTTTCATCTTGCAGAACTGAAACGCCATACCTGTTAAACAGTAACTCCCCATTCTCCCTTGCCCCATATTCCATCTGCCTTCTGATTTTACTCCTGTAAGGGTTTCGTATAAATGGAATCAGGCAGTATTTGTCGTTTTGTGACTGACGTATTTCATGTAGCAAGGTTCGTCTGTGTTGCACCTTGTTTAAGGAAATGCTGTGTCAGAATTTCGTTCCTTTTTAAGGCTACTGTTTTATATACCACATTTTCCTTATTCATTCCTCCATTGATGAACACTCGGGTTGCTTCCACATTTTAGCTCTCATGAATAGTGCTACCGTGAACACGGGTGTATAAATACCTTTTCGAGACTGTGCTTTCCGTTCTTTTGGTATAAAATCAAAAGAAGAGAAATTGCTGGACTATGAGTTAACCCTATTTTCAATTTTTTGAGGAACCACCGTACTGTTTTCCACAGCGGCTGTACCAACTGACATTCCCACCAGCGGTACACAAGCGTTCCAGTTTCTCCATATCCCGGCCAACACTTGTTATTTTGTAGTCTTTCGTGTGTTTTTTAAATAGTAGCCACCCTAATGGGTGTAAGGTGGCATCACATAGTTTTGATTTGCATTTCCCTAATGATTCATGATGTTGAGCATCTCTTCATGTGCTTATTGGCCATTTCTGTTTTTTCTTTGGAGAAATATCTATTCAAGTTCTCAGCCTATTTTTAAATCAGGTTTTCTGTTGTTGTTGTTACTGAGTTTTAGAAGTTCTCTACATAGTTAGATAGTTATCCCTAATCAGATATACGATTTGCAAATATTTTCTCCCGTTCTGTGGTTATCTTCTCACTGTTACTGTGGTAATAGTGTCTTTCGATGCACACATTTTTTTATTTTCAGGAAGTCCCATTTGTCTATTTTAATCATTTATATTTTATAGAGATTAAGATTATAAAATAATATTTTTCTCATATGTTTACCATTTTCAAAAATCTTTGTTTTTTATCTGTGTATGTCTGAATTTCCATCTGTCATCATATTCCTTCTCTCTAAAGAACTTACTGAGGCTGAGAGCAGTGGCTCATGCCTGTAATCCCAGCACTTTTGGAGGCCAAAGCAGGAGGATTGCTTGAGGCCAGGAGTTCAAGACTAGCCTGGACAACGGTGAAGCCCTTATCTCTACAAAAATTTAAATTTAAATTTAAAAAATTTAGCTGGATACAGTGGTGTGTGCCTGCAGTCCCACCTACTCGGGAGGCCCAGGTGGGAGGATCACTTTAGCTCAGCAGTTCAAGATTGCAGTGAGCTATGATCACGCCACTGCACTCCAACCTGGGCTGCAGAATGAGACCCTGTCTCAGAAAATTAAAAATAAATTAAAAATAAATTTTAAAAAAGAACTTCCTTTTAAATGTCTTGTAGTACACATCTGCTGGTAATTAATTCTATGTTTTATTTGTATGAGGGAGTGTATTTTTATCAACTTCCGTTATGGCCAGAATTGTGTCCCCCCTCCCAAAATTCCTATGTTGAAGTCTTAACCCTCAGTACCTCAAAGTGTGACGACTATATTTAGAGATAAGACCTTTAAAGAGATAATTAAGTTAAAATGAGGCCATTAGGGTGAACCCTAATCCATTGTAACTGATATCCTTTTAAGAGACACACCAGGGTACACACACACAGGAAAATACCACATAAGGGCAAAGCAAGAAGGTGGCCATCTGTAAGCCAAGGAGAGAGAGGCCTCAGAAGAAATGAAACCTGCTAATACTTTGATGTTGGATTTCTGGCTTCCAGAACTGTGAGAAAATTAACTTCTGTTGTTTAAGCCACCCAGACTGGTATTTTGTTATGGCAGCCCTAGAAAACTGTACACCTTGTTTTTGAGATGTTCTCTGGGCACAGATTTCTTGGTTGACAGGGATTTTTTTTTTCCTCTTTCTTTTAATACTTTTAAGATGTGGTTCCATTTTCTTTTGGCTTGTATAGTTTCTGTTGAGGTCTGCTATATTCATGTAGCTTTGTTTTGGGGTGAGTGGGTTGGTTGGTTGGTTGATATACCATGTTCTTTTTTCTCCTGAGGCTTTCAAAATATTCTCTTTATCTTTAGTTTTCAACCATTTGATGATAATGTACCTAGTTGTGTTTTTCTGTATATCTATCTTGTTTGGAATTCTCTGAGCCCCTGCTCTGGATCTGTGTTTTGTTGTCTTTCATTAATTTTGGAAAATTCTTGGCCATTATCTCTTCAGATATATCTTCTGCCCACTTCTCTCTTCTCCTTTGTAACTACCATTATGTATTTGTTAGATCATTTGATATTGTCCCATATCTCTTGGATTTCTGTTTTGTTTTGTTTTCTATATTTTCTTATTATACTTGAAGTTTTCTGTTATTAGTTTGGATAATTTATATTGATCTATACTTAAGTTCACTTTCTTTTTGTGTGTGTGTCATAATTTTTTATTAAATGTTAAATAGTCTAAGTAAAAAGAACAGTGGAAACCAAGGTAAATAAAACTTATGTCTGGAAATATACTTTCCTCTTCTTCTGTCAGGCCATTAGCATTGGGGACTGAATCAAATAACTCACTAATTGAGCTGGGTTTGGGCTTCTTTCCACTCTAGTTACCTTCATGGTGCCACAGGCCTTGAGCTTTTCAGTGGTGGATTGCCACTTTCATACGTTTAATGTGAGCTCTGTGGTGCCGATGTTTCTGTTTCATGCTTCTCTCTCAGCTTTCAGCATGTCCTTCATGCCTGCACCGCAGAGGGCCTCTCTCCATGCTCTTGTTCTTCTCTAAGCAGTAGACTGTTCTTGTTACTCAGTGAAGACTCAGGGTCGGGCAGGAGTGGCTTCTTCATTTTCCTGCTCCAGTCTTGGTCTTGGTACTTCTGTCCCACCCCCAGTGACAGACAACATCTCCCCCCTACTCAGCACAGGTCTAGACTGTCGGCTGATTTCCTACCCCTTCCCCAGTAGCAGCAGACTTCTAGTTTGAATCCATTCATAATTTGGGGTCCTACTGGACTCCCTGTCTCCTTCCTGGCAACAGTTTGCTTTTGCCTAATGTCAGCACAAGAGGTAGGGTAGATTTTGTACCAATTCTCTAGCCTAGGAATAGAGGCCATGAAGGTTGCTGCCCTACCCCCAGAAGCACACAGCTTTTCCCTTGTTCTAAAATGTTGAGCATGGAAAATTTGGCCTTATGTCTTCTCACTTCCGGGCTTTCTTGATGTCAAGCTCCCTGTCATTCTGTGTCCATGTTGTGATTGAAGAAAGCAATCTTAAACATGCATATTTTAGGAGTCACAAAAAATTATTTGCAGAGGATTCCAGAAGAAAGTTTCCTCTGTGAAAACCTTCTCTTACCATTTTTTACATTATATATAATTTCTATTTTTGTCCCCAGGCTTTTTTCTTTATTGTGTGTGATTGTATCAAATTAATTTTAATGAAATATTTCAAACATTTGGAAAAATATGGAGATTAATATAACATTACCTTTATACCCAGAATTAACAAATATTACTTTGTCTTATCTTCTTCAGATCCTTTTTAATGCTAAATATAGTATGATATTGTGATATAATAAGAAATACACATTTGGTCTCGGTCCCTAGTTCCTTATACACAGCTCCTGAAACTCTTGGAATCCCCTGAGTGATGCGTGTTTGTTTTTTTAATGCTAATAGATGACTGGTGGCTGGGAGCTCTGGATGGAGACTGGTTACCAAGGGAACCAACCCTGTGATAGATGGTTGGGACTCTCCAGCCCACACCCCAGCCTCTAGAGAGAGGAGGGGAGCTGCAGGTTGAGTTGATTGCCCGTGGCCAATGATGTAATTAATCATGCCTACTTAATGAATCTTCCGTAACACTCTAAAGGATAGTGTCCAGATGGGTTCCAGATAGCCAGCCGAACACACGGAGGTGCTGGAGGTGCCCAGAGAGGTCACGGAAGCTCCACACCCCTCTCCATGTGCCTTGCCCTGTGCATCTCTTCATCTGCCGGTTCATTTGTGTTATCCTTTGAAATATCCTTTGTAATAAATGGGTAAACATGAGTAAAGTGTTTCCCCAAGTCCCATAAGCCATTCTATCAAATTAACCTAATCCGAGGAAGAGATCCTGAGAACTCCGGTTTATAGCTGGTCAGTCAGAAGCACAGGTCACAACCTGTGATTGGCATCTGAAGCTGGAGGGTGGATACTGTGGGACTGAGCCCTTAATCTGTGAAGTCCGACACTGTCTCCAGGTAACTAGTGTCAGAATTAAATTCTAGGACACCCGGTTGGCGTCTGCTGGAGAATCTGGGTCAGGAGAGTTGTGCCGACTCTGTGAGATTAGGAAAAACACTTTGTTTTTTCCTGCCTCTAATAATAATTAAAGTCTTCTTTGTATCTCTTCTCAGCTGTATTTTTCTTTTTTCAACTACAGTGGCACAGCCACCATCCTAAATTGGTGTGCATTTTTACAGTCCATATTTTTAGCGTTTTAATACATATATGTTTCCATAAACAATGTACAATACTGTTGAGTGTGATATAAATTTAAAATATATCGTCTCATACTACTTAGGCTGTCAGTTCATTATTACTTACTGAACTCAGGCCCTCTAGTCATTTGATAATAGAAGAAAACATATTCTTGACATTTTTCAGAGAGGGTGATTCTTAGACCATTTTTTTAGGGGCCTAAGCCCTAAAGAAGCCTTCTTTAAAGGAAATAGATTGAGGTAATGTCAAGGTGGAACACAATTATGGTACGAAGTGTCTTGACCCAGCACTAAGAAAAAGGTTTTATTAAATTCAGGAGTTTTTTAAATTGCTGCGCAATAGAAATACTTATTTTTGGAGTGTGGATAATTTGATACATTCATATGCTGTGTAAATATAAATAAGAATAATTGGGATATCTGTCACCCTAAATACTTTCCTTTCTTAATGCTAGGAACCTTGAAATTCTCTTCTAATCTTCATACAATGTACAACAGATTAACATTAACTGTAGTCACCCTATTGATCTGTGGAACACTAGGTCTTACTTCTATCTAACTATATTTTAACCCACTAATCAGCCTCTCTTCAGCACGCCCCAACCCCCTTCCTGGCCTCTCAAGTTCAGTTTTAGATTTCAGCATCTTCTCTGTTTACTTTAGGATGCTCCCGTATCTGACCACTGTTACTTAGCTTTCAGAATCGCCGATCACTGAAATTCCAGGTCCAGGGGTTCTGCACTGCGCTTAGAATTTCTCCTCATGTATAAGATGTGCTGGTTGCACCGCCAAGCCCTGTTGCCGTCTGTGGGACAGGAAGCCTTGTTAGTGCCTCCATGAATCCAGCACTGACATTAGCTCACGTAGAACTAACATCTACTCAGGGAGTTGCGTTAGTGGCTCTTAAGAAACTCCATGAAAATTGTGAGAAAACTTCAATGAGAACGTTTTTGACAAGTCGCCTTTCCCTTGTATATAAATGCGAACCGTTTTTCATTTTCAAAATTTCAAACTTTTTCATAGAACTCAAGGATTTGAGTCCTGCTTCCTTTGAGAGGGGTAACAGTGAGTTTTACATAAACACTGTGTATGATTTTAAAAGGCAGTACTGAACATGTGCTACACATTAATTCCTTAGTTTCGAAAGATGCGACGGAGTGGGAAAGTTCGATATCCACAGGTGCAGATATTGGAAAGACCACACTCAGGTGTATGATCTTTCTCATAGCTGCAAGTGACTGTGTTCAGCTTTCCAATGAGGTGAGGAAACATTTATGGGCCTCCTATGGCTCTCTTATTCATTCACCACTGTGCTGTGTAACACAATTTCCCTGCAACAATAAACTTCAACTTTGCAATTTGTCACCAGTGCAATGGCTCATGTAGTTATAAAGTGAACGTGGTGACCAATTTGGGGCGTAATATTGTTCTGCAGTCAAAGTATCCTAATTTGAAGAAATTTTATGTATCGTGATTTTACACCAACTGGCCAAAGTCAGATAGTCTGATTAAATAGATTTGGTTTTGGCTAACTATATGTAGTTAATTCTACACACTTTAAATATTTTGGTTTGCAGGTATTTTTTGAAGGCTTAAGTATTTGGTTTCTGTTTCTTTGGGTTTCCTGTCTGTAGATTCTACCAAGCGTATGTTGTTGAAATAATGAATTCAGGGCCACCTTACCCCTAGCTGCAATCTTGTCAAGTTCCAGCAGCTGAGTAAACTTGGGTCAGGTCAGATTTGAGACACCCTATGACCAAGAAGATATTATTTCTAAATATCTTGTATACATTGAAGAACAGCCATTATTTTATCTCTTCAAGGTAATTTTCTTATCTAGTTCATGTTATGTTTTTTACTTCTTTTGAATTATATAAAATTGGAAGTTATATTTATAATATTGTTGTAATGTGAGGCCAAGGGGGAGCACACATCAGAAGATGGAATAAGCAAGCAGAAGCTCGGATCTGAGTCTCACAGTACTCCAGATGCAGTGAGTGGTTCTGGAGCTGTACTTCTCAAAGAGGGTGGCAGCTCTCAGAGAGGGTGGGGCCCTCAGAATCACCAGAAGAACTGTGTTCTCTTGCATTCCCATCCCCATAATTCTAATAATCTAGAGAAAATGAAGAGAGAAAAAATAAGGTGAAGCCAGGAGTGAGCTCGCAGGCATTGTCAGAGATTTAATTATTGTCATGTGCTACATAACAATATTTCAGTCGATGACGGACCCCATGTTCCACAGTGCTCCCGTAAGATGATAAGACCATATTTTTACTGTACCTTGTCTATGTTTAGATATGTTTGGATCCAGAAATACCACTGTGTTCCAGTTGCCTACAGTACGTAGTACAGTCACATGCTGTACAGGTTTGTAGCCTAGGAGCAATAGGCTGTACCAGACACCCTCGGTGTGTAGCAGCTATACCACCTAGGTCTGTGTAAGTCAGTCTGTGATGTTCCCACAACAAGACCTCCTGACGATGCATTTCTCAGAATGTATCCCCACCATTAAGTGACATGTCTGTAGTATGCAGTTTATAGTACCCCACGATATTAAAACAGAAACAGAAAAAGAAATTCCTCCCTCATGGGTCCTCATAAAGAATCTGATCGTAAGCAACATCTTCAGCATCCTTCCATATGTACAGCCGTGAGGTTCAGAAGACTTCTTTTTTTAAGAAACATCTCAGCAATATAATAAGGCCAAAGTTCATCTCATAAAAACCGTTTTCTAGGAGACCGTAAATATTGCTACTCAAATATCTAATATATTATTTAATATTGGGAATAAATTTTCAAGTCTTTGGAAAGATTTAGGCAGTACTCTCTAAATATTAGTTGTCTCAACCATTTTTTTATACATTAAGCAGCAATATGTTTAGGATCTAGTCTTTGACAGATACCAGAATGCAGCTATTCAGTGTTCAAGTATAGAGTCATACACTTTAAAAGTTAATCGAAAAAGGAAAAAAAAAATTAGCCAAGTATGGTGGTGCATGCCTGTGGTCCTAGCTACTTGGGTGGCTGAAGTGGGAGGGTCACTTGAGCCCAGCAGGTTGAGGCTGCAGTGAGCCAAGATAGCACCACTGCCCTCCAGCCTGAGCCACAGAGCGAGACCCTGTCTCAAAAAAAGAAAAAGAAAAAGAAAAAAAAGTTAGTCAATCTGCCCCTTCCCCTTAATGGTGGCTGAGGAATCAGCTGGCATGGTCAGTGAGGCTGGTGCCAAGTGTTCAACTGATATAGCCAAAATGACTGGCAGGACAAAGGCACTGGGTTTGACCAGCATGGTTGGCATATTTGGTAGTGGAGCTGGTCCTCAGGATCATGCCCTGGGCATTTGGCAGGACCATGGATTCTGCTAGCATAGCTGGTGTGTTTGTCATGCTGAGACCAAGAAGCCAGCCCACATGGCCAACATTTTTGGGAGGCGAGGGCTGAGGATTCAGCTAGCATGAGTGGAAATAGCAGGCCAGGGCCAAGAAAGTGGCCCACATGGTTGAGAGACTGGTTACATACCAGGAGATCAAGCAAATGAGTAAATATATTGGAGCTAATATATTGAGGATAGTGTGTTTGTTATTATAGGAGATAAGAGTACCAGATATAGAAAGAGTAAAGACAAATCCTATCGTATTGGATTGTTTTTAGAGGTATTGATATGAATTCATGGTTTTTAACAGATAAATAGATTTAGATTTCTCTGTGTGTATGTGTGTTTATATATGTGTATATGTGTATGTATACACATATACACATGTATGTATTTTCTTTTTTTTTTTTTTTTGAGATGGAGTTTCGCTCTTGTTGCCCAGGCTGAAGTGCAATGGCACGATCTTGGCTCACCACAACCTCCACCTCCCAGGTTCAAGTGATTCTCCTGCCTCAGCCTCCCGAGTAACTGAATCGGATTACAGGCATGCGCCACCATGCCCGGCTAATTTTGTATTTTTAGTAGAGACAGGGTTCCTCCATGTTGGTCAGGCTGGTCTTGAGCTCCTGACCTCAGGTGACCCACCCACCTTGGCTTCCCAAAGCATGTATGTATTTTCTAACCTTATCTGCTGAAGGGACCTGGAAGCAGTGACACCCAGTAACAGAGAGCTCACTTACTACTCAAATGTTGGTCTAGATGCCTTTTCCCACCAGAAGGAACCAGAGCTCTTTGGGGAAATGACTGAGTCTAGGGCTGTGTGTGGGAAAGCACGTGATAATCCCAGAACAGTTTTATACCAGAAAGTAAGGAAGCATTCCAAGAGTGGTGGGGATGTATCAAAACAACATGGGGAAAATCTTGAGGAATTCGAGCATCAAAATAAGTAAAGATAGTAACAGATTATAACAACTAATATAGAGAGAGTATTGCCTAAATCTTTCCAAAGACTTGAAAATTTATTTCCTATATCAAATAATACATTAGGTTTCTGAGTACTTGGGCAGCAATATTTAATTTAGGGTCTCCTAGAAAATGGTTTCTATGAAATGAACTTTGACATTATGATATTGCTGAGATTTTTTTTAAAAAAGAAATCTCTGAACCTCATGGCTATATATATGAAAGGATGCTGAAGATGTTGCTTACAATTAGACTTTTTATGAGGACCCAGGGGGAGAAATTTCTTTCAGATCTCTGGACTAGAAATAATCAATATTCTATTGAATAAAATAGAAATCTTTGAGTCTGTGATGGTATAAAGAAGTGAATGAATGAATGAATGAATGAATGAACAAGTAAATGGGGGAGAAAGGAAAACTCCACCCTGTGGTTGAATGCCAGCATAATGTAGACGGAATTATGGAATTAGAGAATCTGCATTTGGCACCATTATAGTAGTGACTGATTTAGGCAGGTATCATCAATGAATGTGAAAACACCAGGTGAAGGTTGACTAAGAACAGACTATTTGCATAGACTGAAAGTATCTCGTCAAACACACAAAAATGTATGTCAGTTAATTAGCACAAAGTATTTATAGTTAATTTACATTGGAAAAATCTGACACATACCATCTAAACCAAGTGATTAAGGTTAGCATCTCCAGTAGTGGGACACGTCAATGTGTGCCTCTTCATCATAGGCACAGAGAAGAACACAGGTGGTACTCTTGCCAAACAATCACCTGAATTTAACACCAGGAAACATACATAGAGTGATATAGATAGAGATACAGATAACGATACAGATAGAGACAGATGTGTATACACATGTATATTTATCAAGATAGAGAATTAATTAATGAATGATATGACAAATGTAAAATGTTAGCAGTTAAGGAATCCAGGTGAAATTTATACCAGAATAGACTTAAAGATTTCTGTTTTATTCAGTGAGTTATAATATTTTATAATCATTTATTTCAATGCTCAAATTCTCCAAGATGTTTCCCGCATCCTTCTAATATATGCCCACTACTCTTGGAAAACTTCCTTACTTTCTGGTATAAGATGTTCTTTTGAAATTATTTTAAAATAAAAAGTTTTTAAAAACTTAAATCAGTAAACTAGGATTAAGATTTTAATCCTCTTGTGAAAATTGAGAGGCACAGGAGTATTGAAAATACAAGTATTAGCCTAAATAGCCAACCCCAAGGTAACACCCACAGGCAGCCGCAAAATGGTGCCGTGGCAGGTGGAGCTTTGTGTGGGCTGAGTCGGTGTTACCCCATGAGCAGTGCTGCCAGTTACACCAAGCTCCACCCATCGCTGCACCATTACAAGAGGTAAATACGTTTGAATGCGACATCCATTTCATTACCATTACAGTGTTTAATTGTAAACATTACAAGAAGGCAGGTTTAAGTTTAACAGAAAGTGAAACTTCCTAGATCTCTCCACAAAAAGAATGGGCAGCCATATTTGAAATAAGTCCTTTTGACTGGAGAGAAGCTACTCAGTTGGGTTATAAAAAGGATTCAGGATTGCAAGATGATTTGAGTCAGCTTGTTTCTAAGGTGGTGGTGGTGGTGTTTTTCTAACCCTGATTGTCTATTATCTAGTATAACAGGGATGTATAATAGCCCCCTCCTCCCAGTTTTAGGACAGTATTTGAATGTGACATCCTAACTTGAACTCCATAAAAAATAAATTAGGTAAAATAGTTGAAAAGGGGAAGAAAGGAGGAATGAAAAATGAACAATTGTTTTGAAAAGGCAGTTTTCATAGGATAAAGACTTGCCTAAACGATGAGGAGGCCCTTTTTTTTTTTTTTTTTTTTTTTCATTTTTCTAGTTCCACTTAGGATAGACCAAGATAATATATTAAATTACAAAAGAAATATTTTAGTTAAACATAGGGAACAGCTGTCTGACTATAAAACTAAGCAACATGGAAAAAATTCAAAAGAATGTTGTAGAATTTCCTTCTGGAGAGTTTTAAAAACTAAGGTTGACTCCCCATCACTTAGTGCCCATCCCAACCTCACCATACTTGTCAATATTGTACCCATTTGATACAGATCATCTCATACAATTAGCCATATGGATTATATATGAATATGAGACATGTATAACCTGTATGTTGAATGATTGAATATTTTTGAAAGTGCAGCTTTCGTTTTTAAAACCTTTGTCGCCCAGGAATTTTAGATAAAGCCAACGTTTTTGGCTCTAAAATTGAACTTTGAGCCGGGCACAGTGGCTCACACTTGTAATCCCAGCACTTTGGGAGGCTGAGGCAGGCAGATCACCTGAGGTCAGGATTTCGAGACCAGCCTGGCCAATGTGGGAAAATCCTGTCTCTACTAAAAGTACAAAAATTAACCTGGCGTGGTGGTGGGCACCTGTAATCTCAGCTACTTGGGAGGCTGAGGCAGGAGAATAGCTTGAACCCAGGAGGCAGAGGTTGCGTGAGCTGAGATTGCACCATTGCACTCCAGCCTGGGAGACAAGAGCGAAACTCTGTCTCAAAAAATAATAATAATAATAAAATAAAACTGAGCCTTTGTAGCAATGGGTGGTTGTTTTAAGCCTTAATAAAGAAATGTGTTTTAATTCCAGATATTAACCAAAAGGCACCTAACATATATTGCTAAAACTACCCCCAATTCAGCAGGCATAGAGACATAAAACACTAAACTTAAGAGAACAAAATGGTAAATAGGACTTTATCAAACTTTAAACTTCTATTCATCAACACTGGGAAAAAATATTCACTAAATACATACATACACACACAAAAACACATACACACATGACAAAGTACTTGTATTGAGAAGATATTTTAAAAGTCAGTAACAAAAGATATTTAATAGATATTTAGTATCTATTAGATACTTAAAACAACATAAGTTTTTAAATGGGCAGAAGACTTGAACAGACTCTCCAAATATACAAAGTAAGCACATGAATAAGTGTTTATGCAAATGAAAGCCACAAAGAGATAGTACTACAGTATCACTAAAATAGCTAAAATTAACAAAACTGACAGTACCAAATGCTCGTGAAGATATGGAGCAACTGGAACTCTGATACACTGTGATGAGAGGGTAAAATGGCATAATATTTTAGAAAACTGAGAAGCAGTTTCTTATAGATGTACATCTATCCTGTAACCCAGGGATCCTATTCTTACTCAAAAGAAATGAAAGCATATGTCCACAAAAAGACTTGTACAAGAGTGTTCATAGCAGCTTTACTGGAAAAAGTCCAAAAGTGGAAACAACCCAAATGTCCATTAACAGGAGAATAGGTATTTTTAAATGATCATATATCATTAATGGAATACTACTCAGCAATAGAAAAGAATGAACTACTAATACAAACAACTGAATCTTCAGAAACACTGTGTTAAGCAAAAGAAGCCAGACACACACAAAAAATTATGTACTAAATGTATTATTCCATTTATATGACATTCAGGAACAGAATAAATTATGGTGGTAAAAATTAGAACAGTGATTACTTATAGGAATTGACTGAAAGAGGATAAAACAGAACCTTCTGGGGTAATGAAAATGTCCTATATTTTGACTGGGGAGATGGCCATGTGGGTAGATAAATTCATCAAAATTCATTCAGTTGTACACCTAAAGATCTGTACATTTTGTTATATGGCAACGTTTAAAAAAAATACTCCGCCTCCAGTCTCCTTTTGAACTGTTTGAAGTAGTACAACTGATAGGCAGATTCTGCTAAAAAGCTAAAAATATAATTTTTCTCTAGAGTACAAATTTCTTTTTTTTTTCCACCGTAAATGCCAGCCTCCCATCAGAGGCTGAACCACAGTGGAATCAACTTTCATCAGCCAGCCCCTCTGTGGCTCACTGAGCTTTGGATTCCAGGTCCCTTTCCCAGCACTTAGTCCCATTTTTAATTTTCAGGAAGTATTGTTCCAAAACTTGGCTCAGACTTATCCTCTCCTTGGATTCCTTTCTCCATTTGTTTTCTCGGTTTTGCTCACTTACTCTTTAACTTGCACCCCTCTTTTTCCAAGGTGGTGGATTAGGGGGTGTTAATGCTGGGGCAGTGTTAGGCACAGAACCTAGGAGTCATCTCCCTCACTCCGGGACCGCATCAATCATCAGTCACAGACATGACAGTTCATTTTTCCCTCCTGAACGCGCCTGCACAGATGGGTGTATCGCTCAAGTAGCCAAATGGATGTAGCTGTTGGGGGACAGGGCCTGAGGGGCAGCAGGGAGAGAAAAGAACAAAGAAAGAAAGAAGAATGGTTCTTTGTGGGGCAGCAAACTTTCTTCTGGTTCCCAGCCTGAATGTTTCTGATCTGGTTTTCTTCTTTTTGTGATGTTTGAACTTGTTTCCTCAACTCAGATGCTGAACTCTTGTCCAAAAAACCTAAGGGCAGCATAGTGTGAGAGACTGTGGGAGGCAAGTCCAGCAATCCAGCAAAAAGAATTGCAGAACTGTGAAGATAAATGTGTGTCCGTATCAGGACTGCGCTGGAGAACGGGAAGAGAGGGGTTGGGGTGCTAAGACTGTGTGTGTGTGTGTGTGTGTGTGTGTGTGTGTGTCTTGACAAACTGATGAGAAACACTATTGAGTAGTTTTCTCCTCTCTGCTCTCACACACAGTCTGGCACTTTCTTCTTCTGTGACAGCTGCCATTAACTTTTTAATGCGAAGACAAGGGTATCTTGCCAATTGGATGTTGAAATCTCTGGCAAGGAAAAGCTTGCTTTAAAAAAAAAAGAGGCAGGGAATATGGGGAAGGTTGGGCAGACATACCAAAGGTCCGGGGGAAGACAGGGTACTAAGTTGGACCTTACAATGCAGAATGGCTGCCCTGCTTCTGATAAAATCCCCTCAAATGAAGTTGGGAAAAGAAAGAGGAAATGGGAGTGTGAGTGTAAGGGAGATAAGGAACTCTTTTACGCAGTTGCAATGACACAGATATTAAGTATTATTTGCAATTCACTCCCGATGGATGTGAGAACTCCTCATGGAGTTTTGGTGTATATGTGGGACCTTGTGCTAAATGTAGAATAATCTTGTTTGTGCAGAAAGAGAAGGAAAGAGAAAATATTAGGAGACCTCTGTAGACCAAAACATTATGATACAAAAGATTGTTCCAGTCATTTCCTTCCATAGCTTATCTCAGAGAAGGGGAGTTCTGGTGTTCGTGGCTCGCCTATCAGGTCTTCCCCTCACCTCTAAACTACGGCAGCTCTTGATCCTTATTACTGGTACCTACCCCAAACTCACCAGGTCTAAATAAAACTGAACATAAAAACATCCTGTTGTGAATTCAGTTCTCATGTACCTTCAGCTTTGCAGCAAAGAATGCAAAAGCCTTTTTTTTTTTTTTTTTTTTTTTTTTGAGACAGAGTTTCGCTCCGTTGCCCAGGCTGGAGTTCAGTGGAGCGATCTCAGCTCACTGCAACCTCCCCCTCCCGAGTTCAAGCAATTCTCCTGCCCTCACCCTCCCGAGTAGCTGGGACTACAGGTGTGCACCATGACGCCCAGCTAATTTTTGTATTTTTAGTAAGAGACAGGGTTTCACCGTGTTAGCCAGGGTGGTCTCGATCTCTTGACCTCACGATCTGCCCACCTCAGCCTCCCAAAGTGCTGGGATTACAGGCGTGAGCCACGGTGCATGGCCACAAAAGCCTTTTTTAATCTAGTTTTTATTAGCTTGGCCTCACACTGGACTCTTTAAAAAAGAGTCCTAAAATATGAATATGGAATATTATATGAAATATTTTATAAAAATATTTTATAAAAAGCTCAGCATTTATGGAGATCTTAGTGTATTTTAGCTGCCCTAATTGCTTTTTTCCTTTGTGTTGAACGTATTCCCATGGGAGAAGAAAGTTCACCCTCCTGAGTCCCTGAGCTCCTGCAGGAAGAATTATTTACCATCCTGGAATTTTAATGAGTCTTGACAATTACTGTAATCCAGGTCATTGAACGCGGGTCTGTCATCGCCAGTGTCATCTTCCAGAGATGATGCTCCCCCAACTAAGCTGAGAAGAAAATGAGTCCTTGTGAATGCCAAAGAGACATGAATGTGACCTGCACCAATGCTGCAAACCTAAAGCCAGTGGGACTAGAAACTGTGGAAATGACAGTCTTCCGGTCCGGTCAGAGCATCTGAAATAAATTGCCCACAGTTTTCTTCCAAACTTTTAAATTGTTTACAAAAGGTTTGGTGGTACCAATCTTACTGAGACGGCCTAGAAATACAAGTAACGTAAATTTCTTACAGAGTGTCTACAATGCTGCATGCCAGAGGCACTCAGCACACCTGAAGGATGTGAAGCTCCTGTAGGAACAGTAGCTCTGTACAACAGTAATCTCTAGACAACCAACGTAAATTTAAACAAAAAGGTGTGAGACCACACACCCTTCTTCCAGTGGGGCATAACTGCCCAGGTGTAAAATCAGACAGGAACCCTGAAATATGAACCATCTCCAGTTTGCAGACAGACATTGCTGCCATTCTCCACTTGACTCCCCTGTGCCCATGCCTGAAAGCCCCGCTTCCCCTAGAGAGGTGGGGGCAGTGTGGCCACAGCCTCTCTCCCCGCAGTACCACCTGGTCCCAAAAGTCCCAGCCCTCCACGGCAGCACTAGTGAGGCCTCCTTGCTGTTGCTGCTGTTACTCCCTGAGCCTTCTAGAGAATCTCCTGCATGCCCTGTGAGAATGTGCTGATGCTGGGGCCACTGCCACAGTCGCGGGTTTTCTCCCAGACCCCCTTCTGGTGCCAAGTAGGAAAGATGGGACCAGGCTAATTCTGTTGCCACTGAGACAAGTGAAGACATATCCTGATGTCTGGAGTTGGATCTCAGAAGGCGCCTTCCAGTGTATAAACTGATATGAAATGGTGGTTAGGTCCTGTGGCACTGCACACCAACACTGTATTACCTTGCTCGGGACACCGTAACAAAATACCACAGACCGCGTGGCTTAAGCAACGTAAATTGATTTCCTCACAGTTCTGGAGGCTGGAAGTCCGAGATCAAGGGGTCGGCAGGGTTGGTTTCTCCTGAGGCCCCCTCTCCTTGGTGTATACATGGCTGCCTGCTCGCTGTGTCCTCACGTGGTCTATCCTCTCTCCCTGTGCTCCCCAGTGTCTTTCTGTATGTCCAGATTTCCTCCTGTTACAAAGATACCAGTCATACTGGATTTGGAACCACCCTGCCTGCCTCATTTTAACTTAATCGCCTCTTTAAAGGCCCTGTCTCCAAATGCAGTCACATCATTCTGAGGTTCTGGTGATTTAGGCTTCCACCTATGAATTTGGTGGGGACACAGCTCAGCCCACCACAGACATTATGGGTAAAATAGGCTCATGGCAACAACTTCCGAACCTAACTACTGCTTGGGTAATTGTTAAGGGTTTCAAAATAACTGACTGTCAAACAAGCTCTGGAAACTGCATTCCAAATAAACTGTGGGGCTCTGCCTGTTAAAAGGTAGGAGGTCCTGGCGAATCTGTTATGTCCAGTAATTACTGAATACTCCCTTAGGGGCCATTCAGGGTCTGCTGGTTACTTCAATAAAGAATGCTGTAAGAAAAGCACTGAGTCTCTGGCCCTTTCTAAAAGAGTTGTGTAAGAGACATAAAGCCATAAAATATGAAGTAGGTGCTTGTTTAGCGACTGAATGAAATCAGGAATTTTCCGGAGATAAGATTATGGTATTCTTCTACACTGTATAAATGCTATCTTCCTGCTTTGTTTACCTCTTTTTATACAAAAGACCACCTAGGCACAAAAGGAAGTGCCCCTACCTAGCATAGTCTGAACGAGTGAAAGAGAGTCTTTAATTTTAACACTAAAGATAACAGATCTTGCTGTAAAGTGCAATGATGCTTAATAGCCCTAAAGATCAGGTTGTGATTGATGGGATTTCTCATGGTGTTCTTGTTAAAGATAAATAGTAGTTTTTAATGTTATCAGACTGGAAACATCTTACTCTTTTCTAATGTAAGCTCTAAAGCAAACTTCGGACACTAACATCTTATTGCCAACTTAACAGAAAAGTGTGATGGGATATTGGATAAGGCTCCGACCTGCGTGCCTGAAATTTCAGTGGTTCGGTTTGTTCCTTTGAATGAGGCATCTCTCTGAGGCACTGCCTTTCTAAGTGCAAGTTTTCTAGGAAGGGCAGTGTGTTGTCAGTTTCTCCTTAGCGTGCCCAGTGTATCTAGGATGATACAAACAGGAAGAGACTGGGAAAAGGAGGGTTCAAAAAAGGGAGGGACCCAATGGCCAGATTAAAAACCAGCTTAACCTCTTCATTGTATCCCAGGCCTGATGATTGAGCATCTTTATTCTTAGGATTCTCCAACTTTAGGCTACCTGATACATCTAGAGCAGCGGTCCCCAACGTTTTCGGCACCGGGGACTGGTTTCACAGAAGGCAGTTTTTCCACAGACAGGGGAGTGGCAGGGAAGGGATGGTTTCAGGATAATTGAAGCACATTACATTTATTGTGCACTTTATTTCTGTTATTATTCCATTGTAATATATAATGAAATAATTATACAATTCACCATAATGTAGAATCCATGGGAGCCCAGAGCTTGTTTTCCTGCAACTAGACTGTCCCATTTGGGAGTGATGGGAGACAGTGATAGATTATCAGGCATTAGATTCTCATAAGGAGCACGCGGCCTAGATCCCTCGCGTGCGTGGTTCACAATAGGGTTTGCGCTCATATGAGAATCTAATGCCTCAGCTGATCTGACAAGAGACGGAACTCAGGCAGTAATGCACGCAATGGAGAGCGGCTGTAAATATAGATGAAGCTTTGCTTCCTGGCTAGCCCTTCACCTCCTGCTGTGTGGCCCAGTTCCTAACAGGGCCTGGACCAGTACACGGACCCAGTACTGGGAGTTGGAGACTCCCGATCTACAGTATGTGAGAAATCACATCAACCTTTTACAAGGATTGAGCCTAAATTTGAACCAAAAAATACTTACTTCTAAAAGTAAGTAAGCCACAGATAGATGTCAGAATACAACTAGCAAGAAGGTAAAGACTCATGGAAAAGATGGAGTAATGAGTTTTCTTAGCACTGTATGATACGACAGAAAAGCTGCAGGGGGAAGGCTTCACGAAAGCAAAAAACTCCAACTAGAAATAGCCTGCAGGGGCCAGGTGCAGCGACTCACGCCTGTAATCCCAGCACTTTGGGAGGCCAAGGTGGGTGGATCACTTGAGGTCAGGAGTTCAAGGTCAGCCTGGCCAACATGGTGAAACCCATCTCTACTAAAAATACAAAAATTAGCCCAGCATTGTGTTGCACACCTGTAGTCCCAGCTACTTGGAAGGCTGAGGCAGGAGAATCGCTAGAACCCGGGAGGTGGAGGTTGCAGTGAGCTGAGATCATGCCACTGCACTCCAGCCTGGGCAACAGAGCAAGACCCCATCAAAAAAGAAAGACAGAAAAAGAGAGAGAGAGGAAAGGAAAGGAGGAAGAAAGAAAGGAGAAAAGAAAGGAAAGAAAGAGCCTGCAGGCTCTCAGGGATCACTGTTCTACTGTTATTTTATAAGGCAAACCAGGGATGAGCTGTATTTAGCCACAGATTATTAAATCTGGAAAGAATTTAGAAATCATCTAATCTCCCCTTTATACACATAATGAAGCTGAGGACAGAGAGGCTCAAGATGGTAAAGCTAAGTGGCAGAGTTAGAACTAGACATTTCTTCCATTTCAGACCTTTTCCCACTACTTCCCTGTGCAACCTTGGGAAGAAAGTCCTCTTAGCCTGTCAGAGGCATCTCTGTCTGTAACTGTTCTCCTTCACGAATGTTAACTCCTCTGCAGGATGCCACAGGGACATTTGCCTTCTAGTGCAAGCAGAGTGTTTCAGGAATGCATAACAGCAGATAGATACATGTCTGTGCTAGGTGTTGTGCACTAACCAAGCACTATGGATTTCTTGCAGGGAGAAAAAGGAAGAGTAGATAACTAACAATATCTTATTAAGAGTCTCCTGCAGGGCTGTGACTCCACGCAGCTCTCTTCTCCCTGTCCTGCTGGTGGGAGCCTTGAGCCCAGCTCTTGAGCACTGTCTGGTGTGGCACCCTGCAGGCTGCCAGCAGCTGTCATACGGGCATTGGGATCGTTGGAAAGTGCTGCAACATGGGAGTAGCTGGGGCAGCTGTTGATTGGGAGCAGCCTCCACGGGCTGTGTTCAGTGGGTGATTCCATGCCTTTGGTCTGTGTGGAGCTCACTCTCTCCCTTGGCTCCTTCGGAGGGGTGGGCCCACCGCCCTCTCCAGCTGTTTTCTCAGAAAGAGAGGCAAAGAAGAAGGACCTGGCGGTCCTTCCAGAGTGCTTGCTGTGGTGTGGGCTTCGCCTCCCCTCCGTGTGGGAATAAACTGTGTGAAGCCATGTGGGTCCTGGAGCTCCGTGGCTTCACCCACACTTTCTGGGGGAACTGCACTCACAAGTATGGAGAGCCTTAAGCATTCGTTGAGCCAGACTGGACTGGAAACGTCCCGGGAGTCCCTCATTCTCACCCTTCTTCACCTAAGTAAACACACAACAAAATTCTCTGAGCTTTAGGGGGCTGTGGGAATATTTTTCTTTCAACCCCAACCTTCCCCAAGAGCTTTCAAATCACATAAAGTACTGTTTTCCCTTTAGCAATCCAAAACTAGTAACATGCAACTCCAGGCCCCACCCCACCCCACCCCCATCCTCCTCAATGCCAGCCAAGTCAGACACAACTTGCCATGTCCCTGTGGTGTGCCATGAACTGGGCAGGTATGCCCCGGGGTCACTCAGAGCAGCCCACGGGACCCTAGAGCTCTGGCAGTCGTGGAACCCCTTCCATGGCCCTTGTGAGTTACGGGGCCAGGAGTTTGTATCACATCAAAGGGTCATTTCGTCATCTCACAAGGGAGTCAGGAGATACCACCCAGAGAATGTATCAGATTTATACTAAAAAAAAAAAAAATCCAGCAAGATCCATAGCTCTCTGTGGGAGCCATTCCAGTTTCTCCCTGTCACAGTGGCCCTAGAATCAGATACCACGCACTGGAAATAGCAGAGTGCAACCCTGGACGTAGAGGGTGCATTGAGCACGTGCCACTGTGGCTGGGGGGAAACTTCCTTCTCTCTTCCTGCCTGGCCTGAGAGATTGCCTGGACGTGGATCAGGCTTTGTGCTGGTTTAGCACTTAAATCTTAACTGCAACAAAGCCTTGTTCTTACCACCCTGACAGTTTCAGCATTAGGTTTCTTATTAGTTGTTTGGGTTTGGGGTTTTTTTTGTTTTTTTTTTTTCTTCATCTTCTCCCTTTTGACACTTTTCATTTCTGAGAGCCAAACCAAATACGCTAGGCGGACTAGCTAACCTGGCTGTGTCTGCGATTCCCAGAGCCCTGCTGCTGCTCTGATGGGTCCCTTTGGTAAGGAGGGAAATTTTTCTCCATTTTTATAACGACGAGCCCTTAATTTGAACGTCTCTGTTCACTTCAGTTAATAGATTTGTAAGAAATAATGTGAGATATTACCAAATCAGCTTAGACAACCAGATTAAAAATCTGCCTCACTGGGAAATCTGCTTCTTTGTTTAGAATACTCCACACTTTCTCAAGCCTGCATCTGCAAATCTTTGGCCTGATAAAGACTTCCAGAGTCCATCCGTCCATCTCTTGCTTCAGGACTGTACTTCGTCCAAGCATTCCACACAGAAGGGTAACTGGCTTGTTCTTTGAGTGGGATACCACGTCACAGTTCCTTTGGTGTTCCAGGGACATTTCTATACAAGAGATGGTCCCCTGTTTTCTTAGTGTATAGAGGCTCATCAGACCAATGTAAATCTCCTGTTGAGTTTTATTTTTTTAATTCCCATTTTTGTCTTTTATAGTCATGTTTTCTGTTCTCTTGCCAAACTCCCGTGCTATTCAGCTCCCTTCCCAGCTTGTTCAGAAAAGGTATAACACCCACATCAAGATAAAACCTGCTGAGCATGGTGGCACACACCCGTAGTCCCAGCTGCTCAGGAGGCTGAGGCAGGAGGATCGTTTAAGGCCAAGAGTTCAAGACCCACCTGAGCAACACAGCGAGACCCTTTCTCTAAAAAATTAGAGAGGTATAACTTTTCAGGAAAGAGGATAATCTGGAAAGTTGCTGTAGGCACAGACTATCACGTAGAAAAAACTGAAATTATCTCAGCTAGGGAAGAATGCTTTAGGCAGGAAGACAGCCAGAATTTTAGAAGTGTCTAGACATAAGTAAGTTAGAAATTAAGATATGAGTATGTTGGTGACATCTGCGAATACAAAATATAATCATCAGAAAGCAAACATTTGTTCTGGATTTTGTCCAGATAACGGTTTAAAACTGAAGTGTTGTATCTATTGTAGTGCGTGGTTCCAGCTCCTGCTGTACATGAGGAGGTTAATTTGGAGTGACAGGTGTTAGCAACACGTGTTTCTTGGTCCTGTAGATTGCCACTGACCCAATTCATTTGTCCACCTTTGCTGGGGTTACTTGGTCTCTCAGTTGTTGACTTTCACAAAATAATGGTTGACTCTAACCTTGCAAAGAATAATAAACAACTGTGAGTGGTGACAGCTGGAAGAGGTCTGACAGCTAGCAAGACCAGATTCCTTGTAAAGCTTTCCTCTCAGGTAGGGGAGACTTCCTCTTTTTCTCCATGGAGAGCTTGTGCACCTGGATGCAGTAGAGCCTGATCCACTAACCACTGGCCAGGCGTGATAGATACATATTAAGTTTTCCTACAACAGATAGATCTATCAGTCTAACCTGTGTACCTGGCCCTGTACCTCTTGAGACCTCAGCTGTCTTACTTGTAAGGTTAGAGAATGGGACTAGTAGTTCCTGTAGCTCCCTTCCGGGCTGATGAGTCTAAATTTCAGAATTGGCCTGTTTTGGGTGTAGCATTTGTAGGTCTCGTTGTTCCATTGTTGGGTATTTGCCTGAGCTGCAGGTCGGGGATAGGGGACAGGGTAGAAAACTAAATGATAATTTATGTTTTTATATAGATTCACTAGAAATCTTAACTGTTTTATTTCTTTTAGGGCTGGGGGCTGCCAGTGCAGTTGCAGAGTTTTCAGTGCCATAGCTGGGAAGCAGAGAAGCTCTTGATTTGTTTTTGTTTTGTTTTTAACCTTTGAAAATGAATGGCAGAAATATGTGATGACCTAACATTAAAAAATCTAGGCCAAGCACAGTGGCTCCCCACTATAATCCCAGCACTTTGGGAAGCCAAGGTGGGAGGATTGCTTGAGGCCAGGAGTTCAAGACCAGTCTGGGCAACATAGTGAGACCTCCTCTCTACAAAAAAAATTTAAAATTAGTGGGGTGTGCTGGCATTTCGCTGTAGTCCCAGCCACTCGGGAAGCTGAGGTGAGAGAATCACTTCAGCCCAAGAGGTAGAGATTGCAGTGAGCCGTGATCACACCACTGCACTCCAGCCTGGGCAACAGAGTGTAACCCTGTCTCAAAAGAAAAAAAAAAAGAGAAGAGAAAAGGAAGGAAGGGAGAAAGAAAAGGAAAAAAGGAAGGAAGGGAAGGAGGGAGGAAGGAAGATAAATCTAGCTACCCTAAGGCATATGGCTAGCATTCACTCAGTAAATACTTAATGAACACTTATTACATGCCAGGCATAAAGTGTTGTTGATAATACAAGAAAGTAATTACATACTTGAGTTTCCCTCCCATCCAGGGAATCTCATCTTCTATCATGAGGGAAAGAAAGGAGGAAGTCCCTTTATATCACCACTTGAATCTGGAGGAGATGACTGTGAACTATCAAATTGTTAAGCAGTGGAATTTTGACTTTGGATAGACAGACCCGAATGGAGCCAAACTCTTGTTGTTTTTTGTTTGTTTTTCTGAGAAGGAGTCTCACTCTGTTGCCCAGGCTGGAGTGCAGTGGTGCGATCTCAGCTCACTGCAACCTCCGCCTCCTGGGTTCAAGCAGTTCTCCTGCCTCAGCTTCCTGAGTAGCTAGGATTACAGGCACGCACCACCATGCCCAGCTAATTTTTGTATTTTTTTAAGTAGAGACAGGGTTTCACCATGTTGATCAGGCTGGTCTTGAACTCCTGACCTCGTGATCCACCCACCTTGGCCTCCCAAAGTGCTGGGATTACAGGTGTGAGCCACTGCGCCCGGCCCAAACTCTCGTTTTTATTATGCCATTTTGTTCAAAGTTAGTTATGGGAGAGCAGTAACATCTTATTTACTTTTGGTCTAAGCAACAGCCTTTCCTTCCTGTAAAAACAAATTCATACATTGCCTGGCAAGGGAGTTCATCACAAAGTAGGAAGGGGAGCTGGGTGTGATGGTGCGCACCCGTAGTCCCGGCTACTCAGCGGTCTAAGGCAGGAAGATCACTTGAGCCCAGGAGTTCCAGGCTGCAGTGAGCTGTGATCTCGCCACCGCACTCCAGCCTGGGGGACAGAGTGAGACTCTATCTCAAAAAAAAAAAAAAAAAAAAGGACAGGGAGGGAGAAGGAGAAGTCCCCACAGCAGCCTCACAGCCATTACCACTTCCGGCCCACTTGCACAGTCTCTGCAAGTGCAGACTTGAAAGGAAAGAGGACTTTGGAGTTAACTTTAATGAGTGGGAAATAAACATAGGATAAATTCTTCAAGAGCAATTTTAGTTTTCCCTGGTACTAAGTGCTAAAGGGATTCTGTAGAGTCAAGAAGTGACCAGATGCCTGTAGAAAAATAGATCCCTGGGCAAAAAAGATTGAGGTTTAGAGGGATTGTAGAGGGTTAGAGGGATTCCAGATCCCTCTGACTGTGTAAGTTTTATGTCTTATTCAATAGATGCTCTTACGGCAAAATACATTTCCATTTATTCCAGTTGTGTGAAATTCCAAACTAGGAAGTTATTTTATGTCTTCGTATCTCCTAAGAAGCCTGCAGATTCAAGTTAGGGGCTTGTGGGCCAGACCTGGCCAGGACGAGCACCATTTCCACTTGATCTGTCAGCTCCAAAAGGCTCCGAACATCATGCCAGATTACAGCTCAGACCTCATGGCCTGTGACACATCCTGGGACTTAGCTGTTAGAACCTCAAGTTTAGATTCTTGTCTGCTTAAACCAAACTAGGCATTTCTGAATAATTTCCTGCCCTCCACCAAACCATCTGCAGAAAGGAATTAATCTGAGTCACTGCCAACCACAGAGGAATTCATTCACTGACCCCTCTTGTAACCGTCCCTTCTTTATACCCATCAATACATCCTCCCTTTCACCTCATGCTTTGTGACTATGAATAGAGTTGTTTACCTTGAAATCAGGCCAAGTCCACAGAACTTTTAACTGTATTTTCTCTTTTACAAATTTATTTCACGGAGTTCTGGTAGCTCTCTCTAACATCTTTACTAGAGAGAAAATGTTGTTTCTGTTCTAAAATCATGACTTGTGCTGAGCGGTAAATGTTTGGGGCAGTCTCCCTGAATCAAGCAGCCCGCCCCTCAGCTCTGCTTCTCTTTCTCCATTCAGCCCCCTCGCATTCCTTATTCTTTAGACTGTCAGCTTGTTCTCTGGCAGTTATCCTAACACTCAAAGAGGGAAGGGGGCCTGAGTGGTTTTCCCTGTAGCCAGTCGTAACCATGCTTTTGTCTGCCATATGCTTGGAGAGCCTCATCTCTGAAATGTTCCCGCTCTGCTGAGCTTCCTCCGTTCGTTTCTTCCCTGCACAGTGGTAGGGTGAGGCATTCTCCCCTTCCCTCTGCTGCATACGCTTCCAGCCTGTGTTGCTTTGAGCATTCAGATTGAGTTGCTCTTGCATTTGTGATTCTTGGCTCAAGTCCCTCTAGAAATCATATTACTACTCTGAGTTCAGGGAGGGCTGGAACAGCTACTAAGAACAGAATGCATTTTAATAACATTCAACACACAAAAAAGCCAGAGAATTTCTGCCAGAGGCCACCTTCGTATCCTATACTTGTCCCGTATTCCATCCCTTAAGAACTTTAAACACAGTGGAGTGCTACACTGTATGGTTTATGTGCCCTGCTGTCTACCAAAGGGCCTGTATCATCAGATTGTTTTGGTTTGGACATGCTTCAAATTTGAACTTAAATAGCTCTTTAGAACATTATCGAGGCCTTTCCCCAGAATTAATATCTATTCCTTTATTTCATTCACCATTTTCAGATTGTCTGCTACGTGCAGGCCTTTTGTTACGAGGCAATATTGGTATACAAAAAAGAATTCACCAAGGAGCTTGAAGAACAGTTGGGGAATTAAACATAAAACCAACTATTGAAAGGGGACAAAATGAATACTGTAGCAGTTTACACTTCTAACCAGGGATGGCATTACAGAGAAAAGGGGCTCAACCGTGAAGGATAAGAAAGATAGAGAAGAAAGATGTGTAGGAAGTAAGATTGTCCACATTCTAGAATGAGAGGAAAGGAAAAGCAAAGACAGGGAATGGCAGGTATGTACCAGGAGATGAAATTGAAGCAGTAGCTCCCATGCCAAAAAGCTTAGTCTTTTATTTTGTAGGAAGGAAATCATTTAAGATGTTGGAAGAGGAGGAGGGAACTGTTCCAGCCTATTTTAGAAAGATTACTCTTACACCAGGGTTGAAGTAGTTATGAAGCTATTGCAAGATGGTAGAACATGAGAGCTTGAATTAGGATTGTTAACAAGGATATCGGAAATGAAAAAACTAGGCTAGATGTGGTGGCTCACACCTGTAATTTCAACATTATGGGAGGCTGAAGTGGGAGGATTGCTTAAGGCCAGGAGTTGAAGAGCAGCCTGGGCAACATAGTGAGATGTCATCTCTTTAAAAAAAAAAAAAAGGCTGGGCAAGGTGACTCATGCCTGTAATCCCAGCACTTTGGGAGGCCGAGGTGGGTGGATCACACGGTCAGGAGATCGAGACCATCCTGGCTAACACAGTGAAACCCCGTCTCTACTAAAAATATTTTAAAAATTAGCCTGGGGCCACCTGTGGTCCCAGCTACTCAGGAGGCTGAGGCAGGAGAATGGCATGAACCCGGGAGGCAGAGATTGCAATGAGCTGAGATCACGCCACTACACTCCAGCCAGGGCGACGGAGCAAGACTCCATCTCAAAAAAAAAAAAAAACTTAGCCAGGCGTGGTGGCACTCTCCTGTAGCCCTAGCTACTCGGGAAGCTGATGCAGGAGGATCACTTGAGGCCAGGAGTTAGAGGTTACAGTGAGCTATGATCACTCCACTGAACTCCAGCCTGGGCAACAGAGCAAGACTCTTTCTCTTCAAAAGAAAAAAAAGAAAGAAAAAACTAAATTAGAAGAAACATGATCTGGAAAGAGCATTAATAGGAAACTCACAGAAGAAGTGGCCAATAAATATATATTTTTTAATGTTTTACCCCAGTTTTTGGCTTCACTACAGATGGGAAGAACTACGAATGAAAACAGTGCTGTCATACTGGGAAGGTTGGGATTGGTTGGTTTGTTGGAGTCCCCAGTATGTTCAGAGAGTGGGAAAATGGCACCCTTATTTCTTGCTTATGGGCTGAATATCAGTACAGCTATTCTAGAATGGTCTGGTTACTTGTCAAAAGCTTTACACAGGTCTATACCCTTTGACTCGGGAATTTTAAGTAGAAAATCATAGACATGCAAAGATTTATGTATGGGAAAATGTAATACATTAATATTTATAGTAATGAAAACGAGAACAAACTAAATGTCTATTGGAGTTAAATAAATTACAATATATTAATAAAATGGATTACAATGCAGCCCATTATAAATTATTTTAGAAGAATATTTTATCACATGAAAAGCTGTTTAATTATTGGGTGAAAAGAACAATTCAGTAAATAGTATGAACAGTATGATTTGATGTGTAAAGGGAACATTCACCAAGAGATGTTTATCAGGCACTGGAAAGATGTGAGTCTGAAACTCAGTAGAAAAAGAAGCTAGAGTTATAATTGTGTAGATCCACCTTCATAATGGTTATGTTTAGATGAGGGACATAGAAGAGTTATTATGCTAGTTATTATACATGTGATATTTTCTGTGATTAAAAAAAAATTTAAAGAACACCTACCTCAAAAGAAATAAATTTGAAAGAAAGTGGATTAAATGTGTTAATCACTAAAGCACTTAGAATAATACTTGGCCCATAATAAATGCCCAGTAAGTTAGTTGCTGTTATTATCACCCTCCCCCCTTTTAAAGCTAAAGGTAAACACATTTCGCTAAGCAGAGGATCTAAGAGAGAACAGTGGACAGTCTCCTTAGACCTCAGGAAACCCCTGCACGTGTGAGACTGAGCAGAAAGAAGAACAACACCAGGACAGGGAAGAAATGTTGGGGCAGGCAGAGGAGAGCCAGAAACATGTGGGTGTTGGGGGCCTCTAGGGCAGACAGCCTAGCAGGTGTTTTCAGGGTCAGATTGGATCGTACAGTTAGATAATCCTTGGGGGTCCTTGATGGGTTTTTTTCTGAAGTTTTGAAATTATAACTTGCATACAGAAAAGTAAACAAATCCTATGTATATAGCTGAATTACACACTCATATAGCAAATTCTTGGAACAAGCAGCAGAATGTTACCAGTGCCGAAGCCCCTTGTCATCCTCCTTCCAGTCACTCCTCATCCTCCAAGGATAACCTGACCTCAAACACCACAGATTAGTTCTGCCTGTTTTTAAACTTTCTATGCCTGGAATCATACCATACTCTATTGTGTCTGGATTCTGTCATTCAACATCATGTTTACGAATTGTATCTGTTTTGTTATACATATAGTTCATTCATTCTCATTGCTCTATGATATTCCATTGTATGAATGTGCCACAAATTGTTTATCGTCTGTTTATCATTCAGTATGGACATTTGGGTTGTTCCCAGGTTTTAATACTCTTATCAGTGTCTTCAGGTGAATTTACATGTACCTACAAGTCCACTTGTTCAGCTTGGCATTCAACTTTAGTAGATACTGCCAGATGTTTTTCTAAAGTGGTTATGGCCATTTACACTCCCACCGGGAGTGTAGGAGAGGCCAAGTGGTTCCACGTCCTTGTCAGCACTTGATACTGTCTGTCTTTTTAAATTTTAGCCATTCTGGTGGTCATTTAGTGGTATCTCCTTGTGATTTTAACTTGTATTTTCCTGATGACTAATGAGTTATCCACCTTTTTATATGTCTGTTAACCATTTCAGTATACTCTTGTGGTCATTCAAGTGTCTTGCCTATTTTTCATTATTAACTGTTGTTACTGCTTTATAGGAGTTCTTTATATATTATGGATATGCATACATCAGATATGTATCTTCTCCTGTGGACTGCCCTTTCACTCTCTTAATGGTGTCTTTTAAGAGACAGAAATCCGGCCGGGCGCGGTGGCTCACGCCTGTAATCCCAGCACTTTGGGAGGCCGAGGCGGGTGGATCACGAGGTCAGGAGATCGAGACCATCCTGGCTAACACGGTGAAACCCCGTCTCTACTAAAAATACAAAAAACTAGCCGGGCGTGGTGGCGAGCGCCTGTAGTCCCAGCTACTTGGCTGAGGCAGGAGGATGGTGTGAACCCGGGATGTGGAGCTTGCAGTGAGCCAAGATCGCACCACTGCACTCCAGCCTGAGCGACAGAGTGAGACTCTGTCTCAATAAAAAAAAGAGAGAGAGAGAGAGAGACAGAAATCCTTAATTTTAATGTAGATCCAGTTTATCAATTTTTTCTCTTTGTGATTATTGCTTTTTGTGTTCTGTTTAAGAAATCTTTACATTCCCTAAAGATGGTCTCTTACATTTTCTTGTAAATGCTTTATTGTTTTACCCTTCACATTTATATATGTATTCATCATGAATTGATTTTTGTTAATGGCATGAGGTAGAAATCCAAATGTGTTTTGCATATAGCCCCACCATTTATCAGAAAGACCATCTTTTCCCAGTGCACAGTCAAGTGGCCATATACGTGTAGGGTTTTTCCGTGTTCTCTTTTCGTCCCATTGGTCTGTGTGTCTGCTCTCGTGCCAGTGCTATGTGTGTGCATTGCTGCCGCCTTGCAGTGACAGCCTTCTTCCAGAGAGGAGCATTTGTATAGCTTTGTTCTTGGTGGCCGTCTTGGCTGTTCTGGGCTCTCTGCATTTCCACTTACTCTTTGGAATCAGCTCGTCTATTCACATACACACCTGCCAGTTTTGATATGGCTTGCATCGACTGTATAGATTAGTTGAGGCAGAATTCACACCTTTACAGAAATGAGGCTTCCAATCCTTAATCATGTTTATTCCTCCATTTAAGACATTTTAACTTCTCCAAATATTTTATGGTTTCAATATAGAGGCTTCTGTAATCTTTCGAGAGGGCAATTTCAGTGAAATAGCAGAAACTAAATTCTCAGTTATTAAGGAGAGAACTCAGAAATGCAGGTAACACATGTAGACTATTCTTTTGAGAAATTTGGTTACAGGAAGAGAAAAGTTGCTACTAGCTTGTGAGATGCAGATTCCAAAAGTCTTTTCAGGACGGGCAGGATTCAGTGCCCTCAGAAGCCATAGTGAAAAACCAAGGGAGGGGTTGGAAACAGAGTTCACTGAAGGGACAGAGACATGGAGAGTTAGCTCAGGAGTGTGGGTGCTCCTGAGGCGTGTGGAACCCTGCTCGCCTGGAGAAGCCAGGTGGGGTCACTCTGAGGCAGGACGGATCCAGACTCCCCGGGTGCCCACGTAGTCAACAGCACGGAGCTGTCGTGAGCCGTGCCCTTTGCACTGAGAGCAGCAGCAAGCCCTGCTGCCCTCACGCCTGTCCTCATCCACACCTCTAAGCCCCTGGAATACAGCACATGTTATTTTAACAAAGCATGTTCCATTTTCTCTACCGAAGGTGTATACTTGTACATGTGTCATTCCAACAGTCCTTTCCTCCAGAGTATCTTGGTTAAAGTAAGGTTTGGTGGAAAGGGGCTTTTTTTTTTTTTTTAAATAAAATCTTGCAGTGCCCAGGAGGCTTGAGGAATATTTTGTAGTAGAAATACTATATATGGAGGAAACTAAGGTGCTGAGATATGAGACTTCGTGCTTAAGTTATAGAAAGGGCTGGCAGAATTCATGGGAGCAAACTTGTTTTGCAGTTTAGTGAAAATCGGTTTACTCTGGAAGTGTTTTTCGATGTTTTGTTATTGTTTGTTTTTAGATACAAGGTTTTCAGCACACGCACAGAAGATGGCATCTGCACATCTAGGGAGCTGATTGGGTAAACTTCAGTGCTGCCCGTAATTATGGTGTTTCTAAGAAAGTAACCAAGAAGCCAGTATTTTTCACTGTAATAGTTGCAGTGGTGGGATTACTTGCCAGTATTAGAAAATGGAGAATGGGAAATGGAAAATCTCATTGGATTACTCCTCCTTACATTACTGCGTTTGGATTTGTAGTCTTAACAAGGCAATAAATGGAAGGGGAAAGAAGGAATCAATTCATGGTAACTAGAATGTAATGAGCACTTTCATTAAGTCACAATTTAATTTGTATTCTTTCGGAAATTCTTTTCTGGTTTTAAGCCTAAAGGGGCCTGCCTTGAGGAGGTGAGGAAGATAAGCAGGTGTGGGAGGGGGTGTGGGTAGTGGGCAGGGGGTTGAAGAGAGCAAGAATATCTCGAGTAATACCTTTTAGGGGAAGTTTCAGACACTAAAATACATCTTTCCCAACTTATCCACAGAATCCGTTGCATCCCAAAGCCATGGAAAAACTGCCTTTTTTCATGTGATGCTCATGGTAAGGAAATGCAGACGCCCCCAGACGTCCCCCTTACTCTGGGCAGTCTGTTGCAAGCTCCCCAGTGGATGCTGAAACTGTGGATGGTACTGAAGCCTATAGATGCTGTTTTCTTCTATACATATATACCTGAGATAAAGTCTAGTTTATAAATTAGGCACAGTAAGAGATTAATAATAAAATAGGACAGTTATAACAATACTCGGAACAGCATGCACTGTAAAACTTATGAATTGTTTATTTCTGGAATTTTCCATTTAATATTTCCAGATCGCAGTTGACTGAGGGTAATTGAAACCGTGGAAAGGGAAACCATGGACAAGGGGGCGCCGCCGTATTTTAGTATAAGGAGGTTGTGAATAATCCATTTCAGGTTGTGCTTTCGCACCTGTGCTGTATAACACATTGATCTAAGTTTTTAGTTTGCTTTCTTCACATCGCCTCTCTTTCCTAAGCAATCTAAAAGTTTTAACAACACATGCCTGTACTCCTTTGACTTCAGAATGACTAAAGCTTTACAATCAAAGTCAACAAAATAAAAGTCGCATTTTAAAAGTAATCACGGTTACACAAGAGAAGTTGATCCTTGAGATTCTTTCAAGCCAAGAAAAAATAGAATGGATCAAGCGCCAATGAAATCTGTCCCTGCTCAGCTGTGCCCACATGTAATACTGCTTTCAGATAAAATTTGAACCATGCCTAATCCCTGGAGAACAGAGAAAGGCCTCCCAGATGGAAAGCAACTCCAGCTAGTGAAGGAACACTTCCTTCTCTAAACTTTTCGATTCTGTGATTCCCTCTATTTTTAAACACCTTTTCCCAGGCATAGCATACGTTAGACCCTGGAAAAGCGTAGCCTTGTAGTCTGCCTCTGGTTTTTTTTTCTCCTTAATCTTATTCCACCATTTCTTGTTATACTTCCTCCTCCAGCGCTAAATCACTGTCCCCCTTCTTGTTTACACCCTCCTGGCATGTGTAGGTAATAATCACATTTCCCTGCCCTTTGTTTTTACTTAGTTCGGGTCTCCATGTTTAGGTTTTCTAATCCTGCCCATAAAATGATTCTTTCAGCTTCTTAGTCATGCTGCCATTTTTCTTTGAACTTACTCCAGTTTGTCTCAATTTTTCTGGTAATGAGGTGTCTGAAACGGAACACAGTGCCCTTAGGTGTGGCCTCGCTGAAACTGTGTAATGGAATGGCGGTCTGCTGAGGAGTGATGCCCATGTCTGGCCAGCCCGGGGGCCTTTGTCTCTCTTGAAGAGCTGGAATCGCTTCCATCAAGATCCGGCGATTCCTGTGCTCCAGAATTGCAGTGAGCAGCCCAGTGCCTTTCCTCCTTTGTGCCTCACCTCATACTGTGTTTCCATTTGAACTGACCATTTTCTGTCCCCTGCTGTCAAGAAAATACCCACCCCCCCAACCCTGCCTTCCTTTCTGTCCAGACTACTGAAGGCAGTAGCATTTTATCTCTACCTATTTGTGGCAGTTACTACACAGTGTTTTGCATAGAGCACTCAGTCAATTTTTTAAAGAGTTTTTTTGTTTGTGTTTTTTTTGTTTGTTTGAGATGGAGTTTCGCTCTTGTCTCCCAGGCTGGAGTGCACTGGCGCGATCTCGGCTCACTGCAACACCCACCTCTTGGGTCCAAGTGATTCTCCTGCCTCAGCCTCCTGAGTAGCTGGGATTACAGGCACCTGCCACCACGCCCGGCTAATTTTTTTGTATTTTTGATAGACGGGGTTTCACCATGTTGGGTAGGCTGGTCTCGAACTCCTGATCTCAAGTGATCCACCTGCCTCGGCCTCCCAAAGTTCTGGGATTACAGGCGTGAGCCACTGCACCTGGCCAATTTTTTTATAGTTTTACTGAGATATAATTTACATACATACAACTCACCCATTGCAAGTACATAATTCAGTAGATTTAGTGTGTTCTCAGAGTTGTGCAGCCATCACCATAGTCAATTTTTGAACATTTTTGTCACCCCAAAGGGAAGCCCCCACCTATTAGCAGTCACTGCCAATCACCCCATCCTACCCCAGCCCCAAGCAGCTGCCACTCTTACTTCCCAACTCTGGATTTGGCTACTCTGGAATTTCATCAAGAATGGAATCAGGCTGGGCATGGTGGCTCACGCCTGTAATCCCAGCACTTTGGGAGACCAAGGTGGGCAGATCGCTTGAGCCCAGGAGTTCGAGACCAGCCTGGGCAACATGGCAAAACCCCATCTCTACAAAAAAATACAAAAATTAGCCAGGTGTAGTGGCATGTGCATATAGTCCCAGCTACTTGGGAGGCTAAGGCAGGAGGATCACTTGAGTCTGGGAGGTGGAGGTTGCAGTGAGCTGAGATCCTGACACTGCACTCCAGCCTGAGCAACAGAATGAGACCCTGTCTCAAAAATAAAAAAAGAATAGAATCATACAAGACGTGGTCTGTTGAGACCGGCTTCTTTCATTTAATGTAATGTTTTTATATACTTTACATAGTGTAGCTTTACATAATGTCACGTGTCAGAACTTCGTTCCTTTTTATTGGCCAGTTGGTTAATACTTTTTGAGTGGATATTTTATACACTTCAATTTTTCCCTTCTTAAGGTCGTAGAGTATCAGAATTATGCCTTTAAAAGTATATACAGTTTTAAAAGGTATTTATGTTATATATTTTGGTATATTTCTTATTGCAAAATTGATGTTGCTTGTGCTATAAACAGTACAGAAGTATGTAAAGTAAAAGTAAAATCAAAACTCCTTCCAGCCACTGAGAGCTTTTTTTTTTTTTTTTTTTTTTTTTTTTTTTTTTTTTTGGAGACAGAGTCTTGCTCTGTCACCCAGGCTGGAGTGCAGTGGCGCGATCTCGCCTTACTGCAACCTCCGCCTCTGGGGTTCAAGCTTTTCTTGTGCCTTAGCCTCCCGAGTACCTGGGAACTACAGGCACTCACCACCACATGTGACCGATTTTTTTTGTATGTTTAGTAGAGACGGGGTTTCACCATTTTGGCCAGGCTGGCCTCAAACTCCTGACCTCACGTGATCCACCTGCCTCGGCCTCCCTGAGTGCTGGGATTATAGGCGTGAGCCGCTGCGCCCAGCTTCAATGAGGTCTTTAAAAAATCTTTGTTCCAGCCGGGCGTGGTGGCTCACGCCTGTAATCCCAGCACTTTGGGAGGCTGAGGCGGGCGGATCACGAGGTCAGGAGATCAAGACCTTCCTGGCTAACATGGTGAAACCCCATCTCTACTAAAAATACAAAAAATTAGCCGAGCGTGGTAGCGGGCACCTGTAGTCCCAGCTACTCGGGAGGCTGAGGCAGGAGGATGGTGTGAACCTGGGATGTGGAGCTTGCAGTGAGCCGAGATCGCACCACTGCACTCCAGCCTGGTGACAGAGCGAGACTCCGTCTCAAAAAAAAAAAAAATTCTTTGTTCCTACAAATTGCCTTAGTAAACATACTTGTACATACGTTCTTAAATTTCTTACTGGTGTTTCTGTTGAACATACTCTAAAAGTAGAATTATTTGGTCAAAGGACATATACAATTAAATTTGGCTGATGAGACCAAATTGCTCACCTCCCTACAATTGTCCCACAGGTCGTTGCTCTGCTGTTCCCACTTCCCATGCCCTAGCCAACTCTGTAGTTTATATTTCTTGTTCGTTTGTTTGTTTTGAGTTTTTCTTTTCCTTTTTTTTTTTTTTGAGATGGAGTCTTGCTCTCGCCCAGGCTGGAGTGCAGTGGCGTGATCTCGGCTCACTGTAAGCTCCGCCTCCCGGGCTCAAGCAATTCTCCTGCCTCAGCCTCCTGAGTAGCTGGGACTACAGGTGCACGCCACCATGCCCGGCTAATTTTTTGTATTTTTTTTAGTAGAGATGGGGTTTCACCATGCTAGTCAGGCTGGTCTCGAACTCTTGACCTCGTGATGCGCCTGCCACCTCAGCCTCCCAAAGTGCTGGGATTACAGGCGTGAGCCACCGTGCTGGGTCTTGTTTTTCTTTTTTTGAGACAGGGTCTCGCTGTGTTGCGCAGGCTAGAGTGCAGCAATACAATCACATAGCTCATTGCAGCCTCAACCTCCTGGGCTCAAGAGTTCCTCCCACCTTAGCTTCCAGAGCGGCTAGAACTAGAGGCACGCACAACCACACCTGACTAATTTTTTTGTTTTAGTTTTTTGTAGAGATGGGGTCTCGCTGTGTTGCGCAGGCTGGTCTTGAACTCCTAGGCTCAAGTGATCTGCCTGCCTCAGCCTCCCAAAGTGCTGGGATTACAGGTGTGAGTCCCCAAACCTGGTCAAGTTTATATTTCTTTTTTTTTTTTTTTTTTTTTGAGACAGAGTCTCGCTCTGTCACCCAGGCTGGAGTGCAGTGGCGTGATCTTAGCCCACTGCAACCTCCACCTCCTGGATTCAAGCAATTCTTCTGCCTCAGCCACCCAAGTAGCTGGGATTATAGGCGCCCGCCACCACGCCTGGCTAGTTTTTGTATTTTTAGTAGAGACAGAGTTTCACCACATTGGCCAGGCTGGTCTTGAACTCCTGACCTTGTGATCTGCCCACCTTGGCCTCCTAAAGTGCTGGGATTACAGGCGTGAGCCACTGCATCTGGCCATATTTAATTATTAATGAAATTGGGTATTATTTTTGTGTTTGTTAGCCATTTGTATTTCTTCTGTGAGTTTTTTGTTCATATTCTCTGCCTGTTTTTCTATTAGGTTATAGGTTTTTAGGCTTATGGTACCACTTCATAATACAGTAATGTCAATCCTTTGTCTTTTTGTTTTGTGTTTATTATGTCTTTCAAGCCGTCATTTGTACTTCAATTAAATGTATAGCTCTTCTGTCTCTATACAGACATTTTAAATTTCTAAATAGCCCAACTTACCCTTTTATTCCTTTATGACTTCTGAATTTAAAAGCACTTACCCTCCTCTCCAAAATAAAGCTAAAAATACTTTTCTGTCTCCCATCCCAAGATTATAAAAAATATGCTCTTAAATTTACTTTCAGTGTTTTCACAGCATAGGTTTTAAATATACATCTTTAACCAGTTTGGAATTTATGTTGCTGTATGGTATAAGCAAGAATACAACCATAAATGGGCCTAGTTGACCCCGTACAGTTCATTGACTTCATATGCTTCCTGGTCATATCCTAAATCCCAGTCATTTAATGGTATCAACCCAACACTCTTCTAATTATTGTACTTTTATGGCATGTTTTGTTTGGTAAAGCAAGTCTTAACATCACTCTTCTTTCTTTAAAATATTTTCTTGACTCTTCTCTATATTTATACTTCAGTATAAATGTTAGACTCCATTATCAAATTCCAAAAAGAACCTTTAGGATTTGTTTGGAAATGTGTTATACACACAAATACACACATACATAAAGCCTCAAGTAATGCATGATAAAATATATAGCAGTGGTTATCTCTAGATGATGGTAATATTCTAGGTGATTTTTTTCTTGTTTTTTTTTCTTTATTTTCGAAAGTTTTTACAATATTTGTGAAGCACTTTTTACTTTATTTTATTTTATTTTATTTTTGAGATAAGAGTCTTGCTCTGTCACCCAGGCTGGAGTACAGTGGCACGATCTCGGCTCACTGCAACCTCCGCCTCCCAGTTTCATGCAGTTCTCATGCCTCAGCCTCCCGAGTAGCTGGGACTACAGGCACGTGCCAGCATGCCCAGCTATTTTTTGTATTTTTAGTAGAGACGGGGTTTTGCCGTGTTGGCCAGGCTGGTTTTGAACTCCTGGCCTCAAGGGATCCGCCCACCTCGGCCTCCCAAAGTGCTGGGTTTACAGGCGTGAGCCACCGCACCCGGCTGTGAAATCACTCCCGGCTGTGAAGCACTTTTTAAATTGCGGAAAACTCCTGAAAAAAATGTTCTTAAACTAAATTATATCCTTCAGTAACTTCATGATTATCTACTTAACATAACAGAAGCCCAATTAGAATAAAGACTATTTCATGGGAAATAAATAAGTGACTTGTAGAGACTGAAGAAGAGTTACCTGGCTCAGAATATAAACTAGAATTGTCTGGAATATTCCTGGGAAGGATCCAGCTGGAATCAAGATACTGAAGCAACACCACCCCATAACCTTTTCTGTAGCTTGGTTGATGTCAGTTCTGCTGAGACTTTAGGGTCTGTAGCCTTTTCACTTAGCAGCATTCCTGGGTTGTTTTCTCTGCAGCTGTATTTACAAGGTACCCAGCCTCCTAGCTTTCCCCGTTGAAGAGATTCTTACTCATGTGACACAGCCAGAGTTTGGGGTGCACCAAGGCCGCGTGGTCTAAATCGGGCCCCTCAGTGTCCTGGTCTTTTAGTCAGCATTTAGCAGAAGGAAGATTGCTAGGTCTATTCTTAACTCTTTGATATATTTAAGAAGCACTGTGCTCATTCTTGACTCAGAGCATCTAGATTCTTTCTTTTCTTTTTCTTGCCCTGTCTTATGGTGCCAAGCATCTAGATTTTTTTTTTTTTTTTTTTTTTTTTTTTGCCTGTTTTAAGATGGAATCTCAGCTGGGTGTGGTGGCTCACACCTGTAATCTCAACATTTTAGGAGGCCGAGGCAGGAGGATCCCTTGAGGCCAGGAGTTCAAGACCAGCCTGGGCAACATAGTTAGACCGCACCTCTAAAAAAGAAAAAGAAAAGAGAAATACAAAAATTAGCCAGGCATGGTGGTACACATCTGTAATCCCAGCTACTTAAGAGGCTGCAGCAGGAAGATCACATGAGGTCAGGAGGTCGAGGCCACAGTGAGCCTGATCAAACCATTGCACTCCCCCCAGACAATAGAGGGAGACCCTGTCTCAAATTAATAGAAAGAGAGAGAGAGGAGAAGGGTAGGAGGCAAGGAGGGAGGGAGGGAGGGAGGAAGGAAGAAAAGAAGGAAAGAAAAGAAACGAGAGAGAGAGAGAGAAAGAAAAGAAAAGAAAGGAAAGAGAGAAAAAGGCCAGGCGCGGTGACTCAGGCCTGTAATCCCAACACTTTGGGAGGCCGAGGCGGGCGGATCACAAGGTCAGGAGATCTAGACCATTCTGGCTAACACGGTGAAGCCCTGTCTCTACTAAAAATATAAAAAATTAGCTGGGCGTGGTAGCAGGCGCCTGTAGTCCCAGGTACTCGGAAGGCTGAGGCAGGAGAATGGCACGAACCTGGGAGGCGGAGGTTGCAGTGAGCTGAGATCGCGCCACTGCACTCCAGCCTGGGTGACAGAGCGAGACTCACGTCTCAGAAAAAAAAAAAAAAAAAAAAAAGATAGATGGGGTCTCACTACCTTGCCCAGGCTGGACTCAAACTCCTGGGCTCAAGCGATTCCCCCACCCTCAGCCTCCCAAGTAGCTGGGATTACAGGCATGCACCACTGTACGCAGCTCCCTTTTTGCTTTTTAATCTGTATGCTCTTGCTGGGTGATCTTACCCATTTAGTAACAGTTAGAACACCTAATATTTGTCAAGCACTTTATATGACTATCTCATTAAATCCTTAAAACAGCCCTATAAGGTAGGGCACAGGAGCTCACGACTGTAAGCACTTTGGGAGGCCGAGGCAGAGGCGGGATTACTTGAGCCTGGGCGTTCAAGACAAGCGTAGGCAATATAGACTCCCATCTCTCCAAAAAATTAAAATTTAAAACATTGGCCTGACATGGTTATTATTGCCTCATTTTACAGATGAGGAAACTGAGACTCAGACAAGTCAAGGTCAGATGAACTGATCGGCAGAACTGACCTTGAAACCCAGGCAGCCTAACTCCAGAGCCTATGTTCTTAACTAGACTTTATATTCCATTTTTAATTTTCCTCCTTTCTTTCCTAAAACCTGCTGTCTCCTTCGTTCTTGGTCTTATTTGTCCAATATCCCCAGCTAGAATTGTCAGAAATGATTCTCCAGTTCTCCCTCACTTGACACCTCCTCCTTTTAGTCCTGCCTTTTGAAGAGGCTCAGACCTGTGTGTTCCTTTCCACGTCCCTGGCCCTCCCTTGCATCAGCCTTGCCTAACCCCCACCTGGGCTGCGAGCAGGAGCTGCCCTTGGTGGACTCTTCCTTCTGCTCAGTCTGAGAAAGTGGCGATGCTCATGTCACTGTACCATTTAAAACTGCGTGGACTCCTTTTTTGTGGTTGTGGTTTGGTTTCTAGGCAGATCACGCTGGAACGTCCTCACTTCACGTGCTCAGTCTGGCCCTCGCGTGTGTTTTCAGCTCCATTTCCTGTCATTCTCCACCCACTCCCTGTGCCTTACATTCCTGCCATCCTGAGGCTTCCCTTTTCGCAAGATCTGGGCCAGGCCTGTCCCAGCCCCACGCATCAGCCTTTGTTCTTCTGCGCTAAGCCTCCTTTGTCTTTGGTCTCCCAGACGGACTCTAGTCAGCTCTGAAGATCCAGACCCCACGCCTCTTTAGTAGCATTTCCTCAGACTCCTCAGGGTGAGCAGACACTCTTAGGGCTGCCACAGCACATGCTCAAGCCTCAGCTGCGGCCTCACTCTGCTGGGTGGTCGTTTATCTGTTTACATGCTTGTCTCCATTAACCTAAATGTGTCTTCAGGACAAGGACCAAATCCCATCAGCTTTCACCACCCAGCACAGAGTAGCGCTCAATAAAGGTTGGTTAAAATGCTTGAAGGAATGTGAAAGAGGCTGTTAAAAACAACAGGAAGTTAGAAATATACTTACTTCTAAGCAAAGGGATTATCTTGTGTTTCTCAAAGTAATCTCTTCAGCTAAATTAGCAGGCCTCAGGTGGGTAGGCTAATGTACCGGATGAAAGCGATACACGGCAAATGGAGAAGTCCTTTAAATTCTAAGTTCCCTTAGGGCGAGGGTCGCTCCACAAGGTTAGGATCCTCTCTGAGATCACCATGCCCCTCTCTCCTGCTCTCATGCACGTTCATGAGCCTGTGACTTGGTGGAGAGAACATTCTGTTTACAGTGAGAGGCCAGGACTGAAGTCACAGCTCTGCAAAAATGATCAGCTTTCGGCCTAGAACCAGTGACTAACTTTTTGGGCCTCACTTTCATGAAGACGCATTTGATATTTGCTTTTACACTTTTCTTATGGTTAATTTTGATGCAGAGAGACTTCACATACAGAGTGCCTTTGTCATTTATTGATGAAAAATAATTCTTAGCTCAGTGCAAATGGGATTGTTGTATCTGAAATCCATCTCTCCTTTCCCTTTCAGCTTCAGGATGAGTTAGAGAAAGGTGAACGGGACAATGCAGAACTGCAGGAGTTTGCCAACGCCATTCTTCAGCAGATAGCAGACCATTGTCCCGACATCCTAGAGCAAGTGGTCAACGCCCTGGAAGAGTCCTCTTGACCCTGCTTTATGGGGAAGCCTGAGGTAGTCAACCCAGGAGCCAAGAAAAGAGAACTACGAGGAACAGGTGCCCGGAACCTTCTTGGCACCAAACACTACAAACTTCATCCCAACTTGCTCACTTGAAGAAGTGTGATTCCAGCACCGTTTCTACATCTGCCATCTTACTCTGCCTTTCTGCTTTGGATGTGGTCTCTACACTAACCTTCTTGATGTCCAGGGTAGATAAAGGGTCGAATCTCTCTGAAGAACTGCCACCTGGTCATCAGCAGTGGAGAACTGTGGGAGCTGGTGGCTCTGCCCTGACAGAGAGCCATGGAGCAGAGGAGCCTCTCACCTCCTGTCCTCTGACATGAGAATGAAACCAGGAATGGACTTGGAGTTCAACAGGCTGAGAGGATGCCTCCAATGGACCAGAGAGCTGAGTGTTCTAATATCACAATAGGTGCTTTCTCCTAAAAGGGCAAAAAACAATCTCAAAAAGATTAGAAAAAGAGAAGGGGGGAAGGGAAGAGAAAATCGACTCTTCTTTTTACTGTCTCTTCTGCTTACTTTCCACATGAGATGCTTTGTACCGGGGAGCTGTGAGCAGGCCTCACGATGGCTTGGGAGCACTCGTTCTCCCAAGGTCTGAGTCTTCATCCAGCCCTGCCTGTCTGTCGCAGCCTTCCTCACTCTGTTCCTCGGCCAGTTAACAAGAAGATGGTGTGAGGTGTTCTCCACCAGTCTCTCCTGTTTGAGACTGTTGACGTTATCATACTGAGGTGTTAGATCAAATATCTCTAATTGAAGAACATGTGAGGTTGAAAGAGCACCAGCCAGGGCAACATAGCGTGACCCTGTCTCTACAAAAAATTAAAAAGAGAACATACAAAGTTGACATATGAGACCCTGTTGTCCCCGCCTGCAGCTTTGCCCCAGTAACAGATGCCCGTTGCTCTTGGGCTGGTTTCCCCTGAACACCTCCAAGAGGCTGCCTGCCTTGCCAGCACCCGTGTCCTGAGCTCCTGCAGCCCAGTGGCTGCTGAAGTTGTGATCCCTCACTCACCCTGCTAGCTTTGCCCTTGACTCGTCTTCTCTGAACCTCAGCCTCGTGCATTGCCTGGAACCTTCTTCTAGCATAAATGAAGGTTTTTCCTCCTACACACATTCCTTCCTCGGTTATTTCATTCAGAGAATATTTATGAAATGCCTACTGTGTGCAAGTCATCCATCCTTGAAAAGGCCACTTCTCAGTGAGGGAGAGATGTAGTGGATTCTGTGAGACATACCTGCTGGAGTTGAAGCAGTAAATAGCATGTCCTTCCCCTCCCCGATCTTAAGGTGTGTTTTCTAGAAAAGTTCCCTAATGGAATTCATGAGTTTGGGGGTCTCAGTCACCCGCTTGCCTGTAGGATTCCATTTGATGATTCTGGATTTTTGCTGTTTGTTATTGCCCTTAGAGGGGCTCTGAGTATCTACTTGTGGGTGGCCATTTCCTGACATCTGCATGTACCTCGTGGAATTCAGCCAGCTTCATGTTGCAAATCAGAAAGCTGACCCCAAGACTGCAAATCAATGAAGGTATTGGCATTGTTAAGGACGTAGCGTAGACAACAGCAGTCATAAATAATTAGGCAGGAACTTAACCCAAATCTAGTTCTTTGACCACCTCTACCACCAGAACCCAGCAGACACTCACATCTCCTGATAAGAGTTGCTGGACTCGATGTTTTTGTTTTGCATTTTCTCCTCTCCTTCCCCACTTACTCAGAGAATTTAAAGTCTGTAGAGTCAGCACAGCCCCATCAGTCCAGGAACTTCCCACCACCAGCCCTTGACTGTCCCATTAACTGACATGGTCAGATTTCCAGCTCCCCCTACTCCCTGCTGTGAAACAATCCCTCTCCCTGTGAGAGGAAACTGTGGAGCGTTTCTTATCGAAGGTTAAATGGACTCTGCTCATAAACCTCTTACTGAGATGCTTCCTGATAGCCAGGCTGGCCAGAGAGGGGTGCAGGGGTTAGATAGTAAGTGGTGGTCGTTTGTGGTCAGTTACCTCAATTCTGTTCATTGCAGTGCCCGTAAACCATGTAGAAAGCTCCCAGCACTGAAAGGCAGGAGTGTTAGCATCTCGCTTTATCCACCATAACGTAAAGAACTGCGGTGTGATAACAGCCTTCACGGGGCCACGGTGGAACCAAGACAGCAGGCGAGGCCATGCCTAAACAAGTGGTCTGGCACGGGCACTGGCCAGCTGCTCTCTCCAAGCAGGTGGCCCAGATCCCACCCACGTGGACTTTCTCATCAGGTGCAGCGCCTGCCACTCTCAGCCACTGGGTGTGTCACTCTCCTCTTCATCTCAGCATTCTCCATCACTTCCCCTCCAGAAAAACGGATGGAAGGAAGCCCTCTGTGACACTGCTTCTGAGAAGAAGCATTTCCGGGACCGATATCATCTGTCTGGTCTCTGTGAACAGCAAGGAATCTTCTTGACCGTTCTTGGGCACTGGAGGCTGGCTAGGAGTTCAGTAATAAACGTGGCCTTCGTGCTGTAGGGCAGAGTGGATGCAGTTTGTAGCTTTCAGAGTGTCTCATTGAGTCTAGATCATTGAACCAACACTTAACCAAATGTCCCACTCCCATCACACTAGGACTTGTCATTCCATGCCCCTCTCCTAGTGGTCATGGTTTCATATGGGCATACAACTGCTACTGAAGTTATATAGCCTTGAAAACTCAGTGCAGGTTGCCCTTAATTTTCCCCAAACCCCTCCATCGGCAAGTCTAGTTGCCCTTTAGCACCTAAAGATCTGCACCCCAAACCAATGTCACCATAAAGAGGGCACGAAGAAGAGTGGGTGTGATCCCAACGGGGTTTTGTAACTGAAGAAGCCCAGTGTGAGCTTCTCATCTTTTCATATACCTCTAACCCCCGGTACTCATTGAATCATTGATGAGGTATCTCAATTGAGATTTGCAAGGACTTTGATACCATTTGAAATGGAAAAATTTTGAACGGGCTTTAACATGTTTAAGAAATATGGATGGGGCCGGCCACAGTGGCTCACGCCTGTAATCCCAGAACTCTGGAAGGCTGAGGCAGGCGGATCACCTGAGATCAGGAGTTCGAGGCCAGCCTGGCCAAGATGGCAAAAACCCCGACTCTACTAAAAATACAAAATTAGCCAGGCGTGGTGGCGTACGCCTGTAATCCCAGCTACTCAGGAGGCAGGAGAATCGCTTGAGCCTGGGAGGCAGAGGCTGCGGTGAGCCGAGATCGTGTCACTGCACTCCAGCCTGGGTGACAGAGACTCCATTTAAAAAAAAAAAAAAAAAATATATATATATATATATATATATATATATGGATGGGAATCACCAAATTCATCTCAGCTCTAACCTTTTAACCTTTGTCCTTGCACTTTACAATCTAAAGATCTACCTGTGGCTCTCAGACTTCCTCACACTTGGGTTTTAGAAATAACTTGTAAAGCAGACTGGACCCAAGGCCGCCTTCAGTGTCAAGAAGGGCATTGTGACTTGCCCCTCAATTTCTGTCCATTGAAGTCTGGTTTTCCATGAGGAACTTGCGGGCTCACCCACCCCCAGAGTGAGAGAAGAGGAAGGCGAAGTCATCACAGACACGGTCTTAGCCACCTGCTGAACTAATCCCTCCGCTATTGAGGGTCAGGGTTGTGAGGCAACCATCATGTGTCACCCCAAAATATAAATGTTTCTGAGCCGCCCATCCACTGGCATTTGGATTTGCTGCCAGAGTCCTGTTCCTCCCAGAACCATCCCGCCCTCCTGTTGACCATGTTACTTGAGTGTAGGCCCGGTGTCAAGACCCTCAGAGTCTTTGAGGAAAGAGCCAAGCAGAGAAGACCGCTGCGTGGAGTGTGACACCACATGGCATTTCTCAAGCCCAGCGGACCCTGTGTCAGCAAATACCAGTAATTTAACATCTGCTCCTGGCCTCCTCTTCACCTGCCTGGGTTCGGAACTGAGGAGGAAGGATGAGAAGAGACTGCAATGCAGCAGGCACCCTCTGCAGAGTGAGGCCGCCCGTCCATCACTGCCAGCCCTGGGCTGCTCAGGAGGGGACGTGAACCACTCAAAGGAATGTCTTAAAGAGGATCTGGAGTTTCCCCCATGCAAATTAGGGAAGAATTAGGCAAGAAAAGACATACATTACAGGGAAATCCTTCTGAACAAAATGGCTGTCTTCACCTACTCTTCTTGCAAGAAAAGACATACATTACAGGGAAATCCTTCTGAACAAAATGGCTATCTTCACCTACTCTTCAGCAAAAACCGTCTCCAGACTTTTTAGTGTCAAAAATGTAACCAACTGTCTCCTGATTTTTTCCAATGTGTTTGGCAAGTGCTGTGGCCCTGTTGTAGGTACTTCTCCTGACTCTTGGGGGAGAAGTGGTTTTAGGGATTGATTTGGGGGAGCGGGTTTTTGTCCCATCCCACCTCCTCTCTTCTTTCTCTGCTTGTCGATATTGTCTGTGTGATTCAGAGAATTGGGGCAGTTACATTGTGTCTGTTGTTGAGATTATTAAAAGATTAAAACGTAGTTGTAGAAATGAAAAATTAAACAGCTGTGTTTTAAAAATGCAAACCAATATCTTGTTAATAAAGGAATTCAAGCTATGGGGCAGCCACACTCCCCTCCTCCCAGGCTGGCATAGGTGGCCCTGGGCTGGCGGCTTAGGAAGCATGGAGCACACTTAGGGTAGTGCCTGCCTGGGCAAGAGACACCTGCCGAGCAAAAGGAACGAGAATCTGGGGCTCAGAGCCTCGCAGTTGTGCCAGGATTTTCCTATACATGTTCAGGACCTCTGGGTAGAGGTTTCACAGTTTGTGACCCCATAACCACCCTCACCCGACGTGGGTTCTAGCTCAGTGTGCCTAATACTGCATGGTAACCTGGGCTTGACCCTGAAGCCCCTGCCTGGCAGGCCACAGGACCTCTCCTGCCCACTTGGTGCTATCTCTTCCAGTGACCACCCAGCACGGGTGAGCACTGGCCAGCCTGGAGCCTGCAATCCAGGTGGAACAGACTGTCCTCCATGTCAGTTCCTTCTGGCTTCAGGCCCTCAATTATTTCCCTTTGAGCTTTTTTAGACCCTAGATCTCCTAGGCCCAGGCTCTCTCTTGACCCCAGAGAAGCCACTGTCAGGAAAGGAAGTGAACCCTACTGAAGCCAGAGAATTCACCCCGGCCAAAGCAGGCCCTCTGGGTCCAGCCCCTCATTCCACACCACGCCAGTATTGCATCCATCTACTGCAGCTACACATCCTGAGGGCAGCACCACCCACTCTGGCCTGCTGGCCCATCGCAGGACTAGCCCAGGCACCTGCCGGGCATTGCAGGATATCCAGTGGGGCCTGTGACTGCTCCCTGATGCGTCAGAAGAGAAGTGTTGCACTTTAGTGGAGGAGCTGAGGAGCACCTGCCCCCTTGTAGCTTGAGTTCCTTTTGGTAACAGTAGCAGCCTCCATGGTGGTGTCTGGGATGCACGTGCACCCGCTGCCTTCAGCTGTATGTGTGTGTTCCTGCTGGAGTTGTGTTACTGACAGGATAATGACATTACAAAGAAATTGTGTTATATTCAACTTTGCCTTGATAATTATTGTAAACACTTTGTTCATTTTTTCTTTTTTATTCACAAACTAAATCCACCAGGAAATTATAAAGTTATTTAAAAACCGTGCTGTGTCCTTCTTTGAGTGTCACCCAGCTGATCATCCAGGCAAGGTGTGTCCCCAAATGCTAGAAAAGATGGACAAGGTCTGCAGTGCCCAAGAGGCCAACTCCAATGGCAGGCAGCCCGAGGGCCAGGGGTCCCAGGATTTACGGTGGGTGTGGGAGTCATCACAGCCCTGACGGGCATGAGCCTCCTTTCCCTTCCCGCCTGATCTCCGGGTTTGCAGCTTTTAAAGTCAATTCCCGGTTCCCTTTTTCCTTCTTTCTACCCTCAGCCCCGGGCCAGGTTATCCGTATCAGGTCTCACTGTTCCAGAGCTTAGAGTAGGTGCCCAGCGCTGAGGGATGGTGCTGCTGTTGTACCAAGGTAGAAGAGCCAGAAGGGCGGCCACCAAGGGAGGGCTTTGCCCAGGACTGGGACTCAAGCTTCAGCAGGGCGCGTTCTGATGCACTGACTCTGGGGCGTGCAGGCTGGGTCAACAGAAAGTGTGTGTGCCAAGAGTAAAAGGAGCCGAGAAACCCTGTGCTTGGACGCGGCTGTCATTTCCAGCTTTGGGATTTGTCTTGGGCTTTATGCTCAATAAGAAATTATTCTGGAGGATTTCTTTTATGAGAATTACTTTTCTGCTTAGCCACACTTCTGTGTCTGCCCGAGAGAGGAATCAAGCCAGCTTGCTGCATTCCTTCCCTCTCCCGTGTAAATTCTGCCACACGCTGGGTGTTGGCTCTTGGGAATTGTAGCAAGAGAGTCCAAACTCGTTCTTCCCGGTCGGCCCTCCCAGTGCCCAGGTCCCACCCTGGCCTCGCTCTCTGCAGCCACAGCAGCTGTTGGGAAGCTCTGCCAGGGGAGACGTGCCCGGGAGACAGGGCGCTGTGGACACGGCTGCAGGGCTGAGGTTGCTTGTACTTTCATCATATGAAGCAGGAACAATTTTACTAGCCGAGCATGTATTATTCTGCACAATATAAAATCACAACCACAAGCAAATGTGTCCACAGAAAGCTGTCAGATTACACTGGTCAGCTGTTTCCAAGGTTTCCCATTCATCTTTTTTACTATTTATTCACCCTGCATTCTACCAGTGCCCAGTTGCAGGCAAGTGGACACCGACAATAGATTTAAAGAAAATATGTGAAAACTTTTAAGAATTCCATCCATTAATTTTTTTTCGGAACTGAGAGAAGATAACTAGTACTTTATTTTTGAGGTGGAATATCTCAGGCTGGCTCAAAAATGATTAGGAGCTACTTAGGGACTGGGTGCTGTAGCTGAAACCTTTAATCCCAACACTTTGGGAGGCCAAGGTGGGAAGATCACTTGAGGCGAGGAGTTCGAGACCAGCCTGGACAACATAGTGAGACCTCTCTCGTTACAATAAATTAAAAATTTAGCAGGGCATGGTGGCATGTGCCTATAGTCCCAGCTGCTTTGGAGGCTGAGGCAAGAGGATGACTTGAGCCCAGGAGATGGAGGCTGCAGTGAGCTGCAGTGATCACACCACTGCACTCCAGCCTAGAGGTGCAGAGAGAAACCCTGTCTCAAAAAAAATAAATAGGCTCTGGGGCTGGGGGGAAGCTGGTGTGAGGTTTGTGAGCCTTCCCAGGTGTCCTGGAAAGGGCCCAGACTCGCAGACTGCAGCCCTGGGCTGCCGCTTGACCTCCCAGCCTCTTCTTCACCTCTGAAAGAATGCCTCCTTCATCCCTGTCCCCAGCCTAGGTCATAATGAAGGTGCCGTAGGATAATCTTTTTCCTTTTTGAAATTTTCTTTACAGAGCATAAATTGCTTTCTTAACATCTGCGATTCACTTAAAAATAATCAAGCATGTCTGTCGGGGAGGAGCAAGGGCGTGGAGACAAAAGATGGGCCAGAGGTCGGTAATTATGAAGCTGGGGAACTGCGTGCATGGGGTTTGTAAGTCCATTCTCCTTATTCTTGTGTTTGAATGTTTCCTGAATCAGTTAAATATTCACATCCTTCAACTGTACTTGCCCATACAGGCCTCTTCCTCCGAAGATCCAAGCACTCTGCATTCACAAAGGGCCACCGTAGCGCTCCGTTCAGAATTTGTACTTCCCTGTGTTCTAGACTCCAGGCTACAAATAATAAAAGCTAGTGACATGTGGACCACCTGCCAGCTTCAGTTCTGAGCACTGCACAGGTTTGGTGTCGGTTCACCTTCACAGCAGTCCTACAAGGTGGGTACTGTTATCCCACTTTACAGGAGAGGCACAAAGTGGACGCACGACCTTCCCAGCGCCACACAGCATGTTAGTGGTGAGACTGGAATTCACACCCGACTCTGTCTCCAGAGTGTGTGTTCTTCAGCCCACTGCTGTGGCCACCTCCCGGGGAGGACAGTCTGCTGGGGACAGCTAAGCCCAGTGAAGTGCAGTGGGGCACGAGAGCAGGCAGTGCTCGTCACACAACTTCAACAGGTGGATTTTGCCGGAAAAGGGGGTGAAGGGAAGCCAAAAAGACAGATGAGCAAGACCAGGGAGGTAGGAAAGTACGAGGAGGGCACTTGGGACAGCAAGTGGCCAGTGTGGACAGAGGACATGCGTACTGCCTGGCTTCAGAGCGACGAGGCGCGGCCGTGGCCGCAGGTGCAGCATGAAAGGGGATCCCCAGTGCCCTAGGAAGGAGGCCAGCTTGGGAGACACGATCTCACAGCCCCAGTGGTCCCGACCCCTCCCCAGCTACCGACGAAGAAAAGCCTCCCCAGGGGCTGATATAAAAAAGCAAAGGAAACACCCCTGGGCACATGCATTCTGGAGCTGCCAGCGTGTGACCTGAGGGAGGCTCCCCAGGCCACGTGCAGAGAAGCTACATGAGGGGACTCTGCTTTCCTAAGGGAAGGAGGATGTTCTTATTGATACATTGAGAGACACATCTGGCTCTGTCACCCAGGCTGGAGTGTAGCACTGCAATCATAGCTCACTGCAGCCTCGACCTCCTGGGCTCAAGTGATCCTCCTGCCTCAGCCTCCTGAGGAGCTGGGATAACAGGTGTGTGCCACCATGCCCAACTAATTTTTTAAACTCTTGTAGAGATGAGGTCTCACTATGTTGCCCAGACTGGTCTTGAATCCTGAGCTCAGGCAATCTTCCCTCCTCAGCCTCCCTAAGTGCTGGGATATAGGTGTTAGCCAAAGCACCAGCTGACATGGGACATTGTTTTTACCGCATCCAGGCAGGTGGGCCCTTTAGAAAGGGCATCACTCAATCTTCAGTTACTCAACATGAGGTCTGTATTTTGCCTCCCTTCACCTGCTTTTCTGGCAGAGAAACTAGAAATGAAAGATTAAGTTGCCCTGAGTTATACAGCAACTTAACTGGACCTGGGTTCAGAATGGGTCCATCGCTGCCAAACCTTTCTCTGGCCCCAGACTCCCTGACAGCCTCAGAGGGGTTGAGGCATCAGGGCCACACTGTGGCTGGGGGTTTCAGAGGAAAGAGAAAATAACATGCGTGGCTTGGTCACCATTACGGTGGATGTGAGTCACGTCAGGATTTCAGGCTCCGTTTGGCTCTGGGCAGTTGATTTCCTGGGAATGAGGCGATGAAGCCCTATGAATGTTCTCTCCTCCAGGCCCTCAATGGGACAGGAATGAGGTTTGCAGCTTGGTAGTGCCACTCCAGCCCTCCCTGTCCACAGGGACCATTCCTTTGCCGTGTCGTCTGGGGAAGAAGCCATCCCCTGCCATAGGCAATGGCTTACAGGGTGACCTGGGACATCCGTGCCTTCGGCTGGGTTCAGCCGTGAAGCACTCTTCTTCCCAACTCCTCCTGCTGCTCCCAGCGTGCGACATTCATCTTTCCCTTCCCAAGTTAACGCTCAGTTCTGTCTTGGCCGCCTTGGCACCTTCCCGGCCCCTCAGTCTCGGTCTCCACAGCACTTGGTCGGCTCAGCCTTGTTCGTGCGAGTCAAGAACTTGAGCCGCGCTGCTCTGAAGAGGGAGAGTCAGATGTGGGCAAAAAAAGTGCATCGAATGTCTGAGAAACTTCCATAACAAAAAGCCATCTCTGGCATCTGAAAGAATTCACGCTCGAAAGATGGTTCCTGCTTGGTTTGTCTTGGGCTTACACTTTTTTATTACTATGATTTTATTCTTCAGGGTTGTGGGAATCTGCATCTTGACTTGGACCTGGCCCGTGTGCAGGATGTAATGGGCTGATGTGCCTGGACTCCTCCCTCTGCATTTGTGCAGTGCTCCCGTGCCGGGAACACAACCCAGGAACAAGGACTTCCGTGCGACGGTGCCCCGGCCACCACCACGCCTCCCGCAGCAGCCAGGCCCGGGCCTTGAGGTCAGCAGTAAACCCCAGGACACAGGCAGTGACCCTAGACGAGCAGGGCAGGTCCAGGTGACGGGAGGCGTGCCACGTTTCTCCATCCCGAAGTTCTTCTTGGTTTTTATCCTAAGTACTGATGTCAGGATGACTCGGCAGCTTTGACGAGCCATCTGGCCCTTTAGGCAGGAAGCCAGTTGGCCTTCCTCCTCCCACTGTCCCGCCTGGGCACTCCCATGGGGCTGGCTGCAGGGGGACTGACCTTCTCAGGGGAGGCTGCCTCCGGCTTCACCGCTCCTCCCCGAGCACAGCCTTTGTGGGGCCTACGGGGCAGTAGGAGACAGGACGCTTGTCCTGCGGAATGGCAAGGAATCAGCTCTCCATTTCAGGGCAAAGTGGGGCCTGGATTGTGGGCCTTGAACATGAAGGCAGGTGGGCGAGGGACTAGGGGACCGCGTGAGGCCCGACGTGCACACGGCAGGGCCCGGCACCCATGGTTGCGTTCGGTCGGCCTTGGCCGGCTGGCTCCTGCTTGGAAACTTGCTGGGTGGTGTCTGCGGTAAGTCGGTGGCATTATTCCCAGGGGCTGTGAGGAAACCCTCATATCGTTTGTCCTAAAGCCTAGGATCTTGGAAACAGGACCATCACCCTTATAGAGGTCATCCCCCTCTGACCAGACCCTATTCCAAGGCCATTTCCTGCGTCTAAAATCCTCCGTGGGTGTAGAAACCAGCTAGAGATGGGAGCACTGAGGCCTGCAATGGGAGCTCTCCTGGAGACGTGAGGGCGTTGCCGGCCTCTTCACGCTACCCCTGCTCCAAGACCACCTCCAGCCCTCACAGAGGCCTCTGGGCCTGCCCTCCTGAGAGACCACTCCGGGCAGGGCTGTGGTGCCCACCCCATCCCCAAGAGGTCAGATACCAACAATCAGATTGTTTCTGCTTGAGGAGGGAAAAAAAGCCCAGATGCCAATCCACCAGCCTCATCATCTGGGGCCGCGTCATCCTCCTGCAGGGATGGTCTCTTTTTATTTTCTTTTTTATTTTTTATTTATTTTTAATCTTTTTTTTTTTTGAGATGGAGTCTCGTTCTGTCACCCAGGCTGGAGTGCAGTGGCACAACCTCAGCTCACTGCAACCTCCGCCTTCCGGGTTCAAGCTATTCTCCTGCTCCAGCCTCCCGAGTAGCTGGGATTACAGGTGCCTGCGGCCACGCCCAGCTAATTTTTTGTATTTTTAGTAGAGACGGGGTTTCACCATGTTGGTCAGGCTGATGTCGAGCTCCTGACTTCAGGTGATCCATCCACTTCGGCCTCCCAAAGTGCTGGGATTACAGGCGTGAGCAACAGCACCTGGCTGGGATGTTCTCTTGAATGAGAGCTTTGTCTGCCCTGCCTGTCAGTCACTGTGACAAAGGGGACCCAGGCAGACTGGAGCCCAACATTGGATCCTTTGCCAGGATGTCACGTCATGGGGTTCAAGCCGCAGCATGCAAGCCATCCCTGGCTCCGGTATCTCTGAACTCTCCTACATGGACTAAATGTCACAAAAGCCCCTTGAAGAGTCCCCAGGCAACCTCCGCGGTGAGAGAGCACTTAGATCTCCATTGCCTCCCACCCAAAACAGGAGCCTGCTTTCCTTCTCCTGTCCCCTCACTGACTGCAAGCCCCTTGAGGGCAGGGCATGTGTCTGTTCCTGCTTTTGGGTCCCCTGCAGACCCAGTCAAGCATGCCTGTGCACACACTGACCTTGCCAAGTGATCAGCGCTGATCTGATGACTTGCAGGCTTCCCAGGGCTTCGTCTTCCAGGACCTTCTTTTCTGCAGCTGGCACAGTTCTAGCCCACGTCATTGGAGATGTGTCGGGCCTGAAAATATTAGCCTGGACATCCGTTACGACCCCAGCTTTCCCTGTGGGCGGGACAGGTCAGAGCAAGCCTGCGCGGTGGCTACCTGATGTCAAGGGGAATCCCACTTGCTGCCTCTGCGGAATTCCTTGTTTCCAGGCCAGGGTCCAGGACAGCAGGGTCTGCCGCAGCCTTAGCTGCCTTGGTGCCGGGCCTGACTGCATCTCCAGTGCAAGCAGCCAGGAGGGAGGGAAGCAGCTGTGTGAGGATCCGACCACGGCCTCCTCTCCTCTCCTCGCTCCCCTATGCTGAAATCTCCACACAGGTCCTCTGGTGCGCTTCGAACTTGTATTTCCTCCCAGGGGCACACAAGAGGCCTGATAAGTCTCCTTCTTTACTTCCAGGGAAACAGTACTGAGTCTGGTGAGGAGGCAAACGCTCAGAATCTACTGCAGGTGTTAGTTCTGCAGAGGAGTCTTCCTGCTTAAGGGCTCATTTGATGTTCTGGAAATTTGCCAGGTACTGAAATACAGCCAGTCTTCCCAAAGATTCCTCCGCTCCTCTGAGTGCACGTGTGTGTGTGTGTGTGTGTGTGTACAGCCACACAACCTGACTCTTTGTTCACACACACGGGCCCTGGCCAAGTGTGAGGGTCTCCACGTGACGAAGGAAATGAGTAAACAACTTCAACATTGTTGTTTCCCTCTGAGGCTTGCAAAGAAGGTGTTAAGAGCACAAGATTTAAATCATAAACTTTATTAAAAGCCAAACAGCCCAATGTGCGATTCTTGCCAACTTGGACAGAGTCTTTGGGGTAATGCTACACGGAGCTAATCCAGAAGGAATCGAGTGGAGGAAGACAGCAGGGTGGGGGTGAGCCCACGCGTCCAGCCAGGAGAGGCAGAGGGAGGCACAGCCCCGACACAGCCACCCACCCCGTGGCCAGAGCAGGGTGGCGCAGGAGCTGGCAAGACCTCTAAGCTGTTCCTGCTTCTGCTCTCCTCACACTGTTTCCTTAGCAAATGGAGCCTCCTTCACGCCTAAAGGGCCCAGAGCAAGGCAGGGGGAGGAGGGCCGACCCCTGCAAGACTGAGAACTGGCCAGAATTGCCCACTTGCTAGACTAGCAAGAGAGCGAAGTCCCAGTGGGTACCCCCGACGAAGGACACCCGTTCCTTACCCCCCACCCAGAGGCACCCTTCCTCCTCCAAACACAAGATGCTGCTCCAGCAGGGGCAGGGACCATGTCAGCCTCCCACAAGACACACACGGGAAAGCCCTGCTTGTGAGGGCGCCACACCCAGGGCAGGAATCAGAATGAAGACACGACTCCACAGTGAGCACGGGGCTCAGGACAGGACCCAGCGTGGCAGACCAGCCAGAGAAGCTTTCACACTGCAAACAGCCCGCTCCACCTACACCCCGACTGGGCTCCACGACTCCCCGCAAGTGCCCTGCCACCTCAGGCACCTGCCCCCACGCCCACTCAGCGTCACCCCCTCGGCGGTTCATCTCCAGAAGGCTTGGAATTGATGACGTTTCCGCACCACGAGGGGCTTTTGCGATTCTGCGTCACTGAACTTGCATCTCATCCCCACGATCCGACATAAGCTTGCCAAGGACAGGACCTCGTGGCACCCGGGACAGGGGCCACCCCATCCTACATGTGACAAAGCTGTCCCTCCGTGGAGCTGGCGTCTCTGATTTCCTCGGCCTGAGGGAGGCAGTGAAGATGAAGGAAGGAGGGAGGGCGCCTTGGTGGTGGGTGCAGCTCTGTGCTGGTCTTTCTCTGGCCACCTAGACTTCAGTGGCCAAATGGCTTCAGGAGACCCACTGGTCTTTCCTGTTTTATTTTATTTTTTACTTTTTTTTTATTTTTATTTTTTGAGACAGAGTTTCGCTCTTGGTGCCCAGGCTGAAGTGCAATGGTGCCATCTCAGCTCACCGCAACCTCTGCCTCCCAGGTTCAAGCAATTCTCCTGCCTCAGCCTCCCAAGTAGCTGAGATTACAGCCATGCACCACCACGCCTGGCTAATTTTTTGTATTTTTTTTTTTTTTTTAGTAGAGATAGGGATGAGCCACCGCGCCCAGCCAGTCTTTCCTGTATTAACAAAAGTATTGGTAGTAGCATTAGGTGTTAAAAATTATCAGCACAGCTTGGGACTGGCCACAAAATTCTTCTAAATCTCCCCAGGATAATCTCATGAGAGCACGGATGCTTTGCCCAGAATCTCTGCAACCGAGGAAGGTCTGTGGCACGGGGTGGGCCCTGAGAGACTTCACCTAAAAACTTTGGGTTCATTCCCCACCCGTGTGTGTATGTAGGTGTCTCTGTAGACAGTGATTAAAAATACTCCTGACTGGATATCACCATCTGCAAAACAGGCTTCTATTCAGTGAACTACCTCTTCCTGAGTTCCTCTTAATTCCTCTTCCTTAATAGCAAGAGACTCGAGACAGCTCACACAGGCTGGAGTGGCTGCTCGTACTTGCATTTGACCCTGGCAGAATACGCCCCTTCCTGAGGTGGCAGCAAGGAAAGAAATGCTCCGCCTGCCCTCCCTCGGCACCCTGGCCCCCGTCACCCACACCCCCGTCACCCGCACCCGCCTCACCTGCACCTGCCTCACCTGCATGACCTCGCCCGTGCCTGCCTCACCTGCACCCACCCTTGCCCGCTAATTGCCATTTGGGCTCCGAGGGATGCATCTCCAACCCCAAATCTGTCAGGCCCTTGCCCAGAGCTGCCCTTGTTTTCTTTCTCTTCTATTTTTTCCTATGCGCAAAAAGATCTCACCACAAAAATGTTTTCTTCTCTTCCTCCACTTGTAGCGACTGGGATCAGGAAACCGCAGGGTGGAAATTGTGGGGGCCTGTAGCCCAGAGTTCTCCTTATTCGGGTGCTGATCAGGACGGGTCTCAAGATTGGAAGGAATTTCTCCTGGGTCTCCAGGACACAAAAATCGCAGCTGTCTGCAGCTGGGCTGGGTTGGTGGCAGTTTCCTGACCCAAGCCCCATGATTTACGTTCTGTGTCCCTCCCTAGCTTTTGTTGAGATGCCCTTTGAGGTTTGCTGGTGTGTGTTTGTCCCAGGTTTGCATCAGTCACTGCACTGTCAGGGACTCTAGTGACCAAACAAGCCCGGGCCAGCCGGCCCCCACCTTGCCACCTCCCGCCACTCGCACCCGTGTGGACGGAGGCGGCCAGCATCGGCAGGCTGTGCCTGAGGTGCTGTGGTCTTCACCCAGCGCCTTCACACAGACGACTCCTCGCTCCATACCAAGCACCCCATAGATTTGTTTGTGTTTTTTCACAGTGGCCCTCTCTGAGTTTTAAAACTGGGAATTAGAAGGGAGTTATTGATATGAAAACCACGACAGGAGGTTGTTCATATGAGAACATACAGCATCTTTGATCAACCAACACGCCCTCCCAGCTTCCGAGTTCTTGAAGGTCTGATGATGGGTCAGGGCTGAGCTTGCCCTTTCCATCCGTTACCACCTTCCATGCAAAGCTGAATGAGAACGTGGCTCACATCTGCTTTATCATCAGTACATCCCTGTGCTTAGGAGAGTGTCTGGAGCATTCTAGGTGTTCAATAAAAATGCTTTCCATAAATGAACATGAGGGAAGCTGAGGCCCGGAGCAGCGACGCCACTTACACAGAGTCAGGCAGCCCAGCAGTGGCCAGGCTGACTGAAGCCCAGGCCTCCTGCCCCCAAGCCAGAGCTCCTCCTCGCCACCTTCCGAGCATCTGCGGTAGCTTCTCTGGGTGTAGCTTGTGGTGCTCTTTCAAAGACCACCCCCAAATGATATGGTGGTTCCTTAAAAAAAAAAATCAAACAGCCTGGGCACAGTGGCTCACGCCTGTGATCCCAGCACTTTAGGAGGCCGAGGTGTGCGGATCACCTGAGGTCGGGCGTCGTCTGAGACCAGCTTGACCAACATGAAGAAACCCCGTCTGTACTAAAGCTACAAAATTAGCTGGGCATGGTGGTGCATACCTGTAGTCCCAGCTATACGGGAGGCTGAGGCAGGAGAACTGCTTGAATTCGGGAGGTGAAGGTTGCGGTGAGCCGAGATTGTGCCATCGCACTCCAGCCTGGGCACCAAGAGCGAAACTCCATCTCAAAAAAAAAAAAAAAAAATCAAACATAGAATTACCCTGTGGTCCAGCAATCCCACTTCTGGGCACATATGCAAAATTATTGACAGCAGGGTCTCAGAGAGATCCTTACACCCCTGTCCATAGCAGCCTCATTCACAGCAGCCAGAAGGTGGAACAACCCAAGTGTCCAGCTACAGATGAACGGACTTGTGAATTACGGCATAGACATACAAATGCTATTCCATCTCCAGAGAGGGTTGAAGTTCCGACACACGCCACACAAAAATGAACCTCGAAGACATGCTGAGTGAAACAGGTCAGACACAAAAGGACAAATATTGTATGATCCCACTTAGACGAGCGACCTAGAACAGGCAAATTCAGAGACGCAAAGGAGTCTTTCTGCCCATGTTCGCCTCATCTAACCCCTGCCTGCAGGGTCTGGGGGAGGTCAGAACGGGCAGTTAGGGTTGAAAGTATACAGAGTTTCAATCTGGGAAGATGAAAGAGTTCTGAGATGAAGGGTGGTGATGGTTGCAAACAGTGTAAATGTGTTTGATGCCACTGACCTGTACAGTTAAAAATGGCTACAGTGATAACTTCCGTGTTGTGCAAATTTTCACAATAAAAACTTAATGAAAGGTAGCTAGAGACAGCAAGTGAGGGGAAGCGAGGAAGGGCGAGTTATTGGTTGAAGGGTAGAGTTTTTGTTAGGGATGACGGGCGAAGTTTTGGGTACAGACTGTGGTCATGTTTCCACAACATCGTGAATGAGTTTAGTGCCACAGCATTAAATGTATTCATGGTGTACTTGTGTACTTATGAATGGCTAAGATGATAAATATTATGTACATTTTACCACAATAAAAAAGTAATGAATTCTGGCCAGGTACAGTGGCTCACCCCTGTAATCCCAGCACTTTGGGAGGCTAAGGCAGGCTGATCACTTGAGGTCAGGAATTCAAGACCAGCCCAGCCAACATGGCAAAACCCCATCTCTACTAAAAATATAGCCAGGCGTGGTGGCGCATACCTGTAATCTCTGCTATTTGGGAGACTGAGGCAGGAGAATCGCATGAACCCGGGAGGTGCAGGTTGCAGTGAGCCAAGATTGTACCACTGCACTCCAACCTGGGTTACAGCATCTCAAAAAAAAAAAAAATTAATTAATTTTAAAAGCCAATTTGCTAGCCCAGCACCAAGGCCTCTCCCCCGACAGACCTCTGGCCCTGCACCCCTGGGCCTGCCAGCACTGGTACCCACCCTGGGCTGGGTTGAGGGTGGTGTCCCTGGGCTGTTGAGAGGCTCCTGGCCCCCATGCCCCGCCCAGCCCTTCCCGCAGTCCGGAGGCAGCACCTCCCCAGCCCTGCAGACCCAGGCTGTCGAGCCACTGCGTTGGCTCCCTCTCGCCTAGTCAACAAGCATCTCTGAACATATCTTCTGTTTTCTGAATGGGGAATAGGGCACAAGGAGGTTGAGTAAAGGACTTTTTATTCTATTTGTTTGACTTAGAGCACAAACCTCCTGAGAAACTCATTTTATATAAGAATAAAGAAAAGTCTGCTTTCTATTAAGGGTACGGCAGGAGGGCAGTGGGGGTCACCCCAACTTCCCTCTGATTGAAAAAATCCCCTCCGTGCATCCATCCTCTCTACCTCATGAAGGCAGCCAGTCTTTTTTTTTTTTTTCTTTTTAGACAGAGTCTTATTCTTTCACCCAGGCTGGAGTGCAGTGACACGATCCTACCTTGACCTCCTGGACTCAAGCAATCGTCTTGCCTCAGCCTCCCTAGTAGCTGAGATGACAAGCACATGCCACCACACATGGATAATTTGTTTTGTGTTTTTTGTAGAGACGGGGTTTCACCATGTTGCCCAGGCTGGTCTCAAACTCCTGGCCTCAAGTGACCCTCCTACCTTGACCTCCCAAAGTACTGGGATTATAGGCATGAGCCACCATGCCCAGCCCAGTTCTGTTTTTGAACAGATTTTTTATGTAAAAAAGTCTTCCTTAGAGACTCATGGATGGTTAGAGCAGTAAAGGATGTTAGAAATAATCCTGTCCAGTCTCTTCATTCTAAACACAAGGAGGCCTCAAAATATGTGGCCCTGTGTTCAAGGTCACATGGCCATGCATGGCAGCACCCAGACCCTGCTCCTCGGCCCCAAGCTCCCGCCAGTAGCACGCAAAAGATCTCGGAGCTGGGGCACCCTGGCCCCGGGTGACCTGGACACCCGCTAGCACACTAGCATATACACGGGTATATGGCACTCGCCTGCTCAGCCTTACACACCCTCCCATCCCAATAGGTCATTTTGTCAGAAAAGAAAATGACTCTAATTCGGAATTATTTATTTTTACTCAACCCGTATTGGGTCCTAGTATGTAATAACTCCTTTTCAAAGTATCTAGAAATACCTTAATAATTTCCCCCGGATTTTTTGCTGGAGATTAACATTAATAGTACGAAAAAAAGAGAAAACATGGCCGGGCACGGTGGCTCACGCCTGTAATCCCAGCACCTTGGGAGGCCCAGGCGGGCGGATCACGAGGTCAGGAGATCGAGACCATCCTGGCTAATACGGTGAAACCCCGTCTCTACTAAAAACACAAAAAAATTAGCCGGGCGTGGTAGCGGGCGCCTGTAGTCCCAGCTACTCGGGAGGCTGAGGCAGGAGAATGGCGTGAACCCGGGAAGCGGAGCTTGCAGTGAGCCGAGATTGCGCCACTGCACTCCAGCCTGGGCGACAGAGCGAGACTCCATCTCAAAAAAGAGAAAAGAGAAAACATTTGTTGGTATTTTAGCCCCTACAGCAAAGGTTGGCAATTTTTTTCTGTAAAGGACCAGAGAGAGAGTAAATATTTTAGTCAGGGCTGGATTCATAGGCAGTCACCCAGGACTCTGGGTTCAGGGACCACACTTGGTTTAGTCCTCAACTATTGCCATCATGGAATTCTTAATTTTTTTTTAAACAAGGGGCTCTACATTTGCATATTGTATCTCGAATTACGTGGCCAGTCTTGATTTTAGCATATGAAGCCCATACGGTCTCCGATGCCATTATCAGAGCGCTAAAGCAACGTATAAAAGATTGCACATGTTGCAATAAAACTGTGCACACTGAAATTTGAATTTCATATAATTTTCACGTCATGAAATATTATTCTTAAAAAAATTTTTTTCCAACCACTTCAAAATATAAGTCATTTTAGCTTGCAGCCTGTAGAAAAATAGATACTGAGCTGGATTTGGATGGGGAGGCGTAGCTTGCCAACCCCTGCCTTAAAGAAACATTTGGGCATACCGTAACTTTCCTCTTGTTGCAATTCTGCGTGGTGGCTCAGACCCCTGGGGACCTACCAAGCCTGCTCTGCACAGTTGATGCTAACGTGCTGCCCCACTGGGGCGCAGGAATGAGGTGTTAGCAGTAACCAAGAGTTGCTTGTGTCTACACTGTTGTGAGAGGAGGGAAATGTACCTGCGGCAGCACCTGTTCCTTTGACACCCTGGACCTGACCCACATGATCACAGTAGAGACGGAAGTCCAGCCATTTACTCCCTTCCCATTCCTCTCTCACTACACAGAGTCACTGTGGTCTCCAAGGTTACGATCCTGGTTCTCCTCCTCCGCCTGAGCGGAGACTCAGCAGCAAGACACACATGGCCGAGTCCTTCACCAGAGCCCCTTTGCATGGACCCCATGGTGCTTTCCTGGGGAATGAGGCTGGATGCCAGAAACCCAGCCCGACTCCTGTGCTCCAAGGCTCAAGAACACTCAGAACACCCCTCTGAAGACCCCCCTTGAGCAGATGCCCTCAAGGTCTAACCGGCTCAGGAGGGTCCCCAGAGCTCGGTGATGCTGGCTCAGAGAACCTGGGTAACGGAAAGGAGAGGCAGCTTTTCCCACTCACTGTCTCTGACACAAGCTCATTCTCCACAGTCATGTGAGTTTCCCAAACACCTTCCTCCCTCTGGCGTGTCTCTCTCAAGCCTCAGTCCAGTGAATGTGATTTATGAAAGGCCGTGAGGTCAGGCCCACCCATGGCAACAGCCTCAGCCCCTTCCCCGGCCTCTAACCCATTCTTCTTCAGTTACGCTTTCCATGCTCCTTCCTGATTTGCTCATCCCCAGAGACGGATGACCAGGGCTGTGAGCTCTGGTGTCAGAGTTCATTCCAGATGCAGGCTTGAAACTGAAGGAGCCAAGTCAGCCCCCTAAGGAAGGTTATAATTGCTAAAGGAAATACTGAGGAGGGAGGTGGATGGATGCGCTATGGCTGAGAGATTGTGTGTCTTGGGACCTTGGCAACTCAAACTTCTCCACAAAAGCAGAGAAGGAACAAGGAGAAAGTCAGTGGCAGCTGGACCCCAAGGCCACCAGCACCCCAGCAGTGACTGTGTCTAAAGCAAGGTCATCCACGTAGATGACTGCAGTGAGAATGGATACTCAGCTGCAGAGCGAGAATGAGCTCTCATTATTAGCGGCTGTTTTAAAATCATTTAACAATTTGGGCTAAGGGCTGTTGAGAATATAAAACAGTGTGAGCCAAGGAACTTAGCCTCTGGTTAGAAAGGTAAAACTAATTCATAAATACACATTGAATGCGAATAAAAGGCCATATGTGATAGGTTCATAATGAACTTATTCGACAAGCCTGTATTGAGTGCCTACTGTGTGCTAGAGACTTCAGTTCCTTTTTAAGATTGTTTTTACTTATTTTTAATTGACAAATAATAATTGTACATATTTATGGGGTGCAATGAGATATTTTGATCTATCTGTACATTATAGAAAGATTCAATCAATCTGAATAACACTCCCTCACCTCACTAACATCATTTTTTGTGTGGTTAGAACATTAAATATCTATTTTTAGCAATTTGAAATATACAATGCATTATTATTAACTGAGGTCACTGTGCAGAACAGTCACCAATACTTGTTCCTCCAGTCTAACTGAAACTTCATATCCTTTAATCAACCTCTTCCCTTTCCCCATCCCTCCCCCTCATATTCCCAGCCCTGCGACTCTCTGTTTCTATGAGATCAATTCTTTAGATTCCATATGTAAGTGAGATGACACAGTATTGTCGTTCTGTCCCTGGCTTATTTCAGTTAGCATAATGCCCTCTGGTTCCATCCATGTTGTCACAAATGACAGAATTTCCTTCTTTTTAAAGGCTGAGTAGTACTCCATTGTGTATATACCACATTTTCTTTATCCAGTCATCCACTGATGGACACTTAGATGACTTCTATATTTTGGCAATTGTGAATAATGCTGAAATGAATGTGGGAGTGCAGATATCTCTGCAACATATCAATTCCTCTGGATATATACCCAGAAATGGGATGGCTAGATCATATGGTAATTCCATTTTTATCTTTTTGAGGAACCTTCATACTGTTTTCCAGAATGGCTGTACTAACCTACATTCCCATCGACAGTGTACAAGGGTTCCCTTTTCTCCACAGCCTCACTAATAATTATCATTTGTCTTTTTGATAATAGCCATTCTCACAGGTGTGAGGTGATGTCTCATTGTGTTTTCAATTTGCATTTCCCCGATGATTAGAGATGTTGAGCATGCACTCTGGGAGGCTGAGGCAGGCGGATCACTTGAGGTCAGGAGTTCAAAACCAGCCTGGCCAATATGGTGAAACCCTGTCGCTACTAAAAATATAAAAAAATTAGAAGGGCATGGTGGTGCACACCTGTAATCCCCGCTGCTCAGGAGGCTGAGGCAGGAGAATGGCTTGAACCCGGGAGGTGAAGGTTTCAGTGAGCCGAGATCGCACCACTGCACTCCAGCCTGGGCGACGTAGTGAGACCCTGTCTCAAAAAAAAAAAAGAAAAAGAAAAAAGGAAAGTAATGCCACCAGAGGATACTATATCTAGCAAAATTACCCTTCATAAATGAAAGATAAATAAAGTCTTTTTCAGACAAACAATAACTGAGGGAATTCATCACCACTAGGTCAACCTTACAAGAAATGCTCAAAGGAGCACTACACTTGGAAGCAAAGGACAACAGTTACCATCATGAAAACACATAAAAATATAAAACTCACCGGTAAACAAACACACAAATGAGAAAGAGAAAAGACTCAAGTGGTGGGTGTCACTGCAGAAAACCATCAACGATAAGGACAAACAATAAAAGAAAAAGGAACAAAGAACATATAAAACAACCAGAAAACAACTAACAATATGACAGGAACAAAACCTCACATATCAATAATAACCTTGAAGGTAAATACATTAAATTCTCTGCTTAAAGGTATAGATTGGCTGAATGGATTTTTTAAATGATCCAACTGTATGCTGCCTACAAAAAACACACTTTACCTGTAAAGACACATAAAGACTGCAAGTAAGGGGATGGAAAAAGATATTCTATGCAAATGGAAACCAAAAGCAAGCTGAAGTAGCTACACTTATATCAGATAAGACAGACATTAAGTCAAAAACAGTAAAAAAAAAAGGCAAAGAAAGTCATTATATAATGATAAAGGGATCAATCCAGCAAGAGGATATAACAATTCTAAATATATATGCATCTGACACTAGAGCACCCAGAGTCATAAAGCAAATATTACTAGATCTAATGAGAGAGATAGACTCCAATGCAATAATAGTGGGGGACTTTGATACCCCACTCTCAGCACTTGACAGATCATCTAGAGAGAAAATTTAAAAAGAAACATCAGATTTAAGCTGGACTTTTGGCTAAATAGACCTAAAGATATTTACAGAACATTTATGCAATAACTGCAGAATACACCTTCTTCTCATCGGTAAGTGGAACATTTTCCAGGATAGACCATATGGCACACCACGCCTGTAATCCCAGCTACGTAGGAGGCTGAGGCAGGAAAATCGCTTGAACCCGGGAGGCGGAGGTTGCAGTGAGCCGAGATCGTGCCACTGCACTCCAGCCTGGGCGACAAGAGCGAGACTCTGTCTTAAAAAGTAATAATAATAAAATAAAATAATTTTAAAAAATGGGCAAAGGAGGTGAATAGACATTTCTCAAAAGACATACAATGGCCAACAGGTATATGAAAAAATGCTTAATATCACCAACAATCAGGGAAATGTAAACCAAAACTACAAAGAGATATCATCTCACCCCAGTTAGAATGGCTATTATCAAAAAGTAAAAAAATAACAGATGCTAAGGAGGATGTGGAAAAAAAGTGAACTCTTAAACATTGCTGGAGGGAATGTAAATTAGTACAACCACTACGGAAAGTAGTATGGAGATTTCTCAACTAAAAATAGATTTACCATTCGATTCAGCAATGCCACTACTGGGTATTTAGCCAAAGGAAAAGAAATCAGTATATCAAAGGGATACCTTCACTCACATGTTTATTGCAGCACTAGTCACAATAGCAAAGGTAAGGAAACAAGCTATATGTCCATTAACAGATGAATGAATTAAAAAATGTCATATATACACACGATGGAATACTATTTGGACATAAAAAGAGAATGAAATCGTGTCATTTGCAGCCATATGGATGGAACTGGAGGTCATTATGTTAAGTGAAATGTGCCAGGTATAGAAAGATAAGTAACGCATGTTTTCACTCATTTGTGGGAGCTAGCAAACTTGATCTCATGGACATACAGAGTAGAATTGATAGGTACCAGAGAATGGGCAGGGTGGGTCGGTGGAAGTGGAGATGAAGAGAGGTTGTTTAATAGGTACTAACATATAGTTAGATAGAAGAAATAAGGCCGGGCGCGGTGGCTCACACCTGTAATCCCAGGACTTTGAGAGGCTGATGTGGGTGGATCACCAGAGGTCAGGAGATCGAGACCATCCTGGCTAACACGGTGAAACCCCGTCTCTACTAAAACAAATACAAAAAATTAGCCGGGCGTGGTGGTGGGTGCCTGTAGTCCCAGCTACTTGGGAGGCTGAGGCAGGAGAATGGTGTGAACCCAGGAGGCGGAGCTTGCAGTGAGCCGAGATGGCGCCACTGCAGTCCGGCCTGGGCAACAGAGCGAGACTCTGTCTCAAAAAAAAAAAAAAAGAGAAGAAATAAGTTCTCATGTTTGATGCAGAATAGGGTGACTAGCAACAATATTATATATATTTCGAAGTAGAAGAAAGGACTTGAAATGACACCAACACATAGAAATGATATATACTCAAGGGGATAAATACCCCAAACACCCTGACTTGATCGTTACACATTCTGTCCATGTAACAAACACTCACATATACTCCATAAACATATAAAATACTATGTATCAATAAAAGAAAAAATAGTTACCTAGATTTTTTGGCTAGAGAGTGACATAACAAAAGTGGCATTTAAGGAAAGACATAAACTATCAGAAGGCAGGGCTTTGTTGTGATTAGCTTGTGTGGATGATATCAAACAGAATAAACTGGAGATGAACCATTCAATCAATGATGACTGATCGAAATAAAGTGCACAGGCTCACTTCTGAGATGGTGGTAACTTTGGCAGACAACGCAAAACTTATTTTTCTTTGACGTGACTACTTAGCTTCAAAAGTTCATATACACTTCGACTCCCTAAAAGAGAGGAGGCTTTAGGGTCAGACAGACTTGGTTTGAAACACAATTATAACACTTGAGGCCTTGATCTCCTTGTCTGTAATATGGGATGCTGCATAACTTCACAGGGCTCTGAAGGAATCAAATGAGATGACCCATGCAGACTGCCTGGCCCGTGTCCTGGACATCCTGGACCTCCTGGCACAGGGCAAATTCTTCATAAGCTTACTTCCCTTCTCTTCCTTGTCTTGCAGAGTTGCAGTGGGTTTTATCCCAGTCTTTGTTGTTTCTGAAATGCTTATAGATTCACAGGAAGTTACAAAAATCATACAGAGTATCTTTCATCCAGTAACCTTTGGAGACTGGCTTTTCTCAGCATAATGCCCTTGAGATCCATCCAAATTGTTGCGTGTATCAATAGTTTTTTTCTTTCTTTCTTTCTTTTTTGTGCTCAGTAGTATTCCATGATATGGATGTACCAGAGTTTGTTTAACCATTCACCCACTGAAGGACATCTGGGCTTTTTCCAGTTTTCACTTATTACAAATAGAACTGCTATGAACTTTTAAGTATAGATTTTTGTGTAAGCATAAGTTGTCATTTCTCTGGGGTAAATGCCCAGGTGTGCAATTAATTGATCATATAGTAAGTCTATGTTTAGAAACTGTTTTTTAAGAAACTGCCAAATTGTTTTCCTCAGTGGCTGAACCATTTTACATTTCCACTAGCAATATATGAAAGATACAGTTTCCTCACATCCTCGCCAGCATTTGGTGTTGTCACTATTTTTATTTGAGTTGTTCTAATAGATGTGTAATGATATCTCACTGTGATTTCAAATTTCCATTTCTCCAGTGGTTAACAATGAATGTCCTTTTGTGTGCCTATTTGCAATCCATATATCCTCTTTAGTGAAATACCTATTCATGTTTTTTGCCCATTTTCTTTTTTTCTTTTTTTTTTTTTTTTTTTTACTGTTGTGTCTTGAGAGTTCTTATTTTCTAGATATAAACTTTTGTCAGATATAGTTTGAAAACATTTTCTCCTAGTCTGTAACCTGTCTTTTCATCCTCTTAACAGGGCTTTTTTCTTTATTGATTTTTTTCCTTTTATGGATCATACTTTTGGTATTAAGTCTAAGAACTCTTTATTTAGCCCTGGGTCCTAAAGATTTTCCCCTGGTTTTCTAAAAGTTTATAGTTTCATATTTTACATTTAAATCTATGATGCATTTTAAATTAATTTTTGTATAAAATGTGAGGTTTAGATTGAGATTCATATTTTTAATCTATGGATGTATAATTGCTTCAGCATCATTTGTTGAAAAGACAATTTTTCCTCCATTGATTTTCTTTTGCACCTTTGACAAAAATCAGTTGGGCATTATTTGTGTAGGCCTGTTTCTGGGTTTTCTATTCTGTTCCATTGACCTGTCTATCCTTCCCTAAGACTCTTTTTTTTTTTTTTTTTTTTGAGACAGAGTCTTGCTCTCTTGCCCAGGCTAGAGTGCAGTGGTGTGACCTTGGCTCACTGCAGCCTCTGACTTCCAGTTTTAAGCAATTCTCCTGCCTCACCCTCCAAGTAGCTAGCTGGGACTACAGGTGCATGCCACCATACCAGGCTAAATTTTTTTTTTTTTTTTTTTTTTTTGTATTTTTAGTAGAGACAGGGTTTCACCATGTTGGCCAGGCTGGTCTCGAACTCCTGCTCTCAAGTGATGCACCCACCTTTGCCTCCCAAATTTCCCAAATTGCTGGAATTACAGGTGTTAGCCACCACGCCCAGTCTAAGACCACATTTTATTCTCCTAAATGAAATAAATTTCAATACAATATTTACCCTAGATTTCATTCTAGGCTGAGACTAAATACACAGAATTTCAACCTAAATTGAGTGATTTGGCAAAATTTCTAGAAACCTGGAAAAAGATGTGCTTTTTCCACAAAAATTGGTGGAACTATTTTCTCTTTTTTATTTTTATTTTTTGTGTTTGATAAAAGATACATAACATAAAATTAGCATGTTAGCAATTTTTAAGTGTATAATTCAGTGGCATTAAGTATACACATATTGTTGTGCAACCACCAGCTCCCAAATTTTTAATCATCCCCAACTGGAATTCTGTATCTATTAAACCATAACTCTCCATTCCCTTCTCCCCCAGGTCTTCGGCCACCACCATTCTACTTTCTGTATCTCTGAGTTTGACTACTCTGAGTACCTCATATAAGTAGAATTATGCAGTTTTTGTCCTTGGGTGTCTGACTACTTCACTTAGCATAATGTCTCAGGATCATCCATGTTGTGGCCTGTGGCAGAATTTCATTCCTTTTTAAGACTGAATAATATTTCATTGTGTGGTTATACCACATTTTTGTTTATGCACTCATCCACTGATGGACACTTGGATTGTTTGGCCACTGTGAATAACGTTGTTATGGATGGCTGTACAAATATCTCTTTGAGTCCCTGCCCTATTCTTTGGGTGTATGCCCAGGAGTGGATCATTCTCTCTTATACAAGACTCTAGACTTGTTCAAACATCTGCTCCTTTCCCTTCTTTCGTCAAGACCCCAGGGGGGTCTACAGGGGGACCCACTGGGCCACTAGGGGGAGCTCCCCACCCTGGGATTTGGTGGGGTCTCTGGCTTGTTTTGTGATCTCTAGCTTGGTGGAAGTAAAGGAAAACAGAGAAAAATGAAGGAAATGGCAGCCCCCACCCCCCAAGCCATTTCTCGTGGGTTTTTGTTCTGTGGAGTTCCAAGCACCACCTGGAAATTGCTTTATTAAAAGCAACACCTCTCTGGCCACAGGGGTGAGAAAGGGAGGTAAGAATCAAAGGATGGCCCTTTCCTCAGTTCTCAGTTTGGGGAAAATTGGTTTCCTGCCTCACTGTGAACTTGAACAGATTAAATAAAAAGCACTTCGTCTTATACATTTCTCTCAAGCTTTCCAGCCAATGCATCCTCTTCCACTATTTATAGAATTAGGGCCAGCATGGTAGATTTCCTGTCCTGAGTAATTGTAGGAAGGTAGGCTCTGAAAAGTAGGAATAAAGAACCAATTCCCAGTTTGTGGTAGGTGGAGGCAGAATTTGGCCTAAACAGCAGCAAGGGTCTCCCGATTTCTCTCCCGACAGGCTTTTCTACAACTGGGTGTGAAGCCTGACCTGGACTCCTGCTAGTTGTGTGATTGTGGGAGGTAATTTGGCCTCTTTAAGCCTCAGTTTTCTCATCTGTGAAATGGGATAACAGAGTCAACCTCATCGTGTTGCTGTAAGGATTAAATTCCTTAGTACACCATAACCTCTCAATTAGAATGGATTATGACTGTTGTTTTCCTGATGCTATCATAATTCTCCTGCAGAAGTTAGTCCTGGGTGGGAGCTGCTGTCCCTGCACGTAACTTCCTCACACCCCATGCCAGTACAGTATAGAAAAGCTACAGTGCAACTGACAAAGTGCCTACATGTAGTAACAATAGAAATATCCTAATCTGAAGCTTTTCCTGGGAGCTGGACTCCAGAGTCCGTGCTGCAGAGGCAGTGGTTTTAAAGCTGCATTGTGCTGGAGATGTTCCCTCCCATGACCCCGTCACCTCCACCTCCACCACAGCCACCATGCCTAGGATCACAGTGCAGGTGTCTACTGAGGGACAGCAGAAAGGGGGTGGCCAGGGCCTGGCTCAGGAGGAGCGAACACCTCCTTTCTCTTACCCAAGCCGGGAACAAGGACCAAAGAGAATCTACTTCCTTCCTTCCTTCTCTCTCAGCTGCCCTCTAGGGCAGAGAAGTGGTCAAATGGGGAGTCACAGAATCAGCCCCAGGTTAAGCAGTTCTTGTTGGTGGACCAGCCGAGTGACGAAGGGTTAGACAGGAAGGGATGCACACTGGGCTGCCCCCACCTTGTCCTGGTGCCGCCCCCTCCCTGGTTCTGGGGCTGCCTCCTGCATGTCCACGGGCTACCCCCTACCTGGTGTTGGGACTTCCGTTCCCAGCCCCAGGATCCAAGTTGATACCTGTGGATTCCGCGGCTCAAAACGTCCTTTGTTGCTACCGGGCAGTCAGCCACTCCTTGACCCCAGTGAGATGGAAGATAACGTCTCGGTGGGGATTTGTAGGAAAAACCAGGTCTAGGCTGGGGGCGGGGTGTGAACAGGGGTGACGGTGCTCCTGGCGTGGGAGAAGACACACCCCTGCAGCACGGTGCACACCCAGCCCACCGTCTTGGCAGATGGCTTCTGGAGCCCAGGACTGGGTAGGGCAGAACTGCAGGCCCCTGGCAGTTCCGTGGGGCCCCGTGGTGAACCCCGCCTCACCAGGTGTGCTCGTCCCTGCCTCCCGTCCTCCGCCCTCTGGGAGCAGGGCTGGGATTCTACTACTCTTCGTTCCAAACAGTGGTGAGACTCCGCCGGGGCCCCTCCAGCCCTTGGCACTGGCTGGCAGACAACAGCCTGAGGCTCCTCCCAGGCAGAGGTGGGGTCCTCCCAGGGCTGCCCACCGGTCGTCCTCTCTCGCATCCTCTCAGGGCTCTCCATGTTCAAGTTCCCCCAGCTCCAGTCCTCCCTCTCCTATTTCTGGCAGCTCTTAAGACAGCTGCTCCCCAGAGAAGAGACTCCCCTTCCTCTCCCCGTCTTGTTCCAGCTGCCAACCTGCATGATTCATTCCTGTCTCCCCACCGCATAAAAGGCACTCAGGCCATTGCTTGTGCCTAAGTAAATATTTATGTGCTCAGCATTTGTAGCGAGTGAGTGTCCTCTGTCTGTCTGGGTCACTGTTGTCAGTCACTGTGGCAAGCAGGGCCATGCCAAGGGTTCTCTAAGTGCAAAGCAAGAAGGTTTTAAAGTACTGATTGTGGTCAGATTTATTCTGATCCTTTAATTGTTACAATGAAGGCATCTTTAAAACACACAATCAAAACCCCACCCATGGAGGAAGAATCCTGAGGACTGTGGATTGCTTGACATGGGCTTGGTTACCTGGGCAGGGCCTTCCCTGGTCCACTCCTGGAGACCCTTGTCCCTGTAACTTACTGCAAACCCAGATGTACATTTAAATTAAAGAAGGCGAGTAGCTCCTGGCTGCCTGCCACCGGCTAGATGATGGGGGAGCCCTAAGCAGAGTCGCCCAAGGGAGTGGACTCTGGGCAGGCTGCTGCCAGGGTGGTGGGGTCTGAAGGTACTGGAAGGCTCTCAGGATCTCAGCAGCTTCCCCACCCACTCTGGGGCCCTGGAATGTCTCCTCCGTGCGATGCCCTGGTGCCTGAAATTCCACCACTGCATTTTGTAGCTTTTGCTGTGGATCTTGTAGCTTTCTGTTTCCAGAAATTCCAGCTTAAAATGCACCACAAATGTCAGCCCAAGAATAAAACAGGCAGGTGGGGATACAGGTCATGTTATCAAGCTACAAGAAAGGCAAAAGGAAAATTAAAAGTGGGGGAAGAGGGCCTGGGCACAGTGGCTCACACCTGTAATCCCAACACTTTGGGAGGTTGAGGGCAGGCAGATCAGTTGAGGCCAAGAGTTCGAGACCAGCCTAGCCAACATGGTGAAACATGGTGAAACCCAGTCTCTACTAAAAACACAAAAAATTAGCCAGGTGTGGTGGTGCATATTTGTAATCCCAGCAGTTTGGGAGGCTGAGGCACGAGAATCACTTGAACCCAGGAGACAGAGGTTGCAGTGAGCCAAGATCATGCCACTGCACTCCAGCCTGGGCTGTAACAGAGTGAGACCCTGCCTCAAAAAAAAAAAAAAAAAAAAAAAAAGCTGAGGGGAGGGGGACATAGGAGTATGCGTGTACAAGAGATCATCAGTACTTTGCAGGAGGACAAAGTGACTAGATGGTGCTTCTCTCTCCCAGGCTAGTTCCTTCTTGCCCTGTTCTCTCCTTATCTGTTACTCTCCTATCGACTCAGGTTTGGGGCACGAAAATCAGCACCTCCAATACCTTTCTAAGCCTATACAGACCTACGGTATTTATCTGTTCATTCTTCTGTCAGAACACAAAGGCGTTCAAGGCTCATAATTTGAAACATGAAATGCAAAAAGTCACTGGATATAATTTCCATCTCTTCGGTAATCACCTTTGTCTATATCATCCTCTTTATTTATTTATTACGTCTTTTTAGAGATAGAGTCTCGCTCTGTCACCTGGCTGCAGTGCAGTGGCATGATCATAGCTCACTGCAGCCTTCATCTCCCGGGCTCAAGTGATCCTCCTGCCTCAGCCTCCTAAGTAGCTGGGACTAAAAGCATGAGCCACCATGGCTGGCCCTCACCTTCTTTATTATGGCCAATGCATGAAGTCTTGGAGAGGACTTCTAGGAATGGAGGAATGTTAGGGTCTAATTAGCATTAAAGCTGACTGCTTTTTTATTATTATTATTTTATTTTTAAATGGAGTCTCGCTCTGTCGCCAGGCTGGAGTGCAGTGGCGCGATCTCAGCTCACTGCAACCTCTGCCTCCTGCCTCAGCCTCCGGAGTAGCTGGGACTACAGGCGTGCACCGTCAGGCCCGGCTAATTTTTTTTTTTTATTTTTAGTAGAGATGAAGTTTCACCATGTTGGTGAGGATGGTCTCGATCTCTTGACCCCATGATCCACCCACCTTGGCCTCCCAAAGTGCTGGGATTACAGGCGTGAGTCACCAAGCCTGGCAGTGACTGCTATTTTCTATGAACCATTTCATTGACCAACATACTCAGGAACCTCAACAATTAACAAAGGATGCTAATGTTAGTTATGTATTAGGACCCAGATGCTTGTACAGTTGTCTCTGGGTACCCCCTGGGGGATTGGTTCCAGGACCCTCATGATATCAAAATCTATCAAAATCTATGAATGCTCAAGTCCCTAATATAAAATGGGATAGTATTTGCATATAACCTACACACATCCTCCCAAATACTTTAAATCATCTCTAGATTACTTATAATACCCAATACAATGTAAATGTGATATAAGTAGTTGTTACACTGTATTGCTTTTTGTTTATATTATTTTTTGTTGTTGCATTATTATTTTTTATTTCTTAAAAACATTTTCAGGCTGGGTGCAGTGGCTCATGCCTATAATCCTAGCACTTTGGGAGGCCGAGGCAGGTGGATCACTTGAGCTCAGGAGTTCACGACCAGCCTGGTCAACATGGTGAAATCCCATCCCTACTAAAAAAATACAAAACTTAGGCTGGGCGTGGTGGCTCACGCCTGTAATCCCAGCACTTTGGGAGGCCAAGGCGGGCAGATTGCCTCAGCTCAGGAGTTAGAGACCAGCCTGGGCAACACAGTGAAACCCCGTCTCTGCTGAAAATACAAAAAATTAGTCGGGCGTTGTGGTGTGCGCTTGTAGTCCCAGCTACTTGGGAGGCTGAGGCGGGAGAATTGCTTGAACCCAGGAGGCGGAGGTTGTGCCAAGATTGCAGTCCAGCCTGCGCAACAGAGTGAGACTCTGTCTCAAAAAAAAAAAAAAAAAACCACGAAAATTAGCTGGTTGTGGTGGCGCACACCTGTGATCATAGCTACTCAGGAGGCTGAGGCAAGAGAATCACTTGAACCCAGGAGGTGGAGGCTGCAGTGAGCAAAGATTGTGCCACTGCACTCCAGCCTGGGCAACAGAGCGAGATTGTGTCTCAAAAAAATAAATTAAAAAAATAAAAATATTGTCAATCTGAGGTTGGTTGACTCTGTGAACGTGGGACCCACAAATAGGGAGGGCCAATTGTTTAAATACATAGAGTGAAAAATATCAGAGAGAAAGGAAGAGTGCCAGGCTAAATGCTTTAAGCTTAACATTTGAATATTTAAAAACTTCAATTGTTAAACAATTGTCCATTACAATGATGCATTTTCACTTATTACTGTTTGTCTCTGGTGATACAATCATTTTTTCCTGAAGCCAAACAAGTGCTTCAGATAAGACATTCTAGCAAAGATCACAGCTCATAGGGTGGAATTCAATAGTTTATAAATGCTTTTTTTTTTTCAAGACAGAGTTTCACTCTTGTTGCCCAGGCTGGAGTGCAGTGGTGCTATCTCAGCTCACCACAACCTCTGCCCCCCAGTTCAAGTGATTCTCCTGCCTCAGCCTCTCGAGTAGCTGGGATTACAGGAAGGCGCCACCACGCCCGGCTAATTTTGTATTTTTAGTAGAGGCAGGGTTTCTCCATGTTGGTCAGGCTGGTCTCGAACTCCTGACCTCAGGTGATCCGCCAGCCTCGGCCTCTCAAAGTGCTGGGATTACAGGTGTGAGCCACTGCGCCCGGCCTATAAATGCTTTTGATAATAATCGTGGGTCAGGAGACAAACCATTACTTCCTTGAGATGTCTGGATTACCTGTGGGTTTCCTTTATCATCCTTGTTAGTACCATTTAGCAAAAGCTAACATGATGGCGGAACCTAGGACCCAGTCTCAGCTCAGGGTGTGCACACCTGGTCCCTGGCAAGACCAAGCAGGAAGAAGCCAGGATGGCGGAAGACCTCAAAGACTCCAGTTCTCGCCAGCCCCTCTGCCGCCCTCCACTGCAATGCGGTCCCAGGGAACTTAAGTGATGTGTTTCCTGGGCCTGGGGCAGGGGGTGCCACGGCTCTTCTGGGCTACCCTGTACCTGTCAGCAAGCCTCTCTCCTCCCGAAAGCTCACTGGACGCTGGGCCTTTGGGATCCCTGGCTGAGTTCAGGATCAGAATGACCTGTGGAGCCTTAGAAGTCACAGACCAGAGGCACAGCCTTGGAAACTGGACTTTAAACATTCTTTCCCAGGAGATTCCGATAAACCAGGGACTCAACCCTCACTGCACTAGGAAGCCCCTCCAGGAGCTGTCTGTGAGTGAACAACTTTGAGACACCCTCTGGTCACCTGGCACAGGTGTGCCTCCCACCCTGGGCAGCCACGTGGGAGGGGTCAGCCTCCCCTGACAGCTGGAGAGGCCACTTTAGTGTCCTTGTGGGAGCTTGTGGCCATCCTTTCTCCCTTTCCTGGCTGGCCTCTCCTTCGGTATCTGCATTTTCTGTCGTCCTAACAGTCTCTGGAGAGGAAGGAAGAAGGGGCTGCTCTCGCTCTGGAATGCCAGCCCCCTGCTGAGTTCCTGCCGCCCTCTCTTCCTTGCTCCCAGCCCCCTCTACCAACAGGAACGGCCAATGCTCCTGGCTTTGCCTCTCTCTGCCTTTGTGCGTGTCTTACTGTGGCTCTCTTATTGTGGAGCACACATCACTCGACCCGAGGGCTCCCTGCTGCACCCTCCAGTCTGCGCTCTCCTCTTCCTAAACTTGTGGGCCCTGTCTACACAGGTTGCTCACTCCGCCATCTCTCTCGCCTTGCCCTCTGGCCTTCGTATTTATCAGTTCACTTTTTGAAACTGCACCTCCAGCCACCCTGACCTCTAACGCTCCTTACATTCCCTGTTTCTTGCCGTCAACACTTGAATGCCCCCTTGACCTTAAAAGTAAGTGTCTTGGAGTCAGATTCACTGTCTTCCTCTCAAACCTCCATCTTTCTCCATTTCCCCTTTGACTCCATCATAGCTTTGTTTACTCTTGGGGAGTATTTAGACCCATGCTTTTTACAGGTGAGGATCCAAGAAGGGGAGTGACCTTCCCCAGGGGAAACCAGCTCCTTAGTAAGAGAGAGGGAAGGAGAAGCTCGGCCACCACCCTTAGTCCTGATGGCCTTGAGCCGCCAGGGGCTCTGGCACCAGACGCATGTGGCCTGGGCATCTGATGTTCATTTCATTTCCATTTGCTTGTGTCCTGGCCCCACTATAAGAACAAAGCTCCTTGAGGGCAGGCACCCTGTCTCCGTTTCCTCTGAAATGTCCCTCAGTATAGAAAGCATTAAAGGGCTTCAGTCAAAGTTGAGATGAGGGAAAAAGGAGGCATATGGGGATGTTAGAGTCTCCAAAGGGAAAATGGTATTTCTTGTCAATCATAATTCCAAAGAGTGCCTTGTTTTTTGGTCAAGCATTTGAGTAGTTCATTAACAGGATCACATTCATTAGTTTTTCCCATTTGCTCGCCATTCTTTTGTTTGTTTGCTTGTTTTTAAGAGATGGGGGGGGGGGGTCTCACTTTGTTGCCCAGGCTGGTCTCGAACTCCTGGCCTCAAGCAATCCTCCCACCTCAGTTTCTCAAAGTGCTGGGATTACAGGCGTGAGCCACCGCACCCGGCCCCCATTTTCTCTTTATGGGACCTTGACGAGTGGTACTGATGAAATGATGAAACTCTTCCCATTGCAATTGGCTAGAGTCTCCAGATTTTGCCAGTTTTTAGTGACACCTTCAACTGCTTCATTCTAGGTATTAGTAAAGCAGTAATTCATTAAAGGGACAATTTAGGATTCTGTCTTCTCTTGGGAGGAGTTCAAGGATAGAGCATCCCATTAGAGTGGACAACAGAAAATGAGGTCACGTCTATTCAATCATAATAATGCAATTATTAATACTGATTGAACATATACTACGTGTAATAAATAGTACTGGATTCCTTTTTTCTGTCTGTTTTAGACAGGGTCTCACTCTATCGCCCAGGCTGCTGGAGTGCAGTGGTGTATAATCACGGCTCGCTGCAGCCTCGACCTCCCGAGCTCAAGTAATCCGCTTGCCTCACCCTCCTGAGCAGCTGGGACTACAGGTGCACACCAAAACACCCACCTAATTTTTGTGTTTTTTGTAGAGTCAGGGTTTTGCCATGTTGCCTAGGTTGTTCTGGAACTCCTGAGGTCAAGTGATCTGCCCGCCTCAGCCTCCCAAAGTGCTGGGATTACAGGCGTGAACCACCATGCCCAGCCAGTACTTGGATTCTTTATGTGTGTTCTTCGACTTCTCACATTGCCATAGATAGGTGATCTTACCACTGCTACCTTTTAGATGAGAAAACCGAGGCTTAGAGAGATGAGTGTCTTGCTCAAGATCACACAGGTGTTGAGTCTGAAGTTCACCTCTGAGGACTGACCTGGCGCCCTGCTCAGCAACCATGCTGTCTTCTCCCTGGAGGGGCACTAACTTCTCTTTTGGGGAGAGGTGGCTAGAGGAGAGCCTTCCAAGTGAGATGAGTAAGGCTGTCATCATTCTGATGAATCTTCATTAAGATAAAACTAGAGGGCCACTGTATTTGTCCGTTTTCACACTGCTGATAAAGACATACCTGAGCCTGGGCAATTTACAAAAGAAAGAGGTTTAATTGGACTTACGCTTCCACATGGCTAGGGAGGCCTCACTGTCATGGCAGAAGGCACAGAGGAGCAAAGTCACATATTTCGTGGTTGGCAGCAGGCAAAAAGAGAGCTTGTGCCGAAAAACTTCCCCTTATAATAACCATCAGATCTCATGGGACTTACTATCAGGAGAACAGCACCGGAAAGACCTGCCCCATGATTTAATTACCTCCCACCGGGTCCCTCCCACAACACGTGCGAATTCAAGACGAAATTTGGTTGGGACACAGCCAAACCATATCAGCCACTCACAGTGGTGCACACCTGTAATCCCAGCACTTTGGGAGGTCGAAGTGAGAGAATCGCTTGAGCTCAGGGGTTTGAGACCAGCCTGGGAAACATAGCAAAACCCTGTCTCTACAAAAAATATGAACATTAGCCAGCTATGGTGGCATGTGCCTGTAGTCCCAGCTACTCAGGAGGCTGAGGTGGGAGGATCGCTTGAGCATGGGAGGTTGAGGCTGCAGTCAGCCATGATCATGCCACGGCACTCCAGCCTGGGTGACAGAGTAAGACTCTGTCTCAAAAAAAAAAAAAAAAAAAAAAAAGAAAAGCAGTTTATAAACTGGTAAGCTCTATGCACATATGAGGTATTAAGAACGGTCTTCTGCTTTTATAAAAATTCCTTTATGCTGCTGACATCCTGGTATGAACTTTTTCCTCTACAGGTCCACTGCAGAGCCAGATTAGAACTCATGATAGCAGCTTCCTTCTTACCAACCCTGCTGCCTTCAGCACTTAGAAATCCCCCGATCCAGCTGTCCCAAATTGTCTTGGCTATTGTGAGTCTGTGGCGGTAATCTATGGATAGTGTCTGGATATTTGGGTCAGATTCTGCCAGTTTTTAAAAAGCCCTCTTTCTTAGCAAAACCGTGACTTCTATGTTACGTCCAGACAACGAGCAGAAACTGAGCACTGAACAACACAGTACCACAGGCAATGGGGTCAAGTGCCTGTGAAATAGCTGTCGGGATAAAAGGTTATTATTAGCTCTGCCTCTCGCTCTTGTTCTGGGCTTTGAAGGCTCATCAGTTCCCCCAAGAAATTTTCTGTGCGTCCTTTTTTTTTTTTTTTTTTTTGAGACGGAGTCTGGCTCTGTCGCCCAGGCTGGAGTGCAGTGGCCCGATCTCGGCTCACTGCAACCTCCGCCTCTCGGGTTCACACCATTTTCCCGCCTCAGCCTCCCGAGTAGCTGGGACTACAGGTGCCCTCCACCACGCCCGGCTAATTTTTTATACTTTTTACTAGAGACGGGGTTTCACCGTGTTAGGCAGGATGGTCTCAATCTCCTGACCTCATGATCCGCCCGCCTCGGCCTCCCAAAGTGCTGGGATCGCAGGCGTGAGCCACCGCGCCAGGCCTTCTGTGCATCTTAAAGAACACCTTTGAAAGGTGCCAGAGAAGCAGACTGGGATGGAGTAGAGGGTTGCCCTGCAACAGGGGTACTTTCTTCCTGCACCCAGAGGCGGCTGGACAGCAGTGTTCTGAAGCTCCTCCCCCTGGCACTGGGGGTGGTGAAACGGAGCAGTCCACCGAAGAGCATGCCTGAGGACCAGCACTCAGCCCCACATGCACCTGGCAGGAAAGCCACTGAGATCCCAGCCACGCAGGAGTCTCAGCCTCCTCTCTGACTAGTTCTGATAGGGTTTTCGTTAGACTTTCTGGCTGGGAAGGGACCTCTGAGTGTGGATGGGGGCCTGCGAGGGCATGACCAGGAGTGGGGAGCAGTGTCCTCAATAAAAAGAGCAGTGATCATTACATATTTGCATAGGGCCAAATATTCTTTCTTTTCTCTTTTTTTCTTCTATTTCCTTCCTTACTTTCTTGTGTCCTTTCTTTTTAATCACAAATGCCAAATTGGAATATGCCTTGTTTGGCAGAGAAGGCAAGAGACCCCACCCAACAGTCACAGACAAAACATGGGTGAGATTTGTCTGCATTCCCATCAGTGCCTGCCTTCAGAGCTGGAGGTAGCTGCCCCAGCAGTCCAGTGACTCAAGCTATGGGGTGCTTACCACTTCCCTTGGGGAATCTGGCCCACGTCTCTGCTGTCTCCTCATTCAAACGTTTTCCCAGCTACTCAGCCACAAGCTCCTTTCCCGGGGGCACTGCAGCTTCCCTCCCTGTGCCACAAGTTTTGACTCATCTTGGACAGAGATGGTGGGGGTAGGGGACTTACAGAGCATTCAGCTGGGGTTGCTGTCGTCTGTCACTTGCTCTCATCCTAGACTGTCAGCTCAGGGCCAAGCAAAGTCATCCCTTGTTGCTTCTTCTAGGCTTCAAATTAGAGGTCGGCCTCTCCACACCTCATTCTTCAGACTGTAAACTTCCTGAAGGTGGGAACTGGTCTCATTCATCTCTGGGTGTTTAGGGCTCAACAAATGAAGCGAATCTTCAGTTTCTCCCATGTTGCATTCTGGAGTAATCAGGGTCTGGGGAACAAGACTTCCCCCCGACCTCCCACGAAGACCCTAACTCCATGGCCGGGCACAGTGGCTCACGCCTGTAATCCCAGCACTTTGGGAGGCCGAGGCAGGTGAATCGCTTGAGGTCAGGAGTTCGAGATCAGCCTGGCCAACATGGTGAAACCCCGTCTCTACTACGGTGGCGCACACCTGTAATCCCAGCTGCTTGGGAGGTTGAGGCAGGAGAATCAGTTGAACCCGGGAGAAGGAGGTTGCAGTGAGACGAGATTGTGCCACCACACTCCGGCCTGGTCAACAAGAGCAAAACTCTGTCTCAAAAAAAAAAAAAAAAAAAAAAGACCCTAACACTAGAACTGATGTTTTATTCTGAGGAAGAGAGAAACTGAGCCTGCTTGAAATTTGGCAAAGCGGATTCAAAGCTTTTTTGCTTGCTTTAGGCCAACTCTCCTCATATCATCTGTCCCCAAGATAAAGCCTTGAACTAGCTTCCCTCCAGCAGCAGGCAGGCTCCCCACAACAATTATAGGCCATGCATTTATGGTTGCTGGACCTGGTCTCATAAACCCCATTCATTCACTCCGAGGTGAGAAAAGTCACAGTGCACCTGAGGTGAGAAAAGTCACGGTGCACCTCCGGCCCAAGCCAGCACAGTTCCAAGGAAACCTTGCCCTCTAATTAGTGGGGTATTTGCTACAACAGCTCTTACCTGTTGTAAAATCCAGAGGACAATAGCTCCTTATTGCCTGCCCAGTGTGGTGGGTTCCTGGTCCCATCCATTCCCTGACCCTCCCTGCTGCCCCTTCCCCCACTGAAAGGGGGAGGCTGTCACCTTGTTTGGTTACTAATTTTAAAAAGGCAAAGCCTTTGATTATTACTATTGTATTTTCCCTCCCCTCACTGTACTGCATTCGAAGGCAATTTCTTTAGCAGGGCGACCTCCTCCTCAGGGAAGAGACTGGGTTTTTCAGAATGTAAAAGCAAAGGGGCTGGAGGGCAGGCCTGGGATCCTACTGGCTGCTCTCGGTTGGTCCCTGTTACCTGGGTCTGGAGCAGGGACCAGCAGCTCCTGCCTCCACTGGGACCTTAGCTCACCCACTTCACCTCCTTGGACACCCTCTTGGGCAGCTCACCCAGAGGTGCTATGAGGTTACCTACAAAAGGACATGGGACTTCCAGAAAAGCATTTAAACTTGGATCTGAACTAAGGCCGAGCCCTGGACTCTAGTGACCTTCTCAAGCTATTAGCCCCTGCAGTGACTATGGGTTGGTCGTCAGACTTTCCTGTGCCTCATTTTCTCCATAAAACATCAGGAGAATTATTTAGTCCTATATCCATGACGAAAGTATTGAGAGAACACGTTTGCTCCTTGAAACCTTTCTGCCTCATTTTTCCCAAACCCAGGGATCTTTCTGAGCTGGGCTCTGTAGGGAAGGGCCCAGGACTGCGAGGGGGATGACCTGGGTTTGCGAAGCGGCAAAGTAGTTCCCGGGTCACTCTACTTCCTTGGGGGATTCAAAGGAGGACGCGTAGCAAGAAAGCGGAGGACATAACTCTCTTCCCCTCTCAGAGCCTCGGGCCCCGCAGACGCCGAGGTGGGCGCTCGTGCCAGGATCGCGGGGCGCGGGTACGGGCTCCTTGGGCGCCCCGAGGGGGCTGCTGGCCGGGGTAAGAGCCGCGGTTTCTTCGGAGGATCGGGTCGAGTTCCAGGAGAAGGGGGCAGCAGGCGTGCGGCGCCGGGAGAAGGGGGCCGGGCGGCGGAGACTCCCCGTCCGCACCCCCGCGGCGAGGCCCCCGGGCCGCTCTGCTTAGGGGCCGAGGGAGCCGGGCGGGAGGCAGGTGCGGAGGTCGCGGTCCCAGCGCCTGGGAGGAGCCCTCGGGAGGGTGTCGCGGCCCGGCTGGTGGGCAGGAGCGAGCCGGGGCCGGCGCGGCTGTCGGGGGCGGGGAGGAGGCGCGGGAGGCGGGGCGGAGGCGGCGGCGCCCCCAGGATCCACTCGCCCAGCGCCGGGCCCTGCACTCCGAGCCGCGGCCGCCACCCGCCCCGCAGCCAACTTGGGCCGAAACTTCCCCGGGTCCCGCGCTCCGGAGCAGGGCGCGCAGCCCGGCGAGATCGACGGCGGCCTCCCGAGCCCGCGCCTCGGGCCCAGGGCCTCCCTCCGGATCGGCCGCAGGCTGCGCGCCCCCGACCGTCCCCGCCCGCTGAGTTCGGGGGTCCCCGGCGCGGAGCAGGGAGCCCTCCGGGCGGCAGGAGGGCGCGCAGACTCCGAGCGCCGGGGCTGCCTGGCCGGGCTCCGGTGGACACCTCGGAGGCTGCCCCAGCATCGGGGGGGGGGCCCGAGACGCCTCGGCGGGACCCCGGGAGCCGAGCACGCCCGCCCGCGCCGCCAGCCCCGCGCCCCGGCCGCGGATGAAGAGTCGGAGGCGGCGGCCCGAGCGGCCCGCGCGCTGAGAGGAGCGGGCAGGGTCTGCCCCGGGCCCCGCCGGCCGCCCCCTGCGCCCCCGCGGGCCGCGCCTCGCCCGCCGACCCAGCGCAGCCGGGCGCAGGAAGAGCCGGGCCGGGCCGAGCGGCGCCCGGAGCCCGCGGGCCTGACACGCGGCGGGACATGCAGGTAAGCGCCGGCCCTCGCCCCCGGGGACGGCCCCGCCGCCGCCGCCGCCGCCCCGGCTGCCGAACCTCGCGCGGCTCCTCCGCCTTCCCGGCCCCGCGGCCGCGCTGGGTGTCCGCCGGGTGGGTCTGCGCGCCGCGGGCGTCGGGTCGGGGCGGGCCGGGGTCAGGTCGGGGGAAGGGAGTCGCCCCGGGCCGGGGCGGCGAACAAAGCTGGGGACCGCCGGGCCCTCGCGCGGGCAGGCATAGGAGGCTCCGGGGTCGGCGGCGCAGGCGGGGCGGCCTCTGAGCTTCGCGCTCACTCTCCCGGGTCTGGTCGGGCCCAGCCCCGACCCTCCGCCGAGGTCTGCGCCGGCATCGAGGACCCCATCTGGGTTACTTTACCCGCCGGACGCGGGTGGGAGCCTGCGTTTCTGCCCGGACCGCGCAGGTAGAGCCCGAGCGCCGCTCGGCTTTGTGCTTCTCCGGTCGCTCCGGCGCTCCACGTCCCCGCCGTGGGAGAGGCGGGACGAGACCTCCTCCTTCACTTTCTTGGAGCCTCGGTGGACGCGTAGCCCGCGCTCCAGTCGGAGCCGAACCCCCGGGTATTTGCTGCAGACCGCTGGGAGAGGCAGTTCGGTTTGCGGGGAGCCTGCCCGGCCCTGTTTTACAGGGAGGGAAACTGAGGTGGCCCCGGCCCTGCGTTGGTTACTCAGCTGAAGGGGTGTGTGTGTGTCCGGTGTCCCCTCCACTTCACCCGGGCCCTTCTTCACTGCTTTTGCCACCTGGCCACGTTGGCAACAGCTTCCAGTTGCTACTCCCCTGGGCAGAGGTTCAGCCTGGTACCTGGAGGAGAAAAACTAGGGATCGTGGAATCAACCCCCCAGACTGCTCCAGGGGCCCCGGAATGTGCCCAGTCACCAGAGCTGCGATGGGACGTCTGTGCCCGTGCCGTCAGTGTGGAGCCGAAAACCCTGGCTCGGCAGGGCAGGGGCAGCCGCTAGCCAGCCACCAGCACTCGTCCAGGCACACGGGGGAAGCCTAGGGAGCCCCCTCCTGTGGCTGGCCCCTAAGGCAACGGAGAGCCCAGGCAGCAGCGGGCACGCCCTCAGAAGGCCTAAGGACCCTTTCCTGCACCCAGCCTCTCCTGCCATCCGATTAACCGGCAGAATTCACTTACGCAAAGGCAAGACTCCCCATCTCAGGCACAGACGAGCGGATGCCAGACCTGGAGCTTGCAGCCGCACCCCTGCCTAGGCTCACACACACAGGTCCTGGCAAACACACCGACCTATTAGAGGTGGAAGACTGAGGGGTGGTTTTCCTCCATCTCAAAATAGTGTCTGTTCTCGCTTTGACACACAAGATTCGTGGTTATAAATAGCAAGAAGGAGGAGGTGTGTCTCCTTGGAAGGATGGCAGTGCTGAAAGAGACCTCTTAGGCACCCTTGTGAGAGGAGTGATGGAGCTGGCGTCTTCATGGTGATGACAAGTCCAGCAGTCCAAGGGAAGGGTCACAATTAAAACCAGGGCTTTTTACTAACAGATGCAGGTGGCGCGGACAACAGGGCAGGACGTGAAGGGAGTAAAGGAACCTAAAGTGACAATGGATGGGTCAATACCCAAAGGCAGTCAGGAGAGACATCTCCCCTTCCCTTTCTTTCTCTTCTTAAAGACAGTCAGGCCAAGGGCGTGTGACACTCTGTGGGATCTGCCTGCCAGGGGAGCAGGAGCCAGGCTCGGAGGAGCTGGCTGGTCTTTTTCCACCCATGGATTTCATACTTTCCCAGGCTCTGATATCTTATGTATTTGAATATGAATAGGTGATTGAGCGTGTGTGTCTGTGTGTTTCTCCAAGGTATCTGAAACCGGTCCCCTCTTTAGTTCATTTGGTGATTGTAATATCACCAGGGGTTTCTTATTGACTTGAAACTACCCTTTTCTAAAATTTTTTCTGTCCAAAAAGCATAAGTTAAAGGGATATTGCCAAAATTGCTGGGAGCCATATGCTGCGAAAAGAAAAAATCTGGAATTCTTCTTCCCTTGTGTATTTCACCCTCTGACTCTAGGGGCAGCTGAAAGATTTTTTGTTTGCTCTTCTTCAAGGTCAAGAAAGGCAGAGGACTAGGCTGGTCTGTTCTAATTTTTAATTCTAGGATGGTTCTGCTGCTTTCTGGATTGCCGCAGCCTGGCTTCTCTAGCATGGAGGGAAGTTTTTACGTGTGGTGATAGTCCTTGTCTTCTCTGAAATAGAAACCAGTCAGTCCAAAAAAGCTCTCGTGTCAGCGAGAGCTTTTTCTCTCTGGCTCCTTTTCAAACCGCCTGCCATTTATCTCCTTCATCTTCTAACCAGGTCTTCAGAGCCCATCTTTGCTCCAGCGCTAGTCCTGGATGCAGTCCTCAGAGTGTGTGGTCGTGGTGGTAGTTACTGGTTGTTGGGTAACTCCATCAGGTCTCTGAAGACACACAACAGCAGTAGATGTAAAAGCCCTCTGGGCAATGAGAGCATGTGGGAGCTCCACTTACGGGCAGCCTTGGCTGGTTTCTGTTGAGCGTCTTCACCGTTATCTACGAGTCCAGAAACATCCAGCAGAGGGATTGTGCATCGATATTGCCATCAAGATGAAAAGACATGCTCATTTTAAATCTGAGCCACCCTTTAAAGTAAAACTAACCTTCTGTCCATCTCTGGGGCGCAGCCTGTGTGCTCCCCCAAGCAGCATGCTGGAGGAACCCTGAAAACGGATCCGCTGTTTGGTACAGTTCTGGCTGGACTGTTCCCTTCAGCGAGAAATGCCCCAACTCTGGAGAGCAGGTGACTGCACAGCCCCTACCAGGCCCTCTCCACCCCTGGCCCGGCTCTGTTTACCTGGCTAAATTTAAACCTCCGCCCCCTCCATCCCAGTTTGAGCCACTGGCTTGCGGTCTCGCCACTGGGCTGGCTGCTGCGGCAGCATTTCCTGACTTCTTCGCCCCTGTGGTTGCAGTGTGGTCTCTTTGTGCTGCATGAGTCCTCTTCTAGGCTTTCTAAAGTTGGTCTCTCTCCCCGCTGCTTCTCCACCCATGTGGCTTTCTTCCCATCTCTTTCCTCCTGGGTGAGTTGGAACCTGGTTCGGTACTGGGGGAAGATGCTCTCCCCTAACCCTTCCAGATACTGTGCACGGAGATCACAGGAAGCCTAGACTCAAGCTGTCATTTAAGGTCCTCAGGGGGCTGTGCTGACTGTAATCATTACCCAGCCTGGCTGCCGGGCTGTCGGATCCCCTTTGAGTAAGCACGTAGGGTGCTGGCAGCAGTGCAGCCCTTAAAGGGACAGGGGCATTCTCTAAGGTCTTTGGCACCCCAAACCTCCAGCTCCCCTAAGAAACCAACCCACCTGGATGTCCTGTCCTTTGCATCACTGTCTTTTCTTGAGGTTTTGCTGGGGAGGGTGTTTGAGTGGGTTGGGGTGCACACGGTAGCTTCTCTCTGGATCTCAGTAATATTTTCTTTTCTTTCCTTTTTTTTTTTTTTTTTTTTTTTTTTAACAGGGTCTTTCTCTGCTGCTCAGGCTAGAGTGCAGTGGTATGATAATGGCTCACTGCAGCCTCGACCTCCTGGGCTCAAGTGATCCTCTCACCTCAGTCTCCCCAGTGGCTGGGATTGTAGGAGCCGTGCACCACCATGCCTGGCTAATTTTGTTCTTTTTTAATTTTTTGTATAAATTGGGTTTCACTATGTTGCCCAGGCTGGTCTTGAATTCCTGGGCTTAAGTGATTCTCCTGCCTCAGCCTCCCAAAGTGCTGGGATTATAGACATGAGCCACCTTGCCCAGCCTTGCTTGTCTTTTCTATAAAGTGAGAGCATTGGGTTAGTTGGTCCCAGGGGCCCCTTCCAGCTCTAACATCCTGTCACTCTGAACAGCTCGAGCTCTTTCAGGTTTGGGAATCCCTCTGCTGTGGACAGGCCTGGAGTGTCCCCACCAGAGGGGTGGGGGGTGCTCTGGGCCTGCTGCTTTCACAGAGTTACTGTTTCACCAGCCGTGGTCTCAGAGGCAGGGTTTGTGGTCAAGCTGGAGGCTCAGGTTGTGCTCCTGGCTTTGGGCTTGGGCCTGCCAGGGGCCTCTGTGGTTCGCTGGCATCTGGGAGATTATGACAAGCCTCTGTCTCCAGCTTTGGGTGACTTTGGGGCTGGTGCCTGAGTTCTAGGGGGAGGCACCCCAACCTTTCTTAAAGGGGTATACAGTCTCCTCTGTAGCCTCCTAGAGCCCCAGAAATGCTAACTCCTAAAAGGTTACTCCTGTCTGATTTATACAGTGGATTTACTGAGGCCTGGGAAACGATAGCTGGCCTTGGCTTAGAAAAGGCAGTGAACTCAAAAGTTCTTGGTTTACACACTTTAGCCCCCAAAAGTCACTTTAGAGTTATCTGCAAATGATTAATTGTTGGATTTGCTCTGAGTCCTGTTGTGGAAGCAAAAACTGTAACATAAAAATATAATGTTATGAAAAATCTAAAGTAACAAAGCTTTTCTGAGGCCAGCTCGTGGTCATCCTGTTTGCTGCTCTCAGTGTGGCTCCTCTTAAAGAGGTCAAGCCCAGAACCGAAGGTGCGCAGCCACAGAGCAGCCCTGAGCTCCTGGGCTCTTGCTGGTGTCGTGCCTTCACTGGTGACACTTCCTGAACTTAACCAGTGGATGGACATGGGCAAGAGGCCAGTGGCCCCGCACCCATTTTTCTTACCGGTGAATATCCCCCAGATGACAGGAGGCTTGTCTTGCTCTGGGAGGTTGGGGCAAAGTTGAGTGCCTGTCATAGACTCCTCCCTAAGGTTATAGATTTCACCAGTATTTGTTGAGAAGTTTCTCCTGAGAAATTTTGAGTAAAGAATTACTGAATTTTCTTAGAAATCTTGTTTGGGGGTATGAGACCTGCAATCAAAGCAATTAAACTTTTAAAGAGATTGTGTATATAAATTGAGAACTAGAATATCACCCTTGGGAGCGGGGGCTGGTGAGTGAAGGAAGAGGGGGCATTTTCAGTTGCATTGATAGGGTATATGCTGGGACGAGGAGGGCTTTTGAGGCAGACTTCTGGGTGCAAACCCCAGCACAGCTGCGTCACCTGAGGTAGGGCAGGTTACCTGACTTCTCTGTGTCTCTGTTTTCTTACTTGTGTACTGGAAACCGTAACTTTATACCTATCTCTATGTGGTATGTGGTGGTTAGGACTAGTGTACATAAAGCATCTGGACCATGCCTGGAGCCTTGTGGGGCTCTAGATGCGACAGCTTTTGTGGTGATATTGATGAAGGGAAGGAAGAGGGAGGCAGGTCGATGGGAGAGGAGAGCTCAATGCTGACGTGGTCCTGCGCAGTTGAGAATCCGGCGAGTCCCTGGCTGAAAAGGAGGGGGTCCTGCTGACCCCATCTCAGAGGCATCTGTCGTTTTAACTAAGCAAATGCTGATATGTTCCCTGGATTTGGAAGTCACCCAAAATCTTAACTTGTTGCATTTTGTTATTCTTAAAAAGGTAACCTCTGTGAAGTCATATCTAAAATCAGCTTTAGGCTGGGCAAGGTGGCTCACGCCTGTAATCCCAGCACTTTGGGAGGCCGAGGATCATTTGAGGTCAGGAGTTCGAGACCAGCCTGACCAAAGCTCATCCTAAGCTCGGGTGATCCTCCTGCCTCAGCCTCGTGAGTAGCTGAGACTACAGGCACGCACGACCGTGTCCGACTAATTTTTAAATTTTTTGTAGAGATAGGGTCTCATTATGTTGTCCAGGCTGGTCTTGAACTCCACTTCAAGTGATCCTCCCACCTTGGCCTCTCAAAGCTCTGGGATTGCAGGTGTGAGCCACCACTGCTGGCCCATTGCCTCCCCTTTGCTGTACGACCTTCACTTGGCTTCCAGAGCATCTCACTCTTCCAGTTTCTCTTCTTGCTCATCGGCAGCAGCTCACCTGGTTATCTCTTTGGACCTCTTGTCTTCTCTATGTACAGTTATACGCTGCATAAAGATGTTTCGGTTAATGATGGACTGCATAGACCACAGTGGTTGCATAAGATATTTCACTGTGCCTTTTCTATGTTTAGATTTGTTTAGATACACAAATACTTACCACTGTGTTCCAGCTGCCTAGAGTATCCAGTACAGTCACATGCTGTGCAGGTTTGCAGCCCAGGAGCAATCAGCTAGAGCATCTCACTTGGGTGTATAGTAGGCTCTACCATCTAGGTTTGTGTAAGTTCACTCTGTGACACTCACACAGTAATGACATTGCCTAATGACACGTTTCTCAGGATGTATCCCTGTTGTTAGGCGACGTGTGACTGTACTGTACACTCTGATGGTTGTAAGTACTGTCTCTACCCTTAGGAACCTCATGGTTTTGTGTCTTGCCTGCTCCTCTCTCTTGAACTCCAGACCGGTGTTGCTGAAGCAGCACCTCCTCTACAGAATTACATGCCTCTGAGCTCGTCCCTGCCTTCCCATAGCCCTCTCCATCTCATCCTCCTTGTTGCTCATGCTGTAAACCCTGGAGTCAGTCTTGACTTTTCCCTTCTCTCCCTTCTGACATCGAATCCATCAGTGATTCTTGCCAAATCCAAATTCAGAACGTTCTCAGCACCCTGATGACTTCTCACCTCCTCTACCCTTCTCATCCCGGCTCATTAGGAGGCACCTCCTAATTGGTCTTTCTGAGTTAGTTAGGGCAGCAATCCTGTGTGATATGTCAGATCTTGTCACTTTTCTCTTCAAAACCTTCCAGTGGCCTTCCATCTCATGCAGGAGAAAGCCAAGTTCTCACACTGGCTTGCAAGCCCTTGGTGGGCAGCCCCCACTTACCTCTGCGACCTCACCCTAGCGAGGACTTCTGTGACTTTCCTATATAGATCATAACCCTTTCATCATTCTCTAGCCCTCTTCTCTGCTTTATTTCTCTCTGTTATACCCATGGAACATACAGGTATTTTATATTTCCCTTATTGGTCCTCTGTCTGCTTCCCCTTGCTAAAACAGAAACACCACAAGGGCAGGGGTTGTTGTCTGTTTTGTCCACTGTTGTATCTTAAAGAGTACATGGGACAGTGCCTGACACGCAGTGGGTGTTCAGTGAACATTTGCTGAAGGACTTAAGTGGATGAAAGACAGCGGTTTCACCTGTTGGCAGGGAAGAGTGTTAACAGTGGGAACAGGCTGAGCGTGGTGGCTCATTCCTGTAATCTCAGTGCTTTGGGAGGGATGGCTTGAGGCCAGGAGTTCTAGACCAGCCTGAGCAACATAACAAGACACCCATCTCTACAAAAAATTTTAAAAAGTATCTGGGTGTGGTGGTGAACACCTGTAGTCCCAGCTACTTGGGAGGCTGAGGTGGGAGCATCCCTTGACCCTGGGAGGTTGAGGCTGCAGTGAGCTATGACTGTGCTGCTGCACTCCAGCCTGGGTGACAGAGGGAGACCTTGTCTGAAAACAAGCAAACAAAATCGTAGGTTCTTCCTCTGCTCCGTTGCTCCCTCCCCATCTTGGCCTCCTTTGCCATACCATAGAGGTGGGGCAGCTGGCGAGAACATGTGGCCCTGGGATATGCCTGTTTTATCAGAACTGATGAAAGTATAACATGTTCACTGAAAAACATTGACTTTTTTTCATTTTTTAATTCATTCATATTTTCATTGAAAATATGAAGAAAATGATGATTTTGAGTTATCATTGGTAGGATTTTGGTGCATTCCTTTTCGGTTTTTTCTGCCTGTGTGTACAAGCACACATGTATTTACAGGCTCAGGTGTGTGTTTCCACACATGCGCGTCTCCTCCGGACAGGTGGTGACACCTTGAGGGCCAGCACCGTGCCTGTTCTCCTCCTCTCCAGCTCCTCTCTTGAGCCTGGCGTGGATCGGGTGCACACAGTGGTAGATCACAGGGATGGCTGGACAAGTGCGTGATCTGTTTCCTGGTGAGCACCTGGAGTCCATGCAGAGCCAGTCCCTGTGATTTCTTTGCCTTTTTGGTTGATGAGCTGCTGGGTAAGGGCAATGTCTTCACCACTTTTGTTTCCTTAAGGTTGTTCAAGAGTCAGGTTTCTCAGCCCCGACACCATGGATATTTTGGACCCAATAATTCTTTGTTGAAGAGGGCTGCTCCATGTATTGTAGGATGTCTGAGAACACACCTGGCCCCTACCCACACGATGCCAGTAGCACCCCACTCCGAAGGATGACAACCAAAAATGTCTCTGGACATTGCCAAATGTCCCGTGGGGAGAGCGGGAGGGAGCAGAGTCACCCTGGGAGACGACCGCTGTTCCAAAATGCCTCTGTTTTTTTCCTGACAGTCTTCCCTTGTTTTTGTTTCTCCTAAATCCTGTGGATTTATTATCCGTTTTACATCCTATTTCCATGCTACTGCCGAGGGCAGGCCGTTGGGGAGCTGATGTGAATTATGGCAGCAGCTTTCTCACTAGCTGTTTGTCCCTGGGCCCACCCTCACAAGGCCATCTCTCCCGCTGCTCCCAGGTGGACCATGCCGCTACCCTCTTCACCCATGAACGGCCACCCTGCTGATTAAACAGGTCCTCAAGTTGAACGAGGTGTCCTGTAGCAGAAGAGGTTTTGGTATTTACTGTGTAGTTGGGGTATCAGCCTTCCTTGGCTAGTCTGGCGGTGATTTTCAAGCTTTTACAAGTCTTTGCGAGCCCGTGCTTTCCGTCCTGTCCGGTGGAAAGCGCATGGCCTTGAGGCTCAGGGGGACTTCGGTTTAAACTAACTCAGCTGTTCAAGCCTAATTGGCTTGCCTTGCCCATTTAGGTTTTCTGAACTCCAGTTTCTTCACTGTTTAAACAGGGATAATAATGCCCAACTCCTAAGGTCATTTTTGAGAATGAAATGTGATAATTTTGTGAATTAGGGCAATGCCTAACATGTATCATGTACTTAGTCAATGTTAGGTCCCACTTTAACACTTCATTGAAAAAAAGTAAAAGTGTCAAGAAATTGACACCTAGATTCTGAAATACCTTGTCGGAATTTAGGCAGAAGATCAGAGTGTTTTATAATTTGGTTTATTTTGATGATTGAGGAGACAAAGGAGACCTGAGAATTCACTTCCATGACAGCTGCTTTTACCGAAGACCTGTTGAGAGGTCTGCAGCTCCAGGCTCTTGGACTTTTCCTGGACAGTCCTCCCAACCAAGAGGTGGGTTCCTGGATGGCAGGAGTGATGTCCTCCTTGTCTGGGCTCCTCTCTCCTCACTGATAATCCCACCACTCGGCGTTGCTGCTGCTCAGCCATATTGACACGTTAATGAGCTAGTGACTTCTAAACAGGTTATCCTCCCCGGTTCAAGAAATCCAGCCATAATTACCATGTTTCATCGATATTAAGATGCATTTCAACATATCTGAGGTCAGAATGCATCTCAGAATCAATATTGTATGACAGTTTGATGACAAGTACTTTTCTTTCTTGGTGGTACAAAATAATGGTGCATTCTAGAATCAGTAGCATCTTAGGTTTGGTGAAATAAGGTAATTGATCACTGTTTACTAAGGGGACCTGTTGTCATTTCCTGGTGCCTAACTTGGTGTTCACTTGGAAATGCACTTTTGTATTTTGCCAAACAGAATATTTGTTTCCTGTCACCTTCAAGTTGAACATCTATTAACCATGTTAAAATTGAGAGAGGAAATTCTAGGCAAAAACTGGACGTCCCATGGACCCTGGACCCTGATGCTTGAGCCTGCTGGGCTGCTCGTGGCCACCTGGGAATCAGCAGTCCAGGATTTCTGCCCTTGCATTGCTGAGAATCTTGAGCAAATGTGCTCATCACTGCCAGTCTCCCTCTTCTCATTGGTACATGGAGTCACAGTGTAACCCCTTCCTATCTCATAGAACCGCTAGGGTCAAGCGACATGGCGTGTAGGGAAGTGCTTTATACCCAACGGTAAGAACAACGAAGTGCTGTTCCTACCTGATACGCAGAAGGGAACTGTGACCCAAAGACTTGTTTAAATTCACTGACAAAGCACAGCTCCAGGTGACTCAGTGTTGATTCATACCTGGCACTTGTCTTCTTATTTGTCTATTTCTAGGAGAGAGACTTTGAAATTATAGAAACTTGTCTGGTGAGATGAAATAGTATCCCAAAGGATCAAAAAGAAGTTACATCCTAGAAGTAGAATGCAAGCTTTTTTTTTTCTTTTTTCATTTTATGCTTTCCTGTTTCACTGCCTTGGCACTGGAAAATATGGGGTAAAATGTTGTTAACATTAACACAAATATATTTATCATGAAGAGTAAATCTAATCTCTTATGTACAGTGTTTTAAAAAAATCAAGTTCTGGCCAGGCGCAGTGTTTCACGCCTGTAATCCCAGCACTTTGGGAGGCCGAGGTGGGCGGATCAGGAGGTCAAGAGATCGAGACCATTCTGGCTAACATGGTGAAACCCCGTCTCTACTAAAAATACAAAATTAGCTGGGTGTGGTGGCGCGTGCCTGTAGTCCCAGCTACTTGTGAGGCTGAGGCAGAAGAATCGCTGAAACCCGGGAGGCGGAGGTTGCAGTGAGCCAAGATCGCGCCAGTGCACTCCGGCCTAGCGACAGAGCGAGACTCCGTCTCAAAAAAAAAAAACAAAAAATTAAGTTCTGCAGTGCAACAGGTGCTGGCTCAACCCTCGCCCCAAAACCTCATGGCAGTGTGACCAGCACACACAGGTGACCTTGAGGCAAGTCAGCCAAACTTGCTTGACCTCAGTTTCCTCACCTGCTAAAATCTTAAAAAGCTGTTGTGAGGATGACATGAAATGAATAGAAAGCACTTACGTTATAAATGCATGCAGAGCCTTGCACTTAGAAAGCACCAGAAAATGTTGGCTCTAATTATGCTTCTGAACAACCACAAAACGCGCTATTGTGCAATTGCCAGTGACTGGTTCTGCCGACAGAATCAAAAGCTTGGTTGTGTCTGGGAGGAAGGAATGAAGTGGTGTTATTTTCATACTTAATGCTGGCGTTAATAAGCTACACACACATGTCAATTTAACAGTAGTCTGACCTAAATAATATTGCATTTTCGACACATACAGCATGTTATACAGTAACCAAATCAAGAATCCTGGTCGAAACCTTACCAAACAGCTTTAAAATATTTCCTTTCAAATGAGATTCTTGAAGTTCACTGTTACCCACTCCATGTGCTGAAGTCTTAAGCAGCATCCTACTTTTATGCTTAAAAGCCTAGGAGACATGGCCGGGCATGGTGGCTCACACTTGCAATCCTAGCACTTTGAGAGGCCAAGGTGGGTGGATCACCTGGGGTCAGGAGTTCGAGACCAGCCTGGCCAACATAGTGAAACCCTGTCTCTACTAAAAATACAAAAATTAGCCTAGCCGGGCATGGTGGCGGGTGCCTGCAATCCCAGCTACTTGGGAGACTGAGGCAGGAGAATCATTCGAACCCAGGAGGTGGAGGTTGCAGTGAGCAGAGATCGCACCATTGCACTCCAGCCTGGACGACAGAGCAAGAGTATGTCTCAAAAAAAAAAAAAAAATAGCCTAGGAGACCTGCCCTCAAAAAATATGCTGTGGGGAGATGGTGTCCTGCTGATCTCTCTCATTCAATATGGCATACAGACTTCTGAGAAGTTACCATGAACCTACTTTCACAGTTGAGGGCTAGGGAAAGTCTTATAGTGTGAAATTCATTAGCCTCATGCGCTGTGTGAAATTCATTAGCTTCACACACTCTGCCCTCTCTGTATTTCTTTCTCCACTCCCCACCCTGTGTTGCCACAGCTGAATGGTGGAGGTACTATTGACTTTTTCTTCTTCATCAACTTTATTGAAGTATAACTTACATACAGTAAAATTCGCACGTTGTACGTGTACAGGTCAATAAATTTGGACGAATATACACACCCATGCAACACCACCCCAATCAAGATACTTCTGCTTTTGCAGAAATCTCCTTGTCTCCCTTCCCTGTAGCCACACCCCACCACCACCCCAACTCAGGCACCCACTGACCTGATTTGTGTCATTCGAGATCACTTTAGTCTGTTCTAGAATTTCACACGAATAGATTTATACCAGAATTATGGTTTATTTTTCAGCTTTTTGGTATTTGGCTTCTTTTGCTCAGCATAATATCTGTGGGATTTATCTAGGTTGTTGCAGGTATCAGTAGTTCATTCTTTTTTTTTTTTTTTTTTTTTTGAGACAGGATCTTGCTCTGTCACCCAGGCCATAGTGCATTGGTGCAGTCATGGCTCACTGCAGCCTCAAAACTCTGGACCTCAAGCGATCCTCTGCTCTCAGCCTTCTGAGCAGCTGGGACTATAGGTGTACGCCACCATGCCTGGCTAATTTTTATTTCTTTATTATTATTATTATTATTATTTTGAGTTGGAGTCTCGCTCCAACTTAGTTTTTTCTTATGCTAACATTTTACATAACCATAGTACAATGATCAACAACAGGAAATTAACATTGTTACAGTATTGTTAATTAATTTACAGACCTTCATCCAATTTCATCAGTTTTTCCCTAATGTCTTTTTCTGGCCCCAAATTCAATCCAGTATCTCACATTAAATTTAATCATCATGTCTTCTTAATCTCCTCCAGTGTGACAATGCCTTAGTGTTACTTTTGTCTTTTATTACCTTGACTGTTTTTTTTTTTTTCAAGACAGAGTCTCCCTCTGTCGCCCAGGCAGAAGTGCAGTGGCGTGATCTTGGCTCACTGCAACCTCCGCCTCCCGGATTCAAGCGATTCTCCTGCCTCGGCCTCCCGAGTAGCTGGGACTACAGGTGTGCGCCACCACACCAAGCTAATTTTTGTTATTTTTAGTAGAGACTGGGTTTCACCATGTTGGCCAGGCTGGCCTTGAGCTCCTGACCTCGGGTGATCTACCGTGCCCAGCTGACATTTTTGCAGATACATTTATAAGATGTTCCTCCCTCAATTTGGGCTTGTCTGATGTTTTTTCATGATTAGAATGTATTTATACAGTTCTGGCAAGAATCTCACATGAGTGGATATTGTATCCTTCTCAGTGCATCATATCAAGGAGTGCGTGATGTTGAGATTACTGGTGATATTAACTTTTGATCATTTAATGTAATTTTTGATATGGTTTTGTCTACCATGTGGCTGTTTGATTTCCATTCATGCCCCTCCCCACCACACCTTTTTTATGGTGGTGGTTCCAGGGCTAACTACATGCATCCTTAACTTTCAGCGTTTATTTAGAATCAACATTGTACCTTTTCCCAGGCCACACGTCACTGATGTAATAAACTTAGTATATTCCGTTTACCTCCCCCCACTTAGCTGATTGTCATATTTTAAAAGATATGTCTGACAATCTACCAAATGCTTACTTTTGCTTTAGTCTGTTGTCTCTTAGTAAATTATGAAAGGACTGGAAAGTATTTTATATTTACCTGCTTATTTGCCATTTCAGGTGCTTGTTATTCTCTTCTGTGGATCCAAGTTTCCAGCCTGATGGGGATTCTATATGTAGCATTTCTGGTAGTGCACATCTGCTGATAACTAATTATCTCAACTTTCATTTATCTGAGAACGTCTTTATTTCCTCCTTGTTTTTGAAAGCTATTTTTGCAGGATATAAACTTTCTTTTTTCTTTCAGCACTTTAAAAGTGTTATTTCAAAACTCTAGTTTTTGGGCTGGGCACGGTGGCTCATGCCTGTAATCCCAGCACTTTGGGAAGCTGAGGTGGGTGGCTCGTGTGAGCCCAGGAGTTTGAGATCAGCCTGGGTAACATGGTGAAATCTCATCTCTATTTAAAAAAAAAAAAAATTAGGCTGGGCACAGTGGCTCACGCCTGTAATCCCAGCACTTTGGGAGGCTGAGGCGGGCGGATTACGAGGTCAAGAGATCAAGAACATCCTGGCTATGGTGAAACCTCGTCTCTACTAAAAATGCAAAAAATTAGCCGGGCGCGGTGGCGGGCGCCTGTAGTCCCAGCTACTTGGGAGGCTGAGGCAGGAGAATGGCGTGAACCCAGGAGGTGGAGCTTGCAGTGAGCTGAGATGTCGCCACTGCACTCCAGCCTGGGCGACAAAGCGAAACTCCATCTCAAAAAAGAAAAAGGTAGAAAATACTATAAATCATCACTAACTGATATCACTGGGGTTTCAGGAGCTCACAAACCTGAGGACTTTCCTTTGGGACAGATGACTTGTGTATCAAAGCCCCGTCTGACAATTGGCTTGTTGAATCTGAGCACTGGCTAAGTGAGACACCTACTGGTTAGACCTCAGGGATTTTAGGGATATTCAAATTCCATGGTAATTTGAGTTTATGCCCATAGTATCGTTTCACAATTTTAGAAGTTTAGGGGGAAGTGAAAGTCCTCCAAAAATAAAAGCAAACTTTTTGGAATGGAAGGAAATATTTATCATTATACGTTGTGACAGCTCTGCTGTCCTCCCAAAATACTGCATGGTGTGTGTCTTTTAAGGAAATGTGATTAGCAAGACCCCATCTCCACAAGAAAGTTAAAAAAAAATTAACCGGGTGCAGTGGCTCACACATGTAATTCCAGCACTTTCAGAGGCTGAGGCAAGAGGATGGCTTGAAGCCAGGAGGTCGAGGCTGCAGGGAGCTATGATTGTGCCACTGCACTCCAGCCTACGTGACAGAGCAAGACCATCTTATAAATAAATAGAGAAGAATGGAAATTAATTTAGTTTTGTATTTCATGATACCTCATAAAATAATTGGAGCTAATCAGGAATAATACAAACTTCTAATTGAACATTACTATTTTGTTAAACAACCTGAAACGCATTTCTAGGAGTCACATGTCAACGGCACACCTGTTGAGGGCTCCATCTCCATGCATGGCTGCCCTTTTTTTTTTTTTTTTTTTTGAGACGGATTCTCGCCCTGTCCTCCAGGCTGGAGTGCAGTGGCGCAATCTTGGCTCACTGCAACCTCTGCCTCCCAGATTCAAGGAATTCTCCTGCCTCAGCCTCCCAAGTAGCTGGGACTACAGGCGCACGCCACCACGCCCGACTAATTTTTTGTATTTTTAGTAGAGACGGGGTTTCATCTTGTTAGCCAGGATGGTCTTGATCTCCTGACCTCATGATCCGCCCGACTCGGCCTCCCAAAGTGCTGGGATTACAGGCATGAGCCACTGCACTTGGCCCTGGCTGCCCTTTCAATCAGCCAGCAACCTTGGAGTCTATGGGAAGAATTTTGCAAGAGCAGGTAATAAGATGATAATGCTTTGTGTGTGTGCATGACTCGAGCAAATCGCTTTCTCCTGCCATTTGCCCGCTGGCGTGGCGGTAAGAATGCTTTGAGCTTGGATTTAAGATGAGGTAGACAGGTCTTGACTTGAGAAGATGTGGATTTGAGATCCAGTGGTCTGACCTGAGGTTCACACTTGGCTTTTGTGAGTAGCAGTTTCTTTGGGGGCTAATGTGTGCTCTGCCGTCTCACTGAGGCGCTGTGAGGATCAAACGAAGGGATACGCGTGAGAGTGTCTTGAACGCTGCACCCATTCCCACAAACCTGAAGCGTCACGGACATGCTGCTAGGTTTATTTTCCACCGGGTCACCCGCCCTGACTGCCCCTACTGGGACGGGCAGCTGGAGAAGCGGGAGGCCTGAGAGAAGGACAAGGGAGCGTCCCACTTCGGGACGTTCGCAAGGTCTCCAAACTGATGGGCTGTGTAGCCCCCAGCTTGTTTCTGTCCAGTGCTGTTGACTGAGCATTCTGCCTCACATGCAGCTTCCACTGGATGGCTTCCGTGGCCTCAGGAGCTCTATGAATCCCGTGTTCTTAACTTGCTGTCATTTCAGAACTGCGGGGGCTTGTCAGTGTTTCGGCATGGTGGATCCATTTAATCCTCACGGAGTTTCTCCTTGGCTGTGTCCCTGGGGACAGATTTTCTGTCAGCCACCCTGTATTAAACATGCATACAGACCTCAGGTTCAGGATGTAGGAGGGTACGTGAGGTGAAGTGAATTAAACGAATTCCTGTGGAGAGCTGTTTGCCCTCCAACGTACTCTGCACTTTCTTCAGAGGCGATCTTTCTTCAGGGGAGAAAGAAAAGCCCTTTTTAGGACAGATAACTGGGCAATGTGGCTCACACCCATGCCACAGCTTAGTGTGTAAGATTGAGCTTGTACTGTGTTTGCTTGTTACAGCAGAAGTCAAATCGGTCTCCTGAAATGCAGCTGGTGCCGCTCAGCAATGCATCGCCTTGTCAGGGTCCTGCAGCAACGGTGCTTACCTGTTACAGTCGTGATGGAAGCTTTTGTTTCCACAAACCAGTAAATTCTCCAGTCTCCCTCACAGAGACCCTGAACACTGCGGTGGAGAGGAGACTCGGGTGTCCGACACTGGATCTGAGCCTCTGCCGTCCGCCCTCTGTCCTCTGGTGCACCTTGCTTTAAGCATCCATGTGGTTAACTCCTTGGCGGTCACACCGATGTGGTTTTACCGTGAGGGTGTTCATGCGTGGGGGGCTGAAGACTCATGTCCTTCTGTTCATGTTGGTGCTGCAGAGCTGGCTGAGGCACCACGGGTGGGGATGTGAGGAGGCCGTGCAGCCCAGGGGTGGCTCGTGAGTTTAAGGCTTCCCAGGTGTGCTTGCTGCTAGCAATGAGGGGCCACCCACTGGGGTGACTGTTAGCCACCTCTATCCAGGGTACTGCAGTCATTCTTCTTTCCACTTCCTTTTACCTTTTTGTCTATCCTCTTCAATGTGGCAGGCACAAAGTTAGCTACTAAAAATGCAAAAGGTGCCGTAAGAAGAAGGGCGCTTTTGGTAGAGAGGATTTAATCCAAGAAAGATTTTCTTACTCTTTATTCTGTGGCAAGATTCTAAAACATGACTGAGGCACGGTCTTTGCCTTTCAGGAGTTTATATTCTAAGAGGAAAGTTTAAAATTACACACAGTACTATATTACAAGGCAGAACCATTTTGGAACTCTAAGACCCTGGGAAAGTTGCTGAACTTCTCTGAGTTTCAACTTCCTCATCCTTAAAGGGGCCATGAAAATTCACCTCAAAGCATTATTATGAAGTTGCTTAAGATGGAATAAGAATGTTTTTCTTTCAACTGATGTGTATCGTCTTTTCAGATGGCCACTATGTTATTGGGACATAAGTACTTATTAAGTTGTTTGTATTTCACTGCTTAATAAATGAGACTACTAGGTATTTCTTTTGGCCTAGAGACTATGTGAAAGTTACCACAATGCTAAAGACAACATGAACCAAGTTCATTGACTGTAAGATGCCTTTAGTCTATACTTTACTTTTATTTTCTATATCACGAAGAAAGAATAACAGTGCCAATTCCCTATAAATTAATGCCTTTAAGAGAGTACTTTCAAACATGTGAGTTAGCCATGCCAGCCTCTCCTGGTCTGCACTTTCTTTCGTCTGTGCTGGAGGACTTGTCCATTTCTCTTGCCTCCAGACATATTGTTTGGCCTGTGATATGGTTTGGCTCTGCATCCCCACCCATAACTCACACTGAATTGTAATTCCCAATGTTGGAGGTGGGACCTGGTGGGAGGTGATTAGATCAATAGGGGTGGTTTCTAATGGTTTGGCACCATCCCTCTAGTGCTGTCTCGTGATAGAGTTCTCACAAGATCTGATTGTTTGGAAGTGCGTGTCACCTCTCCACCCCCTCTCCTGCTTGCCATGTGAAGATGTGCTCGCTTCCCCTTTGCCTTCTGCCATGATTGTAAGTTTCCTGAGGCCTTCCCAGAAGCATAAGCCTGTACAGCCCGCAGAACTGTGAGCCAGTTAAACCTCTTTTCTTTATAAATTACCCAGTCTCAGCCGGGCATGGTGGCTCACGCCTGTAATCCCAGCACTTTGAGAGGCTGAGGTGGGCGGATCACGAGGTCAGGAGATTGAGACCATCCTGCCTAACATGGTGAAACCCCATCTCTACTAAAAATACAAAAAATTAGCCAGGCATGGTGTGGGTGCCTGTAGTCCCAGCTACTCGGGAGGCTGAGGCAGGAGAATGGCGTGAACCCAGGAGGCGGAGCTTGCGTGAGCGGAGATCACACCACTGCATCCAGCCTGGGTGACACAGCAAGACTCCGTCTCAAAAAATAATAATAAAAATTTAAAAATAAATAAATAAATAAATTACCCAGTCTCAGGTGTATCTTTATACCAGTGTGAGAACAGACTAATACAGAAAATTGGTACCAGGAATGGGGTATTGCTATAAAGTTACCTGAAAATGTGGAAGCAACTTTGGAACTGGGTAACGGGGTAACGGGTAGAGGCTGGAATAGTTTGGAGGGCTCAGAAGAAGATAGGAAGATGAGGGAAAGTTTGGAACTTCCTAGAGACTTGTTGAATGGTTGTGACCAAAATGCTGATAGTGATATGGACAGTGAAGTCCAGGCTGAGGTGGTCTCAGATGGAGATTAGGAATTCATTGGGCACTGGAGTAAAGGTCACTCTTGCTACGCTTTAGCAAAGAGACTGGCAGCATTGTGCCCCTTCTCTGGGGATCTGCAGAACTTTGAACTTGAGAGAGATGATTTAGGGTATCTGGCAGAAGAAATTTCTAAGCAGCGAAGCATTCAAGATGTGACCTGGCTTCTACCAGCATATGCTCTTATTCATGAGCAAAGACATTATCTGAAACTGGAGCTTAAATTTAAAAGGGAAGCAGGCCAGGCGCAGTGGTTCACACCTGTAATCCCAGCACTTTGGTAGGCTGAGGCGGGTGGATCACTTGAGGTCAGGAGTTTGAGACCAGCTGGCCAATATGGTGAAACCCTGTCTCTACCAAAAACACAAAAAGTTAGCTAGGCCTGGTGGTGCATGACTATAATTCCAGTTACTTGGGAGGCTGAGGCACAATAACTGCTTGAACCCAGGAGGCAGAGGTTCCAGTGAGCCAAGATCACACCATTGCACTCCAGCCTGGGTGACAGAGTGAGACTCTGTCTCAAAAAAAAAAAAAAAAAAAAAAAAGAAAGCATAGCATAAAAGTTTGGAAAATTTGCAGCCTACCCAGCGGCAGAAATTTTCATAAGTAAAGAGGAGCCAAATGCTAATAGTCAAGACAATGGGGAAAATGGCTCTAAGGCATTTCAGAGTCCTTTGTGGCAGCCCCTCCCATCACAGACCTGGAGGCCTAGGAGGAAAAAAATGGCTTCACGGACCAGACCCAGGGCCTTGCTGCTCTGTGCAGCCTGAGGACATGGCACCCTGCATTGTGGCTGCTCCAGCTCCAGCTGTGGCTCAAAGGGCCCCAGATATGTCTCAGGCTGCTGCTCCAGAGGGTGCAAGCCACAAGCCTTGGCAGCTTCTATGTGGTGTTAGGCCTGCAGGTGTGGAAAGGGCAAGAGTTGAGGCTTGGGAGTCTCAGCTTAGATTTCAGAGGATGTATGGAAACACCTGGATGTCCAGGCAGAAGTCTGCTGCAGGGGCAGTGCCCTCATGGAGAACCTCTACTGAGGCAGTGTGATGGGAAAATGCGGGGTTGGAGACCCCACACAGAGTCCCCACTGGGTACTGCCTAGTAGAGCTCTGAGGGGAGAGCCACCATCCTCCAGACCCCAGAATGGTAGATCCATTGACAGCTTGTACTGTGTGCCTGGAAAAGCTGCAGGTACTCAACACCAGCCCATGAAAGCAGCCATGGGGGCTGTACCCTGCAGAGTGTTACAAGGGTAGAGCTGCCCAAGGCCTTGGGAGCCCACTGCTTGCATCAATGTGGCCTGGATGTGAGACATGGAGTCAAAGGAGATTATTTTGGAGCTTTAAGATTTAATGACTGACCTACTGGGTTTCAGACTTCCGTGGGGCCCATAGCCCCTTTGTTTTGGCCAGTTTCTCCCTTTTGGAATGTGAGCATTTACCCAATGCCTGTACCCCCATTGTATCTTGGAAGTAACTAACTTGCTTTTGATTTTACAGGCTCATAGGTGAAAGGGACTTGCCTTGTCTTGGTTGAGACTCTGGACTTGCACTTTTGAGTTAATGCTGGAATGACTTTGGGGGACTGTTAGTCATGATTGCGTTTTAGAATGTGAAAATGACGTGAGATTTGGGAGGGGCCAGGGACAGAATTATATGGTTTGGCTCTGTGTCCCCACCAAAATCTCACATTGAATAGTAATTCCCAATGTTGGAGGTGGTTCCTGGTGTGAGGTGATTGGATCAATGAGGGTGGTTTCTCATGGTTTGGCACCATCCCCCTAGTGCTGTCTTGTGATAGAGTTCTCTTGAGATCTGGTTATTTGAAAGTGTGTAGCACCTTCCTCTTCCCCCACTCTCCTGCTGGCCATGTGAAGATGAGCCTTCTTCCTCTTCACCTTCCGCCATGATTGTAGGTTTCCTGAGGCCTTCCCAGAAGCAGAAGCCTGGGCAGCCCGCAGAACCATGAGCCACAGCCTGTGATAAGCAGATCTTGGTGAGAGGTAACCAGGCTTCTCTACCCATGGGTATCCTCCTTTCTTATGTCTCAAGAAGCTTTTTGTTGCTGATTTGAAGTGAAATAATGGAATTTTGGTCACTTCTTCAATCAAAACATTTGATTCAGTAATGTAAAATGTAGATTCATGCCTTTCTGTGTACAGTTGAAACTGTGTTTCAATGCTGAATCGTGCTGTCATCTTTTTGGTGACATGGCAGTTAAACTCAGCGTGTATATACCACCAAAGCACATTACTCAGTTGGAGTGACAAGAACAGGACAACTAGGACGAAGTTCTGCCATTTGGAGACTGTAACAACTGTATCGTGACTGTGGTTTGGCTGCCAGCATTGAGATTCCTATTTGGATTTTGGAGTCATTAGCTGGGATGAGATGTGTGCTTGTGTCATCTTGAATGCCCACTTTAGCTGACTGGTGGTGGCCTCCCAGGACCGTACACTTCGTTTGAGAGGATTGTGAGACCATCCATGGGAAAGAGCTCCATTGCCTCATCACTCATGTCCTCCAGTTGGTCTCCAGGTGAGGAAGAGGTGGGGCATGTGTGTGAGGATGAGGATTTGCCCTCCCAGCCTTAGAGAACATTCAGAAGGCCACTGTAATTGAGGTCAGGGCGGTGCAGTGAGACGGCAGAGTGTCACGGATGTAAAAGATTATTGCAGAGGAAGATGTAAGACTTGTCACTGAATTAGACCTGGGAGGTGACTGTGGCTTTGAGTCTGGCTGACTGGCAGCACATAGCTGTAGCAGTTGTGTAAACAACTAAGTTAGGGGCTGGATGGAGGGGAGGGTGGATGGAGCCATTTTTGGACCTGCTGACTTTGAGGTGGCTAGTCTATCCAAGCAGTTATAAATGTGGCACTGGAACTTCTTTCAAGAAGTTTGGCAAAGAATAGAAATTGGGCAGTAATTGGAGGGAGCAGCAGTGTCAAAGGAAACATGGAGACAGGTTGGCAAGGGCCTAAGATGTGCGAGAGAGGAGGGTGATTCATGGGGCAAGATCCCAGCAGTTGCAAGAGGGGAAGGGATTGAGAGTAAGGTGACAGAGTTAGCCTGGAATTACTCATGCTATGTGGGTAGATGACAGGTAGCCAGCCCCTTGCTCTTCATGTAGGCTGAGGTGCTCATTAGCCCTTCCATTCTCCGTCCTTTTCACCCCCCAGTTGTCTGGTCCCTCTCTCCTTGCATCTGAGTGTGCTTTCCTGCTAGGCCATCCTGGCTTGCACATCGTGCTCTGCCATGGTTCCTCCTCTCCATTCCAGTGTCCCCCAAGGGAACGGTTTCCTCTGCCGTGAAGCAGAGGCCATTCTCCTTACGGCCTCCTGATCCCTGTCTCAGCCTTTCTCGGTGCCCAAAGAATTTCTGTGAAGCTGTCTCATGCTTTCCAAACTTTCTTAACTTAACTAGATCCTTTTCTTCTTCCAATCAGAATCTTTCAACCAGTCTGCCTTCCTCTCAGGCCTTTTCTTTCTCCTGCTTTCTGTGTTCTTCTCCCATTCGTGGCCCTCCGGCCCCCTGTGGACCCTTCGTCATCATCACATCCCTTCGTAAAGTCATGCCCATTTCCAGTTTTGAGGACTTCTCGGAATAAATGTTAGTATATCTAAAACTCAATTATGTTTTGGTTACTCACGTTCCAGCCCAGTGACTTATACTCAAGCCATAAAGCAGTGGATTTTAATGGCTGAAAGGTCAGCTGGAAATCATCTAATCCTGCGCTTCCCAACATCTGTTCTTCCTGAGAGGTTAATAGGCACTTGGAGGAAAAAAAGGTTGTGTGATCAAGTAAGTTTGAGAAATGCTGGTTTCCACCAAATTAAACACATTTTTTTAAAACCACAGAGGTTTAATGTGTTCATATGCCGTGTGACTCCCTCAGGAGCAGGAGGGAGTGTATCCCATGCTTATTTGTGGAACCCTTCGTCAGAGGGCACCATCGATCTGTCCTCTGCCACGTTTAGTGGACGAGCACACTCGCACACCCTGAGCGTCTGATGTCAGTCACTGAGGTTGCTCATCTTAGATAGGCTCTGGGGACTGTTTTGTAGCTCCAGCAGGAGCCATTGTGACAGTGCCAGTTGCTGTGATGTTTGTGAATCTTTAACCATGCGTTTAGCAAAAGTTTTGGCTCTGCTGTGAACTGGTGCCAAGGGAAAACTGCTCTGAACTTTCCCAAATGAAAAATAAGAATTAGACAGGCAATCTGGTGAGACCATAGCCAGTGACACGCCTTTTACTAAGGAACACCGAGCAGCGCACTGTGGCCCCAGGAGGAAGCTGGACTCTCACTCCTGAGCCGGGAGTTCCAAGCCCTTCCGATTCAATTCCATTTCCCACATCTCTCCTGGATGAGCCCGGCATCACGGCCGGTCAGAGCCGCCTGCTGTTTTCCTGAGCATGACGTCCGAAGAGCCACACTTGTGGTCCTCGTGATGCCTTGCTGCTGTTGGCAGTGCCCTTTTGCAGCTACAAGCCTGGGGGACGACCACGTTTACTCAAGATTCACACCTCCCAGCCTCTCCAAGCAGGCTGCTTTCTCCTCAGAGCTCCCAAAGACACCTCTACACAAAAATTCCGATTTAAAACCTAGTGCGTTCCTTTAACTATTTGGTTTTAGTTTGTCCTCCTCAGTGGACCCCCATCTTTGAGGGCAGAAACCCCCTTCCATACACCACTGTGCCCGTGGCCCTGCCCTCATGAAGGGCTCGGCCTGGAGCAGGTGTGGGCAAATTTTGTGCGATGAATGAGTCCTCCCTGGTGAGGCTGACTGGCCAGCAGATGCTGCAGGAGAGCTACCCATGTGGGAGGTTCCTGGAAGCCTTTCAGAGACAAATGGCATTTGAGAAGGACTTGGAGGAAACCCCTGAACTGGCAAGCGAGAGAGGGAAAAACCCTTCCAGGTGAAGGTCGAGTGGAAAGGTAGATAGAGGTGTGGCAGGGAATAAAGGAACAGAGATGGTAGGAGAGATTCCATCCTGGGCAGAGCAGAGAAGCCAGGTGGGGCAGAGGAGCGAAGGAGACCAGCGATCGGGCAGGAGAAAGAGTGGAAGGAAGGTCTTGAAGGAGAAGTGCCAGGAGGTGGACAGGGCCATGCAGCTGCAGGGGCACAGTTCCCATACGACCTCCAGCTGCCCAGTGGTTTTCTGGCAGTCCCTCAGCCAGATGTTTGTATAGTACCCAGGCCAGGTGCTGCCTGGCTCTCAAACATTTGAATAACTGAAACCATCTCAGAGGAGGTTGTATTTTTAGCCAGGGGCTGTGGTAGGCAATAGTTCCAGTCGTCCTGGCTACTAGAGTGGCAGGGAGGCTCTGGTGTCTGAGTAGGCGTTGGATTCTCATTCTGACTTGCCTCTGACAGGCTGAGATGCTGGGAAAGCCCCTCGATCCTTCCAGATCACCTGCCTGAGTGGTGGGGGGGCAGGGGTTGCAGTCTGAGTTTGGTCTCTTTCTGAGGGGGCAATGGTAGAAGTTTCCCTTATGTGGCAATGGGAGGGAAGGGGCCGGTTGGGAGAATCCTTATTTCTCCTTGATGATGGGCATTGGTTCTTAACCCACGGGAACAATTTATCAGCTTCATTGATCCCTAATGGTTCAGGGTAAAACCTGCTACACAAGGTCACAGTCCAAAAAGGACCCATGTCTTTTTTTTTTTTTTTTTTTGAGACGGAGTCTCTCTCTTGTCACCCAGGCTGGAATGCAGTGGTGCGATCTCAGCTCACTGCAACCTCCGCCTCTCTGGTTCAAGCGATTCTCCTGCTTCAGACTCCTGAGTAGCTGGGATTACAGGCACCTACCATCACGCCTGGCTAAGTTTTGTATTTTTACTAGATATGGGGTTTCACCATGCTGGCCAGGCTGGTCTTGAACTTCTGACCTCAGGTGATCCACCTGCCTTGGCCTCCCAAAGTGCTGGGATTACAGGCATGAGCCACCACACCCGGCCTCATATGTCTTTTGACCCCTGGGGTGCTGCTAGCTATCAAACTGGGCAGTCAAATGTGGGATGCATTCCTTTCAATGCTGCCTCGTATCTGCTCATTCACTGAGCAGAAGAAGCTTTATGCTCCAACAGGGACTCACGGACAAAGACCAGTTTTTTCAATTATCAGATAGGTTCACAAACATTATTGTTTTTTAAAAATTTATGGTAAAATGTACTTAACAAAATTTTCCATTTCAACCATTTTTAAGTGTACAGTTCTGTGGCATTGGGCACATTCACACTGCTGTGTAATCATCACCACGTCCATCTCCAAAACTTTTCCATCTTCCCCAACTGAAATTCTGTTCAGAATTAACACTATTGTTTAATTAACATAAAACAATAACTTCCCATCCTTCCTGCCTTCCAGCCCCTGACAACCACTTCTTTCTGTCTGCTTCTACTTTCCTGCGTATGTATGTATGTATTTATTTTTGAGACAGGGTCTTGCTCTGTTACCCAAGTTGGAGTGCAGTGGTGCAACCACAGCTCACTGCAGGCTCAAACTTCTGGGCTTAAGCAGTCCTCCCACCTCAGCCTCCTAAGTAGCTGGGACTACAGGTGTGTGCCACCACACTCTGCTAATTTTTTAGTTTTTATTTTTTGTATAGACAGGGTCTCACCATGTTGACCAGGCTGGTCTCAAACTCCTGGGCTCAAGTGATCCTCCCACCTCAGCCTCCCGAAGTGCTGGATTACAGGCGCGAGCCACCACATCGGGACCTACTTTCTATCTATGAGTTTATCTATTATAAATACCTCTTAGAAGTGGAATTATAAAATATGTCCTTTTGTGTCTGGCTTATTTTGCTTAGCATCTATGTTTCATCCATGGATGAAACTTTTTTTTTTTTGAGACGGAATCTTGCTCTGTCGCCCAGGCTGGAGTCCAGTGGCGCAATCTCGGCTCACTGCAAGCTCTGCTTCCCGGGTTCACGTCATTCTCCTGCCTCAGCCTCCCAAGTAGCTGGGACTACAGGTGCCTGCCCCCACGCCTGGCTAATTTTTTGTATTTTTAGTAGAGACGGGGTTTCACCGTGTTAGTCAGGATGGTCTCGATCTCCTGACCTTGTGATCCACCCGCCTCAGCCTCCCAAAGTGCTGGGATTACAGGCGTGAGCCACCTCGCCTGGCCCATGGATGAAACTTAGCAATATTTCATCCATGTCGTAGCATGCATCAGAATTTCCTTCCTTTTTTAAGGCTGAATAATATTCCATTGCATGTGTATACAACATTTTGTTTATCCCCCAATAGAATATTACTTTTTTATTTTTTAACTTCAATTTTTATTTGTAGTTGACAAATAACAATTGTAAATTTACAGGGTACAATGTGATGTTTCGATATATGTATACCTTGTGGAATGATTATATCAAGCTGACACATCTATCACCTCACATACTTATCCTTTTTTGTAGTGAGTGCATTTAAAATCTATTGTTTTAGCAATTTTGAGATATATAATACATTATTATTAACTGTGGTTGCCATGCTGGGTAATAGATCTTGAAGAATTATTCCTCCTGTCTAACTGGAACTTTCTACCCTTTGGTCAACATCTGTGCATTCCCCACCCCTCACCCCCAGTATCTGGTAACCACCATTCTACACTGTAATTCTATAAGTTTGACTTTTTAAGATACCACACATAAGTGATATTATATGGTATTTATCTCTCTTGCCTGGCTTATTTCACTCAGCATAGTATCCTCCAGGTTCATTCATGTTGTCAGAAATGACAGGATTTCCTCCTTTTTAAAGGCTGTTAGTAATCCATTGTATATATGCCACATTTTCTTTATCCATTCATCCATTGATGGACACTTAGGTTGATTCCATATCTTGGTTATTATGAATAATGCTGAAATGAACATGGGAGTGCAGATACCTAGTCAACATACTGATTCCAATGATTTTGGATCTATATCCATAAGTGGGATCACTAGATCATATGGTAATTCCATTTTTAGGCTTTAAAAAATTTATGAACAACAGAAATTCATTTCTCAGTTCTGGAGGCTGGGAAGTTCAAAAGACAGGCACCAGCAGGTTTGGCCTCTGGTGACGGCTTGTTCTCCACTTCCAAGATGGTGCCTTCTTGCTGTGTCCTCACATGGCAGAAGGGGTGGAAGAGGGAAGGAGCAAGAGCACTCCTCTCAGCCATTCTTATAAGGGGCTGAATCACTTCCCAAAAGGCCCTACCTCTTAGTACTATCACCTTGGGGGTTAAGCTCCAACATATTAATTTGGGGGGTATAGACATACATTCAGACCATAGCATTCCAGCTGTGGCCCCCTTAAACTCATGTCCTTCTTACACAAAAAATACATTCGTTCTTCGTTCTATCTCAGTAGCCTTAAGAGTTTTTTTTTTTTTTTTTTTTTTTTGACGAAGTTTCGCTCTTGTTGCGCAGGCTGGAGTGCAATGGTGCAATCTGAGCTCACCTCAACCTCCACCTCCCAGGTTCAACCGATTCTCCCTCCTCAGCCTCCCGAGTAGCTGGGATTACAGGCATGTGCCACCATGCCTGGCTAATTTTGTATTTTTAGTAGAGATGGGGTTTCTCCATGTTGGTCAGACTGGTCTCAAACTCCCGACCTCAGGTGATCTGCCCACCTCGGCCTCCCAAAGTGCTGGGATTACAGTCATGAGCCACCACGCCTGGCCTTTTTTTTTTTTTTTTTTTTTTTTTGAGACAGAGTTTTGCTCTTGTTGCCTAGGCTGGAGTGCGATGGTGTGATCTCAGCTCACTGCAAACTCCGCCTCCTGGGTTCAAGCAATTCTCCTGGCTCAGCCTCCCAAGCGGGGATTACATGCATGTGCCACCACGCCCGGCTAATTTTGTATATTTAGTAGAGACGGGGTTTCTCCAGGTTGGTCAGGCTGGTTTCGAACTCCCGACCTCAGGTGATCCGCCCGCCTCAGCCTCCCAAAGTGCCGGGATTACAGGCGTGAGCCACTACGCCCGGCCTGAGCCACCGCGCCCCTCCAAGAGTCTTAACTTCTTCCAGCACCAACTCAAAAGTCCAAAAACCAGAATCTCATCTAAACCAGACACAGATGAGACTCAAAGGTTTGTTTCATCCTGAGGCAAACTGCTCTCCAGCTGTGAACCCATGAAATCAAACAAGTTAATGTGCTTCCAAAATACAATGGTGGGACATGTATAGGATAGATGTTCCCATTCCAAAAGGGAGAAATAAGAAGAAAGGGGTTGCAAGTAAGTCCAAAACCCAACAAGAAAAACAACAAGTCTTGAGATTAATCTTTGCTTGATGCTGATCTTGTGAACACAGTGGGGGCAGAGTATTTTTAGTTTTGGGGAAAACTCCATATTATTGATTTCTAAAGTTTCTTTAGCTAAGGTCTTCAGCATATTTTTTAAGTACCTGATAATGTCTCTGTCTTCCCCATTAAACTGTAAGCTCCTTGATGAGTTTATTCACCTTTGTGCCTCTAGCTCAGTGCCAGGTGGTCAATAATGTGTGTTAAATGAATAAATGGCTGGTGCTCTGATTTGAATATTTGCCCAAGAATCAGAACCGAGCTCTTCACTGGAACCTGATCTTCTACCTAAAACCAAGTCACGAATTTTTACTTCTCTGGCCCCACCCCCACTTTTTTTTTTGAGATGGAGTCTTGCTCTGTCACCCAGGCTGGAGTGCAGTGGCACGTTCTTGGCTCACTGCAAGCTCCGCCTCCCGGGTTCATGCCATTCTCCTGCCTCAGCCTCCCAAGTAGCTGGGACTACAGGCGCCCGCCACCACGCCTGGCTAATTTTTTGTATTTTTAGTAGAGACAGGGTTTCACCGTGTTAGCCAGGATGGTCTCGATCTCCTGACCTTGCGATCCACCTGCCTCGGCCTCCCAAAGTGCTGGGATTACAGGCGTGAGCCACCGCGTCCGGCCGAGCCTTTTTATTAGGGACATAATATTCACTCCTAGATTTTTTGCCTGATCCCACAGTCTTTGAGCTCCTCAGGCTGAGACTGCTATTGAAACACTCAGGATTAAAATACTAACATCTTCATGTTTTCCTCCAGAATCTTTCTTGAATTTACGAAATTCGAAAGCTGCTCCATTGGAAACCATTCAGGAATTGTCATGGGTTTAGGTTAAAAACAAAACAAAACAAAACAAAACAACACAGCAGTTGTGCCATGGAAAGCAGATCACTTGAAACAGGTCTTCCTTTTCTGTTTTCTTGTAGCCGGGTCCTCCTCCCTGAAGCCTCCACTCCTGTCTTCTCTGATGCCGGACTTGTGTCTTTCCTCTACTTTTTCTCCGTCCTTTTCTGAGACCCTAAATTACAGTATGTCTGCCTGTAGTGTTCTTTTCTTTTTTCTATATAATGTTTAACTGCATCTAAGCTATTGTCTCTATATGGATGATTTCCAAAACTTAATCTCTGGCTCCCAAGCTTCACGGCTGTGCTCCAGCTGCCTCTGGATCTCTCTCTCTGGAGAGGTTCAACGTGCCTGAGACTGGGACTGCATTTCCTCCACATCTCAGCATTCTCCCTGGGAACCCATTTTTACTCCTTCTCCCCAGCCTCCCATTGGTTACTCACAAGTGTTTACTGAGCTCTCGCTGTGTGCTAGGCACCACTCTAGCTGCTTAATTAGCTGGCTAACCCAACAATTCAAAAATCAGCTGCCAAGCCTACAATATGCAGTCTTTAACGGCTCTCCTTTTGCGTCTACTTTATGTATGGTTTCCCAGAGCTGCGGGAACAAAGTACCACCAAGCTGGGGAGCTTCAAACAACAGAAATTTACTTTCTCACAGTTCTGGGGGCCCAAAGTCCAAGATCAAGGTGTTGGCAGGATTGGTTCCTTCTGAGGCTGTGAAGAGAAGCTGCTCCAGGCCTCTCTCCCCACATGTGGTGATTTGCTGACCGTCTTTGGCATTCCTAGACTGCAGAACATCACTCAGTCCCCAACCTTCCTGGGGCCTTCTCTCTCTGTTTTCGCACTGTCTTCAGAAAGACAGTGCATGTCTGTCTCTGTGTTCAGATATCCCCTAAGGTCATTTTCAGAGGAACCGGAAGTTAGGACATCAACATATCATTTTGGGGAGACACAGTTGAACCTGTAACACCCAGTTATCTCTCCTTTACTTTCAGATGTCTGTCTTTTCTGGGCACAGTTAGTCCTCTGGGCTGCCTTTGCCCTGCACTTTTTTTTTTCCCCCAAGACGGAGTTTCACTCTTATCACCCAGGCTGGAGTACAGTGGGGTGATCTTGGCTCACTGCAACCTCCGCCTCCTGCATTTAAGTAATGCTCCTGCCTCAGCCTCCAGAGTAGCTAGGATTACAGGCGGGCACCACCACACACAGCGGGTTTTTGTATTTTTAGTAGAGACAGCGTTTCACCATGTTGGCCAGGCTGGGCTTGAACTCCTGACCTCATGATCTGCCTGCCTCAGCCTCCCAAAGTGCTGGGATTAAAGGCGTGAGCCACCGTGCCCAGCCTGCCCTGCACTTCTTTTAGCACCATTAGCTTCTGTCACTGGGTGTCTGTAGCCGTGCTAGGTCAGCCAGAACTATGTCTTTATCTTTCCACCCTCAGGGCCTAGAATAGTACATATTTCACACTGCCAGGCATTCCTGAATGCCTGGATGGACGGTCATTGAAATGAATGAATGGATGGGCGGATGGATGGACAGATGGATGGATGGATGGAATAACTAAGGGAGTTTGTCTTGATTTACCTTGCCAACCTTAGATCCCATCATTCCCATTCAAGCAGTCTGTCCTTCACCAAATGTTTGGGTTCAGTTCTCCATACTCTTCCCTTTCTTTCTCCCCTCAAGTTCAGGTTCCAGCCCTCATCCAAGGCCCAGCTCAAGTTCCGCTTCAGTGCTGCTGCCTCCCCTGAGATGTTTGCCTTTTCCTAACTCTCACAATATTGTATTGGTGCCTTTTCTGTGGCACTCTTTGCTTCGGCTTTGGATTATAGTAATTTATCCCAGAACTCTTTCGTTAAAAGGGATCTGACATATGGACTAAGACCAAAATATCTGTGTTGGATCACTTGGGGACATTTTTAAAATTACTACAGATCCCTGAACCCCACACTTAAGATTCCGATGAGCAAGTCTGGGGTGGGTCCCTGGAATATGTACTTCTAAAAGCTTCCCCAGGCAATTGTGATACTCAGCCACGTTTGGGAACCATTAATCCAGTCCAACCTCCTCATTTTATTTATGGGGAAACTGAGGTCCAAAATTGTTAAATTATTTCCCCAAGATCACTTAATTAGTGGCAGAGGCATCCAATTATGTGGTTATGGTTGTCCTAGCTTTTTAATCAGATTTAAGCAGTTCAGAAGCAGTGCCTGTACTTTGCTCATCTTTGTGACCTGTGTAAGTACCACCTGTGCACCTCAGTCAAGACAGGCCATTCACAGTAAGTGCCACTATTAGTGACACAATAGGTGGCTACACTGCACGCTCCAAGGAGACAGATGCCAGGTCTGTTCCTACTAACGTTTATTTCCAGCACCTCACACAGTGCCTGACATGTAGTAAGGTGCTTAATTAATATTGATCAAATGAACAAAGCATCTGCTATACGCCAGGCACTATAGTAGAAGCTTTACATACATCATCTCATTTCGTGTATTCCAACTACAACCCTGTGAAGAAGGCTTTCATATTCTCATTTTAAAGACGAAGAAACAGGGCCGGGCACGGTCACACCTGTAATCCCAGCACTTTGGCAGGCCAAGGTGGGTGGATCACCTGAGGTCAGGAGTTCGAGACCAGCCTGGCCAACGTGGTGAAACCCCATCTCTCCTAAAAATAGAAAAATTAGCCAGGCGCGGTAGCATGCACCTGTAATTCCAGCTACTCAGGAGGCTGAGGCAGGAGAATTGCTTGAACCTGGTAGGTGCAGGTTGCAGTGAGCCGAGATTACGCCACTGCACTCCAGCCTAGGCGACAGAGTGAGACTCTGTCTCAAAAAAATATAAATAAATAAATAAATAAATAAATAAATAAAGATGAGGAAACAGGACCAGAGGCTAGGTCGTCTGCTCTATGTCACGCAGGAAACAATCAGCATAACTGAGCTCTAAAGCCCATTGCTCTTTCTACAGTGCTGCAGGATGGCCATGCTCCACCCTCCGTGCTCTTCAGAAAGCTGGGGGTCATTCCAAAACAATATATGGGGAGAGGTATTCAAAAGCCCCAAATGTTTAGAAGCCTCAGTTTTGTTCTCAGCTCTAACATAGCCTTGCTGCTCCATGAGGTAATGTAAAAGGTAGTTCTACTGCAACTTGTATTGTGTATGTTCTAGAACATTCAGTACTCCTACCACTTGCATGCTTATATGTGTATGACTCGATACTATCAAAAGCTTTACAAGTATTTCATCCTCTTTCCCTTGTGTGTGTGTGTGTGTGTGTGTGTGTGTGTGTGTGTGTGTGTGTGTGTGTGTTTAATGCTATTAAAATTCTCCTCCCTTTGTAGGGCAGCAGTGCCAGGACTAGGGCAAACAGAGTTCAAAGAGTGTCCCGGCATGAACTATTCTAATACCAGGTTTCAGATATGAGCTAATGGCTGAGAAACAGGAGTCAGGGATGTGAGTTGGCCCCACACACCTAGTCCCCTGCCCAGACCACTTGCGCAGTGAGTGGGTTCTTTTGTACCAGAGGAATCGCGTGCCAGGGACCCAGCCTCTAAAAATGACAGGGTTCTGACTCCACTGTCAGGCATGAGAGGGAGACCGAAGTCGCCACATCCCAGAGACTGAGTTTCAGCTCCGCCATCTGAAATGTTTCTGTTTTTTTCTTTCCAATTTGATGTTTTCCTTGGATGCTGGCCTTGAGTTTATACTCCATGTAGACAGTTTCCTCATTCCTCGTGGCCTCCTTTTCATTGCTGTTGCTTCCTCAATCGGTCCTTAGTGAAACGCCAATCTCAGTGGTGTGGGAACGAGTATGAGAGACCTCGCTCTAGGTGCTCGCACGGAACTTCCGGCCCCACAAGCTGACGCCCCACCGTGTCCTCCGTGGCTGCCTCCACCTGCCCCTGCAGCTTTCAAATATGTCTGTCATTGCTTTCAAATTCTCACTTATCTTCCCTTCTTTTTTTAAATTAAAAAAAAATGTTTCAGAGGCAGGGTCTTGCTGTGTTGCCAGGCTGGAGTGCAGTGGGACCATCGTGGCTCACTGCAGCCTTAAACTCTGGGGCTCAAGTGATCCCCCTCCTCAGCATCACAAGTAGCTGGGACCACAGGCGTGCACCATCATGCCTATTTCATTCGTTTAAATTGCCTTGAACAGAATTACATTAATAAGGGCTCTGATCTCATAAATAACCCAAGATTCCTTGGTGTTGAGGCTGGAATCACAGAGCCACCTCCTAGAAAGGCCCATCGAAGCCTTGGGGGAGCCTCAGAACTGCAGGCTTAGGGCGGCTGATGGTTCTTTTCCTCCTGTCTGTGCCAGGGTAGCAAACTGCATATCACAGCAGATTACTTGGAAGATAACTAAATGAGATATAGGGATGAACTCCTTGGGATGCTGGGATATCAGTGTTGGATTTCATAATATGCAACCACTTTTATGGTGAGGGATTTGGAAGCCAACTGCTGTCGGAATTACTGAAGGTGCCAACATGAGGCCAATATACGCAATATAGGCAAAACCTATTTATAGTAATGTCCCAAACACCATCCAAATTCTTTTGCAGTATAATACTAAACTGTTGCTGATTAAATCTTACTGAAGTCTGTAGACCATAAGCTGGGTTTGAATTTTTTTAAAAAGTAAATTTTCTCTGTAGCAATACATTTAATGGAATCTGATCTATATTACTTCTGCCAAGAAGGAATTCAGAATTACCAATTGGAGTTAATGTGGTACAAAGAACTAGAAACCTCTCATTCTCAGGAAATGGACAGGGCAGGGGGAGTCCTTAATGAAAACACTGTGTCAGTAATTTTTGTGGCTTAAGATCACCACGTGTAGTTCCATGGGTTCAGAATAGATTCTCAGAGATGGGGGTTATAGTAGAAAGAGCAAAGGATTAAGCATCAGGAACCAGATTTACCCCTAGTCCCGTAACCCTGGGTAATTTACCTGCCTTCTTTGTGTTCCCATTTCCTCACCTATAGGAATGGAGGGATTGCGCAGGGTGCAGTGGCTCGTGCCTGTAACCCCAGCACTGCTGGGGGACCAAGGTGGGAAGATTGCTTGAGGCCAGAAGTTCAAGGCTGCAGTGAGTTATGATAGTGCCCCTGCACTCCAGCCTGGGTGACAGGGCAACACCTTGTTTAAAAACATAAAAATAGGCCAGGCACGGTGGCTCATGCCTGTAATCCCAGCACTTTGGGAGGCCAAGGTGGGTGGATCACCTGAGGTCAGGAGTTGGAGACCAGCTTGGCCAACAGGGCGAAACCCTGTCTCTACTAAAAATACAAAAATTAGCCGGATGGGGTGGCGTGTGCCTATAATCCCAGCTACACAGGATGCTGAGGCACGAGAATCACTTGAACCCAGAAGGTGGAGGTTGCAGTGAGCGGGGATTGTGCCACTGCACTCCAGGCTGGGTGACAAGAGTCAAATTCCGTCTCAAAAATAAATAAATAAATAATACAAATAAAAACAAACAAAAAACAATAAAAATTGAGGAATTGGGCTAGATAAGTGGTTTTCGAGACAGAACTTTGAGACAGTTCTTACTTAGGGGCCAGTGGAGATCTCCTCTCCTACCCAATTTTCAACTACATAAATGTTATTTGTTTTGCTTCAACATATGATTTTAGTGGAAAAATAGAGTTCTCCTTCTTTAAAAACATTTTTTTTAAAAAACCACTGGACTAGCTAATTCCTACTCCTAAACCTTTGTAATTCAATATAAGGTCTACCCATCAAATTGTTTAGACTCCTGGATGATACTCATGTTTTTAGGAAGGGTTCCTACACCCAAAGCCCAGGTCAGCCAGTTTCTGCGTGTAGGCAAGTTACTGCGTTAGGACTCTTGTACTAGTGTACAATCTAGAAGTTGCATTGGGGCAGCAGGGAGAGAATTCTTATCAGTGAGTGTTTAGCCTCGTTGTACACAGCAGTTACCAGAACAATTAAGAGAGACAAAAGTTCTCCAACACCTTGATCATCTCTGGTAGACAGCTTTGGAAGACACACATACCGTCTACTTCTTCGGACTTCCTAAGCTGTGGAATAGGGATTCAGTGTCTGTGGTATGAAACGGGGTCTGAGAGTTTCATCCCATCAAACTGACAGGGTAATTTTGAGATGGGGCAACAGGAATTGTAATACTGGGGCAATATTTGCTTGTCATCAGTTTGACATCTTCTTGACATGTGCTCTTTTTGACCCCAGTGATTCTTCATTGATCCCCATGTAAGGTGTCCCATTCCCCCATCCACACTGACTCACCACCAGGAATTGTTGTGTGTTCTGAAGAGGCTCAACCAGTTTCATTTGCCTTCTGTTCAGCTTCCCTCCATCTCTTATCCCCAGTCCTCTGTAAATCCTTACTCCTTCATTAAGTATTCCCTGATTCATGGAAGTGACATGATCCGGTTTAGTTTACAAAACCAGGAAATTATTCCTCTGGACCAGAGAGAGAGAGAGAGAACAAGAAACAACAACAAAAAACCCAAATGGAATCTATAAAGGGAAGACAGATATATTCTACATTGTTCCCATTAAAATGGAAACCCCGTGGGGAGAGGAAATGCATCTGTGGAATGTAGAGTGGATTTCTTTCACATATGGGCACTCAGTAAACATTATTAATGAATGATAATGATTTGTCAGTGATTGAAATTGTTTCAGGGCAGGAACAGGGAATGAAATACGTAGACATTCCTCTATCTCATGGGGAAACTGCTAGGCAGGTCATCCAGATGTATTTTCTTTGGGGAGTTGTGAATTCCTTGTGTGTCCAGCTATCACTATGTAATGATATTTTACGTTCTCAGTAATACATATCATCATTATATATATCATCATCTTATATGTATATATATAATACCCCTGTACATAGATATATGTACACATGTATATATTTATATGTATAAAATTAAAGTGTGGAACTTGTAGTTTCCTGTCGAAGAAGCTTGCAAATTGCAATTCCATCCTAGCAAGTAAAAAGCTGAACAGACTGAAAAAGCAAGTCTCCTTGGATCCATAAAGGAAGCGAGGTCTCAGAGCAAACCACTGTCCCCAGAACTGGAGAAACCGGCAGGAGAATGCAGCTTCACAAGGTACCGGAGCAGAAGCCCTGGGCAGCAGCCTCTGCCCGAGCAGTGACAGGCAGGGAAACCTGAGCTGTCATCACCAGAGTGCCGGAGGCGCAGAGCGGGCAAGTCTGGAAGTTAAAGATCCACGGGAACCATGTCGTTGTCCCCTCTCCCTCACCTTCTGGAGCTTCCCCGAGTTCTCACAGTGAATAATGGAGAAAAATCCCCTCGTGCCTCCTGCAGTGGGAAGAAGAAAAAGGACCATTTTGAAAGAGACTGCCGCACTCTGCTCTTCCTAACGAGGTCGCCTCCCCTAACCCCACCGCGGCTTTATCAGCGCCTAACTGACCTGGGGGAAGGGAAACTCCCACGCCAGCCCACTCTAGCCATCTCCCGGCTCACTTAAGGTGGGGGCGGGAGGGAGGACGGAGACTCATTTGTGAATGTTCAGCTGAGGGGTGCAAGCTCACCAAAACTCTGAGGCCTGATTGTAGACTATAGAGTAGACCTTCCCACCGCACACTCACGGCCTCTTTACAGCAGCTGCCTTTACCCGGTCACAGCCACTATCAAGAAAAAGATATAAGACATACTAAAGGGCAAATAGGGCCTGGCACGGTGGCTGACGCCTGTAATCCCAGCACTTTGGGAGGTCGAAGCGGGCGGATCACCTGAGGTCAGGAGTTCGAGACCAGCCTGGCCAATATGGCAAAACCCCATCTCTACTAAAAATAAAAATTAAAAAAAAGGAAAAGAAAGAAAAGAAAAATTAGCTGGGCGTGGTGGCAAGCACCTGTAATCCCAGCTGCTCAGGAGGCTGAGGCAAGAGAACCGCTTGAACCGGGAGGCAGAGGTTGCAGTGAGCCAAGATCGCGCCACTGTACTGCAGCCTGGGCGACAGAGTGGTACTCTGTCTCAAAAATAATAATAATAATAAAATGAAATAAGAATCAAATAACACATGTTGAAGGGACAGAGCAAGCTTCACAACCAGACTCAGAGACAGCAGGGATGCTGGAATTACCAGGCGGGAAATTGAAAGCAGCTCTGATTAATGTGAGGGGCTGTAATGGATAAAGTAGGCAGCATGCAGGAACAGGTGCGCAATGAAAGCAGGGAGATGGGAATCTAAGAAAAAACCAAATGAAGTGACAGAGAGCAAAGCACGGTGACGGAAATGAAGAATGCCGCTGATGGGCTTTGATGGATTTGTGGACTGGACACAGCTGAGGAGAGGATCTCTGAGCATAAGGTTATCTCAATAGAAACCTCCACATGTGAAAAGGGAAAAGAAAACCCACCCACACGCACACGCGCGCACACACGTGCGCACACACACAGAACAGAATATCCAAGAACTGTGGGACATCTACAAAAGGTGTAGCATGTGTAATGGGAATACCAGGAGGAGGAGAAAGAAGAAATACTTGAAATGGTAATGACAGATTTCTCCAAATTAATGTCAGACACTAAACCACAGATCCAGGAATCTCAGAGAATCAGGACAAATGCCAGAAAAACTACACCTGGGCATATCATTTTCAAACTGCAGAAAATCAAAGATAAAGAAAAAGTCCTGGAAGGGGCCAGAGTGAAAAAAACACATTACCTGTAGAGGAGCAAAGGGAAGAAATGCACCTGACTTATCCTCAGAAACCAGGTGAGCAAGGAGAGAGTGGAGTGAGATGTGAGGGTGGAGAGAGAAAACCCACCAGCCTAGAACTCTGAACCCTGCACAATTATCCTTTAAAAGTAAAGGAGAATAAAGACTTTTTCAGACAAACAAAACTTCAGGGAATTTGTTGCCAGTAGATCTGCCTTGCAAGAAATGTTACAAGAAATTCTTTAGAGAGAAAGAAAATGCTATAGGTCAGAAACTTAGATCTACATAAAGAGGGCAGAGAAGGAATAAGTGAAAGCAAAATAATAACTTATTTTTCTTATTCTTAATCTAACAGATAACTGTTCAAAGTAATAACAACAATGTATTCAATTATGTACCCTTAGATATATACTTATGTGTAAGGGAAATGAGTGACAACAATATTACAAGGGATGAGGGGAGGAATTAGGATTATGGTGTTGTTATAAGAAACTCATACTACCTGTGAAACCCCCCTCTACTAAAAATACAAAAATTAGCCTGGCGTGGTGGCGGGCGCCTGTAATCCCAGCTACTCGCGAGGCTGAGGCAAGAGAATCACTTGAACCCAGGAGGTGGAGGTTGCAGTGAGCCGAGATCACGCCATTGCCCTCCAGCCTGGGTGACAGAGACTCCATCTCAAAAAACAAAAAAAGATTGTCATAGTGGGTCAAAAAATAAGACCCAGCTCTGTGTTGTCTACAAAAAACCCACTTCAGATATAAATTGTGCTTCTGTCAGGTCACTTTAGGCTGACCAGCAAAAGGCACAGTCCTGAGACATGGAGAATAACCCAGAATAATTATCTTTAATAATATAAGCATAATTATAATCTCACAAGTATTTTCATAGGATTGAGATATAAAGAATATATTGAAGCTTTTACAGAACAAAAAGGAAAAGCTGGTGCACCTTTATCTCTGTACATGCAAATTTATATAATCAATGCTTGTTTTGCTTCTCTTTTTTCTCCTTTTCATTTTCCTTTCCAGGTTGAGGAAAGGTAGTGGTTGTTTGTGAAGTGGTCATTTATTTTATCCACTTAATTTCTGATGTTTTCTAATTCTCTCTCTCTCTCTCCCTCTCCTTCCCATTCCCTCTCCTTTTCACCAGGCTTCTCCTCTTCCTTCTTCCCTCTTCAACCCCACGCTCTCATATGCTAAATAAGAAACCACTTCGTTCTTTTTTTTTTTTTTTTTGTCTGAGACGGAGTCTCGCTCTGTCACCCAGGCTAGAGTGCAGTGCCGCAATCTCGGCTCACTGCAAGCTCCGCTTCCCGGGTTCACGCCATTCTCCTGCCTCAGCCTCCTGAGTAGCTGGGATTACAGGCGCCCGCCACCACGCCCGGCTAATTTTTTGTGTTTTTAGTAGAGATGGGGTTTCACCGTGTTAGCCAGGATGGTCTCGATCTCCTGAACTTGTGATCCGCCCGCCTCGGCCTCCCAGAGTGCTGGGATTACAGGCGTGAGCCACCGCTCCCGGCACCACTTGGTTCTTTATGGCTGTTGAGCATAGCTCATCCTCGAAGTTTGTTTAATGCTCATTTTATGCTGTCCCACAGAAAAGACTATTGCCAAAGAGCAGAGCCACTTTTGTTGAAGGCTGTGCCACTCACCCAGAGTCCCCTGTGCAAAGGAAGGGAGGCTCACACAGAGCCAAGGGAGGGCAGGGCGCACCACATGCCCACTGCAGAGCCAGCATCCCCCTCGAGAGCTGCACTTCTGCCCTCAGGCCCACTGAGCTCCTTCTGCAAGGAAGCTTTTCAGACAAGAAGGAGGCTTTTATGAGGTTCAGATTCTTCCTAAGAGAACGTTTTGCTGTTGTTGCATGGAAGAGGGGTTTTTCCCCTCTGGTCGAAACTCCGCCCAGCTTTGTCTAGTGCGGTGTCCTGTCCACACTAGACCTGTTGTCCTAGTTTGTGTTCCTCCAGAAGCCCACCCTGAAGCAGTGACTCAAAGGCCAGTAGATTACTTGTGACATGAGGAGCTACTGATCAGAGAGTGGGAAAGTGAGACAAGGAAGGGAAGACAGCCAATCAAGAGTGGGTTATCACACCGGTGATGGACGTGGCCACTGGGGCCAAACCTGCTGGGGAAGTCAGCCGGGGTACAACATGTGTCCTTATACAACGGCTCCTGCCTGTCCCTGGTTGAGGGCTGTCACAGGGAGCACTCATCTCTGGCATCTCCTTCCTACCGGGGTGGGCAAGAGGGCTCCGCAAAAAAAGTGCAGGAGCTGGTGGTCAGAAGGTGGGGTCTCGTGCCTGAAGGGTGAAGGTGGGAAATGTGGGTGGGCATGGCTGTGTGCTCTGCCTGGAATACCTGCCTGCTGAGCTGACGCTGATTTCACGCCGTGGGGTTCCCTGTAGGCTCTCCTGGGTCTGATGGTGAGTAGAATGTCTAGCATTTTGTCTGGTTTTGCAAGTGAAAAAAGTGAGGCAGGGGAAGGGCAGTCAAGTTAAGGACTAAGTGAGCAAAGCAGAACGGAACCCAAGTGTCTCGATCACTTTTGCCCATCTTAGTCAGAACATACACTGAATAGTCAATGAATGAATCTTTGATGACGTGACCATCGAGACCAAGCGGTAGTAATTCTCCTCGGCCTCTCTTGATCTTTTTCCCTTTGGTGGTCCTCCCAGGTGGTGTGGTCATGATGGGAGGAGCAGTGATGGTGTAGACCAAGCTGCCTAGTGTCGCCATGTAATGCAGCTCCATCTACCCTTGTCTGCTGCTCCTCCAGATGAGCGGTTGCTGCAGGACAGTGGTAGGTTAAATAGGCCATTATTGTCCATAGTCCTTTCTCTGTGTGGCATGTGTTTATCACTAATAATCGGTCATTGCTATGACTGCCTGATTGCATGGTCCTTCAGCCACTATTTTAGAATCTTGTATATATCTTATACTTTATACATATACTCATGTATCAAAAGCATGCTATTGCATGGCAGTAGGTGTAAAACAGTTTCTTTTTTCTGGTGGGGTTTTTTTTGTTTGTTTGTTTTGTTTTTTTGAGACAGAGTTTTTGCTCTTGTTGGCCAGGCTGGAGTGCAATGGCATGATCTCAGCTCACTGCAACCTCTGCCTCCCAGGTTCAAGCGATTCTCCTGCCTCAGCCTCTCGAGTGGCTGGGATTACAGGCATGCGCCACCACACCCGGCTAATTTTGTATTTTTAGTAGAGACGGGGTTTCTCCATGTTGGTCAGGCTGGTCTCGAACTCCTGACCTCAGGTGATCCGCCTGCCTCAGCCTCCCAAAGTGCTGGGATTACAGGAGTGAGCCACCGCGCCCAGCCAGTGTAAAACACTACTTTCTTAGTTAGCAGAGCTTAAGCAACACAGCTCATCAGTTTCATAAACAGAGATAGTGCTTTTGAAAAAGAGACTTGAAATATCCAAATCATACATGTTTTTTATTTGACTTTAAAATGATTACCTTGGGACGGGGACACAGCAGTTATCAAAGAGCGACTTTTTAACAGATGCTGGGGTTTTCCTAGATTTCTCACCAGCAAGGTTACTGCAAGATTGTCCCTATCCCATTTGAAGTCACTACTAATAGCTCAGTCTGTCTTCCTCAAGTAAGAATCAGCTAAGCCTAATGTACTGAGTGTATCAACTCCAGATCTTCCCATCTCCTTGTTCCTCAAATATTGATTGAACACCTACTCTATACCCAGCACTTTCCTGGGTGCAGGGAGTACCAGAATGAAGACAGTTCTGTGCTCTAGTCCCTGGAGACCTCACCACCCATAGCCTGTTATTTCTATGAAGTGTTAAGTTCCTTAACTACAAATTCCCACCAAGGGAATTAGGAGGCTTCACCACCAAGGATGGGGAGGGATGACTGAAACTATGAGAAACAAGAGAAGTGGCAGTCACGTTTACGTGGGGGAGTCAGGAAAGGCTTTGGGGGCAGTGAAAAAAAAAGTAGGATTTACATGCAGATAGGCAAGGATAGAGCATTTTAGGTGACAGTATGACAATCCATGCAAGCTAGTGTTGACAGAGGGAACTTTTTAAATAACTTTATGAGGTATAATTTATGTACAACAAACTGCACTCAAAGTGCACGATACGGTGTGTTTTGACAGATGCATAACCCCATGAAACCAGCACCACAGTCACAATACAGGACACTTCTTGGCTCCCAAGAGTTTCCTACTGTACGTTTGCAACTGGATGCAGGGTATGTTTTAGTGCAGATAATGTGCCCCTTTCAACACAAGAACATTTTGATTTGGCTTTTTTTGTTACCAAGTAAGATGCACCAGGCACCCTGATCTTTAGGTCTGAGTCCATATGCTAGTAGACCCAGGTCCAGGGGGCCCGCCCCATTCCCAGAGAGGCCGTGGTCTATCATTGGAGAAATCGTGACTGCAGAGGTTCAGTCCTGACGCACATACAGGTCGGGGAAGCGGGGGGGCAGTGGAGAGGAAGGCAGGGCCAGGTTATCGAGGATCCCGGACAGCGTGCAGCAGAATTTAGATTTTAACCTATTGGCAAGAAGGAGCCCACTGGAGATTGTGACCGGGAAGTGATAGAATCAGATTTGTACATTAGAAAAATCACTCCTGGGACCTGGGTCAAAATGGTCAAAATGAGAAGTGATGAGGACTGACTTAGGGCAGTGGCGGTGGAGGGGGGATGGAGAGGAAATAATGCGGTCAGAATCCAGAAGGCGGAATCAACAGAGCTGGGACAATCCTTTGGGCACAGGATGTAATAAGAGAGAGAAGAGTTATTCATAACTTCCAGGCTGATTGTGTGGTCAGCCAGGCAGTGCCTTTTATGGAGGCCGTAAATCTGGGTAGGTAGAGTGATTTAGGAGGAAATATGTTTAATTTTGGGCTCCTATGTCTGTGGGATACACTAGTAAGAGATGTCTAATAGTTGGGTCTGTGGGTCCAGGGGTCTGGGCTGAATATTTGAGGGTCTTTAGCATTTGAGTGACACTTCACCTAAGAAAACTGACTCAGAGCCTTCCAGAGTGCAAGGCGCTGTGCTAGAAATGCAAAGGTAAATGCCAGTACTGTCTGGGAGGCATTCTCTGACCCCTAGACCAGGTCAGGGCCTCCTGATTTGGGTTACGTTAGTATCTGGTGTTACATTTTTTGTCTGTCTTCTCCACAATACTGTAAGCTTTGTTAGGCTGGAACTAAGGTCTGTTCTTTGCTGTATCCTCAGCCCCTATCACAGGACAGGGTGCCTCGTAGAAGCTCAGCACATACGTTCAACCTTGTCAGCTGAATGCCACCCCAGCCACGCACGACTAGGGGGTCCTTCTAGGGACAGCAGTGATGTAAAGAGGATGTAACATTGCGGGGCCAGAAGTGCCGATACCGGAGGCTCAGGCAGCTGAGGGGCACAGAGATAGCAATGGGAGGCTGCACAGTGTTCATTCAAGCCAGGACTTAAAGGGTGAGGAAGAGTTCTCCAGTCAAACAGAGAGGGAAGAACATTCTATGTCCATGGGTACAACATACATAAGTGCACAGAAGAGTGAAATGAGGCCGGGCCTGGTGGCTCACACCTGTAATCCCAACACTTTGGGAGGCCAAGGCGGGCGGATCACCTGAGGTCAAGAGTTTGAGACCAGCCTGACCAACATGGAGAAACCTTGTCTCTACTACAAATAACACAATTAGCTGGGCGTGGTGGCGCATGCCTGTAATCCCAGCTACTCAGGAAGCTGAGGCAGGAGAATCGCTTGAACCTGGGAGGTGGAGGTTTTGGTGAGCTGAGATCGCACCATTGCACTCCAGCCTGGGCAACAAGAGCGAAACTCCGTCTCAAAAAAAAGAAAAAAAAAAAAAAGAGTGAAATGGTTGTGTGTGACCAGAATAAGAGGCTGCGATTCAGGAGGATGAGAACTGGCAGGAGATGTAGCTTGGGGTGTAATTGGGACCACTGTAATGGGGTTAGGACTTTGTTCTTTATGAAACAGGAAGTGAGTGGAGACTTTGAAACAAGATAGTCATACGATCCTATGACATTTTTAGGATGAAATCTCTGGGGATAGAATACAGAGATGATGAAACCTGCCCCCTGAAAAATGCAGTTTTCGCCAGCGCCCCAGTGATTCTCCTGTGGGTCATCCAGAGAGCTTACCTGGAGGAACAGCCATGTGGGTGGAGGCTGGGGTGAGAGGAGGCTGGTGGCAGCGGTGTGGATGGAGGCTGGGGTGGGGGAGGCTGGCGGCAGTGGTGTGGGTGGAGCCTGGGGTGAGGGGAGGCTGGTGGCAGCCGTGTGGGTGGAGGCTGGGGTGAGGGGAGGCTGGCAGCAGCGGTGTGGATGGAGGCTGGGGTGGGGGAGGCTGGCAGCAGTGGAGGCACCTCGGGAGGCAGGGACAAGGATAGCAACTGAGTGCTGGTAAAGGCCACCCTGCTAAGTAGCCAGAAAGTTTGCAGAACCTTCTTTTGAGGGATCTGAAGTTCAAGTTCTCAAATGCTCCAGATCCTCAGTGTTCAAGAACCTCAGGAAGCTTCGCAGTCCTGCCTCGTGCCTGCTTGAACAGCTGGATGTGGGCAGGAGGCTGTGGGAGCGGGCCATGCCAGCAGAATCCCGCCTTACTCTGGGGACTTACTCTTGTCACAGCCCCTGGTGTCCTGAGGGTCATTTCAGTGTCATGTGAGTATTACTGTGGCTATTGGAAAGGATTTGGTACGAGTTTATTTGAGAAGTTAGGAGCTTTTTTTAAAAAAAAAAATTATCTTTGATAAATTTAGTAGAATATTTTGAAAGTACTTTTTGGACAGTAATGAATGAACAAATTGCTCCTGAACTAGAAGGAGGGATCTAAACACATCATCTAAGTACAACAGTATGTCTGAAAAATATCTCTGCTTGTCTTTTATTTGCCCTTTAAAGTCTGTGCAAACAAATGTGAACAGCCTCAGGACTCTAAGAATAATATTTTTCTATGGATGTGTATGGACAGATAAACAAAACCCCAAGGGAGAAAAAACTTCTATTTAAATAAAAATAAAGATCCCCTACAGCTCCATCCTCCTTTGCTCACTGGGTTTGCTGTATTTCATTTTGAGATAAAAGTAGTTTGGATGATTAACAGTTGAACAAAAAGAAAGTATTTGTGTCTGTCTAAATCTATCTCTATCAATGTAATCTATCTTATTTCTCTAATCTTATCTATCTGTCTTATCTATCGACCTAACTGTCCATCTGGTTTTGAATATTCCGTATTCCAGCCATAAGTAGTAGATCTTTTGCATCCCTGGGGTTAATGGTTCCTTGAGCAGACACTGACACTGTGCCGTTCGGGATCCCGTGGGGAAAACACCCTCTTCCTCACTGGTCAGTGATACCCTGTGCTCACAGCTCTACTCCCCCTCGGAATCTCCTGTCTGAAGCCCCTGTAGGACTCTGGGATCCTCCGAATCGGCCCTCTCCAGCTCCAAGCACACTGGGATCCTTGCCGCAGGAGGTTGCTGTTGGCTTCTGCCCATGCTGTGGGTCAGGATCTGCAGCCAACAGGCGTGGGAGCTTAGGAAGGCACCTGGTGGTTTCTCGGTAGGAAAATAGTGTGGAGTGTGTGCAATCATGTTTGAGGAAGCGTCATGAGAGGGTCACTGTCTCTGTGGTAGTGTCCTTAGGGAACCGTCTTTGCCTGGATCCTGGGGTCAGGTTTGGCATGAACTCTGAACTTCCTCCCTCCGCAGGATCTTCAGTAGAAAGGTCCTGTCCTGAGGAAATGCTCAGAGGCACTTCTCTTGCTGAGGAAGCCTGCCTGGATGTGTGTTTTTGTCCTCATGGAGATGCACATGACAAATTGTGTGCAATGCCTCAGCACAGCCCAACAGGTTTTTTCTGTTTACACTTAACTAGCCTACGACAGCGGGAGGAAACCTTAAATATTTCCTTTTCTTCCCACAAACGCTTTATCTAATAAAACAAAATTACTGCAGATGAAGCAGGGAGTGATTTAAATCGTCATTTAAATCAAGGACCTGATTTGGTTTGGCCTCCCTGGGGGACCTTTTAGCTTGTGCTATGCTGATAACGTCTCTACAGACTAAACCGACCAGAGCAGAAGGCAGGGTGGCAGTGCCCGTGGTGGGGTGGACAGCGTGGGGGCCGGCAGTGTCAGTCACTGAGTGCTGGGTTGGCCCCTCACTCCTCCATATTTCTGTACCAGTAAAATAGGTTGAAACTGACATCGAGGGCAGCTTCAAGAAGGTGGGGAGAGACCACGAGGGCAGTAATGCAGAGGCTGTCACCCTCTGGAGCTACTGCTCGGGGACTGAGAAGGAATTCAGTCTTGAATACATGTTAACCTCAGTTCCCGCTCCTTATCTGGACTGGCTGGCTCCCTTCTGCGCCAAGAATCTGAAGCCCAGCTCTGTAAAGCAGCAATTCCCAACTATTTTCCCCCTAAAATACACGAGACGCACTCCCATGGGGCCTATCTAGATTGCAGGCTGCGGCACAGATAAATCAGGCTGTGGGTTGGGCGCAGTTCCCAGTAAAACCCCACTTCTTTCTCTCCCACTCAAGAAAGCAGACCTCCATACGCGTAAGTGGGAGATGGTGCTCTGTCGCCCCAGCCCTTGGCGGGGGACTCGGCCTGTAAAAGCTGCCAAATAAATATTTACTAAGTGAAAGATAGCCCTGAATCCACACTAATTTGTATTTTTTTAAAGTCATTCATAAACTTTAGCATTTTAACTATTAGTTAGTAATTAATCCCAATAAACCGGCAGGATTTTGTGATTGTGAAACTGCTGCAATGCGTTGGTCAGCAGGAATATTTGTTAGCATTTTTATGGGCTCTTAAAGTCGTCTTAGCTGTGTTACTGATAAAGCCAGCCACAGGCTTTATCAGTCCTGCCGTTGGCTGTCAGCGCTGCCTGGATAAACTCCTCATCCTTCCCGGGAAGAAACTTCTAGCAATGCTTAAGCAGGAGGCCAGGGAAGAGAGAATCTTGATACTGCCTGCTCACCATAGGCCCTCTGGGGGCCTGCCCTGTGTGGACAGATGCTTCATTTCATGATCGTATACAAATCGAGAGCAAGAGTCTCCTAGCCGCGCTGAGCGTGGGGCACTTGCCACCTCACTGCTGTTGGAACTCTGGAGTTGGGGCCAAAGGATGTAGCCCCTCCTCGGGGGAGGGCAGTGGGGTCAGGTGAAGATTCAAGAGCTCCTCTTTGCCTTGTCATCTAGTTGTCCTATTCTGGAGGAATTTTAAATAAGGATTTAAAAAAAAAAAAGGACTTATGTATTATTTTAAAGAGCAGCCTTGAATAGGCAGGCATATTTTAGTAAAAATAATTTTTTAACCCTGCGGTGTGAAGACTGCCAGTCAAATACAGTGATGGTCATTATCACTCACCTGCCCCCGCCCCCAGGCTGGAGGAAACAGAGTGCAGAGTTAGAATGCTTCTGGAGCATTCATGGCTGCCGGGAGATGCCCGAGAGGACGTTGAGGGCAGGGCAGGGTGAGCAGGGAGCTAGCTCACCTTAGGAGTGCAGAGACCATCCCAAGCAGGGTCTGCAGACACTGACTTCAGGTGACCAGGCATGGAGATGGCAGGTGAAACAGGTAAGTATGCCCCAAAAATGATGGGAAAGAGTGAACTGGGATCACTTAGAAATCGGAAGCAATACAACAAAGGCTAAACATATTTGAGTAGGAGTTCAGGGTAGACACGCTCTTGGATATCAAGAGCATAAACAGAGGAGCTAACAAAAACACTGCAGAGAAGCTCCATCGCCCCCTGTAGTTACCCCACCTAGCGTGGCTGGGAGAAGCTGATACTTCTTTTCTCCGTGGATTCAGGGGCATTTCCCACCTATTTTAGGTATGCCAGTTTGACACAATGAACTTTAGACGTAACATTTCATAACTGCGATATAATTTCCTTCTGTTTTTAGGCCTTGAACAAAATTTTCTTTAATGGGAAAGCACACATTTTATACTGAATTCTAATTATGTTCATCTTGTTTTTTGAATTATTTAGCTACCTCTAATAGAGAGTCTGAAAGATGATTACATTCCACAGTACTAACATTTTCAATGGCCCTGAAAGACGTGAGATGCATTGCTGCTACTATTTTATCAAATTATTGTTTCTAAAATGCTGTTTTACTCTTCTAGTAGGAAGAGTGACTTTTAAAACAATGGATATTGGCTGGGCGTGGTGGCTCACACCTGTATTCCCAGCACTTTGGGAGGCCGAGGTGGGTGGATCACCTGAGATCAGGAATTTGAGACCAGTGTGGTCAACATGGTGAAACCCCATATCTACTAAAAATACAAAAATTAGCCAGGCATGATGACAGGCGCCTGTAATTCCAGCCACTTGGGAGGCTGAGGCAGGAGAATACTTGAACCTGAAGGCAGAGGTTGCAGTGAGCCGAGATCGCGCCACTGCACTCCAGCCTGGGTGACAGAGCAAGACGCCGTCTCTAAAATAAAATAAAACAATGGATAGTTTGTCCAACATGGTATGTTAAAAGCGCAGAGAAGCTGAAGAATGATGATGAAGACTAAAATAACGATGATAAGCAAAGAACTAAGCAGGCATCTGTGCAGTGATTCAGGAGGGGTGTCCATGAGGGGCGGCTTCGGAGCAGCTCTCCCTGTAACTTATCTCACAGTTCCCTCCTCCTTTAAGGAGTCAGACCACGGTGGGCTTTGCTTTAGAGACATGCCACTGTGTGCTTTGTTGCTCGTGACTATCCCTTCACCTTTCTAGAGGTGCTCGTCTTCATGTAAAGTCGGGTGAAGCTTTTTCACTCCTGGAGAAAAGCTCTTACAACATTTTTGGGACAAGGAGCAGGTGTGCCTCAGCGAGCCTGTCATTATCTGGGGAGGGGGCTCCAGATAACACACTTCTACTTGCTTTCTTTAGGGAAACGACATGGTCTCCTCCTGTAACACTCCCCAAAAGAAGTATGAAAGCCGACATAAAATACGAATATGATCTTTGCATTAAGTATTAAATATAATACCTTCAATGTAGTATTTGTGCTTCTCTCTATCCAGTTCTCAGTTGTTTAGGGATCTTCTGAGGGCAAACCAAAAATGTCAGTAAAGCAAAAATATATCAATAAGGCATCATACTGACGAAAACAAAACCAGAGGTTTTAAAAAATAATCTGGGCCGGGCACGGTGGCTCACGCCTGTAATCCCAGCACTTTGGGAGGCTGAGGTGGGTGGATCACCTGAGGTCAGGAGTTCAAGACCAGCTATGGTCAACATGGTGAAACCCCGTCTCTACTAAAACACAAAAATTAGCCGGGCATGATGGCGCACACCTGTAATCCCAGCTACTCGAGAGGCTGAGGTGGGAGAATCGCTTGAGGGGAGTGGGAGGTTGCAGTGAGCCGAGATCGCACCATTGCACTCCAGTCTCGGTGATAGGGTGAGACTCCATTTAAAAAAAAAAAAAAATGTAGTTATCAATTTTTTGTTTTTGACCAAAAGTATTTCAGGAACTTTGAAGAAAGGACCTGAAAATTATTACTCAGGCTGGTATTTAGTTTGCTGACTTTTAACTCTCAGAGCTGAACAGTCTAATCCTTGATCATTCCAGAGTGAGTTTAGGAATTTGTAGTCATTTCCTTTTTACTGGGTATTTGCATACATCACTAACCAGCTGGGATTAGAATGAGCAGTCTCTCGATGCTGAAATGGAATGATGAGAACTCAGGGCCAGCCTGAAATGTTCATCCTCATCGATTAATCCTTAATGAACACTCATGCATAGATGACATCAAAGAAGGTCCTTTGCAATGTACAGGGAAGACAAACCAGCTTCCATAGTGTACATTCTTAAAGGAAGGTTCCAATAGACCGATACACATAGTTAACATTTTGTATTTTTATCCATGTTTTGCCCCAAGATTAAACATTAGGAGTAACGTGGACATTTGCTCAGTGTCGAGGGAAGGGTCAGTGCATATAACTAGGAAGAAGGCTATCTGGCAGGGTTGGGAACGTGACCTCTTGCCCTCCAAAGCCTGGGATGCTGAAGTGAATGCCTCCAATCTTGCGGTGTATGGACACAGAGCGAACGCTGCCCTCTGAATACAGACCAGAGGTTAGAGGTTAATGAATGGGTGCTCTCTCCACACTCAGGATCCCGTTCAATAGCGGTTTTATAAATAAGGGCTTAAATGGGGTCAGAAAAGGACCTGCATATTGCTTCCAAACTCTCTACATCTTTTTGAAGCAATAGTGTTCACAGATGACATCCTTCCACCTGGGAAGACAGAGATGAAGCTCTTGTGCTTGGAGAACTGGACGGCTACTCCTGGCTCAGTGTGTCTAAAAACAGGACCAAATGGAAAACATAGTGGGGGGGGAGGTCCTTGCTGCCCCCTATTCTTCTCTAGTAATCCCTTAAAAAATAATTGCGGACCCAAACCTCTGGCCTCCAGCACATTTTCCACTTGATTAGAGGCCTTTGTGAGGTGGGGAAAGGGACCTGCAGACTTGTGTATTGTGCTGGGGCCTGAAATGTCCAGCTGGGATTTTTTCCCATCAAAAGGGGATTTTAGTAAAACCATTATCAGGGGCTTAGAGGAGAAAAGCTGTTGAGCTGCAAGTGAGGGGGCAGATTAGCATTAGCGGGCTTGCTTCTGGCCCCAGTGGAGGAGCGGGAAGGTGTTTGCAGCCACTTGCACACAAGTTCCTTAGTTTCTCTGCAAGTTCCTGGCAGGTGCAGAGGTAGGAATGAATACAGGAGTGGGAACTAACAGGCTTGAACAATGGCACAGGGAGGCTTTATCTCTGAAGTATCAAGCGGAAGGCAGCCCAAATCAGGAAGGACTGCAAGGTGTTGTTGATACCTGCTTCAGTGTGTAGACGGCCGTGGGACTGGCCTCATTGCTGTTATGTGTGGCCACGTCGCCTGGAATCCCCCACCCACAACACTCGACCCCTCTCGACAGTCTTCATAGACGGCGACAGGAAATTCAGAAACTGGGAAATGGCCATGCTGGAGTCCTTTAATGGGCGAATGGACACCTTTAGGGTGGGGGGTGGGTGTGCTGGTAGCAGCTAAAAGAGTACAGAGGAAGGTTAGGAAAGCAGCAGCAGTGGCTGTCAGCCTGCAAATCAGTGTCCGGGCTGTGTGGATTTGCAGACTGAGCCACGGGAACCTCCTGGGGAGAGGGTTTGGGGAAGGTCCCCTACAAGAGAAACGTGCATCATCTTGGGATTACTGGAGCCCTCAGCTATACCTTCCTCTGCAAAACGGAGCACAGAAACTGGAGTCACGTGGTTTGGATGGAGAATGTTGAAGCCAATAGAGTAATTGCTGCCTGAAGGGCCCATGTGAGGAATGTCGGAGCCGGCCTGTCCCGGAAATGCTTTTTCCTATGTGTCCTCTGTACACTGTTGCTCTAGCTTCCCGGCAGAAATGGGGTGTGGATGAAAACAACGTTGGTCCTGACGGCTGTGAGCACAGAACTAGAGTGACAGCCACATGCCTCCCGTAGGACATTTTCAGGCTTGCAGTGCTGCCACCTCAGAGGTCTCAGTCACACCAACATCCTCACGCCAGCCCAGTGGCCACATTCGCAAGAGATTTGTCTAGAGTCAAATTCAAAGGTTGTTTCTGTGGTTACAGAAAGAGGGCCTACCTTCTTGAAAATGAAGCCCAGGGCCGGGCCTGGTGACTCACGTGTGTAATCCCAGCACTTTGGGAGGCTGAGGCGGGTAGATCACCTGAGGTCAGGAGTTCAAGACCTGCCTGGCCAACATGGCAAAACCCTGTCTCTACTAAAAAATACAAAAATTAGCCAGGCATGGTGGCACGTGCCTGTAGTCCCAACTACTCAGGAGGCTGAGGCAGGAGCATTGCTTGAACCCGGGGAGCAGAAGTTGCAGTGAGCTGAGATTGCACCACTGCATTCCAGCCTGAGCAACAGAGTGACTCTGTCGAAAGAAAAGGAAGGAAGGAAGGAAGGAAGGAAGGAAAGGAAAGAAGGAAAAGAAAGAAAAGAAAGGAAGAAAAGGAAGAAAGAAAGAGAAAGAAGAAAGAAAAAGAGAAAGAAAGAAAGAAAAAGAAAAGAAAAGAAAGAGAAAGAAAACGGAGTCCAGGAAAGCTGTTCTTGGAGGCTATGAATCAAGGAGCAGCCCTCCCAGTTCTTCCGAGGAGCAGCTTTAGGAACTGCTGGTCCTCAGCGTTCACACATTCCCCTCACTCAGTTCTCATTCTGGCTCCTCAGCCAGCCCCGTTTTCTTCTTCTTGGCTTTGTGCAGGGTGATACGTGTTTGCTTTTCTTTCCTTTACAACCTGTATTCTCTGTTTGGGGTGCCTTCCCTGAATCTGTATTCTTTCAGTGTAGTCACTAAGAATGGCATATTTCAGCTATTACTTTCCAAAAGTTGCGCAGGGAGATGTTCTGCTTTCATAAGACCTTCACGGATGGTGCCAGGAATGAATGTAATTTGCCTTATGCACAGGCCCCAAGTCCCTGAAACTTTTCCTTTTTTATTTATTCTCTAACCAAAAATGACGTCTATATTACAGAGCTTATAAGCTGTGGCTCCTCTAGCCAATACAGCTTGGTAGAAGCATCTGCAGGGGATAACTGCCTCCACCTTTTTTCCCACTTCTACACCTGCCCTTCCCACTCACAGTTTGATTCCCCGAGGCCAGGCTGTTGAGTACCAGGAGGGCAAGACCCGAAGGCCTCTCCTGCCCTCAGCCTGTCTCTTCTTGTGCCATTCTACGGAATCTGGCTACATTGGCTCAGAAGTTATTTTTGTAAGTTCTGCTACCTTGTCCTAATGTCAGTTTTCTGTAGGAGGAATTTAGGTCACACAAGCAACTTTACTTCTTCGTCAGGGCTGTTATTATTTTCATCTTCATAGACTCTCTTATATTTTATGAAGATGTCTTCATCTGGGCAATAAAGATACTCCTTTTAATAAAAATTAAAAAAAATTAAAAAAAAGATACTCCTAAAATTTTAAAATGTTTTTTCCTGAAAGGCTCTCTAGAATTTGTCCTCACAGATACACTTCTGATTTTTCTTTTGTAATAAAAAAAACTAGCTCTTTTTCTTGCTGTTTAAATTGATACCTCCATGTATGACTAAAATTTTTCCCATTTTCTTCCTCCCAAACTCCCCAGATATGGCAATCTAAGAAGGATTTGTATGAAGTGCCCTTTAAGAAGAATTAGAAGTTTAAAGAGAAAAAAAAAAAAGCATTAGAAGTTAATGTTTGATTCTCTTAGCTCCAAAAGCAGAGAGCTGCAAAATAACACCTGGCTCTGGGGAGTAACCTCACTGATATTTTAAAATTCAATTTCATCTTTTCCAGGAAGTGAAATTCCTCATTTGTCAACTCTTACGCCTGGAGGAAATACTTTGCGGGTGCGGGTGAAAGAGAAAGGACCAGAGGGGATTTGTTAGATGGGAGGAGGTTGTGGTTCCCCTTGGGAAATAGCTTCCAACTCACAGACAATGCTGCCACCTACTGACAAGACCAAGACATGGGACGTGCAGACTTCGTGGATTTCTCCACTTTCTGTCTTCCACAGTGGAGGACATTTAGTTTTGCATTAACCATACTTTATTGTACTACCTTATATTGGACCCTAAAATCATGTTCATAAACTTGGGGTAAAGAAAAACACAAGGTCGGACTCCTAGTTTTAATAACTCCAGGACAGGTGTGGATATGATTCACAGCTGCTTCACAATGGGGAAGGTAAATTGTGTGTAAGAGGGTTTTTTGTTGTTTTTTTAAAGGGCTGGGGAGGCTGAAGCAACAGTCCAGAAGGAGACAATAACAGTTTTCCAGCCCTACCTTTCAATAATGTGTAGTGCTTGACTTTTACCTCTTAACCCACATATGCACATTTTTATTTCTAAAGAAAGCAGTTGTAGGCTCCTGCAATCTCAGCACTTTGGGAGGCCGAGATGGGAGGATCACTTGAGCCCAGGAGTTGGAGACCAGCCTAGGCAGCATAGCGAGACCCTGTCTCTACAAAAAAAAAATAATAATAGTAATAATGGGCATGGTGGCACATGCCTGTGGTCCCAGCTACTCGGGAGGCTGAGGTGGGAGGATTGCTTGAGCTCAGGAAGTCGAGGCTGCAGTGAGATATGATCACACCGCTGCACTTCAGCCTGGGTGACAGAGCGAGACCCCAACTCTAAAAATCAATAAAGCAGGGATGAAGCTGTTTGCTGCTAAATCCTGTGTCCTACGTTAATGAGTTTCTGCAGTTCCCCTTGTGATTCCATTGAAAATTAGACCCTTCTGTGTAGGGAAGAGAGAGGCCAGCTGCCTTCCTGGGGGTCATGCTGTTCTGATTGTTGACATCTGACCCTGAGCACAATGGCAGGGCATCTGTCTCAAGTGCACAGACATCAGCTAGGGCTGGAAGAGCCAATCCTCCATCTACTCCAGGCTCTGGAAACTTGAAGACCTTTTCTGCTTCGTACAACCGTCAGCTGTCAGCTGGATGAAGTTCAGGGGGCCACAGAACTTAACCATCCTGCTTTTACAGATTCCTGAAAACTGGCTAAATTCTGTGCATCTGAAGTAAATTAGGAAAGGTAGAAATTGTCACTTTCATCTTGTCATTTTCGTGTTGTTTGCTTAAGACACACGTACTGGCCATCTTGTCGTTGTTGTTGTTCACAGCAGTGGAGTTTTGGGCAATGAAGTTAAGGTTTAAATTACTGAAAGCAGAAATGCTTGTCTTCCATCTGAGAACATGAAGCATTTATTTGAGGGGCGTTTGCGGGCTTAACTGTTACAATTTCTCCCTTACTTTACTCATGTGTCCAATTTTAGCCTCAGTGATTGTTCTAGAGATTCTCAGAAATAGCAGGACTAATTTTTTTGGCTCCTCCCTGTTTAGTGACTACGTCTCAGAAAGCCTTGCCTTGGGCTAGAAAAAGGTAGCAGATGTGTGGCCGGGCGCGGTGGCTCACGCCTGTCATCCCAGCACTTTGGGAGGCCGAGGCAGGCGGATCACAAGGTCAGGAGATCGAGACCATCCTGACTAACATGGTGAAACCCCGTCTCTACTAAAAATACAAAAAATTAGCCGGGCGTGGTGGCAGGTGCCTGTGGTCCCCGCTACTCGGGAGGCTGAGCCAGGAGAATGGCGTGAACCCGGGAGGCAGAGCTTGCAGTGAGCCAAGATTGTGCCACTGTACTCCAGCCTGGGCGACAGAGCGAGACTCCGTCTCAAAAAAAAAAAAAAAATGTAGCAGACGTGTATGTAAATAATGCTAGTTTGAGGCCAAGATTTCCTAAGGAGAAATATTATGAACCTTGGTAGGAAATATTTCCTCATATCCTTTTTAGATGAGAAAAACAATGTTTTCCAAGCCATAGTAATTCCACATTAATATTTATGAAAAATTAATGTGGTCTCAACTGTTTTCCCACAGTCCAGTTCCAGTGTCTCAGATCCATGATGTAAGGAGTAATTGTTGACACCCCACTGTGTGGTAGGTCTGATCCTTCTGGAGTGTGGATTACGTAAATGGGGGAGTAATAAATATAAGAAGGTGCCTAGTATTAACAAATTAGACCCTTTTACTCTTTCTGGACAAGTGGGATTTGTAACTAAAACATCTGTGAAGTCAAGCCTTTTTGCCCTTGAATGAAGAGAAAATAGCTAGAGTTTTTGCAACTTGATTCTACTTTATAAAAGGATTGTGTGGCAGGTATTTATAGCATGTGAAATATGTGTGAGTTCCTAGCTTTGAAGCTCTCATGAGCATGTACTTCCAGCATTAGTATTCTGCATTACTATGTGCAACAAAGCAGTGTTTTGGAAACTGGCTCAAATCCTCTGAGAGCAACAGGCAACAGATTTGACAGTTAGCTACTTCAGTACCTTATAGACCATTTAACAACATGTACTAGTTTTTTGGTTTCCTGAATAACCCTATATAATGCTTGCAAACATGTCTAAGTTTGCATAAGGTAGTGCATATTAAATAGTAATAACTTTTAGCATTTGGGGTTTTTTTTTTTTTTTTACTCCTAATGAAAATAATATGCTTTGGTGTGGCACCTTTTAAGAAACTTTTTTTTAAGGCTGAGGTAGAAAGATCCCTTGAGCCCAGAAGTCCGAGATTGTAGTGAGCTCTGATCATGCCACTGCACTCCAGCCTGGGCAACAGAGCGAGACTCTGTCTCAAAAAAAAGACAAAAAATAATAATTTTTTTAAGAGATGGGGTTTTGCTGTGTCGCCCAGGCTGGTCTTGAACTCGTGTGTTCAAGTGATCCTCCCACCTCAGCCGAGTGAGTAGCTGGGACTACAGATGTGTGCCGTGCCTGGCTTGGTGCCACACATCTCTGAAGAGAGACAGGGTGGTGCTTTGCAGTGCCCCTGTGAGCCGCCTCCATGCTGGTCACCTTCTGCATTGGTCATTAAGTCTAGAGCAGCCCAGGTTCTGACACTAGGTTCTCCTCTAATTACCTAGGCAAAATCTTTTCCACTTTGTTAAGCATCTTTTCCCATTTATAAAATTAAATGTACCACATCTGCCAGATTTGGGAAAACAAAAATGTTGAGACAGAGAAACCGAACATTGTGTTATGACTGAGTTCTTCCACAGATCACACTCACATTCCTGACCTGGTCTCACTTGGGTTTCTCTGCTGCGCCACGGCTGCAGACCCAGTTCTCTTCTTTGTAATTGAGACTCATTTGTTTCCACTATCACAAATGCAAGTATCCTTGTAAGTTTTTTATAAGGATATAAAGCATTTGTTCCTTAAACAACTAAAGTGGCCGGGCGCGGTGGCTCATGCCTGTAATCCCAGCACTTTGGGAGGCCGAGGCGGGCGGATCACTTGAGGTCGGGAGTTTGAGACCAGCCTGACCAACATGGAGAAACCCCGTCTCTACCAAAGATACAAAATTAGCCGGGCGTGGTGGCACACGCCTGTAATCCCAGCTACTCAGGAGACTGGGGCAGGAGAATCACTTGAACCTGGGAGGCGGAGGTTGCAGGGAGCCAAGATCGTGCCATTGCACTGCAGCCTGGACAACAAGAGTGAAACTCCGTCTCCGTCTCAAAAAAAAAAAAAAAAAAAAATTGAAGTAGAAGAGTAATGAAATAATAGAAACTTAAGTCTTCTTTTTAAAGAAAATATGTGCACTTTTCTGGGTTAATAAATAGCAGGCAGAGGAATTCCACTTCGATTGTTTTATTGGGAGTGGGGGTTTAACATACCCCACTCTGGTGCTGCTCAGTTAAGATCTCAAGCTTACTTTCTTTTGCACCTCAACTGGAGGGCTTGGCTTTACATACGACCAAATATTCTGGGTTGGTAAAGGCAACTCCAGCAGGCAAAATCAGAGCAATCCCTGGAAAAGAGGAAAAAACTGAAACTGATCATTTGTGGACATTTAAATTTACCAATTGTCTAGAAATTCCATACAAGAGCTGAGATATATGCTCTTGTTCCAACTGTGCACTTACCTTTGATACTTCATTAAGTAAATTATTAATATTTGGCACTGATCTAAATATGCATGTCCCATCTGTTTTACAACTTTTTAAAAAATTTAACTTGCTGCCTGATAGTTAACCAAGTGCATTGACAGAAATGAGGTAAGTATGTGACCCAAGTCTGAGCTTAGGTTTGAATGCAGCTTTCTAATTTCTAATGCTGTGCTTTACTCATGATCCACATTATTTCATCAAAAAGCCTCACCCCTCTGACTCCTCAGGGGTTCATAATGGCACAAAATTTAGGTCTTGCCCTCTACTAAAGGGATGGAATTAACTTTTAAAAGGGGTGATGTTTGATGCAGGGAAGAGAAAGAGAACAGAGAGAGGGGACCACTAGATGACTTACTATAGTCCCTCCCTTTCTACCGCAGAACACAGCAGAGATCAGAGGCCAGGGCTTTCCCTTTCATAGAACTGGGAAGAGACAGTTGTCAGAAGCTGCATGAGGTCTTGGTTTTGTTTTACAAATCTGATCTTTTAATCAAGAGGTTCTTATTCTTTAGAAACACAGTGGTCCCTGGGGGCCACTACCCTTTCCCTTTGAAAACTTGAATTCGAATTCTCTAAGTCAAAAGTGAAAGGTTTTGTTTGTATTCTAAGACCAGCACCTATCTAGTAACCACTTCAGGAAAGCAGCAGGATTTGGGAGCTAGGCCATGCTTTAATTTACATATCATATGTCCTTATGTAAGAGAAAGTTCATACCTTTCAAAAGAAAAAGGAACGTTTGCTTTTTTACATCTTTGTTGTTCATCTGACTCATGAAAGAACATGATCGGTTCGAGTTTATTTTTAGGATATACTGGTACTGGCTTTTAGTTTTAGTAAATGTTAAGTTGGACAAGTTAGGGGCCTAGCTTGGGAGCTGCAGAAATTGGCTGAGCCCCACAGGTGATTTATAGATAATCTTTCCAGTAAGAACATTGAAGGGCTACACACAATGACACTTAGAAAAAGAAGGGAAATGAAGCTGTTCCTTGACTACTACCCAGTTTCTGTTGAGGTTTATTACTTCTAGATGATAAGGTTTACACGAAGTTTACATTATGTTTTTTCAGTTCTCAAGTTTCAGCAAATACCTGAACCAAGTTTTTTTCTGTTATTCTAAGAACTGCCCTGGAGTGCCTTTTAACTTTTGTACCACCACGCAAAGTGTACTATCAATTCATGTCCTTTAGCTCTTCTATTCTTCAATGCATTTCTCCCATTCCTGTAGGTATGGCGGGGATCAACTTTTCATACCACCAAGAGTCACCCCTATTCCCTTTGAAGTACTGCCCTATGGCATAAGCTTGTTCATACGGTGTTCAAACAGCTACCGTTCACTTCTATGAGGGTCACCTTACTGGAAACCAAGGTATGACGAGTAACTAAATCTTCTCATCAAGCAGAAGGGAGCTGGACTTTAGAAATGGAGCCTGGGCCACGCAGAGTGGCTCACGCCTGTAATCCCAGGACTTTGGGAGGCCGAGGTGGGCAGATCGCTTGAGCCCAGGAGTTTGAGACCAGCCTGGGCAACATGGTGAAACCCTGTTTCTACAAAAAAAATACAAAAAAAAAAAAAAATAGCCAGCCATGGTGGTGTGCGCCTGTAGTCTCAGCTACTCAGGAGGCTAGGTGGGAGGATCACTTGAACCTGGGAAGTCAAGGCTGCAGTGGGTTGTGATTGTACCACTGCACTCCTGCCTAGGCAACAGATCAAGACCTTGTCTCAAAAAAAAAAAAAAAAAAAAAAGATCAAGACCTTGTCTCAAAAAAAAAAAAAAAAAAAGACAGGAAGGCAGGAAGACAGGAAGGAAGGGAGGGAGGGAGGGAGGGAAATGGAGAAATGGAGCCTAGGTTTGAATCCTGGCTCCCTCACTTACTGGTTGGGTAACTTACGGCAGGAATTATGACTTATCTGGAAAACAGGGATAATACCTGTTTCAGCAGGTTGCTTTGAAGATTAAAACTTACAAGTACCTTGTAAAACACACATAGGTTCTCAACACGTTAATTGCTTTCCATCCAAAAAGGTTGAGAGATGAGCAGTTGACCTTCACTAACCACTCTAGGTGGTTTATCATCTTTCCCAGAGAAGCTCCGGCTATATACTAAGTATGCCTCATTCAGGATAAGGATATAGCTAGACCCATGGTCGTAACTTTCAAACATCAATTTGCCGACCTTTAGTCAAGCGTATATTTAACATTTAACGTAAAAAGGAGACAAAACAGAAGAACGTGCTTCACGTTACAGGTGGTAGGAATATTTTGCCTATTAAAATGAAGAATGTGAATACAGAGCCTAAGACTTGGGTGCTCAAATTTTTATCAATTGAATCTGTACAGCCATGCAGTCTCTTGGAAGAAAAACAGACTAAGAACCCACTGCCGTGTAACCTTCAGGAGTTGTGTCAAATGCTGGATTAGAAAGCTGACCCTAATTCAGAGTCCCTACTTCTTAATAGGCTTCACACTTTTTTTTTTTTCCAGGCATTAAGCACTGTAACCTAAGTGGGAAGAAAGAGATCCACACCTTCCCCAAAGAAACAGAAGATGGATCTAGTGTCAGGCTCAATTAGACCCAATTGTGATGACTCTCCAAAAAGGAACAATGCGGCTTTTGTGATATGCTCAGGCAGAAAGCTTGGACATTTTACAAAACAATCTTATCCCAAGAGAAACCTGGGTTCCAGCCCTCTTCCTGGAAAGAGGGGTTGATCCAGGAAAGTTTTATACTACTCTTATCAGCTCTTGCTGAGATCAGTATTTTTTTTAACAATCTCAGAAACAACCCAGACCAATGTGAAACCAGGAATATGAACCACTCCCCTGTTGGAGCACTCACACCCATAGGTCTCCACAGCCAAACCACAGGGTGTCAGATTATTTTGTTACTGTCTACCAAAGGGAACTCTTGCTGGAATTCTGGTATTTCATTAATCTGCCCCGATTTCAGTCTAAAAACCCTTGACAGAGTGGATCCAGCGGCCAGCCTCGGCTATTGGAAGTGCTAAAATGCAAATGTGCAAAATCCTGGCCAAGCTCCCCATCCCCCAGGAAAGTGCTTCCTTACAGCCGGGCCTGGAGGGGAATGTGAAAAAGAGGGCTTGAGCTGCCCTCCTCCTCTCCACCCGGACCCTCGCTCACACTGGGAGATTCAGTATGCATGACTGAGCCGGCAAGCACGCAAGGACAGCGCTCTTTTAACTTTTCTCAACAATGGCTTCAGTCCTTCCACCTTCACATCCTCCCCACACCCACTCTCAGGGTAAAAAAAATCCATCTTTCTTGCCCACGTCGTGAACCACTTTTCAACATCACCTCTAGATCTCATTTTCACCCAAAGAAAAACTGGCCACTCGGGGAAACTGTGACTTACATACAAATCTGGTTTTTTAAAAAGTTTCATTTTGTTCAATTTCTTTAAATTTCCACGTTGTTGAAAGTTTAAAGCCAAACATTATATAAATCTCCAGTCTAATCACATTTCTAGAAACAAAACATGTCAGTAGTAAACCTTATACAGAATAAAATTCTACCCATGAGTTGACTCACCCCCACATAGGATGCACCAAACTCCACCTTGCGTCCTCTTAGAGTATACAAACAACACCTCCTACCTTGGCATGTACCCAAGCACACAATGCCTTAAAAATAATTCGCAGATACAAGGCTGTTGTTTTTTTTTTTTTTTTCAAAAACATACTTCATATTTCCTCTTTTATTATATAAATATCAGTTTAACCTTTTACTGTAAGAATATAAACGTTTTAAGAGGATCTTTGTTATTATTTATACAAATTCACAAACAGTACAATTAATTGATAAAGGTCTCTGGGTTTCTTTAACTCCATGGTCTTGCATGTTGCTGTGGAGGGTTCTAAAGAAATAACAACAAAAATCCAACGAAAATATACATCCTACTCAGAAGTGATTTCTTTAAAGCCACAAGTCCCAACCCCCACCAAAAGAAAGAAAGTCATCTATTCCTCCATTTAGAAACGGAATTTTTTAAAACCCACAAACTCCCATTTTGTTAATAGAACAGAGATAAGATATGAGCTTCATCACAGCCCCAGGGGCTCTGCAGGCCAGCTCTGCTCCTGTTTCCCACAGGAAGCCGCACTGTGTGACCTTTTTGGGGGGAAACTTGGAAGAGGGTGAGGGTAGGGCAGAATTTGCATATATAATCATCATTTTCAAGACACAATCTGCATCTCCAACAAAAACAACGGTTCAACTCTCATTGCTCCCACATATTTGTGCTATAAATTAAGATTTAGAAATAGGTCCTCAAATCCCAATGAACAAGGAGAAAAAGGAAATTATAGCCAGAATGTGGAAGTGGGGCACACTGGACGGATGGAGGCTGGGAAGAAGCCAACACAAAAAGACGGACAAACCCAAGGGCATCTTTCCAGTCTAGGCACAAACATGTTTCAGTCTCAAAATATCTCTCTTGTAGAATTCCAGGGCTTCAGAAAAAAAGTAAACTAAAACGAGGTAGCCAGACATATATATGTATATATATATATATATAATTTATATATATATAATATATAGAATATATTCAGCAGAAAAAAGGACCATGATTTCAAATTTTTTCCAAAAAAAAATTTTTAAACAGGAAAGAAGATTAAGAACATGAAATGAGCATGAATAGCAGAGTACTGTAAGAGGAGGAGTGATGAGAAGAGACTGGGATTAGTTACAAAGTGGAAGGGTGAAAAGGCCTTTGTAGCTGGGTTTGCTTTTTATACATTTCAAAATAAAAACCAGATCACAGTATTCAAATGAAAGCTGAAGTGAAAGCAGACATTTTCCTCAACTCCCCAGGGTTGAAAAGACCAGTCACTCCCCACCCCCATTTCCAGTCACAGCAGTGGGGATACAGTAGCTGAATCAGTCCTCCACCCCCTGCAGGGGAGTGGGTGGGTAAGCAGCAGAGTCCATCTCTCCATCCGCGGGGAAAAGGAGCTGGGAGTAGGGTAGGGTAGGAACCCCAGCTGCAAAGAGAATGGGCTGGAAGCCGGGAGGGGGCTGGAGGAGGGAGGAGGAAACGAGCCTGAGGCTTCTGTCATAGCCCCATCTCATCCGCTGCAATGATCTGTGCGTAAGTGTGCGTGTGAGTGTGTGGGGGCGGTGGTAATGGGAGGATGAACAGGGCGGGACAAGGGGAGCTGGTGCTGCCGCCCTCACCTGACCTTCTCACTGTCCGTCATCTGCCAGAGTCCCAGGTTGAGTACCTTGAGGCACGGCAGCTGCGTGATGCGCTCCAGGCCGCGCTTGGTGATTCGGGTGCAGCCGTACAGGTCTATGCCGGTGAGTTGGCTCAGGTGCTCAGCGATCAGCTCCAGGCCCTTGTCCGTGATGCGCACACACTGTCCAATGTTGAGCGTGCGCAGCCCGTGCATCTGCCGCACCATGCGGTTGATGCCATCATCACTGATGTGGCAGGAGCAGAGGGAGAGAGACTTGAGGCCATCCAGCCCCTGGGCTATGTAAGCCAGACTCTGGTCTCCCACCTTGTCACAGAACGAAACATCCAGCCCCGAGAGGCGCAGGCTGCCCATGGCCAGATGCATGATGCCCGTGTCACTGATGTTGTCACAGGAGCGCAGGTTGAGGCTGCGCAGGCTGCCCATGTGCGACAGGTGCAGGAGGCCAGCGTCCGAGATTCCCCCACAGAAGCTGAGGTTGAGGAGCCTCAGGCCCGTCAGCCCTCGGGAGATGTGCTTTAGAGAAAGATCTGTGAGCTTCTGGCAGTCCTGTAGCGTGAGCTGCTCCAGGCCCAGGCAGCCCTCCGCCGCGCTGCGCGTCATGCCGGCCAGGTGCCCGATGCCCACATCCGAAAGGTGGCGGCAGCTGCGGAGGTTAAGGCTCTTGAGGCGCTGCAGACCCCAGGCGATGAGCAGAAGGCCAGTGTTGGTGATGTTGCTGCAACCTCCCAGCTCCAGCACCTCCAGGCCCTTGAGGTACTGGGCTATGCGGCCCAGGCTGCTGTCAGTGATCTGCTTGCAGAGGCTCAGGTTGAGAGCGCGCAGGGAGCCGATCTCCTGCACAAACGCGTGGCCCAGCCCGTTGTCGGTGAGGTTGTAGCAGCCGCTGAGGTTGAGGCTCTCGATGTTGGCCATGCCCTGGATCACGTAGCTGAGGCTGCGGCGGAGGCTCAGGATCTGCACCCGGCGGATGCCCCGGGCCTGCAGGCTGGGGAACAGCGACGGGTTGGCCCGGCGCAGGTGCAGCTTGGCCTCCACCCCCCGCCACACCGACTTGTGGTAGGCGGCGTCCCGCCAGGCGGTGCACACCTGCGCCGCGCGCCCCTTGTCCCGGACGTCCAGGTAGCCGAAGATCATGGCCAGCAGCTCCGGGAACAGGCATGAGATGTGGGTCTCCATCTTCCTCCTCCCCCCTCCGCGGCGCTGGGGGGAGGAGGCGCGGGCCCCGCCGCTCCGGCCTCGGGCAGGCGACGAGAGCGCTTCTCCCCAGCCGCCGCCGCCGCCGCCGCCGCCGCCTCGGGCCCAACGGCCGGCCCCTCCCCGCCTTCCGGCTCCGGCCGCCGCCGCCGCTCCTCCTCCTGGTCCGTCCGTCCTTCCTTCCTGCCGGCTGCGCCTCCGGCCCGGCCCTCCCCCGCCCCGGGCTCCGCACGGCGCTCACATCCCGGGCGGGGAAGGCGCCTCGCTCTCGCTCCCGGAGGCCGGCCGCCGCCGCCGCCTCGGCTCTACCCACGCCGCGCCCGGGCCGCGCCGCTCCGCCCGCGCCGCCGCGCCCACGCCCCCTGCCGCATCCTCCGCCTCCTGCCGCCGCCGCTGCTCCGCGGGCCGGCGGGCGGCGAGGGGGCCCCGGGGGCCGGGCGCACGGGCTCCGGGCGCGGAGGAGGCTTCCTGCTGCCTTTGTCTCTCGCCCGCTTTTCAAACCTCCCAGCCCCGGGCCGCCCGCACTCCGCCGCCCAGGCGGGGGGACCAGGAGGCCAATCCCGGCCGGCGGCGTGCGTTCCTTCTCCCCCGCCGTCCGCGGCCACTTGGGAGCTGCCGGCCCCCGCACCAAGGACGCCGCGGCCGTCCGGCCGGAGCGCGGCTCGGCGCAGACCCCGGGCGAGCAGGCGGGCCGTGCGTTTGGTAGCGCCCGGGCCGGCCCCGGCTCCGCCGCCCTGCAGCGCGTCCCCTCCGCCGCTCCCGCTCCCCCGCGCCCGCGCAATGGTACGGGCCTGCGCTGCCGGAACTGTGGAGCCGTTGCCCTGGAAACCGAGTTCGGCCTGGTCCCGTGGCCCCTGATTTTTAACCCTGTGGGCGCCACGGGGGAGCGGCAGCTGTCAGCAGAGCGCCTCCCCACCCGGCTTCTTTTCACCCGGTAGCCCGTTATTGAGCCGTTCCCTCTCTGGGCCACGCCCCAGCCCCGTTCCTTCTTTTTCTTTGCTGTTGAAGTCTGCGCAGCCCCTTCCCACAGTTTACCCCTGCAATTCGTTACCCTTATTTCACACCCCTCTCCCTTGATTATCCCTGCGAGAGCCGCCTCCTATAGCAGTGCTCAATAATCGTCACCCCAACTCTCCTTTTCTTACTGTCCCTAATGCCCCTTAACGCCTCATTATCACACCCCCTGCTCCCCCGGTTGGGGCTGTTTACTACGACGCCTTTCTCTCCAGTCTTGTGTCTTAAATTGGAGAGAAACTCGGCTGTACTCATCTTAAACAATGACCCCCTCCAGTCGGTGTTCTAGAAATTTCTAGAATTATCCATGACTACTTCCTTCTAGCATCTTCTGATGGTTTCCAGACACGCTGTGTGTGTTTCCCTCGGTACTTGATACATCAAAACTTCCCTCTACTTCTGAACGCTGCTGCGCCACCAATGCCCTCAGTCCGCTTTGCTTACAGGGGAACAGCCTTCCCCTAAGCCTTGTTTTAGGAGCTTTCTCCTTGTCATCAGCCTTAGACTATCAGTTGTATGGCTCAGTTGTACTGATAGTCAATATATTCGTATATGCTGAATCCAATTTACTTTTTGATTAAAATGGAATGACAGTTGAACTTGGTTTAAGACAATCCAGTCGTGTCTGTTGGTTTATCAACCGTTTTATGGAAGCAGGGCACAATTCCATTCTAGGATGTAGCCCCTGGGTCCTAAATGTCCGTACTAAGGATAGAATTTCAGAAGTTTCATTTTAACTACCCCCAAACCAAGAATTTTTGGATCAGAGAAAATGATCCTCTGTATTTTAATTTATGGATCCACACAACTAGATACAAGACCAGCGGATTTATCAGAAAGGGAAAATGGTTTCATTGATTCTTTGAGGACCTGAACAAGATTTGGAAGGGGTTCCATATTCAGTGTAGGAGAGTAACTTTTGCCCAAGCAACCACTATTAGACCAAATACATACAGATTCAGTAATAGGCATAATACACCTTTTACACCCCTACCACTCCTCTTTCCTAAATCAGGAAATGCAGAAGCAAAAATTCTCGCCAGCTTGTTACCTCACCCACATTACACGCAGTGTGGAGCCCATAGATTTTTATAACCTTCTTGAAAAAATAGACTGTACTGTTAGTCATCCAGTACATCCAGATGTACGGTGGCAGTAAGTGTCACGATTCTGGGGTATGCCTGGGCTTCACTCTTCTCCTGGAGGTTATCTAGGCTTTTATTCTTCTCAGTCACTTCTGCCTAAACGTTTACCTTAAATTCTGCGCAAAAGTCACTTTTTGATTGTTCTGTGCACCTAGATGTGTTTGGGTTGATGTCAAGGCCTTAATCCAAAGCACCTTAGTGTAACTTAATCCTGCTTAATAAAAAACAAAGTACCCCACACATTTGGGGGGAATTTTAGACAAGGGGCCTGACCAGCCTCGGACTAAGAAGGAGCCTAATGGTTTTCCTTCTCTAGAAAGGCCCTTGTTCTCAAATCTGAAGAGTCATTCAGAGGTATCTGGAAGCACTTTCTCTAGAAGTTGGCCATCTGGTCCTCGTTCTAACAACAGTTTTTCTTGAATTCTAGAATCTTATTAACACAAAGCCTTTTATTTAAGGCACTCAAGTATATATTATAAGGATTTTCAGCAATATGACTATTTTCACCTTCAATAAATAGGAAAATATAGCATCAAGAAGCATCACAGAAAAAGCATTCCCGGGGAAAAGGAACTAGGGCGTAGAATGAGCCCTATGCCGAATCTGAACACCTGGTGACTTTATGCTACTGAGGAAACGACTCTCCTTTCTGGGTCTCGGTTTCCTTGTGTAACACCAGGATGATTTGACTAGGTAATCTTCAGGGACCTTTCCAGTAGGAACACTCTGAGGCCAAGAGCCTAGCATACTGTCTCCTTAACCCATGGAACAATTACACATTGTTCCTAATGCAGGCTCCAGATATTAAGAATAACTTCGAATACAATAACTTCCTGGGAGCTTTGGTTTATGCTCAGACTTAGGACACAAAAATATATGAAGAATATGTATAGACAGGAGACTCTGATTGTCTGGCAAAGATGTATACCAATGTAGAAAATCCTGTGGCTTGCTCTTCATATTTTTAAAACTGGTTGAGATTTTTGTATATGATTTAACAAGTTGCAACCATAAGTTTTTTAACTAGCCTATTTAAAAGCAGAAATGATAGCCTTGTGTAGGGAGTCTCTCCAAAGCCTTACAAAGAATTTTTTTTTTAATTCTAGATTTTTCAGATGGAATGTGCTTTTCACCTGGGTAGGGTGGGAAAATTGAGAGGCCCAACCCAAAGATCAGGCTTACCTAAGGATTCATACTTTCTCCTTCAGAAGGGGAAGACCTGGCAGGAAAGATCAGAAGAGCTCTGTAGCTTTTAACTCCTCATTCAAGTATATATATATATATATATATATATATATATATATATATATATATATATATCTCCAAAAATAGTGGCCCAGAGTCTAGTTTATGGGTTGGGTCAGAGGAGTTAACATAGGCCGGGCAAAGTGGCTCATGCCTCTAATCCCAGCATTTTGGGAGGCCGAGGCGGGATGATCACTTGAGGCCAGGAGTTCGAGACCAGCCTGGCCAACATGGTGAAACCCCGTCTCTACTAAAAAAAATACGAAAATATTAGCCGGGCATGGCAGCACATGCCTGTAATCCCAGCTACTCGGGAGGCTGAGGCATGAGAATCGCATGAACCCAGGAGACAGAGGTTGCAGTGAGCTGGTACTGTGCCACTACACTCCAGCCTGGGCGACAGAGCAAGAGACCTTGTCAAAAAAAAAAAAAAGTTAAAATATTTTGTGTCTATTTTCCTTGAACTCTAGTGTATCTATGGCACAATGCCTGCTATGTAGTAGACATTTTGTCAGTGTTGTTGAACTGAAGTGAATGAGATGGATAATATAAATAATAATCTCTTTATGAAAGACTTCATACATATCGAAACTTCTTCGAGAGTTCTGGGCAGCCATTAGTAATCTGAGGTTTATAATAAAATGCTGCCTTTCCAACTTCAAGGTTTCTTGAGAGTAACATTCATTCTGTTGCTCAGTATTTCTAAGTAGGAGAGCATCTCTCTCGACACTTCTTCGTGACAGAATATTAAAGATAAGAGAGGGTGAGGATTTGATTCACTGATTGCAAATAAAAGATTTAAGCAGAAACAACAACCAAAAAAAGCCCAATTTAAAAATGGGCAAAGGGTTTAAATAGACATTTCTCCAAAGAAGATACACAGGTGATCCACAGCACATGAAGAGAGGCTCAACATCATTAGTCATTAGGGAAATGCAAATGGAAGCCACAGTAAGATACCACCTCATATCCATAAGGATAGCTACTATTAATAAAACAGAAAATAACAAGTATAGGTGAGGATCTGGAGAAAGTAGAATCCTGGTGCACTGTGGGTGAGAATGTAAAGTTGTGGGCCAGGCACAGTGGCTCACACCTGTAATTCCAGTGCTTTGGGAGACTGAAGCGGGAGGATTGCTTGAGCCCAGGAGTTCAAGATCAGCCTGGGCAACATGGCAAGACCCCATCTCTCTTATAAAAAATTGTGCAGCTGCTATGGAAAACGGTATGGCCATTTCTCAAAAAATTAAAAATAGAGCTACCGTATGATTCAGCAATTCTGTTTCTAGGTATGTACCTAAAAGAATTGAAAGCAGGGGTTCGAAGAGCTATTTGTACATCCATGTTCATAGTAATGATATTCGTAATACCAAAAGTTAGAAGCAACCCGAATGTCTATTGACAAATGAATGGATAAACAAATCATGGTATATACTCACAAGGGAATATTATTCAGCCTTGAAAAGGAAGGAGATTCTGACACATAGTGAGACATGGATGAACCTTAAGGACACTGTGCTAAGTTAGTAAGCCAGTCACAAAAGGAGAAATACTGTACAATTCCACTTATATGAGGTATCTAGAGTAGTCAGAATTATAGAAACAGAAAAAATAATCATTGCTAGGGGCTGGGGAGAGGGCTGATGCAGAATGGGGAGTTGTTTAATGGATATAGAGTTTCAGTTTTACAAGATGGAAAAGTTCTGAAAATTGGTTGCACAATATTGTGAATATACCTAACACTTCTGAGCTATGCACTTAAAGATGGACCAGGCGCGGTGGCTCACGCCTGTAATCCCAGCGCTTTGGGAGGCTGAGGCGGGCAGATCACCTGAGGTCAGGAGTTCGAGACCAACCTGACCAACATGGAGAAACCTCGTCTCTACTGAAAATACAAAATTAGGCGGGCGTGGTGGCTCACACCTGTAATCCCAGCACTTTGGGAGGCTGAGGCAGGCAGATCCCCTGAGGTCAGGAGTTTGAGGCCAGCCTGACCAACATGGAGAAACCTCGTCTCTACTAAAAATACAAAATTAGCCGAGTGTGGTGGCACATGCCTGTAATCCCAGCTACTCGGGAGGCTGAGGCAGGAGAATCACTTAAACCCGGGAGGTGGAGGTTGCGGTGAGCCAAGATCGTGCCATTGCATTGCAGCCTGGGCAATAAGAGCAAAACTTCGTCTAAAAAAACCAAAACCAAACAAACAAAAAAAGGTTAAGATGACAAATTTTACGTTGTGTGTACTTTACAATTAAAAATTTAAAAAAGATTTTAGCAGGACAAACATTTTGAAATAAAGATAGAAAAAAAGAGAGAAAAATAGGTGAAAAGTATTCTTACATCAACAGATTGCCGGGAACCCCCTGAGATATTTGAGATGTTCCCCCAAATTATTAGCTTGCTGTATCTTGTAAATGTAGGCTTAGGATCATCTTTATCCACTACCGTAAAAATAAGGGCTTGTGATCTGGGTAGCCAGAGCCTTCCCGTGAGGGTGAATGTGTGCTATATTGTCCACACTGGGAAACCCACGGAGGTGAAAGGGGGTGCTGTACTATTAGTATTCACGCCCGATGGATGGTCACGCCCTTTTACTCTTGAAATCGGGTTGCCATTTGTAATTTGTTATTTGCAGCTTTTGAGTGTTAACTATAATAGGTGTTTTTGTAGTTTCAGGCACCCAACCAAAGAATCAGAAATACGGTAATAGAATAATCTCAGATATCAGGTATTGTTTGTTCAATGTTGACAAACACCTTAGGTACTTGTTACAAAACAGGTAGATAGAACAACTCTAGGAAAATAAAGTGTGTTGTAAATGTAGCCATTTCCAGGTCACCGAACACTTAGAAAGACGGGTTTTCAATTTATTCAATCATTCAGGCTGGGCAGGGTGGCTGTAATCCCAGCACTCTGGGAGGCCAGGGTGGGAGGATTGCTTGATCCCAAGAGTTTGAGACCAGCCTAGGCAACATAGCAAGGTCCCATCTCTACAAGAAATAAAAATAAAAATAATTAGCCAGGCGTGATGGCATGCACCTGTAGTCCCAGCTAGTCAGGAGGCTGAGGCAAGCGGGAAGACCGCTGGGCCAGGAGGTCAAGGCTGCAGTGAACTGTGCTTGCCCCCCTGCACTCCAGCTTGGGTGACAGAGCCAGACCATCTCTCGAGAAAAAAAATTCAGGAAAATATTAATACAAATTATATACATTGCTCTGTGCTATGAAATAAACAAAGATGTAGAAGATTACGTTTTTGCCTTTAAGAACTTGGGATCCAGCAGGTGAGCTAGAAAATACCTGTGACAGTGACAGTATTTGTTAGTGTTATAAGTGCCAGCAGAGTGATAGAAATAAAGTTCTCAGTTTGGAGGATCCATAGTGAAACCTAGAATTTGAATAGGTGTTGATGGGAAGAATGTCATTACATTATAGTGGAAATTTTTTTAGAGAATAGGCTGAAGTTTTATATTGTTTAGAAAAAAATAAGAACATTACAATAGCAACCATGTATTGTCATACATTGTTATGGATCTTCCATATTGAGGCATCAGTTAATCTAAAAAATCTAAAAAATCACTTTCCTAAAGAATTCTTGGCTTTTATTTTTCCCAAGAATAAGAGATCTGGCTGGGCACGGTGGATCATTCCTGTAATCCCAGCATTTGGGGAGGCTGAGGTGGGAGGATCACTTGAGCCCAAGAGTTCGAGATCAGCCTGGGCAACACAGGGAGACCCTATCCCTACAAAATTAAATTTAAAAAATTAGCCAGACACAGTGGTGCGCACCTGTAGTCCCAGCTATTCACGAGGCTGAGGTAGGAGGATAGTTTGAGCCCAGGAGGTCGAGGCTGCAGTGAGCCGTGATCACACCAGTGCACTCCAGCCTGGGTAACAGAGAGAGAGAGGAGAGAGAGAAAAAAGAGAAACCTTTAACTCTTATGTATCTGGAATTGGAAATTCAGTATCTGAAGTCAGAAAATTTTAATTCATGGTCTGGACTTTGCAACTGTTTTTACAACCGAGATTGCCTCAAAAAAAAAATTTGTTTTAGTCAGCTCTCTCCTCATTTGCCCCATTCTTCTCTCTAACAATAGAACCAGACAAGGATGGAAAAAGAGGGAAGTTCAGGGTGTCCTGCCTGTGGCGTCCACGTGTGACTCTCCCCTACGTGCCCGTGCTTTCTGTTCCCATTCCCGTGAGCTGCGTTCACACCATACTTGGAGTCTGAAGCTGTGTGTTTGAATCCTTGCCCTCCCACTGTAGTCTGTTGCCTGACCTATGGCAAAGTCACTCAATTCTTTGAGCTTCAATTTCCTCATCTATAAAACGAAAGTGATTGTCGTTCACGGAGCTGTGGTGAGATGCGTTAAGAAAACATCCACGAGAAAGGAAGGGCCTAGTGCATGCCCGGCACATAGTAGGGACCTAGTAAATGCTGTTTTTGTTTTTTTCTTGTATAAAGATGCACTTTGAAAAAGAAAAAAAAAAACCCTTACAGATGTGCCTCAGAATTATACAGATGTACATTTACTGACAGTGACACTTTTTTAAAACTGTACTTCCTGTTTTAAAGAAATGTGCAGGTTCGAAGCTGGGCGCAGTGGCTCATGCCTGTAATCCCAGCACTTTGGCAGGTCGAGGCAGGCGAATCACAAGGTCAGGAATTCGAGACCAGCCTGGCTAACTTGGTGAAACCCCGTCTCTACTAAAAATACAAAAAATTAGCCAGGCGTAGTGGTGGGTGCCTGTAATCTCAGCTACTCGGGAGGCTGAGGCAGGAGAATAGCTTGAACCTGGGATGTGGAGGTTGCAGTGAGCGAGATCACTCCACTGCACTCCAGCCTGGGTGACAGAGCGAGACTCTGTCTCAAAAAGAAAAAGAAATGTACAGGTTCAAGGACTGGAAACATAACAAAAGCGTAGGCGCATAAGAGAATGATCTTTCAGGTAGAGCCAGCCATGTGTTTGCATCTTATCTTCTCCTCTGTAAGTCAGGAAGGGTAGCATGTTCCATTCATGCGCAAAGAAATAGTCCAGAACTCCTCTTCTGCCAGACATCCATCCGTCCTGTGGCCTTGGACCTATGGTTTCACTACCAACTCTTACTCTTTCTTTTTTCTGAGACAGAGTCTTACCTTGTCGCCCAGGCTGGAGTGCAGTGGCGTGATCTCGGCTCACGGCAACCTCCTCCTCCCGGGTTCAAGCGATTCTCCTGCCTCAGCCTCCCGAGTAGCTGGGATTACAGGCACCTGCCACCACGCCTGGCTGACTTTTGTATTATTAGTAGAGATGGGGTTTCACTATGTTGGCCGGGCTGGTCTTGAACTCCTGACCTCAGGTGACCCACCCGTCTCAGCCTCCCAAAGTGCTGGGATTATAGGCGTGAGTCATTACGCCTGGCCCAACTGTTACTCTTTCTTTTGCTTAGCGTGGTGATTCTGAAGCTTGACTAGGCATCAGAATAAACTTGAGGGCTTCCTGATGCAGGACATCTGGGGAGAGGCCTGAGAATTTGCGTTTCTCACATTGCTGTCAGCATCACCTGGGAACTGGGGATCACAGAACTGAGAATCGCTGGTAGAACCTCCTAGTACCCACCTTTTTTTTCCTTCTTTAAAACTTTTGTTAAATTATACTTCTTAAAAGCTCTCTCTTTTTTGGCAAAATTAAAATCCTGTAGGACAAAACTATAGTCCCCCGCCCCCCTCCATCTTCTGTCGTTTAGATCATGAGCTCCTCTGATACAAAGGTTGAAATTTTCTCCAGTGGTATGGTGGAAAGAACTTAGGTTTTACAGTCAGATGAATTCTAGGATAAAATCTTGACTCTGTCACTTATTAGCTCTATGACTTTGGACAAATTATTTAACCACTAAGAGGCTCCATTATCTCATCTATGAAATGGAACTAGTGATTTCCAAATCTTGGGAGTTTTGTGAGGGTTGACTGGGGTAATGTGTGTAACCTCCTAGTATGGTGACAGACCGTAATGAAAACAGCCTAATGTTTACAGAGCATTGATTGAGCAGTAGGCCTTCTTTTAAGGTCTTTACATTTATGAACTTCCCTAATTGTGACAACAGCTCATTTTACAGCCTATGAAGAGGGTTCATTACTATCTCCATTTTACAGATGAAGAAAGTACAGCCCAGAGAAGGGACTGGCTCAAGACCAAACAGCTGGCCGAACTGGAATTTGAATTCTGTGATCTGGATCTAGAGCCCATATCCCAGCCACCATGCTTTGCTGTGTTAACAGTATAAGTTTAGCAGTCCGCCTTGCTAGGATGCAGTTACTCTATGATGCCACGTAAAGAGAGGTCCATGACACAGACAGATAAATGCCACATGTTCTCACTCATGTGTGGGAGCTAAAAACAACTGAGCTCATAGAAACAGAAGTAGGGGTGAGGCACTGTGGCTCACGTCTGTAATCCCAGCACTTTGGGAAGCCAAGGCGGGTGGATCACTTGAGGTCAGGAGTTCGAGACCAGCCTGGGCAACATGTGGAGACCCCCATCTCTACAAAAATACAAAAATTAGCCTGGCATTGTGGTGCGCACCAGGGATCCCAGCTACTCTGGAGGCTAAGATGGGAGGATTGCTTGAGCCCAGGAGGTCGAGGCTGCAGTGAGGTATGATCACACCACTGCACTCTAGCCTGGGTAACAGAGGGAGACCCTGTCTGAAAGAAGGAGGCTGGGAAGTGCAGCAGGGAGGGGAGGGCAGGAGTAGGTTGGTTAATGGATGTAAAATTACAACTAGACAGGAGGAATAAGTTCTAGTGTTCTAAAGCACCGTAGGGCGAATATAGTTAACAATTTATTTTATTTGTTCAAAAAGCTAGAAGAGAGGATTTTCAGTGTTCCCAACACAAAGAAATGGTTTTCGAGGTGATGGATATGCTGATTACCCTGATTGGATCCATTACACATAGCATACATGGATAGAAATAGCACTCTGTGCTCTATAAATGTGTACAATTTTTACATGTCAACTGAAAATAAAAGGAAAAAAAGATGTGCAAATATGTTTTGAGATCTTTAAAGCGCCATGTAAATGTGTGGTATGTTTTGCTTGTTAGGAGTACTGCTGTCCCATTATGTATTTGAACAACTCCTCATAAAGTACCTTTGGCTTGGGGAAAAAAAAGAGTTAACAGTGAGTGTCATATTGACCATACTGTGAGCAGGATCTGGTCACGGTGAGGCATGGTGATCATGGAAGACACTCGAAGGCTCTGGTTGGTTTGCTAGCCAAAATAGGTCAGAGTGTGTGTGTGGGGGGGGGTGAGAGTGTGTGTGTGTGTGTGTGAGAGTGTGTGGGGTGTGTGTGGGGGGGTGAGTGTGTGTGAGACAGTGTGTGAGGGGTGTGTGAGTGTGTAGGGTGAGTGTGTGAGAGAGTGTGTGAGAGTGTGTGAGAGTGTGTGGGGGTGTGTGAGAGTGTGTGTGGGTGTTTGTGGGGGGTGTGAGAGTGTGTGGGGGGTGAGTGTGTGTGAGTGTGTGAGGGGTGTGTGTAGGGTGAGTGTGTGATAGTGTGAGAGTGTGTGGGGGTGTGTGAGAGTGTGTGGGGTGAGTGTGTGGGAGGTGAGAGTGTGTGAGAGAGTGTAGGGTGAGTGTGTGTGAGAGTGAGTGTGAGAGTGTGTGGGGTGAGTGTGTGTGAGTGTGTGGGGGTGAGAGAGTGTGTGTGAGAGTGTGTGTGTGAGTGTGTGAGAAAGTGTGTGTGTGAGAGTGTGTGGGGGAGGGTGTGTGTGTGTGAGAGTGAGTGTATGTGAGAGACAGAGGGTGGTGTGTGTTTGTGCCTGTGTGAGTGTGTGTACTGCAGGGTAGATATCCTGATACCTGTTTCATGCCTTCAGGCCCACAGCTGGCTGTGGCCTCGCAGGACCAGGAATGCGTTTGTGTGTAATTATGTCACCCTCTAGCGGTGACTTCCCTACTAGCCCTTTATCCTTGAAAAGCCCACTCGGGTGTCGGTGACCTCTCTTCCCAGTGACAGCCCGGGAGCAGAACTTCGGGGAGATTCTGGCATGGAGGGACAGTGCTGGGAAAAGCGGGGTGTGGCCGGGCATGAAGAGAGTGCCAGGGCCCGGGAAGAGTGAAAAGTACAACTAGGACTAATGAGGAGTGCACCCTGCCGAGCAGAAGGGGAAGCAGGAGCGGGCCAGGCACAGCGTCTGGAGAGGAGGGAAGAGAAGGCGCTCTCAAGGGGAGGCTCTTGCGTGTCAATTTCTGCCAAGTGCCATTTTATGTCTGTGGGGTGGGACGGTTATCGCAGCTAGAGCTCTTTCCAGAATGTCAGCACTGAGGGCCGAAGTGGGCGTGGAGAAGCAGTTTCAATTCTGTTTTCCAAGGGAAGTAGGCACAGGTTTAGAGGCTGCCTGGAGCTGCCTAAATTCCAAACGTTCACCACCGTGGAGTGGACTGCTGACTTGGCTGCTTCTGCCTAGCCTGGGGCTCTGTTCCCTCTGCCAGTAAAGGTCATTTTATCAGGATCCTCAGAGGCTTTCGCATGTTGATAAATATTTCAAAAGACAAGGGGGAATCAAGATCAGTCTTACTGAGAGCGGATTTGGAACTCCGCGTTCGGCGGGACGCTGCCGCCCGAGGCCTGACTGAGCCACAGTGCGAAGGGTGCTCCCTTTTTGAAAAGGTGCTGGCGCCAGGCCAGGCTTTGCTGGAAAGTCCTATCTGGATGAGTCAGAGCATTTACATTTCTTACATAATGTCAGACCCAGAGGAGCTTTAGGGATCAGCCCAGCTACAGAGTTCACAGCCAGGTCCCCTTTTCTGCCAAGAGGATAGGGTTAAAGGTTTTAAAAAAAACAAGCAGAGTCTCAAGGGGCAGAAAAGCGAAGGCTCAGAGTTAATGCTGATTAACTCTTCACACCCCAGAAAAGATGGTTCTGAGGTAAAACCACACCTTTATGTCACATGATGCCACTGCCTTCCTGAATCCAGTCATTCCTAAAGAGGTCAGTAACACCAAGCACTGACCTTCCCGCCTTGTGTGCAGGAAATTAAAGAGGCATGAAAACCCTGTCCACATTTTCTCTAAAGTTGGAACAGCTTGCCTGGGGCTTCAGACTGAGCTTCAATCTCAAGCTTCAGTGAGATTCTTTGTTGTTTATTTTTTATTTTTAAACTATTTGGCCAGGCGCGGTGGCTCACGCCTGTAATCCCAGCACTTTGGGAGGCCGAGGTAGGCAGATCACTTGAGGTCAGGAGTTTGAGATCAGCCTGGCCAACATGGTGAAACCTCATCTCTACTAAAAATACAAAAATTAGCCAGTGTGATGGTGTACGCCTGTAATCCCACCTGCTCAGGAGGCTGAAGCAGGAGAATCGCATGAACCTGGGAGACGGAGGTTGCAGTCAGCTGAGATCGAGCAACTGCACTCCAGCCTGGGCGACAGAGCAAGACTCCGTCTCAAAATAAACAAACAAACTAACTAACTAACTAACTAACTTACTATTGAAGGCCAAAGAGTTCAAGTAACTAACATAAGAAATCAGTGGCTACTGTTGTAACCATCAAGAATTCTTTAATGGGCCAGGTGCAGTGGCTCAGGCCTGTAATCCCAACACTTTGGGAGGCCAAGGCAGGTGGATTACGAGGTCAGGAGTTCGGGATCAGCCTGGCCAACATGGTGAAACCCTGTCTCTACTAAAAATACAAAAATTAGCTGGGTCTGGTGGAGCACACCTGTAATCCTAGCTACTCAGGAGGCTGAGGCAGAATTGCTTGAACTGGGGAGGCGGAGGTTGCAGTGAACTGAGATCACGCAACTGCACTCCAGCCTGGGTGACAGAGCAAGACTCTGTCTCAGAAAAAAAAAGAAAGAAAGAAAAAAAAAAGAATTCCTTAATTTCCTTAATTTAACTGGTTCAGGGAACCTAAATGAGAGTTGTCACATAATAGCAAATCTTAGTGACCAGATGACACTCAAAGCAGGTGTAAATATTTAACAAAAGCACTGTGTAGACATTTAATGACAATGGTTGCTTTTTGTTTGCTTGCTTTTTATTTGTTTACAAATGAAAATAAAGCAGAGAATGAGAAGTCACTTTCTCAGGGTCACGGGAACAATTCAGGTTGAACGCATCTCTCCTCCGACATGCCGAGCGTCTTTGAGTCTCCTCACCCAGGCGCACACTCAGGATTGCAGTCATCTGCTATTGTTGCCTTTATTTATTTTGAGACGGAGTCTCGCTCTTGTCACCCAGGCTGGAGTGCAGTGATGCGATCTCGGCTCACTGCAACCTCCGCCTCCCGGGTTCAAGGGATTCTCCTGCCTCAGCCTCCCGAATAGCTGGGACTACAGGCATGTACCACCACGCTCAGCTAATTTTTTTTTTTTTGTATTTTTAGTAGAGACGGGGTTTCACCATGTTGGCCAGGCTGGTCTTGAACTCCTGAGTTCAGGTGATCCACCCGTCTCGGCCTCCCAAAGTGCTGGGATTACAGGTAGGAGCCACTGCACCTGGCCTATTGTTGCCTTTTTACTTGATATTTCAATAAATTTGTGAGCAATTGGAATGGTAAGAAATTCGCTGCAGTACATAAAAGTTTGATCACTTAGACTGCTGTGTGATTAGGGTTGCTCAGTGATCTTCCGGCAATAAAGGGAGGAAAAGGAGAAATTTCAGATGGAGTGATGATGGATGTCCTCAGGCATGTCAATGGCTGCTGAAGTGCTATGGGAAAATGGAAAACACAATCTTTGGGATCCCTCTTTCAGCCATTTTCCTGCTTTTATATCTATAAACTTTAAAAAGTAGGGCATACTTTAAACAATAGTATACTAAGAAATTGTCACCGCTGGCAGAGCCAAAATTGAATCAGCTTGCCTTGTGATTACATCAGAAATGTGTCTTAGTCTGTAAAGCTTCACTACAGGAAATGCCCAGGAGCTGCTAATAAAGTTTAATACACATTTGCTTCCTTAATGCTATATTAACATCCTGACCATCACAACTTTCATTGTAAACCTATTGCTTATTAAAAACACCCTGTAAGATGTCACAAACTGACAGAAAGTTGGGGCTACTACATGAATTAATATGCTAACTAGTATTTTTCAGTGTTATATAGTATAAGATAGTAAGTGCTTGAAATATGAGCATTTTGAAATCCTTGGCCAGCATAATCCCATGGGTAACACTGAATTATCCATGGCTGTGGGAGAGAGCAGGTGGTTCACTTCCAACCATGGGTTGTGTTCCAAACTAAGGGTTTTTGTTTGTTTTGTTTTCTTTCTTTTAAAGAAAATCAAGTTTATTTTTGAAACTGTTCATTTTAATTCTAAGACAAAGCTAGAAAAAGAAGAATGGAAGATCTGGAAAAAAAGCATTGTCAACTGTCACTGTCCTACCATGGGAAAGAAATGTCTTACAAACGGAAAAAAAAGTTGGAGAGAACGAGAAGTTTCTGGTGTTATGTAAGAGGAAGCGCCCAGATTACATATAAAAGTCAACTGCTTCACGCCCTGTTACTAAATATTAGGGATGCAAAATACGTGGTGGCAGTAAGTCAGAGCCTGGTTTCCTAAATATTTCTTACATGTTAGGGATCCTGAGAGATCCCTAAACAAGTAGAAAATTCTTTTTTTTTTCTTTTTGAGACAGGGTCTCACTCTGTTGCCTAGGCTGAAGTGCAATGGCATAATCATGGCTCACTGCAGCCTCAACCTCCTGGGATCCTGGGCTCCTGGGCTCCTGGGGTGATCCTCCCACCTCAGCCTCCCGAGAAGTTCCACTACAGCCAGCCACCACGCCTGGCTAATTTTGCATTTTTAGTAGAGACGGGGTTTCTCCATGTTGGTCAGGCTGGTCTCGAACTCCTGACCTCAAGTGAGCCACCCGCCTCGTCCTCCCAAAGTGCTGGGATTACAGGTGTGAGACACTGCGCCCGGCCAACAAGTGGAAAATACTATCCTGAATGAGTGTGTGTGTGCCTGCTGGGAGAATATTTCCTAGTGTTTCCTAGATCCTTGTTAGTTGACTTCCCACCCACAAAGCCCCAGAAGGAGTAAACTGTCTCTAAATATCAGAATAAACAACAACAATAAAACAACTTTTATATTTTCATTTCTTTTTCTTTTTGTTTTGTTTTGTTTTGTTTTGTTTTGTTTTTTGAGACAGGGTCTCACTCTGTTGCTCAGGCTGGAGTGCAGTGGTGTAATCATGGCTCACTGCAGCCTTGAACTGCTGGTCTCAAGCAATTCTCCTGCCCCAGCCTACCAAGCAGCTGGGACTACAGGCATGCGCCACCACACCCAGCTAATTTTAAAATTTTTTGTAGAGACAGGGTGTCCCTATATTGCCCAGGCTGGTCTCTAACTCCTGGTCTCAAGTGATCCACCTGCCTCAGCCTCCCAAAATGCTGGGATTTCCGGCGTGGACCTCACTGCCCAGCTAAAACAACTTTTAAAAGGTATATTAGAGATCCAACTAGATTCTACTCTTGCATTTATCTGCAGCATATCAGTTTGGTTTGCCCATGGTTAGGTGGTTCTTGGTCTGGGTCTTAGTTTCATGCGTCTATGCATATGTGGAAACTCATCAAGCTGTACATTTAAGACTTGTGCGTTTTAACTCTGTGTGTTTTGTTTCAATTTTAAAAAGTTTTTATTTATTTATTTTTTAAGTCAGAAGGGGTTTAATGGGTCAAGAAAAGTTTACTTCTGTGCACACAAATTATCTCAAGGTCTGTTTGTTCAAACAGGGTAACCAAACAGGGACCGATTCTACAGTGGCTGCTGCCCGGAGTTTTACACAGATGGGAGCATGGCCGTACCCCTGAACCCTCCAACCTTCTCTTGCCTGTGATTACCACTCCTTCCCTGGCCTTTTCTGGCCTGGCTGCTTTCACTGCTGAAGTAGGGCAAGGATTTTGTTTCTCTTCATTACCCTTCACCTTGCCAGGCCTCTGTTCATCCCATCCCTCGGCCCCTAGTACAAAGTATGCAGTTAGCACTCCATAAATATTGACTTTAATTTTGATTATTTTTCTCTGGTTAATATGTGTTGGGGGCCGGGTGCGGTGGCTCATGCCTGTAATCTCAAAACTTTGGGAGGCCAAGGTGAGAAGATCACTTGAGCCCAGCAGTTCAAAACCAGCTTGGGCAATACAGTGAGATCTAGTCTCTTTTTTTTTTTCAAAATAATTAAAAATAAATATGTGTTGGGGTGGGCAGTGAGTGCGGGAAAGAAGGGGGAAAGGGAGATTGTTTCTAATGTACAGACGGGGAGACGTCTGGGGCTGCGTAGGAGCTGGGGTGAAGAGCACAAGGCATTCTGGTTTTGCCTCTGTATTTGATAATGTTTTCTTAATGTTGGAAAAATGCAATAGTTTTATCATTTGCCACATACCTTCCCATGCTGTTCCCTACTGAACCAAATCAGGTCATATTATACTGGCTATGTTATACTGCGCTGTTTTCCATTGACTTTTTGGTTATTGATATTGGCTTTTAGTGTTGGGTGTGTGGTTTCTTTTCACACAAACATGAATACGTTGTACCACTGAGATTTTCCTAGGGGTTCAGTCATTTTGAGTTGGAGATGGTCATTGGGATGCATTTTTACATTCCTGTTCTCACTTTCTTTTTTTTTTTTTTTTTTTGAGACGGAGTCTCGCTCTGTCACCCAGGCTGGAGTGTAGCGGCCTGATCTCGGCTCACTGCAAGCTCCGCCTCCCGGGTTCATGCCATTCTCCTGCCTCAGCCTCCCGAGTAGCTGGGACTACAGGCGCCCGCCACCATGCCCAGCTAATTTTTTGTATTTTTAGTAGAGATGGGGTTTCATTGTGTTAGCCAGGATGACCTTGATCTCCTGACCTTGTGATCCGCCTGCCTCAGCCTCCCAAAGTGCTGGGATTACAGGCATGAGCCACCATGCCCGGCTCCTGTTCTCACTTTCATCTGTGGGTGCCACCCAGAGCATAGGCTTTCTATGGAACAGTGAATGTGCTTACATATGAGTAGAAGAAGCGAGGTTTTTCTTATGCAGCCCGGGAGACAAGGAAACCGCTGTGATGCCGTGTGCCAATAGCATGCATTTATTTGTGGTATATCAGAGCCTCAGATCCAGCCATCCCAGACAGTCACGTCCACAAGGATGAGACCCTTTTGCAGGAGACAGAGAACACACCTCCCTTATTCCTGCTCCAGCAGTTGAGATCTGCTGGAGACCCTTACTCATGTTTCCTGGACTTGAACTTTAGGACACTGGCCACTGGGCATTTTTTGCAGAGGGTACTCATTAGAATTTCTCTTTCTGTCAGTTTTTTAGCCTATTTTTTAAGCTAAATTTCTAAATGCTTTTGAAACCAACGGTGTTGTTTTATTTTGCTGATAGAACCCAGATGCGAGGAGGGAGTTGTTTTTTTTTTTTTCCTTCCATCATTTGAATCATTGCACAAGCACCGTATCACCTAGAAACAGAGGGTGATTTCAGGACAGTGCTGTGGCCACAAAGCATGGTTAGGTTTGGAAAAGCAGCAGGGAAAAAAAAATGCCTTCTGATTCAACACTTCCGTTCTATGTGATTTAAGCACATATCTAGTTACAAGGTTTCTTTGGCAAAAACAATTTTTTGCTCTGGAGTTAGCCAGGCAAAGCCAGCGTCCCCCTGGCCAGTTGAGTTTGAGGACCATCTGCCTCACACATCATTAGCAGCATTGTTTGTTTAGGGCCCTTCTGTAGAATCTTTATTCATGGAGAAGTAGAAGAAAACTCAAACAGCTCAGCTGGATTTCCAGGTCCTGCGTGGAATTTGTAACCCCTTTGACTTCTCAACTGAGAAAATTGGATGCGGCTGTCACAGAAAGAGAATAAATACGGAACCCCACAATGCTATGCTTGCAGCCACTTTTATTCCATTGAATTTCACACATAATGAAAGGCAGGCATACTCTGAGAGGCACGGAGCTGAACCAGTGCTGGGAGTCCTGCAATTCCAAGTAGGTTGAGCTGGTGATAATTCTGGGCAAAATACTTTAGTCCTCTTTAGTTGGCCGCTGGCTAAAGCATGCGGGCAGTGATACGGCTCCTGTTATCCTACTGCGAGTGTTCTGCTTTTAGAACTAAGAAAACGGTGAAAGAGGAAAGACAAGTGATTAGTTAACACCTAAAAGATGTATGCCCTCACGAATAATCAAAGAAAGGCAGTTTAAAATTTGATAGCATTTTTTCCCTATTGTGAGAAAGAATTTTTTAAAATGATAATATCCAAACATCTTAATTAGCTTTTGTCATTTAAAGCTAAAACCCAGTTTAGTGTTTTATTAGACTTGACTTTCATGAAAGGTTGGGAATTCTAAAAATAACTTATTTTGAAAGAGTAATGAATGGCCCAACAAACTTAATGGTCCAGTTCAAGCTATTGGTTGACTGGTCAATAGATGCTAGAGAAGTTAGGACTGGAAAAGACGTTAGGGCTTATGTGGCTCTGCCCTGTCATTTTCTAACTGAGAAGGCTGGGACCTAGAGACGTTGTGTGACTTGTCTAGGGTCACACAGTTGTACGGAGGCTGGAATTGCATTAGTAAAACATGATGAGTTGTTATTTAGATCTTGCTCTCAGCAAATAGCTTCATATAGGATTAAACTTTTTGTTTTCAATACCTCAAGGATGTTGAGCTTCCCTGTCTTTCCAGACAGACAGGATGTCCGAGACCTCAAATCAGGCACTGTTGCCTCATTTATTCTTTGTCCTTAGATGAACGAGTGGCTGGATACCTCTACATCTTTAGAAAAAAATTTTTTGAGATACAGTCTTACTCTGCCACCCAGGCTGGAGTGCAGCTGCATGATCGTGGCTCACTGCAACCTCCAACTCCTGGGCCAAGCGATCCTCCCACCTCAGCCTCCTGAGTAGCTGGGACTGCAGGTGTGCATCACCATGCCCAGCTAATGTTTTTATTTTTGTAGAGATAGGGGTCTCACTGTGTTCCCCAGGCTGGTCTGGAACTCCTGGGCTCAAGTGATCCTCCCACCTCAGCCTCCCAAACTGCTGGGATTGCAGGCGTGAGCCACCACATCCGGCCTAGATCTGTTTAATGGGGATAATAATCCTGGCACAATTGATGTCCCTTTGATAATCTTGAAACCCCTTGAGCAACTACAAATAAAAATAAGGCATGTACAGTCTAAAAGGGGGATAAACGTATATAGGTAAGTCTAATACAAAACAGAATAAGTGTTGTAAGAGGTTGTATTAGTTAAGGTCTTGAGGTTCCTGTAACAAACAAATCTCCCAAATGTAAATTGGCTCTAGAATCATAGAAATTTATTTCTAGCCCATGTAAAAGCCAAAATAGATGTTCATTATTATCAGGCAGGTCTCCCTCTGGTAATTTTGGGGCTTGGGCTTCTTCTGATTTATCACTCTACCTTTGGCCTGGTTTTGAAGGCCACCATGCTTGTCTGCATCAAGCTGAAAGAAGAAAAGCGAGCTTGGAGGTCTCCTGGTTGGAGATTTTTAGAGGCCAGGCCTGGGAGCTGCAGACATCACTTCTTCTAGTATACCTTTAGATAGCACCCAGTCATATGACCACCTCTTTGTGCAGTGGATGCTGGGTAATGTAGTCCAGCGGTGTGCAATTTTAGTGACCATCAAGTGATCTCTGCTACAATGGGCTTTGAGGGCCCAAAGGAGGAGGACGTCATATGAGAGTGAAGTAACTTATTGGACAAATACACACATGCCTAGGAGGGTGGAAATAATTAATAATTATTTCTACTATTAACCGTGATTTTGTCTTAATTTTAATAAGAGGGTTATATATCTCTTACATATTACAGATAATCTTCAGGAATCTTAGGAATTCCTAAATTTATCCTAATATTTAGGAATTCCTAAATTCCTGAAAATAAGGTGGGATATGTATCTCAATTTGTTTGTATTTTCAGGAGTGGTGACTCTTTCTGATCCATGGCCTGTGCTTACAAGATAGCCGGATCCCATGGAGATCACACCTGCTCCAGCTGTCTCATGCAGCTTGGGAGGTGACCACAGAAACAGTGGGCCCTCCCCAAAGCCACATGCGGATAGACTATAGTCAGGACTCTTCATCTCCATTCAGCAGTGACCAGAGGCCAGCGGCCCGAGGCCTGTGCTGGTGGTTTGTTCCAGCTGCGGACATTTGTCATCCCTTGGCTGCATAAGGCACAGACCACACCTCCTCGTCTCCTTTCCACTCAGGCTGACAGTGCTCTCCTTCTGCCCCTTGTAGTGTTTCTACTGAATCAGACCTCCCAGCTGGGCTCCCACCTTCCAGATGCTTACCCTCCACACTCCATCCATCATTATTGGAGCAAACGATTACCAGAGCTTTTCTAAATCCACATCTGATGGTGCCTCTCCCCTGTTCAGATGCCTCGGATGTCTCCTGCAGATGACAAGAGACGCCCAAACTCCTTATAAGGGGGCCCCAATAGGAAGGTTCTGCTTCACGAAGAATTAATGACTTTTGTTTGTCTTTAGATTTTGGCTTTGGTTCTCTCTCTCTCTCTCTCTGTCTCTCTTTCTCTCCCCCTTCCCTCTTCTGTTTTCTGAAGTTGAATTTTGGACTTGAAACTACGTGTCATGTGTTTTTCAGGCCTCTGTGCCTTTGCTCCTTGGGCGGGTCTCATTCTCCTATCTCCAGCTGTGAGAATCCTGTGTGTCCTCTTAGGGACAGGTTCAAATACCATCACCCCCAGAAAGCATCCCCACCGTTGGAACGACATAGTCTTTCTCAGCTGTTTGGATAGTAATTGATACCTCCATTATAACGTATTGCCCTGCTAAATGTTATAATCACATATGTTTGCCTCACCTCTACGAGATTCCTGTTATTCAACCAAGAGTTCCTGTTACTCAACTTTGAGTAAGACCTAATAGATGCTCAATAATATTAGTTGACTTGAATTAAGAGTCACAGAAAGAATTCCATTTCGATTACTTTTTGGCATTTTCACTGGGTCTGAACTTTTTCGTTTACTCTGAGTAGCAAATTTAAAATAGCAAACAATTTGGTTCTGATCATGGGAAATTGCTCTCAAGGTCATTGCAGAATGGCTGCTTTTCCTAAAGATTACCTGCAATGATGGAAGTATAGGTTGTCATTGGAATAGAAAATGGTTGTCTCCATGGCTGGTAGGTGGGGTCTTGCTCCTGGGCGGTAGGTTAGAGTTTGCTACCCTTACCTTGAGTGCCATGGTACTTTGCAAGTAACTCTGTTAAAGCTCCTACTGCACCACGTTTAAACAATGGATTTCAAATGGAACTTTCGGTTTTGTACAAGTGATGATTTGTGTTCTTGCCTGGCTTCCACTCTAGACCAGCACTATGAGACAGTCCATAAGCTCTCTGTGATCATGGAAACGTTCTATAATCCGTGCTGTCCAAAACAATAGCCACTAGCCACTTGTAGCTACTGAGCCCTTGAAACGTGGCTTCTGCAATGGAGGAACTGAACATTTAATTTAAATTCATTTTTAATTTAAATAGCCACATGTGGTCAGTGGCTACCATCTTGGGCAGTGATATTGAGTTCCTAGGAGAGTAGCATTGTATTAATTGATTGGAATATCCTATACAGTACTGTGTATTGAGTAAACCTACAGTAAGCATGTGTTAAATGATGAACAGTTAACATTTATTGAGTGCCTGCTGAATGCTAGGTGCTTCCCAGAGGCTGTCCTTGTGTTACCTTCATTTTCTGCAGAGCCCCGTGCTGGGGCAGCATAGACAGCAAGCTTGACCCCCATCATTGCAGCCTTCACCAAGAAAACAGGCAGTCGAGGGAGCAATTTAGCAAGAGGGTCAGGAGTTCCGTGAAAAGAAGCCTGGCAGAGCCATAAAAGAAACTAAAGAATTTTGGTGGTGAACCAAAAGCCTCTGTAACCTGCCCAGGCCTGAATTTGGTGATCATGCTTTTGCCTGAGGCAGCCACAGAGGTTATTTAATTCTCAAAACTAGGGCCTGTGAGACCCACAAACCTGGTCTGAGGTTTGCTAGCAGGGACTCTAGTTTTGGCAAAGGGAATGTGAACTGCTTAGCATTGGAGGGGGAGACAGGAGAGCTGACCACCTTGGCTCTGAATGTTCTCATCGGTGAGGAAGGAACTGGTGCTGTGCCTGAGTGGGCGTGAACTTGTTTTGCCTGTGGTTTTCTTTAGAAAGCTGCTTGGTTCCTCTTCTCTCAAAGGATTTGGAAGGTCTTCCCCGCACAATCAAAGGAGCAGTTTGAGACACAGGGGCGACAGCTGGGGACAGCATTAGAGGGACCCACATTACTTAGAGCTACTGGTTTCCCCCCAGATAAAAACCCAGGTGTCGTTTCTGCATGAGCAGTGAGTGACGAGGAGAATTCGCTTGCAGCCTCTCCGCTACGCTCTGCCTTTAGAGTCCCTCTAGCCGTGGTCCCTGTGTTGCCGCTTGCCCCTGGGTACCTGACTGATGAAGACAGGCTCTGGGGCTCGCCGTTGAAGGTGCTGTGGACCCAGGGGTGCTGTCCTTCCGCTGTTCCATTCATTGCAACATTCATCTCCTGCCTGTTTACAAAAATGAAGCAATTATCCTATTCTTCCAAATGGAAACTGCTAATTTTTGAAGCAGAAGGTTGACAGCTTCAGTAAGATCTCAAGAGAGCGAGAAGACTGGAATCAGGTGAGGCCATAACTTCTTATCTAAACTTAGTTTCTGGGGTGGAATTACAGAATTGCTTAGAAAAAGAGTCAATATAACTACTTGCAGAAAATACCACCTGTAAAAATCCAGATTTATAAATGGTGACTATGCATTTAGTACAATGATTATCATATATGTAATATATAAAATATATATATAATATGTATATTGAGGTCCCTTTAAAGAACAGCATGATGGGCTGGCTCATGCCTATAATCCTAGCAGTTTGGGAGGCTGAGGCAGGTGGATTGCTTGAGCCCAGGAGTTCAAGACTAGTCTGGGCAACATGGTGAAACTCTACAAAAAAATACAAAAATTAGCTGGGCATTGTGGCATGTGCCTGTAGTCTCAGCTACTCAGGATGCTGAGGTAGGAGGATCACCTGACCACAGAGAGATCAGAGCTGCAGTGAGCCATGATCACACCACTGCAGTCCAGCCTGAGCAACACAGTGAGACCCTATCTCAAAAAAAAGAAAAGAAAAAGAAAAAAGAACTGCATGGCAAATTTGAAAGTCTTTTGGAACATGACTTGTGAATGCTCCAAACATTCCAAAATGAATGAGTGAAGTAGCCAGGAGAAAGACAGCAGAGAGCAGTGGGGATTTGGGAAAGTTAGAGAACCTGTGTGCCACCCACCAAGACATTCATATTCCAAAGATTTGTAAACATTGTGTTAGTCAAAGACACTTGGGCTGGGCGCAGTGGCTCATGCTTGTAATCGCAGCACTTTGGGAAGCCTAGGAGGGAGGATTGCTTGAGGCCGGGAGTTCAAGACCAGCCTGGACAATATAGGGAGACCCCCATCTCCACAAAAGAATTTAAAAACTTAACCAGACACAGTGGCTTACACCTGTAGTCCCAGCTACTCAGGAGGCTGAGGTGGGAGGATCGCTTGAGCCCAGGAGTTCGAGGCTGCAGTGAGCTGTGATCATGCCACCGTACTCCAGCCTGGGTGACAGTGAGACGATGTCTCCAAAAAAGAAAAGACAGCTAGCTGACTGCCAGTTGGTGATCCTGGTTTTAAAAGTTGCATGGTTTCCCCAGGTCCTTTAAAAATACGCTCCATTTTGCAAACACAGTAGTACCTCTACTTGGTAGCACAAGACACATTTTTATTCTAATTAGCGCATGGCATAGAGAGAGGTTATCCACCTGCCCTTGGTGGTGATCCAGAAGTCCATTTATTTACTTCATTCACTCTAAGTAGACAGGAATTTGCAGAAAACAGTAGCAATTGCACAAATAAATGTTTTTCCCCTATAGTACAATACCCCAGAACTCTAGATCTGGTGAAAATAGATTACTTGCAGGACAAGAGCATCTAAACACCCCTCAATCCTCCAGCCCTTGAAAACAAAGTCCATAGCCTTGTTCTCTTGAAACAATTCCTAAACCACACTGACCTGTGACCTATACACTTCTGCCTTCTTTTCTAGAGCATATTTTAAAACTATTTTATTAGTATTCAGGAGAAGGGAACTTCCTCTTTCTTATCATCTGCACAGAATAAGACTTCCAGTGGACTTTTGCTTGATACCTGGGGAGAAAATTGTGCTTTTCCAAGTAAGATGAGTCATCTGAGATCTGCCATTTCTGGGAATTGTACAGGGACCCAGAGTCTTAGGGATCTGCTCTGCCTACTTTGTGGAATTTATTCTCACAGTGCATGAGTTGGTCACTTTCACACTGCTCCAGGCACCAGGAGTTGGAAGCTGGAAGCTCTATTCTCTGGAACATCAGGCATTAGATTTTAGTGTGAAGGCCTCAGGAATTGTTTCTGCGCTCCTGCCACCCTGCACTGTGATTGGGTCTGTTTTGCTATATACTTCCCAAATTGTGTACCTTATCACTGGGAATGGCACACACATTTCTGGGGAAGGGTAGTTTAGCATTTTTCTTAAGGGCCAGAATTTAAATCTCATCACTCCTACCAAGCCCCCAGCCCCTCCCACCAAGCCCCCAGCCCCTCCCCACCCCTAAGACATTTCTTCTCCTGCAAGCCAGAGAAACAATGAGAAAAGACACAGAATATTTGGGAGATGAGGCTTCCCAAAGGACTGCTGCAATCATGGTGGAGCTGATACAACCCTCTCCCCGCCCAATTTTTTATTTTCATTTCTACCAACTGTAGATTATGCATACACACAAGCAGATCACACAAAAGAATACTATGCCTCAGGGCTAGGAGGATTCATTGAGCAAAGCTTGGAAGGAAGAACTAGAGAGAAACCTAGAGACAGAGACCCTCGGGAGAAATAATTAAGGCTGGCAGGGAAAGGCTGTGTTAATTGAGCTGAGAAGAAAGATGAGCATCCGGGGATTCTCGTAAGAGGTGGTGGAATTTGCAGATAAAGTCATTGGTACATTATTGGATTCATCTTTGGTTACTACTTTTTAAAAATGTTTTTTGGGGAAGAATGCTATCTAGAAAAAAATTCATGCAAGAGAAACAGATAGCTACAGAACTAAATAGTAATAACTGACCAAAAAAAAAAGTGAGACAGAGGGTGATTTTGCCATATCCTCATTTCCTGGACTGAGCAAGAGAGGAAGCGAAATGCTGAGTCGGCTCCTGGCGTAGCGGCTGCCATTCATGTGCCGTTGATCCAGGCCTGGCACTGCGAGAGCAATACCCATTGGTTTGCACAGAACTCCCTCCCACCAGCCCCACCTGCCCTCAAATAGTCATCCCACGTGGTTGTCTCTACCTAAATTTCCCAACATGTTTCTTTTTGAGTATGAGGATCTTCTTTTTTAAGTCAAAAAATAAAAATAAAAAAGGTCACATGCCCCATGAGACCATAATTGTACTTTCCGCCAAGAAAATATAATATATAAAGACCTTCAAGCCATTAGGTATTAATATGACTTTTTTATTTTTAAATATTTTTGTTGTCTAATATAATGCAGAAAATTGCATACAGCATAATACATGCACAACTTAATAAACTGCTGTAGTGTGAACTGCCACATATCCATCACCAGGTTGGAAAATAGAACATTGCTGGTATCCCAGGAACTTCCTCGAGCCCCTTCCTCATCACAGCCCCCTCCCTTGGAAACCACTCCCTGATGTCATCATTTCCTTGCTTGCTTTTCTTTATGGCTTAACCACCAATGTGTGGGTCCCCAAACAAGATAGTTTTGCTATGAATGGAACCATAGTTCATATACTTTCTTGTGACTTGCTTCTTCTCAATATTATGTTCAGAAGATCCATGCATGTGGTTGCATGTAACTTGTAGTTTGTTTTCCTTCCTGCATAATAATTCTTTGTTGTAATATATCACAGTTAATTGTTTTGTCCATTCTATTGTTGATGGATATTGTTGCTTCTGGTCTGAGGCTATCAAGAGTGCTGCTATTCTTTTGTTGTTGTTTTTTTTTTTTGACATGGAGTCTCAGTTTGTCACACAGGCTGGAGTGCAATGGCGCGACCTTGGCTTACTGCAACCTCCGCCTCTTGGGTTCAAGTGATTCTCCTGCCTCAGGCTCCCAAGTAGCTGGGACTACAGGCACCCGCCACCACACCCAGCAAATTTTTTTTTTTTTTTTTTAGACGGAGTCTCGCTCTGTGGCCAGGCTGGGGTGCAATGGCACGACCTTGGCTCACTGCAACCTCCACCTCCCGGGTTCAAGCGATTCTCCTGCCTCAGCCTCCCAAGTAGCTGGGACTACAGGCATGCGCCACCACCCCTGGCTAATTTTTCTATTATTGGTAGAGACAGGTTTCACCATGTTGGCCAGGATAGTCTTGATCTCTTGACCTCGTAATCTGCCCGCCTCAGCCTCCCAAAGTGCTGGCATTACAGGTGTGAGCCACCGCGCCCCACCCTGTTATTTTGAAAGTTAGAGAACTGCCATGGGGAAATTCATTTATCCTTTCAAGAGATAAGAATGGGACATAAGATATTGCAATTTGTTAGAGAAAAAGAGGTCAATTAGCAGGCTCTTGTAGTAGCTCATAGTATGACAATAGGAATGTTGAGTAGGGAATATATTCAAAAAACACTATAGAGATACAATCAAGAGACCTTGGCAATTGATTTGACGTGGAAGGCAAAGAAGAGGGAGGAGTCACAAAGGATACCAAGATTTCAGGCCTGGATACAGGAAGAGAATTGGAAGACAGAGAACACGCATGATTGATATGAAGGTGTGTAATCAATCAGCATTTTAACTTCTATATTTGGCTCTCTAGGAAGATTCACTCAACCCACATTTTATGATCAAAAGGACAGTATCCAGGGTGACTGGTCCCCTATGTCTTTGACCCCATTCCTGCAGTGTTGCCCCCAGAAACTGGAAGCATGTCATGATGGGAGTTTTCCTGGGTAATTGATGCTGAATTATCAATGGGAATACCAAATCAGATTTTTTAAAAAGTTAATTTAACATTTATTATTTTTAGAGACCTCTGTCATCCAGGCTGGAGTGCAGTGGTACAATCATAGCTCACTGCAGCCTTGACCTCCTGTGATCCTCCCGCTTCAGCCTCCTAAGTAGCTAGGATTACAGACATGTGCCACCATATCCAGCTATTTTTTTTTTTTTTTTTGGTAGAGATGAGGCCTCACTATGTCGGCCAGGCTGGTCTCAAACTCCTGGCCTCGAGTGATCCTCCCATCCCGGCCTCCCAAAGTGCTGGGATTACAGATGTGAGCCACCATGCCTGGCCCCATATTAGATTTTGGAGGGACTACATAAATTTCACGAACAAGCAATTCTGAAAACAGTGGAAATTATTGAAGTCCTCCTTCATTGCACTATCTCTCCTCTTCTTCGAAAAGCACCTTGAAATTTTCTCTTTGACCAAACCACATCTTCATGTGAAATCCTTTCTGCTGTTTTCCTCCTGTTAAAAGCCCTCATATTCTTCAAGGCCCTACTCAAATCCCACATCCTGAGTACAGCTGCTCCCTTAGGCTCTTCTGACACTTCTTTTTTTTTTTTTTTTTTTTTGAGACGGAGTCTCGCTCTGTCGCCCAGGCTGGAGTGCAGTGGCGTGATCTCGGCTCACTGCAAGCTCCGCTTCCCGGGTTCACGCCATTCTCCTGCTTCAGCCTCCTGAGTCGCTGGGACTACAGGCGCCCGCCACCACGCCCGGCTAATTTTTTGTATTTTTAGTAGATGACACTTCTTATAGTGTACTTTTCTGGGCAGGTTTTCTGTTTTCCCCAGCTAGACCAATGCACCTTGGGGCACTCCCCAAGGTCTTACACATTTTTACATTATCTTATTAAGCAGTGCCAGCCTTTACTCTTAGAAGCTGAATGTTACTTATGTCTTTGAGGAAAAGACAGAGAGTTATGTCTGGGACCAGGAATCTCCAAAATCTCAATTAGCAGTGGATTCTCAGATAAGGGGAGGTACAGTCAAGCAGCTTCCTCACAGCAAATGGACCAAGTTGTATGGAAGTCGAAGGGACTCTCCTTGTCTTCATGAGAGGCTGGCCTTCGTGGCCTGCTTCCTCTTTCCCTGAGAGCCAGAGGAGGGCTTTTCTTTTCTTTCAGTCAACAAATATTTTTCTAGCAACTCCCACATACCCCTGTGTACTATCCTATCCACTGGGGAGAAAATGGTAAATAAGACCGTTTCCAGAGCATATGAGGGACAGAAACAAAAGCACAACAGATGAGCATGCCACACTATTCCATGTCACATTAAATGCTGTGGCTAAAACATGTGAGAAGCTAGAAATAGAATGATGCTGCTGGGGGCCTTCTTTGGCAGAGATGGTTAGAGAAGGCCTCTTGGAAGGTGTGGCCTCAATGACAAAGGAGCTTGCTCTGCACAGAGAGAGGAGAAACCATTCCCAGAAGTCGGCAAGGCACAGCGGGGAGAAACAGGATGGGTTTGGGTAAGGAGGTATCAGGAGTTTGGGGTTCTAAAGCACAGCATGAAATCCTAAAGAGGATGGAAAGGTTGGCGGGGCCAGATTCTGGAAGGCGTCATGTAATGGGGTGAGGAGTTATGACTCATCCTTTAGGAGATAGGAAACCTTTGAAGGGTTTTTTGTTGTTTTTTTTTTTTTTTTTTTTTTTTTTGAGACGGAGTCTCGCTCTTTAGCCCAGGCCGGACTGCAGTGGCACAGTCTCGGCTCACTACAAGCTCCGTCTCCCAGGTTCACACCATTCTCCTGCCTCAGCCTCCCGAGTAGCTGGGACTACAGGCGCCCACCACCACACCCAGCTAATTTTTTGTATTTTTAGTAGAGATGAGGTTTCACCGTGTTAGCCAGGATGGTCTCCATCTCCTGACCTCGTGATCCGCCCGCCTCGGCCTCCCAAAGTGCTGGGATTACAGGCTTGAGCCACCGCGCCCGGCCTCTTTGAAGGGTTTTAAGCAAAGAAGTCACATGGTCAAATCTAAGCTTTGAACAGAGCTCCTCGATCGCTATATCTACTGAAAGGCAAGACAGTTTTGTGCTATCGAAGTAAGAGCCTTTCTTGCTGAGGACATAGTTTCTTGGTGAGTTTCACTGTTAAGGCCAATCTAAAATGTCCCTCCACGTTCTCTCCAAACCTTATGTTTCTTCACGTGCACTCTGTACCTCACCTCTGCATCTTCCATGAGCCCCTCACACCAAACCAGGATCCACCCTTCCAGACCCATAGCTCTTGACCTGGTTTGTCTTTTCCATCCCAAAGTAAAACTAAGTACCAACTCTTTAAAACTATTATGTTTTAATTCCTCCAGCTTTAAGCAGCCTGGCCTGTTCTCAACCCACATATCATTTTGGCTAGGGGAGAAGTCTAGTTCTTTCCGCCCACAAGGCTGTGTGTGTATCTAAGTGTGTGTATTAATACTAGTAACTTTGCATGTTTTGTAAACCTTGCTTTTTGTGATATCTCCTGCATATCAGAATGTTGTTTTCTGACTTTCACACTATTCGCAGCCGTAGTAACAGGGCAATGGTGCAACGAAGAAAAGAAAGAGGCTGGGTACCGCGGCTCACGCCTGTAATCCCAGCACTTTGGGAGGCCGAGGCAGGTGGATCACCTGAGGTCAGGAGTTCAAGACCAGCCTGGCCAACATGATGAAACCCATCTCTACTAAAAATGCAAAAATTAGCCGGTCGTGGTGGCAGGCACCTGTAATCCCAGCTACTCGGGAGGCTGAGGCACAAGCATCACTTGAATCGGGAGGCGGAGGTTGCAGTGAGCTGAGATCATGCCACTTGCCTAGGCAACAAAGTGAGACTCTGTCTCAAAAAAAAAAAAAAAAAAAAAAAAGAGAAAGCAGAGAAGGTGTTATGCTCTAGTGACAGGGAGGACCTGTATTTGGGGAAGAGTAGAAAGATCTGGATTCCAAGCCAGGGTCAACCATTCAATTGCTGTATGAACAAGTACTTAATTTTAGTTTCCCTGTTTTCAAAGTGAGAATAATAATGGCATATGCCACAAATGTTGGCAGAGATTAAATGAGAAAAATAGATGTGAAACATTTAGTGCAGTGCACTAAGAGGTGCTCAATAAATGTTGATTAATACTAGCTATTGTCACTGGTTATCAATCAAAAGACATTTGTTACTGCTGAGTAAAACCATACTGGGCGCAAAGGGGCTCGCAGAGAAAGTAGAAAAGGTAAGTTTGAACCTTTAGGAAGCATTTGATCTACTAGAGAAGTAAGAAGTATATACTTCACCTGAGAAACAGCCCAAGGCAGCATAAGTGGGGTAGGGAGGTGCAGACCAGATACATGGATTCATAAGGGCCGAAGAGGTTGAGACCTCTTCGGTCTCAACCCATGAGAATGAGATTCTCATGGGGTGGGGTTAATCAAGCACAGTTTTATGGAGGGAGTGAATCTTGAGCCTGGATGTGAAAGTAGTTTAATATCTGGATTGCTGCAGAGCAGAGGAGAATGCTTCCTTGGGAAGAGGATCAGAATGAGGTCTTGGGGGAAAAGTGGGGTTTGTTCTAGGAGTAGAAGGACATTGGAAAAGGAGACTTCATGTTGGGAAATTCAGGAAAACAATGAGAGGTAAGATGAGGCCACATTGGAAATAAAGAACTGGGAACCACTATACGTTTTCAAATAGGGGAATATTATGATGTAAAATTAGTATTTTAGGGAAAACTGGTATTGTGTCTATGTGCACTTGTGAGTGAGACCACGAAGAACTACTCTGGTGTTCAGATGCCAGAAGGGTGAGTACTCACCTGGAAATTGGGAAGGAAATGAGTGAACCTGATGTACATTTTAGGAGGTATTTGTCTATTGTGCTGAGGTCCATAAACAGTCTTTCTCTACAGTACGAGAAATGAGTGGCCAAAGGGAGAGAAGCCACAGGACTCCAGCTAGCAAGGCCTGCTCCTCCTCCACCTGCCCCTCCCCTGTCCCATGGAAATCATCCAGTCTGAGGCCCCTCCTTCAACAGCAATGCAGCCAGGAGTTCACAAAGGGAAGCATTTCCTTTCCAAAGACTGCTAAGATGGTTTACCCTGTTATGCCAGGAATGTTAACAAAATTGCAAATGTACTTTTATTCTTTTGTTTTTTCTCTTTTTTTTGAGACGGAGTCTCACTTTGTCACACAGGCTGGAGTGCAGTGGTGCAATCTCGGCTCACTGCAAGCTCCACTTCCCAGGTTCAAGCGATTCTCCTGCCTCAGCCTCCCAAGTATCTGGAATTACAGGCACCCATCACCACGCCCAGCTAATTTTTGTATTTTTAGTAGAGATAGGTGTTGCCATGTTGGCCAGGCTGGTCTCAAACTCCTGACCTCAAGTGATCCACCTGCCTCAGCCTCCCGAAGCGCTAGGATTACAGGCATGAGCCACCGCACCCTGCCTGTTTTTTTTCTCTCTCTTTTTTTTTTTTTTTTTGAGGCAGGGTCTCAATCTGTCACCCACGCTGAAGTGCAATAGCACAATCACGACTCACTACAGCCTTGAACTCCTGGGCTCAAGCGATCCTCTGGCCTCAGCCTCCCAGGCACCACCATGCTCGGCTAACTTTAGATTTTTTTGTAGAGACAGGGTCTCACTGTGTTGCCTAGGCTGGTCTTGAACTCCTGGGCTCAAGCAAGCCTCCCACCTCAGCCTCTCAAAGTGCTGGGATTATAGGTGTGAGCTACTGCACCTGGCCACAAGTGTATTTTTTTTTTTTTGAGACAGAGTTTCACTCTTGTTGCCCAGGCTGGAGTGCAATGGCGCAGTCTCAGCTCACTGCAACCTCCACCTCCCGAGTTCAAGCAATTCTCCTGCCTCAGCCTCCCGAGTAGCTGGGATTACAGGTATGTGCCACCGTGCCTGGCTAATTTTGTATTTTTAGTAGAGACAGGGTTTCTCCATGTTGATCAGGCTGGTCTCGAACTCCTGACCTCGGGTAATCCACCTGCCTCGGCCTCGCAAAGTGCTGGGATTACAGGCGTGAGCCACTACTCCAGGCCAAGTGTATTTTTTTTTTTTTCAGACGGAGTCTCACTCTATCGCCCAGGCTGGAGTGCAGTGGCACGATCTTGACCCACTGCACGCTCCGCCTCCCAGGTTCACGCCATTCTCCTGCCTCAGCCTCCTGAGTAGCTGGGACTACAGGCGCCCGCCACCACACTGGGCTAATTTTTTTGTATTTTCAGTAGAGACGGGGTTTCACCGTGTTAGCCAGGATGGTCTCGATCTCCTGACCTCATGATCTGCCCGCCTCGGCCTCCCAAAGTGCTGGGGTTACAGTTGTGAGCCACTGCGCCCGGCCGCCAAATGTATTTTTAAATTACACATTCTATAGCTCCCCACTGGGTGACCAAGTAAGAGTGCTTTTCTTTTCTTTCAGTCAACAAATATTTTTCTAGCAACTCCCACATACCCCTGTGTACTATCCTATCCACTGGGGAGAAAAATGGTAAATAAGACCGTTTCCAGAGCATATGAGGGAAAGAAACAAAACCACAACAGATGAGCACGCCACACTATTCCATGGCACATTAAATGCTGCGGCTAAAACATGCAAGAAGCTAGAAGTAGAATAATGGCGATGGGGGCCTTCTCTGGGAGGGATGGTCAGGGAAGGCATCTTGGAAGGTGTGGCCTCAGTGACAAAGGAGGCCTGCTCAGCACCCTTGAAGAGGTCCCCACCTAGGCTCGTGGCTATTTCTGGACAGGTTTCTGGATGTGACGGTGCCTGTCTGAGGAGAGGGGCAGATGTGGGAGGTGGCTCCATTTCCTGCAGGAGTCTTGAGATGCTTGAGTCCCTGGGTGCTGGGGAAGTCAGTTCTAGATATCAGTGGGTTTGTGTGAATGGCTAATGACCTGAAATCAACCCCTCATCCTGTGGGGCAGAGATGTTGTTTCAGGCACTGCTCTGAAGTATGGTGGAAAGCACAGAGTTGCTTGGGGTCTCAGCTTTACCTGTCCCGGTCTCTCTTTTTGGTCTCTTAACTCTAGGCTGGATGGACATGGCCCCTTAAGGAAATGAAAGTGAGTGACTGAGTCCTAGCAGAAAAAGGAGGAGATCTTGGAGTTCCTGTCTTCCAACACGCACCTCTTTGGTTGTGATGGTGAAGTGGGACAGTGCCATCTCAGCAGGGACCTTGGATGTGCTCTAGAGGGGGTCTTGGAGGTGTAGCATCGTTACATCCCCTCCCACCATCCTGCCTACACAGTGGTTTTGGGGGCACAGATATTTCAGAGAGTAGTCTTCCCAAGAACCCTACATCAAGTATGCTACCACCCCTTCCCATTCTTGATTCTGGTCCCCTCTTTATTTTCCTCATAGTATTCACTGGACCTAACTTATGATACATTTGTTTGTTCACTGCCATGTCTCTGGCACTTAGAGCAGTAACTGGCACATATTAGGCACCCAGGGTGTAATTCATTTGATTAATGAATGTATTGAATGGCTGCATGGATGAATGAAGAGGAGGAACAGAGCAGATGTCTGACCAGCTCATTCTGGCTTCTGGAAGGATCCTGATTGGGAATTTTGCATCTTTCCCTCCCCACAGCCTCCTAGTCACTACTACTAAAGAATAGAGACCCTGACTCCCACTTTTTTTTTTTTTTGAGATGGAGTCTTGCTCTGTCACCCGGCTGGAGTGCAGTTGTGCTATCTTGGCTCACTGCAACCTCCACCTCCCAGGTTCAAGCGATTCTCCTGCCTCAGCCTCCCAAGTAGCTGCGACTGCAGGCATGTGCCACCACATCTGGCTAATTTTTATACTTTTTTATTACAGGTGAGCTTTCACCATGTTGGCCGGGCTGGTCTCGAACTCCTGACCTCAGGTGATCTGCCCACCTTGGCCCCCCGAAGAGCCCCGCATTCTTAACTACTGTGTTTGGTATGTTTGAATTGACACTTGCCTCTTAGGAAGGGGAATCTTTTTAGACCCTGGGGAAATCTGTAGTTATTGCAAAGGCCTTTTCCTGCCTGTTGGGCATTTACCAGATCTTTCTTCCTACACAAGGAGAGCCTCCCCTGGTTGAATCCTGCTATAAATCTCACTAGTGACCCACAAACAGGGGTCCCAATGTGACCTGCTCATTAACACAAAACCGTCAGCCCCCATACAGCTTCCTGCCTTCCCAGTCGGGTTGAGGCAAGAAATTTCCATTCTGCCCATGCTGATGAAACCAGTCGCCAGCATTTACCTTTCTAAGGGGTCCTTTCTCCTCCCACCCCAGCCCACCCCAGCACAAGAATGTAAGAGAGGGCAAACAGCTGCCTGGCTTCAGTTCTATGGCCACTCAAGAATTGGCTCGCATCTGTCTGCCAGGACAGAGAGCGTCCTGAGGGGGCTGGTGTGTGTGTTGTGTGTGTGTGTGTGCACGCGCGCGTGCATATGTGTGTATGGGGGAGTTCAGTTTCAGGTACCACACATCTGGAAGTCAGAGAAAGAAGCCACTGCACATGTTAGAGCCATTTTGGGGGGCAATTTTTAAAAAAAAAAACATTTTTAATGGGCTGAGAGCCGCCTCGTGGAAAGCCCGGGGCGGGGGATGGAGTAGAAACAGCTGCGGGAGTGATTCTTGTCTCCATATATGTTTATAAGGCACTGAGGGCGGGATTAGCAGCTCCTGGGAAGTCTGGCTCTAGTTACCGTGTCAGCCTGTCCTGGGGGCAGTCACAGCCACAGTGACCATTAGCAGGCACCCAGGCCTGTCTTTGGCTCGGAAACGGTGGCCCCCAATGTAGCCTAGTTTGAACCTAGGAACTGCAGGACCAGAGAGATTCCACTGGAGCCTGATGGACGGGTGACAGAGGTGAGAGGCACTGGTGTGAGGGACAAGTGTCACAGGCGGGGAGGAAGAACTCCGCTATCTGGTGGTGGAAATGTGTGAGGATCAAAGTCCCCAGGGAGAGTAGGTGTTGCGGGCGGCAGGGTGGTGGGCTGGGCACGGGCTGGGCATAGGCTGGGCAGGAGGCTTCGGGGCCGCGGGGAGGAGGCTGGAGAAGCAGGAGGGCACGGGCGGCCCTAGCTCTGCAACCCCGGGAAGGACTGGTAGGTGGAGTTAAGGATATTTGGACAAGGAAACGCTTTGAAGCTTTTCTCTCGTCCTCCCTACTCGGGACCTGGTCGCCTCCCCTCCATAAAACCATTAGCTCCTGGTGCCAGCCCTATCTCTGCTCCATCTCTCGTGGTTCCAGCCGGTGCATTCACAGACCTTCTGCCCCGGGGGACGAGGAGGATTTATGGGGGGAGAGGAGAGGGGGAGGGGCATCCTCCAGAGGAGGGGGGGTCTGAGGGGAGTCGGGCGTGGAAGCTGTTAGTCCCGGGCTGGGGGCCGGCTCACTTCCGAGCTGGCTCTGCATGACAAAGGGGAAGGAGCAAGTGTCTTCTTTGATCTGCCCCCTGCCGGCCCCACACACCTGCCTGTTGGTGCCCCCGCCCCAGCCGAGGCTTCGAGAAGGAAAATCAAAAGGGGGCTTGGGGAAGGGCTGTGTCCCAGCTCTCCTGGACCCTGCTCGGGCCACTGTCCTCTCCTGGCGGCCCCAGGACAAAAATACTTCCCGGGCTGATGACCCGAAGCACCCGCCGCCCCCTCCCGGGGAGCCTGGGGACGCCGACGCGCGAGAGTGGCGCAGTGAGCCGGGGCGCGCGGGGCTGCGCTCGTCAGGTCCGGGGCCCCGGGGAGGCCGCTGGGGGCGCGGGTCACGCCCAGACGGGGGCCCCGGAGGACCGCGGGGGAGCCGCAGGGGCCGTGTGTCCCGAGGCGCAGGCTCGCTCTAGCAGCACTGACCTGCTGCGGGTCCCAGGGCCTGGGGACAGGGGCTCTCGGGGGCGGATAGAGGAACAGGCGTGGGTTACAGCAGGCAGGAGGCCAAGAGGCGGGAGGCCCGGGAGCCAGCAGGGAAGGGCTGTGGCATCTGGAAGATGCGTCCTCAGCTCAGGCATTTGATGCCAGAGCTGCCGCCTGGCGTCGGCAGTGTCCCCGGTGCAGCTGCTGGGCAAGGTACTCGGTGCCGCCCTCGAGGACCACGGTGCCGGGAGGGGCAGGGGCCGCCTAGGGAGGCACCACCTCAGCCGCCAGAGCTTTCCGGGCGGGCGGTTCGCGGCGTGGCTTGTACATTTCTCAGAGAAGCTGCCTTGAGAAAGTGAAAAGTCCTTGATCTGTACGCAGGGGTTGGGACTTAGGAAACCCGCTGAGGGTGAGAAGGGCGCAGATGGAGAGGGGAGACTCCTCCCTGGGTGCAGGTAAATCCAATTCACCAAAATGTTTTAATCCTACAAAGGAGAGCCTGAGGGTCAGAGAAATAAGTCTCTGGGCTGGAATGAGAGGTAGGCACGTGGGGGAGTGGATAGGATGGGCCCCATTTCTTTGGATGTTCTGCAGCAAGGACAGGTATGCTTTACAACAGCCGAAGTGGCCTCCCGGCTGCCGAACGGAGGAACGCCGCAAGCTCCGCTCTTGAAATTACTTGTTTTCATTTCTCTTTGTGGTTTCTCAGCTCATTATTTCTTTGGAAATTAGGTCCTGTGCAGGGTTCCCACAGTTTGGGGTAAGAGACAGAAGTCCTAGGGTGGGAAGATGAGCAGTGGGAGGCGGAGGCTGGAAAGAGGCCGAGCTTCTTTGTGGGGAACACGCAGCACGTAAGCATCAGTGCAACTTTCTCCGCCTCACCCCGGCTCCTGGTCTGCCCTTATCCGCTGAGTTTCCACACTGACTCTCCATTTCTGTTTTCTCCAGGGAACCCTACTCTGGAAACTGTCAGTCCCAGGGCACTGGGGAGGGCTGAGGCCGACCATGCCCAGCCTGCTGCTGCTGTTCACGGCTGCTCTGCTGTCCAGCTGGGCTCAGCTTCTGACAGACGCCAACTCCTGGTGGTGAGTAAGAGGGGCTGAGGTCCTGCCTGCACAGCCGGAGGCCTCCTTCAGCGACTGAGATGAGGAGGAAGGGCACCGTGTGTCACGGTAGTACCTTGATTCCTGGGAGTACTAAGGGCCTCTTTTATCCCAGGAAAACTAAGAACGCTCTGTGTCTCTCTCAACCCTTATCTTTGTAAGGGTTCCCTGAGGATAAAGGTTCCGTTCATTTGATTTTTTTCTCTAATCCTGTCCACATTCCTTTTCCTTGGACCTTCCCTCATGCCCATGAATTGTTAGAAATTGCTCTTGGGTCAACAAGAATATCAATACTTGGTAGTTTTTTGTTCCTTTGTTTTGTGTGTTTTGCTGGTAGGATATAGAATTCCTCTTTTATAAGTCTGAAGGCCAGATGAGGGGTTCACAGCACCATGGGTGGCTGGCTTTCTTCTTATGTTTTAAGGGCTGTTGTCATTGCCAAGTTGACAGGGAAATGGCAGGCGATCACCACCTATTTTGCATGGTCTCTGCCACTAGCATTTTTACTCAGATAGCAAATCTGCAGCCTTCTCATCTAACACTCTATATGGCTGGTAGATGATGAGCAAAAGGGAGAGCCTCTGAACTGGTGGAGAGTGGATGAGGGGAAGCTCAAAGTGAGACATGGCAGTGAAAACAAGTAGACTAGATCGTGATGTATGTAAAGTGATTGGATTTTAAAGGCCCAAAGGGAGTACCACGCAAAGGATTGATTGCTTTCCATGGCTTATCATGTACTTGGGCTGCACTGAACTAGTCACTCCTACTCATTGAATGAGGCCTGTGCTCTCCTGTTGAGGTTTGGCTCTTTTTGCCCTCTATTAAAATGAAGAGCTGCTCCCCACCCCTCGTCTTCTTATCTGCCTGACCCCCATTCTTAAGATCCAGTTCAAATTCTGGCCATTTCCTTATAAAGGCTTCTCTTCAGCCATAAGGGCTATTTTCCTATCTGATCACAGCAGATCCAGAAGCATATCCAGAGTCTGTCTGGGGCATTTGGCATCTCGCATGTCCTTTGTGTTCATGCCTCAGATTCCTTCAGTTTGTCCTTTGAAGGCCAGCACTCTGATTTACTAATTTTTCTTTCCAGGGCCTTGTACACAGGGACGCATTCAATAAATGTGTTGAATGAATGACTTAATGCTGCACACAGGCGTATGCTCACTCCTGGGCCTTTTTTTCCCCTTTCTGGATTGCTGTCCTAGGTCATTAGCTTTGAACCCGGTGCAGAGACCCGAGATGTTTATCATCGGTGCCCAGCCCGTGTGCAGTCAGCTTCCCGGGCTCTCCCCTGGCCAGAGGAAGCTGTGCCAATTGTACCAGGAGCACATGGCCTACATAGGGGAGGGAGCCAAGACTGGCATCAAGGAATGCCAGCACCAGTTCCGGCAGCGGCGGTGGAATTGCAGCACAGCGGACAACGCATCTGTCTTTGGGAGAGTCATGCAGATAGGTAAGAGGCCATTACAAGAGGGCTCGGCCAAGGAACTGCACTCGTCTCGTTTGGGAGCAATTAAGCTCTCTCAGGACTGGCACAGGGAGAGCCCAAAGGCAGCCTAAGTGGGCTCTCTCTAGGCTTGGCAGCAGTGTGCACCACGAGAGAGGCACACGAGGAAGCAGGCTCTGGGAGGCTGCAGAAACCACACGCTTGATGTTCCTCTAGCTCTCTGCCTTCCAGCCTCACTTGGGGCAGGTTGCTTGGGACTCACTGAGAGGGGGCAGGTTGCTTGGGACTCACTGAGAGGGGGCAGGACATCTGAGTTGACTTAGAGTGGATTAGGAGAGCCGCCCACCGCCACTGCCTTTGTGTCTCAGTGCAAAAAAGAGCCTTGGGTAGAGAACCAGAAATTGCAGCCCTGAATGTCTGTTGGATTTTTGCCTCTTCCACTTCAACCTTTGACAGAGAGATAGAAATGTCGGCCAAAGTGTTGATAGCTGTCACTAACCCAACCCCATCCAGTCCCAGCTTTTTCTTTTGAAAGAGATGTGTGAACATGGGGGAAGGGGTCAGACGAAAGAAAAGATGAGAGGGAGAGGGCCAAGTCTTCTGGATTCCTGTCCCTTCCCCTCTCCCACTGCTGGCCAAGGATTCTTGGGCCACCCTATTGCTTAGATGGAGGTGTGATCTGAGGTCTAATTGTTTTAGGTCCTTTTGAAATGCAATCCTCTCCTCTCTGGCAAGAAATTGAGAAATCCGGCCCTATTCTACTGGGTCTTATCCCCAGGGCCATAAAAGGGAAGTGTTAGAATGCTGTGTTCCTTCTGCCTGACATTCTCCCAGAACACCTCCCTTCAAAAGGTTACCTGAGGCTGGAGTTTCCCCAGAGAGGGATTTCAGCCTGGGAGGGGAGTTGGGGAGGTAGAGATTTCTTCGTGCTCCTCTCTTAGGGAGGATACTTGGAAGGCTCCTTCCCCCTCCCACTTATTCCAGACCTCTTTCCCTACCCTCTCTGTCCCATATTGAGAAGTAATGCCCAATGCAGTAGCTCACGCCTGTAATCCCAGCACCTTGGGAGGCTGAGGCAGGAGGATTCCTTGAGGCCAGGAGTTCAAGACCAGCCTGGGTAACATAGTGAGACCTCTGTCTCTATAAAAAAAATTTTTTTTTTCTAAAGAGAGAGAGGGAATTAAAGATGGGAAAAGTACACATTGAAACTTGCTGCTCTCTTGCTTCCTTCGGTATCAACTCAGGGTGCATAAAAGGAAGGTCCTAGTGTTCCTGGGGCAGCTTTCCCAAAAGAGTAGACTTGGGGTTTTAGTGGGATTTACTCATAGTTTATTGATTCTTCTCAAACCCACCTGGCACTTGTCTCTTCTTTCTGGCGAAAATCTTGGCAGCACTTCCTGCCCTGCGTTTTGGGCAATGAAACTAGGACGGCCCAGGTGCAGAGTCTCCTCTAATCTCTTCAGTGGAGTTAATGTTTATTGAAGACCTAAAGTAGGCCTGATGTTGGCTAGATCCTTTTCATGTGTATTTCGTGTGCATAAAGGCCCCAAAGTGAGGCTGTACTTTAGGAAAGAAAGGGGTTGGCAGGAAAAGACACTCCGCTGGGTTCAGATGTGCACTAGGTGGCCAGCGAAAGCAAACCCTGTCGAAGAGAGCCCATCTCTCTGTGCCCTATTCCGTTACAAAATGGAACCCTTCTGTTTGCCTAATTTTCCCCCTTCCTTTTTATAGCATCACTGAAGGCTCATGCTACCTAGGAGGCTGTCCTCCCTTCCTCCCCCCTGAGCCCAGAGTAGCTCCTGGTGAGTCCTCCCTCTCCCTATCTTGAGAAGGACCGTCTAAGGCTTCCTTTCTCCTTTGAAGCTGCTGCAAAAGTCGGTCACCAGAGGGCGGCAGAGCAGCTCGGAGGAGCCTCGGCCCGTTGCCCAGCTTCTGCCTAGGGAGTTTGGAGGCAACTTGGGCTGCTATGGAACAGAGAGGGCATGAAATTGTTCTGCTGTCTCCTGTAGGGAAAAGACGCATGTCCCTCTAGTAGCTCACGGCTGCTTTTTTTTAGCCGTTTATTCTTGAGATGGTTAGAGATTCAACCTGAACTGTTGCGTATATAGATAAACCCCCACGTTGCTTATCCATTCTGAAGCCCCGAATTATCTCTTTCTTGCTGAAGGTAGCAACAGTAGATGGTACTTAGTAGGCTTACCCAAGGGCCCAAAGGCTGCCCCGTGAAGGCAGAGCTGCCCACACTCAGCTTCTGATGAAGACCCGACTGAAAGAGGCAGGCAGCGCACCGGAGGACAAATCAGGATCCCAAACAGTCATGATAGGTTCGAACTGTCAGAGTACAGAACGTCTGGTGTGTTAGTTCAGCTGCAGGTACGTGATTTTAGAAGGCAATTCTGAGAAGGCTGATTCAACTCTGAAAAGCATGTTTGCTAAAGAATGATAGAAATAAATCAGACATATGTAGCTTGGAAAAGTGAAAACGTAAAAGGCTTAATAGTTGTTTTCAAACACTGAAGAGCTGTCAAATGGGAAAGGGATTATAGCAGAGTGCAAGTGCAGCAGGCAGGAATCATAAGGAGGCGTATTTCAGCTTAATACAAGAAGGAGCATTCTGGTGATTGGAGTCATTTGAAAAAGATGGAATGGATTGCTTTGAAAACCTAGCCCACTGGTCTGAGGAACTGTGTAGAGGGAAAGCTTCCGGTGGCTATGGAGGGTAGCTCGGGGCTGAAGCTTGGGAGGCTCCCTCCGTTCCAGGATGCCATGTCAGGTGGTTGAGGCTGCATTTTAAGGAGATGAATTCCTCAAAGTGGGGCCCAGACCCTCCTCCCTGAGAGGCTCTTTGGCCATCTTACCATCCCCAGTGCTCCTTGTCACATTCTGAGCCCCGTAGACCGGGTCCTGTCGGCTGAATCATGAGTGTAACTTCCTGCCATCATTTCGGTTTTTCTTGGGCTATTCCTATTTCACAACTGACCAGAAGCCAGCCACTGGTTAATAGAGAAAAACGGACTCACTCAGCATGGTCTGTTTGTAAACTTCACTGTGTCATGCCCAGATAATCAAGAAGTAGGGCCAAGGGAGAGATTTCTCTAGACCTCTCGGTTGATTGCAGACTGCTTCCCTTTCTACCTTCCAAGACAAGACTCTGGGATTCTGCCTGGTTTAATCTCTGAGATCAGGATTGAATCTGTTTCCTGCTAAGAATCACTCCCTTCTCTCCATATCTAAGTCCCTATAAGTATCATTTGTTATTTCTTATAACAGCTTTATTGAGATACATAACTCCCATACCATGAAATTCAGCATTTTAAAGTGTAAATTCAGTGGCTTTGAGCATATTCACAAGGCTGTGCAACTATCAGCACTGTCTAATCCCATAACATTTTCACCGCTCCACAGAGAAACTGCACACCCGTTAACTGTCACTCTGCGTACCCCAACCCCCAACCCTAGGCGACCACTATTCTTTCTGTCTCCATGGATTTGCCTATCCTGGGCATTTCTTATAAATGGGATTATAGAATACATGGCCTTTGGTGACGGGCTCCTTTTACTTAGCACAATGATTTAAAGGTTCATCTGTGTTGCAGTCTATATATATATATATATATATATATATATATATATATATATATACTTTTTTTTTTTTTTTTGAGACAGGGTCTTACTCTGCTCCCCAGGCTGGAGTGCAGTGGTGTAATCATAGCTCATTGCAGCCTCCAACTCCTGGGCTTAAACAATTCTTCCACCTCAACCTCCTGAGTAGCTGGGACTACAGGCACATGCTACCATGCCCAGTTTTGTTTTGTTTTGTTTTGTTTTGTTTTGAGATGGAGTTTTACTCTTGTTGCCCAGGCTGGAATGCAATGGTGTGATCTCGGCTCACTGCAACCTCTGCCTCCTGGGGTCAAATGATTCTTCTGTCTCAGCCTCCTGAGTAGCTGGGATTACAGGCGCCCGCCTGGCTAGTTTTTGTATTTTTAGTAGAGACAGGGTTTCACCATGTTGGCCAAGCGGGTCTCGAACTCCTGACCTCATGTGATCCATGCTCCTTGGCCTCCCAAAGTGCTGGGATTACAGGCATGAGCCACCACGCCCAGCTTAATTTTTTTCTTTTTTAATGTTTTTGTAGAGATGGGGTACTGCTATGTTGCCAAGCTGTTCTGAAACTCCTGGCTTCAAGTGATCCTCCTGTCTCGGCCTCAAATTGCTGGGATTACAGGTGTGAGTCACCACGCCTAGTCACTTTTTATGGCTGAATAATATTCCATTGTATGGATAATACCACATTTTGATTACCCATTTATCCGCTGATGGATAGTTTGGTTGTTTCCAATTTTTGCCTGTTATGAATAATGCTGCAAGAAGCATTCCTATGTCCATTTTTGTGTGGACATATGTTTTCCTTTCTCTTGGGTATAAAGGCATACTTTCGAGATATTGTGGGTTTGCAGATTTGGTTCCACCGTACTGCAATAATACTGCAATAATGTGAATAGGCAATAAAGTGAGTTGCATGGTTTTCCAGTGCATATAAAAGTTATGCTGCGGGCCGGGCGCGGTGGCTCACGCCTGAAATCCCAGCACTTTGGGAGGCCCAGGCGGGCGGATCACGAGGTCAGGAGTTCAAGACCAGCCTGGCCAAGATGGTGAAACCTCGTCTCTACTAAACATACAAAAAAAAAAAAAAAAAAACTAGCCAGGCGCGGTGGCAGGTGCCTGTAATCCCAGCTACTCGGGAGGCTGAGGCAGGAGAATTGTTTGAACTCGGGCAGCAGAGGTTGCAGTGAGCTGAGATCGTGCCACTGCACTCTGGCCTGGGTGACAGACTGAGACTCTGTCTCAAAAAAAAAAAAAAGTTATGTTTACACTATTCTATAGTCTATTAAGTGTGTAATAACATTACATCTTAAAAAAAGTACATCCCTTAATTAAAAATACTTTATTGCTAAAAAATGCTGACACAGAAACACAAAGTAAGTACATGCTGTTGGAAAAGTAGCACGGATAGATTTGTAGCAGGGTTGCCACAAACCTTCAATTTGTAAAAAACGCAACACCGGCCAGGCACGGTGGCTCACGCCTCTAATCCCAGCACTTTGGGAGGCCCAGGCGGGCGGATCACGAGGTCAGGAGATCGAGACCATCCTGGCTAACACGGTGAAACCCCATCTCCACTAAAAACACAAAAAATTAGCTGGGCGCAGTGGTGTGCCTTTGTAGTCCCATATACCGGAGGCTGAGACAGGAGAATGGCGTGAACCCGTGAGGCGGAGCTTGCGGTGAGCCGAGATTGTGCTACTGCACTCCAGCCTGGGTGACAGAGCGAGACTCTCTCTCAAAAACAAACAAACAAACAAACAAAAAAACACAACACCTGCACAGCACAAGAAAGCTGAGCATAGTAAAACGAGGAGCTTTGCCTGTGTTCTTAGGAGTGGAATTGCTGTGTCATATGGGAACTCTACGTTTAACCTTGTGACTGTTAGCCTTAGACTGCCAGACTGTTTTCCAAAGCAGCTGCACCGCTTAACCATTCCCACCCACAGTATGGGAGGGTTCTGGTTTTTCCGTGTTCTCACCAAGTTGTTATTGGCTGTCTTTTTGATGATAGCCATCCCAGTGGAGGTGATTTGGGCTTGCATGTCCCTGATAGCTGAGTATTCTGAAACAGACATTTTACTGAAATAGAACATACATTATATGAATGTTGAGGTGGTTCACCACAGCAGTAAAGGGGAACATAGTTGGGATTTTCTGCTGGAAAATGATCTGCGTATTTAGAGGGACCGTGATGAGTGTCTGGAATTGTAGGTGCTGTAGATGTTGTTCCCAGGGCTCCTGAGTTAGGAGGCAGTGTGGATCCTGTGGAAGAGAGAGGAAGACAGCTTGGATTTTTCTAGACATTGTAATTCTAGTTCATTTTTGACTCCTGGCCTCTGCCACTGTCTAGCTAGATAATGGCAGCAGTACCGACAGACAGATGTGCAGCTCATAGAGCGTGAGAAATGGCATCTGTGAGGGAGACATTTCTGCTAGGATACAACGTCCTACTCTTGATACCATGATTTCTTCCTTAGCCTCATTCTGTTCGACTCCCATGTTCTGTGTGTTTCTGAATGCCTATTCTCCCCTCCGCTGAGGTCTCCCGCCTAGGAATCTGCAGGTCACACAGGCTCTTCTGCAGTGGATATTAATGCAGGCCAGGACCGGAGGGACTTGTTTTTTTGTGTTTTTTTTTCTTTTTTTTGAGACAGAGTCTCACTCTGTCGCCCAGGCTGGAGTGCAGTGGCGCGGTCTCAGCTCCCTGCAAGCTCCGCCTCCCGGGTTCACGCCATTCTCCTGCCTCAGCCTCCCGAGTAGCTGGGACTACAGGCGCCCGCCACCACGCCCGGCTAATTTTTTGTATTTTTAGTTGAGACGAAGGTTTCACCGTGTTGGCCAGGCTGGTCTCGATCTCCTGACCTCGTGGTCCGCCCGCCCCGGCCTCCCAAAGGGCTGGGATTACGGGCTGAGCCACCGCGCCGGGCCAGGGACTTGTTTTCTTCCGGGTGGTTTCGCAGGGCTGAGCTGGGGCCCAGCGGCGGAAGTAAAACAGCAGATTTCAGCCCATTATAAAGAGACGTTTCCAAGCGTTAGAGCTACGGGAAGCGAAGCCCCCTGCCCCAGGGGTGTCAGCAGAGCCGTGGCGTGCGGGTCCGTCGGGGGAGACGGGGGGAAGGACAGGTCCCCGGGAGAGGAGAGCGCACCCGCTTACCGCCCTGGCCTCATTCTGCAGGCAGCCGAGAGACCGCCTTCACCCACGCGGTGAGCGCCGCGGGCGTGGTCAACGCCATCAGCCGGGCCTGCCGCGAGGGCGAGCTCTCCACCTGCGGCTGCAGCCGGACGGCGCGGCCCAAGGACCTGCCCCGGGACTGGCTGTGGGGCGGCTGTGGGGACAACGTGGAGTACGGCTACCGCTTCGCCAAGGAGTTTGTGGATGCCCGGGAGCGAGAGAAGAACTTTGCCAAAGGATCAGAGGAGCAGGGCCGGGTGCTCATGAACCTGCAAAACAACGAGGCCGGTCGCAGGGTAAGCTGGGCCTCCCCGGCCTCCCCAGCACTGCAGACCTAGGGGGCTGTTCCCGGGCTGTGCCACCAGCCGTGGCCTGGCCTTCAAGGAAACGGGTTAGTCTGACCGTGAAGATTCTTACCTACGATTGCAAATTTACATGTCCACGTTATTGAACAAATCCTTTTCAAAATGCCCCACTTCCCAATGGGCATACGTGCTTTTTCTTTTCTTTTCTTCTTTTCTTTTTACTTACTTTATTATTTCACGGTTCCTAGAGGACTTAGGTGCAATGTTTGGATCAGAATTCCAGACGTAAGGATTAGAGCAGCGCTCTTGTCTTGGCCACCCCTCCTTTGCAACTTGAATAGATAATGCGATGGGATGTTTAGGCCGTTAGACCTCATCTAGGGTTTATGCTCTGTTAAAGGCTCTGGTAATAGCAGAGTCGACTTTCAAGAACTGCTGTCATACGTATCCAGAACCCAGTCAAAAAACACATTCAAATACTAATGACAAACACACTTCTGAGCTAGGAGATTTTAGACATAAGTGGAAGTGTGAGAAGACAGCCATCTGTTTAAGGCTGGAGGAAACAGCCTCCCCAGTCTCATGTAATGTGACTGTCTTTTAAGCCTCAGTTTCAGCAGAAGCAACCATGCAGGTTTGAGGGGAGCTGGGTTCATTGTATGTGCAGAGCACACCTGGGCGGCAGCTTCTGGGCCCCTAGGTGGCATGCTGGAAAGCGTGAACCCTCTCTGCCTGCACCTTGTTCCTGAAAACCCCCCCTCTGAGCACACATCCAGCCTCCTCTTTTCTTTGCTGTCCCCCATCGTGGCTGCCTCTGCCACACAAGACTGGAGGGCCTGCCCCGCAGGAATCTCTGCCTTTTGCTGCTTCTGCATAGCCAGTGTTGACAGGGACCGAGGGCAACATGGGCGTCCACCCGGGTTTCCTCTGAGAAAGGTCTGCGGTCTGAGCACTGGGTGGTGAGAGGCTCTTTCTCCTGGAAAAAGAGCTCTCAGGAAACAGCACGGACTTCTTTCTTGGAGTGTTGTCCCCACTCGGGTCTATGTCAAGCCAGCTGGCTCTGGTTCCCAGGCGAGGTAATGTAACAAAGATGAACTCACTCAAAAATGAGAATGGTGGCCGGGAGCAGTGGCTCATGCCTGTAATCCCAGCGCTTTGGGAGGCCAAGGCAGGTGGATCACTTGAGGCCAGGAGTTCGAGACCAGCCTGACCAACATGGTGAAACCCTGTCTCTACTAAAAATACAAAAAATTAGCTGGACTTGGTGGCAGGCACCTGTAATCCCAGCTACTTGGGAGGCTGAGGCAGGAGAATTGCTTGAACCTGGGAGGCGGAGGCTGCAGTGAGCCTAGATCACACCATTGCACTCCAGCCTGGGCAACAGAGCAAGACTCCATCTCAAAAAAAAAAAAAAAATGAGAATGGCAATTTCTTAGAAGTTTAACGGTGGCACCCTGGTGATTCAGTAACAGGATATGAATATAAGCCTCAAAATGTCTTTACATAGCAAAATCTTAAAATGTGAACTCATGAGAGGCGGGGCACGGTGGCTGATGCCTGTAATCCCAACACTTTGGGAGGCTGAGGCGGGTGGATCACCTGAGGTCAGGAGTTCAAGACCAGGCTGGCCAACATGGTGAAACCCCATCTCTAGTAAAAATACAAAAAGTTAGCTGGACGTGGTGGCACACGCTTGTAATCCCAGCTACTTGGGAGGCCGAGGCAGGAGAATTGCTTGAGCCAGAGGTTGCAGTGAGCCAAGATCCTGCCATTGCACTCCAGCCTGGGCAACAGAGCGAGACTCTGTCTCAGAAAAAAATAGAAAGAAAAAAGAAAAGAAAAAAAATGTGAACTCATATATTGGAGCACATATCAAAGAAATGGAATAGGAAGTGTCTTTTGTCTGAATGGGGATGTTGTAGTATTGGCCGGATGGAATGTGGTGCACCTGTGTGCATAGCATCATCAGCCATGGGACATCAGGTGGAGACCAGAGTGGGTTATATGCCCAGGGTCTTCCTTACGCTTCCCCTATCCAGAGGCTATTTTTGTTTCCCAGAAAAGGGTGTGTGTAAGGTGGGGTCAGTGCGTGGTGATGTTAGGAGTTCTGGCAATTGCTGATCTGTGATTATGATAGGCTAACCCAGGGCAGAGAGCCTGGAGCCATCTCAGATGACTTCTGCTCAGGGCGTGTGTGGAGCCACCCGGTCTCTCAGGTGTCTTGGCTGTCTCCCAGTCTATTTGCCCACGTCTTTGGGTGTCTGGGCCTGAGGAGTAGAGATGTCAATGAAGGGGTTAAGATCCGCACTTTATCTCCTGACTGCCCAGAGTCGATCCAGTTTTTGAAATCTTAGTTGAAACACTGCCCTCCCCAGTCCCCATTGTTAGTAGTTTTTCTCCCACCTGATCTTCAATCGGGCATTCTTGCTCTTCTCAGGTATTCCTTACTCTATCTACCTTTGCCTTGGTAGGTTGGCGGTAGGTTCCTGTGGGCAGGGATTGCCCTCTCTGCCCCTTTGCTTCAACCCTGTATGTGCTGTATGTGGGTGGGACAAATGGATATACACAGAGGAGTTCCGTGTTGCCTCCTCGGGAGAGGTCAGATTCACGGAGGCTGCTTGTGGCTCTGCTGAGCTGCGCTGTGGTGTCTGCACGTGCCTGTGATCAGGCAGGTGACACCCACTCTTCCCCTTTCCCCTGCTGCTGGGTCTCACTTTATTGCCCTTAATTGTTTGTTGTCTTGTCCGGGCTGTTATCTGGCAGCCTTCCCTCCCATCAGGCTTGTTCCTGGCTTGCTCACCTTCCCTGTCTGTCTCCCCGCTTAGCCCCTTCCTTCAGGCCCCACACCTCTCCTCTTCCTTAACTCCTTATCTCTCCCTTTGCCTCTGCCTGCTTCAGGTTGGGAATTCCTGGCCCCCTTTATTTTTTATCCTCTCTCCAAGGAACAGGCCTCGGCCATCAGTCACCATCTGAGGCCAGAGGTATTCACTGCTTGCCTCCTCACACCTACACACAAAGTTCTCCAGCAAGGACTGAGTGATGGCTGGGATGGAAAATAGACAAGTATTTTAGAACCATATTAAAAAGAAAAAAAGATTATCCAGGATCTGATGTCTTGACACAGAGTAAATCTTAGGCTACTTTGCCAGAAGTTTCTCTTGGCCTGCAAGAGCATCTAGTAGCTCCTTCTTAGACGGTGGCGGCAACACCAGTGGCTGATGGTGTTTTGCCACTCAAGGATTTCTAAGCATTTTCCAGATAAAAGCCTGGTGCCTAATCCTGTAACATTCCTGTCTGTCACCAGGCTCAGCACACCATTAGATAGAAGTGGAAGAGGAGCTGAGAGGCGCTTTTCCAGGGACAGATCGTAGAACTAAAACTTTTTTCTTTTTTTTTGAGACGGAGTTTCGCTCTTGTTGCCCAGGCTGGAGTGCAATGGCGCGATCTCGGCTCACTGCAAACCTCTGCTTCCCAGGTTCAAGCGATTCTTCTGCCTCAGCCTCCCTAGTAGCTGGGATTACAAGCATGTGCCACCACGCCTGGGCTAATTTTGCATTTTTAGTAGAGACGGGGTTTCTCCATGTTGGTCAGGCTGGTCTTGAACTCCCGACCTCAGGTGATCCGCCCGCCTTGGCCTCCTAAAGTGCTGGGATTACAGGCATAAGCCACCATGCCCGGCGAACTAAAACATTTTTGAAAGCTTTTTTTTTTTTTTTTTTTGCTTTTTGAATTAGCAGTCTGGGCTGAAAATCGGCATTTCCCCCTATCGCCTACAAAAGGAGCCTATATATATATATATATATCTACAAAAGGAGATTTTGTATATATACATATATATATATAAAATCAGTAGTAAAATATGAAAAAAATTGCAGATATTCCTATCTCTACAATGTCTTTGAATTCAGGGAAGGATGGAGGGGGTGTTTAAGCTGGTGCACTTCCTCTTGGATTTGTTTTCCTAAAATTCTGGTCCTTGCCCTGCAGGGTCTTGCTCCGACTCTCCTTCCCCAACTCTGTCTGAGTGTTTGCCCCTGCAAGAGATGCTTATCCGTGCTCCGAGTTGCTAAGTGGCAAAGTGCACAGTTTCCAACCCTTAATGTTTCCTCCTCTCAGCAGTGCCAGACGCCTGTCATCCATCTCTAAGCCAAGGACCATTTCCAGAGGAATGTCAGGCTGCAGCTCAGACCCAGGGCATTTGGGATGGAAGGGTCATTGCAGGCCCCATCTTTGAAGTGTCTGTCAGGATGGGGTGTCAGTTCCTTTATGTCTTGGACCTGGAGCTGCCCGGCTAAGTGCTGGTGCCTTTAACCTTGGGGAGAGCCTTCCTTCCTCCTCTGCTCTAAGCCAGCTTTAAGCCCCGAGATTGGAGTGGATAAGTGCTTGTTATTCTGAGTCCTTTCTGGGTGGCCTTGGAGGTTAGTGAGCCTCTCTAGAGCTTCAGTTTCTCCACCATAAAATAGTGGGAATAATTCCGTACCAGAAAAAACTCAGGAAGACTTTTGCCAACAGTCATATGCACTGATGATGGCTGTGCTGTCTCTTGCACCTGCAGTGGTCTCTGCTTAGCTCTGAATAAAGACACAATCTGGGGGCTCTTGAAAAGAAATCTAAGAGAAACCCTTGAAAAATGAGTCCTGACTCAGTTGGTGACAATAGCCATGCATAAGAAAATGCTCTGCAGCCGGCTTGCGTTTTCATCCCGCCATCTGCACGTCTAGGCCTGCTGCCAGGGTTGGTTGCCATGGTGCGTCAGCATGCTGCCGTTGAAAAGCACTCTGTAAGCAGCTTTCTGGTCTGCTCTTGCTTTTACATTTTGATTTGGGATAACTCAAGTTCAAATCTACTCCACGTTGTGGCGGTTCTGTGACTTCTGGGGTAGACTTGTTTTAGATGAACCGCTCCTGCAGGCAGGCCCAGCTGCTTGCAGTTCCCTTGCACGTTGCTTCACTGTGTTACTCCAGCTCTCCCAAGGGGGCGTCTGGGGGCTGCTCGGGAGGAAGACGGTGGTCTTGCTCACAAATGGATGGTGTATGGCAAGACTCCTGATGACTCTATGGAGTTAGTGACTACATGGTAACATGGGGAAAGGGACCATTTAATTCTCAGGGTATTTGACAGGATCAGGGAGAGTTTTGGGCTAACCACGGCTATGCCAGTGATTTCTGTGATAGGCTTGTGATACAATTGGATTCTTTTTTCTGACTTGTGCTCCTATTACGCAAAAGCTGGACACATTTTGTTATTTTGTTTTGTTTTGCTTTGTTTCTAGAGATGGAGTCTTGCCCTGTTGCCCAGGCTGGAGTGCAGTGGCACAAGCATAGCTTGCTGCATCCTCAAATTCCTGGGCTCAAGTGATCCTCCTTCCTCAGCCTCCCCAGTAGCTGGGACTACAGGCACCAGCCACAGTGCCTGGCTGTATTTTGTTGGTTATTATTTATTTGTTTGAGGCTTTGATCAAGATGGAGATATCTTTGTTTTCCGATTGTGAAAAGGATGCATTGATTGTAACAGGTTTTGAGGAATGAGAAACCAGTAGAGTAGAAAGTGAAAGTGCCTGGTGCCATCCTCCCGGCTGATGGGGACAAGTTGCCTTGCCGCCCCAGGGTTCTTTTCTGTGGTGCCTCTTTTATGTTTTCCCCCTGAGCACCTGAGCATCTTGGAAAGATCTTTGCATGCATTTGAAAAGCTATCTATCCCCTACCCTACCGGCCCCTCCTGTGTACTAGGCCTGTGGCTACCCCAGCCACCCTCTGGGCCTCTTCCACCGGGATCCTCCTTCTTACTGCCTTCTTTCTCTTCCCCTAGGCTGTGTATAAGATGGCAGACGTAGCCTGCAAATGCCACGGCGTCTCGGGGTCCTGCAGCCTCAAGACCTGCTGGCTGCAGCTGGCCGAGTTCCGCAAGGTCGGGGACCGGCTGAAGGAGAAGTACGACAGCGCGGCCGCCATGCGCGTCACCCGCAAGGGCCGGCTGGAGCTGGTCAACAGCCGCTTCACCCAGCCCACCCCGGAGGACCTGGTCTATGTGGACCCCAGCCCCGACTACTGCCTGCGCAACGAGAGCACGGGCTCCCTGGGCACGCAGGGCCGCCTCTGCAACAAGACCTCGGAGGGCATGGATGGCTGTGAGCTCATGTGCTGCGGGCGTGGCTACAACCAGTTCAAGAGCGTGCAGGTGGAGCGCTGCCACTGCAAGTTCCACTGGTGCTGCTTCGTCAGGTGTAAGAAGTGCACGGAGATCGTGGACCAGTACATCTGTAAATAGCCCGGAGGGCCTGCTCCCGGCCCCCCTGCACTCTGCCTCACAAAGGTCTATATTATATAAATCTATATAAATCTATTTTATATTTGTATAAGTAAATGGGTGGGTGCTATACAATGGAAAGATGAAAATGGAAAGGAAGAGCTTATTTAAGAGACGCTGGAGATCTCTGAGGAGTGGACTTTGCTGGTTCTCTCCTCTTGGTGGGTGGGAGACAGGGCTTTTTCTCTCCCTCTGGCGAGGACTCTCAGGATGTAGGGACTTGGAAATATTTACTGTCTGTCCACCACGGCCTGGAGGAGGGAGGTTGTGGTTGGATGGAGGAGATGATCTTGTCTGGAAGTCTAGAGTCTTTGTTGGTTAGAGGACTGCCTGTGATCCTGGCCACTAGGCCAAGAGGCCCTATGAAGGTGGCGGGAACTCAGCTTCAACCTCGATGTCTTCAGGGTCTTGTCCAGAATGTAGATGGGTTCCGTAAGAGGCCTGGTGCTCTCTTACTCTTTCATCCACGTGCACTTGTGCGGCATCTGCAGTTTACAGGAACGGCTCCTTCCCTAAAATGAGAAGTCCAAGGTCATCTCTGGCCCAGTGACCACAGAGAGATCTGCACCTCCCGGACTTCAGGCCTGCCTTTCCAGCGAGAATTCTTCATCCTCCACGGTTCACTAGCTCCTACCTGAAGAGGAAAGGGGGCCATTTGACCTGACATGTCAGGAAAGCCCTAAACTGAATGTTTGCGCCTGGGCTGCAGAAGCCAGGGTGCATGACCAGGCTGCGTGGACGTTATACTGTCTTCCCCCACCCCCGGGGAGGGGAAGCTTGAGCTGCTGCTGTCACTCCTCCACCGAGGGAGGCCTCACAAACCACAGGACGCTGCAACGGGTCAGGCTGGCGGGCCCGGCGTGCTCATCATCTCTGCCCCAGGTGTACGGTTTCTCTCTGACATTAAATGCCCTTCATGGAGGTTTTGCTCCCTTTCCTTATTTGGACCCACGCTGATCTTTCATGAGTCTCCTTTTATTTTTTATTTGGCCTTTAGAACTCTGCTCTGCAGTGTGGATGAGGGTAAGGAAATTGAGACTCCTTAGACTGTATAGTCTGGTGATCAGGGAGAGGAACAGATGAATGTTTTGAGAATTAAATAAGGTGATGCATTTAGGCATTCACCCCAAGAGCTAGCACAGTTAAACACTCAGGAAGTGGTAGCCATTAATATTACTGCTATACACAAGGGAGTTCAGAAATTTAAATTGAAACCTCACATTTACCTGCCTCTTTCCCTTCCCCTATTTGATAGCCTACCAAGCGAACCCTGGCTTGTTCCCTGGGTCCCTGTTAAAGCACGGGTAATGGGGATGCCCTTTGCCGTCTCCTCTGTGTTGCTGTCTGCAATTTTGGACTCCAGTATCTGGGGCCAGGAGGGTAAGGCTGAGCTTGAGGATCCAGGAAGGGAGATGTTATTATCCTAAAAAGGGAGGAAGGAGTGATTGAGGGAGACATGGAGCCAGGCTGCTGTAGAGTGACCAGCCTGCAGGTGAGCCGGTAACTACAGAAAGACATCAGTTTTATTCTAGAAAACTTTATTTCTGGAGAAATAATTAATGTGTTAATTTGGGTTATAATGAGCAAATGATATTGCAAAACTGCTTAAAAGAGATTCTGCCTGAGGGCATTTATGCCATGCATACTACCTGTCTCTTTAGTACCTGAGGGAGAATGTTCTGACCCAACCAAGAACCTCAGACCTAGAGTTATTTCACCTGTAGCTAACTCACACTGTTACCCAGATTCCTTTGGTTGATACTTTCAAGGTGACATTTCATTTTCATGAAAGAAAATGATTGAAGTTATGGCCGGGCAGGGTGGCTCATGCCTGTAATCCCAGCACTTTGGGAGGCTGAGGTGGGTGGATCGCTGGAGGTCAGGAGTTCAAGACCAGCCTTGCCTACATGGCGAAACCCCATCTCTACTAAAAATACAAAAATTAGCTAGGCATGGTGGTGCATACTTGTAATCCCAGCTACTTGGGGGCTGAGGCAGGAGAATTGTTTGAACCTGAGAGACAGAAGTTGCAGTGAGCCAAGATCATGCCACTGCACTCCAGCCTGGGCAACATAGTGAGACCCTGTCTCGAAAGAAAAAAAAATGATTGAAGTGAATTGGTCTACAAAAGATGAAAACCATGTCCTCGTCTTCATTCATTGACATTTAACCATCTTAACCACCTTTAACCATAACTATCCAGATGCACAGATCAACCATGATAATAGGGTTTTGAAACACTGGCTAACATCACTGTTCTTCCCCACATCAGTTCTAGAGGTTTGGGGAATTACTTTGTATCAGGTGCTCAAACTGTTTAAGAGCTGAAATCTAACCTGTTCTTAGAAGCCCCCAGAAATGAGCTGAGAATGATTGTCCACAATCCCCAGAAGTCACTTCCGTGTTCATGGAGGGAGATGGATAATCCTTATCAGAGTAAGGTTTTCCTGCAGAGTCATGGCAAGTGGTAGAGTGAATCAGTTTTCTTTCTGATGTGGGAGCAAGTTGTGTTCAAACACCAGCGTGGTTGTTGCATCCACTGACCTATTTTTCTAAGTAGGTTGGCATACGGGTATAGTTACTTGTTACTTGCTTGTTGAATCCTGGTGGATTGGAATCCTGTCTGTGAAGTGACCAGTAACGCTGTAGGAATGTGGCTGGAGAATGTGGAAACCAACCTGAGAAAAGCAAGTGAGCTTCTGCTCAGAATCACAGAATGTTGGAGCAGGAAGGGAACATGGCAATCACAGCTTAAGCTTCTGGGGCTCCAGATAAGAACCTCCAGATCCTGAGCAGGTCCCACACCTTAGTGTGCTTGTAAAAATGCAGAGTGCTGGGTCCCCAGCACCAGGAATTCATATTCAGCTGGTCTGGGGCAGAGCCTGGGACCTGAAGGGATCCGATGCTGTTAGCTCAAAGACCACACTGGACTTGCGGTTACGGAGAGCTAAGACCTGCCGGGAGGCAGGAAGCCTGGTCCTGATTCCCAGCCCAGTGCTCTCTGCAGCCCCTGGCAGGGTTCCCTAGTACCTGAAATGTGTTATAATCAACATGTAGTCTCACCAGATCATTACATTGGTGTAATGCCTCGACCAAGCAGTCCCAGCCATCCCAGGGAACCTTGCTGATGCGTTGGAAAGAGCTTTCTGGTACAGGGCAGAACTGATTTGCCCTGGGATGTTCCCTCCCTCCTCTGCCTACGATGGGTAGAGACCTACTGATCTATTTCCTGAATGTCTATCATAAGGCGATATGTTCTTAGCTATTTGTCTTTGCCTTATCTTCAAAAATTAAGAGAAAGGTATGCCTGACTGCCTCCATTTAATAAGAAGACAGATGGACAGCTAGAGGATGGGAGGATAGGAAGGCAGTCACAGGTATGGTTGAGGTTAGGGCAGGCTTCCATTCATCCAAGCATCATGGACAAATTCTCCAGAACTTGGATTCAAAGTCCTTACTTGGAGAGCCCATTTTGTTCTCTTCCACTCTCCATCCTTTGAGGTGAGAAACAAAACTTGCTCTTTGTATTGAAACCTCAAATTGGCTATTGCCTTGGAAATTCTGCCCTGCTTCCTCTCTTTAATCATTAGTATCGTATTTAAGCTCCGTCATCCCCTGCAGTTTTAGGAACTAGCAAGATGTCCTCCATGAGATAGAGATCTTACAGATGCAGTAGCTTATCAGACAAGCCTATTCCTTGGCAGAGAGCCACACCACCCCGAGAGTGTGGAAAATAGTGTTTCCATCTGAAACACTCTGCTCCATTGCCAGACACCACTGACACTGGGCAGGTGGATTTTGGGAGAACCTCTGTGTGTGTGTGTGTGTGTGTGTGTGTGTGTGTGTGTGTGTCTCTCTATGTGTGTGTCTGGAAATGAGTATTTTTCATTAATTTGGGGGTGGAGGTGGAGAGGCACCAGAGGCATGGAGTATGTAAAAAATTAAAAACAACTCAACACTTCTGGCTGAGACGTTGCAGAGCCTGGGTTGTCTATCTTTATTGGAAATGTTTGTCCTCTGCCTGGCTGGTGATGACAGGCTTCATATCTCTAGAAGGAATGTTGGGGAGCTGAGAAGGGCTGTGAGCCATGGTTGCTAAGTGTTACTGTTAGTTCTTTATTATGTAAGAATCTCTGCATTGTGTTTATACTAAAACAGTAAGTAAAGGGTGGGTGCTTTAATTCTGGTTTTACATAAGAAGTATGGGAGCTTGCCCATTTTTCTCTGAAGTAAGAAGATTTGGGCCCAGCAGTGAGGATCAGACGTCAGGCAGTGTGGAAGACTGAAGCCATCCACAGTTAATTTTCTAGCTTGTTGCAGAGTTTGGGCATTCCTCACGTAGATTCTCCAGTCCTTGCTTCCTCCCTCTTGCTGCAGGCCTTTTGGTCTTCATGCTGCTCATTTGCAGCCCTACCAGAAGCAGCAGTAGAAGACAGAGCTGAATCAGTTAATTTAGGCCTTCTAAGTCGTTGTGATAAACAACTGGGTGGGAGGAGGGATGGTTCCAATGAGATTTTAAGAATTACAGATGTATGTGTATTATCTGCTGCTCCACAGGAGAACTGAAAATAGACTGAAAGCTGCTCACAGCCAAAGCCAGAAGGAAACTGCAGTATTGACAGAGAGAGAGAAAGAGAGAGAAAGAAACAGACTCAAATCACTCGGGGCAAGAGAGGGTTTGCTGGTGTGGAAACCGGGTGGTGGGGAGGCTTTCAGCAGAATATCAGGAGGGGACTTCAGCAGGGACCCAAGGAAAGACGTGAAAGAACAGACACTATAGAAAAGGTGAACCCTTTTGATCCAATCTCACTGTAAAGCCAAAAGGAGTGAGTACTGTTTGAAGTGACCCTGGCCTCATTCCATATTGGTGCTCTGCCTGTTGGGTCAGCCAGCTCTTCGGCTGGTCCCTGATTTGGAAGTTACGTCTTTCGTATATTTATTTCCAGAGACTTCTTAGCAGCAGTTACGTTTCATAAGGGAAGTTTTGATACCTCTTTTGTTCCCTGCTATGTCTGCCATCACCCACAACAGTGCCTAGCACAAAGAAAGCACTCAATAGATATTTGCTGAGTGAATGAATGAATGATGTTTCTTCATGAACAGACAAGGAAACTGAGGCATAATGTGATTAACTGCGTGGTCCATCATATCATTTGTTCTATCAAAATTGCAAGTAATAGAAACCAATTTGAGTCAGATTATGAAGAAGGAGTATGACATGAGGGTCCCAAGAGTCTCAAAGACGCCAGGGTCTTCAGGAGCTGACCTGGACACCTCTGGATCCCTCTCCCTTCCTCCTCTCTCCTCTGAGGTCTCTCTCTCTCTCTCTCTCTCTCTCTCTCTCTCTCTCACAGTTCCAGCCCCAGGAAGGGACTCTGAATCTCTCCTGGTCCTTGTCCCAGATTCCCAGGAGGGGCTTCTGGTCAGGGCTCTGTCCACCATTGCATGACTTTGCAGCAGTTCAAGTCAATGAGTGGAGGGGCTGAAGAACTCATCAAGGTGAGAGGAACTGCTCACGTTCTCATAAATTTCTCGGCGGATGGTTAGATCCAGAGAACACATAATCCAGTTGGTGTGAATGAGACCCCTAAGTATTTACTCTGGAAATTCTCATGATAGCTTTACTGAGGAGTCTTTTATCTGTGAAAATGCATAATTATGGAACAAGTCCTGAGGATTGTCTAAAATAAGGAAAAACCTGAGCCCACTAGTGTGAAGAGGAAGGCTTCTGTTCTCTGAATAACCCAGGATAGGACACACACCCATTCATCTACCTTGCAGGGTTCAGGCAGCCAAGTTGCTAAGAAGCAGAGAATAGACTAGAGTCAGTGACAGCCCCTGGCTGGTATTCTGCCCTGCAGGTGCATTCATTTTTCAATACTGAGCTGTATTTGAAGGCCAGTCATCCCTGTGGATGATTTAAAGGTATCTTCCCTCTGACAGGACCACTCTACAGTATCAATTGCTTCCTTCATACATTTTCCTCATTCTTCAAGGTCTGAGCATGCCAAAAAGTAAGACCTGAGAGGGGTAAGGGTTGCCAGGATGTTTCTGCAAATCTTCCACGGCTCTTGGGGGCACCCAGCAGGCATTTGAAAACTGACTTACAGCCGGGTGTGGTGGCTCACGCCTGTAACCCCAGCACTTTGGGAGGCCAAGGCAGGCGGATCACCTGAGGTCAGGAGTTCGAGACCAGCCTGGCCAACATGGTGAAACCCCGTCTCTACTAAAAAATACAAAAATTAGCCGGGCGTGGTGGTGGGTGCCTGTAATCCCAGCTACTTGGGAGGTTGAGGCAAGGAGAATCGCTTGAACCCGGGAGGCGGAGGTGGCAGTGAGCTGAGATGGCACCATTGCACCTCCAGCAGCCTGGGCAAATACAGCGAAACTCTGTCTCAAAAAGAAGAAAGAAAGAAAGAAAGAAAACTGACTTACGCCCTGTGGCTGGCCTTCTTTTGTCCTTTTTGTTTTGACAGCAAAAGCCATATAGACCTTGAATGCTATGACAGGCAGGACACGTCTGTGAAATAGGAAATAATTACACTCACGCTTTTTAGGTGCTATGTTTCCTTCCTCATTTTATTTTCTAACATGCAAGTAAACTTTTTAATGGACCTAACGTCTCATCTGACAGATATCACGGCCTTAGGTCGGAGCAAATGATCAGCCTGGAACCCACTCCAGACTGGTCTGCAGTTCTGCATGTGACCACACAGTGTCGCTATCTTCTCAGTTCTAGCCGAATAGCTCTGGCCCGCACCTTGGTTCAAAAAAACATTTTTTTTTTTTTTTTTTTGGCTGGGCGCGGTGGCTCACACCTGTAATCCCAGCACTTTGGGAGGCCGAAGCGGGGGGGGGGGGGGATCACTTGAGGTCAGGAGTTCGAGACCAGCCTGGCCAACAAGGTGAAACCCTATCTCTATTAAAAATACAAAAAAATTAGGCAGGTGTGGTAGCCTGCACCCCCGTAATCCCAGCTACTGAGTAGGCTGAGGCAGGAGAATCGCTTGAACTGGGAGGGAGAGGTTGTGGTAAGTGGAGACCATGCCACTGCACTCCAGCCTGGGCGACAGAGCAAGGCTCTGTCTCAAAAAAAAATTGTAAATTTAAAAAAAAGTTGGGTGGTGTGTCCTTGCGGATTGATGGCAGAAAACAGAATCTGGAGAGCAGCAAAGCTGAGTTCTAGATTTTTCATTTGGATAAATGTGGGAAGAATTAGGTCAGTCTTATTTTACTTAGTTTTAAAAGAATGAGTGAGGAGGGCAATGCAGTTAGGAAAGAAAACATGAAAGGAATGCCTTGTCCTGCTCGGCTGGACCCTCAAGACACCCACAGTACTTTTCATGCTTGAAGATTATGATGAAGGAGGTGAGTAATAATTATAGCTACCATTTATTGAGTACTACTGTGTACCAGCTGCTTTACATACATTACATGTAATCCTCTCAGGGCCTCTGCAGTGTAGCCAATATTATCCACGTGTTTCAGATGGGAAAGCTAACACTCAGAGTGGTGAAGCGGCATCCCTCACCTCACACAGCTAGTAATTCATGCTGACTCCAGACCTCTTTCAGGTGGATTTCTGGGTAAGGAATCTGGTCAGCTGAAATAACAGGTGCCCATTTCCTTCTAAGTCTCAGGGAGTGTACAATAATCTTCCTCGTCTTGCCACCATGAATGTTGAATGAGAAGAGTGACTAGAGAGATTTCATTTGGTAGGGGCATATGGCAGGGGGAACTTGGGGATCCCAAATCTAAAGTAAACAGGCAAGGTGCGGTGGCTCATGCCTGCAATCCCAAGATTTTGGGGGTGCTGAGGCAGGGGGATCACTTGAGACCAGGAGTTTGAACCAGCCTGAGCAACACAGTGAGACCCTGTTTCCACAAAAAAAAAAAAAAAAAAAAAAAAAAGGCTGAATGCAGTGGCTTATGCCTGTAATCCCAGCCCTTTGGGAGGCTGAAGTAGACGGATTGCATGAGTCTAGGAGTTCGAGACCAGCCTGGGCAACATAGTGAGACCCTGTCTCTATTAAAAAAACACAAAAAATTAGCTGGGCATGGTGGTGCCTGCCTGTAGTCCCAGCTACTCAGGAGGCAAAAGTGGGAGGATCACCTGAGCACAAGAGTTCGAGGCTGCAGTGAGCCATGATCACGCCACTGCATTCCTTCCAGCCTGGGTAACAGTGAGACCCTGTATAAAAAAAAAACCAGGCATGGTGGCACATACCTGTAGTCCCAGCTACTGGCCGGGGGTGAGGTGGGAGGATTGCTTGAGCCTAGGAGTTCAAGGCTATAGTGAACCATCATCGTGCCACTGCACTCCAGCCTGGGGTTACAGTGAGACCCTGTCTCAAAAAAAAAAAAAAAAAAAAAAGGAAACAGATAATGCATACAGGGCTAAACAGCATAGAAAATGCTACAAAAGTTGAAGATAGTATATTGATGTACATATTGAAGCAAAGAGAAAACTGGGGCCTTGGACGATGGAACTAGATGAGTAAGTCACATTCGGTAGGGAATTTAGAGCTGGTGCCTGGGGGCTTCATTTTACAAGACAGCCATGGGTATTCTCTACCACATGCTTCCCTCGAATTTACTCAGAGGGAAGCCCTCTCTCCACTGGCTTTCCCAGGCGTTAGGAGTCAATGGTTTTGAATAAGAGTGAAGATTAAAATTCAGCAGAGCTCCAAGCATGTCTGATCTTGAGCGGACAGGACCATGGACTAAGCTTCTGAACTCCCTTTTCCAATCTGCTCTTCCGGCCTCTTGATCTCTGTGCCAGGACTCAACTCCATCACAAATGCATAATTCCTATCACAAGGAGACAACCGTAAATATATTTGAATTAAGTGACATGTTTTCAGCTTCTCAAAGGCCCCATCCCTAAACTCAGTGTGGCCCTGGCCCTGTGACATGCTGGCGATGCAGTCCCACCAGGCACAGCACTGAAACTGCATGTCGTGCTGGAACAGGGGACTCTACCAGAGGCTCTGCTGGGACAGAAGGTAGGAAGCAGAAGCAGGTATTGGGATTCCATAGGAGAATGCAGTGCTCGCTTCCTGGTGTACCCACCGAGGAGGCAAGGGAAGGAGCAGTGACTCCTGTCTTTCTGTGACTCAGCTCCCGCCTGGGGCTTCTGGGTTCAGAGCAGGGGAGTGGAGGGATGTGGGTCTTAGATGAGAGAGGTGGAATGAGCAGCTCTTGGGACTCCTCATGGCCCCACAGTCTCTACCTGCTCAGAGAAAAATGAGCCCAGGTGATGGGAGGAGGTGTTCATATGTTATGGGAGAGGGAGGGTGACTGGGTGTGGCGCAGAGCTTGGGCTGCACCTGGCTACCTCGGTCTGAGGAGTCTCAAGTGCTACCTAATGTGTGGCAGTGGGGACAGAGGTGGGTTTTTTCCCCTTTTGTGGTGCTGGTAAGGAGGGAGCTCATGCATTCTAGGCACTGGTTCCATCCCTTCATCTGGCTAAATCAAATCATCTGGGGAGATTTAAAAATTCAGAGTCTGCCAGCCACCGTGACTCACGCCTAGAATTCTAGCACTTTGGGAGGCTGAGGCAGGAGAATCATTTGAGTTCAGGGGTTTGAGGCCAGCCTGGGCAACATAGTAAGACCTTGTCTCTATTGAAAAAACATCAGATTCCTAGGGCCCAGGCCTTGAGATTCTGATTGAGTCAATTTGGGGTGGGGTCTGGGATTGACTCTGTGTTTTAAAAAGATGCCTTGGGTGATTCTGCTTAGCAGCTATAATAGGGGATTGTTGATATGTGATTACATTTGACTACACCAAGCCTTCCATGCAGTGGCATGGCCATTTGCAGACAGAGCTGGGTTTAGAGGAAATGTAGCCAGGGCCTCAGGCTGTTAGAGGTCTAAGGATGGGGATTCAGAGTAAAGCATCAGTATCTACCCACTCAACATTGGACCTGGAGTGAGTGTGGTGGCACACACTTGTAGTCCTAGCTACTCTGGTGGCTGAGGTGAGAGAGAGGATTGCTTTGGGGTTGTGGTGTGATACGATCGTGCCTGTGAATAACTACTGCATTCTGCACTCCAGCCTGGACAATATAGTGAGACTCCATTTCTTTTTCTTTTGAGACAGAGTCTCTCTCCATTGGCAGTGGTGCGATCTTGGCTCACTGCAACATCTGCCTTCTTGGTTCAAGCAATTCTCCTGCCTCAGCCTCCCGAGTAGCTGGGATTACAGACACGCGCCACCACACCCAGCTAATTTTTTTGTGTTTTTAGTAGAGATGGGGTTTCACCATATTGGCCAGGCTGCTCGCAAACTGCTGACCTCGTGATCAGCCCACCTTGGCCTCCCAAAGTGCTGGGATTGCAGGCGTGAGCCACCGCGCCTGGCCCGAGACTCTATTTCTTAAAAAAAAAAAAAAAAAAAAAAAAAGATTGGACCTGGGAAAAGGAAGGAATGGAGGAATGGTAAACTATCCTGGATTAGCATCTTGCAAAAGACTAAAATCAGAGTCCATCCTTAAATCCTCCCACATGATAAAATGTGTGAACTTAATTTCCCGGATCTGTTTCTAACCTCCGGTGTGGTCAGTTGGACCAGCATTAGACAGTCAGATGAGGAAGGGAATGTTCTGTGAGGCAAACCCAAGCCCTAAGCTTGGTCTGCATCTGTGACCTGGTTCTGCAACTTTGGAGAGATGCACAAGAGGCTACGTGCATCCAAACAGCCTCGCAATCAGACCGCACGAGATCATGCAGCTCACAAATCTGGACAGACCTGAAAGATCGTATCTCGAACGAAGCCACTGAATGTCGCTGGCTCCCATGCAGGCCCGAGCAGGGAACAGCCGGCAACCACACAGTTGCACACAGGCTGCTGGCTGTGCCCTAGGACCGGCCCGGAATCCAGCTGGGGCTTCTCCTTCTCTCTTGAGAAAGTCCCCAGGGGCTGTCTTCAGCAGTCCTGAACTTGGGAACCTGGGCTGCATGCTGAATTAAGAACTCACAGTGAAAACTCTGCTAATCTGTAAAGTCAATTTGACTCTTTGATGGGCAGAGAAATTTGGCTTGCTTTATTTATTTCTTTATTTTCAGACAGAGTCTCACTGTCACCCAGGCTGGAGTGCAGTAGCTCAATCATAGCTCACTGGAGATTTGACCTCTTGGGCTCAAGAGATCCTCCCATCTCAGCCTCCTCAATAGCTAGGACTACAGGTGCACGCCAGCATGCCCAGATAATTTTGTTCATTTTTTTGTAGAGACAGGGTCTCACTCTATTGCCCAGGCTGGTCTTGAATTCCTGAACTCAAGTATTCCTCCTGCCTCAGCCTCCCAAGTAGCTCAGACCACCAGTGTGCCCTACCATGACCAGCTATTTTTTTTTTTTTTTAATTTTTTGTAGAGACTGGGGTCTCACTGTGTTGTCTAGGCTGGCCTCAAACTCCTGGGCTCAAGCAATCTTCCTGCCTTGGCAGCCCAAAGTCCTGGGATTACAGGCATAAACCACCATGCCAGGTGCCAGGTCAGAGATGTGGTTTTTTCAATCCCAGGGTCAAGAAACCAGAATTGCAGCCCTGGCTCTGCTGTCAAATTGTTCAAAAGCCTCTGAGGAAGAAGGATCAGGCTTCCAGGCTTTATTTGCTCCTCAGTTCCCGGTGCCAGCTCAGGGTTTTTGCAAAGTTTAGCTGCCATAGGAAGTGAGAAATTGCTCTGGAAAATGTATATGTTCCCATTTTTGCCTTTGTTATTATTTCAGTTCTGCTGTGGACTGTTGTGAACTGACCCAGTAACCACAGGCTAGTTCTTTGTCTTCCAAGCCCCTTATTGCTTGTTTCCAACAAAGTAGTCAAAAACACTTTCTCTGCTAAACAAACTTTTTTTCTTTTTTGTAACAAAAAAGACCAAAGATAGAAATACAGCATGGCTTTCTTTTTTCCTTTTTTTTTTTCTTTTTTTTTTGAGATACAGTCTTGCTCGTTGCCCAGGCTGGAGTGCAGTTGTGAGATCTCGGCTCACTGCAACCTCCACCTCCTGGGCTCAAGCGATTCTCCTGCCTCGGCCTCCCTAGTAGCTGGGACTACAGGCGCATGCCACCACGCCTGGCTAATTTTTGTATTTTTAGTAGAGATGGGGTTTTGCCACGTTGGCCAGGCTGGTCTCAAACTCCTGACCTTAGGTGATCCGCCCGCCTTGGCCTCCCAAATTGTTGGGACTATAGGCATGAGCCACCGCGCCCAGCCTTACAGCATGGATTTCTAAACAGAGTGGCTATTTGTTGCTGGGACAGGTAACTGAGAGGATAGATTTCATTCCCCAGAGAAGTTTAAGAAAAGAAGAGCATTTAGATGTTTTTAGAATTTAGTAGAGTCTAGAGCCAGGGAGAAAACCAGACATTCTCTGGAGATTCATTTCAGCTAGAGGGTTCTGTGTGTCCCATCTCCCTTTCAGGGATTAATCAGCCTCTAAAAACAGCAAGGGCACAAGATTCAGTACAGAGGACCTGGCTTCCCAACCAACTAGTTAAGTGATTCAGGCAGTTTCCTCAGCAATAAAACAGAAATAATACTCTCTCTACCTCAAATTAAATCATATGGATGTGAAAGCCTTTTGTAAAATATAAACTTTTAAAATATTGAGGCTGGGCATGGTGGCTCATGCCTGTAATCCCAGCACTTTGGGAGGCTGAGGTAGCAGGATTACTTGGGCCCAGAAGTTTGAGGTTGCAGTGAGCTAGGATCGAGCCACTGTACTCCAGACTGGGTGACAGAGCAAGACCCTGTATTAAAAAAGAAAAGGGTAATGGTATATCTTACATAGATATAGATAAGTGTATAAGATATAGCTTGCTTATATCATGGCAAGATCAATGAAAATATGCTTTTTAAAAAAGTAAAGTTTATTATGTAAGCTCTTGGGAATCATCTCAACTGAAGCCAACCACAAATGCAAGGGGTCTAACCTTGATGATCTGGATTTGTTTGGTCTTTTGTATACCCAGAAATCCACCATCCTTCTCTATGTTGGTCTTGGTCTTTCCTGAGAAGGCCAGTACCTGAAAAGTGAGCATTCCACCTTCCACCCCGCCATCACATGGGAGTCTTTTTTTTTTTTTTTTAAATCCCCAGTCTGTTTACCACTTTGTCCTAAGAATCAAAGACTTAGGAAACTTTTTTTTTTTTTTTTTTTTGAGACAGGGTCTCACTCTGTCACCCAGGCTGGAGTGCAGTGGCGTGATCTCAGCTCACGGCAACCTCTGCCTCCCAGGCTCAAGCGATTTTCCTGCCTCAGCTTCCTGAGTAGCTGGAATTACAGGCACGCGCCACCACACCCGGCTAATTTTTGTATTTTTTTTTAGTAGAGACGAGGTTTCACCATGCTGGCCAGGCTGGTCCTTATCTCCTGACCTCAAGTGATCCACCAGCCTCGGCCTCCCAAAGTGCTGGGATTACAGGCGTGAGCCACTGCTCCCGGCCAAGGAAACTTCAAGAAGGCAAAGGCAAGGAGGCCCACCCCTGGGCCCTCAGAGGACATGGACAGGGAGCGGACTCTGAAAGGAGCTCTGGGAATGGACTCTGCCCCCTCTAGCCCCCAGGGCCTGGCCGCCTACACCCAGCTGCTTCTCCTCACTGGCCTCTGCCCCAGGACATGGCAGCCACATCAGGGACGTGGAGCTGGGAAGCGTCCCCCCTTCTCACAGAAGGTCTGTGACAGTGGAGAAGATTCCCAGGATCTCAGGCTAGAAGTTGGAAGGCATTTTCTGAGGGCCACATGATTCCACCAGCTGGAGTTTTCTGTTCCCATTGTACAGTCCTTGATTTCTGGGACACAAGATGTTCTTTTAGGCTTTCCTGAATAACAAAGATCACACATACACTTGTTTATCTGGGGAGATGCCTTCCCGTTCTAAACAACTGACTTACAAATTCTCTTTCTGAGAACAATGCCCATTCATAAGTTGGGAACATTCTGTATGAGTGACTTCTGGCTGGGAAGGCACAGTTCTCAGGAGGGGGAGGAGTTCTCAGGAGACCCCTGTAAAGTGGGCCTGTGCTTAGACACTCAGGTCCCTGTGTTTGCTAGAAACACTTGGGCACACACAGGTGCCTGTTCCAAGCCTTCCTCCCAAGGAACACACCTGCGCATGTGAGTCACATGTCCCGCCAACGTGCCACCTAACCTTCACCCTGAGCTGGGGAGTATTGAGTAACTGTGTCGTCAGCAAAGTCACCCCACTGCTTGGGTAACACCTTCAGATAGTATCCAGGCCAAAACATGTTAAGAAAAAAAATTCACTCACAGCCAGAACACTTATTCCTGTTTATCTTTTAACAATGCAAGGGTAGGGAAATTGTTTGGAAATCAAAACGTGGAAGTTCGTTCATCCTCCCAACTCGTGGAGTTCTAAGGCAGAGACTGGCTAAGCTTTTGTGGGACCTAAAAGTTATATAATCAGGGTGGGGCAGTTTAAATAATTACAAATACGGAATTATGAACAGGGCCTTAGAAGGCGAGGGAGAGGCCCTGAAACTTGAGCTTCATTCACTTAATGGAAAATCTAACTCTGATTCTAGGGGAAGAATCTAGAAGATTCCATGAAAATACAATGTTATAGAGCTTTAAATGACTTTCCCTAAAATACTTTTAATACTTCTTGCCTTAGTGGATCCTGGCTTTTCTTTGACAGTGTCATTCAGTTGAAAACCCTCTGGGTAAAGGCTCTTCGCCTCCTGGCAGCCCCATGCGGGCGGGAGGTGCTGCTCTCAGGGTCTTCACACCCCACTGTTGCAGCCCTCCGCCCACCCGTCTCTCCAGCCGGACCATCCTCTCTGCATTTTGGTCCCTGTCCTCCGCCCACCCGTCTCTCCAGCCGGACCATCCTCTCTGCATTTTGGTCCCTGTCCTCCGCCCACCCGTCTCTCCAGCCGGACCATCCTCTCTGCATTTTGGTCCCTGTCCTCCGCCCACCCGTCTCTCCAGCCGGACCATCCTCTCTGCATTTTGGTCCCTGTCCTCCGCCCACCCGTCTCTCCAGCCGGACCATCCTCTCTGCATTTTGGTCCCTGTCCTCCGCCCACCCGTCTCTCCAGCCGGACCATCCTCTCTGCATTTTGGTCCCTGTCCTCCGCCCACCCGTCTCTCCAGCCGGACCATCCTCTCTGCATTTTGGTCCCTGTCCTCCGCCCACCCGTCTCTCCAGCCGGACCATCCTCTCTGCATTTTGGTCCCTGTCCTCCGCCCACCCTGGGGCCCTTCTGCAAAGCACTGAGGTTCGGGGCGCATGGACGTCTTCCTCCCAGCCCCTCATCCGCCAGCGAGCTGAGCCGCGCCCGGGCCCCTGTCACCGCGCCACCGCTCCTTCGGGACCTGAAGCCTCCGTGCTCAGCGATCCCCCTGCAGCCCACTGCGACCCCCACCCTTGCTGCGCCCTCCGCCTCAGCACGGCCCTCCCGGAGCTATGTGCCCTCCCTGACTTCCTCTTCGCCCCTCCCCTGCCTGGCTCTCCCACTGCCAGTCACCCCAACCCCGCCCCAGCAGCAGCCTCGAGTTCCCTCTCCCCTCGAAGGCCTCGCGGCGGACTCGGAGCGGGGCAGGGAGGAGGCGGGAGGCGGCGGGGGGCGGGGGGCGGGGGGAGGCGGGAGGCGGCGGGAGGCGGGGGGCGGGGCCGCAGCTCCGCCCTCGGGAAATGGCTCCGCCTCCCTCGCCGGGAGCTGCCTTCAGGGGCCGTATGCAGCGACTCCCCACCCCGCGGGCCATGCCAGCGGACGGGCACCTCCGCGGGCGCAGAGCGAGTCACACGTGCATCCTCTCGCCCTTCCCCCGCTGCACCGCCCGCTGTCCAGCCCTCTCCTGTTTTCTCCCACTGCAGAGCTGGCTAAAGAACACTGCAGACTTGGGCCAATTTGCCCCTGCCCAGATTCCTGATTCCCGGCCTCGCGGCCCCACCGCTGTCTTCCTCTCCCCTCCCGGACTTCCTGTCGCCCCCAGCCCCAGCCCTCTGTGGCCGCGGCCTGCTCTGCCTGAGCTGCGCCTCCGGAGGTTCCGCCGCCCCTTCGCCTCCCCCTCCCCACTTCCCGCCTCCCCCCTCACTTCCCGCCTCCCCCTCCCCACTTCCCGCCTCCCCCCTCACTTCCCGCCTCCCCCTCCCCACTTCCCGCCTCCCCCTCCCCACTTCCCGCCTCCCCCTCCTCACTTCCCGCCTCCCCCTCCTCACTTCCCGCCTCCCCCTCCCCACTTCCCGCCTCCCCCTCCCCACTTCCCGCCTCCCCCTCCCCACTTCCCGCCTCCCCCCTCACTTCCCGCCTCCCCCTCCCCACTTCCCGCCTCCCCCTCACTTCCCGCCTCCTCCTCCCCACTTCCCGCCTCCCCCTCCTCACTTCCCGCCTCCCCCTCCTCACTTCCCGCCTCCCCCTCCTCACTTCCCGCCTCCCCCTCCCCACTTCCCGCCTCCCCCTCCTCACTTCCCGCCTCCCCCTCCTCACTTCCCGCCTCCCTCCTGAGAGGTCCGCTGTCGGGAGAGAGGACTCGGTGTGTGCTCCGCTCGCCCTCCGCGAGATTCCCTCAGGGCACAAGCAGCGCTTCCTGAAGCTCGGTTAGCCCCTCACCCACCAGCTGCAAGGACGGGGACCCTGCCTTTCTTATCGCGCATCGCCCAGGCCCTGGCCGGGAGGAGGGCCTCTAACCGGGAGGGGCTGCCCGCTCTTCCGTGCCCCGCCCCGCAGCGCACCTGCCCGCGAACATGAGGCAGCCGGGGGTCCGCTGGGGCAGAGTGCGGAGTGAAGGGGTGCACTGGGCACTCAGCGCGGCCCTTGGGAGGCAGGGCCGCCCCAGCCTGCCCTCCTGTCTGGGAAGGCCGTCCAGAAGCAGGAGCCCCGGGGAAAACAACTGGCTGGACGGGGCGGCCTTCAGTGTCTCTCCCAGCCTGAGAGTCGCTTCCCACCACCTGGGCACGAACCTGCTCTGCGATCTCCGGCAAGTTCCTGCGCCTCCTGTCGGTAAAATGCAGATCGTGGCGTCTTCCCTGTCCCCTGTGAGGATCGTGAGCCTATGCGTGTGAGGCCACCAAATCCCAATTCGTATGAACGTGCTGGAAGCAAGGGGGTCAGAGCACTTAGCGGCTCTCTCCTCTGGTGGGGAGAAAACAATGATTTTCTTAAGGACACAGTTTGATGGCGGAGGCTCGAGAGCGGCTACAGTTGGGGCCACTGGAGAGAGAGATGGCCTCTGGAAGAGGGTGCTGAGTTATGTAGTGGCCGATTCACTGCAGGCTGCCTGCTAGATTGTAGGCTTGCTGAAGGCAGCACCAGTTATCTGTCGCACTGTTCGCTACAGAATTGTCCGCACCAAGCACAGCATGGACTCTGTTAGCAGTGCAGCAAACATTTGATGAAGGAAGGAAGGAGGGAATTAAAGGAGGAAGAAAGGAAAGGAGAAAGATAAAAAAGGAAGAAAGGAGGAAGGGAAGGAAGGAAGAAAGGAAGGATGGAGGGAAGGAGGGAAGGAAGGAAGGAGGAAAACAGGAGGGAAGGAGGGAAAGGAGGGAAGGAGGAAAACAGGAGGGAAGGAGGGAAGGAAGGAAGGAGGAAAACAGGAGGGAAGGAAGGGGGAAAGGAAGGGAGGAAGGAAGGAAGGAGGCTGCTTAGGGGTAAAACGTCTGTAGGGAGGATGCAGCCGGGCCACGAGCTAATAGAAGGTGCAGAATGTCAAGCTGCTGAGATGGACCATGGAAGGCAAGAAGAATGAGGGAATGCCCACCCAGTCCTCAATGACAAATAATGATCTTGTTTTCTTTTGCTTTTTCCTCGATCTTAATTTTTAATCCCCAATGGCTGAATGATGGTGTTCTGTGCAGACATTTGTGTTCGGGTAGAGAGAAGGGGAAAGAATGGCTGGGACTGGCCCACCATGGCCTTGGGACTGGCCCACTATGGCCCTGCCCTTACAAACTAGAGGAGAGTAATTAAATGAAAACGATGACAAGGATGTACATGTAAAACATTTAAAGGCTGGGCACAGTGGCTCACGCCTGTAATCCCAGCACTTCCGGAGGCCAAGGCAGGTGGGTCACGAGGTCAGCAGTTCGAGACCAGGCTGGTCAACATGGTGAAACCCCATCTCTACTAAAAATACAAAAATTATCCAGGCGTGGTGGTGGGCACCTGTAATCCCAGCTACTTGGGAGGCTGAGGCAGGAGAATCTCTTGACCCGGGAGGCGGAGTTTGCAGTGAGTCGAGACCATGCCATTGCACTCCAGCCTGGGTGACAGTGGGAGACTCTGTCTCAAAAAACAAACAAACAGCAACAACAAAAAACATTTAAAGACACACAAGGCCGGGCGCAGTGGCTCTTGCCTGTAATCCTAGCACTTTGGGAGGCTGAGGCAGGAGGATCGCTTGAGCCCAGGAATTTGAGACCAGCCTGGGCAACATGGTGTAAACGTGTCTCTAAAAAACATAGAAAAATTAGCTGGGCGTGGTGGTGCGCACCTGTGGTCTCAGCTACTCAGGAGGCTGAGGTGGGAGGATCACTTGAGCCCGGGAGGTCGAGGCTGCAGTGAGCTATGATCTCACCACCGTACTCCAGTCTGGGTAACGGAGCAAGACCCTGTTTCAAAAATAAATGAATGAAATAATAAAAATTAAGAACACACAAAAGTAGATTCAAAATATTACACACACTTTTACACCTGTACCTCTCTCTCCATCTTTGTGTATTGGAATGCATGAGTCCACACTGATAATCTCCAAGTCCAGGCCGACAGCATGAGTGCATTCTTGTTTTCTCCCTTTCCCTTCTCTGCCAGTAAGAAACCCGGCTCCACAGGGAGTGAAAAGAATGAAAAAGCAGCAGTAGGTCACTAAGGTCCCAGCTTCCCTGTGCCAGCCCTGCCATGGTGCCTCCAAGGATGCAGACCTGCCTGGGGCAGAGGTCTTTAAGGAGACCAAATTGGAACCAGAAGTTTCTTCAGACTGAAAGAACTCCAGGAAGTGTCAGTGGTTAGGGCAGATTTAGGATACCCTATAAATATACAGTAGGGCAAAGTTAAGTCAAGGGCCCCTGGAGCCTTCGGGGTTATGTTGAACCTCCAGGGTTCACCTGGATTAACTCTGTGGTGGCTTCCAGCTGTTGATCTCACCCTAGACCCAGGAATCTGAGGTATGATTTGAGTTAGAAATGGGAAGTAGGGGAGAAATGAAGAAAATTAGAAGAAAACAGTAAATGTATCACCACTTAAAAACATTAGTATTGATAAAATTGACTTCATAAAAATTAAAAATTTCCATGTGGCAAAAATAGCTGAGTCATAAGTAATTAACTGGGAAAATATTTGCAACACATATGACAGTTAATTTTCTTCACATGCAAAGTACACTTAAGAGTGAATAAGATAATCAGCCCCAAAGAAAAATGGGCAAAAGACCTTAAAAAACCGCAGAAGAAGAAATATATCTGGCTTTCTTTTTTTTTTTTCGAGACAGAGTTTTTGCTCTTGTTGCCCAGGCTGGAGTGCAATGGCATGATCTCAGCTCACTGCAACCTCCGCCTCCCAGGTTCAAGTGATTCTCCTGCCTCAGCCTCCCAAGTAGCTGGGATTACAGACATGTGCCACGACGCCTGGCTAATCTTGTATTTTTAGTAGAGACGGGGTTTCTCCATGTTGGTCAGGCTGGTCTCGAACTCCCGACCTCAGATGATCCACCCACCTCGGCCTCCCAAAGTGCTGGGATTACAGGCATGAGCCACCACCCCCGGCCTGCCTGGCTTTCAAACACATGAGAAGGTGCTTACCCTCACTTATAATAAAAGAAATAATTCTATTATATTTCTAATACATTACCAATACATGGTTTCCAATACATAAATTCAAAGTATAAGAGGTATTTTTTATGTATTAGATGAATAAAAATTAAAAATTTTGATAAATTTGTATGTGAAAGAAGATGTGAAGAAATAGGTGTTCCATGCATTATTGGTGGAAGTAAAAATTGGTGCCCTTTCTTTGAAACTATCAAATGCACATATCTTTTGATCCAGTAAGCCCGCCTCTACAAAATTATCCTACAGATACACTCACGCATGTGCACAAAGATATCGGCACAAGAAATTTCCTGCGGCATTATTTGAGGAGCAAAGTCTAAAAGAACCTGAATGCCTGCCAGTAGGGGGAAGGGATATTAAAAATGATTATTGTGCAAAATGATGCTATATATTGTTCACAGATGTATATATGTATGTATATGACATATAAAAAATTACAGAAAGGGTGTAAATAATTTCCAGTAGCGCTCCCCTCTAAGGATGGGAGGAAGGATGCAGGACTGACCACAAAGGCCACAGAATATTTCAGACTTCATCTGTAGCATTTTACTTATTTTTATGTAAAAAAAGAAAAAAAACAGCTATACTAAATGTTTTTTATCAATTCTGGTTGGTGGAGACTTCATTTATTACACTCTTATTTTTATGTATTTTTTCCAAAAAGCATGATACAGGGGGGTGGGTATAAGATGATATCTTTTGTGTAAAAAGAGGCCCCCTGAGCTTGTTTATGTGTAAATGTCCCTAGAAAGACAGTCAAGGTCACAGTGGCTGGTGTGGCAAAAGGCAACAAGGAAGTGGGTGGGGAGACTGGTTTTTCATTGCACGTTCTTACTGCTTATATATTTTGCCATTTGAATGTTCTGCTTACAAAGAATGATTATAAAAACAAGCAAACAGAAGGCATGCCTCCTGTGCCTGAGAGGACGGGAAGGGGAAAGAAAAGGCTGCTTTCCCTTCTCTGAAGCCTTTGCCTGAGGCCAGTGGGTAAATACTGATGCTGAGAGGAGGGAGGAGAGAAAGGCAGAGAGAGACAGAGACAGAGATGGAGACACACACACACAGAGAGACAGAGACACACAGAGATGGAAACAGGGAGAGAGAGAGACAGAGACGGACAGAGACAGAGGCAGAGAGAGACAGACAGAGACAGAGAGTCCCCTGAGAGGCTGGTCTGCTTTGGAAATATTCATGGTTTGCCCAGAGGAGCAAGCAATGTGGGCCAAGCTAAGAGCCTTGAGAGCTATTAACACACCAAGTAGGTAGTGACCCAGGCAGGAAAAAACACTAAGAAATGTCCAGTGTGGGCCAGGCGTGGTGGCTCATGCCTGTACTCCCAGCACTTTGGGAGGTTGAGGAGGGAGCATCGCTTGAGGCCAGGAGCTCACGACCAGGCTGGGCAACAAAGTGAGACCCCCATCTCTCCCAAGAAGTAAAAAAAAAATTAGCCAGATATGGTGGTGCATGCCTGTAGTCCCAGATACTTGGGAGGGTGAGGCAGGAAGATCACTTGAGCCTGGGAGGTTGAGGCCGCAGTGAGCCATGATTGCGCCAGTGCACTCCAGCCTGGGCAACAGAGGGAGGTTCCATCTCAAAAAGAAAAAAATATATATCCAGTGTGGCCAAGATATTTTAGGGTGAGGAGAAGGATCAGGAAGCCTCCTGGCCAGACTTTCAGCCTGCAATCCTATCCTCAGTATCTGAGACTACCAAATCCTCAACAAGAAACAAAAACTGAGGGTCCAAACGATGAAAAACAAACCGTAAAGAACGAATTACCCACGTGAATAAACTTTGAAGGCGTTGCGCTAAGGGAAATGAGCTAGTCACAAAGGACGACTACTCTCTCTACGATTCCACTCATATGAGGTACTACGAATAGTCAAATTCAGAGACAGCAGAACGGTGGCCACCAGTGGCTGGCAGGGCAGGATGGGGCGTTAGTGTTCAATGGGGACAGAGTTTCAGTTGGGAAAGAAAGAAAGTTTCTGTAGATGAATGGTGGTGATGGTGGCACAAAAATGTGAGTGCACTTAATGGCACAGAACTGTTCACTTGAGCATTTTAAAATTGTTATTTTTTTAGAGACAGGTTCTTGCTCTGTCACACAGGCTGGAGGGCAGCGGTGTGATCAGAGCTCACTATAGCATTGAACTCCTAGGCTCAAGTGATCTTCCTGCCTCGGCCTCCCAAGGAGCTGGAACTACTTGCCCAGTGTGCCACGATGCCCAGATAATTAAAAAAAAAAAAACCTTTTATTTTTATTTTTATTTTTTTAGAGATGAAGTTGCTATGTTGGCCAAGCTGGTTTCAAACTCCTGGCCTCCAATGATCCTCCCATCTCAGCCTCCCAAAGCTTGGGATTACAGGTGTCAGCCACTGTGCCCAGGCCTACTTAAAAATCGTTAAAATAGTATATGTTATTTTATACATATTTTACCACAATTTTAAAAATAAAAGAGTTACCCTCCCAGTTGACTGACAATCCTGGTATGCCTAAAACCTTTCACTAGACATTTAACCAGTCTTACTACCTCCTCCTGATCTTCAACTAAACCCTCCTCTGTCTTTTTCCTGTAAATTTTCTGCCAACACTGTGAAATACAACTTTGATACACACTTACATATGTTTTAAAAACACCTAATAACAACAACAGAACTAAACTAAAAATAACAGACAACTCCCATGTGCTGGAGGCAGTGAATCTCAGGTTTCCTTCACACAAAGCGGAAATGGCCAGTAAACCCACTTTGTTTCCCCACTGGCCAAGGGAGAAAAGCCGCACTGCAGACACCCACCCGACCCTTCGACCTCCAGACAGACACAGTGCTTTCTAACAAAACAAAAACAAACGAAAAACAACCCAACGGCTTAAAACCACAAAAGAAACCTTTACCCAATCCAAGCGACCCCTTGCTTCCGTTTGGGCAGATGGCATTTCACCACTTTTTGACCTTTCAACCAGTACCCTTGCTGAATTTCTTTCCAAAGCCAGAGTCATAATACGTGAGAGCGAGCATTTCTCAAGTGCTGGGCTTCAGGGAGGGCCCTGGTCTTTGGACGGTGAACAGAACTGGGGCAGAGGGAGTCCTATCTCGAGGAGATGACGCTGCTGCCCTACAGTAGCCAGCGCTGCTTTTGTAACTCTAGCGATGGCCCAATCTCTGATTGCCCCCACTCTGATCAGCCCTCTTTATTTTAGTCTCGCCTTTGAAATAAGTCTGGGTGACAGCCAAGATGTCCAGTGGCCAAGTCATGCTATGCCACTTCTACCAATGAGATGGTCCCTCCAGCCTCAGCCAGCAGAGACTGTCCTCTGGACCTAGAGCCCCACGAGTGGTGCCACGAGAGCAGCACCTGGGGCCCCACGACCTGGAAGTGTAATTAGTTTCAGACTCAGATAGAGAAATGGAAAGTCCTGATATTGATTGGAAAGCCTAGTTATAATATTCCTAATCTGGCTTGATCCTTGTCTAAAAAGACCTTTTATTTTAGTTGTAGCTTATTTGCCTGGCAAACAGGAGCTCTGGTTTAGGGAGGAGGAATGGGAATGGGGAGAAGTAGGCTATTATAATAATTGAGTACAATTTGAATCCTTTACACATTATGGCTTTTTCGTTTTTTTTTGTTTTTGAGATAGTCTCGCTCTGTCACCCAGGCAGGAGTGTAATGGTGTGATCTTGGCTCACTGCAACCTCCACCTCCTGGGCTCAAGCGATTCTCCTGCCTCAGCCTCCTGATCAGCTGGGACTACAGGCACCTGCCACCATGCCAGGCTATTTTTTTTGTATTTTTAGTAGAGACAGGGTTTCACTATATTGGCCAGGCTGGTCTCAAACTCCTGACCTCATGATCCACCCGTGTCGGCCTCCCAAAGTGCTGGGATTACAGGCGTGAGCCACCGCAATCGGCCCCACATTATGTTTTTAATCACCCTCAAATAGATGCTAATAAGTTGTCAGAAACATCATGAGCTGTTGCTGGGATACAGCCCTTTCACAGCCCAAAGAGCCCCTTGACACATCTTGTTTTTTTCTGGTGAAAAAATAAGAGGACTCATTTTAGTTAGACTCATTCACAAAAACCAGGCGGGCTCATTCTAGAGTCATATGGCCTCCAAAAGCTCAGACCAGAAGCGTACTGTGCTCCTGTCACACTCTAATCTGACTCTCTTTCTGGAAGAATTTGGAGAGGTGAGTGCCAATATCATATTACTTTCTCAGGCTGAGAATTTGAGGGTGGAGTCCGGCAGGCTCCTGAGGGAAAGAGAATAAACCAGGAGGAAAGGGGAGCTCGAGCTCGGCCCTTTGGTTTTCCTTGGAGGCCTTGCTTGGGGGCCAAAGGTTCTTGGCCTGCGTCCTCCCCTCCTTCTCCCTGGGCACTCAGTAGCAGAGTGCCAGCCTCGCTTCCACTGCAGGCAACCCCACACTGCCCCTCGGGCATCCTCTCCCCCTCACTCACTCACAGCTCATTCGAAAAGGCTTTACTCACCAACTTTAAGTTAATTGCTTCAACTAAATTACACCTTTTTTTCATATGAAGTCGCAGATGTGTTCCCAGATGGTGCCTGGCCTGGTGTTCTGAGTCATGGGTCTACAGAGGCCGCCACACCTTGACACCTGGTGAAAGGTCGCCACAGTGCCCTCGCTTGTGATTAGCCCTTTGTAAGTGCAGTGCTCATTTTACCCTGTGGTTCTGAACAAGCAGGAATGACTGAATCCTGAAGTTGAAGTAGCGTAGCTTTTCCCTGAGATTCAGATGTGTTTACTTTTACACCTTTAAAAAAAAACAACTTTATCAATACAGCTTCACAGACATCACTGCTCCCGCCGTTGCTTTTTCTAGCTTTTAAGGCTGGACATATACCAAGCAAGCTCCCCATCACCACCAGGCCCTTGCCCAGGTCCACAACAGGGATCAGAAACTTCAGCCTAAGCCCCACTGCTGTGGCTCAGGTGCCATCAACAAGTCTTACCAAAGCAGGAACTTTTCTAAGCTTCTAGAATGTAGTTGTCATACCTTGACTAGCTGTCATCAACTCCCTCCCCACGGAATAGTAGCTCTGCATACCTGCTGAGATCCTGCCATAAATGGTCAGGCCACCAGCAATTACACTGTTGCCACACCCTGACTTTTTTTTTTTTTTGAGATGGAGTCTTGCTCAAGGAACTTAGTACTTCATACACCACCACCCTATCTAACATGCTATTTTGCAGTGATACTTCATATCTTTACATATCCATCATCAATGTAACATACAGTTATACAGCGAATGCATGTTTAGATTTATTTAAAGCTTTATTAGTTTCTTTGCTCACCATTGCTTTCCATTTTTTGGAGGGATCACTCTTTTTTTTTTCTTTTGTGTGCATGTGTATGTGTATGAGAAACAGATCATACATGAAAAATAAATGAAAAACTATGCACATATCGCAGTATTGGTGGATGAATACTATGATGTCTGAGATACATCTCAGAATAATCTGGGAGGGGAGAAAGTGAGTGACGGTGGAGATAAAATAAAATTGGTTGTGTACTAATAATTATTTAATAATTATTAAAGTTGTGGCTGGGTGCAGTGGTTCACACCTGTAATCCCAGTACTCTGGGAGGCTGAGGCAGGTGGACTGTTTGAGCCCAGGAGCTGGAGACCAGCCTGGGCAACATGGCAAAACCCTGTCTCTACTAAAACTACAAAAATTAGCTGAACGTGGTGGTGTGGGCCTGTAATCCCAGCTACTTGGGAGGCTGAGGTGGGAGGATTGCTTCAGCCCTGGGGGCGGAGGTTGCAGTGGGCCAAGTCTGTGCACTGCACTCCAGCCTGGGCGACAGAGCAAGACCCAGTCTAAAAAGAAAAAAAAAGAAAAATTGAATTTGTGTACTGATACTTATTTAATAATTATTAAAGCTGTGGGCCGGGTGCGGTGGTTCACGCCTGTAATCCTAGCACTTTGGGAGGCCGAGACGGACGTATCACGAGGTCAGGAGATCGAGACCATCTTGGCTAACACGGTGAAACGCCGTTTCTACTAAAAATACAAAAAATTAGCCGGGCGTGTTGGCGGGCGCCTGTAGTCCCAGCTACTCGGGAGGCTGAGGCAGGAGAATGGCGTGAACCTGGAAGGTGGAGCTTGCAGTGAGCTGAGATCGCGCCACTGCACTCCAACCTGGGGGACACAGCGAGACTCCGTCTCAAAAAAAAAAAACAAAAAAAAGCTGTGTACTAATAACTATTAAAGCTGGAGTATAGATACAGGGAGCTAGCTCTATTTTTGTATGTGTTTGACATTTTTGTATGTGTTTGTGTTTGAAATTTTGTATGTGTTTGAAATTTTACATGTTAAAGGATATAGAAAAAAGTAAAAGGTCCTGGGGCTCAATGTTCACCCTGCAGCTGACGAGTTGTGTCACTTTTTTTTTTTTTTTTGAGATGGAGTCTTGCTCTGTCACCCAGGCTGGAGTGTAATGGCGTGATCTCAGCTCACTGCAACCTCCGCCTCCCGGGTTCAAGTGATTCTCCTGCCTCAGCCTCCGGAGTAGCTGGGATTACAGGTGTGCACCACCACGCCCAGCTGATTTTTGTATTTTTAGTAGAGAAAGGGTTTCACCATGTTGTCCAGGATAGTCTCCATCTCTTGACCTCAACTGATCTGCCCGCCTTGGCCTCCCAAAGTGCTGGGATTACAGGTGTGAGCCACCGCGCCAGGCCCGAGCTGTGTCACTTTTTATAAGTCACTTCCTTCCTCTGCACCTTGGTTTCTTTCTCTCTAAAATAATGCAGTTTGACTAGACAATCATTTAAGATCCCTTCCTGCTTTGACAGGGTGAGATATCATTAATCTTTTGTGTTGTTTCTGTTATTTTGTTTTTTACTAAGATAAAATTTACATCCCATATAATTTGCCTTTTTTTTTTCTTTTTTTTTTTGAGATGGGGTCTCACTCTGTCGCCCAGGCTGGAGTGCAGTGGCACAGTCTCAGCTCACAGCAACCTCTACCTCCCAGGTTCAAGCGATTCTCCTGCCTCAGCCTCCTGAGTAGCTGGGATTACAGGCGCCTGCCCCAACGCCTGGCTAATTTTTGTATTTTTAGTAGAGACGGGGTTTCACCATGTTGGCCAAGCTGGTCTTGAACTCCTGACCTCAAGTGATTTGCCTGCCTCGGCCTCCCAAAGTGCTAGGATTACAGGCGTGAGCCACTGTGCCCAGCTGTGAAGTGGTATCTTGTTGTGATTTTGACTTTCATTTCCCTAATGACTAATGATATTGGACATTTTTCATGCCCTCTTATAGATCTTCTTTGAAGAAAAGTCTATTCAAATCTTTTGCCCATTTTTAGATTGAGTTATTTATTTATTTATTTATTTATTTTGAGACAGAGTCTCAGTCTGTCTTCCAGGCTGGAGTGCAGTGGTACAATCTCAGCTCACTGCAACCTCTGCCTCCCAGGTTCAAGTGATTCTCCTGCCTCAGCCTCCCAAGTAGCTGAGACTGCAGGTGCCTGCCAGTATGCCTGGCTAATTTTTATATTTTTGTAGAGATGGGGTTTCACCATGTTGGCCAGGCTGGTCTTGAACTCCTGACCTGTGACCCGCCCTCCTCAGCCTCCCAAAGTAATGGGATTACAGGTGTGAGCCACCACACCCAGCCGAGTTATTTATCTTTTTATTGTTGAGGTATAGGAGCTCTTTATATATTCTAGATATAAAACCCTTATTAAATACATGATTTGTAAATATTTTCTCCCATTTTGGGTTGTTTTTTCGCTTTCTTGATACATAACAGCCTTTACTTTTGGTGAAACCTAATTTATCTAATTATCCTTGGTTGCTTGCATTTTAGATATTATACCTAAGAAATGATTGCCTATTCCAATATCACAAATATTTACCCCTATATTTTCTTCTAAGAATTTTTATAGTTTTTGCTCTTACATTTAGGTCTTTGATCATTTGAGTTTATTTTTGTATATAGTGTGAAGGTGTGAATTTAGGGGGTCTAAATTCACTATTTTGCATATGTATATCTGTTGTCCAAGCACCATTTGTTGAAAAGACTGACCTTTCCCCACTGAACGGTCTTGCCACTCTTGTCAGAGATTGACCATGGATGTATCAGCTTACATCTGGACTCTCCATTCTGTTGCATTGAAATATACATGTTTATTTTTATGTCACTACCACACTGTCTTCATTAGTGTAGCTTTAAAGTAAGTTTTGAAATTGGGAAGTGTGAGCCCTCTAACTTTTATCTTCTTTTTCAAGATTGTTTTGGTTATTCTGGGTCCTTGCTTTTCCATGTGAGTTTCAGGATCACTTTGTCTATTTCTGCAAAAAAAAAAAGTAGTTGGAATTCATGAATCTTTAATTCACACCAAACTCCTCACTACAATGTCCTCTATGAGAACTAGCACGTTGTCTAACTTGGTCATTGTTGTATCTCCAACACCTAGCACAGGCCTGACCTAGAGTAAGCTCTTAATATTTAATGAATGAATGGCAAGAAAAAAAAGCACAGTTTAGAGAATAGCAATAAAATGTACCCAAAGGAACATTACCATACCTCAGAAGCCACCTGCATGCCACTCCATGATGAACTTCTCCATCATTTCTGTTTTTTTGAGACAGAGTCTCACTCTGTCACCCAGGCTGGAGTGCAGGGGCGTGATCTCGGCTCACTGCAACCTCTGCTTCCCAGGTTCAAGCAATTCTCCCACCTCAGCCTCCTGAGTAGCTGGGACTACAGGCTCACACCAGCACACCCGGCTAATTTTTGTATTTTTAGTAGAATCGGGGTTTCGCCATTTGGCCAGGCTGGTCTTGAACTCCTTATCTCAGGTGATCCACCTGCCTCGGTCTCCCAAAGTGCTGGGATTACAGGCGTGAGCCACCGCGCCTGGATCCCTCCATCATTTCTTTGCTTTTAAAAAAATAACAAACTGTGGCCAAGCAGAGGCAGGTGGATCACCTGAGGTCAGGAGTTCGCCACCAACCTGACCAACATGCTAAAACCCCGCCTATACTAAAAATACAAAATTAGCCAGGCGTGGTGGCACATGCCTGTAATCCCAGCTACTCGGGAGGCTGAGGCAGGAGAATTGTTTGAACCCGGGGCGGGGGCGGAGGCTGCAGTGAGCCAAGATCACATCACCACACTCCAGCCTGAGTGACAAAGCAAGACTCCGTGTCAAAAAATAAATAAATAGGCCGGCATGGTGGCTCAGGCCTGTAATCCCAGCACTTTAGGAGGCCGAGGCGGACGGATCATGACGTCAGGAGATTGAGACCATCCTGGCTAACATGTGAAACCCTGTCTCTACTAAAAATACAAAAAATTAGCTGGGCATGGTGGTGGGCACCTGTAGTCCCAGCTACTTGGGAGGCTGAGGCAGGAGAATAGCGTGAACCCAGAAGGTGGAGGTTGCAGTGAGCCGACATCACACCACCACACTCCACCAGCCTGGGCGACACAGCAAGACTCTGTCTCAAAAAATAAAAATAAAAATAAAATAAAATAAATAAATCAATAGCACCTTATTTATTTATTTGGGTTATTTCCAGGCTTTTGCTATAATAAATCATGATGTTGTTACATATTTCCTTATGTCCCTCATACAGGAGGTTCTATGCCTAGCAGTGGAATTCTGGGGTCTTAGGATATGCACGTATTCAACTATACCTGGTAATCCAAACCTTGCTCCAAAGTGGGTATACAAATTTACATTTCCACCCAAAGTAGGTGAGAATTATTACCATTGTTCTTTCCTTCTGGGTTCAGTTTTCTTCTTCTGCAAGTATACACTTTAGCTGTTTTTTTTGTTTTTTTTTTTTCAGAGAGGAACCGAATGTTAAACTCTCCTGGTCTTTGTTTTATTGAAAATGTCTTTATTTTATTGAAAACATCTTTATTTTGTTTGCACTCTTGAGTGAGAACTTCTATGAATATAGAATTCTAGATTGATAATGTTTTTGTTTTTTTCTCAATACTTTGAAAATACTATTCCATTATCTTTGGGCCTTTATTGTTGGATTTAATTGTAGTTCTTTTGTCTTCTGTCTCTGGTAGCTTCTAAGATTTTTGTCTGTGGTGCCTGCAATTTCACCATGATACGTCTAGGTGTAAATTTCTTCTTGTTTATTGGTTTGGCACTTGTCATGATTTCTGAGTCTGAGGATTCATATCTTTCATCAATTCTCGGAATTTTTTTTTAATTCTGGGAAATTATCAGTGATGATCTCTTGAATATTTATGATCCTCCGTTCTCTCCCTTTTCTCCTTCTGGATTACCTATGAGTGTTACAGTAGACATATTATCCTCCTTGCTTCCAAATCTCTCTCTCTTTTTTTTTTCCCTAGACAGAGTCTTGCTCTGTCACCCAGGCTGGAGTGCAGTGGCGTGATCTTGGCTCACTGCAACCTCTGCCTCCCAGGTTCAAGCAATTCTTCTGCCTCAGCCTCCCGAGTAGCTGGGACTACAGGTGTGTACCACCACGCCTGGCTGATTTTTGTATTTTTAGTAGAGATGGGGTTTCACCATATTGGCCAGGCTGGTCTCAAACTCCTGACCTAAAATATCCACCCGGCTCGGCCTCCCAAAGTGCTGGGATTACAGGCGTGAGCCACGGCACCCGGCCGCCAAATCTCTATTTTCTGTTTCTCATTTTATGCTGTCTTCTGGGTAAATTCAACCAGCTGATTTGGCTGTGTCGAATCTGCCGTTTAACTTATTCACTAAGTTTTATTTATAATTTCTGGAAGTTTGATTGTTTTGCATTTCTACCTGTTCTTATTTCATTCACTCTTGTTTATTCTTGCATTTCTTCTTTTACACATTTTAAATGTGTAAAAATACACATACACATTAAAAATACTAACTTTATCGTATATCCTCTATCATATTGTTCTAAAAGTAAACCTTAAGCTCACATAAGGCACAGGCTCATGGTTATTAATTCCTCAGGGAAGGTTTTTTTTTTTCCCCTTGTCCCCTACCTTCTAGAGCAAATGAAGCTTGAATTCACAGGTACTGTAGTGGTCTTGGTTCCCTTTGTGTTTCAGGCACCTAGTTATTTAACTTTCTTTCTTGAGTGTTCAGCTTTGTATTTATTTTAGTTTTTGGAGACAGAATCTCATTCTGTCACCCAGGCTGGAGTGTAGTGGCATATCCATAGCTCACTGCAACCTCAAGCTACTGGGTTCAAGAGATCCTCCCACCTAAGTCTCCCAAGGAGCTAGGCCTACGGGTACATGCCACCATGCTTGTTTTGTAGAGATGGGGGTCTTGCTATGTTGTCTAGGTTGGTCTCGAACTCCTGGCTTCAAGTGATCCTCCTGCCTTGGGCTCCCAAAGTGTGCTGGGATTACAGGCAGGAGCTACTGCACCCAACCTGGCTTTTTTTTCCCCCTGAGATGGAGTCTCACTCTGTCGCCCAGGCTGGAGTGCAGTGGTGCGATCTCGGCTCACTGCAACCCCCCGCTCCCGGGTTCAAGCGTTTCTCTTGCCTCAGCCTCCCAAGTAGCTGGGATTACAGGTGCCCACCACCACACCTGGCTAATTTTTGTATTTTTAGTAGAGATGGGGTTTCACCATGTTGGCCAGGCTAGTCTTAAACTCCTGACCTCGTGATCTGCCCGCCTTGGCCTCCCAAAGTGCTGGGATTACAGGTGTGCACCACCCCGCCCGGCCCTGGCTTTGTATTTAAAAGAAGCCTTATTGAGTTTACTCAGCAGTTGTAGGTGTTTGTAGCAGGATAATTTTCAGATTATCTGGTCTGCCCATTTGTTAAACTTGAGATCTATTAATTAACTCTATGTTTTCATTAAGCCATTTTTTATTATGGTAAAATACACATACCATAAAAATTATTAATTAACATTTAATAGGATGAGTAAAATTGCAGACAGAGAGCCCATTTCAGTCGTGCCACTGCACTCCAGCATGGGCAACAGAGCGAGACTCTCTCTCAAAAAAAAAAAAGAGCCCATTTTAGTTGCTGTGTGAGGAAGGACTTCGTAATAGGCTAGTAGGAAGCAAAGGATTTCCAAGGAAGGAGAGAGAGGCAGAAAGTGAAGAATATATTTTGGGAATGGTAAATAGTTGGTTTGGCAGGAGCTTGGTACGTGGTACATGTAATAATAATGTGAGTGAATTTCTGAAATATTAAGTTAGGGCCAGATTGTGGAGAGCCTTGGATTTCAGCTTAAAGGAATTCGGACTTTGAGAGCTTTTGAAAGTTTTTGAACTTAACTCATTTTGAAAGTGGGTCTTGGCAGCAGTAGATGGAGTGGATTGGAGGATGTTGAGATTGACGACAGGGAGACCAATTAGGAACATATTGGAGTAGTCCAGGGAGGCATGAAGGCACAGAATAGGGATAAGGTCTGACAAAGGCTCAGAGCTGTTGAAATGACCAAAGCATAATTGTAGTTATTAACCAAATTGGGGACAAGAGGAGATGCCAATACAGACATATGACAGCATTCTCTAGAGTAAGTCACTTCCCAGCGGAATAGCATTATGAACTCTTAGAGACTTGCTGGTGTCTTCTAATGAAGTCACATGCTGTTTATAAAATGTCGGCTAATTGGCCTATGGAGCCATCCAGAGCCCTCCTTTGATCTGAACCCAGACTTGAAAAAGCATGCGTCAGTGCAATTTGAAAAACAGTATTAAAATAGAGAAAGTAGAGTAAAACAGATAGATCTGTAGCTCTACAGAGTATAAACAACCGTTTTTAGCATCAGCTCAAAGAGTTTTAAGTGGTCTCCCGTTATTTGCTTCTACCCTTAATAAGATCTTCTAAAATCATTGCTCTGGACTTTCAATCTTCAAATTTCTTAGCAGGACAATTTAATCATCACCTATTTCTATTGGGTTATATATCTTTTTTTTTTTTTTTTTTTTTTTGAGACAGAGTCTTGGTCTGTTGCCCAGGCTGGAGTGCAGTGGCGCCATCTCGGCTCACCGCAACCTCCGCCTCCCGGGTTGAAACAATTCTCCTGCCTCAGCCTCCTGAGTAACTGGGATTACAGGCATGCACCACCTCGCCCAGCTACTTTTTGTATTTTTAGTAGAGACCGGGTTTCACCATGGTGGTCAGGCTGGTCTCAAACTCCTTACCTTGTGATCTGCCTGCCTTGGCCTCCCAAAGTGCTGGGATTATAGGCATGAGCCACCGCACCCAGCCTGGGTTTTATATCTAGTTAGCATGGTGACAACCCAGATAACTTGGTTTGCATTTGTTTTCCCATTGCTCTAGTATGTTCCAAGGTCGTTTTCATATATATCCTGTATGTGAATTCCCCTTTCCCAAATTGTTGTGGATTGTATCATAACTTGTCAATTAGCTAAATGTAAATGAGCATCAGCTTTCTAGAGATTTAATTTTTTTTTAGCGTTTAATTGCTGAATGGAAAGCAATAGCACTATGAAGCCAAGAAGTTATTTGGAGAAGAACTTGAATTGCTTGATTCTGAGGATGGGTAATCAAAATGTGATTGTGAAGAAATGGAGTTATTGTATATGTTATATATAATTTATTATATATGTTATATATAATTTATTACATATATATTTAAAACTTGAATGATATATTGAAATTACATTGAGCGTACTAATAAAAAGCATTCAGATACACTTGGCTCCCTTTTTCCCCTTTCCTTCCTTCTATTAACAATTATTGAGCACTCAGTGTGGGCCAGGCACTGTGTTATATGCTGGAAGTTATAGTGGTTTATTCTTCAATTTTGAAATAATTTGGCAGTTGATAAAAATCTTTAAAGTTTGTTTTTTTTAAAATAGTCAGTTCTGGCCGGGCGCGGTGACTCACTCCTGTAATCCCAGCACTTTGGGAGGCCAAGGTGGGTGGATCACCTGAGGTCGAGAGTTCGAGATTAGCCTGGCTAACATGGTGAAACCCTGTCTCTACTAAAAATGCAAAATTAGCTGGGCATGGTGGTGCACGCCTGTAATCCCAGCTACTCGGGAGGCTGAGGCAGGAGAATTGCTTGAACGGGGGAGGCGGAGGTTGCAGTGAGCTGGAATTGTGCCACTGCACTCTAGCCTGGGCGACAGAGTAAGACTCCGTCTCAAAAAAAGTCAGTTCTTGGATTTTGATGACATGGTACTATGTAGGGCTTACAGGGTTATTAGTGCCCTGAGTCCACACTTCACAGAGTTATTAGATTTAAATTTTCAAATTTTATTTTAGAGACAGGGTCTTTTTCTGTTGGCCAGACTGGAGTGCAGTGGTGCAATCATAGCTGACTGAAGCCTGGAACTCCTGGGCTCAAGCAATGCTCCCACTTCAGCCTCCTGAGTAGGTCGGACTACAGGTATGCACCACTACACCTGGCTAGTTAAAAAAAATTTTTTTTTGTAGAGACAAGGGCCTTACCATTTGCCCAGGCTGGTACTGAACTCCTAGGTTCAGGCAATCTTCCCACCTCGTCTTCCCAAAGTGTTGGGATTACAGGCATGAGCCACCTTGCCCGGCCTCATCATTAGACTTAAAGATCTTTTTGTCTTTGGTAGTTGTTTTACAATTTTAAACAACTAGTGGCTGTAGTAGGCATTCTTAACCAGGAATAAAGTCATAAATGTAAATGTATGGTCTCGGAGGAGCAGGGGCAGTCCTCTGTGAATCTGTAAATATTTGGTGTATATAGTTATTTTTCTGAGGGTATAGATGCTCAAAGGAGCCTATAACCCAAAAAAGGTTCAGAGCAACTGTTTGCCTTGCTTCATTCAGCTTCCAGAATAGTGGCCTTTGTTACGTAGACTAGTGACTATGTGCTTGGGCATTACAGTCACACTCCCTGTATTTGAATCCTGGCTCTGCTATGTAATAGCTGTGTGACCTTAAACAAGTCATTTAACCCCCTGTGCCTCAGTTTCCTCATCTGTAAAATGGCGATAACAATAGTATTTATGTCATGGCGTTGTGGTGAGGATTACATGAGTTAACGTATATAAATTACTCAAAAAATGCTCAGCACATAGTAAATATTCTATACATATATCAGCTATTGTTATTATAATAATTACATGGGTATGGCATTGATGGTAATGATGGTGAAAACCATGATGACTTCTGCCTTCCTGAAGCCACTTAAGAGTGAGTAACAACAGCCAAAGTTACTTAGGAATAAAAGATTAAAAAAAAAAAAAGGAGCATGACAATGGACGGCCACAATAAATGTTACCCAGCTGGTCATTCTAGGAAAAGCTGATACCGCCCTTCCCTTCCTGTTCTAGTTTATGGCCAGCCAGGCTCTGAAGGTTCGACAGTCTGACTCAACCACTGAGAGGAATATATTCCAGTTGAAGCACAGTGGCAAGAGCAATTTGTTTTTTAGATTTAGCTGAAATATATTCTGATTCTATTTTTTAGCCTTGGATGGAACTGGCTGTTTGCCACGGTTTGTTTTTTCCCCATGGAATGTGTGTTGTTGATGCTCTACCATGATAGACAGCAAGTGGGGAAATGGGAACTTTTATTAGCTGACCTAAAGCTCGTCTCTCCTAGTTCTGCCACAAAACACTCTGGCAGTCTTAAGAGACATGTCCTGTATCTCCATCTCCACCTACTGACCTCCCCAGCTGAAAGGGTTAGGCAAAGTAAATCAGCTTAGAATTTATTCCAAAGGTCTTTGACTTTTTCTAGCTTTTAATGACCAAAGTTTTCAGATAATTGAGTTTCAGGGCTATCTGATCACCTTTGTTGGGTCAATTTTGCCTCTCCTCAAATGCCTGAGAATGATGTTTTTTTCATGTATTATTTTTGGGGTCTCTACTTTTTTTCTTTATCCCTTCCTTGCACAAATAACTGCCAGTTCCTGAAGCCACTGCCCCCAGGAATTTGCTTCCTGTAACAACAGGTACTTCTCTGTCTGGGCTCTCCCTCTGGAAAAAGCTCATTCAAGGATCCCCTGATTCCAAAGTGCCAAGTAGAAATTGTATAAATTGAATTAATTCAGATGCTGTGTATCAGGCTTAAAATCCAATAGATATGTAGGTAATTGTCTGAATATTTTCCGCAGTAAAAGACTGAAGTCTAAGGTCTAACTCCCATTGCAGTACATAAATTGCAGTGCCCAGTGCAAAGGGAAAATGAAGGGTCTCTTATTCAAAAGTTATTAAAAATTTCAAGACAGTAACAACAGAGCATCAAACCAAGAATAGGGGCCAGGCGCGGTGGCTCATGCCTGTAATCCCAGCACTTTGGGAGGCCGAGGTGGGCAGATCACCTGAGGTCAGGAGTTCAAGACCAGCCTGGCCAACATGGTGAAACCCCATCTCTACTAAGAATACAAAAAATTAGCTGGGTGTGGTGGTGCATACTTGTAATACCAGCTACTTGGGAGGCTGAGGCAGGAGAATCGCTTGAACCTCAGAGGCAGAGGTTGCAGTGAGGTGAGATCGCACCATTGCATGACAGCCTGGGCAAGAAGAGCGAAATGTGGTCTCAAAAAAAAAACACAAAAAACAAAACCCAAGCATAGGGCACTTTCGAGTACAGGGCCCCGAGCAACTAACTGCATAGGTCATCCACCTAGGAAGCCAGGCCTGCATGGAGCCCACGAATCAGAATCTTTGGAATCTGACTGGAAAAAAAAAATCTGACTTTTGGGGCCTACCAGAATCTCTGGGATAATATCTGGGAATTGCCTTTTTTTTTTTTTTTTTTTTTTTTTTAAATACAGGATCTTGCTCTGTTGCTCAGGCTGGAGTGCAGTGGCTTGATCATGGCTCACTGCAGCCTCAATCTCCTGGGCTCAAGCAAACCTCCAACCTCAGCCTTCCAAGTAGCTGGGACTACAGGTGTGCTCACACTGGTTATTTTTAAAAGGGTCTCACTATGTTGCTCAGGCTGGTCTCGAACTCCTGGACTCAAGTGATCCTCCTGCCTCAGCCTCCCAAAGTGCTGGGATTACAGGTGTGAGCCACCGTGCCCAGCTGGAATTAACATTCTTAATAAGCTCTCTAGATGTTGACTTTTGAGAATCTCACACCTATTTTCTTCATTTGCTTGGGAAGAAGGAAGAGCAATGTTGGGTTTTTGTTTGTTTGTTGTTTGTTTGTTTTTGAGATGGAGTCTCGCTCTGTTGCCCAGGCTAGAGAGCAATGGCGCAATCTCGGCTGACTGCAACTTCTGCCTCCCAGGTTCAAGCAATTCCCCTGCCTCAGCCTCCGGAGTAGCTGGGACTACAGGTGCACCACCATGCCTGGCTAATTTTTTGTATTGTTTAGTAGAGACAAGGTTTCACCATGTTGGCCAGGATGGTCTTCATCTCCTGATCTTGTGATCTGTCCACCTTGGCCTCCCAAAGTGCTGGGATTACATGCATGAGCCACTGCGCCTGGCTCATTTTTTTTTTTAAGAGACAGAGTCACCCTCTGTCACCCAGGCTGGAGTGCAGTGGCATGATCATAGCTCAATGTAGTATCGATCTTCTGGGCTCAAGTGATCCTCCCACCTCAGCCTCCTGAGTAGCTGGGACTACAGGTGTGTGCCAGCCACCATGCCTGGCTTTTTATTTTAATTTCTGTAGAGATGGAGTCTCACTATGCTGCCCAGGCTGGTCTTGAACTCCTGGGCTCAAGTGATCCTCCTGCCTTGGCCTTCCAAAGTGCTGGAATGACAGGTGTGAGCCACCATGCCTGGCCAATTATCTTTTCTTTTCTTTTCTTTTTTCTGAGACAGAGTCTGGTTCTGTTGCCCAGGCTGGAGTACAGTGGTGGGAACTCAACTCACTGCAGCCTTAGCCTCCTGGTTTCAAGCAATTCTTGTGCCTCAGCCACGGAGTAGCTGGGATTATAGGTGTGTGCCACCATGCTTGGCTAATTTTTGTATTTTTATTAGAGACAGGGTTTCGACATGTTGGCCAGGCTGGTCTCAAACTCCTGACCTTAAGTGATCCGCCCGCCTCTGCCTCTCAAAGTGAGCCACTGTGCCTGGCCCCAATTCTCTTTTAAAAGTGTTCGGCTTGCTTTCCTAGATGGGCAACTGACAGCACTTATGTTGCATCTCTAGCAGCATTTCTTTGAGCTCTTTTACTCTTTTTCTGTTTTCCTCTTTCTCCCCTATCCTCTTTTGTTTTACGCTTGTCTTGGGCCTGCCCGCAATACCTCAGGTGTGGCTAGACTTGGCTGACGACATCCAAGGCATATGAGATTATTAGAGAAAGTTTGAGGGGAAGGAGTAAGACTTTTGATAGTCTGGATTTTTCATTAAGAATTTTATTTTTGCTATAGCCTGCTTTTCCTACCCAGTTTTGCTTTTGCTTCTAATCTAAACCAAAAGAAAAGGAAAAAAAAATTTTGAGAAACAAAGTTATGAGAACAATCTCAACCCCTACCTCAGTGATTATTTAGTCACAATCATTGGAATTCAATTCCAGATCAGTTCTTCTTCCTCCACCGTAAATGCCTGCCAGTCCTTGCAACTTATTTCTGCAAATTGTCACTTCACCAGATTGTGACCTCAAGGGCTCAGGGATTCATCCTGTATAACTTGATGAAAGTATTTATATCAAACTATCCTGACTAAACCTGGTCCTGAGTTCTGAGTTTAGCTATACATCATTGAGATATTGCAAGGTTAATAAACCTCTTTAGATTATGGATTTAAAATTTTAGCACAACAAATAAAATGCTCTTTTTTTGGCTTACAGTTCTGTGTGTGTGGGTGAGCGCATAAGCAGTCACTGAGTAGAACAGATGCTGTCTTGAATTTTTTCTTAATAAAAAGATGACAGATTTTTAATTACTGGGTGCTTCTAAATTACTTAAGAAATGACATTTTTCTTTATTGTTTTCACCTGTATTTCCTGTTGTTCCGTAGTTGTAGCTTCTAATACGCATCTTTATTACTCTCTATTTTTAAGGTAATGAAAACTTTGTGTTTCTATTTTCATTCTCACAGCAAAGGAGAGATTAAATGGAAACAACCCTTTATAACTTTGAAATATTATGTAATCCTGGCATTCTTAAAAGAATTTTTTGCTTGCCTTTTACTTTGGCAAAATACTTGTATCTAAAGATATATAAAGAACACTGATGGCCAGGCATGGTGACTCACGTCTGTAATCCAAGCACTTTGGGAGGCCGAGGCAGGCAGATCGCTTGAGGTCAGAAGTTCGAGACCAGCATGGTCAACATGGTGAAACCCTGTCTCTACTAAAAATACAAAAATTAGCCTGGTGTGGTGGCACACACCTGCGATTCCAGCTATTTGGGAGGCTGAGGTATAAGAATTGCTTGAACCCAGGAAGCGGAGGTTGCGGTGAGGAGAGATTGCACCACTGCACTCCAGCTTGGGTGAAAAAGTGAGACTCTGTCTCAAAAAAAAAAAAAAAAAAAAGAACACTTATGGCTCAATAATAAGAGGGAAAACAGCCCATTTTAAAAAATAGGTAAAAAGTTTGAACAGACACATCACAAAAGAAAATATAAGAAAGGCCAATAAACACATGAAAAGTCTCAACATCATTAACAATCAGAAAAAGGCAAATTAAAACCACAATGAGATAACACTGACATACCCACTAGAATAGCTAAAATAAAAAATTTGACAATACTAAGGGTTAGCAAGGATGTGGAACAACTGGAAATCTCATATATTGCTGGTGAGGGTGTAAAATGGGGAAACAATTTGGCAGTTTCTCATAAAGTTAAACATAAATTTATATGATTTTGCTAATTCACCCCCTTATCAAAAGTAAATGAAAACACATGTCCTCTAAAGATTTGTACATAAATGTTCACAATACCTTTATTTATAACAATCAGGGACTAGACGTTGGGCACAGTGGCTCACATTTGTAATCCCAGCACTTTCGGAGGCCAACATGGGAGGATCGCTTGAGGCCAAGAGTTTGAGGACAGCCTGGGCAATTTAGCAAGACCCTGTCTTTACAAAAAATAATAAAATTAGCGAGGCATGGTGGCACATGCCTGTAGTCCCTGCTACTTGGGAGGCTGATATAGGAGGATTGTTTGTGCTCAGGAGATCAAGGCTGCAGTGAGGTACGACTGCATCACTGCGCTCCATCCTGGGTGACAGAGTGAGACCCTGTCTCACAAAACAACAACAACAAAAACAAGAAATTACCCAATCATTCATCAATAGGTGAATGGATAAACAAATGGAATACTACCTAGCAACGGAAAGTGACGAACTATGATGAATGCAATAGCATGAATGAAACTCAAAAACCCCATGCTGAGAGAAAGTCGACAGAGCAAAAGAGTACATATCGCACGATTCCATTAATGGGAAATTCTAGAAGAGGCAAAAGCATTCTATAGTGGCAGAAAGAATATCAGTGGTTGCTTGGAGCCAGGCTTGGGAGAGGAAATACTGACTCCAAATAGGCACAGGGGGATTGCGGGGGGTGTTGGAGATGTTGTATATTTTGACTGAGGTTATGCTTCCACGGGAGTATACATTTTTCAAACCTCATTTGAACTGTACACTTAAAAAGAGGGTGCATTTTATATAAAATATACTTCAATAAAGTTGTTTTTCTCAACTACTAAAAAAGTTCAGAGAAGCCTCTAATATATGTCCATGTACATACCACCTAGGATTCATAAATGTTAAATGTTTTGTTACTTGCTTCATCTTTTTCATATAGAAGAAATGAAATATTACAGATAAAGATGATCTCTCCATAGCTCCCAGGCTTATTCTTCACCCCTTCCCACCGGCAAGTACATTCCTAAAGTTGTATTTATCCTTTCTGTCCATCTAAAACATGTATTCACCGACATCTTCATTTTATTGATGAAGGTATCAAAGCTTAACAAGAGCTAATGCATAAGCCATAGATAAACAATGCCTTTGTCAGCAGCACAGCCAGTAATGATGTTCTATCTTAAGTTCAATCTGCAGGACTATGTTATCTAATCTGCGTTTGAGGAGCTGCGAATGTAATTTATGTAATTATTGGAGTGTTTATACTGGTCTTTCTCTTCAGTTTTTTTTTTTGTTTTGTTTTGTTTTTTTTTTTTTTTTTTGGAGACGGAGTCTCACTCTGTCGCCCAGGCTGGAGTGCAGTGGCGCCATCTCTGCTCACTGCAAGCTCCGCCTCCCGGGTTCACACCATTCTCCTGCCTCAGCCTCCCAAGTAGCTGGGACTACAGGCGCCTGCCACCACGCCTGGCTAATTTTTTTGTATTTTTAGTAGAGATGGGGTTTCACTGTGTTAGCCAGGATGGTCTCGATCTCCTGACCTCATGATCCGCCCGCCTCGGCCTCCCAAAGTGCTGGGATTACAGGTGTGAGCCATGGCGCCCGGCCCTGATTAATGTAGTTTTAAACAACATAACAATTTGATATCAGTGATTCGTTTAATTGCAATTAAGATGGAATACAGATATTTATGTATTTCCCTCTAATTTTCTCAAGTAGATTACTAGACTATTTGCAAAGCATCTAACACCACTGAATCCTAAATAGCTGGCTGGATTTCACTGTTCTATGGACACTATATGAGACAACCAGAGGGACTGATGTGACGACATTCCTTGCCCTTTCTTTTGATTTATCTTTTTTATGGTGTATCTTCTATGTTGTCCAGATTTCCCCCTCAGTTCTAATGTTTATATTTTGAAAGCTGATAAATATTGGAGCTGAAAAGAAGAGTTTAGGCTAGAATTAAGTATTTTGTAATAACGAAGCTGTTAATTTCCCTTTGTAATTTTTTTTTTTTAAACTCACAGACACAGGTCTCTGAAAGAACACTCTAATTCTGGTTTTCACTGGCGAAGTAATTTGTCTTTTTTCCTTCTTAAAAATAGATACGATTCTGATAAGAAAAATGATAGCTTGTCTTTTCTCTATAAGAGAAGCAATATAAACCAGTTTCAAACTCAAGTTTAAATTTGCACTGGGATCTAGGGTATTTTTTCTTTCAGAATTTGAAAGTTGGCTCGGTACAATGGCTCACACCTATAATCCCAGCACTTTGGGAGGTAGGAGGATTGCTTGAGCCCAGGAGTTTGAGACCAGCCTGGGCAACATAGTGAGACTCTCTTTTTATGAAAAAAAAAAAAAATTTAAAGCTGAACGTTCATTTGCTTTTAGCTTTAGATACATATTCTTCTTCTTCTTTTTTTTTTTTTTTTTAGAGATGGGGTCTCACTCTGTTGCCCAGGCTGGAGTGCAGTGGTGCCATCATAGCTCACTGCAGCCTGGAACTCCTGAGCCCAGTGATCCTCCAGCCTTGGCCTCTGGAGTAGCTGGGACTACAGGTGCGCACTACCATGCCTTAGATACATATGCGAATCTCATTGGCTATTGCCTTGGATATCACAATGGAGTTTAACTCTGTCCATCATGTCAGCAATATACTATAGTGTCACTGGAGCCACAACTGGATTATGGATGTGACTCACCTAGTGATGCGCCATCCTTTTCAATAACATCTGATAATTGCAGAGATGACTACATCAGACTAGTTGAGCCACAGGGTACTGTTGGGTCACTGGTGACTGGCATGTGGGATAGGGGTGGAAGGGAATCTTTTTTTGGTGCTGCAGAAGATAAAGGGCTCTACCCTCCTGTGGAGTAGTGTGATACCCCAAGAATGGAGAGAACAGAAATTCTAAGATACGCAGCTGATGCTGGAGGTTAGAGAATTTTACTGAGTTTTTCTTGTTTTTTGGACAGCTAATCAGAAGACAATATATAAAGTTTAGTAACTGAAGTATGGTCAGGGAGAGGGCCTGAAAATTCTGCTTTGGAATATTTAATGGTGACATTTAGATAAGGGTTAAGGGTGAAGCCAGCCTTATGGATGTGGGGATCAGGGGAATGTTCCTCAGGTGCTCAGGTCAGGGACAGTGGCAACATCCTCAATAGTTAAGGAGGTGTGGGTATTTTGAGGAAATGATGTGGTTTGTTTCATCACTATATAAGCATCAGGAACTGGCAGTAGTGATATGTGAATGGGATCAAGGTAACCGAGAACAAGATGTGAAACTTTAGGGAAATGGTAAGTCTGTCTTTCATCTGGTTCAGCACACGGTGAACTGTTCCAGAGGTAGCTTCTTAAAGCCCTTCGTTTTGTCAAACCAGAATCTTTTTTTTTTTTTTTTTTGAGACAGAGTCTTGCTCTGTCACACAGGCTGGAGTGCAGTGGCACGGTCTCAGCTCACTGCAACCTCTGCCTCTCAGGTTCAAGTGATTCTCCTGCCTCAGCCTCCAGAGTACCTGGGATTACAGGCACGCGCGACCATGCTTGGCTAATTTTTTGTATTTTTGTAGAGACGGGGTTTCGCCATGTTGGCCAGGCTGGTTTTGAACTCCTGACCTCAAGTGATCTGCCCATCTCGGCCTCCCAAAGTGCTAGGATTACAGGTGTGAGCCACCACGCTTGGCCTGGAAACCAGTCTTTAAGAGAAAGGGATGCAGGAAAGATTGGAGATCTTTGAAGAATCTCTTTTTAAGAAAATTATCTTTTTCGCTCTAGTTCTGTCACCTTTAGTAGACTCTTTATTAAGCCTAAGAATCTTATACTTCTTATCTCTGTTCTATGTGAGTTGGTATAACGGGTCAAATTCACAATCCAGAAATGCCTGTATTGTTTCTGATGTGCTGAGGAGGTGTACAATTGTCTTCCTTGATTTCAACCTCAAAAGCTTTACATCTTTACCTGGGAACATAGAAGTCATTATTATTATGTCTTTCACAAATTATGTAAACTTAAAAAAATTATATTTTCAATGTAAACCACTCCTTGGAGGAAATTAGTTCCTTTAACATTTATTTCCTAATTTTAATTTCTACTAGTTTTATCTCTTTCAAGCTTAAATGAGTGGGCCTTAGTTCTGTATTATTGCCATCTTAATCATGTTCTTTGTGATTTTAGTAGCTTTACTTTTTAAAACTTACATTTCCATAATGAAGACTTCTGTATTTTTGTTTTTTTCGTCATATATCCGACTCCAGCTCCCTCAAGACCTGTCAGCTTTTCCCTGCACCCTTTGTTATCTCTTGCTGTGGTCCAAAGGTAAGGACAGTAAGCCGTGGGCACAGACTTTCCCTAAATCGTATGGATTTCCTTTAGTCAATAACAAGAATTTTGATAGTTAAGGCATTTACGCCTTAAGAATGTGATAAATTCCCCCTCCTACTGAATGTAAAGAACTATTTTTCTACGCAGACTAACTCTTATATTCACTTTTCTTATAGAATAAGTACGTAACCAAATCTGTTCTTGGCTTCTAAGAAGTTAGAACTCAACGTAAAGATGACTTGTGGAAAATTACTTACTCATTCTGGGTAAATGGACGCAGGTATTTAGTGCTTAAGTAGGTTCTGATATACCATTACATTAACATCATTTTAAAAATCGCTCTGAATTATATGTATTTTAAGAGTGACTGGGTTTTAAAAAAAATAGAAGTGGTAGAGCATAAATCATAATCTTTAATAAGGTAATAAAAGGCAAACACTATTGCTCTGGGCAAAACTGGGCTAATGCTTTTGGATTTCTTTCCGCAGTCTTCACAGACGACGCTCAGCATCCTATCAGCCCTTGGCAGAGACACACGATCCAGCCTAAATCCTCAAATTCTGGCTCTTGCCCAAAGTGTGTAGCCAGTATCCATAGAGACTGCGAAAAGCATCCGCGAGCCGGGGCGGCCCCCTCCTCCTCAGCTCCAAATTGCTTCCTTTTTCGGTGGGAGAAAAAACTCCGAGGAGTTGTGTGAGCGCCTAAGGAGCGCACGCTCCTCCGGCCCTCAACACCCAGTATAGTTTTCGCTAAGTTCCTGGCCGAACCACAGCTCCCACGATGCACCCAGGTTTTAGAGCGGTCAGAGGGGCGGCTTCCGGTTTAGGACAGCGCGGCTGCGCACGGCGTGTGGTCTTATTGGCTCGAACCGCCTCGTGCGATGCGCGTCACGGCGACGTGCGGTCGTGGGGGCGGGGAGACGCGGCGGCGGCGGTCGCTGTCGCGGCGGCGAGAGCGCGATTCCAGAAGCGGCATCGCGGCGGCGGCAGCGGCGGCGGCTACACCGGGCTTGGCCCCCTCCCTCCTCCGTTCCCCCCTCCTCCCCCCTCCCCTCAGCGGTGGCTCCCAAGAAGTCCGAGACACGCGGTGAGGCGGCGACGGGCTCCGGGTGAGGGTCTCTGGAGTGTGGGCGCCGTTTCCTGGGCGCAGAGGGAGAGCTTGGGGTCGGGGGGAGGTGAGAGCTGAGGGGCGAATGTCCCTGGCGCGGGCGGGAGAGCGCGCTCTCGGCCCGGCCCGCAACTTGATTCCTAACTCTGACCTGCCGCCCGGCGCGCCTTGGCCTGAGGGTCGGCCGTGTGGGGACCTGGAGCCGCCCTCCTTGCGACCGCTGTCGGAGGAGTCCGGCGCCCGCTGTTCCCCTCGCCTCGCCTTTCGCGGCGGAGGGTCGGAGCCTGCTGCCCTCTGCTCACCTTCGGGTGCAGTTGCTCCAGCTCCCTGCCCGCGGAGAGGATCTGCCCGCCCCTCTTCGTCTCTTGTCTGTTTTTATCACTTCTAGGAATTTGTTTGGTGGAGGCTTGGGATGGGCTCTCTCAGCGCTACTTTCACAGTGACTGGGGTGGGGAAGAGTTCCCTCACCTTTTTCAGGTGGCGCGTCAGGCAGCCTGCTTGGTACCTGGAGTCCTGTTTTCCCAAGCCCCCGTCCGTCAGTGTTCGCTTCTTCTAAAATTACCGATGACAGGGTTATAAATCAGTTTTTAGGGGGCTCGGAGAGAGTTTGGGTTGGAAACTGTTAGCTCTTTTTTCCTCCTGGCTTTTGATCTTGATTTAAGCGTTTGCCTCTGAAATTTTGACAACTTCATAAGATGGTCCAAAAGTGAATTTTGGTAGAAAGATTTAAATGCACAGTTGGGATTTTATGGGGGTACGGTGACTTCATTGCAGGTTGTTGACTTTTTTTTTAAAATAAGATGTTCTTTTAATTTTTTGACTCTGGGTTTCTGAGCCTTGGTTATTGTCCCCCATTTCTGTTCCAAAAGCAGACTTTTTTTTTTTTTATCACCCCTTCCCCTCACCCAGAGAATCCCTTTAAACGCCAAGAAAGCTGTCATAACATTTAGCATTATTTGATCACAGAACTTTTCCAAATGAAATGCTAAAAATTCCTTCAGAAAAAAGCATCCATCTACCCATAGCATTATTTTTTGGGGGGAGGCTATACGTCTTGTCAGTTCTGAAAGTTTGAAGTGACCTCTTATCAAAGGCCACCCTTATGTCTCCTTAAACGACTCTTAGGTAATTCCTAGATGTTTTCATCCGTTCTGATAAATTTGTTGTCAGAGTGTTGATTGTGATGATCTGCAACTAAAATTATTTCATCAGTAAAGATTTCCACACATGTGGCAGCTGCTTGTTGGTGAATTATGAAATTTGAAAAAATTGCAAATTAAATGTGAAAGGCATATTTCTTTTAACTTCTGATTGTAACTGTCTGTCCTCCAGTATACGTTCCTATCTAGACTTTGGTCTGCTTAGCAGATTTCCTCTTTTCACTTGACACTAGGAATGGGAGTAGGATTTCCAGAGCCTAAAAGAGAGTTTGTTTTTTTTTTCTATCCCTAGGCTCCTTGTATGAATTTATAAATAAATGGTTTTTTCTATCAATAGTATCAATTTAGCTGGTGCACTTTTTTTTTTTAGTATAAATCACATTTTGTTTCCTAAAATGAAAATAATTTTGTTTTATTCTTTATTTCAGGGATTGACAGATTTTAAAGCCTGCAGGCCCAGTCCTGCCAGTTGCCTCTTTTTGTAAATAAAGATTTGATTAGGCCTGGTGCGATCGCTCACGCTGGTAATCCCAGCACTTTGGGAGGTCGAGGCGGGCAGATAACCTGAGATCAGGAGTTTGAGACCAGCTTGGCCAACATGGTGAAACCCCGTCCCTATTAAAACTACAAAAATTAGCCGGGTGTGGTGGCGCACTCTTGTTATCCCAGCTGCCCGGGAGGCTGAGGCAGGAGAATCGTTTAAACCCGGGAGGTAGAGGTTGCAGTGAGCCAAGATTGCACCATTGCACTCCAGTCTGGACAACAAGAGCGAAACTCCGTCTTAAAAAAAAGAGGAAGAAAAAAGTTTTTATTAGAACATAGCCATATGCAGTCGTTTAGGTATTGTCTGTAGTTTCTTTTGGGGTACAGCAGCAGAGTTGAGTAGTTGTGCCAGAGAGCCATGTGGCCTGTAACACCTTATATTTATTTACTATGTGGACCTTAATATAAAAAGTTTGCCGAGCTCCATTAAAAATGATACATAGTCAATGTTGAAAATTTAAATGAGTCAGAAAATTGTAAAGGAGAAAGTAAAAGTTATTTACAAGTACACCACTTGGGGCTTTTTTTCTGTGATTATAGAATTTGTTGGTGATTATTTTTTATATAAATGAACTCAAATTGATAAATGTTGGTTTGTAATCTGCTTTTTTTTTTTTTTGTTCATTTTGTTTTTTGAGACGGAGTTTCGTTCTTGTTGCCCAGGCTGGAGTGCAATGGCACGATCTTGGCTCACTGCAACCTCTGCCTCCTGGGTTCAAGCAATTCTCCTGCCTCAGCCTCCCTAGTAGCTGGGATTACAGGTGTGCGCCACCAAGCCCGGCCAATTTTTTTTTTGTATTTTTAGTAGAGACGGGGTTTCACCATGTTGGCCAGGCTGGTCTCGAACTCCTCATGTGATCCACCTGCCTCACCCCTCAAAGTGCTGGGATTACAGGTGTGAGCAACCGTGCCCAGCCCTGTAATCTGCTTTTTTAAGAAGTATTTCATTATTTGTATTTGGATTTTGATTGCTTTTGTATTTTCTGCATTGGAGGTCTTTCTAGAAAGGGGCTTATGAACCGGGTTTTCATGATTAGTCTTACCAGTCAAGATTTAAAAAGAAAATCCAGGAATAATAAATGCTTGGTAATGAAGATGCTGGTTAACATTTATTGAGCACTTACTATGTACTAGACAATTTCCACTACTTTACGTGTATGAAATTATTTAATTGCTGTGGCAGCTCTGTGAGTGTATACTATGATTTCTGTTTTACAGGTGAGGAAACTAAGGCAAGGAGAAAAATTAAGTAACTGTTGGAAGTTTATCAGCTAGCAAATGGTGGAGCTAGGATTTGATTTCATGCAGTCTGATTTGAGAAACCCAAATTCTTAACAATATGCTACAGAGCCTCTACTTACATTATTGCTCAGTGTAGAAAGTTTAGACAGTCCAGAGATATACTGTCATCCCTTGGTGTCTGTAGGGACTGCTTCTAGGACCTTTGGTGAATATCAAGATGCACAGATGCTCAAATCTCTGATATAAATGGCATAGTATTTGCATATAACCTGTGCATATCCTCCCAAATACTTTATATCATTTCTAGATTACTTATAATACCTAATAGAATATAAATGCTATGTAAATAGTTGTTATACTGTATTGTTTGGGGAATAAAGACAAGAAAAAAAAGTCTGCATGTTTCAAATACAGATGCTATATTAAACTTTTTGGATCCAAGCTTGGTTGAATCCACAGACATAAGAGCCCATGGATATGGAGGGCCAACTGTATAATGTAAAAAAATTCCTTCTCATGCGCTAGTTTCCAGTTTTCATCCTTTGTAGATAACCAGGGGCAACAGTTTGATATAGGTCTTTTCACCTCTCTTTGTGTGCATATACAAGTAATTATTTGCAGATTTGTCTGCATATTCAGAATTTAAAAATTACACTTTTTTTTAGCAGCTTTAGATGTACAGAAATTTGAGCCGATAGCACAGAAAGTTCCCATATTCCCTTCCCTTCCCTCGTTTCTCCTATTGCAAACATCTTGCATTAATTTGGCACATTTATTGCATTTGATGAGCCCATATCAATATGTTGTTATTTATTGGTCTATAGTTTACATAGGGCTTATTCTTTGTGTTGCAGTTTTTTTTTTTTTTTTGTTTTGTTTTTTTAAGATCTCACTCTGTATCTCAGGCTGGAGTGCACTGGTGCCGTCATGGCTCTGCAGCCTCGACCTCCCGGGCTCAAGCGATCCTCCCACCTTAGCCTCCCAAAGTGTTAGGGTTACAGACATGAGCCACTGCACTTGGCCGAGAGTTATTTTTTACAAAAATGGGATCAAGCCCAGTGGTGGCTTGCGCCTGTAGTTCCAGCTACTTGGGAGGTTGAGGTGGGAGGATTGCTTGAGGCTAGGAGTTTGAGACCAGTCTGGGCAACACAGCATGACTCTGACCAGTCTGGGCAACACAGCATGACTCTGTCTCTTAAAAAAAAAAAAAAGTGGGCTGAGGGTGGTGGCTAACGTCGGTAATCCTTGCACTTTGGGAGGCCAAGGCAGGTGGATCACCTGAGGTCAGGAGTTCGGGACCAGCCTGGCCAACATGAATGAAACCCCCTCTCTACCAAAAATATATTAAAAAAAAAATTATCTGGGTATGGTGGCGCGCGCCTGTAATCCCAACTACTCAGGAGGCTGAGGCAGGAGAATCGCTTGAAACTGGGAGGTGGAGGTTGCAGTGAACCGAGATTGCACCACTGCGCTCTAGCCTGGGCAACAGGAGCAAAACTCCATCTCAAAAAAAAAAAAAAAAAATGACGAAACCCGTCATTCAGCAGTCATTCACCTTTTTTGGTGGTTTTCAGGATATAGTGCTTTTGGACTTTCTAATGTAAACATTCTTGATTTACTAATTTTCAGATTAATGACAATTTATTTTGGGAATGGAAGGCTGGCTTGGATGTTACTTTTTCTCTCTTTTTATTTTTCTATTTTTTTTTTTAAGTGTATCTCATAGTGGCAGCAGCTTTTCCCCAAAGGAATGCTTATTTTTTTTGACGGGACATTCTGGCTATACCTAATCATCAAAGTTCTTCTTTTTTCTCTTTATCTCTGGATTTGGAAAATGATTCATTTTGGTTTTCTTCCTCATAAATTCTTTTTGGTCTGTCCAGCCATTGCAGTTGCTAGTCATGTCTCCTTGTCAGACTTTGGCTTTTTATGACTGTCATCAATGTTAGAAAAAATTACTTGCTCCTTATCACTATTTCAATACATTTCCTCTTGGGCTTTCCCTGGGGGCAGCACTGAATTTTTTCCTTAGTTGAGCCATGCAGATTTTCTAGAAGTCATCGTTTAGTTTGGCTTTTCACTCCTCCATGGGTGCTGTTCAGCTTCTAGGAGATTTCTTGCAGTTTCTACTTGTCAACAGATTCACCAGCAGCACCCTCCTCCTCACTGAGACTGGTGCTTCCCCACCCATCTTTATCATTTTCAGCCTTCTCTTTTTCTTTCTCTTTTCTTTTTTCCTTCTTTTTTTTTTTTTTGGTTACAGCGTCTTACTCTGTTGCCCAGACTGGAGTGCAGTGGTGCAATCGTAGCTTACTGCAACCTCCGCTTCATGGGCTCAAGTGATCCTCCCACTTCAGCTTCCCAAGTAGCCGGGATTACAGGCATGCACCACCATGCCTGGCTAATGTTTGTATTTTTTGTAGAAACAGGGTTTTGCCATGTTGTCCAGGCTGGTCTTGAACTCCTGGCCTCGAGCGATCCTCCTCCCTCAGCCTCTTGAATAGCTGGATTTAACAGGCAGGAGCCATTGTCCCTGGCCATATTCTTGCACTGTTGATTTTACTGGGGCCTCTGTCAGCTTACCCTGGAATTCTGCATCATCTGAGGATTTGGAAGAACTGAATCACAGTTATAGTAGACAGCATCATATTCTTATCCTTGTGTGTTTTATACTGGGACAGGTCTTGAGGAAGTTCTTCTGTCATGGCTAGGGGACATTGAGCTATTACCTCTTATAGCACTGATTTGGACTGTCATGTCTTCCCTAAAGTTCTTGTCCATAACATAATGGATGGTCACAGTCATGAGCAATAACTGAGTGATCTCTGGGACTAACAGGTGATGAAATGCATGTTTAGCAAACAGTGATTTCTGTTACTTCTCTGTGGTGCAGCAGCAGAAACTTTTGCCCAAAGGCATAGAAGTTAGAGGGCTTATGAATTTCTGCCAATCTGGAGATAAGATTTATGAGCATCATGTTAACTCAAACCTCTGCTTAGAGATTTCTAGCTGTGTGCTTCAGGAGTGTTTTGGTAAAACTTTGAGGATCATGAATAAAGCTAATAGCTTAAAAGTTAAACACTGTGAGTTTTTTCTTCTTTTGTTTCCTGGGCACTTTTCATAACCTTTTCAGTGTTTTGTGTTTGGAGCCACTCTTCCCAGTGACATACTGCACTTGTAGGTCTCTTGTCACTTTATCCTCAGATTCTGAGTCTGTCCTATTTGTTTCTCTTCTTCATCTTATCCTAGGAAGAATGTCAAGGTGGCAACCAATATCTCAAAACATGCAGTTGTGATGACATTGACAGTTTTGGCATCAGTCCGGATGTTTCTTGTAGAGTTCAGTCATCACATCCAAAGATATCTTGGCTGCAGTTACATTGCTGTCTCTTAACACGATGTATATGAAATTCTGCAGTACTATATCCACTTTATTCTTGTGTTTTACAGTTATATTCTTGCTATCAGTCACAACATGAGTATGTAAAGTCTCAAAAGCTTATTATGGCAACTTGGAAGTTCAAAAAAGAGCTCTAGCAAACTTGATGGATGGATATGATACTTCTCAGCAAGATCAAAGCTTTGTAAAATGTTATTAGATGATTTTGATTCAAGACAGTACAGTATAATTGTAGGAAAGTAGATCTTTTAGCTCTTGAGGAAAGTTACTTAGATGTTCTGGGTAACAGTGACCAATCTGTGCCATAAATATCACCAGCTCTGTCAATTCTTTGCCAGGTTTATTGGTTTTAATTTGAGAATCTCCATATTGGATTTGTAGTGTATATAGTACTGCTGTAGTAACCCTTTAATGTCAGCCAGTGGCTCCACTTTATTAGATTCTATAACTGCTGCTTGTTACTGGGCAGCTAGTTTCTGCAGGACATGTTGGCTGTAGACTGGATCCACAGTGAGTAGTTCTCAGAGAACCCGTACTGCTGACATTTGCAAACCCATTTCAGCTGTGGTGTGGAGCTGTGGCGTTGTACTTCTGGATGTGACCAGAAACAGTGTTTGGGAGCTCAGCAGGTGGTGCTGTCTTGGCTGATTGTGTGTGTGTGTGTGTGTGTGTGTGTGTGTGTATTTTATTTAATTTCTGAGACAGGGTCTTGCTCTGTCACCCAGGCTGGAGTGCCATGGCACAATCACGGCTCACTGCCCTCTCGAACTCAAACAGTCCTCCCAACTGAGACTCCCACGTAGCTGGGACTATAGATGCACGCCAGGCTAATTTTTGCATTTTTAATGGAGACGAGGTTTTGCCATGTTGCCCAGGCCGGCCTTGAACTCCTGGACTCAAGTGATCCTCTTTGCCTTAGCTTCTCAAAGTGCTGGGATTATAGGCTTGAGCCACCATGACAGGCCCTGTGTGTGTGTTTTTAAAATTAATATTTGTGGCTTACTTTACATCTGCATCTACTCTCTTCTTTTTAGTAGTTCTCTAGTGTAGTATTATTAAATGGATATGCTATAACTTAATACTGCTCTTACTGATGGATATTTAGATTATATAAATGGATTGTAAATTGCCCATACATTTTATGTATATTTATTGCAAGCTAATTCCCCTTTAGTAATTTTGTAATAGTTGAAGAAAACACATTTTTCATTTTGATGTGTGTTATCACATTGCCACCCAGAAAGGTCACAGCAATGTAAACTCTCACCAGAAATGTGGGTGGAGTCTAGCTTCTCTGTGTCATTACAAATTAAAAAAAAAAATCTTTGTTTATCTGATAGGAGGTTAAGCATTTGCAGTATATTCTATCTAACTGGGAGATATGCTTTGTTTCAATAGCATTCTTTTAAAGTTGATTTACGATTACTTCAGGTGGAGCATGCATTCTGTTCCCGGGCCTCCCTTAGGTGGAGCTGCTTCACCTATTTACATTCTCTGCTTGGCTCTTGAAAGCATATGGTTTTGTTATCACTGATCAAAAAGAATCTGGGTGCCTGCCTAATAGACTATATATTTCTTGAGGGTAAGGAACGTGTAACTTTCTTGATAATCTACTGGCAGTTCCGGTATATAGCAGGTGGTAAGTAAATGGTCTTTTAAAAATCTAAATTGGTTCATGAACCAGTAACTGTTGGGGTTACTGCTGAGTGAAGTGCTTTAATTTTGTTAAAAATAATATTTTCAAATTGTGAAATACAAACTTGAAAAACTGCAGTGCATGCTGGGTGCGGTCGCTCAGGCCTGTAATCCCAGCACTTTGGGACGCCAAGGTGGGCGGATCACCTGAGGTTGGGAGTTTGAGACCAGCCTGGCCAACATGGCGAAACCCCCGTCTCTACTGAAAATACTAAAACAAAACAAAACAAAAAAAACCAAAAACAAAAATTAGCCAGGCATCATGGCCACTGCCTGTAATCCCTGCTACTTGGGAGACCGAGGCAGGATAATCACTTGAACCCGGGAGGCAGAGGTTGCGGTGAGCCGAGATAGCACCATTGCACTCCAGCCTGGGCAACAAGAGCGAAACTCCGTCTTAAAAAGAAAAGAAAAACTTCATTATAAAATTGTCACTTTGGCATATGTTGTCTCTCATCTTTCAACTCTAAGATAAGTTAAATAGGACGAACTGATATCTTAGGACCTGTTAGGAAATAATTAGCCTATTTTATAAGTACATTTGGTATTTAGAAATTGGAAGTTGAGGAATTTATTAAAAAGGGGATTTGTTTAACATTACTTATGGTTTTGAGTTTTCTGGATTGGAGTATACCATGTGTTAGAAGGGGATATATGTTGGCCAATGATATTATAGATTGGCTTAATTAGACAAGTGTCCAGACAGAAGGAAAAGGGAAGCTAAATTCTGAGAATTGCCAGATTATCTTCAGGCATGGGAAAAATAACTGGAAAAGGACACTTAAGTTTTTTAATGGAAGACTACAACAAAATGATATTTTCTTTATAACTGATCATATTACACATTCTTACTGGATTTATTGAATATAAGAATATTCTTATTTCCACAATGTCTGTGTACTAGAGAACAAAACACAAAGCATATGGTCTTAAAAGGGGCAAAATTAGTTAGCTTATTACACTTTGGCCATTTAGGCCTTTCTTTTGTATGTTTGTTGTTAGTATATCAGCTGATTATTTTTCATTGACAGCATATTCACTTTAATCTTGTATGTTTTGAAATTAAGTTTAGTGAACATGTATGCCTAGTTGTATCCATGTATCCATTCCTTTGGTTAAGGAGGATGTCTTTGTGGTAGGGGTTACATTATGAAAACTTCAGCAGAATGGCACAGAAGATTGACTTTATTTTCTTGAAATTTATTTTATCCTATTTCTTCCAGAAAGGATATCTGGTAACTTAAAATAAAAGATCTGGAAGTGTAATAAAATATGTGTAAAAAGAAGAAATCAGGGAAAGGACAAAGCATATATTCTTTTCCCAAGTGACAGCATAATTCAATGACTAAGAATAAAAATTGGGTTTGAGTTTGCTTGGCAGCGAGGGTAAAAATGGAAGTATGGTAAAATACATAGCACTAAACTAAAAGGAGGAACAAGACCAATTTTTCAGGGGTGAAATCCTCTCTTCACAGATTTCTAAGAAACTATTTAAACTGGACATTATATAAAAGCTGTTTTGTTGTTGTTAGTGGCCCTAGATTTAAAAAAAAAAAAAAGGTGAGGGCTAAGCATTAAGATTTCAAGCCAATGAAATACATTTTAGGGGTTGATTTGAATTTAGGCTGCAGATGTATGTTTTATTTGGCCAATATATGTTTTTTTTCCTTAAAATATTTCAAACATACATGAGACTACAGAGACCAATATAATTAACATTCATATATTAACCATACAGCTGTAGCATATCTTAGCATGTTCCCATATTTCTCATTTTTTTGAGGAAAAAAAATCATGTACAGTTGAAGCAACTTCTTGGATTACAGTTTACTTTCTTCCCAGAAGTTAACTATTATTCTGAGTATGGTGTTGATCTTTTTTTTTTTTTTTTTTTGGAAACAGGGTCTCACTCTGTCACCCAGGCTAGAGTACAGGGGTATGATCATGGCTCACTGCAGCCCATCTCCTTTGCTTGAGCAGTCCTCCCACTTCAGCCTTCCAAGTAGCTGGGAACTCAGGTTTACACCACTGTGCCCAGCTAATATTTGTATATTTTGTAGAGATTGGGTTTCGCCTGTTGCCCAGGCTGGTCTCCTGTGCTCAAGCAGTCCATCCACCTCGGCCTCCCAAAAGTGCTGGGATTACAGGTGTGAGCCACCACTCCTGGCCTGATCATTTTTAATGCATGTTTTTATGTAATTACTACATGGGTATATATTCACAAATCATAGTATTGCTTTGCATATTTTCAGATTTGATGTAAATGATATATTCTGCTTATTCTATAATTTGTCTTTCATGAAAATTTTTTTGATTTATATGAAACTGCTGATACGTTACCATTTTGACCTACAAAAATGACAGTTTCATATGGCCCACCCTAATAGTCATACTTTTATCTGCTGTAAAATTATTTTCTATTATATGAATATAGCCAGATAAAATTTATTTATTCTCATGTTGATAGGCATTTAGATTGTTTCCAGGTTTTCATGTATTAAAAATAATGTTACATTGAACATTCCTTATTAGGAATCATTGTGCTTACATTTAAGATTTTTGGCAAGTTTTAAAAACTGCATGTTGTGGCTGGGCACTGTGGCTTGAGCCTGTAATATCAGCACTTTGGGAGGCTGAGGTGGGCGGATCACCTGAGGTCAGGAGTTTGAGACCAGCCTGACCAACATGGTGAAACTCCATCTCTCCTAAAAATACAAACATTAGCTGGGCGGGGTGGCGCGTGCCTGTAATCCCAGCTACTCAGGAGGCTGAGGCAGGAGAATCGCTTGAACCTGGGAGGCAGAGGTTTCAGTGAGCCGAGATCACGCCATTGCACTCCAGCTTGGGTGATGAGCGAAACTCCATCTTAAAAAACAAATGAACAAACAGAAAAAACCCCACATGTCGCGACTCCCTAATGGATTGTGAAATCAATTCAGGAATTAGAAAAATATCAGGTTGTATTGCAAACAATAAGGATAAAATGTTTTGTGAAATTTTTATTTCTGTGTGTATGTATGTGGTTATTAAGTTTGAAATGAAGCCCTCTATGGTGAATTACCCAGAAGTGCAATTATTGGGCTGAAGATTTTGGAGGTTATGGGAATTTTTTTAGCTGTATTGGATATTGTCAAATTTGCTGTCACTTTGCATATTTTAGCACTAGAGTATGAGAATTTGCCATCTTCCGATTGTTATGATTAATGGCATTGTCAGATTTTTTACATGTTTACAAATCAGATGAGTGTGAAATGTTACCACATTGTCTTAATTTTTATTTTTGATTATGGGGTTGAGTATGTTTTCAAATGTTAGATGACTATTCAAGTGTTTGTTTCTTGAATTGGCTGTTCTTTTCCTTCCACAGCCATTTGGGTGGTCTTTCTAAATTGATTTTAGAAAGTTTTAAGTTCATTACATACTTCGATTATGTTTGTTAAGTGAATTGCAACTGTCTTTTCTCAGTCTGTGTGGCTTATCTCTTAACTTTATATGGTTTGTTTTGTTAAATAGAAATGATTATTATAAAATATATCACTATTTTCTTGTTTGTGTTTTATTTAAGAAACCTGGGGTGATCACTCTGTGGTTCTCCTCATGCACATTAACAAGTTTGTTACTTCATTTCTTCAGTTGATCTCCCTTTTGTGAGGTGGTTTTTAAGTGAATCATTAAAGAGCAAAGGAGAAGTTTTCCCGTGGCTCCCACGCTGCTATTCAAAACTTCCTGGGTTAGTAAGCCTTCTTGTGAATTGTCTTTAAAATGTTTATTAAAAACTCTTAGGAACTCTCATATAAAGTCTTAAATTTGTGTACAAAGATGCTCTCTGACATTGCTTGACTAGTGAAGAAAGTTAAAACAATCTAAATGTTAAAAATATATTATATGTATCCAGACTTCAGAATTTTTTTGTAGACATTAAGAGAATAAGCTAGAGCTATACGTTGTGACATGAAAATGCCTACTATATACTAGTTAAGTTTTTTAAAAAGTATTTTGCAGAGAAAATATGCACAGTATAATCTTACAGTGCAAAATTTTTGCAGGCACATATGTATATGATATATGCAATCTATATATGCATATAGAAGGGTCTGAAAATATATAATAGTTGCCACTGGAGTGGTATGTGTGTTTGTGTTGCTTTAATTTTTTTCAGTACACATTTAAACAGAAGTAAAAAACAATTTAAAAGAAATTTGGCTGGGTGTGGTGGCTCATGGCTGTAATCTCAGTACTTTGGGAAGCTGAGATAGGAAGTTTGCTTGAGCCCAAGGGTTCGAGACCAACCTGGGCAACAGAGTGAGACCTGTCTCTACAAAAAACTTAAAAAATTAGCCAAGTGTGGTAGTGTGTGCCGGGACTGAGGTGGGAGGATAGCTCGAACCTGGGAGGTCAAGGCTGCAGTGAGCTGTGATTGAGCCACTGCACTCCAGTCTGGGTGACAGAGTGAAACTCTGTCTCACGAATAAATAAATAAATAAATAAATAAATGGGAGAATCTTAATAACCTTGGAGTATGGAATAGATTTGTTTGTTTTTTTGTTTGCGACAGGGCTCAAGTAATCCCACCACCCCAGCCTCTGTAGTAGCTAAGACTAGAGGCATGTGCCACCACACATGATTAATTTAATTTAGTTTTGTGAGGACAGGATCTCACTATGTTGCCCAGGCTGGTCTCAAACTCCTGGCCTGACTGATCCTCCTGCCTCAGCCTCCCAAAGTGCTGGGATTACAGATGTGAACCGCTATGCCCCCACCAGTTTTTTTTTTTTTTTTTTTGGGTCTTGGTTCTACCTGGAATTTTTTTTTTTTTTTTTTTTTTGGTGTGTGATGTGAGGCAGGGATCAAATTTAATTTTATTATATGTATACCCAATAACCATATTACTGTTAACAGAGTGTTTTGAATTTTTGAGTTAATAATTTTTAAAAGCAGCTCATGGTTTCTTGTTAAGCACAATTGCAGTCTTTTTGTCCTTCACCAGGCTGCTTCATATATTCAAGTTTGTGATCTCTGTGACCAGAGTGATATGATTGGTGGATGACTTGATCCAGAAATAGAACCTAGAAGAGTAGATACAGAGTATATTTTGTAGGTCTCACTCACATGTCATTTCTCTTACTATTTAAATGGAAATTAGATTGCACTTTCTTTCTTCTCTAATAAACTTGCTTTCACTTAAAAAAGAAATTGGATTGCAGACAATTTGAGGATATACATTAATGAGGAAACAGATTGCTGGTTTTTTGCATTGCTGGCTACAGACCTTGGAAACTAGAGAAGCACATGGTTGATTGATTGATATCTTGTTCTAAAACTTGAGCATACTTAAATGTATTTGGTCATCCAGCTATTATCACATATACTAACGTTTGAGACTTTTAATTTTGACTTTAGGGTACATGTATCAATACAGTTGTCTTAACTTTCTAAGATGTTTGATATAAAACACTGTAAATCACTTAGTTTAAGTATGAAGACCATTTTTGTTTCCTCTTAAGAGGGTTTTTATTACACTTTTAGTCTAAGAAGTGTTGCTGCTGAGGCCTTCAGATGTATATTCTAAATTTTTCTTTTTTCTTTTTATTCCTTTTCTTTCTCATACTGGTGGTCAGAAGAAGGCCTTATGATTTAGTAGAATTGAGCAATATTGATAAAGATTGTAGATACAAGTTTATTTTTAGATTTCTTAGACTTGTAAAATTGAGAAAGATAATTAACCACTTCCTTGAATTTTCCATTTGCAGCATTATAAAGCAAAACAAACAAACAGACAAAACAGACTTGTGCTCTGGAGGGTAATATGTGAGATGAGATAGAGCCCCGAATGATTGTTATTTAATAATGGGAGAAAGGTGCTTTATCACTTCAAAGTAGGGTTTTGATTTTGCCTGAAAGGTTAACTGTACAGGCCACATGTTTTATCTGAACAGATTTTATTTTTGAAGTAGTTTAAACAGTGGGCTATGTGGTATTATAGTACAGATGATTTATGGAAGGAAGTCTTTACATATTTGATATATTTTGGCACAAAATATATAATCCTAGATTTTTCAGGATTTCCCTGACTTTAATATTTAGAACTGTTGTTCCTTGTATTAGCATTTTTATGTACAGATTGAGCATCTCTAATCCAAAAATCTGAAATCTAAAATGCTCCCAAACCTGAAACTATTCGACGCCACAAGTGGAAAATTCCATACCTGACTTCCAGTGACAAGTTGCAGTCAGAACTTTGTTTCATGCACACAATTACAAAACATTGTATAAAATTACCTTCAGGCTATGAAACAAATATATTTTGTGTTTAGACTTGGGTTATATCCCCAAGATATTTTATTATGTATATACAAATATTCCAGAATCTGAAAAAATTCCAAATCCAAAACACTTCTGGGTACTAATCTTTGTTTCAAAAACAATAGTCATTATTATAGATCTTGGGAAATGAGGATAACCGTTGTAATATGGCTGTAAAAGAGTTGTAGAAAGACTTTTCTCCTTTAAAGACATTGTTTTTGTAGCTTTGACCACTACCAGTGGCTATAATGCATTGTTTGTGGCTTTATTGAAGTCCTATAAGATGGTGATAAAAGCATGGACTTTGAAGTCAGATAGATAAAGATTTGAATTCAGGGTCTTCCACTTAAGTTTGTGTTTTGATGAATTGCTTGATCTCCGTGAACCTCAGTTTCTTCATCTATAAAATGGGACCCCACTTCATAAGGATTGTTGGAGATGATAGGTGAAGGGTCAACTACTGGGCCTTGTTCAAAGTTGTCTTCAGTAGTAAAGTAACAATTCACCTTCTCCTACAGAGAGATAACATCATGATGTGGGAAGAAGGGAACTACTTACTTTTGTGGGAGGCAGTGTTGTATAATAGGCCATTTGTTGCTTCTCTGTTTTGTACGTTGTGTAACCTTAGGGAGATTATCCAGAAAGTTTACCCTCAGTCTTCTCATTGGTAAGTAGAGATAATGTTACCTATGTAACAGCAGAGTTTTAAAGCTAAATGAGAATATTTATAAAAGCTCACTTTATCTGGCACATGGTAACATGGTAACTTCTATTAATAAAATTTTATGGTAATAAGCAATATTATGCTTCTGAAGTAGGTCACAAGAAGGGCTTTTGGTTGGAGAAACCAGAATTGTTATGAATTAGTCCGTGTTTACTTTGAGGGAGTAAAGACTAGGGAGTATTCATTGAAGGAAGACTGTTTAGGAGGCTACTATTACTTGGCTAAAATACAAATAATGTGACTCAATAGTTTCTCAAAATTTTGTGTAATCTAGGCTTATGTAAATAAACTTTACTGTTTTATTAGGATTTAAAATCAACTTTATTGAAATATAATTTAAACAATGAAATATACTCATTTTAGGGGTGCAGTTAGATGACTTTTGATAATGTACATACCCACCCAGATAACCATCACCCTAATCAAGGTAATGGAATTTCTGTTATCTCCAAAACCTTCCTCGTGTCCCTCACAGTCAGTGCACCACACCCCTCCCCTCCTCTGGTTCAAGGAAACCACTGATTTGCATACATTCATTTTGTCTCTTAGAATTTCATGTAAGTGGGCTGGGCAAGGTGGCTCATGCCCATATTTCCATCACTTTGAGAGGCTGAGGTGGGAGGATCTCTTGAGCCAGGAGTTCAAGGCTGCAGTGGGCCAGGATCACACCACTGCAGTCCAGCTTAGTGACAGTGTGAGACCCGGTCTCAAGAAAAAAACTTTGTGTGTGTAAATGGAATCATACTGTACATATTCTTTAATGCCTGGCTGCTTTCACTCCGCATGTTTTTGAGAGTCCTCCATGTTGCTTTGTGTTCCAGTAGTTTGTTGCCTTTTATTGCTGAGTAGTATTCACTGTGGTATGGCTATACCACAATTTGTTTCTTCATTCACCTGATATTTGGGTTTCCAGTTTTTGGCTATTATGATTAAAGTGGCAATGAACATTGATGTACAAGTCTTTTTGTGGACTTAAGTTTTTATTTCTCTTGGGCAAATAGGAGTAGAATAGCTGAGTCATATGGTGTATATTTTGCAGTTTCTTAATAAGTTAAACAGTTTTTCAAACTGATTGTGCCATTTTATCTTCCTGTAATCTCATTTACATTATATGCTGTGTTTTTAATTTTAACTTTTTTTTTTTTAGTGTGAATTGATATCTTATTGTGGTTTTTATTTACATTTTTCTTTTTAAAAGTTTTGTTTTTTGTTGTGAGACAGGGTCTTGTCTGTTGTCCAGGTTGATGTGATCCTGGCTCACTGCAGTCTTGACTTCCCAGGCTCAAGGAATCTTTCCACCCCAGCCTTCCAAGTAGCTGGGACTACAGGTGCATGCCACTACATCCAGCTAATTTTATTTTGTAAAAATTTTTATGTAGAGATGAGATCTTGCTGTGTGCCCAGGCTGGTCTTTAAATCTGGGGCTCAAGTGATCTTCCCGCCTCAGTCTCCCAAAGTGCTGGGATTATAGGTGTCAGCCACCATGCCTTGCCTTATTTGCATTTTTCTGATAGCAAATGATGTTGAACACTTCTTCATGTGTTCATTGGCCATTTGTATATCCTTTTATTAGATGAGGTGTCTAATTCTTAATTCATTTTTAAAAAAGCTTTTAAAAATTACTGAGTTACAAGTTCTTTATATGTTGTGGATACAAGTACTTTGTCAGCTGTGTGAATTTTGAATATACAGTCAGCGCTCCTTGTCTGAGGGTTCCACATCCACAGATTTAACGAATCTAAGATGGAAAATGTTTGGTAAAAAAATAACAATATGCGAATAAAAAATAATACAAATAAAAAATACAGTATAACAGCTATTTATATAGCATTTAATCATATTAGGTATTATAAATAATCTAGAGATTGATTTAAAGTATAAGGAAGATGTGCATATGCAAATATGGGTTTTTTTTTTTTTTAAATAAGGGACTTGAGCATCCTCGAATTTTGGTGTTCAGTTTTGGGTGGATTAGGAGGGTAGAGAGGGGTTCTTGAAACCAGTCCACCAGGGATACCGAGAGATGACTGTATTCTTTTGTTCTGTGGCTTGCCTTTCATTTTCTTAACAGTCTTTGGAAGAGCAGATGTTTCTTAATTTTGTTGAGTCCAGTTTATCACTTTTTACTTATGGTTAGTGCTTTTTGTGTCTTAAGAAGTATTTAGCTACACCAAGGTTGTAAAGATTTTCACCTGTGTTTATTTTGGAAGCCTTACAGTTTTAGACATTACATTTAAGCCTATGATCTATTTCAAGTTAATTTTTGTGTAGGATGTGAGGTAAAAGTTCAGGTTCTCCTCTCCCATATGAATATCCAGTTGTTCAAGCACCATTTGGTAAAAAGACTATCCTTTCCTCATTTAATTACTTTGACCTTTGTTGAAAATCAGTTGTCCATAAATGAGTGGGTCTTTTTATTATTGCATTGATTTGTATACCTATACTTTTTTTTTTTTTTGAGACAGAGTCTTGTTCTGTCATCCAGGCTGGAGTGCAGTGGCACAGTCTTGGGTCACTGCAACATCCGCCTCCCAGGTTCAAGTGATTCTCCTGCCTCAGCCTCCCGAGTAGCTGGGATTACAGGTGTGCACCACCACGCCCGGCTAATTTTTGTATTTTTAGTAGAGATGGGGTTTCACCATGTTGGCCAGGCTGGTCTCGAACTCTTGACTTCAGGTGATCCACCTGCCTATACCTCCCAAAGTGCTGGATTACATGTGTGAGCCACTGTGCCTGGCCCTGCATATCTATACTTATGCCAGTACTACACTTGATTACTGTAGCTTTATGGTAAATTTTGGTTACTCTAGATTCTTTGCATTTCCATAAATTTTGGTATTAATAGTGTCAGTTTCTATCAAAAAGCCTGCTGGAATTTCAGTTTGTGTTGTATTAAATATACAGATCATTAGGGAGAGAATTGTCGTTTAAAAAATATTGAGTCTTCTGGTCCTTGAAAATGGTGTATCTTATTATTTTTTAAGGTTCTTTAGTTTCTCTCAGCAGTGTTTTGTAGTTTTCAGTGTAGGAAGTGTTGGACATCTTTTATTGGATTTATTCCTAATTATTTTAAGTGCTTACATGGGAATTTTTTTAAAGTTTCATTTTTTCCAATTTGGTGCTAGTATGTAGATTACAATTGATTGGTGGTCTGTCTAGCATGTAGAAATTCCTTAATAAGTAGTCAGATGGAATTTAATTTGTTCTCATCTAACTTTCTGGAGAAAATAATCATCTAAAAGAAAAAAGATTATCTCTGAATTTGAATGGGTTTTAAATTTGTATGACTGTGGCTTATTTTAATTTCTCTGAATTTGTAACGTAGAAGTACATTTGGATTTTATGGTAAAATATACGATATTGGATATAAGTGGAGACATGTAGAGATCATTCAACAGATGAGAGGATATAGCTATAGAAAAGCAGAGTTGAAAATTTTTAGATGGTAAAATATTCAATTTTATATTAAATATAATATTTTAAAGTAGAAAGTGCTTGAGTAGTATGATTAAAAAGAGGAAACTTGTTTTCATTTGAATACATTTTGGCCTACAAGAATGTCTGTTACTGGCTTAAGTATTTTTGTTTGTGTATACCGTCAGATGATTTACCATTTCCTAGCCAAACCTGATTTGTTGGCCCAGTACAACTCTCTTCTCTCTTTTAAGCTGTGTCTTTGATAGTATTTCTGTTCATCCTGCCTAGAAGATTGTGTTCTCACACAGTTTTCTGTTGTTGGTTCTAAAACATGGTGTAAATGAGAGGATTGTAAAATGCGCCAATCAGCACTCTGTAAAAATGCACCAGTCAGTGCTCTGTGGCTAGCTAGAGGTTTGTAAAATGGACCCCTCAGCACACTGTAAAATGGACCAATCAGTGCTTTGTAAAATGGACCAATCAGCAGGATATGGGCGGGGATAAATAAGGGAATAAAAGCTGGGCACCCCAGCCATCAGCTGCAACCCAGTCAGGTCCCCTTCCATGCTGTGGAAGCTTTTTTCTTTCGCTCTTCACAATAAATCTTGCTGCTGCTCACTCTTTGGGTCCGTGCCACCTTTAAGAGCTGTAACACTCACCGTGAAGGTCTGCGGCTTCATTCTTGAAGTTAGCGAGACCACGAGCCCACTGGAAGGAACCAACTCTGGACACATCTTGGTGACCCAGACGGGACCATTGGACCCCTTTTGCTTGCTATTCTGTCCTATTTTTCCTTACAATTCAGGGGCTAAACACCAGGGCACCTGTCGGCCAGTTAAAAGCAACTAGCGCGGCCACCGGACTAAAGACACGGGTGTTAGGCTTTCTGGGAAAGGGCTCTCTAACAACCCCCGACTCTTCAGAGTTGGGAGCGTTGGTTTGCCTGGAACCAGCTTCCTCTTTGCCTGTACTTCTGGGCTGAGCCAAGGGTTGACAAGAGGGGAAAGCCATTCAGCTGCGGGGTCCCAACAAAAAGTTGGTTGACCCTGTAGCCATGAGGGGAACTCTGTAGGTCAGCCAAAGGTTCAGTGGGTCGGTCCAGGGGTCCTTGGTAGAAGTTGTTAGTTGAACTCATTTGGGGTTCCATTTGTAAGACCATCTATAGCTTGATGGCATCGATCCTGGAGGAAACAAATTTGACAAGGAGTTTAAAAATACGGGCCTGAAGGCGAGTAATAGCAAGATGGCTGTTACGGGACCTAGAAAGGGGAGAAGCCATGTTGCCCAGCTCCAGAGGTTGGTATAAGAGTTTGAAAGGCGTTGTCTGATTTCAGAAGCCTTTTCCTGTAAACGCCAGGTGGCGTCTCATACTATCCCTCACTGGTTAGTGTAAAAGCAACATTCTTCCCCTAAGAAGGTGCATAGTCCTCCTTTCTCAGCAGTGAGGAAGTCTAGGCCTTGGCGGTTTTGGAGAGTCACTGCTGCCAAAGAGTCTATCTGGGATTGTAGAGGAAGGATAGATTTTGTTATTTCTTGCAAGCTGTCTGAGAAATCCTTTGAGAGTGTGTGGTAGTAGGATAATGAAGTAGATAAATCTGCTATTCCAATTCCTGTAGCAGTGGCCATTCCTAACCCTATAAGTAGGGGTATTAGTTGTATGGCCCTGTGCTGATGGACTTGAGCTTTGAAGGGGCACTGATAGAGTCTGATTTCCTGGGGCAATGTTAATGTTGGGACTTAGGAAGACTAAGGTGTAGGTGCCTGTCCAGTTGGTGGGGAGGCAGATACAGGTTGAAGTTCCACTTAAGAAGAATATGCCTTGGCTGGGTAGACAGAAATTTACCCTGGCTTTTAAAGGAATAGGGTACACTGTTTTTTCTTTACTACTTCTATCTCTGTGTCTCTCTTTGTCTCTTCCTCTCTCTCTCTCTCTCTCTCTCTCTCTTTCTCTCTTTCTGACTTCTTTTCTGTCTCTTCCTCTCTCTGTTTCTCTCTTTCTGACTCCCTCTTTGTCTGTCTCTTCCTCTCTCTCTCTTTCCTCTCTGCTGGTCTTTCCCTGCCTCTGCCAGCTGCTTATGCTGCTGTTCTCCCCTCTCCTTTCAGCAGTGTAAGACTGCCACCTCCTTGGGTTTTTGCACTGTGTGCAATAACTCCGTGATTTCCTTATGGTATTTAATGGGGTTCACCCAGAGGTTAGGAACTCCCTTTCTTTCCATATTGCATCATGGGCACGAAGGATTAGATAAGCATACTTGTTATCTATACACATTTATTCTTTTTCCCTTTCCCAGTTCTAAGGCTTGGGTAAGTGCCACTAGTTCTGCTATCTGGCCGCTGGTCCCTGGGGGAGGAGGCTTACTTTCAAGTACTGTTACATCACTAACTATGGCATAACCTGCCCTTTGTATCCCATTCTTCACAGATGAACTGCCATCAGTGTATAGGTTAAGGTCAGGATTAGCTAAGGGGACTTCTAAGAGATCCTCTTGGGTGGCATAAGTCTGGACTATAATTTGTTGGCAGTCATGCTCGATTGGTTCCCCATCCTCTGGGAGAAAAGTGGCAGGGTTGAGAGCCGCACAGATGCATATTTGAAGCATCGGTCCCTCAAGGAGTAGCACCTGGTATCCAAGCAGGCGGTTGTCTGATAGCCATAAACTTCCTTTGGCACCTAGTGTGCCATTTACATCATGAGTAGTCCAGACAGTGAGATCCTTTCCTAGTATTATTTTGATAGCCTCTGATATAAGACGGCCACTGCTGCAACTACACGTAAACAGTGAGGCTAGCCTTTTGCCACTGGTTGTAGGGTTGTCCCGTGAGTCTGAGTAAGGACTTCAAGAGCTATTCCTGCTCTCTCTCTGACGTATAAAGAGAAGTTTTGTCTTGTGGGAAGGCTTAAGGCTGGAGCTTGTACTAGGGCCTGCTTTAAGGATTTGAAGGCTGTTTCTGCCTCTGGTTCCCATTCTACTAGATGAGTATTTGCCCTCTGGGTCTCCTTTATTAGAGTATAGAGTGGCCTGGCCATCTTGCTGTATCCAGGGATCTGTAGTCGGCAAAAGCTGGTGATTCCAAGGAACCCCCGCAACTGTTTTAATGTCTTAGGGCGAGGATAAGCCAGTATAGGCTGTATTCGTTTCTTGCTGAGGGCCCTGGTTCCTCTGGCTAAGATTAGGCCTAGATATTTGACTTGTTGTAGGCAGAGCTGGGCCTTTGATTTAGATGCCTTGTACCCTTGATTAGCTAGAAAGTTCAAGAGATCTCGAGTAGCTTGCTGGCATGAGGCTTCCGAACTGGCAGCCAAAAGTAAATCATCCACAAACTGAAGGACCAGAGTGCCTGGACTTGAGAAGTGGCCTAGATCTTGGACCAGTGCCTGACCAAACAGGTGAGGGCTATCCCTGAACCTTTGGGGCAAGACTGTCCACGTAAGTTGGGACGTGTGATCTGTAGGATCCTCAAAGGCAAAGAGAAACTGGGAGTCAGAGTGCAGGGGAATACAGAAGAAGGCATCCTTGAGGTCCAGAACTGTGAACGATTCTGCTTCCTTTGGTATTTGAGAGAACAGGGTATAGGGCTTGGGTACAACTGGATATAGAGGAATTACTGCTTCATTGATGAGTCTAAGATCTTGCACTAGTCTCCACTGACTGGTTTTTGTACTCCTAGAATTGGGGTGTTGCAGGGACTGCTGCATTTTCTTACTAGGCCTTGAGCTTTTAAATGTCTAACAATATCCTGTAATCCTTTATGAGCTTCAGGCCTTAAGGGATATTGCCTTTGATAAGAAAAAGTGGTGGGATCTTTTAGCCTTATTTGGAGTGGGTGGGCATATTTTGCCCTTCTGAATTGTCCTTCCAATGCCCAGGCTTCAGGGTTGATTCCCTCCTCAAGCAGGGGACAACAAATTGGTAACTTGTTCCCCATATTCATGTAGATAATAGCTCCAGCTTTGGCTAATATGTTCCTCCCTAATAAGGGTATGGGACTTTCAGGCATAACAAGAAAGGCATGTGAAAAGAGCAAAGTCTCCCAATTACCACTGAGAAGGTGGGAGAAATACCTGGTTACAGACTGTCCCAGGATTCCTCGGATGGTAATGGACCTTGAGGACAGCTGTCCGGGACAGGAGATTAACACTGAGCCTCGGATGGTAACGGACCTTGAGGACAGCCGTCTGGGACAGGAGATTAACACTGATAAAGCTGTACCGGTGTCCAGGAGGAAGTCAATTTCCTGGCCCTCAATGGTTAAACATACCCGGGGTTCAGTGAGGGTGATGACATGAGCTGGCGCTTGCCCCGGGCACCCTCAGTCCTGTTGGATCATCTGGTTGGGGGCTTCTGGCCCAGAGAACCTTTGTCCTTTGGGGCAGTGCACCTTCCAGTGATTGCCTTGGCATAGTGGACATGGGCGAGGGGGCAGCTTGTTTCTCGTTGGACAATCTTTTTTAAAGTGTCCTTGCAAACCAAATTGATAACAAGCCTAACCGGGTGATTGGCCTGCTCCATTTTCTGTCCTCTCTGAACCACCAAGGTCTGTTTGTCTGAGGGCCATGACTAAGGCTGTAGCCTTTCTCTTATCTCACTTTTCCTTTTCAGCCTGTTCTTCTCGATCCCTACTGTAGAACACGGAGGTTGCCAGGTTTAATAATGCGTCCAAATTTTGTTCAGGGGCCAGGGCTAGCTTTTGGAGCTTTATCCTGATATCTGCAGCTGACTGGGTAATAAACTTATCTTTTAGGATCAATTGACCCTCGAGTGAGTCGGGTAACAGGGAAGTATATTTTCTTAAGGCCTCCTGTAGCCGCTCGAGGAAGGCGGTAGGATTTTCTTCCTTTCCCTGAGTTATGGTGGATGTCATTGAATAATTCATGGGCTTTTTCCTAATTCTGCTTAGTCCTTCTAGGACACAGGTTAACAGATGTTCACGACTCCAGTCCCCATGATCTGAGTCGAGGACCCGGTGGGGATCCACACTGAGAATGGCTTGCTGACCAGTAGGGAATTTGTCCCTTTCTTCGACTGTCATTCTGTCATTTACGTGACTGAGATGCCAGGTATCTCCAAACTCTTGGGCTGCAACTAAAGCTGCATTCTTTTCATTAAAGGCCAGGGTTTGATCTAACAATAGCATGACATCTCTCCAAGTGAGGTTGAAGGTTTGCCCTAGACCCTATAGGACATCTATATACCTATCAGGATCATCTGAAAACTTCCCCAGGTCTACTGTCATCTGCTTTAAATCAGAGAGAGAGAGAAGGGGACATGTACCTGGGTTGGGCCAAATTCCCCTCCCCCTACAGCTTGAAGGGGACATAACCGATAGCCTGGGAGTTTTTGTGGTCCTTTGGAGATTTCTTTGCTTGTTTCCTTCTGGGTGGTGGAGATTAGAGGAGGCTTATCATTAATAGGAAGGGGAGCTGTAGGAAGGCTAGGATATGGGGGTAAGCTGAGAGGTCCTCCTCCCCAATATTGCAAGCTTTGCATAGTTGTGGATTATCCTTCAGTGAAAAGAAAGCTTGGACATAAGGTATTTCACTCCGTTTGTCTTCCCTCTTACAGAAAAGGTCAAGCTGCAGGATAGTATTGTAATTTATATTTCCCTCAGGTGGCCATTTTTGACCATCAGAGAGAGAATATTGGGGCCAGGCCATAGTGCAGAAAAAAATGAGCCGCCTCTTTTTCAGGGTTTGCAGGTCAAATTGGTCCCAGTGGCTTAGGATGCATTTCAAGGGTGAGCCTGTTGATGCCTGTGTGTTCCCCATCTGAAAGAAAAAACCTCCTGTGGTTTTGGTTTGTTCCCCGCTACCCTCTCAACCCCGAGTTATCGTGGCTTTAAAAACCGGACCATTGTCGCTTTGGCTGGCCTATAGAATTCCCCTCTGGAGGACACTACCACTGCAGGGCCCCTTCTTTACCCCTATCCAGCAGGAAGTAGCTAGAGTGGGCATCGCCCAATTCCTAGCAGCAGTTGGGGTGTCCTGTTTAGAGGGGGGATTGAGAGGTGAAGCCAGCTGGACTTCTGGGTTGGGTGGGGACTTGGAGAACTTTGATATCTTACAAGAGGATTGTAAAATGCGCCAGTCAGCGCTCTGTAAAAATGCACCAGTCAGTGCTCTGTGGCTAGCTAGAGGTTTGTAAAATGGACCAGTCAGCACCCTGTAAAATGGACCAATCAGTGCCCTGTAAAATGGACCAATCAGCAGGACATGGAGGGGGACAAATAAGGGAATAAAAGCTGGCCACCCCAGCCAGCAGCGGCAACCTGGTCGGGTCTCCTTCCACACCGTAGAAGCTTTGTTCTTTCGCTCTTCACAGTAAATCTTGCTGCTGCTCACTCTTTGGGTCCGTGCCACCTTTAAGAGCTGTAACACTCACCACGAAGTTCTGCGGCTTCATTCTTGAAGTCAGCGAGTCCATGAACCCACTGGAAGGAACCAACTCCGCACACATAAAGATGAGGAAAATTGTTCTTTTGGTTTTGACGACTTTACTATGTGCAGTTAGCATTGCTGAATGTGGTGGTCTCTGAGAGCAGTGTAATTCTGATGATACATACAGGCATTTGTCTATTAAAAATGGGATGAAATTGAAGATGGTTTATTGCCTTTTATATCATCTTTTGGATTTGTGATAAAGACAAACCTTTGAAAATGTTTGTAGTTATTAATATGACCAGAAACTGAAACTGTTTCAGTTTGGCACAGGAGAGATTAGTAGTAGTATTGCTGTTAGTCATTATGTAAGAGATGATAATGTTTGGATTTAACCTTCGATTGTTTGTAATATGATATTCCTAACATTCCTGACTAAAAGGCTAGTGAATAAAAAATAATGCATTTACAACTATATTAAAACTGCATTGCAGAAAGCATATGAAATTTCAAGTTTAGGAAATTTCCTGCTTTGAAACTTTTTTCTTCACACTTCACGCTTTCAGCACTTATGTGTGATGCATCTAGAAGATGCATCTGGTTTTGCCAAATACAGTACTGCACCTGAATTACATTTTCGGTATTTATTCAGTATTTATTTTCAGTCTTTATTTCCTAAAGGTTAATTTTCTTTAAAACCTTAGCAATTTTTCATCCAGCCCTTTTCATGTTATAATCATTTGCTTGTGTGATTTTACCACACACTGTATCCAACTAGGTAGCATTACTGGAAAACTTATTTGATTTTTTGCCAAATGGGAGATGGCTGGAATATTTTTTGTAGTAGAGAATATGTGGAGAAAATGCTTTAATTGATCCCTGACCAAATACAGCAAGAAAAACTTAAGTAAACCTTAATAAGCAGGCAATAGAAGTTAAGGTGATAATATTCTGACTTTGGATATAAACACTCAAACATGAGCTCTGCTACTGGAAAGTAAAAAATAAAATTAGTGTTAAGTTGAGATGAGTCAACTTGTTGATCATCTGCCTAGCCTACTGTGATAGGAATGGTTGTAAGACTTGGAAGTTTTTCCTTCCTAAGTTGATAAGCATTTGAGTGGAAAGAAAGTCACTTTTCTCTTGATGTTTTTTCACTTTGGAATTTTCAGACTGTTTAAAGTCTTTTAAAATTTTCTGAGTCACTTCTTTATTTTCTAGGCTGCTCATATTAAGAGAAGTATTGCCTTTTTATCCTTTAAAATGTAATACCCTCATCTTTAGTGGTTGTCCCTGCTTAGGTTATATTGCTTAGAACATAACGTTTATGTTTGGTTAAAATTTCACTGAGCCACCGGGCACGGAGGCTCACACCTGTAATCCCAGCACTTTGGGAGGCAAGGCAGGTGGATCACCTGAGGTCGGGAGTTCGAGACCAGCCTGATGAACATGGAGAAACCCTGTCTCTGCTAAAAATACAAAATTAGCCAGGCGTGGTGGCACATGCCTGTAATCCCAGCTACTTGGGAGGCTGAGGCAGGAGAATTGCTTGAACCTGGGAGGCGGAGGTTGTGGTGAGCTGAGATCGTGCCATTGTACTCCAACCTGGGCAATGAGAATGAAATTCCATCTTAAGGAAAAAAAAAAAATTCAGCTTCTGAAAAGCACTAGGGACTAAGCAAGTTGACTATGTAGGCTTTATTATTAGATTTGTGTGTTTGTATTATAAGGAAAACAAATTTTTAGTAAAATATAATGTATTTTGTTCATTGTTTAGTTCATTGCTGGATTGCTGGTCTCTAGAACTTTTCCTGGTACAGAATAAACATATAATAAGTATTTTTTAAATGATGTACTTAATTTTATTACCCTACCATGCTTGAAACTGTGACTTTATATTATAGTTTCCTTTAGCAAAAGGTGAAACTATAGTCAATATATAGATTATAAGTAAATTTTTAAAAATCTTCATTTACCGTAATAGCATCATTTTACATGTATACCTGCTTTTCAGATTTGTAACTCATTTGGTTTAAGTTTGGGGCATTTGGATGTTTCTGATGTTGAATGATAAAATGTAGGCTTAAAAAAATTATCCTTCGAGTTTTATGCTGCTGTATTGTGTATAGCCTCTCTTTCATAATGATACTTGGACTGTGATGGTATAAAGTGACTCTTATTTTAATCTGAATGCATTCGAGATATTTCAAGTTCTTGAAAGACTGTTACACTTCTTGGGATGGTCATCATCATATTTTTGAAGCAGAGATCCTAAAACTTAAAAACCTCAGAGAAAGTCCAGCATCTATTTTCAACTCCTTGTTTTTTAAAGCTTTAGAACTTGACTTTGTACTCTTTGGTGAGGTGACAAAACAAATTCAGATTTTTTTTTTTAACTGAGGACTTCAAAAAATTTTTGTGATGTTTATAGTATTTTGTCTCTTTTTAGAAAGTCAAATTTGTTGAGGTATAGTTTACACTCAGTGAAATTCACCCATTTTAGATGTATGGTTCTGTGAATTTTGACAAACATTACTGAAATGGCTAAAGTCGACTGCTATCTAGCAGACAGTGCTAAAATAGCAACTTAGCAGTTAAAATGTCATCTTTTTATCACTTTGGGAAGATTCTCATTGGTATCTTTCCATGGGTACAATAAGAGACCAGCAGTGTGGCAGGCTTTCACTGTCTTTTTCCCTCAACTCTACCTCACATAAAGGTGAGATTTTCCTATTTTCTTAGGAAAGTCAGCTAGTGGGGTAGGGTGATAAGCTAGGACGGGTTCCTTGTGATTTTATTTAAAGGTTGGTCTACTTAATGCTGGGGGAAAAAAGAAGTGTAGTGATACAACATGTTGCCTACCTTTACATTTTCAAAATAATTTTAAGGAAATAAACTGCTGTTTGATTCGAAATGATTCTTTGTGTTATGGCAGTTAAGATTTTATTAACACCAGGGCTCGAGAATGCCTGTTAAAAATCTAGGTGTTGCTCCTTCTCAGCTACCAACTATATCTTTTTTTAAGGGCCATATTAGTAACATATGTTGGGAACTTTTGCCATGTTACCAATTATGCTTTTTCAGTTTTTTTTTTGAGACTTTTCTACTCAAAAAGGTTCTGAGTATTTAGAAAGTACTCCAATTGTAATCATTCTTTTTATTGCTTCTGGAATGTAGCAGGGCTCCATGTTCTTCCCCATTTCTTGACAGTTTCTTAATATCTTGGAACATTGTTGTAGAGTATAATGTCCTATCTGTGTTGAAATACTTGGCTTTGGCATTTAAGTGCTATCATGCATTTATTTGAGAACAGTTTATGGCTCATTCAGACATTGTGGATAAGAGCATTGACTTAGGTGTCAGGCAGAATAAATTTAATCTGACTCTGCCATTTAGTAACTATATGAACATGGATAAGTTAATTATAACTGCTCTAGCTGTTTTGTCATCTGCCAAATGGGGAAAATAATCATATGTATCTTCCAGGATTGTTGTAAGGATTAAAGAGATAATCCTTGGGAAATATTTTATTGCATGTAGTAAACACTCAGAGCATGTTAGCTGCTCCTGTCATCCTCACTCAGCAGAAGTTTTTTTTTGTTTTCATCTTTTTTTTTTTTTTGGAGATAGTCTTGCTCTGTCCCCAGGCTGGAGTGCAGTGGTGCAGTCTCAGCTCACTGCAACCTCCGCCTCCTGGGTTCAAGCAGTTCTCCTGCGACAGCCTGTGGAGTAGCTGGGATTACAGGTATGTACCACCATGCCCAGCTAATTGTTATAGTTTTTTAGCAGAGATGGGGTTTTACCATGTTGGCCAGGCTGGTCTCGACCTCCTGACCTCAAGTGATCTGTCTGCCCCGGCCTCCCAAAGTGTTGGAATTACAGGCTTGAGCCACCGTGTCTGTCCTCTTTTCATCCCAGACCATGCTTGGTGTTGTGGATACAAAGTGAATTCTAAAGAAGGCCTCCCCATCTTAAGAAGTTTCATAGTTCAAGAAGGGAAGACAGGCATGTAAACAGATAAATGCAATAAGTTGTGACATATGCTATATCAGAAACAAATGAAAAGAATAAAGGAGTTAGTATCATAAGCCTGGGGAGGTCAGGGAAAGACATTTCTATCCCTGACTTATTTTTGATGTGTGAATAGTAGTTTCCTGTTGACTTATTTGACAGATATTTACTGAATACACTTTACTTTTGCCAGGCACTATTTTAGGTGCTGGGAATACCACTGGTTTCATGGAAGACAATTTTTCCATGGACTGGTGGGCAGGGGGTGGAGGGGATGGTTTTGGGATGATCCAAGCACATTACATTTATTGTGCACTTTATTTCTATTATTACTACATTGTAATATATAATGAAATAATTATATAACTCACCATAATGTGGAATCAGTGGGAGCCCTGAGCTTGTTCTTTCACAGCTAGACTGTCCCATATGGGAGTGATGGGAGACAGTGGCAGATCATCAGGCATTAGATTCTCATAAGGAGCGTGCAACCTAGATCACAATAGGGTTCAGGCTTCTATGAGAATCTAATGCCACCGCTGATTTTACAGGAGGCGGAGCTCAGGTGGTAATGCAAGCAGTGGGGAGCAGCTGTAAACACAGATGAAGCTTTTGAGCCCCTCCTGCTGTGAGGCCAGGTTCCTAACAGGCTATGGAATTGGCTTGTAGCCTAGGGGTTGGGGACCCCTGCTGTATAGGAGTTGTGAAAGGAAATTAAATCTTGGGGCCCTCAATCCCTAAACTAAAGGAAAAAGTCAAGTGGGGAACTGCTTAGGGCTAACCTGCCTTCCATTCTATTCAAAATCATCCCTCTGCTCACTGAGATAGATACATATCTGATTGCCTCCCTTGGAAAGGCTAATCAGAAATGCAGCCATTGGTCTCTCACCTAACTTTAACCTGGAAGCTCCCTCCCTGATTTGAGTCTTCTTGCCTTTGCTTTAAGTTGTCCTGCCTTTCCAGACCAAACCAATGTACTTCTTACATATATTGATCGGTGTCTCAAGTCTCCCCGAAATGTATAAAACTAAACTTTGCCCCGGCCACCTTGAGCACATGTTGTCAGGACTTCCTGAGGCTGTGTCATGGGAGCGTCCTCAACCTAGGCAAAATAAAATAAACTTTTTTTTTTTTTTTTTTTTTTTTTTTTTTGAGGTGGAGTCTCACTGTCATCCAGGCTGGAGTGCAGTGGCACGATCTCGGCTCACTGCAACCTCCACCTCCCGGGTTCAAGTGATTCTCTTCCCTCAGCCTCCTGAGTAGCTGGGATTACAGGCACATGCCACCACACCTGGCTAATTCTTGTATTTTTAGTACAGATGGGGTTTCACCATGTTGGCCAGGCTGGTCTTGAATTCCTGACCTCAACTGATCCGCTTGCCTTGGCCTGCCACAGTGCTGGGATTACAGGCGTGAGCCACTGTGCCCAGCCTGCAAAATAAACTTTCTAAATTAACTGAGACCTGTCTCAAATTTTCAGGGTTCACAGAGTAAAGAAGACAGATAATGTCTCTACTCTCAGGAGCTTTCAGTCTAGTGGGAAAAGATCAGTAGTAAACAAAAATATCAGAGACAAGTGCTATGAAAGAGACTAAAAGGTGATGTAATAAGGAGAGACTGAGGGGTTGCTTTACATTGCATTGTCAGGGAAGGATCCTTTGAGTAGGTAACCTTTGAGATCTTCCTACAAAAGAGTCAGCCATGGCAAAGATTAGAGGGATGAGCATTCTACCATAGGGAACCATGTTACACAAAGCCCCTTGAGCTCTTGGAGTATTTAAGGAGCAGACAGGTCAGTGTGGCTGGAATGTAATGGGCAAGGGGTAGAGTGGTGCAAAATGAGATCAGAGATAGTCAGGGTCTAAATCATTTAAGGCTTTGTAAGCCAGAGTAAGGAGTTTCTAGGTGTAAACGAAAGCCAGTGGAGGGCTGTAGCAGGGGGAACGCCTTTTGAAAAAGATTACTGTCGCTGCCGTGTGAAGACTGGATTCTGAGGATAAGGGTAACAAGGGTGGAATTTAGGAGACCTCTGGAGGCTGCTGTATTAGTATAGGTGAGAGGTGGTGGTGGCTTGGGCCAGAGAGTAAATTAGTGGAGAAAAATAGGTTGATTTGGGCTGTGTTTTGAAGATTGAATCAACAGGACTTGCTGACTGCATGTGATCAAGGCAAATCCTAGGACTTGAGCACTTAGAAGATTGGTGGTGCAGTTTACTGAAATGGATAAGACTGGAGGGGAGAGCAAGTTTGGTGGGACAATCATGAGTTCTGTTTTGTTAAGTTTGAGGTGCCAATTAGACATCTATGTAGAGATTTCATACTTGGTGGTAGGTAATAGTAGTACTGTGGAATTCAGTGAGAGTTTAGGGCCAGGGATAAATATTTAGGAGTAACTGATGTATGTCTGCTAGATTTGGTAAGTGACCTTGACAAGTGTGGTCTTAGTGGGAATGGAAACTAGATTGTAGAGAAGTATCAGGTAAAGGATGGAATGAGAATATGAAGTTGGGGAATGGAGACAGTGACAATAGACTCCTAAGAAATTTTCCTGTGAAAAGGGAAGCAGAAAAATGGTTGTGACCACAAGTAAGGCCCAGATTCGAATCTTACTTTTATACTTGCCTGGATACAGTTATTATTTGAGTGCATTCTAAAGTTTAAGATATTTTATGTACCCTACGCAGTCCTCTCTACAAATATTGAGGTAGATGATACTTTTCCTTCTGTGACATGAGAGTCCTTAGTTTAGGGAAGTTAAGTGACAGTCCAGGTAGAACCTGTATTTGGACTCACTCACTTTGACTGTAGATGCAGAGTATTTTTCATTATACCAAAATGCTCCTTAAACTTTTATTATCTTGGTCAAATCCAATCTACCTTAGAGTTTTTGGAAGGATTACAAGATGAGAGATGTGAAAATTCTTTGCAAGCTCTAAATTGTTACACAAATATAGAAATTCCTTTCTTTAAAATGCCCCATTATGTCTTCTTTGTGCATGACTTTTTAGGATATAGTAGGTAGTGGCCTTGAAGTTCATTTTGGATCATAGCCTATCTCATTAGAGCCCAGAGAATGTAAGCAGATTGTTAAAGACATAGAACCTGTCAAAGCTATCTATGGCATATGAATCGAACATGGATCATGTTTAATTGAACATTTTTACCCTGGTTTAATGATCTTGTCTCCTTCGCATGTTCCATGAGGTCTCATAATCCTCCCCAAAGGAGCTCTTCCCAAAAATAATTCCTTCTAAAAATGTGGAAGGGCTGGGCACAGTGGCTCATGCCTGTAATCCCAGCACTTTGGGATGCTGAGGCAGGTGGATCACCTGAGGTCAGGAATTGGAGCCTGGCCAACATAGTGAAACCCCGTCTCTACTGAAAAAAAAAAAAAAAAAAAAAAAATTAGCCAGGCGTGGTGGTGGGTGCCTGTGCCTGTACTCCCAGTTACTCAGGAGACTGTCGGAAGAATTGCTTGAAGCGAGAGGTGGAGGTTGCAGTGAGCCAAGATCGTGTCACTGCATTCCAGTCTGGGTGACAGAGCAAGACTCCATCTCAAAAACAAAACAAAACAAAACAAAACAACAACAACAAAAGTGGAAGTAATTTTAAAAAAACTGCAAAAAAGCCAATCCTGAAAGGTTACAAACTATATCATTCCAAAAGCCGTGGAAAACAGTAACGTGAGTCCTCAAAGAATTAAAAATAGAATTACCCTGTGATCCAGCAATTCTACTTCTGGGTATATACTCAAAAGAACTGAAAGCAGCAGGGTCTTGAAGGGGTATTTCTACACCCATGCTCATAGCAGCATTATTGACAAATGCTGGAAGTAGTCCAGCTGTCCCCAAATGGAGGAACAGATAAGCAAAATGTTACTGGTATACATACAAAATGGAATCTTTTTTTTTTTTTGGGAGACAGAGTCTTGCACTGTTGCCCGGGCTGAAGTGCAATGGTGTGATCTTGGCTCACCGCAACCTCTGCCTCCCGGGTTCAAGCGATTCTCCTGCCTCAGCCTCCCTAGTGGCTGGGATTACAGGTGCCCGCCACGACGCCCAGCTAATTTTTTGTATTTTTAGTAGAGACGGGGTTTCACTGTGTTGGCCAGGCTGGTCTTGAACTCCTGACCTCGTGATCCACCTGCCTTGGCCTCCCAAAGTGCTGGGATTACAGATGTGAGCCACCGCACCCGGCCACAAAGTGGAATCTTATTTCACCTTTCAAAGGAGAGAAATTCTGACATGCTACAACCTGGATGAATCTTGAGAACAATACACTAAGTGAAACTGGCCAGTGAAACCAGTCACAAAAAGACAAATACTGTATGATTCCACTTTAATGAGGTACTTAGAGTAGTACAAATCACAGAGACAGAAAGAATGGTAATTGCCAGGGGTTGAGGAGAAGAGGGAATGGAGAGTTACTGTTTAACGGGTATAGTTTCAGTTTTGCAAGTTGTAGAGTTCTAGAGCTAGATGGTTGTAAGGGTCACACAACAATATAAATGTACTCAGTAACATTAACTGTGCACTTAAAGATAATTTAGATGGTAAATTTTATGTTATGTGTATTTTACTATGCCATCATGCCTGGCTAATTTTTTTGTTTTGTTTTGATTTTCTGGTGACAGGGTCTCACTCTGTCGCCCAGGCTGGAATGCGGTGGCACGATCACGGCTCACTGTAGCCTCGACTTCCTGGACTCAAGTGATCCTCCCATCACAGCCTCCCAAGTAGCTGGGACTACAGGTGTACGCCACCACTCCTGGCTAATTTTTACTAACTCACTCCCTTTTCTGCCTCCTTTCAGTATTCATTCATTCATTTAACAGATAATGACTGAACAACTGTTAGGTATTATTAGGTATTATATATTATTCCTGGGAGCAGACTATTAAGAGTCACTCTATACCATCACAGTCCCAAGTGTCATTATGAAAGAGGGGCTATACACAATACAGCAGTATAAAACTGTAAACAGATTTTTTAAGCCTACATTTTATCAGTCAACATCAGAAACATCCAAATACCGCAAACTTTCTTTTTTTTTTTTTTTGAGACAGTTTCACTCTTGTCACCCAGGCTGGAGTGCAATGGCGCGATCTTGGCTCACTGCAGCCTCCGCCTCCTGGGTTCAAGTGATTCTCCTGCCTCAGTCTCCCGAGTAGTTGGGATTATAGGCATGCGCCACCATGCCTGGTTAATTTTTGTATAGTAGAGACGGGGTTTCACTATATGTTGGCCAGGCTGGTCTTGAACTACTGCCCCCAGGTGATCCACCCGTCTTGGCCTCCCAAAGTGCTGGGATTACAGGTGTGAACCACCACACCTGGCCAAATGTCCCAAACTTAAACCAAATGGACTATAAATCAATTCCCTGAAAAACTGGTATACATGTAAAATGATGCTATTACATTACAGTAAATGATCTTTAAAAATTTATTTATAGTCTATATGTTGACTACAGTTTTACCTTTTGCTAAAGGAAACTATAAAGTCGCAGTTTCAAGTATGGTAGGGTAATAAAACTAAGTACATCATTTAAAAATACTTATTAAATGTTTATCTTTGCCAGGCAATGTTCTAGAGACCAGCAGTCCAGCAATGAACTAAACAAAATGAACAAAATACATTATATTTTACTAAAAATTTGTTTTCCATATAATACAAATACACAAATTAATAATAAAGCCTACGTTAATGCATTGTACTAATCTGTCTTGGTGAGAAGTTCAATTTATGAAGATACAGTAGAAATGATTTTAATTTCTTTTTTTTCCCCTAGAGAATGTGATGTTTATTCATTAATTTATTCATTCACTCAAGAAATCTTCATTGAATGTCTACTGTGTATCAGTTGCAGTTTGGGATTCAGCAGTGAACAAAACATAAATGCTTGCCCTTATGGAACCTACAATCTGTTGGTTTTAAAAAAAATCTCTCCTGGATTAGTGTTAGATTTCTAGACCAGAAGTGTCAATTAAGTTTAACAATTTCTTCAGGCAGAGAAAATTGCTTTTGAGGTATCACTTAAGCAACCTTAGTGCTTCTAAGCAACATAACTGCCTTTTGAGGTATGAACTGAAGGGAAGTGAAGTATAAGCAATAGAGTTGGGATTTTTTTTTTCTTGAGACGGAGTTTCATTCTTGTCACCCAGGCTGGAGTGCAATGGCACCATCTTGGCTCACTGCAACCTCTGCTTCCTGGGTTCAGGGGATTCTCCTGCCTCACCCTCCTGAGTAGCTGGGATTACAGGTGCATGCCACCACAGCCAGCTAATTTTTGTATTTTTAGTAGAGACGGGGTTTCACCATCTTGGCCAGGCTAGTCTCGAACTCCTGCCCTCAGGTTATCTGCCTGTGTTGGCCTCCCAAAGTGCTGGGATTACAGGTGTGAACCACCACCCCTGGCTGAGTTGGGATTTTTTAATTTTCCATAGATTTCCCATTAGGAAGGCAACCTGGTGTGACGGTATTTGAGAGTCAAGAGATCTGGGTTCTAATCCTCATTTCATCATGTAATACTTTGTGTGTTTCAGAATTCTTCACAGTGATCCTTGCTTGTCCTCACTCCTTTGTACAGCTTTTTTTTTTAAAGGATTTTATCCACTGTTGTGCCAGTAACTATGCTAGTGTCACTTTTTATGCTAGTAATAGTTCTATTTTCAAGTTCATTCTGTTTCCTGAGTTTAAATTTGTGTTTCCTAGTGCCAACTGAACATTTCTGTCATTTCATACTCCATTTCCAAAAAGAAACTCATTATTGTTCCGCTTTGAATTTGCTTCCCTTCTTTATGATCTTTTCATCTCGGCAAATAGCATTGCTATGTACCCAGCTGCCTAAGGAAAAACCCTGAGTCGTCATCTTTCTATATTTCATTGACCCTCATTCAGTCATTCAAATATTGCTTCTCTTGAGTATATCTTGAATCTATCCTTTATGCTCTAATTTCTGAACAGAACTGACACTCTTTGTCCTGCATGTTCTACTTTCTTTGCACAGAATACCTTCTCTTTAGTTGGCAAACTCCAACTCATTGGTTAATGTCCAGCTCAAATGTTAACTCCTGTAAAACCTTCACCATTTCTTTTAGGCAGAATTAGTGATTCCTGAGTCTTTGCTCTTAGAGCTTGTAGGTCAAGTGTGTACTGTATTTCTGTTCTTTCACAGTTTTTTATTCGATTGTCTGTAGAATAGACTTTATTATTGTCAAGGGGAAGACAGCCTTAGCAAAATTTTGAAATAAGTCATTGTGTGCCTAAGCATAAATTAGTTTGTGAGAACATACTTTTTAAAGAGAAATGTAGTAGGGTGTATAGTATGTTTGAGTATCTTTTTCCAATAAGCATTGCATGTATAATCATTCACTCATTGCATGTATAATTATTATTTAAATATTCTTTATTAATTAAAGACCTCTCTGGTCTCTCCAGAAGTCTTCCATGGCTGCCCTCATCCCCACCCTCCAGAGGAATCTGAAGCCACATGTGCTCCCTGGCACCCACAGCCCCTGCCTCTCCCAGAGCAGCAGTACCTGAGCCTCAGTGGATTCCAAGAATCGAAACCCTTGGTCTGCTGCCCCTCCCTCCCAGAATGTTTCTGTCTCATTCTTACCTACTCAAGGCCCTTTCAGTAGCCCCTTGGGGTATTCTCTTCCTATGCACCAGGGCAACTTCTGAACTCACCACTTTCCTGGAAAGACCCCCAACATCTTCGGGGAGCGGTCCCCTACAGGCCTGGCTGCAGATGCCCGTGCACACAGGAACACTGTTTAAAAAAAAAAAAAAAGGATACTGGTGGGAGGGGCTTTGTAACTGAGGAGGTTTAGGAATTGAAAACTCATGTGTATTTTCTTTCTTTCCTCATTGTCACTTCCCAGCTACCCAGAGATATTGAAGGACAGCTGAGCTCCCCTACTTGCTGAAAATGCATTGATCAAATTTGTGTAGGATTTCCACATCTATTTATGGGCTCAGAACACTTTCTAGTTACTTGTTCCTTCCTATCAGCTGTTTTCTGTTTGTGTTAGATTTTTTTTTTTTCTGAGATGAAGTCTCGCTCTTGTCCCCCAGGCTGGAGTGCAGTGGCGCGATCTCAGCTCACTGCAACTTCCGCCTCCCGGTTTCAAGTGATTCTCCTGCCTCAGCCTCCCAAGCAGCTGGGATTGCAGGCACCTGCCACCACGCCCGGCTAATTTTTGTATTTTTAGTAGAGATGGGGTTTCACCATGTTGATCAGGCTGGTCTCGAACTCCTGACCTCAAATCCGCCCACCTCAGCCTTTCAAAGTGCTGGGATTACAGGCATGAACACCACACCTGGCCTCATGCAGAGCTTTAAAAAAAAATGTTAACACGGCTGGGCGCAGTGGCTCACGCCTGTGATCCCAGCACTTTGAGAGGCCGAGGTGGGTGGATCACTTGAGGTCAGGAGTTCCAGACCAGCCTGGCCAATATGGTGAAACCCCGTCTCTACTAAAGATACAAAAAATTAGCCGGGCGTGGTGGTGGGCGCCTGTAATCCCAGCTACTCCGGAGGCTGAAGCAGGAGAATTGCTTGAACCTGGGAGGCGGAGGTTACAGTGAGCCAAGATGGCGCCATTGCACTCTAGGCTGGGCGACAGGGCAAGACTCCGTCTTAAAAAAAACAAAAATAAATAAATAAATAAAAGAAAGCTCTGCATGATACAATACAGTATTCATAGAATTTTGGCCAGTGAAAATTTTCTGTGTTAGTAGAATAAAAATGAACTCTTCTGATTTACAGATATTGATAGTCTGGTCTTTCCATCTTCCATCTTGACTCTCTTTTACTGTTAAAAAATCTTAGAACAAAGTAAAGCCAGTTCCAAATACTTTTCCTAGTTCTGGACTGTTTTTTTTTTTTTTTTTTTTTTTAACAAGACAGTCATTTGTCCGAGTACAACAGAACAGTTCATTGTTAATACTTTGGTTCTGTGTGCTTTAAATCTTTTTTCCCCCTCTACCCATAATCTCCCTTTGTAAACTTTGAATGTTTTGTCAGTAGATCATCATCATAGGTAAAGATACTGCACATCAAGACTGTTGGTCTTCCCCATTCTTCCTGGAATATACTGGAAGCTGTCAGGACTGAGGTTAATTTCTCCATTCCTAGAACTATATTGTAATAAATATTGGAATACTGGCTTTTGTGTATTTTTTTGTGTTACTTAGTTTTTGGAGAAAGGAAATATTTCTAGACTTTCTTGACTTGTCATAACTTTTTATTGTTAAAGAATATAGTTTAAAAATTATTAAATATTAGGGAGCCTTCTGCTTCATTGGGACTTTAAGGAATGATAGCCATAGGAAGGGATATATCTTATATTATCATAAAGCTTTTAAAAAATAATATATTTATTACAATTTTTTAAATTTATTTTTTATTTTTAGAAACAGGGTCTTACTCTATTGCCCAGGCTGGTCTCAAACTTCTGGGCTCAAGTGATTCTCCTGCATTGACCTCCCAAAGTGTTGGGATTACAGGCATGAGCCAATGAGCTCAGCCAGTTGTTTTTTTTTTTTTTTTTTTTTTTTGAGTGTTTTTTTTTGATAACTTCTAATTATTTTCTTATCCTATCCCTAATAGTTGGCATCAGTTAATGAACTAGTTTTGATTCCCCAAAAGCCCTCTCTTAATCTCCTGTATTTTGCTTTACTTTCTATCTCTTTTGTTTATTTCTTAGAGAAATGTCATTTATGTAATCAGTTCTTATTTTGTAATACTGGGCCGTAAGAAAGCAGGGAAAAGCACAAAACTTGGCACATAGTAAATTTTGTTGCTTGAACAAATTAATGAATGAATGAACTTGCAGCATAAGAGTGCACCCTATTTAGTGGTACTGTTTAATTATTTCATGATCCTTAGCCAAGAACGAAGGCATACCGGAAGGGAACACACAACAAAAAAAGGTGAGGGAAAAGTGTTAATATATCATTTAAGTGACTGTATTACAACAATATTACATTATGTTGTCACTCCTGAACATGAGATGTGATTCTCATTTACATTTCAAGCTAATTTGGTTAGCTGGGGGAATTCTTAGGCATCTCAAGAGATAATTAGATATACCCCTTAGGACCTCACATAATTATAATCACTATTAGGGGTATTAAAGTTTTTTTTTTTTTTTAAACAAAAACTTAGGGGGAAAAGTTGTGATTGGTAAGCGTTTTTTTCTCTTAGTGTTCTCAGAATCTTAGGAGATACGTTATTTGAAACAGTTGTTCAGGCCGGGCGCGGTGGCTCACACCTGTAATCTCAGCACTTTGGGAGGCCAAGGCGAGTGGATCATGAGGTCAGGAGATCGAGACCATCCTGACTAACACGGTGAAACCTCGTCTCTACTAAAAATACAAAAAATTAGCTGGGCGCGGTGGCGGGCGCCTGTAGTCCCAGCTACACGGGAAGCTGAGGCAGGAGAATGGTGTGAACCCAGGAGGCGGAGCTTGCAGTGAGCCGAGATAGTGCTACTGCACTCCAGCCTGGGTGACAGAGCAAGACTCTGTCTCAAAAAAAAAAAACAAAAAAAACCAAACAACACTTGTTCAATCAATTCTACTTTAGTAGAAACCAGCTCTCTATATTGTTCTCTAACATTTTGTTATCTTGGCTTTTAGATGAAATCTTTAGCATCAGTTGGGCTCATTAGCACCTCTACTAAGAGAAGCAAGCACAGAATGGAAGGGAGAGCAAATCATAACTTTTTAAAAAGTTATTTCTCCTTAGTTAAAAGTTTGGAAGAGAAGCAAGTTGAAACTGTAGGCTGATTATGTAAAAGTTTAAGTTATCAGCTCTCTTATATGTAATGCAGGTTGATTATAAGTTTCTGGGCTGTTGTGACAACAAGAAAATTATGTTTATTATTAAAAACTTGTTTATACTGCATATATGTGAAGGGCATTATACTGTGACAAAGCTAACAATAAAACATACATTTTAATATTTCAGATTCCTTATTTTATTTGTTTGTTTAGAGACAGGGTCTTAATGTTGCCCAGGCTGGAGTGCAGTGATGCGATCATGGCTTACTGAAGCCTCAAACTCCTGGGCTCAAGCGATCCTCCTCCCTCACTCTCCCAAGTAGCTGGGACTACAGGCATGTGACACTGCGTGGCTGATGTTTTGTAGAGGCGGCATCTTATTATGTTGTCTAGGCTGGTCTCGAACTTTCTCCCGCTTCAGCCTCCCAAAGTTCTGGGAGCCACTGTGCTGGGCCAGATTCCTTTTTTTAAATTGTGGGAAAATACACGTAACATAAAATTTACTATATTAACCATTTTAAAGGGTGCAGTTCAGTGGCATTAGGTATATTCACAATGTTGTACAATCATCACACTACCTAGTTCCAGAACTACTTTATGATCCCAATCAGAAACTATGCGCATTATACAATAACTCCTCATTGTTCTCTTCTCCCAGTTCCTGGTAAGTTCTATTACACTTTCTGACGCTATCAGTTTGCCTGTTCTAAGTATCATATAAATGGAATCATATAGCATTTGTCTTTTTGTGTCTGGTTTATTTCACATAGCGTACATGTTATAGCATATATCAAAATTTTATTCCTTTTGGCCGGGTTCGGTGGCTCATCCCTGTAATCCCAGCCCTTTAGGAGGCCGAGCTGGGCAGATCACCTGAGGTCAGGAGTTTGAGACCAGCCTGGCCAACATGGTGAAACCCTGTCTTTACTAAAAATACAAAAATTAGCCGGGCGTGGTGGCTGGCGTGTGCTTGTAATCCCAGCTACTTGAGAGGCTGAGGCAGGAGAATCGCGGGAACCCGCGGGGCAGAGGTTGCAGTGAGCCGAGATCGTGCAGCTGCACTCTAGCCTGCATGATAGAGTGAGACTTGGTCTGAAAACAAAAACAAAAACAAAAAACACCAAGTTTATTTAAAAAAAAAAAAAGCTTAGACTTTTTTTGAGCATTTTTATGTTATAGAAAAATTGAGTGAAAACTAGAGTTCCCATATATCTACCCGCTGCTTGGTACCACCAGTTTCCCGTTACTAACATCTTGCATTAGTGTGGTACATTTGTTACAGTTTATGAACTGATGTTAATACATTTTTAATTAAATTGCATAGTTTTGCATTAGGGTTCACTCTGTGTGTTGTACATTCTGTGGGTTTTGACACATGTATGAAAGGTATCCACTATTACAGTTATCACAGAATAGTTTCACTGCCCTAAATACTCAGTGTTTCATCTACTCATCCCTAAATCCCTGCCAACCACTGATCTTTTTACTGTCTCCTTAGTTTTGTCTTTTCCAAAATGTCATATAATTGGAGTCATATAATATGTAATCTTTTCAGATTGATTTCTTTCCATTGGCAATATACACTTAAGGTTCTCCATGGCTTTTCATGGCTTCATAGCTCATTTCTTTTTATTGCTGAATAGTACACTGTTGTATGGATGTGTACCACAGTTTGTTTATTCATTGACCTATTAAAGACTATCTTGGTTACTTCCCAGTTTTGGCAGTTATGAATAAAGCTACTATAAACACTTGTATGCAAGTTTTTGTGTGCACATAGGTTTTTAACTCATTTGGGTAAATTGTATGCCTTTCTAACTTTTGTATTTATGCATACACTTTTATATAGTTGTAAAACTTAGTTTTATCTAGTTGTAATAATTTTGTTTTATGTTTTAAGATAACATAAACAATCTTCATGCTGTTTTTGAATGCTCCCTAATATTAAAATGAGAAAATGAATTTATTATGTACTTTATTTTTCTGTTACTCATTAATTGCTTCCATTTTCCCCTGCCTTAATAAATACTTTTGTGTGTGTAGTTTTTCCCTTTTGTATTGCTTTAGGATAAAATTCAAGGAGAAACAGTAAAGAGTACAATTATTGGGATCAAGGCCATTTTAGATAATTCTTGATATGCAGTAAAGTTTCACAATGGGAAACCTTGTTAGATTTACAGTGGAGGTTTGCTGCAGTTTATTTTGTGGCTTTCTAGACAAGAGTAGCACCAGTTATCTGTGTAATTTTACTTAGAAAAAAACAAAGAACTTTTCACTGGTTCTTTGAAGTGGTAGTAAGCTTCCCTACTGTTGGTTTTGTTCAAAAATCACTGTTTGCTATCTGAATCTTCTTGATTACTTCAGAACTTTATGTAATAGTTTATTGAGGTTCTTAGGTACAGGTAGCTAACACGGGCTTGACTTTATCTTACTATGGTACAATCTAAATATATATTTAGTGTTGTTAATTAAGGTTATCATTCACAGATGCTCCCTTATATATAGGTGGAGAAACTGAGGCTTCCCTTGAGACAGCATGCTCCTGGATATAACCGTGAGAGCAGTTAAACTCTTGAGACCTGCATTCTTTATTTTTCTTAATTATCAGTACAATTATTGGATCAGAGTTTCTTCTATCTTTTTTGTGAGTCATTAAATTCCATTTTTAAAAGGTATCTTTTGAATACATACATTTACAGGTTTGGAAAATATATTTCTAGTTAAACCATGTGTTCTTATTTATTTATTTATTTTTTATTCTAAGTTTTAGGGTACATGTGCACAACATGCAGGTTTGTTACATATGTGTACATGTGCCATGTTGGTGTGCTGCATCTATTAACTAATCATTTAACGTTAGGTATATCTCTTAATGCTATCCCTCCCCCCTCCCTCAACCCCACAACAGGCCCTGGTGTGTGATGTTCCCCTTCCTGTGTCCATGTGTTCTCATTGTTCAATTCCCACCTATGAGTGAGAACATGTGGTGTTTGGTTTTTTGTCCTTGGCGATAGTTTGCTGAGAATGATGATTTCCAGCTTCATCCATGTCCCTACAAAGGACATGAACACATCCTTTTTTATGGCTGCATAGTATTCCATGGTGTATATGTGCCACATTTTCTTAATTCAGTCTGTCATTGTTGGACATTTGGGTTGGTTCCAAGTCTTTGCTATTATGAATAGAGTGCCGCAATAAACATACGTTTGCGTGTGTCTTTATAGCAGCATGTTCTCTAATCCTTTGGGTATATACCCAGTAATGGGATGGCTGGGTCAAATGGTATTTCTAGTTCTAGATCCTTGAGGAATCGCCACACTGACTTCCACAATGGTTGAACTAGTTTACAGTCCCCCCAACAGTGTAAAAGTGTTCCTATTTCTCCACATTCTCTCCAGTACCTGTTGTTTCCTGACTTTTTAATGATTGCCATTCTAACTGGTGTGAGATGGTATCTCATTGTGGTTTTGATTTGCATTTCTCTGATGGCCAGTGATGATGAGCATTTTTTCATGTGTCTTTTGGCTGCATAAATGTCTTCTTTTGAGAAGTGTCTGTTCATATCCTTTGCCCACTTTTTGATGGGGTCGTTTGTTTTTTTCTTGTAAATTTGTTTGAGTTCATTGTAGATTCTGGATATTAGCCCTTTGTCAGATGAGTAGATTGCAAAAGTTTTCTCTCATTCTGTAGGTTGCCTGTTCACTCTGATGGTAGTTTCTTTTGCTGTGCAGAAGCTCTTTAGTTTAATTAGATCCCATTTGTCAATTTTGGCCATTGCTTTTGGTGTTTTAGACATGAAGTCCTTGCCCATGCCTATGTCCTGAATGGTATTACCTAGGTTTTCTTCTAGGGTTTTTAGGTTTTTAGGTGTAACATTTAAGTCTTTAATCCATCTTGAATTAATTTTTGTATAAGGTGTAAGGAAGGGATCCAGTTTCAGCTTTCTACATATGGCTAGCCAGTTTTCCCAGCACCATTTATTACATAGGGAATCCTTTCCCCATTTCTTGTTTTTGTCAGGTTTGTCAAAGATCAGATAGTTGTAGATATGCGGCACTATTTCTGAGGGCTCTGTTCTGGTCTATATCTCTGTTTTGGTACCAGTACCATGCTGTTTTGGTTACTGTAGCCTTGTAGTACAGTTTGAAGTCAGGTAGCGTGATGCCTCCAGCTTTGTTCTTTTGGCTTAGGATTGACTTGGCAATGTGGGCTCTTTTTTGCTTCCATATGAACTTTAAAGTAGTTTTTTCGAATTCTGTGAAGAAAGTCATTGGTAGCTTGATGGGGATGGCATTGAATCTATAAATTACCTTGGGCAGTACGGCCATTTTCACGATACTGATTCTTCCTACCCATGAGCATGGAATGTTCTTCCATTTGTTTGTGTCCTCTTTTACTTCATTGAGCAGCGGTTTGTAGTTCTCCTTGAAGAGGTCCTTCACGTCCCTTGTAAGTTGGATTCCTAGGTATTTTATTCTCTTTGAAGCAATTGTGAATGGGAGTTCACTCATGATTTGGCTCTCTGTTTGTCTGTTATTGGTTTATAAGAATGCTTGTGATTTTTGCACGTTGATTTTGTATCCTGAGACTTTGCTGAAGTTGCCTATCAGCTTAAGGAGATTTTGGGCTGAGACAATGGGGTTTTCTAGATATACAATCATGTCATCTGCAAACAGGGACAGTTTGACTTCTTCTTTTCCTAATTGAATACCCTTTATTTCCTTCTCCTGCCTAATTGCCCTGGCCAGAACTTCCAACACTATGTTGAATAGGAGTGGTGAGAGAGGGCATCCCTGTCTTATGCCAGTTTTCAAAGGCAATGCTTCCAGTTTTTGCCCATTCAGTATGATATTGGCTGTGGGTTTGTCATAAATAGCTCTTATTATTTTGACATACGTCCCATCAATACCTAATTTATTGAGAGTTTTAGCATGAAGCATTGTTGAATTTTGTCGAAGGCCTTTTCTGCATCTATTGAGATAATCATATGGTTTTTGTTGTTGGTTCTGTTTGTATGCTGGATTACGTTTATTGATTTGCGTATGTTGAACCAGCCTTGCATCCCAGGGATGAAGCCCACTTGATCATGGTGGATAAGCTTTTTGATGTGCTGCTGGATTCGGTTTGCCAGTATTTTATTGAGGATCTTTGCATCGATGTTCATCAGGGATATTGGTCTAAAATTCTCTTTTTTGTTTTGTCTCTGCCAGGCTTTGGTATCAGGATGATGCTGGCCTCATAAAATGAGTTAGGGAGGATTCCCTCTTTTTCTATTGATTGGAATAGTTTCAGAAGGAATGGTACCAGCTCCTCCTTGTACCTCTGGTAGAATTCGGCTGTGAATCCATCTGGTCCTGGACTTTTTTTGGTTGGTAAGCTATTAATTATTGCCTCAATTTCAGAGCCTGTTATTGGTTTATTCAGAGATTCAACTTCTTCCTGGTTTAGTCTTGGGAGGGTGTATGTGTCGAGGAATTTATCCATTTCTCCTAGATTTTCTAATTTATTTGCGTAGAGGTGTTTATAGTATTCTCTGATGGTACTTTGTATTTCTGTGGGATTGGTGGTATCACCACCCCTGTATCACAATCCCCTGTATCATTTTTTATTGTGTCTATTTGATTCTTCTCTCTTTTCTTCTTTATTAGTCTTGCTAGTGGTCTATCAATTTTGTTGATCTTTTCAGAAAACCAGCTCCTGGATTCATTAATTTTTTGAAGGGTTTTTTTGTGTCTCTATCCCCTTCAGTTCTGCTCTGATCTTAGTTATTTCTTGTTTTCTGCTAGCTTTTGAATGTGTTTGCTCTTGCTTCTCTAGTTCTTTTAATTGTGATGTTAGGGTGTCGATTTTAGATCTTTCCTGCTTTCTCTTGTGGGCATTTAGTGCTATAAATTTCCCTCTACACACTGCCTTGAATGTGTCCCAGAGAATCTGGTATGTTGTGTCTTTGTTCTCATTGGTTTCAAAAAACATCTTTATTTCTGCCTTCATTTCGTTATGTACCCAGTAGTCATTCAGGAGGAGGTTGTTCAGTTTCCATATAGTTTGTTTTTGATTCAGAAAATTTGGTCAGAATTAGTGTCTACACAATGGGCCTGTTTTCATGTCCACCAGGCATTATGGCTGAGTGAAAAGCCAGAAGGGCCCGATTTTGAACTTTTCTTCCACTTACCAGCCATGAGACTGAGCAACCTGCACAAACTGTGAGCCTTGAATTCTTCAGTTGCAGAAATGAGGTGTTGAATCCTTCAGGTTGTTATGAAGAATAAATGAGATAATGGGCACCTGACAGCATATATTTATGTTAGGAATATATAATTATTGCTGTTTGAAATTGTAGCCTGTATATATTTGCAGAGTGCCCAAATACTTGTTCCTCAGATACAGAGTTTATGTACATCTCAATGTACCTTTTATAGTTGAAGTTGTTTTGTTTTGAGAGAAGACTGAAGTTATTTGTGGGGTTTTTTGTTGTTGTTTTTTTTCTTACAGTATTGTCATGTGGAAAATACATGTTAATTATCAGGGTTTAGGTTTTCTGCTGAGTGTGTTTCAAATTAAGTCATTTCCCTCTAGAATTGGTAGTTTGTTGTCTTCATGTTATTTATAATCATTTCCAAGTTTACCAGATAGAAAAACCCTTAATGAAATTTTGGAAAAGAAGTACACCAGTGAGTTGTTTGCTAATCTTCCTGTAGTTGTCACACAGACTGACTGTTTATATATTTTTTGGAGACAGAGTCTCACTCTGTCACCCAGGCTGGAGTGCCGTGGTGTGATCTTGGCTCACTGTGACCTCTACCTCCTGGGTTCGAGCAATTCTTGTGCCCCAGCCTCACGCTTGGGTAATTTTTTGTATTTTTAGTAGAGATGGGGTTTCACCATGTTGGCCAGGCTGGTCTTGAACTCCTGACCTCAAGTGATCTGCCCATCTTGGCTTCCCAAAGTGCTAGGATTACAGGCGGAGCCACTGCGCCTGGCCCAGACTGACCCTTTACAGCATCACTCCTGTTCCTTGCATATTCATGCTTCCAATTTAAGATTTTGTCCATTACTTATTACAGTTGCCATGTATGAAGGTCCCTTTTTTTGATAATTGGTTCTTTTCTCTTCTACATACTAAGGCAGGGGTGGGAATAAATGTCACAGCATTACCACTACTTGATTTGATTTTAATGTGTTACTCTCTTGTACTCCTACCTTATTAGTTTTAGTAGTTTATGGCTGGGTGTGGTAGCTCTTGCCTGTAGTCCCAGTACTTTGGGAGGCTGAGATGGATGGATTGCTTGAGCCCAGGAGTTTGAGACCGGCCTGGGCAACATGAAGAAACCCTGTCTCTACAAAAAAAAAAAAAAAAAAAAAGTTAACCAGGCATGGTGGTATGTGCCTGTGGTCCCAGCTACCCGGGAAACTGAGGTGGGAGGATCACTTGAATCTGGGAAATTGAGGCTGCAGTATGAGCTGTGATTGCACTACTGTGCCCAGCTTGGGTGACAGAGTGAGACCTTGTCTCAAAAAAAATTTTTAGTAGTTTCTGTGTTTTGTTTGTAAATTTAACTCTGTATTGAGCCAGAAAAGCACAAGCCCTGTAATTTCTCATTTTAGAGAAAAACATTCATTTTTTTCCTTCCCCAAGGAGTTTCTCCTTCTTCCTATTTTTTTCTTTAAAGAGAGTTTGGCAGAATTCCAGAGCCTAAAATAATAAAATAAAGGTAATTAAATGAATTCTCCAGCCAGCAGAGACCATCTTATCTTGAATTGCTAGTGGTTTATGCTGGTCCCCCTTTGACCTTCTTTCACTTTTTGGAGGTGGATGAACTTTTCCACTCAAAACTATCTTGTCAGCCTCACACATATTTATTAAAGGAGTGAGTATGCTTAAGAGACAGATTTTTTGTGTTGGTTGAAGAAACCATTTTGGATATTTTTCTCTGTTGTGACTGGGACTGAATTTTTAGATTGATTTATATTTCCTTTGAAGAACAAAGGAATATTTTTCTCGAAAATGAGAATTAACAGGAGCATTAATAACAACAAAAAGTCTGTTAAACGTATTTGGGGAGATTATTTGTTTTCAAAGAATAACATTTCTTGTGTGAGTCATTATATTCAGCAAAATTTCTTTTGTGATAATTTTATGCTGCCATAAAATTTTTTGGGAAAATAACTTTAAAAAAACTTCAAAAAATTTTATTTTAGAGGGGCAGTAGTACAGTTGGAAGAGGAATTTTAAGTCAAAGAACAGTAAAACATGAATTCTTTCAGAAGACAGTTGAAAATTTACTGTGCATCAGGAACATTACTTAGCTCTGAACATAAAAAATGATGAAGGTACTGCTCTCTGCCTTTATGTCTTTGCGTGTAGTCTAATGGGAGACACAAGTAAATAAGAAACAATGGGTCAAGGTCATTATAGTAGTAGTTACACAGGTAGGTGCATATGCTTCTAGTCTAGCCAGTGGGATGCTGTGTAAATTGTAGCTATGTGGAGAAGCCTTGAGATTTCCCTCTCTGAAAGTAAAATTATTGCCTTAGGGCAGGGTTAGCAAACTATAGCTAGCCCCTGGGTATCTACCTGTTTTTGTATGGCTCATGAGCAAAGATTGGTGTTTACATTTAAAAATAGTTTAAACAAAATAATGTTTTGTGATAGATGAATGAAAATTATATGAAATGGAAATCTCAGTGTTAATAAAGTTTTATTGGAACACAGCCACATTAATTCATTTACATATTGTCTGACTACTTTTGTGCTGCACTAGCTGAGTTGAGTTTTTTGTAGGAGAGACCTTTTGTGGCCCACGAAACCTAAAATATTTATAATCTGGCCTTTTATTATAGAAAAAGTTTGTTGAGCCTTCTTTAGAGTGTTATGAGCACTGACTTTTTATGACCTCAATCACACATGCAGTTTCCTTAAATTCCTTATTATATGTTTAAAAGTTAAATTAGCTGGGCGCAGTGGCTCACGCCAGTAATCCCAGCACTTTGGGAGGCTGAGGTGGGTAGATCACCTGTGGTCAGGAGTTCGAGACCAGCCTGGCCAACATGGTGAAACCCCGTCTCTACTAAAAATACAAAAAATTAACCGGGCGTGGTGGCACATGCCTGTAATCCTAGCTACTCAGAAGGCTGAGGCAGGAGAATTGCTTGAACCCGGGAGGCAGAGGTTGCAGTGAACTGAGATTGCATCGTTGTACTCCAGCCTGGGCGACAAGAGCGAGGCTCCATCTCAAAAAAAAAAAGAAGTTAAATTTTAAGTGGCTGTATAAAGGATTATGATGATGCCTACCTTGAATGGTAAACTTTTAGATGTAACTTTTCAGTTATTTCTGCTGAAAAATGCTAAAGTGATGTGCTATTCTATTGAAAGCCAAGTGTATTGATTTGCTAGGCCTGCCATAAAGTACTGCAGACTGGGTGGCTTAAATGACAGAAATGTATTTTCTCACAGTTCTGGAGGCTAGAGTTTCAAGATCAACATGTCAGCAGGTTTGGTTTCTCCTATCACCCCTCTCCTTGGCTTGCAATTGTTGCCTTCTCTCTGTCCTCACAGGGCCTTTCCTCTGGGCATGTATTCCTCCCTGGTGTCTCTTCTTACAAGGACATCAGTCATAGTGGATTAGGCCCCCCCACCTTGTAACTTCATTTAACCTTGATTACCTCTCTAAAGCCTCTATTTCCAAATACAGTCTCATTGTAAAGTACTGGGGGTTAGGACTTAACATATGAATTTTGAGAGGCTACAATCAGTGCACACCGCCAGGGAATTTCTGATAGAAACTTCATTTGTTTACACATTAAGCAGATCTTGAGGGTGTGTACTGTGTGACAGATCCTGTTTTACGTATGTATGTGTGTGTACTATGTGACAGATCCTGTTTTAGATACATATGGTGAACGAGACAAACAAGATTTGACACTTAAGAGGCTGGTGGTTTAGTTGAGAAAGACAGATAATTAATAGGAAAATAAATATTTGAGAGAGTGATAAGGACTGTGAAGGAAATTAAACTGTGTCAAGTGTTAGAATGATTAGTGTGACGGGTCGTCAGGTAGGGGCTTCCTGAAAAGGTGACCTTTTACCTGGGAGCTTAAATGGTAAGGGATAGCTAGCTAGTTAAGTTCCCAGGCATGTTTCTAGGGCCTGATGTTGATCAAGATTGGTATGGAAAAGGTTCAAAAGAATAGTGAGTCAATTAGGGAGCTTTATAAGTTGAGGTTGGAGAGGTTGGTGGGGCAAAATCATTAAGGGCCTTGTGGGAATTATGGTAAAGATTTGGCTTCCTTTTGCACAAGGAATAAAATCTGGAGGGATTTTAGCAGGGGAGTGACATGATTTTTCTGTTCGAAAGAGCACTTTGGCTGCTAAATAAAGAGAGGAAACTGCAGGTATGAGAGTAGAGGATAGGGAGGCCTGTTAGGGGATTATCAAAGTATTGTAGGTCAGAGATATTGGTGGTTTAGCTAAGATCATGGCAGGGAAGAGAAAAAGAAAGGGAAATAATTTGAGAGATATTTTGGGAGATAAAATCCATGTATTATTTACTAATGGATTAAGTATGGGGGCTTAGGAAGAGGGAGGAATATCTTTGGCAATAGTGTTGTGTAATACTGTCCACTGTAGCAAGTGAACCTATAGTGTTAGCAAATCAGATAGATGATTGCTGCAGCAGCAAGTTACAGAATATAATTTGGAAAGGAAAAAAGCCTTCAATCATTAAATAGGAAAACAGAAGGCAGGTAAACAATGCTATGGTTTAATTATGTTCAACTTACAGGCTTATAACTACTAGACAACCAATGGGGAATTCATAGTTTGCCATAGAGAATGCCTTTGGGACACATAACCTGTTTGGAATGAAAAAGCCCTGGAGAGTATTGTAAAATAACAAATGTCAGGTTTGATGGAATGACTATGCATGCAATTAAGTGATTTTCTTTAGTGCTAGAGTTCTTTTTTCTTAGGTAAATCATTTTAAAAAATGGACCAGACTTTGTGAAAGTAGATATGTTACATAAAATAATGTTAGCTAAAGATGAATGGAATAGGTTAAGAGTGTCTTCTTGAAAATTTGAACTATATCTCTTTCAAAAAGAATTTTATTACCTCTAGGCTGGACTTGACTGAAAAGTTAAAAAAAAAAAAAGACAAAATCTTATGATTGTTGAACTCCCAATGAGGAGTCAGAGAATTGTGAGAGCCAGGGTCTGTTTTTTGTCACTTTTCTCTCTCTCTTTTTTTAAGATAGCATCTTGCTATCTGCAGGCTGAAGTGCAGTGGTGCGATCACAGCTGCTTGCAGCTTTGAACTCTTAAGCTCAAGCGATCCTCCCACCTCAGTGTCCTGAGTAGTTGGGACTGCAGGTGCACACCACCACGCCTGGCTTATTTTTGCATTTTTTGTAGAGACGGAGTCTTGCCGTGTTGCCCAGGCTGGTCTTGAACTCCTGGGCTCAAGCCATCTGCCCACCTGGGCCTCCCAAAGTGCTGGGATTACAGGCGTGAGCCACTGTGCCCAGCTGCCACTTTTTTCTATGTTTAGAAATCTACCTCTGAGCCTTATTCCCCATCCATAAGGCAGGTAACCACTAGATGGCTAATTTTGAAAGAGCGAGAGCATTCAGAGATGCACAGTAATTCTAAGTTCTGAGTAGAATACAGTCATCCTTTGGTATCCATGGGGGATTGGTTCCAGGACCTCCCATGGATACCAAAATCTGTGGATGCTCAAGTTCCTGATAGAGAATGGCATAGCGTTTGCATATAACCTAAGCACATCTTCCTGTATATTGTAAATCATGTCTAGATTACTTGTAGTACCAAATACAATGTAAATGCCCTGTAAATAGTTACTATACTGTATTGTTTAGGGAAAAAAGTCTACATGTTCAGAATAGATGTAATTTTAAAAATCTGGATAATTTCCATCTGTTGTTGGTTGAATCCACAGATGCAGAACCCCATTGATATAGAGGGCTGACTGAATACAAAAGCAAGGCAAGTGTGATAGCAGCCTTCTTTTACTTTAGGATTCAGGATTTACTTCTTTACTTCAGGATCAAATATTTTTACTTTTCGATTTTATTTTTTTGTTTGTGAAGAGTTGGGAGTTGCTGGGTTTAGTTATGCTACTCTCTTTTTAAGGGAGAATATAGCAGTCCTAGAGGGATTTGCAAACTATAGCTCTTGGGGAAACATTCAAAATTTTCCTTGTGTAAGAAATTTTATGAGTCTCGAGGGCCGGATGTGGTTGCTCATGCCTGTAGTCCCAGCATTTTGAGAGGCCAAGGCTGGAGGATCTCTTGAGGTCAGGGGTTTGAGACTGGCCTGGCCAGCATGGTGAAACCCCATCTCTACCAAAAAAAAAAAAAAAAACAAAGCAGTGAGCCAAGATTGTGCCACTGCACTCCAGCCTGGGTAACAGAGCGAGACGCTGTCTAAAAAAAAAAAAAAAAAAAGAAATTCTATGAGTCTTAAATTACATCAAGTAACTTTGGAGGCAATAGTTTAAATTCTCTAAAATACTGGGCACATTAGCTCATGCCTGTAAGCACTTTGGGAGGCTGAGATGGGAGGATCACTTGAGGCCAGTAGTTCAAAACCAGCCTGGGCAACAGAGTGAGACTCCAGTGCTACAAAAAATTAAAAATTAGCTGGGTGTGGTGGGCACACGCCTGTAGTCTAAGCTTCTCTGGATGGAGGCTGAGGCGGGAGGATTGCTTGGGCACAGAAATTCAAGGTTACAGTGAGCTGTGATTGTGCCACTGCACTCCAGAGTGAGACCCTATCTCTAAAAATATTAAATTAAAAAAAACCCATACAACTCAAATTTCCAGGTACTGTTATTAATATGAGTTATCTTGAACTGTTGAAAAATTAATCACTTATTGTTGATTTCTATCTGCATATTAAAGATCTGGCTTAAGAGTCTTGCATTTGATGAATAGGCTTTTCTATGTTATATACAAGAAAAAGGAGATAAAATAATTTAACTTTTTTATTACATTAAAAAACAGGACTCTGGGAATTGTCACTTTATGATCAGCCTTATATTTTTTCCAGACTGTGTCATTGTGTATGCCTGTGCCACCCAACGGATGAGACCACTGATCATGTTTAGCTCAAATTTATGTTGGATAGAGGTTATAGGATGGTCCTTATCTGAATGCAGAAAGGAATGTTTATTTTGCTGTTATGTTTTATATGGGATAAAATGCTTGAAAAGTCTTTTTTTTTTCTGTATTTTTTTTTTTGAGACGGAGTCTTGCTGTGTCGCCCAGGCTGGAGTGCAGTGGTACGATCTTAGCTCACTGCAAGCTCTGCCTCCCAGGTTCATGCCATTCTCCTGTCAGCCTCCCGAGTAGCTGGGACTACAGGCAGCCGCCACCACACCTGGCTGATTTTTTGTATTTTTAGTAGAGACAGGGTTTCACCACGTTAGCCAGAATGGTCTTGATCTCCTGACATTGTGATCTGCCCGTCTCGGCCTCCCAAAGTGCTGGGATTGCAGGTGTGAGCCACCACGTCCAGCTTTTTTTGTTGTTGTTGTTTTCTGAGACAGAGTCTTTGGCTCTGTCACCCTGGCTGGTTAGTAGTTGGAACTATAGGCGCGTACCGCCATGACCGGCTAATTTTTGTATTTTTTTGTAGAGATGGGGTTTCACCATGTTGACCAGGCTGATCTTGAACTCCTGACCTCAAGTGATCCACCTGCCTTGGCCTCCCAAAGTGCTGGGATTACAGGTGTGAGCCACCACATCTGACCTACTTGAAAATTCTTAAATGGTGCCTTATACTTTCTGGTAATAAAAGCACTATTTTAATGTTCGGAACTATTTTCATTATTTGCTAACCTTACAATTAAAAAATCCTTTTATATTTATCTTTGGATAGATATGAGGGGACCTCAAAAAGTTTGTGGAAAAATGGAATTAAAAGATAAAAATACAAAATATAAACTTTATTCTCAATATAAGCTCTATCGAGTTCAAGAAAATTTTGTAAGCAATAATGCTAGCCATTTAGTCCACTCCTAAAGAAGTCCTGTAACCATATCAGTATGTGCAGTCTTTTTTTTGCATTATTAATTAAAGAAAAATGGGTGCCCTTTAAATTTTTTTTTAAGGTTCGGAAACAAAAAGAAGTCAGAAGGAGCCAATCAGCACTGTTTGGTGGATGCCCAGTGATTTCCCATTGAAACCCTAGCAAAACTGCCCATTTGAGAGGAATGAGCAGGAACCTTGTGGTGGTGAAAGTCAACAAGATTCCTTGAGCATTCCAAAAAGCTTTTGTCATGACCTTCGCTCTTGATGGGTTTGCTTTTGCTCTAACTGGATCACTTTCATCTCTTGGTACCCATTGCTTTGTTTTTTTCTTTGTCTTCAGGATCACACTGGTAAAGTCATGTTTCATCTCCTGTTAAAATTTTTCAAAGAAATTCCACATGCTCTTGTTGCCACTTGTTTAAAATTTGCATTGAAGGCACTGCTTTTGTCTGTGGCCGATCTGAGCACAATGGTTTTAGTACCCATCAAGCAGAAAGTTTGTTCAACTTAAATTTTTTTGTTAGATTTGTATACGCTGAATGAATTTATATGTCTATGGTATTGGCTGTTGTTTGTGCTGTTAATCATTGGATCTCTACATTTAGGTTACAAACGGGATGAATTTTTTCCTAAAAAATTTATGTTGATAGTCTGCTACTGCAGGCTTCATCTTCAATATCATCTTGTCCCTTCTTACAATGAATTATCCTATTTATAAACTGCTGATTTCTTAGGGGCATTGTTTCTATAAAGTTTTCGTAAAGCACCAGTGATTTTACCATTCTTCCACTCAAACTTCACCATAAATTTGATGTTTTGTTCTTGCTTCAATTTTAGCAGAATTCATGTTGCTCTGTTAGGGTGCTTTTCAAACCAATGTCTTATCCTTCTTAGTGCCTCAAACTACATCTTGTTCAGATGTGTTATAACAAGTTAGTACCAGCTTATTTTGGTGCAAAATTTTATTGAAATTCATGCATAGTGTTTTCATAAAACATATGTTACACGAACTTTTTGAAGATCCCTTGTACCTGTAGTCCAAAATTCAGAAGTTACTAAAGAATGTAAAATAAAAATAAGTCTTCTTCCTATGCTTGTTTTCACTTACCCAGTTTCCTTCCTCATCTTCCTGATGGATTAAAAAAAAAATGACATGATCTAAAAAATATGATCTATTTTAGGTCTAAGGACATGTATAGGTTGAAAGTGAAAGGACTGAAAGAGTTATCACATGCAAATAGTAACTAAAAGAGAGCTGGGACAGTTTGCTAATATCAGACAAGATAGATTTTTAGTTAAAAACTCTTATAAACACTTAAGAGGCTGGGTGTGGTGGCTCATGCCTGTAATCCCAGCACTTTGAGAGGCTGAGGTGTGTGGATCACTTGAGGTAAAACTTCATCTTTACTAAAAATACAAAGATTAGCCGGGCATGGTGGTGTGTGCCTGTAATCCCAGCTACTCAGGAAGCTGAGGCAGAAGAATTGCTTGAACCAGGGAGACGGAGGTTGCAGTGAGCCGAGATCAAGCCATTGCACTCCACCCTGGGCGACAGAACAAGACTGCCTCAAAAACAAAAAACAAAAAACAAAAAAAACCCTCTTATAAGAGACAAGGAAGAGCATTAAATAGAAGAGTCGATACACCAAGAAGATATAACAATTATAAACATGTATGTACTGAACATCAGAGCTCCAAATAACCTGAAGCAAATATTGACCTCATTGAGCAACAGACAGATCTAAAATAATAACTGGAGACTTTAATATGCCACTTTCAATAATGGGTAGAACAACTAGACAGATCTAGTCTAGTTAGAAGTAGAGTGGAATTATAGGCATGGTGGCTCACGCCTATAATCCTAACATTTTACGAGACTGAAGTGGGAGGATTGCTGGAGCTCAGGAGTTTGAGACCAGCTTGGATAAATAGTGAGACCTTGTCTCTACTAAAAATTAAAAAATTAGCTGGGCATGTTATTGCACCCCTGTTGTCCCAGCTACTTGGAAGGCTGAGGTGGGAAGAGGAAGATTGTTTGAACCCAGGAGTTTGAGGTTGCAATGAACTGTGATCATGTCCTTGCACTCTAGTCTGGGCAACAGAGTAAGACCTTGTCTCCCCCACTAACTCCACTGCCCCCCCCCAAAAAATAAAAAAAACAAAACAAAACAAAGAAATAAAAGACTTTAACACCGCTGTAAACCAGTTGGGCCTAATAGGCATGTATACTCCACTCAGTAGCTATTTTTCTCAAGTGCACATAGAACATTCTTCAGGATAGACCATATACTATGCCATAAAATTAGTCTTAATAAATTTAAAAAGATTGAAATTACACAAAGTGCCTTTTCTAATCACAATGGAATGAAAGTGGAAATATGAGAATGAGAACTGGAAAATTCACAAATATGTGGAAATTAACACACTTAACCATTGGGTCAAAAATCACAAGGTAAATTAGAAAATATCGAGACAAAAACACAGCATACCAAAACTTAGGGGTTGCAATATATATATCACTTCATACAATTGGCTTTTCAAAATCAGTTAAGACAAAAGGTAAACATTTATATAATTACAGGTACTCTTTCTTTTTTGTTGGGCGGTGGTGGGTGGTACGTGGATTTGAATTGCTGTTTGAGGTCACTTGCTTCCAGGCTTTTGCATTTCTTTTAAGGGGGATCTTCCAGGAACAAAATCTGTTTTATTGCTTTTTAAAATCTGAGAAGGTCTGTTTCGCCTTCAGTTTTGAAATGTAGTTTTGCTAGATATAAGATTGGTTGACAGGTTTTTTTTTTCTTTTATTTGAACACTTTGATTATGTTATCTCATTGTTTTCTGTCTGCCATTGTTTCTGCTTAGAAGTCAGCTGCTAATCTTACTGGGTTCCATTTTAAAATAATGAGTCGTTTGGTTCTTGCTGCTTTTAAGATTTTCTCCTTGACTTTGACTTTCAACATTTTTACTGTGAGGCATCTGTCTGGATGTCCTTGCCTTTCTCTGAGTTAAAATACATTGAGTTTCCTGGATGTGTGGTTTATTGTCTTCAGTACATTTGTGGAGTTTTCAGCCATTATTTCTTTGAATTTTTTTTCCCCTCTACCACTTTTTCTCCTCTCCTTTTAGAGTACCAAACTGTGCCTATTGGTGTCCCACATAGCTCTAAGATTTTCCAATTTACTGTTGAGCCCCCCCACCCTTTATTTTTAAATTTCCATTATTGTAATTTTCAGCTTCATAATTTTTATTTGGTTCTTTTTTGTAGTTTACATCTCTTCATTGATCTCTATCTGAGGTGATATTGTCATTATGCTTTCCTTTACTTTTATTATTTATTTATTCTTTTTTTAGAGACGGAGTCTCTCTCTGTCGCCCAGGCTGGAGTGCAGTGGCGCGATCTCGGCTCACTGCAAACTCCGCCTCCCGGGTTCACGCCATTCTCCTGCCTCAGCCTCCCGAGTAGCTGGAACTACAGGTGCCCGCCACCACGCCTGGCTAATTTTTTATATTTTTATTAGAGATGGGGTTTCACCGTGTTAGCCAGGATGGTCTCAATCTCCTGACCTTGTGATCTGCCCACCTCGGCCTCCCAAAGTGCTGGGATTACAGGCGTGAGCCACCGTGCCTGGCCTGCGTTTTACATTTAAGTCTATGATCCATTTTGAGTTAATTTTTGTATGAAGTGTGACCTAAATTTACAGGTTGAAGTTTTTTTTTTAAGTTTTTTGTCTATGGATGTTCAATTATTTCAGCACCATTTATTGAAAAGGTTATCCTTCCATTATTGAATTGCTTTGGATATTTGTAAACGTGTTTAGGGAAAAACTCTCCTCAAACTGTGTTTTTCCTCTACTGTCATACCACAGCAATAATCAACACAGAAGAAGACTTCTGTGATCACACACATGGGGTTGTTTTCCCCACACACCAAGCAGCAGACAGCAGCCTGAGTGTCCTCTAATTCAGTTCGACACTATCTCCGGGTCATTGGTGTCAGATCCCACAGGTTGAGGGCTCCGTACCTAAGACTACTCCCCTAACACACACACCAGTCATAAGTCGGGGCCTCCAGAACTTCTGACCAACCAGCTTCAAGTTGGGGCTCCCATGGCCCCCTCTTTGGGTTCATTAATTTGCTGGACTGGCGCACAGAACTCAGGGAAACACTTATTTACGCTTACTAGTTTATTATAAAGAATATTGCAAAGGTTACAGATGAAGGGACGTGCAGGGCTACGTATGGGGGAAGGGGTGTGAAACTTTCATGTCCTCCCTGGATGCTCCACCCACCAGGAACCTCTGTGTGTTCAGCTGTCTTGAAGTTCACTGAACCCTGTCCTCTTGGGTTTTTATGGAAGCTTCATGACATCAACATTCCTACCCCAAGGGCATAGATGGGACCCTACATGAGAGAGTCTTAAGACCCGCAATCAAAAAGTCAGGGGAACATTAAGTGTGGAAAGCAGGCAGGAGAAAGAGGCCTGCCTCTGAGGCCTAACACTTCCAACATTATAATGAAAGACTGGAATAAAGGCTATGGGAGTTAAGGCCAGGAACCATGGAAGAAGACCAATAGATATCATAGCACCACAATAAAATAACAGGCATACTTGTGTGGGTCATTTCTGGGTTCTCTGTTCTGTTCTGTTACTCTATGTGTGTATTCTTTTGCTCATACCAACACAGTCTTGACTAGCTATGTAGTTGGCCTTCAGTGAGGTCTTTTTCGATTGTTTTAGCTATTTTGGAGCTTTGCCTTCCATGTAAGTTTTATAATGAGTTTTTATCTACAGAAATCCTTGCTGGGATCTTGATAGGAATTGTATTAACCTATAGAACAATTTGGACAGAATTGACATCTTTACTGAGTCAGTATATTGCTGAGAACATAGTATAACATATTGCTATTTGTTTAGTTTTTTTTTTTTTTTTTTTTGAGAAATGGGGTCTCATGCTGTTGTCCAGGCTGGAGTGCAGTGGTGTCATCATAGTTCACTGCAGCCTCAAACTCCTGGACTCAAGCAGTTCTCTCACCACATTCTCTTCAGTACCTAGACTACACAGGTGCATGCCACTAAACTCAGCTAACTTTTAATTTTTTTTTAGTGACATGGTCTTGTTGCCCAGGCTGGTCTCAAACTCCTGGTCTTGAAGTGATCCTCTTGCCTCAGTCTCTTGTATTTGTTTAGATTTCTGATTTATTTCATCAGCATTTTGGAATTTTTAGCATATAGGGCCTATACGTATTTTGCTAAGCGTATACTTAAAGTATTTAATTTTCTATGGAGCAGTTGTAAATGGTATTGTTAAAAATTTCAGTTTCTGCGTGTTTATTGTTAATATATAGAAAAGTAAATGATGGCTGGGCACAGTGGCTTATACCTTTAATCCCAGCACTTTGGGAGGCCAACGTGAGAGGATCACTTGAGTTCAGGAGTTCAAGACCAGCCTGGGCAACATAGCGAGACTCCATCACTACAAGAAATTAAAAAAAAAAAAAAAAGGCCAGGTATGGTGGTGTGCACCTGTAATCCTAGGTACTTGGCAGGTGGAGGGCAGGAGGATCCGTTGAGCCCAGGAGTTCAAGGTTACAGTGAGGTATGATTGCACCATTGCACTCCAGCCTGGGCAACAGAGTGAGACCCTGTGTCTCTAGAAAGAAAAGAGAAGTGATTGATATTTGAGTGTTGATCTTGAATTCTTCCTGAACTCATTATTTCTAGAATTTTTTTTTGTAGATCCTCAGTAACATTTTAAGATTTGTTTTGAAGTGTTTTATCTTTTTTCTATTGTGATGTATTCTTATTTCATAATGACCAAATATTGTGGGGTTTTAGGATGAAGGCTGTTGAAATCCATATATCAATTTTATGCCCCATCACATTGATGATTTTTCTTATTTATAATTTTTTCTTTAGTTGATTCTCCTGGATTTTATAGATAAAAGAGTCATATAATCTGCAAATAGTTACAGTTTACCTTTTTTTCCCCCAATTTTTATACTCATTTTTTTCCCTCATTTAATTATCTAAGACTTCCAAGATAGAGTTAAATAATGCTGGTAATACCATTTTCTGGCTTTAGACTCTTAGACTTGTTTGCTTTTTTTTTTTTTCTTCAAGGCATTGCATGCTAGTAGGAGTTCATTTTATTTCAGTAGGTAGAATGCAAATAGAGTAAAACATATAGTAAATTTCAGTTCTCTAGTGTGTTCTAGTATTGGGGTGTTCTGTTTTGTTAAATTTATGGGAACCTGAAGGTTGACATAAATACTTTTACTTCAACAGTTCTACTGTTGAAAGTCAATATTATAGGCCTTCCTGCTTTCTGTAGAGTGGCCAATATTTGATTTCTTTGTAGATTTTGCAGCACTTTATTTTCTTCATTCTTATTTTATCATACTTGTCAATTTAGAAAACAGTATTGATAGGAATGTATATTGATCTCAGGACTTTACTGGAGAGTTGATTTTCTTCTTTTTATTTTAAGGAGGATCCTTAAAAATTATTGGGGAACTCTTATTTGTTGTCATTTGATTTCTTCTTCTGAGATGAGGATTACAAAACAATTCTAACTAATGGAGCTTTTCAGTTTTTCTTTTTTATTACGAGATGGGGTCTTTGCTTTGTTACTCAGGCTGGAGTGTAGTAATGCCATCAGAGCTCAGTGCAACCTCGAACTCCTGGGCTTAAGTGATCCTCCCACTTCAGCCTCTTGAGTAGCTAGTACTACAGCCATGAGCCACGTGCCACCACACCCGGCTAATTAAAAAAATTTTTTTTTTTGTAGAGGTGGGTCTCACTTTGTTGCCCAAGCTGGTTTCGAACTGCTGGGCTCAAGTGATCCTCCTGCCACAGCTATCCAAAGTGCTGGGATTACAGGTGTGAGCCACTGTGCCCGCCTGAGCGTGCGTTTATAGTCTCATAAATGAGCAACATTCCTCCATATATAGCTCCTGCTGATGAAAAGTTTGGTGTGCTGATATTTTTCTTTTCTTTTCTTTCTTTCTTTTTTTTTTTTGAGATGGAGTTGCCAGGCTGGAGTGCAGTGGCATGATCTCGGCTCACTGCAGCCTCTGCCTCCCGGGTTCGAGCAATTCTCCTGCCTCAGCCTCCTAAGTAGCTGGGATTACAGGCATGCGCCACCACACCCAGCTAATTTTTTGTATTTTTAGTAGAGACTAATTTTTTGTATTTTTAGTAGAGGGTTTCACCATGTTGGCCAGGATGGTCTAGATCTTCTGACCTTGTGATCTGCCCGTCTCGGCCCCCCAAAGTGCTGGGATTACAGGCGTGAGCCACTGCTCCTGGCCTCTTTTTTTTTTTTTTTTTTTTTAAGATAATGTCTCACTCTGTTGCCCAGGCTGGAGTGCAGTGGCGTGATCTTGGCTCACTGCAAACTCCCCCTCCCAGGCTCAAGTAATCCTCTCACCTTGGCCTCCCTAAGTGCTGGGATTACAGGCATGAGCCACTGTGCCTAGCCTAGTGTGGTGATATTTCAAGAACACTTTACAAAGCTTTATTCTACTTGCTACAGCTTCAGCATCAAGATCCTGACTCTGTAGTTTTCTTGTGATATAAACCAACTACATTTAGGGTTCATTTTCTTATCTTTTACTCACCCCAGTCTTAATTTTGTTGCACAGTGGAAAGCACATGAACTTCATGAGGTTCAGAAACTGGGTATAACACAGCTGCTTCTCTTTGAATCCTAATGACCTTGAATAAGTTATCCAAACTCTAATCCTCAAAATGGAGGATAATAATACCTCAGAAGGCTATATTTAAAGATGCTGTGAAGTACCACATGTAAATTATCTGGTACAGAATTTACCTTTGTTGATTCTCAGTAAATGTTTGCTGCCTCTCCCCTGAAACAAAATGAAATGGTGTGTGTGAATAGCTTTGTGAGCTTTAAATAATATAATTAAATAGAAGCCATTATTCTGTTTCCTCTTTCAGAAATGGGCATTAATAACATAATTTATAATCTCAATAGTATCATGTGCTTGGCCCAGGTACATGCCCAGGTTTGGTATTCTTTAGATTTTTGTTTCTTCTTGCCCTACATACTTCGAAAGCCCTTGGAGAAATCCTACAGCAAATTCACATGATTTATGAAACCAACAGTTGACTAATTCTTACTCTGTTTCTTTGACTAATTCTTAGTCTATGTATCCACATATATGAAACTAAATCCACCTGTTACCTTCTTTTTATGGTATCTGGGTTCTCCTACTTTGCCCTACTCCTTTCCCCACTAAGAACCTTGAACCTCATGGAATTTATTAGCTAGCATATACCCTGGTCTCTTCCTGTTTTGGTATTTCTGGTTGGATTGACTGTGATAATCCTTATTGGATATTCAACTAATTGTCTAAAATAAGCTTACATATCATGAGTTAAGAGGTATAGTGCCAAGGACTTGAAAAGCTTGAACTCCTAGGACTTACTTGCTGCAGTCCAGTTTAGAGAGAAATTAATGATTTCTGAAAATGTTCTTAGCACTCAAGAGCATTGAGATATTATCAAATATTCATTAAACATTTGTGTGCGTAGCACTTTCTGGGAACCCAGATGGATGTAAAACGTGTATGCTTTGGTCCTGAGTTTCTTCCTTCCAGGGTAGTCTAGTTAGAGTTCAGAATAACTCAAAAAAGTTGAAATGTAAGACATTAAGCCTTTTGAATACAAAATATTATGGATAATATGTGCTTATAAATTTGAAGACTTTGTCCTGTTTATTTTTTATAAAGTATGGTGAATTTTGTTTTCCTTTACCTGTGAACTAGAAATAAAAATACCCTGTGGGGTCATTGTGATGTTTAAATGAGATTGGATATGTAAAGCCCAGTTATAATATATAAACTTACATATATTCTTTCTAATACATACAATTAGTATTTAGAATTCTAATTTCTAATTGTATACTATTTTTTAAATTAAACAAGTAATATGATACATGGTTAAAAAAAATGCAGGCAGAACAAAGTAAGTATTCTTCTCACTTCAGACCCGAGGTTCTTCCATATGTTCTTCTGTACCAAGAGTATGGTTTTAAATATTTTTCATTAATTATTCTAGAACATATGCACTTACATATACTTACATATTTTTATAACATATAAGTGGGAACATATTATTCATGTTGTCTTGTATCCTGTGTTTTTCATTTAAAAAGAGATTTTTGGCTATATTCCCTGTCAACAAATATAGCTTTTAAGTACATTATTCTTTTATTATTGATTGCTGAGTATTCTGTCGTTTGGATATGTGATAATATAACTGATATTTTCCCCAGCACTCCTTTAATGCATTTTTTCAAAACTTTCATCTTCTTAGGATCAACTCACTATCCTGAAGGTCCATTCTCCCAAGAAGAGGGGACAGAAAGACAGATCTATTTGTAAGAAAGGCTTGGGTATCCCATGAACGAGCCAACAGAAAACCGATTGGGGTGCAGCAGGACTCCAGAGCCAGATATAAGGCTCAGAAAAGGGCACCAACTGGATGGTACACGAAGAGGTGATAATGACAGCCACCAAGGAGATTTGGAGCCCATTTTAGAGGCATCTGTTCTATCTTCCCATCATAAAAAAGTAAGTCAAATTGGAAGAATGATAAACAAAGGAAAAAATGTGGAGGAAGTGGCAGAGGGAGGATATGGGGAAAAAAAAGTGGGGGTCCATTGCTGGAGGGAGGATGGGGTGGTAAGAAGGAAACTTGCACATTTGTATTTTTTTCTTCTGGATAACTTGAAGTCTCTTATCTTTATTATTATTATTACTACTACTACTACTACTACTACTACTACTACTACTACTACTACTACTATTGAGACGGAGTCTCGCTCTGTCACCCAGGCGGAGTGCAGTAGCATGATCTCGGCTCGCTGCAACCTCCGCCTCCTGGGTTCAAGCGATTCTCCTGCCTCGACTACAGGTACATGCCACCATGCCAGGCTAATTTTTGTAGCTTTAGCAGAGATGAGGTTTTGCCATGTTGGCCAGGCTGGTCTCGAACTCCTTACCTCAGGTATCCTCCCACCTCGGCCTCCCAAAGTGCTGGGATTACAGGCATGAGTCATCGTGCCCAGCTTCTTATTCTTAAATTAGCTTAGATATTATTTGATTTTGATTTTATGGTTAATGTCTTTCTGCTGACTCTTTTTTTTTTAATTTCGGAGACGGAGTCTTGTTCTGTCGCCAGGCTGGAGTGCAGTGGTGCGATCTCAGCTCACTGCAACCTCTACCTTCCAGGTTCAAGTGATTATCCTGCCTCAGCCTCCCGAGTAGCTGGGATTACAGGCACCTGCCACCACGCCTGGCTACTTTTTGTATTTTTAGTAGAGATGGAGTTTCACCATGTTGGCCAGGATGGTCTCCATCTCAACCTCCTTATCCACCTGCCTCAACCTCCCAGAGTGCTGGGATTATAGACGTGAACGACTGCGCCCGGCCTCTGCTGACTCTTAAAAGCGTACTTAACCTGCTTTATCTTGTTGAAGGGAGAAGACGTGGTCTATGGGTACCATATAATCTAATTTAACCATACTTTAGCTATGACGTTATCTGTTATTTTTGGAGAAATTCGAATTGCGTGTTAGAGCTACTTTTCCAGAAATTGTTTACCTCCAGTGTATACCTTGGGAGTCAGTAGAGTTCTGAAAGCTGAAGCAGATTTTATTCTTTCATTTCCTAGAGAAAAGAGCAACCTTTAGGCAACTATACCTATAGAGCAGAAGTATCAGAAAGTCATTGTTACAGACATTTTGCTATGTGCTTTGGAACTTCCAAATTATATAGCATGTGTTTAATGTTTTATTACTAGTACAGTGTTTCTCAAACTTTGGGTTGTACCTATTAGTGGGTTTTGAAATTAATTGTATTATAAAGTGTTAAAAATTAAAGATCAAAATAGAATAAAAACATTGAAGTGTGTATATAGTAAGTAATACACATTTAAATTGTTTTAGTTTTATATAGTTATGTATATAAATATGAATAATAATATGAAATACATTTCTTACTACGGGTTGTGGTTAACATTTTGAAAGCTTCTACTGGGAACAGCAGCTGGGGGAAGAGTGTTTCAAGGTAGAGGAAACAAGCTAGTGCCAAGGTCCAAAGGTGGGAATATGCTTATCTTCCTTGCCTTCCCCTCCTGCCTCCCACCACCACCTGCGCCTGCTTGTATCATCTTTCTCTTCTTTCATCTTCTCCTTTATTTTATTATTATAATTATATTTTTTTTGAGATAGAGTCTCGCTCTGTTGCCCAGGCTGGAGTGCAGTGGCACCATCTCGGCTCACTGCAACCTCCGCCTCCCAGGTTCAAGTGATTCTCCTGTCTCAGCCTTCCGAGTAGCTGGGACTACAGGCCTGCGCAACCACATCCGGCTAATTTTTGTATTTTTAGTAGAGACGGGGTTTCACCATGTTGGCCAGGCTGGTCTTAAACTCCTGACTTCAAGTGATCCGCCACCTTGGCCCCGCAAATTGCTGAGATTACAAGCGTGAGCCACTGTGCCTGGCCTTCTTTTTTTTTTTTTTTTTTTAAAGGACCAAAAGAAGGCCAGTGTAGTTAGAGCATGAGGAACTAGAGGGAAGAGTGAAATGAGATAAGGTCAGTGGGCCAGTCAGAGAACAGATTATACAGGTTTATTCAGGGAATTTAAATTTTATTTTAATAAAATTGCCTGGCACGTGGGCAGCTTTTGGGGTGTTTAAACATGGAGACATTTGTGTTTTTAAAAGTATGACTCTGGTTGTGGAATGGATTATTTGAAGACAGAATGGAAGAGGGACCCAGGTGTTAGAATATAGATGAGAGATGATGTCACTTGAAACAGCATGGTGGGAGCAGCAGAAATGGAGGGAAATGGTTGGATTCTGGATATATTTTGTGGGTCAAATCAACAAGACTTCCTGATGGATTAGCTGTAGAGTGAGGAAAATAGAGGAATCAAGGCTGATTCTCTGAGCTGAACTGAAATGGTAAAGCAAGAGGGAAGAGCGGGTTTAAGGTAGGGAAATCAAGAGTGGTGTTTTGGAAATGTGAGATTCAAGATTCTTGTTAGATATCTTAGAAGATATATTGAGGAGTCAGTAACTGTGTCACGATTAGATTTTTATTTACCTCTGTTTCTTAACTATTTTTAAAACTGAACTGTTATTAAGGAATCTAAGGAATTTTCAAGCTTGAAAGAATTTCAGGCTAGCCAATTTGAGATTCATAATGGCAATAAAATTCTGTTTATCATGCTACATTATTTTTAATTACGTACAAAGATCTAACATGTCACCCAGGGACCATTTCACCCACTGCTCTGTTTGGTCGCCAGTCTTTTGTCTTTCTTTTCAGCAATGGTGAGGCAGATACCCTTTTCCTCAGGGAAGAGAAGTCTGTGGTTTGTTGCCCTTGCCAATAACAAAAATGTTGGAAAGTTGAGTGGCAAAGCTGTTTCCATTGGCATCTTTCATGTGAACCACATCAAAAGATCCAGAGTGCCTCTCTCTGTTGGTTATCACACCAGTTCTTCCCAGGTTAGCACCTACAGTCACCATGCATAGGTTACCATTGTCAAACTTGATGAAATTGGTAATCTTGCCAATCTCCAAATCTGTCTGAATGGTATCATTCACCTTGATGAGGGAATCAGGGTAGCGGATGGTGCCGGGCATCATGAGTCACCAGATGAGGGATTCCTTTTGTGCCCCCAGAGATTTTTCTCACTTTGTATTTGGCCTCCTCAGGTGTAATAGGATGTACAGCAAAGCGACCCTTGGTGTCATAGATGAGACGGAAATTCTCCCCCGTCTTGTCAATGCTGATGACATCCATGAATCCAGCAGGGTAGGTTATATGAGTTCGGACCTTGCCATCGATCTTAATGAACCTCTGCATGTAATCTTCTTTACTTCATCTCCTGTCAGGGCTTACTTAAGTCTGTTCCTTAGGAATATGATGGGGAGACACTCTCTCAACTTGTGGGGACTAGTGGATGGACGAGGAGCAAACACACCGGTCAATTTATCCAGCATCCAATGCTTTGGAGCTGCTGCCCACTTCAGATGCTTCTTGGGACCACGCGCCATGGCTGCGTTAGGCAGGGAAAGCAAAATATATTTTTAGAGTCCAGAACTTGCCCACCCAATCACTTTTGTGTCAGATTTACATTAATTGATTTTTTTATGTGTTGTAATACTATATATTTTTGTTTCCTGTCTTCACTGGTTGAAGTGGTATCTTCTGTAAATAATATTTGTGTTTTAATTTCACTAATAAATAATTAGGTGGATGGGATTTTTCCCATCCTTATGAATGAACTCATTTATTGCCCTGAAAGCCTCTCTTTGATTTTCCTTTTATCTTGAGCTAATGCAAAAGTTAGCAGTATGAACAAAAGAACCATTTTTTCTTTCATTTGTTTTAATAGATTTTTCTATGAGGAGCCAAGGAAAGAAAGGATCCATAGGTTGTGGAATGTTAGAGCTGAAAAGGCCTTCCAAAATCATCTTGTTTGCCTTCCTCAATTTACCAGTGAGGAAATTGTGTTTTTATTCCTAATGAAAATTTGCGTGTGTATGTTGTTTCTCTTTGGAGTTGAAGTTGTTTGCTGAAAAAGAGAATCTATATGCAGTACTGTCCCTTGCTGCCAATTTCACGGTTAATGTATACTACACATGGGAGCTAGAAAAGAAGGGGGATAGATAAGAGTTATAGAGAACTGCAGTTTTGAGACTGAAATTAAAGGCAAAATATTGATATCTTCACATGATTTGAGGAGTTCCATATGCTGATTTTTTTTGTTGTTTGGAGAAAGGACTCATTTCTTAAAATTTTCAGTTTTGAAGTTGAAACATCTGAACTGTAGACTGCAACCTTCTGGATAATTCTAGTAATATCTTAATTGTGTCACTTTCACAGACATTATCTCATTTGCTTCTCAAAACTATACTCTGAAATAGAGCAGATATGATTTCTTTTTGAAAGTAGACGAAAATAGGATTTAGAAAGGTTAGTTTAGGAATTTGCCCAAGGTAACATGACAAGATGAGAGCATGTGCTAAGTCTTCTGACTGCTCTTTCTGCCGAACAAAGCTGCCTTTATGAGAATTGGCACCAGATTGACTTAATGTTTCTGAATTCCAAACTCAGTCCCTGAGTTGTTTATATTGACCTAGAGGTTAGATTCAACAGTTGGTCTTGTTTTTTGGCAGAAGTTGTTGCAGACCTCGTTTTCTGTTAGGCCAGGGTAATTTTGCTTCTCAGATGTGTTCTAACTTTGTAATGGGTTTTCTGTTTATTTTGAAAGCAAATAGAACGAATATATCATAGTACAGTCATTCACATTTCTAACAATTTTGCATCATTTTCTTTGTTTTTTTCCCTCTTTTAGAAGATGCAGATCTTAACTAAATTGCTTAGGCTTCATTTAAAACATTATGGGAGCCCTTAGGCTCTCTTAAGTTGTGGAGATTGGCATTCACATGCCAATCATGAATAAGGATCAAAGTAAAATAGGAAAAGCAGCAGGGGTGTCTCGTTTTTTATTAAGTGGAATTCTGAATTTATAAAGTAAGATTTAAGGTAATTATGTGCATTACAGACTGTGGTATCTTTTTGTACAAGTCTTTATTTACCGCCAGGTTTCTTTAAATCAATAAACCTATTAGGAGTGCCCACCTGATCACATATTGCCCTTTATAGAAAACTACAAATGCCAGGATTTTATTCCAGGCCTGCTGAATCAGAATCTTTGGGTCCTGGGTATATTTTTTTTGTTTCACAAGTAAGATGCTCACTACTGTTTAAAAACCTCCTTCCTGGCCAGGCGCAGTGGCTCACACCTGTAATGTCAGCACTTTGGGAGGCCGAGGCAGACAGATCATGAGGTCAGGAGTTTGAGACCAGCGTGTCCATCATGCTGAAACCCCGTCTCTACGAAAAATACAAAAATTAGCTGGGTGTGGTGGCAGGCACCTATAATCCCGGCTACTTTGGGAGGCTGAGGTAGGAGAATCGCTTGAACCCAGGAGGTGGAGGTTGCAGTGAACCGAGATTGCACCGCTGCACTCCAGCCTGGGTGACAGAGTAAGACTCTGTCTCGGGGAAAACAAAACAAACAAAACAAAACAAAAAAAACAACCTCCTTCCCGTAGGAGATAGTTAAGGAAAACAAATAAACAAAACCCAAACCAGTGCCTAATTTTTTTTGATATTTATTTATTTTAAATAAGTATTTTATTTAAAATAGTTAATGTATTAAAAACTTCTTAGCAACATGCTTTGCAAAGAAATCTTAACACATTCTCTGAAGATTGTTAGGGAAATAAAGTTAGATTTATTTACTGTTTGTTAAAGGAAAATATCACATTTACTCACAGTTGACTCTTAAAACATTTTTTTTTGAGATAAATTTTACATACCATAAAATTAACCCATTTAAAGTGTACAATTTAATGGTTTTATTAGTCACAGGGTTGTACAACCATCACTTCATTCTAACTTTAGGACATTTTTATCATCCCCTAAAGAAACCTTAACCCATTTGCCATCACTTCCCATCTCTACCCCCAACCCTAGGCAACCTCTAGTCTACTTTCTGTCTCTATGGCTTTGTCTAATCTGGACTTTTAAATAAATGGAAGTGTAAGGCATGTGGTGTTTTGTATCTAGCTTCTTTTACTTAGCATAATGTTTTTAAGTTTCATCAATATTGTAGTATGTACCAGTACTTCATTCCTCTTTATGACTGAATAATATTCCATTGTATGGATATACAGGGGTTCTTTCTTATTTGTGGTTTCACATTCTGTGGTTTCAGTTACCCATGGGTCAACTGAGATCTGAAAATATTAAATGGAAAATTCCAGAAATAATTTCTAAGTTTTAAACTTTGTGCTGATCTGAGTGGTGTGATGAAATCTCTCACCTTCCTTGCCCTGTCCTGCCTTACCCAGGAAATGAATCATCCCTTTGTCCAGCATATCCATGCTGCAGATGGCTGGCTACTTAGTTACTTAGTAGCCTTCTGGTTATAAGGTCACAGATCACAAGAAGCGTGAGTGCAATACACTAAGATATTTTGAGTGAGAGAGAGAGCATATTCACATAACTTTTTTTTACAGTATATTGTTATAATTGTTCTATTTTATTATTGGTTGTTAATCTCTTACTGTACCTAATTTATAAATTAAACTATGTTATAGGTATGTATATATAGGAAAAAACACAGCATATATAGGGTCCAGCAGTATCCATGATTTCAGGCATCCACTAGGGGTCTTAGAACATATTTCCTGTGGATGGGGGGAAACTACTGTACTATAGTTTATCCAATAATGAGTTGATGGACACTGGATTGTTTCCACTTTTCGACTGTTGCAAATAATGTTGCTATTATCATTCATGTAGAAGCTTTTGTATGGATGTGTTTTCATTTCTGTTGGGTATATACTCAGGAGGGATTTTTCTGGGTTATATGTTAACTCTGTGTTTAACATTTTGAGAAACTACCAGACTGTTTTTCATAGCAGCTGCACCAGTTTATATTCCCACCAACAATGTGTGGGGGTTCCACTTTCTCCACACCCACACTAACTATTGTTACTATATTTTGAATATAACTATCCTAGTGGGTGTGAAACGATATTTCATCATAGTCAGTTAGCTCTTGAGCTTTTATGAAGAGACCTGCCTAGGTTAACTTTAGCTCAGGATTTTAAGTATTAACCTCTTTGAGGAATTTGGAAATAGAAGCTAAATTCAAACTTACTATAAAACTCAAGTTGTGTCAATTTCACTTCAAATGGTCTCCTCATCATCTGTTCTGCCATTACTTTAATCTAAGCCACCACCATCTTCCATCTGGAATACACCTGACAGGACTTCTGTTTTGTTTCTTGTGCTGTCCAATATATTCTTCGCACAGTTCCTAGAGAGAGCTCTTAAAAATATAAAGTTTATTATGCCATTCCCATTTAAGAAATTCATTTGTTTCCCATTGCACTTATGGTACAATCCCAAATTCTTTCTATAACCTTCGGGATCCTGCGTGATCTCACTGCTGCCCTATCTGGCCAACTTCATTTCAGGACATTCTTCTCCATGTTCATTGAGCTGCAGCCGCATTGGCCTTATTTCAGTTTCTTAAACAGGCTGGGCTCTTTCCAGCTTCAGAGCCTTCAAACATGGCTCTTTCCTCTGCCTGGAGTGTTGTTACACCCACACCTCTGGCTAACTGCTGCTCATCCTTCAGTATTCAGGTTAAGTTCTCTACTTCCACTTCATTCTATTTCAAGTTTCCCATTGTTATCTTTAATTACCTTTTATTTTCCATTACAATGCGTATCATGACATATATTTGTGTGACATATATTTATGTTTATAAACATATATATAAAACATATTTTATAAAAATTTATAATTGTTTAATAATTGTTTTTGCTTGTAGACTCTTCAGTTCCATGGTGTAAGAATCTTGCCTTTTTGTTTTCCTCTGATATCCTCAGAGTCTAACCTGGTCTTTGAGTGGCATATAACAAATAGTTGTTGAATGAATTTATCAGCAACAAATATAAAGTTCTGTGTCTAAGTGGTTTCAAGTAGTTTCTTTAAAGAGATGTACAAAAGGAGCACGTGGGGACGTATACTATTTAGATGCTTAGGGAAGCTTAACTAATCTACTTCTTTAATCTTAGAATAAATGCATTCTTATCAGGAGAATAATGATAGTTCACTTTTATTGATCTTTTACAATGGATGAAGTAATTTTTTGAGCTCATTTGAATATGTTATTCGTTCCTAAAGTAGCCTTTTAGAATAGATATTATTAGAATCTGTTTTACAGATGAGGAAACTGAGGTTTCATGTGAATGTATGTGTATTGTACACTGGGACTCTTGTCATGGGGATGATATACTTTTTCTCTTCAAAGGGGCAGGGTTTTCTTTTCATTGGTTTATTGTAAAAAGTGCGATATGGCAATTTCAATGGTTATTTGCCTTTAATACATTTTAAAATACATTATTTCCATAGATGATAAGAATTGTGGAAAAAGAGACCCTGTGATAGGTGATAGTGATCCATTGTAGTTGTGGAATTGGCTCTCAAGTAACATTAAATAAAATACCTGTGTGTACAGTTAGATTACGTTTACCTGTGCATAGGAATCCCTTCCTTATTTGAGGTGTTGGAGAGGTTAGTCTCTTTGGTTCCTTATGAAGCAGGATGGATTTTTAGAAAGAGTATTAGAAACTAAATACTTTAAAATTGAAATCTCTGCAGTAGGAATCTGTATTTTTCACAAGTTCCCCTATGTGATTGTGAGGCACACTTAATGATGGAGAGCCAGTGATCACAGTTTTCTTTTCATAATGCATATACGGAAGTTCCAGACCGGTAGGAATTACATCAGGGTAAAGCTGGGCCTAGAGGAGGTGGGTGTTTCTTCTTTTGTAAATGCAGTATGTAATAGTATGCCTCTTGTCTCACAGGGTTGTAATGATAATAACTTAGTGCATGTAAAGCAGTGGTAACACTGCCTGGTACAGAGAAAGCACTTAATAAATGTTAGATGTAGCATATCATTGGAGGTGTATATTTGTGTCAAAAAGAAAAGACTTCCTCTGTTATATCAAAAGGACAAAGTTAATCTTTCTTTATTTCTTTTTGTTTTTATTAGATTTGTATTTATCTTATAAAAAATAGATTGGTGGTTATCTGTCTCCACTCACTTGAACATGTTTATTCTCTGCATCCAAAATAGTCCAGGAATGGCTGGACCTGGTGGCTCATGCCTGTAATCCTAACAACTTTGAGAGGCTGAGGCGGGCAGATCGCTTGAGCCCGGGAGTTTGAGACCAGCCTGGACAACATAGCGAAACCTTATCTCTGCAAAGAATACAAAAATTATCCGGGCCTGGTGGCATGTACCTGTAGTCCCAGCTACTTGGGAGGCTGAGATGGGAGAATCACTTGAGCCCAGGAATTCGAGGCTGCAGTGAGCCATGATTGTGCCACTGCACTCCAGCCTTGGCAACAGAGTAAGACCCTGGCTCAAAACAAAAAATTACACATATAATGTATATTCCAAGAATATTGTATTTGTGCAATATTTAAGTAAAGAAATGAATGATTAAACCTGAGTTTTAGTCCTGGCTGTACTGCCAGCCAGATGTGTGACTTTGGCCAATTTTCTTGATTTCTTTGGGTTTCATTTTCCTTACATTAAAATGGAGATGTTTAACTGGGTGATAAACATCTAAGATTTTCTTATCCTCAAAATTTCTGTGGTCCCCGACACTATATTAATACTTTTTTGTAATGGGATAAAAAATGAGTGAGGGTCATAGTTTACTTTTTTCATAAATCAATCCAGTTAGGTATCTTTGCTTAAGCAGCCCTGTTTAATGCCTTCTTTGATCACTTTTATCGTGCCTGGTTTTATTTAGTGAAGCCATTTCTGTGGACTAGTAAATAATTTTGAAGGAAATAGTTTGGTAAAAGGAAAAAAGCAGGGTTTTGTACTCAGAGTGACCTAAATTTGTATCCCTGATCTCTTCTGTATCATTATTTTTCAAACTTCTGTGTAAGAGGACCCTTCAAAGAAAAACAACAAAAACCTTATTAAAGTATTAAACACACACACACACACACACACACACACACACGTAGATATATTGTAAGTGGATAGTCTGATAAACTTTTATAAACTAGACACTCCTGTATAACCAGCACTCCTGGAGGTCTCTTTATTACCTCCTCATAGTAACTGCCTATTCCCACTCCCCCAAAGGTAACCATTACCCTGACTTCTAATGGCATGGATTAATTTTGCTTGTTTTTATACTTTATCTCATTGTAATCATTCCATATGTACTCTTGTATCTGGCTTCTTTTGCTCAGTATGATGTTTGTGAAATTCATCTGTATTTTCTGGGTATAGCTGTAGATTATTCATTTTTATTGGTCTGTGTTATTTCTTTATATTACTGTACCAATTTTTATTTTATTTATATGAAGGCAATCTGGGTTGTATCTAACTTGGGGCTATTATAAATAGTGTTGCTATGAACATTCCAGTACTTGTTTTTTAGTGAACAAATGTATGCACTTCCATTAGCTACATACCTGTGAGTGGAATTACTGCGTTAGGAAGATGATCCCATTCTCCCTTTAAACATCAAAAATATTTAACAGACCTCACTACATGATACTCACATTTTAAATATTAGTTTGAAAAAAATACATGATAGAAATTGGCTATGAATTCAGTTCATCTTAAGTGAATTTGTATTTTGTGATTCACGCAGCACCTACATGATTTTAAATTAGTTACACCTACTTTATGAATATGAGACATTTATTCAGTCTACAGATTACATTTAATGTGCATATACACTTGCATAATTTTTGAAGTAATTAGCCAAGATAGTGGTGTTAGGTTGGGAATTAAGGTACTACTTAAAGCTGTGTACTTTCTCTTAGCTTCTGTTTCTTCATTTACCATGTTTGATCTAGATTTCCACTTAATAAAATGGGAATAGAAATATACTCATTTCAGAAAATTGTTATGAGGGTTTGATTAATTTGTAAAAAGCACTTAGTACAATGTCTGGCATGTAGTGTATAATAAATAATAATTGTTACTCTGTCCTTCCTTTATAATAGTACTTGACTACTCCATAACTGTAGTAAGTCCTGATAAACACATCTTGAAGTTATCCACATATCTCAGCCACCCTTGATTTCAACAGCCTTTTCATAAAGGTGATTTCTAAATCTATCATCTTAGTGCAGTCTTCTTTTTTTTCCCCCTTTTTTCTTCTATAGCCTTCAAATGAGAAGTGCTTTCTTCTTTATTGGACTTGTAACCATTTCAAATTGAACTAATGTTAAACTAAGGTTAACTGTCCACTCCCCCATCAGCTTTTCCTTCTATTCTAATTTTCTAATCCTAATTTCTCTTAAATAGTACCAACTTTCTTTCAGGTACTCAGACTTGGTTCCTAGACTGTCAAGAGTGGAAGGGATCCCATCAGTCATTTAGTTTAGTAGACACATGGATGCTTTTAATCCTTCTACAAATGTTTTTAGTTTCTTTACCATGTGTTGGCACTTTGGACTTGAGAAGACATAGTTTTTGCCCTTAAGCAGCATGTAGTTTAGTTGGAGAGACAGGTAAATCAGTACATTTGTGGTGAGTGCTGTGTGGTTTTATGCACAGATTACTATGGTAGTAACTCCAGTTGCAAATGGATTTAGCTAAGAAAGGACTAAAGGACATTTTAGACAAAGGGAACAGCAGATGTGAAGATTCAGAAGCAGATGTAATACGATGCCTGTAGGGAATAGTAATAATAATAGCTAATGTTTATTGAGTACACACTGGCACATACTGATGTCTGAACCTGAAAAATTTCTAGCATAGCTGGAATGAAAGGTCAAGGTGTATAGTGGGGTGGAGGATGTGGTAGTAAGTAAGACAAGACACCTGGGGCCTGAAATCTAGGTCTTTAGCCTCCTGGTCCAGTATTATGCCATCATTCAAATTTCTTTTTGCAATTTATATCAGTTTCAAATTTTGTGTAATGTTGTGTACTGGTTGAAATGATTAGACCATTGCCCCTAGGCCTCTGACCCTAAAGCCTGGACTCTTTTAACTATATTTGCTAAAGTATATAGTTAGGAGGCATTCTGTAAGCTTTTGGACAAAAATATAAGAGAGGCATTTCAAACCAGGTTGTCCTGATCTTTATTTTTATGGCTCCCCTCTGCCTCCCTGCTCCCTTTCTGAGCTTTCAAGATATTAGGTTGAATAAAGAGATCAGCCTTTATGGTTGTCCTACTTTTCTTCTGCTCCAGATTCTTCTTTATAAATTGGGAGATAAGGAACTTTTATTCATTCAACCTTCATATTCTGTTAAACTGGTTTACTTTAACCAAAATCAAGAATGCCACTATATAATAGTTTATTGTAAGAAAACTAACTTGTAAATAGACTCTTGTCAATCACTTCATTTTATTTTCATGGAGAAGCCTGCTTAAGAAATTCAATTAAGATTAGAGGCCGGGTGTGGTGGCTCACGCCCGTAATCCCAGCACTTCGGGAAGCTGAGGCGGGTGGATCACCTGAGGTCAGGAGTTCGAGACCAGCCTGGCCAACATGGTGAAACCCCGTCTCTACTAAAAATATAAATAATTAGCCGGGCGTGGTGGCAGGCGCCTATAATCCCAGCTACTCGGGAGGCTGAGGCAGGAGAATCGCTTGAACCCAGGAGGCAGAGGTTGCAGTGAGCCAAGATTGCGCCATCACACTCCAGCCTGGAGGACAAGAGCAAGACTTCGTCAAAAAAAAAAAAAAAAAAAAAAAAAGATAGAATTGCTATTTGAGAATTTTTAAAAAACTGAGTGATTTTAAAGATCTTTTCCATTAAGCTTTGATGGAAGTCAGAGTATATATATTTCTAGGCAGGCCAAAATGAATATTCATATAGACTAGATATTATAGTTATTCTTTTGGAGAATACTGGGTATACATCCATCAATACTTATTCTTCAGCTATCATTTTTTTTTGTAGATACCTTTGTTTCCACAAACCTCTTTGTTTTCATTTGTTAGTAATATCAGCTTGCTAATGCCCTTGCTACACATTTCCAATTTCTAAAGTTAAGGCTGGCTTCAACCTGTCAACTTGTAAAAAGACCATAAAAATCACCTGTTGATCAAACTAAGCCAGGTTTATTACATACTCCAGTAAGGGTGAACACTGCCCTAAAGAGTCCTAGAAGTATTTCAGAAAGAAAGTATTGGATATGGATATTTACAGGGTTTTGGGGTCTGGTTTCAAGTAGTTTAAGGAGATTTTACTTGGCCCTGTTCTGAGTTTGTGATAGAATTCTTAGACCAAGTCTTGATAAACAAATATTTGTTTGGTAAGTGAGCATGTTTGCCCAGTTGAGCAATGATTAAGGATCTAATTGAGCAGTCTGTTGTTCAGTTAAATGAATTTTTGAGAAATTCCTAAAGCTAATGATGAAGTTATTTACTGGTTTGCATTCTTACCTTCCTGGGCAAGAATTTCCGAGAACAAATAATAAAGTTCTGTTGATATAGGGGCCTTAGATCTTAGTCCTTATAATTAAGCTGTGTGAATGCAGAAGGTCTCAGTTCTCAATGACATTTATAAAGGCAGACAGATTTTAATCAAAGGTTTACTGTCTCCAGCCCTGGATATTGTACCATTTCTTGACCTTTTTCATCTAATTGTGGATGGTAGATAGTATCATGATTGTGAGTCTTTGTGGCACTTCTTGTACTTCCACTAACATTTAAATACCTCATTTATGTTTTGCTACTTTCCTAAATGCCCCCGAAGCTCTAGATGAACTAGTCTCTTTTTCTCAACATGGCACTTTTGCTTTTCCCTCTTGGTTATTTTCCTTTATCTCATCTTTGCAAAATTTTTATTCTTCATGCAGGCTTTCCTGAGCCTCATCATGTTTATCTTTGAACTAGCTATACCTTTTTTTCTATGAAGTCATTTATTTGGCTAATTTAGCACTTTATTAGATTGTAAGTCCATGGAAGACAGAGACTATGTTTTATTCATCTTATTTTTAATCATCTAATAAATATTTGTTAAACTGAATTACTCTGTTGAATTGAGTTAGGCCAAAACCAATAAATACCCAATAGGTTTGTGAATTATTTTCATATTAGACTGATCTTAAAGACCTTTTATCTTTATCACTATGGTTCTCTGTCTTTCCAAAGGTAAAGTGTACTCTGGAAAATTCTCATTTTAGATTGCAGTTTGGACAGATCATCAAAGTCAAATGTTACTATGTTTTGAAATACAGTCAGCAAAGTTCTCACAGATGGACTTTACTGAAAACAGATGGCGGGAGGGGGGAGATATTTCAAAATGTCTTTGTGCTCATTTCAAAGCATTGACCTCTACAAGTTTAAATATAGTTATTCATAGAAAAACCTGGAGAATTAAGTTTTATGCCTTTATTCTTGGCAGCTTTGGTTTTGTTTAATCTGTCACAATGTCATGTTTCTTGTCATAATTTTGTTGAGGGTGTGGTAAGGAGTATGACAACAGAAGCAGAACATAGCATGTATGTGATCATTGAATATAGATACAATTTATTGTTCAGAGAGGTATCTTTGGGTACTGTGGTTTGGTGGCTGTTGGATGGAAATTAGAAATAGTAATTTCACTCATAATAAAATAGTTATTTGGACTTAATATTGGAAGACAGAGACTATTTTAAATATAGCGTCTAGCATAGTCTTTCCAAGCCATCAGTATGTGACATATGGTATACCCTAGGGAAAGTATTTTTTTATCCTGTTTTAGCCAGTGTTTAACTCTGCCACTGTATTCCTACTTTATCCTCTCTCTAACCCAGGGAACTGCATTTACCACCACCCACACCACGTGGATACCGCATTAGCAACTCCGTTAATACTTGAACACAATAAATAGTTAATTATGGTCTAGTATTTTAATTTATCCTTTGAGAACATATTTGTGAATATTCCTTTATACAAGGGTAGGAATTGGTCATAGTACTTGATAAATCAACAGATTTATTAATACTTTGCCCTTCTGAAGGAAATATTTTTGTTTTTGTTTGTTTCTCTTGTTGCCCAGGCTGGAGTGCAATGGCACGATCTCGGCTCACTGCAACCCCCACCTCCTGGGTTCAAGCGATTCTCCTGTCTCAAGCCTGCTGAGTATCTGGGATTACAGGCGCTCGCCACCTCACCTGGCTGATTCTTGTATTTGTAGTAGAGACAGGGTTTCACCACGTTGGCCAGGCTGGTCTCGACCTCCTGACCTCAGGTGGTGCACCCACGTTGGCCTCCCAAAGTGCTGGGATTACAGATGTGCGACACTGTGCCTGGCCGGAAATAATTCTTTTATAAAGATTCTGAATCTTGCTGATATATTGGGATGGATGGAAATATTTATCTTTACTAAAGTAATTTTTTTTTTTTTTTGAGACAGGGTGTAGCTCTGTTGCCCAGGCTGGAATGCAATGGCAAGATCACAGCTCATTGCAACCTCGACCTCCTGGGGCTCAAGGAGTCCTCCCCCTCAGCCTCTTGAGTAGCTGGGACTGCAGACAGGCACGCAACACCACTCCTGGCTAATTTTTATATTTTTTGTAGAGATGGGGTTTTACCATGTTGCCCAGGCTGGTCTCGAGCTCCTGGGCTCAAGCCATCCTCCTGTCTTGGCCGCTATCAGTAGTCTTATATGTAACCAGTTGCACTTAGCCTGATAATCAGAATTACTGATTGTGAGTAATCTCACTGATTACTTACTGAGTCACATTGATTCGGAGTGCAGTTTCATCATGTTTACTTAATGGTAGTATACATTAGCCATATTGTGTTTTATGTACATATCTGTAGTTTTGAAATGGCTGACAGTAATTTGTATGAGAATAAAGACTCTTTGTTTCTGTTTCTTTGGAGAATCAAATACATGTTGAATATGTGCAAATATCTGAGCTATTTTATATAACATAATTTTATATTTTAAAATCGGTCTGCTATAATCATTTCAAGCTATTGCCCGTTTTCAGGTTTTATATAATTTTAATGGAATTTTGTCATTTTAATTTCGTGTTTAATTAGGCACAGCCCTCATTAACTTATTGTTGAAAGTCTCCTAGAGCATTTATTAATTTAGCCATCATGTAAGTATGTTCCAGAAGCCATGGGGAAGAAGACAGACACTTAAAAATCTAGTTTAGGAAATGATACGCTAAAAATGTAAAATTCTATTAAACGTTAAATAAAACAGTATTAGTCAGTAAAAGAGCTGTAATCAGATATTACTGTCAAATGAGAGGCACAGACTTAAGTGCTAAAGAAGTCAGAAGAAGTAGTCAGAAGAAACAGAAGTCAGAAGAAGCAATTGCTGTGGATTAGATAGGTTATGCAGTCTCTAATGAAAATTGGTTCTTGGTGGGGTAGGGGATGAAAAACTATTAAATACTACTATGGTTTGGAACCCCCCATAGGGCCACAGTACATAGATAGTATATCTGTGTTATTAAAATTCATGGGGATGAGGAAAGCAATCTAAAATGTCCCAGGGCCGGGTGCAGTGGCTCATACCTGTAATCCCAACACACTGGAAGCTGAGGCAGGAGGATTGCTTGAGGCCAGGAGTTCAGGACCAGCCTGAGCAACACAGACCTCGTCTCTACACACACGCATGTGCACACAACAGACACAGTGGTGCATACCTGTAGTGCACGCATGCACACACACGTGCGCACAGTGGTGTACACCTGTAGCCCCAGCTATTCAGGAGGCTTAGGTGGAGGATTGCTTGAGGCCAGGAGGTTGAGGCTGCAGTGAGCCATGATCGCACCACTGTACTCCAGGAGCCTGGGTGACAGAGCAAGACCCTGGGGTCTCAAAGAAAAACGCTGTCTCAAACTAAAAAAAAAAAAAGGTCCCGGGGCTTGTGGGTAGCAGTAATGAAAGGTTGAGGAACACGAGTTTAGGATAGTTAAAGAAGGGTTTTAAATAGGAACTATGAAGGTTAGTCATTGAAGGATAGATGGTAAGTTTTAGGTAAACAAAGATGGAGAGGTTATTTTATTCAAGATGGTTTTCTTGGAGATTATGTGTTTTTATAAAATCAGACTGGGTGTATAACATGTCTCACATGCCGCATCATAGCCTCTAGTTAGTGTCTTATAAACTGAAGAATAGGAAAATTAAAATCTCAGAATTTCCTTTTAAACAAGATCAAATTTAAAGTGTTGTAGTAGATTACCCATTGCCTCTGTGTTCATTCTTACCAAGTAGTTTTTTGATTAGAGGTAGAGGATTTATTCATTTCTTTGTGCAGTCATGTTAGCAGTACTGTTTATCTAAACAGACTCTTGGTTACATACGGAATTATGGTTCTCTTGTGCTGTCTTATTCATTGAGTTAAAGAATTATAGAATTTTTTTAGAGATGTAGAAGACTGTAGAGATTGTTTAAACTCCTCCATTGATACATAGGGAGAAAATGGACCTGCAGTGAAGATCCATTGATGTTAGTGGTGGAGCTGGCCTCACCACTTTGGTCTCCTGACTTGCAGTCTACTGCCCTTCTTCTCACAATATCATTTTATCTAAACCAGTATGAACCTTGGTCTGGAGGCAGAAATTTTAATTTTAGTAATTTATCTCTTTAGACCATACCAGATTGTCACTTCTTTTTCCATTTCTCTAGACAAATCAGTCATTTTCTCCAGAATGTGGAAAGGCAGTGGGTTTTGGAGTTTGACTTTTCCACTTCAGCTTTAACCTTGGACAACTTACTTAACTTCTTTGCCTAATGCTCTTATATGTTAAATGGGAATGAGAATACTTACTTAATAAGGTGGTTGTTAGGATTAAGTTAGATGACCTATATATAAAGCCTTTTCCTCTGTGTTGGATATATTTAAAAAATTTATTAAATGTTTTTCTCCCCTTTCTTTCTCTGCCACTAGAGTACTTACCACATTGTGTATCACAGTTAGTTATTTTATGTGTCCCAGGTGCGAGTCTTGGAGGTTTTCCCCTTAGTAATTTCTCAACTTTATGTAATATTATTATGGGGTCTATGACATAATTTTTAAAAAACAAACCAGTAAAGCCAGGAATTTGCTACTGAAACAGAGATGCTGCTATAGTAGACAGTTAATTCATCTGTCAGAGAAGAATTGAGTACTAGTGTTCATTTTTAATACTAATAATTCTATAATAAACTGACTTACTATATTGTTGATTCTTGTCTAAGGCCTTGTTTTGACCTTAAGAATTTCATTATAATTCCACAAGGGAAATGTATTGATTGTGTCATTTGGCTCCCAGTCTCTGTCCTTGACTGTTTCTGTGATTGCCTTGCAGAGCTCTGAGGAACATGAATACAGTGATGAAGCTCCTCAGGAAGATGAGGGCTTTATGGGCATGTCCCCTCTCTTACAAGCCCATCATGCTATGGAAAAAATGGAAGAATTTGTTTGTAAGGTAAGAGTGCAGTTTCTTGTCATTGTCATGCTATATATTTAGCCCTTCCAAAACAGAAACCTTTAAAGAGAGTGGTAGTACTATAGCCTTTGGTTTGCTTTGGGGAAGATCTGTGGCAAGATGGGGACAGAAGTGGTCTTGGGACTCTAATCCTGTTGAAGACAGAATACATTTGTTGGCTTGTAGTAGCCATGATAAAGCTCTGATAAAACTAGGATATCCAGCTGGGAAACAAACATTTCCTAATGTAGGTTAACAGAGTAAATGTCTTATTGGTGGTTTAGACAAACAGAATGAAACATAGTCAGAAGTGGTTGACGCCTGGAGATATGAAAATGCCCTCCGCAGGTCCCTTAAATCTGTTCTGCTGAGTGACTGCAATGGCAAATGTACTGTTCTTTCTAGGGATTCTGTGAGTAATCAGGCTACTCTTGAGAGAGATTTTCCAGTTTCCATGTACATCTGGTATTTTCAGTTCAGCTGGTATACATTCTGTCTCTTAAGGTTTTTCTTCCAGTCCATTGTCTTGATTCCCTAGGACCTATTATGGGATTCTTTTTTTTTTTTTTTTTTTCTAAAATAGTAATTAGAATTGAGTTTGCCTGCTTAGAGAAAATAGACACACTGGTAAACTTGTAGGTACTTGATCAATCAGATCAATAAGGGCCCTGGCAGGTAGAATCTAATTAATGTAAGTCGATCAGTCTGTGTGTATACGTATGTGTATGTAAATTGATTTATTAAACATTTCTGGAGAACTCTTTATTATTTAGAGAGAAATTTTTGTGACACTTAGCTTTTCATGGCTTTTATGAAACCAAAACTTTTTATGTACATGGTCTTAGATCCAGGAGACTAAATATAGGTTTTCTTACATTCACAATAATGCTGGAAATAATTGGGATCAGTGGACTTAGAATGCTATTACTTTGGACCAGGGTATGAAAAGAGAACATTGTGATCTGAACATAGACATCCTTTCCAAGACTAAGGGTCCAGTGGGTTTTCAGGGGGAGTTTAAACATTTATGGGTCTGTAATAGAAAATTTTAGCCAGTTTGAAAATGAGTGAAGAAACAACTGAACAGAACAATAGATTCATTCTAGTGATCACTGTCTCAGGAGAATTAGCACAAAGGGATACAAAAGATTATTTTGTTTTTAAAATGCAAATTTGGTGTGAAGAAATCTCTCAAAGTTGGCAAATTTAGTATCTGGGCCATTAGGGGATTTTAATATTTAGAGATCAGCGGGGTACGGTAGCTGACTTAACTGCCTTTTTGTCCTCTCCCTTTCTGAACAGAGAACAAAGAATAAAACAAATAAAACTCTAAATTTAACAGCAAATCAGAGAATAAATAGGGCAGGACATTTGTTTGCTACAAACTATGATCTTCTGAAGGAAAAGGAGTGTTGTAAATATCCCTTAGCAGTTTGTTGATGACAGCAGAATGAAGAGGCATCCTGTTACACAGTGTTGTCTGGTGTGGCTCAACCCTGCCATGGCAGTGCAACTGACCACACTTGAAAACCAGCCGTGTCTAGTGGCACAGGGATTCTATTTCTTGGACTGGAAGCAAGTAAACAGAGACAGTTTAATATGAAATGTGCTGTGGATAATTTAGTCTTTAGAGTTTCCACGTTTGATCTTGGTCACTCTTTTTTCCCCTAGACTTCAGTGTTTGCTATTTACCAGCATAACCAGGTCCATGTGGGAATAGGATGTATGCTATGGGGAGTTTATTTGTTTTTGAAATTTATTTATTGTTGAGTCTCGCTCTGTCGCTAGGCTGGAGTGCAGTGGCACGATCTTGGCTCACTGCAACCTCCAACTCCCGGGTTCAAGTGATTCTCCTGCCTCAGCCTCCCAAGTAGCTGGGATTACAGGCATGTGCCACCATGCCCGGCTAATTTTTGTATTTTTAGTAGAGATGGGGTTTCACCATGTTGGCCAGGATGGTCTCCATCTCCTGACCTCGTGATCTGCCCGCCTCGGCCTCCCATAGTGCTGGGATTACAGGCATGTGCCACCATGCCCGGCTAATTTTTGTATTTTTAGTAGAGATGGGGTTTCACCATGTTGGCCAGGATGGTCTCCATCTCCTGACCTCGTGATCTGCCCGCCTCGGCCTCCCATAGTGCTGGGATTACAGGCGTGAGCCACTGCGTCCAGCTGTTTTTTTAAGAAATGTTTTTGTGCATTTTATGGTCTAATATATCCACATACCCAGTGGATTATTACTAAGATATTTGAAGGTAGGCAGTGTCTTTGTCAAGCTTATAAATAAATATGTCTTTGGCTAAGCCGTGATCTTATTTTTTTATTCTAGGGGGTAAAAGAGGATACCTATTTGTGTTGGAATTTGGCTGACTGTATATGACTCCAGGTTGAGAATGAGGGTGCAGTGTCTGTTGAATGTGTCACTAATTGCAGTGTAATTAAGAAAGTATAGCTCCTTGTCTCAGTATTTAGACCACTAGAACATTTGTTTAGAAATACCAGGGAAAATCACTCTGAAATTATATGCATATATAACCAATAAGAAACTCACATATTCTTTTTGAATGTAAAAAAGGAACATATGACTCTTTTGTCTGTGTGGGGTAGCAGAGTAGCAGTTTGGATACAGCAGAGCTGTGTGCACATTGTGAATTGCCTTGAAGATGTAAGGGTTGATTTCTGTCTTCCTCTCCCTCTCAGAAAATAAAATTCCCCCAAAGTAAGGTAATAGCAACATTCTGTAAGGTTAATCTCAACAATAGTGGTCTTTTCCCAAATTCAAATTTGATGCAAAAAATTCAGTATCTTGGTCTCTCTCTGACACTAAAAGAAGCAGACTGCAGAGGTTGACAGACTTCCAGCAGTTCCAACAGAAGGGATACTGGATCCCTGATCCCCTTTCTCTTTCTCTCCATAAAGTCCTGTGGAAGATCTCATACAGCTACTTTTGTAAGTGGTAGTACTATTAGCAGCAGATGTTAAAAATATAGATTAGTCTTTTGGCATTATTTTATTTTATTGTATGTTAGAAGCAAGCATAGAATGGCCACATTAGCACCAGTAACCACAGACCCCACGTTTTGAGTTGGAAAGTGAGGGAGGAGAGGTTTTGTATGGCTGGGGGCAGGAAGAGTAGGGAAGAGGCAGGGGGCTAGTTTGGTTAGAGTGTTAAGAGGGACACATCTGTTCTTAAATTGTTAGTCCTCACTTCCTTTGGATGTGGAGATGTTACACAGAGGATTAGTTCTTTTACAAATATCTGTAAGGAAGTAAGAGAGCAGAGAACAAGAAACAGGTTGTGGAGCAAAAGGAATGGGCACAGTAGCTGGTGAGTAAGTGGCAGTCTTTCCATAGAGTAGAGAGAGAGCCAAGTTTCCATGGCTTACCCATATTGTCACAAGACCCTGTAGTGGGTAGGGTGGAGGTCATTGTCTGAAGGTGAATCTTGCTGATTTGCAGCCTGGATTCTTGCTTTATAGGGTAATAGACTGGAAGAACTGCTGAGCCCACATTAGCTGGAAGATAAACCATGTGCCTGCCATTTTTCCTTACATCTTTCTGTCTAGCAGAAGCAAGTTAGTCAAGATTAAGTGATCCTTGTGGTGTGAGCTCTCGGGGCTATGAGACATTAAAAGAAGCAGAGTGCAGAGGTTGACAGACTTCCTACAGAGGGGATATCGGATTCCTGATCCCTTTTCCTCTAGAATCTGATGCGGGAGGGACCATGAGGAAACGGGAGGAAAGGGCTCTGAGGGACTGAAAGGGTGGTTAGGGCTGAGCTTCTTTACCATCTCTCTGCAGCATGAGAAGGAAGATGGATTAGTCACTAACTGTCTGACAGGAGATAGCCCCTGGGGATAGTCATGTACTGGCTTTGAGTAGATGCCAGGGATTACTAACTAATTCATGAAATGCTTTGTGTCATTTTGTTTGATCTTCATGATTTCCCTATGAAGTAACTGAAGCGCTATTTTACAAATGAAGGAGCTGCAGGTTGGAGGTTTTTTAATTAATTAAATCTCATATAGCTAGTTAATGCCAGGGGTCCACAATTTTCTGACTCCTGTGCTCTTTCTTTTCTGCCTCATCATATTTGCATAGTGGGAAGAGAAGAAAGAGTAAGATGGAGGGAGAGATTTTAGCAAAAGGCACAAAAGTATGATTCTATGTAATTCTGTTTTTACCAATAGGAATATTAAATATAAAAATGTTCATATTAACACCACAGGGATTTATCAGAGGTAAAGTCTGTTATATAGGTAGGATGAAGGAGGTCAGTATGAGTGAGACTTTGGAACCTTCATCCCACCATTAGCCAGGTTGAAACAAAGTTTGAAACCACTCTTTTAGGGCATTTCCTATAAATTTGTTTACTCTTTCCTTTTCCTAAGGCCCCCACTTAAAAGTATATTTTTTCTTTCTTTTTTTTTTTTTTTTTTTTTGAGGCAGAGTTTTGCTCTTGTTGCCCAGGCTGGAGTGCAATGGCGTCATCTCAGCTCACCACAACCTCCGCCTCCCGGGTTCAAGCAATTCTCCTGCCTCAGCCTCCCGAGTAGGTGGGATTACAGGCATGTGCCACCACACCCGGCTAATTTTTTGTATTTTTAGTAGAGATGGGGTTCGAGCTCCTGACCTCAGGTGATCCACCCACCTTGGCCTCCCAGAGTGCTGGGATTAAAGCCTTAGCCACCATGCCCGGCAAAAATATATTTTTCATCAGTCTTTAAAGAACTCAGAATATAAGACATTATACATTTTGAGATGTTTGCCTTTTTAAAAATGAATTGTTTTTCCCATTATAAAACAGTGTGATAAGACACAGTTGTTAGGGGTCAGTGTTGGTAAATTGACAACTAAAATCACAAAGATGTTTGATAATACCTCTCTGCCAGGTATGGGAAGGTCGGTGGCGAGTGATCCCTCATGATGTACTACCAGACTGGCTCAAGGATAATGACTTCCTCTTGCATGGACACCGGCCTCCTATGCCTTCTTTCCGGGCCTGTTTTAAGAGCATTTTCAGAATACACACAGAAACAGGCAACATTTGGACACATCTCTTAGGTATGTAATGTCAGTGATGTAATGAGCTGGTGATTCACTTTCTTCCTTTTTATTTTCATGTATTTGAGGGTAAGCACAGAACTTCAGAAATGTATTTGGATTTGCCATTTTGTTTTCTGAATTTCTAATGATGAATTTTCTGACTGGTTTACTCGTAGTTTATCCTGGTTTGCACTATGATTTTGTTATAACTTAAGTTATATTTCTTTCTACTAGATTTTCAGATCTTGTCCTCAAACCAGGCCAAGTAAAAGTTGCTATACAAAATGTGGTTTCATATTGTAGTGACCACTGAGAAGAAAGTATTATTTAATAGAAGTAATCTGATCTTTTAAAATGCATTACTTATATGCACTGCTAATTTTCAGTTTGGCCTGAAGTAGAATATGGACTGTAATTTTTTCTCCATAATGATTGTATATTAAAGAAAGAATACTGTAGAGGAAAGAATAGTCTTTCCAACAAATGGTGCTGGGATAACTGAGCCATATGTAAAAGAATGATCCCGAACTCACATATGCAAAAGTGAACCCAAAATGGATCAAAGACCCAAACATAAGAGCAAAAACTATAAAATCCTTAGGAGAAAACATATATAAATCCTTGTAAGTTTGGATTAGGTGACTGTTTCTGAGAATTGCCACCAAAGAAAAAATAGATAAATTGGACTTCATCAAAATTAAAAACGTTGGTATATCAAAGTGCATTATCAAGAAAGTGAAAAGACAACCCATAGAGAAGAGAATATTTACAAATCAGCTAGTTGGTAAGGATCTAATAAATAACTCCTACAACTCAACAATAAAGACAACCGATTTTAAAAATGGGTAAAACATCTGAATAGATGTTCTTCCAGAGAAGATCTAAAATGGCCAATAAGCACATGAAAAGATGTTTGTCTTCGTTAGGCATTTAGGAAAACGCAAATCAAATGCTTTGAGAAATGCAGTGAGAAATCTCAACACTTCACACCCACTAAGATGGCTATAATCAAGAAAATGAAAAATAACAAGTCTTGGCAAGGATGTGGGGAAATTGGAACTTTCATACGTTGCCAGTAGGAATGTGAAATGGGGCAGTCCCCATGGAAAAGTCTGGCAGTTCCTCAAAAAGTTACATAGAGTTACCAGAAATCAACTCCTAGTATATTACCCAAGATGACTGAAAACATGTTCACATAAAAACATGAACACAGAAGTTTGCAGCAACATTATTCATAATAGCTAAAAAGTAGAAGCAACCCAGATGTCTATCGACTGGTAATGGAGAAACAAAATATGGTGTATTCATACACTGGAGTATTATTTAGCTGCAAAAAGGGATGAAGCACTGATACATGCCACAGCATGGGTGAGCCTTGAAAACATTTGCTAAGTGAAAGAAGCCAGACACAGAAGGTCACATGTCGTTTGATTCTACATGCATGAAATGTCCAGAACAGGAAAATCCATAAAGACAGTAGATTAGTGGTTGTTTAGGGCTGTAAGGAGTGGGGAATGGGGGATGACAGCAGATACAGTACTTCTGTTTGGGGTGATGAAAATATTTTGGAATTAGTTAGTGGTGATGGTTGTACAACCTTGTGAATATACTAGTTTCTGGCCTTACTCCATTTGATTTGCATTTCTTATCACACATTTGATTTCCATGGTGCCTCTAAGTTCCTGCCTGCTAGTATAGTGAGAGGAGAGTAGAGGGTCAAATCAAGTTTGTTGCTGACTTCTAATTCAAGGGTAATTTTTAATTAAAATGATAAAACAATTACTTAGCAAACGTTGAAGTTGAAATTTCTGTGCCTGCCTTGTGTTAGGTGGCCCCTCCCTAAGCAATAGGAACATGGCATCTTTCTGTGTAGAACAGTGTAAGAATTGGTTAGGAAATGGCCTGAGTAGGCATTTTGTCCTTAACTCTTGAATCTCCTGAACCAGCTGATGAGGGCCAGAGAAACAGCATGACACTCCCTGACAGCTATTGGTAGAGGAAAGCTGTATTTCTTGGCAGGGTTTAGGGGTATTGGAATTCATTGTAAAAACAAAAGCAAAAGCACAATGGACCTTTGAAAGCTGGACTATGAGGTATGTGCCAAAAACTGTATAAATGAAACTATTCTACATCTAGAGGTAGAAGTGGCTTCATTATATCTTCTAAGAAGTAGCAGCAGTGTCTGATTTCTTTTTAGATTATGCCCTTAGATAAGTTTTTATATTCTGTATATTCAGTTTATGAAGCTGAAGTATTTCTGATACCAACAATGTTGGAAGTAAACCACAATTTTGGATAGGCTTCAGTTATTTGGAAGATTTTTCTCATTGAACTTTTGATTCAGATATTGTTGTAATGCAGAAGGATTGAAAACAGAATCAGTTATAATACTGTCTCTTCTAAAGGGTGATATTTTATCTATTTTCTGTGCTCTTTTTCCTAGGTTGTGTATTCTTCCTGTGCCTGGGGATCTTTTATATGTTTCGCCCAAATATCTCCTTTGTGGCCCCTCTGCAAGAGAAGGTGGTCTTTGGATTATTTTTCTTAGGAGCCATTCTCTGCCTTTCTTTTTCATGGCTCTTCCACACAGTCTACTGCCACTCAGAGGGGGTCTCTCGGCTCTTCTCTAAGTAAGTATCTGTAAAGTCCGTATTTTGGCCAATGATTTAGAGGTAGTGCGTTAGGGAAAAACATTCAGCAGAGTTGGCAGAATTCTTAATATCATCTCATGCAAACTTTTTTTTTTTTAAAAATTAAAGAGCAACCCAGTTTGGCTCTTAGGTGTCGTTGATGGCTTATGTCATGAGGGATTAATTGGAACCTGTAGTGGCCAGTAGTTTTTAAATTACTGCATTAAATGGATTTTTTTTTTCTGTCATAGACTGGATTACTCTGGTATTGCTCTTCTGATTATGGGAAGTTTTGTTCCTTGGCTTTATTATTCTTTCTACTGTAATCCACAACCTTGCTTCATCTACTTGATTGTCATCTGTGTGCTGGGCATTGCAGCCATTATAGTCTCCCAGTGGGACATGTTTGCCACCCCTCAGTATCGGGGAGTAAGAGCAGGTAAGAGCACGGGGAGGTTCTACATTCGACATTCATTTATTCACTAGTTAAATTCACTATTTATTAAAGTTCTACCATTTGCCAAACATTATGCTGTGTATTTGTGATGCCAAGATGAAGAAATCATAGTTCCTATTGTTGGGGGTTTTTTTATGTAGTAGTCGTAGTAGTTGTTGTTGTTAGTAGTGTTTATTAATTGTCTTAAAGCATTAGGGTTGAGGGGTCATGGTGAGTATGAGGTGATATAATTTGGGACTGTTACTTACTTGAATTTATGGCTAAACACCATCCAGAAAGCGGTAGTCTATAACTTTTGTAAACAATGATTTCTCTTACTCATTGTGGAGTGTACTTTTTGTAGTGATTCTTTTTTTGTTGTCATTTTCTGTTTTGTTTTATATTTTTATTTTATAATGGATAATCTGCTTAAGGCTTCACCCCCATGCTGATTATGTTTTGTTAAAGTGGGCACCATATCTCCCTTCTGATGTAGGGATAAAGGGGCTTTTTATATTTAGGATAATGCCTGTTTAGCTGGAGATCATAGAGAAAGCCACAAGCCCCTCAGTGCCTTGGCTGAGTCTTCTTGTAGGACATGGAATTAGCAGAGATGTTCTTGTCTCCTACTCAGTGTCAAGCTCAGTGCCCACTGAGAATGAACAAGGAGTGTTTTTCCTTTCGTCCTTAAACCCCCAAAACCATTTAGTATTAAAATCTAAACCCTGGATCATCCGGGGGTACCTGGAAGGTTAGACACAGAAGTAACCTCATGTCAGTGACCACTGTTAAAACACTCTGCCGTCCTCCTTTTTGTGTTCATATGAGCAAATGAGCATTGGTCAGGGTCAGCTTTCAACAGTACTTGAGTAGTACAGTGGTGTTAAGCCTGCTTGAGCACATGAGATAAGAATGTCTTTGCTGAGTACAGCTGAGCATTCTGTTATTTACATACATCAGAAGAACCAAATTCCTGAGCCTTTGACTTAGAGAATGATAGGCAGAAACCATTAGCAGCCTTTGCTTAGCATGTAGAGGAAAAGAAAAAGTGAATAGTGCAAAAGTCTAGCAAATCTTTCCTTAGAGGAGCAGAGGTAGGAAATAGTTTTTCTTTAGGTCTGCTTGGTTCTTACCTGTTGTGAGAGCAGCATTGCCATTTTCCTCTTCTCTTTTAGATGTCCATTTTATTTGTGAGTATGCATCCCATAGCTGTGCTTACATATATTGCTGTATACCAGCAGTTTATTTGGTAATGTCCAAAGCAAGTAATAGGTTCTTTATCTGTTGAGAAAGCTTACCAAATGACAGCTTGTTTTGCAAGGGTCATTGTTAACTCTGTGTCAAAATGTAGGAGCAGTTACTGGCAGAGGCAGGGAGCTCCTGTGTTGCTTTGGCTGATACACGGGTTTCAAAGTGGATTTAGATCAGTGGACTTCACATTTTTTTTTCCATCATGACATTTTCTATTACAGTCCTGAACACGTGTATCTATACATAAGTTCATGTATATATAAATTACAAAACTTTAACAAAATAGTATTTAATCCTCCACGTATGTTACAGTCTGATATTTTAAATTTTATTCTAGTTCATTTAAAAAAATGCTGGTTGAGACTCATTTAATTGATCTTAGAACTTAGGTCATATCCAGAAGTTTAAAAAAACATTAGATGCTTCTGGAGGCAGTAAGGCAGTAGGGCTGTGGCTGAGTGATTTGCTAGACTTTTGTACTTGATTGCTATTTAGGGGTCTGGGAGCTTATAGTATTCTCTCCCATCCCCCACCCCCATTAGGTCATTTGTTAAAGGCATTTAACAATTTTTAAGTGCCCAGTTATAGGTTATAGATTTAGATTAAATTTTTTCTTCTTTTTTCTTTTCTTTTCTTTTTCTTTCTTTCTTTCTTTTTTTTTTTTTTTTTTTTTTTTTTGAGATGGAGTCTTGCTTTGTAGCCCAGGCTGGAGTGCAGTGGTGCCATCTTGGCTCCTGACCTCAAGTGATCTGCCTGCCTCGGCCTCCCAAAGTGCTGGGATTACAGGTGTGAGCTGAGCCACTGCGCCCAGCCTTAGATTCCTATTAAAAATAGGTGATGCCAGGTGATGTGATCATTCATCGCCTCTCCACCCCAACAACGCCTGCTGCTTCAAAGAGAAGATGGGATACGTAAAATTGCTTGTATTGTAACCTGTGTCTGTAGAAGGACAGGCTAGGACAGTTTAAATAAACTCCTGGAGCTGTCCTTTCCGAAAACATTTAGCAACATTAATTCAAAACCCTTGAAGACTGCTGACTTACTAAGCTAAGCCTCTCTTAGTGAGGCTCATTGCTTTTTTTTTTTTTTTTTGAGACGGAGTTTCACTCCTGTTGCCCAAGCTGGGGTGCAATGGCGTGATCTCGGCTCACTGCAGCCTCTGCCCCCGGCTTCAGGTGATTCTCCTGCCTCAGCCTCCCGAGTAGCTGGGATTACAGGAGTGCGCTACCACGCCTGGCTACTTTTTGGATGTTTAGTAGAAATGGGGTTTCACCCTGTTAGCCAGGCTGGTCCCAAAGTGCTGGGATTACAGGTGTGAGCCACTGCACCCGGCTGGCTCCTTGCATTTGTAAATCTTTAGAACATAGCTGTGTTGTCTTGTGTGACAGTGTCCCAGAGTTTGAAGAACCTTCTTTTTCCTTTAAAACTGGAAGCTAATTTTATATGCTACTTTGAAATATTCAGTTTACAGAGTTAATGGTGCTGTGCTGTAATACTGACTTCTGGCTCTTTGTTTCTCTTCTGCATTACTTTACTCTCTTCTTGTGACTCCTAGGAGTGTTTTTGGGCCTAGGCCTGAGTGGAATCATTCCTACCTTGCACTATGTCATCTCGGAGGGGTTCCTTAAGGCCGCCACCATAGGGCAGATAGGCTGGTTGATGCTGATGGCCAGCCTCTACATCACAGGAGCTGCCCTGTATGCTGCCCGGATCCCCGAACGCTTTTTCCCTGGCAAATGTGACATCTGGGTAAGTATGTCGGGGTGACTGAGTGTGTAGGTATCTGCTCATGAGTTATTGGCATCCTGCAGAGTGATGCAATAGAAAAAGTTTTAGACACAAAGTCAGGAGAGTTGTATCCTGGTCCTAACTCCCTATTGAGCTTTCTCTGGACAATAAGTACAATAATAACTAACATTTAGTGAGCACTTCCTTGGTGCTCAGCATGGTACAGAGTGCTTTGCACGGATTACCTCATTACATACATTAGCCCTATGTGGTATGATAACTCTTGTTAATGTCTTCATTTTACAAAGCAGGAGACTAAGGCTTAGGGAGGTGAGGCCACTTGTCCAAGCCATGTGGCTATTTAAGTGGTAGAACAGGAATTTGAATTAGGCTAGTTTTAATATCAGAATCTGTGCTCTTTTTGACAATGGCAAGTCATTTTGCCATTCTTTGTCTCAGTTTCCTTATTTATGAAATGAGGATGATAGACCAGATTTTCACCAGAGCCCTTTTTAGGACCAGATTTCTATCAGGGTCTTTTTTTATACCGAAATTTAGTGATTTGTAATGGGAGACTGAGTGTATGTATGTCTGGTGGAAGAAGAGGGATTGTGAAGAAGAGGGAACTGGATTGAACTGGATTGTGGTCATTGGTAAGAGAGGAGGAAAGAGAAGAGGGAAAAGAAAATATAAGGACTGATATAGATAGAAAAACTTATAACCAAAGAGGGCCTGAAATATTTTCAACAAGACAACATTGGAAATACGCTTAATGTGAAATCTGACCTTTGTAATTCTGTTCCTCAGCCTATTGCTGATTATTATAGACTAACCTGATGATCTCATCTCTTTAAAGTTTAGTTTAGCTATCTGTAAAATGAAGATGATCTTGAACTTAAGCAATCTTTCTAGCTTCAAATTAGCTAATTTATCTTTCTGATTCATCATCATCATTTTAACATTGGTATGGAGGGGTTTTTGCCCTTTATCCCCTTTCTTTGGGGGAAATTAATCCCCTTTGGTTTCCTAGGAAACATCTCTTGGGATGTGACTTGATTTCTTCTAGTTTTTGCTTCTAAAATCAGTGTTTTTCTCTTGATAAATACTGCTTTGCCACTGTACTTTTTCATTTTGAGATTATAATGACAGAATAGTGTAATTTTTGAAGTGCAGCGAGCAATTGATTACCCTTCTTGAGATGTGGAATAGCATTCAACAGAACAGGTAAAATCAGAAATAATGTCACTTGCTTGTAGACCAGCTTCTGACTTGAGAAGTAAAAGGGCCTGTTTGCTTAGTTTTTGACACATTATGTAGTTCATGAAATTTGAGAATCGTAGCACTGAAGGAAACTCTGGGGACCATATGTTGTGACATTCCACACACCATCCTGGAAGCCTCTTTAGTTTTTCTAACAGAGAGCAACATTTAAATGACCATAGCTCTAGTCCTCTTGTCCATGACAAAATGTCCATCAGCAGTGAGTAGGAAAAGGACTGTATGTGTAATCATAGCCCATGGCTAGGTGTCAAGGGATCCTTGGGACCTTTGTGGCCTGTTAGCAAGAGAGTCTGTGTGTCATTTGCCACTTTAGCAAGAGAGTCTGTGTGTCATTTGCCACTGGTTTCAGTGTTAAGTTTGTAGATTTTTATGTGTAGAGCTTAGTGGCAGCACCTTGGTTTCTTTGGGAACAGCTGGCTTTCAGCTCAGCAGAATGTGTTACACCTAATGGATGTTCCAGGATCTGTGGACGCCTTGAATTTGAGCTCTGTCACATCCATTCCCTGCCTTCTGCTCAGCATAAACCAGGATTAAACGATCCTAAGAATCTTTAGCAGTCTTAATAATGTATGGGTTTCTCTACCCCCTTCTCTTCTTTTTTCCCCTCCAGTTTCACTCTCATCAGCTGTTTCATATCTTTGTGGTTGCTGGAGCTTTTGTTCACTTCCATGGTGTCTCAAACCTCCAGGAGTTTCGTTTCATGATCGGCGGGGGCTGCAGTGAAGAGGATGCACTGTGATACCTACCAGTCTCCAGGGACTATGACCCTAAACCAGGGCCTGCGGCACTTGCGGGCCTCCCTGCTGGCTACTGATGCCAGTACCAGAGGAGCCCCAAAACTTTGACAGCCTCGTGGGCTTTGTGACGGCCCAGTGGCTCTGCGTGGTACATGACTGAGAAGAGAAAAACAAAAATAAATCATACCTCAAAGGATGGAGTGCATCAATTGGGAGAAAAGGAGACATAGCCCAAACCCTGGCTTATTCTTGGGATCTACTGATTGCGGGCTCTGCAAGACCCTTGGCAAACTGGCTTCTGATCCATATCATATTTATTTGTAGAAGATGGCGAAACAGTTTAGCTGGTGGTTCTTTCTTCTCCCTTTCTCTCTCTCTATGACAATAATACAAACCAATTTAAGTGAACATTTATATCCGATAAGGGGTGGGAGTGTGATTTTAAATGCTCTTTTGGGAGAACAAAGAAATTAATGTAAATAAGATTTCTAACTGTTTAAATAAGACTTTATATAAATGTTTAAAACATAGGGGTAAGGGAGGGAGGGAGAATTTTTGTATAGAATGAAACATGCAAGTACCACACACTGTTTGAATTTTGCACAAAAAGTGACTGTAGGATCAGGTGATAGCCCCGGAATGTACAGTGTCTTGGTGCACCAAGATGCCTTCTAAAGGCTGACATACCTTGGACCCTAATGGGGCAGAGAGTATAGCCCTAGCCCAGTGGTGACATGACCACTCCCTTTGGGAGGCCTGAGGTAGAGGGGAGTGGTATGTGTTTTCTCAGTGGAAGCAGCACATGAGTGGGTGACAGGATGTTAGATAAAGGCTCTAGTTAGGGTGTCATTGTCATTTGAGAGACTGACACACTCCTAGCAGCTGGTAAAGGGGTGCTGGAGGCCATGGAGGAGCTCTAGAAACATTAGCATGGGCTGATCTGATTACTTCCTGGCATCCCGCTCACTTTTATGGGAAGTCTTATTAGAGGGATGGGACAGTTTTCCATATCCTTGCTGTGGAGCTCTGGAACACTCTCTAAATTTCCCTCTATTAAAAATCACTGCCCTAACTACACTTCCTCCTTGAGGGAATAGAAATGGACCTTTCTCTGACATAGTTCTTGGCATGGGAGCCAGCCACAAATGAGATTCTGACGTGTCCAGGTTTCTCCTGAGCTCATCTACATAGATTGGTAGACCCTTCCTTTGGATTAGGAAAGATGAGTTTTACCTCTGGTACACTGTCTTGGTAAGCCTGGATGTGACAGACACCTCGGCTCTCCTTGAATAAGAAAGCCAGCAGAACTCTTAAAGCCAGTTGTAGTACGGAGTTGTCAGCACTCACTGAACCTCACTTTACAGGGATAAGAGTGGTGTGGCATTTTAAATACAATGGTATGTTATTGCCAGGGAGTGAGGTACAAGACGATGGCTCATGTCACAGGCCTACCTGATACGGTGTCAGAGAAAGTGGTGGGGAAAGGATCTGGTTCATGGAATTCTGATCTTGGCCCATAGGTGAACCACCAAAATAGTGCTCGAGTCTTAGGTTACTGTCATCAAAGACTTGGGATGACTCCATTATATCCTGGGGTTGTGGGTATTAGAACTAAATATGGAGGTCCTGAGCATGGGGACTGGCGTCCTCAGTAGGTGTTTGGGAATATGGGAAGGGTCTCCTATTTATTCAATAGAGTTTTCTCAGTTATTTTCCTCCCTTGCCCTTGCAATCTCCAGCAAAAGGTGGGATCTAGGAAGAAAGAATCCAGTGTAGAAGTTGAGAAGAACTTGAACGTTTTGGTTCTGGATAAGGTCACTGTCCTAGGTGCTAGGTGGACCGAGCAAAAGACTCAGTGGATGAACTGGTGCAGTGCCTGACAGAATAAAGAACAGTATTAATCCCTTTGAGAAAGCATAGTCCAGCAGGACAGTGGCCATTTGGACAGAAGCCCACTTAGTTTCTTGGGAGCAACAGCACGTATCAGAAGCCAGACTTGCTCTTCGGTCATGCACTTTGGGATACAGCGTATAGGTGCAGCCCTGTCACAACACCAACAGAAGTAGCAGCCTCTGGGTGCAGTCACCCACACCCCAAAGCTGGAAGGATCTGGTTCAACATAGCACAAACCCTTAGGAAAAATGAAATTAACATCACTGATGTGTAATCCAGTAAAATCTCCCTTTTTCGGGTGTGTATGTGGGCATGTGCCCATTTCTATGTGTGTGTCTACGTGCAGCTCACTACCAACAGCCTCATGTGCACTTGACCTGACAGTGCTCGCTGAGAACTCTCACCAGGTTGGCGCCTGAATGCCTTACTCTCAGCAGTCAGAGGCTTGCTTGCTCTGTGCAGATTTTTAATTTTCTTTTTTGGCCCTAGGCTGGTTGGGACCTCTACAGCTTCATTCTTTCACCATTAAATAGTGGCCTTTTTCAGTATTTTCCCTCTTCCCCTTTATAAATTATGCTAAAGCCACAAAGCACATTTTTGGGGATCATAGAAGGTTGGGGTTCCAGAAAGGCATCTGTGTGATGGTTCCATTGATGTGGGATTTCCCTACTTGCTGTATTCTCAGTTTCTAATAAAAAGAACCAAATGAAATATGACCTGTCGTGTGTTTTTTTATTGCCGTTCAGCTTACCTCCCCTTGGCTTTTGGCACTTCTCTGAAGCTCTAATTTAGACACTGTGATTTAAGAAATTTTTGGAAACTTCCCCTTCGGGATGCAGAAATCAAAGTGCTTATGCCCAACTCCTGTTTCCTAACTCAAGCTTTCCTCGTAAGTTGCACCAGGTTTAGAATGGAGGGGAGAGCAGCTCTAAGGGGCAGTTCTTATTTATTATTGAAGTTTATAAAAATAGTCTCTAATGCCAAGGGCAATAGGCTCTACCATAAAGCCTGGGTGTGTAGTAGGCTGTACCATCTAGGTTTGTGTAAGTGCATTCTATGATGTTTGCGTGACAACGAAATCAACTAATTATGAAATCACTTAATGATACATTTCTCAGAATGTATCTCTTTTGTTAAGTGAAACATTACAAAATTTATTTTTTTGGGCACGGTGGCTCACTCCTGTAATCCCAGCACTTTGGGAGGCCAAGGCGGGCGGATCACGAGGCCATCTCCTACAGGCAGTGCACATTGACTAAGTTCATTCCTTGCTTTTGCTGTTGTTTGCTATTATAAATAGGATTTTGTCTTCAATTATATCTTCTAAAAGTTCTTTTGATTGGTGAAAGCTACTGATTGCTGAATATTGGTTTTTTACCCCGACCATTTGCTGTTTTCTCCTCCTAATCATAATTTTTTCTTAGTTGGTTTCCAGTAATAAAGTCATGTTGTCTGAGAAAAAAAAAAATAGTCTCTAATGTAACACTTGATGCCAAGGGATGTGTTAGAGAACTGTCGATGTCATATGATCATAATCACAACCCTCTGAGCCATTCAGGAGTATTTTCACTCTCATTTTATAGATGGGGAAACTGAAGCTTAGGAAGTTTAAGAATGACTCTAGTGCCAGCACTGTATTGGAGAAAAGAGTGAAGAGAAAATTTAAGAAAACCTTTCTGTATTTGTTATTCTGATTAAACAGTGTCATATACATTGACTTAAAGGTTTTGGGGTTCATTAACCTAGTCCCTTCTATATAAGAAGAGGATCTGGTTCGAGTTGGTGTTTGAAATAAAAAAAAAAAAAACGGAATTCCAACCCTTTTGCCTTAGGTAAATTTAGTTTTTGGAAGGGCATTTCCAGTATCAGGATAATATGTTCATTCTGAATTCTCATTTTTAAGTATAGATTTAACTTTAGAGTGTCCCATACCTTACCTGGGCATAGACATTGGATCATTCCCTGCTTTTGACAAACAGTATTAGCTGAAGCCTACTAATAACCCACTTGTCTTTTCCTCGTCTCTTCCCAAAAGGCATCTGAGCCGGGCATGGTGGCTGACGCCTGTAATGCCAGCACTTTGGAAGGCCGAGGTGGGCGGATCACAAGGTCAGGAGTTCGAGACCACCTTGGCCAAAATGGTGAAACCCCGTCTCTACTATAAATACAAAAAATTAGCTGGGTGTGGTGGAGGCACCTGTAATCCAGCTACTTGGGAGGCTGAGGCAGGAGACTCGCTTGAACCTGGGAGGTGGAGGTTGCAGTGAGCTGAGACCATACCACTGCACTCCAGCCTGGGTGACAGAGCGAGACTCCATCTCCCAAAAAAAAAAAAAGTGTCTGTATGGTTCCTGATACCCAGGTGATGTTATGTGGTTGTAGAGGAAGTAGATAAGGACAAGTTTGGATTCTGACTGTACAGCGTGCTAGGCTCTGGGTGCCTAGAGAACCCTCTGGGCAATGTTACTTTAAAATCATCCCAGAAACAACATCTTCTTGAATATTTGGCTTCAATTGTAGTGTTTCATTTTGTCTTCCCCTCAGAGGGCATGAACCATTTGCTAGCCAGCACTGCTCCCTACCCACCACCAACACCCTATCTAATGTACAAATCTTTTCTGCCTTCAGCTGTTTGACTTGGTGAAACAAGGGCAGCCTGTCTCACTCATGTAGAGGCTGCTTATGATGGCATGGGGCAGGAAGGAAGCGTCACGTGCGATGGCCTCTTGTCACCGCCATCCTACTGTCCCACCGTCCCTACCCTGCTACACTACCTGGAAATGAAAAGGGTAGCTTCAGATCTCAGTTGTGCCATTTGCCATGTAGCATGGGCAAGTGGCCGTTTGCTTGTCTAGCCTCGGTGTTCTGTTAAAATGAGGCCAACGATACATCCTCTAGAGCCCACGCTGAGATGCTGTGGTTTCTATAGATAATTTCCTCAAACTTCCCATAGTGATTGGCTGGGTTTTCTGCCAAACCCTCGCTCCAATTCCGTCCTTTTGTGGACTTCATTTACTTTTCTGGCCTTATGATATGCCCACTTTCTTGCCTCCCCGCCGCCCCCGAACCACAACTTCACTGAGCTTAATGAAGTGGTTGAAGCATTTTCCCTGAAAGCTCTTCTATTAAAATACACAACATTATTATGTGGATTTAGTAGTTCACATATCCTTGGTACTGAGGAAGGAAGATCTGACAGCATCCTTAAGTTCCTGGTCCTCCAAAGGTGGTGTACAACATAAGATTTCAAAATTCTGCATTCTAATTTATCAAATGACTTAGGTTCCAAGTTCATGCGTCCGAGAGCAGGTGATGGGCTTTAGAGTGAGCCAGGCTGCCACCTGCTGTCCTTTAGTGGTTCTGCTAAAAGTAGAAGAGGAATCGTTCTGACCTTCAAAGGCAAAGCTTATGAGAATATTTTGTTCTCCAAGGTAGAGAAGGTTAGTTTATCAGAAATGGTTTTTCCTTCCAATGGTCTTGAAAGGGATTCCCCTCGGCCATGCAGAGATATGGGGCCCAGAGGAAGCAGACAAAACCAGGCCAGAAGCTGCTCCAGCTTCCTAAGCTTGGCTTTTTAAGAGTTGATAAATTTGCCTGAAAGTGCTCTACCTGTTTGGGTGGGGATGATAACCCTTCCAAAAGATAACACTGGGTTATGGTCCTACAGAGACTGCTGTTTGGTGTCTGTGAGTTGGTAGTTGGGGTCAAATGCAGTTGGAGGTCAGAATGTGCCTTAATGCCAAAGAATGAACGGCAGGTGGGCGGCCACGGCCTTGGCAGGAAGTGGCAGGGCGAGAGTTAGTGCTCACCCTGCTGTGTGCCGCACAGGTGGTGCCTCGTGACACATGGTTGGGACACTCAGTGATGGCAGCCCAGGGGCTAGAAAGGGCTCCTTGCTGCTTTCTTAACCCTGCTGGGCCTGTTGAACACCTTATTGTTCCTGGCATCTAAATTGTAATTTCTTTGTCCCCACCTCCATGAAACAAGGTAATGTAATGATCGCAGTTAGCATGTATTTATTTAGCGTTTAGTATATGCCAGGCAGTTTCAAGCATGTTACGTGAATACATCACATTCAATCTTCATACACTCTTCCGGTAATTTGGAGGCAATTTTCAACTCTGCTGCAGTTTCTATAACATGGGACTAATGATAGTACCCACTTTCAGGGGGCTGTTGTGAGGATGGAATGAGCTGAAACATGTTATTTGGTACATGTAAACCTTAGCTGTTCTAGCATTATTCTGCCACTTAAGCTGTCTTCGAGCTGCAGTGTCTTCTGCTGTAAGGGGGCATTAATACTGCCCTCACAGGGTTGTTGCAAGACATGACGGTAAGAGTGACATTCTGTAACCGATAATGTAAGTGTGTTTTACAGAGTTGGCATTTGGCCTACTCTAGAGGCAAGTTAGGGCTATTTGCTGGTAGGAAACTTGAACAGCTTTGAACTTGAACTTTGAAGTGTGGAGGCTGAGGGTGATGGAGGAGCGGGGGGAAGCGCCCCAAAAGCCCTGCATGCTGTCCATACCCATCACTGGGGTTTGTTAAATGGAAAGATTTGAGGCCGGCCTCTCCCACATTTCTCCATGGCTTTGCCCTTAATGTTGCTCTCACTGTGGAGACTGTTGTCTCCTGGGATCCAGGTCTTGGGGTTTGGTCGGGGGAGGAAGCTGCGGGGCCTTGGGACCCTGGGGGAGATGTGTGTGCGCTGGGGGTGAGTTCCCAGATAGAGCTTCCCTCCCAGTGGACCCTGCTTAGCAAGTTGGAATGTTCCCACAAGTTCCAACCCTAAGGATTTCACTCCAGGGACAGAGTCAAGTAGATTCTTTTGTAAATCATTGGCCAGAAAAGAGCACAACCACTGCTCTTTTTCACTATTTTACAGCTATTTTTGCCGTCCCCTGAATGTACATCAATTTCCATGCAGCAATTGGATGTCTCAGCCTATTGGCTTTTCATAGATGCAAACTTTCCTTTAGGGCTTTGTAAAGAAGTTTTGGGAAGTTCTTCAATAGCAGCAGTTTGGGGACATCACGTGTAGCCCTGTCGATATTTCCTGAATGGATTTCATTCCTTTCTCAGTCTTGACCATTCCCTTACCCAACCCCCACCCCAACACAGTCAAAACCTTTTCGAGCAGCAGCTAGGAAGGTGAGTGGCCTCCCACCATGAGCCTCACTTTGGGGAATCTATGCTTTAGTTGGGGCATATTCTTGCCTTAGCCTCATCTCTGCATTTGGCCTCATTCTGCTGCTGCTTCTCAGTACCCAGAAGTCCTTGGGTTCTACCAGAGACCACTCCGACAGAAAGGGTCAGAAACAACTGACCCTTTCTTGGCTGGGTCTGGACTCTGGAGTACAGGAAGAACTAAATTATTTTGTCTTGGTCCAAGCTGAGCTCACGCTGGCTTCCCGAAGAGGAGACAGGAAGGTTAGGTCAGAAGTATGCTCATGTTGAGACCTAGGGCAGATGGTACCGGGCACCATGAAGCATCTTGAAAGTGGTGCCAGGTGATTGGTTTCCTGTTCCATCCAGCATTCTCCGGAGCCAGGGGCCACCAGCCCAGGATTGAGAGGAGCGTTGGCCTGGGGGCGACCCAACTGCAGTTAGCTGCATCCCATGTCAGTGCTGACTTTTTGGGATGGCTCTGGAAGGATCACCTTGCCAAAACACAGGTCAGGCTGGGTGGTGTCACCGCAGGAGTTGGGGCAGTAGCCCCCAGGCACACACAGGCAGCAGGAGTAGGGGCGGCGAGGCTGAGGTGTCCGAGGCGCCGCCGCAGTCCTGGGCATTCTCCTGCGAACGCAGAGCAGAGGTGACAGCGCGGCGCTCAGAGGAGGACCCTCAAAAAGGGAGGGGCTTCCACCACTAATTTGGGCCAAAATCCTGGGGAAAGGGGAGTTTTGGAAAGCCGGGGAAGCACTGCTACCTCTCTTAGGCCCCTACCTTTTGGGGGAAAAGCAAAGGCTGGCCCCTCAGCCTGGGAGGGGGGCACCGGCCTTCTCTGCTTGCCCTCAGGCTTGGAGTGGCTGCGAGGTCATCCTCTCAGAATGTCCTCAACTCTGGGAGCATCTCTGATGGGGGTTTCTGGTCCCAGCAGACCAGACTGTATGAAGCACCCGGCTCAGGGCCTGACACCTGGGTCTGGGTTCTGGATCCGTACCAGCCACTATGACTATTATCCACGTGACGGCCCCCTCACATTGCTCGATCATTCGGAACTAAGTGTAGCGGGAATGAGGACAAGATGGGAAAACTGCATTCTAATTCACCTAGGGCCCAAGCCCTAGGAAGCGTGGCTCTTCGTTAAAGCACCTTGGGATCCTGGTTGACTTCGTATTTTAATGACACAGGGGCTCTGCTGTGCTTTCACACCAGCACTTCAACAAATGTGAAGGGTTTTTCCCACCCCACTCTCTGGACACCAACTGGGTGTCTGTCCTGAAACTCAATTCAAGTCTGACACTATTGAGAGTTAGCATTAGAGCTCGCAAGTTACAGGGCTCGGTCCCACAAGGTGGCCGTCACTTCAGATGCCAATCGCAAGCCCCAGGTCTCCTGTCCTTCTGACAGACTGGCTGTAAATCTAGGGTTCCCATGAGCCTGTCTCAGGCTCCGTGAGTTGTTAGCGTGGCTCACTCAACTCAGGAAGGTGCTTCCCTCACCATGACCCGTTTATTATAAAGGACGCAGGTCAGGCGGCTGAGTGGAAGAGACACGTAGGCCAAGGCACGGGGTACGCAGAGCTCCCACACCCTTTCACCAATTCGGACACTCTCCAAACACAGTGGCTCGGGGATTTTATGGAGGCCTCATTATGATCATTGATTAAATCTTTGGCCACTGGTGATCAACTCAGTCTCCAGCCCCCTTCCTTTCCCAGAAGCCAGGGGCTTGGAGCCAAAAGTCCCAACCCTCTAATCCTAACTTGGTGTTTCCTGTGGCCAGCTCTCATCCTGTCTAGGGCCCCCAGCCACCAGTCATCTAATTAGCATACAAAGATACCTCTATCATTCCAAGGGTCTTAGAGGCACCTGTGAAGGAACCAGGGACTAAGACCAAACACTATAACAAAAGATGCACCTATCACCCTAATCAGGAAATAACAAGCGTTTTAGGAGCTTGCCAGGAATCAGGACAAAGACTAAATAAAGATCTGTTTCTTATTATATCACAGTGTCACAGGGCATAAACGCGAATGTTTCCCCCGAGAAGCACAGGCACAGGTGTGTTCATTGGCATCCCTATATGCTCCTGTCTGCAGGGGCACAGACCCAGGCACAGAGGGTTTGGGGATGAAAATCCAGCCCACCCTCGATCCGCCTCAACCCGCACCTCTGGATGGAAGGCGTGGCAGGAGTCTGGTCGCCGGCGGAGCTTCTGGGAGCGCATCCGGTCACATTTGACAGAGGCATTATGTGCAGAAGCCACTGTTAAGGTCAATATCTCAGGACCGGAGCCCATTCTGCAGACTGGAAAAAGGTCTGGAAGAACCTGCTCTGGTGCCACCAGTTGCCCTGCAAGCAGCTTTAGGGTCAGGAGGCAGCACCGGGGCCCAGGGAAGGGTTAGAGAACAAATAACGGAGCCCTGTGGAGGACACGGGCGGTGAAGGAGGCTGGCCCCGCTGCTCAAAATCTGAGCCCTACAGACACCTCCTACAGCCCCCGCCCCCACCGCACACATCCCCGAGCATTGCAGGATATATTTGACTTCTGTCGCCTCCTGCAGCACTGGTGGGAAGATGCTGCAGTCACAGGTGGGGTCTGTCACCAGGAGGAGGAGGTTACTGTTGGGAATCTGCTGCACCACAAATACCCTGCAGCAAAGAAAGGGAGTCGAGGATGGCTCCGTGGCGACCACGAGAAGGGCTTCTAGGGAAGGAACTTCTGGAGACTTTAGTGTGGAGTTAGGGTGGCAGGGAAGCCCGGAACCATGAGGCAGGGCGGGTCGGGGCAGCTAAGGGAACGGGCCTGGCAGATGGCTCAGTCCTACTGGCTTTGCTCACAAGCCTTTGCTGCTGCATTTCCTTTCCTAGCAGACTGGAGACAGTGAGGAAGTCCAAACTGGGCCGCTTTGGAGAGTGCAGAGTTGCTATTAATATATGCAGGGACGACAGGCGTAAATCAAGACCGTCCGGAGCAAATGGGCGGGCGAGGCAACACTTGCTCTGGGTGAGGGTGGCGGGGGCAGGCCCGGGCGAAGCGGCAGCGCTGGAGCTTGGCCACCAGGTGGCGCAGTGGCCCCGCGCTCGGCGAGGCCGCCCTGCGAGGAGTGGCGCGGAGTGGGGCGGAGCCCGCCCGCCAGGCCCACGGCCTTCCCAGCAGTCCCAGCGGCCGCCTACCGAGCGCCTCCCCTGGGATGGGCGGTCTCACACACCCAACGTGCACACCACAGCCGTGTATACTCTCAGCCTTCACGGCTCTGTATGAGGCTGGTGTTGTGCCCATTTTGCAGATGAGAGAATGGAGACTAGAGGAGGCGAAGTCACTTGCCCACGGTCATAAGCGGGGGAGCGCAGAGCCAGTTTTCAATTCAGGAGTGTCTACTCTGAAGCCCTCGCTTCACTCCGGAGCCCGCTGGCTCTATCCTCGCACCGAGCCTTTGCGACAAGTGCACAGGGAACGCTAACCCCAGCCCTCAACGCTGCACAGAACCCGGGGTGAAACCCGCGCAGCACGACGCGCAGGGAGTGGGGGAGAAGGGAGCCCCGATGCCAGCGCCGCAGGTGCCGCACTGTTAAATGGTGTGCCACGGGCCCGGGGGTCTAGGGACCGCCTGGCGAGCGGCACGTCTGGCTGAGGCGACCCTCGAGGAGGCCGCCGCATTCCCAGCGTGGGGGTCCTCCCGGGCTTGGGTGCGGGGGGTCAGCAGGAGAGACCCTTCCGCGCGGCCTCCCTGCCTCCCCGGGGCCAGGGCGGGTTATAACTAGCGGCTTCCACACAGCAGGAAGCCTGACAGAGGCTGCCCGCGGGGCTCCCAGCGACCCGAGGACATCGCACACTTCCGGCCTTCTCTTCTCACACTCCCTCTGCCTTCCAAGTTCTCCCCACGCAGCTCAGGCGCGGGCACTGGCACCGCCCTGGGCACCGCCTGAGCAGGGCTGGGGGAGACCCGCCGAAGGGCCCACTCGCCCAGAGACGCCGTGGGGTCACGGCTGCGGCCTCGGCGGGGTGGGCTCGACACACAGGGTCAGGCCTCGGGACCACCTCTCCCCATCCCGGCTGTCCCGGTCCCCAGCCGTCCTGCCCGCCTCAGACCGTCCGCCTCCTGCGTGTCTCCTCCACTGAGGACGGCGGGGGAAGACCCCGGGAGCGTGGGCTCTGCACTTAGACGCATCCCCTCCTCCCGGCTGTGGAGCCGTTTCCCGGGGGTTCCGGGGCCCTGCCCGCACTTCCGCCTTGCCGAGGGCGGGAGGAGTGTGGCGGGACGGGCGGCGCCGCCCTGCGGTCTTACTTCTGGCAGGGCCCGCACTCCACGATCCCGTTGGCCTCCCGGATGGCCGGCTGGTACACGAACACGGGGTACTCCGTGTCGCAGGGCTGCAGCGGGTCCTGCTTCTTGTGTTTGTGGGCTGCGGGCGGAGAAAGGACATCACGCCACCGAAGGGGCCTCTGGCCTGCGGTGACCTCGCCTCGGCACTCCCAGGGCCAGAGTTCACCCCAGTGCATTTGCAGAGGGTCCCTCCTCAGGCAGTTCTCAGGACACGCGTGGGAGGAGCCGGGCGGGGGGTGAGGGGAGGGAAGACACCCGGAGTCTCTGGAGAGGGTGGCTTGGCACGGGGAGCGCCGCAGGGGCCCTGAGCCTCGGTGGAGGGAAAGCGCTTCCTCTGGGGAGCCTGGCCCTCACTGAGCTGGGGGCAGTGCACCATCTCCAGGGCCCCTTCCAGCACTCAGATCCCGGGGGAGGGTCTGAGCGGGGAGCAGAGGCAGTAGGGGCACCAAGGGGTGGCTTGGGGGTACTTAGGCCCACCACCCCTCCCTTCACTGTGGACAGACGCAGTGCAGTTCCTGGGCAATCCTGCCCTGCTCTCCCGCACAGCCAGGCCCACACTCCACCCATTGAGCCTGAGCGCCTGCGGTGGGGGCAGCCGGGCAGGTGGGCTCCAGGCCTGGGGCTGCGGAAGCCCAGAAGCCACAGCCACCCGGTGCGGGACTCCTCGGGGGCTGCGCGATTTGCCTTAGCTCCCTGGGACAAGGACAGTGGACTCAACCAAAGGTGGAGGCGAGTGCCTCAGCCCCGCTCTGCAGGACCCGAGTCCGTTCCCTCCCGGAGCCTCCTGAGGTGGGCACATGGCAGAGCAGGGCCCTGCCACACAGGCTGTCTGCATGGCCCTTCTGTTCTCAGGGCCTGGCTGTGGCCCCCAGGGATAGACCTAGAGGCAGGGAGCACAGGTGTGAGCTACCTTCCCAGGCTCATGCAGAGTCCTACAGGAGAGCATGGGTCTCCCCAGCTTCCAAATCCAGAAGCTCCCAGCCAGAGCTGGAAACCCAGAGGGGACACTAGCTGGCGTGCAGAAAACTCTCACCGAGAGGAGCAAGCCCACAGCGGCCAGGGCTGTGAGTTTTGTCCCCAGGGCTGGGCACAGAAGCCTGCCTGACAATGGCAGGGTTGAGTGGCGTCCCCAGGGTCACGCAGTGGAAGGGGCTGCAGCACCTACGCCCCGGCCTGGGACTCCAAGTCCAGTGCGCCTTCACTGGGGACACTGACATCTGTGTAGGCCAGACCAGGGGGAGGAGCTCCAGGGGACAGGTACCCCAGAGAAGAGAAATTCTGAGCAGGCAGATTGAGGGGGATCATCTTCAACTTTTGCAAGATGCAGCTGCTGACAGAGACAGAGGGGACAGTGTCCTGTCACTGACACCTAGTGACTGTGAACACCCCAGAGCAGCCCCACCCGATCGCGGATGTGAGTCCAGAAGGAGTCTGGAGACACAGCCCGAACTGCCCTGAGCCCAGGGGCAGAGGAAGCCCCAAGCCAAGGCCAGCAGAAGAGAACGAAGAGCAAGCCAGAGAGAGGACCACAGTGGAGATGAAGAGATGGGATAAGCTGGGGACAGCCCAGGTGGTGGGAAGTTCTGGAACCCCATGGCAAAGGTTCTAGGAACACGGAGGAACTGAGCAGAGCCCGCTGAGGCAAGATGGCCTCCTGCAGTCATGGAGGGCCCAGGCGCCCGGGCAGTGAGTGCTTTGAAAGGCCAGGCTCATTGCCGCCCTGCACGTGTGGCCACAGCCACCGGGCTTTGTGTTGGGGCCTCTCATGGTTGCTGCCTCTGGGGGACTCTGTCCTCAGACACAGGGTCCCGCAGGGGAATCATCCTGAGAGCTTCCTGGGGCCCCTGGAACCCGGAGTCCCGCTGAGGGCTGGGGTGCCGCTGTTTGCTTCTCCAAGGGGTGGGCTGGAGGTTGCTCACTCATACTGGCTCATGGCCACCCGGCCACACCACCGGCTTCCTCTTGGAATCTTACGTGTTCTCACCCAAGGGGAGGCTGGAGTTTCTCATTTTCCCTGGGGCCTGACCGTCCTCATGTGGGATGAGAACTGGGCTAGACTCCCCAGTCCCCCAACCCCCAGGAATGGTACTTTAAACCAGGAGAGCTCAGCCCTGCTTGGGGTCATTCCTGGGACAGGTCATGGAGGGTGGGTTCTTTGTAGCTCCTGCTGCGTCCCCAACCCACCGCCAGCAGGGATGGCCTCAGCTGGGCTACTTACAGTGATGGAAGACACTTTTGGCTGGCCGGAACATAAGCCCAGCACAGGGTGGACACGGCACAGGAAAACATGGTGGCACATGAGGGCAGGATGTCATGGGGTGGTGATGATGGCACATGGAGTGGCGGTGTCCCAAGATGATGTCACACACAGAGCCAGGAGTGAGGGATGTGATGAGAGAAGGCCACGCAGGGTGAGATGTGAACAACGATGCTTCAGGGTCACCTATCCCCACTGTCACCCACCCCACAGGGAATGGTCTCACGTTAGTGGACCAAAATGCCACTGCTCTTCAGCACATGGCCCTGCAGCTCCGTGCACTCACCCTCGGCCCCTCTGTCGTACCAGGAGCCCCAGACACTCCACTCCAGCAGGAACCTGTCAGACACAGGACTGAATCTCGGAGACCTCTGAGCCCTCCCGACTTGGGTTCCCAAGGAGCTGGAGTATCCCTGACAGCCCCCGGCCCATCCCCTCTCCTCCAGGACACCCTCTTCCCTGCTTGAGGGCTCTGGTTGAGCAATGAGGTCCCTCCCAGGGGCAGCATGCAGGGAAGAGGTGGCGTCCATGCCCAGGGATTGTGCCCTCCTTCCCCGGGGTCTGGTAGCAAGTGGGTTGTCCTGGAGACCTTGCAGCCTCCTGCTCAAGGACACCCTCCTAAGCCACCCTCGCATGCAGCCCTCCACCAGCCCCGTGTCTACCCCCACTCACAGCACCAGCTCCTGCAGCAGCCACCTGGTCGCCGTCAAGAAGGCAGAAATTGGCTGGGAAGGAGAGAGTGCACACCGCTCGCACCTAGGTCCAAGGGTGAGGGTGCCCCCCCCCCACCACCAGCACCACCCTCAGAGAGACCAGAGAGTGGGCTGCCCTGCCACTGGGAGCAGGGGCAGCAGAGCACAGGCCAGCAGCCCAGCACCCCCCATCCCCCCACCTCCCACCTGCCCTGCAGAGCTGAGCTAGCTGGGAAATGCCTATTGCAGGTCAGACATCTCGGGTGGGGTTGGACATGCCCCTCCAGGAGACGAGTCAAGCCCTCATCCTGGTGCTGCACTGCTGAGGATCCCTGGTGATCAAGCGGCAGTGTCAGGGGCTGAGGCTGGGGCAGGCTGCTCTCTCTGTCTCCGCCAGAGGCACTGTTGTGTCACAACTACCAGAGCAGTCCCTCTGAAGCCCCAAAGCCAGACCCAGAGGCCTGCCTGGGAGTGGGACTGAGAGCAGTGGCTCTGAGCAGAAGATGGAGATGGTCAAGGTAGGGCCCTGGGGCCAGACACCCAAGGTGGGTGAGAACAGGGACCAGTGACCTCATTCCAGGACAGGGCAGAGGACTGGCTGGCTGGCTGGCAGAGGGAAGGGCTGGGTGACACTCACGCTGACCAGGGGCTGGGCTGCACTGTGGTGGTGACTCGAGGGTTTGCACATGGCCTGATAGTCATACATAGTCACTCTGAAAATCAGAAGCGGGCTGTGATGAGTCCAAAGCCACCCCCACCCCCTGCCCCTGCCTCAGGAGGCTTTACTAGCAGAGCATCCGTTTACCGCAATTCCCAAGGGCGCCTGAGCTAGGACAGCAGATCAGAATACAGCTCATGCTGAAAATTACATTTCTGCACTTGGAATGGTTTAAAGACAATGAAGAGCAAATGGCTTTTGCCCTCGGAGTTGGACGGTTTTCCCTCTAGGGTCTGAGCTGCGGAGCCCCTCCCAGGGATGCCCACATGCCCTTACGCCCTCCCCACATCATGCTGACGCCCTGGCTCCATAAAGGTTGCTTTTGCAGCTCTTTGGGGGCACCCACTGTGGGTTTTGGAGGTCAGGATCCTGAGATCCGCCAGGACCACTTAGCGTCAGCTCTCGGTTTGCTGTGTCTATTTGGACTGGGGAGGAGTGTGCCCCACTTACTGGCTGAACACCCCCATGCTGAGCAGCTGGGTCAGGACAGCACCATCCACCTCCCCCAGAAATCTTCCCGTCTGTGAGAGAGGGACAGCAGAGAGAGAGGGAGGGAGAGAGATGGAGCAGGATGGAGCCTTCCGAGTCCAGCACTATTTATTCAGCTCAGGTCGAGGCTTTTGGTGCCAGTTGGGCTTTCCCTCTGACTGCCTCTCAGCATAATCCAGCTGAACCCTTCCACCCACGCCCCTGTCCGGTCCTGGCTCCCTCCTCACCGTCCAGCCTGGTGCTTCCTCAACTGGAAGGAGTCACCCGCTAGCTGACTATGAGACCAACGTAGAGGCTGCAATGTGATTTTTTTAATGGTACAGAATTCCTTGGAACAATTCTGTGTGAATCACTTGCAGCAAGGTTAAAGAATGTTTTATGAAACTGGATTTGTTTTATATGCTGTGTGTGTGTGTGTGTGTGTGTGTGTGTGTGTGTGTGTGTGTGTTGGGTCAGATATAAAACACGTTTCTGCAGGTCAAGGTCAGAAGCAGCGCCTGTCTCATGCACGCTGGTGTCCTCATCTTCCCAGTGTGAGAGGGCTGCTGTGGCTTTTGCTGTCCCTCCATCACCTCCCACAATCAGTGTGCCCTGTGGATCGGTCATTTGTCCCCTCCATGACAATGACCTAACCGGATCCCTTGCCCTGTCTCCATTGCCCACCTGCCCTCCTAACTGACCTCTCCTCTTGTCCCTGTGGCACTGCCAGAGTCATCTTACTCAAATGCAACATGGATGGGTCACTCTTGCCTTCATTTCCAAAAAATAAAACAGGACCCTCCCTCCTGCCCCCGGCTCCCCTTTTGTTGTCCATCAGCCAGCACTTTGTGGCTTCTGTGCCCTGTGCCAAGCAGCGGCCCCCTAGCTGGCTGAGAATGGCCTCAGGCCCTCCACTCTGCCACCTCTCATGGCCTCTGTACCTGCCTTGGCCTCTTGAGTCTGCCATTTCCCAGCATGTCAGGGTGGCAGAGCTTGGGCTTTGGTGTTGGATTTCGACTTTAATGTAGGCTGTCTTTAAAAATTGGGGATAGCGTGTGTCCGGCGTGTGGCTCCCAGTAAATACTTGAAAAATGGCAGCCATCGTTAGGAGGAGAGGTCCGGGGTCCGGCTTGGCTGTTCTCCCTGCCGATTACCCTTCCTCTGTCCTCATGCCAAGGAACTTCTTTCCTCACCCTCGCTGGGAAGTCTTTCTATTCTAACTTTCCCAGCCAGAACAAGGCCTTCCTCTGCACACCGGCAGCCTGTGGAGTCCTAGTCTCACTCTGCCTGATAAGATATTTGGTTGAAAACTGTATGAGAACAGGACCATGTCTTACTCATCTCTGAATTCCCCAAAGTGTCTTGGTACCTGGACATACTCAGTCAGTGTGGAATGTTGATAGGGAAGGGAGGTGGGAACCAAGCTGATGGCCACGTCAGGTTCTTCATGGAGAGCTTTCTAGCTGCCAGGGCCCAAAATGATGACATGTGTGATAACTACCAATAAAAAGAAATGCAAGGCTGGTACAGGAGCTGAGGCACATGGGCCTGGCCAATCTCAAGGAAAGCCAGGCATTGTCTGGGTGCCCACCTGGGGCCTGCCCTGGGCAGCCAAGTAGACTCCAGCAAGCCTTCTGAAGGGAACAGAGATGTATTCCAGACAAGGGCTAGGCAGAACGCACAACTCCTGAACACCCAATGAACAACCAGAGAAGTTCTCTCTCAAATAAGAGATGATGGTGCAGCTTCAGGACAATAACCCCAGAACTGTTATGCCCATGGTTCATAATGCTGTGACTTATAATCAGCCAATATGGGGCCACAGGTCCCCAGATGCGCCCACACCAGGAATCTGGGATGGAGTCAGGAAGTATTACTTTCCAAATTGGACTTAAATAACAAAACATAGTCCTTACATCCTACAGTATTTCCTGTGTAAGTGGAAATGGCTGACTTATAAAATTAAAACGTAAGGATGCAACCCACTAAAAATGCATGGCAAATTGTAATCTAAAAATGGAGGGTCAATTACAAAAGTAAGCAGCAGGAAAACAGATTCAGACAAAGGTGCTCACACTTGTCTGTCTACACTCTGCTAGTTCTTTACCTGGAATGGCCTGACCACCAAAAACTATTTCATAATACCTTTTATTCATAAGGCACTCACCAGGTGAGTCTGATGCAAAGATGAATGAAATGGACACGAATCAAGAGCTTCAGACTAGTTTGCATGGACAGGCAGGGAACACACAAACTCTCAGACATGGCTGGCTGAAAACCGGCACCTCCTACGGTGGTGGAAAGGAGTGGCAACCTAAAGCCCTGGCAGGCTGCATGAAAGAAGGCAGTGGACATGGCAGCGGGACAGCAGGGAGGGTCAAGGGCATTCCAGGGACACAACAGCACATGGGAATGTGAAAGACATTGAAATCCTGCCTGTTCTTCACGGCGCAGCCCTGAAGCTCTCCCTGGTGCCTCCAGCTGGAGTAAACTCTCTCAGCTGGGGCTCGCTTTTTGCTATTCTAGTTACTGTGTGTGTGTGTGTGTGTGTGTGTGTGTGTGTGTGTGTGTGTCCCCTCCGTCACCCCCTCACCTGACAGCAGGATTCTAGGGGACAGAAATCCACTTCTGTCCCACAGCACCACACCATGTCCTGTTCACAGTTATTATTCCATGCATATTTGCTGAAGGAATGTGTGAGGGAATGAATGACCCGAGTCTTCTGCTCCCTGGGAAAGTGCAGCGGGGTGCAGACAAGGCTTCTGACGAGGCTGGTCTTAATTCCTACAAACCTGTCCCATTCTCCTTCCTAATTCTAGGCTTATTCACCAACAACCCTGTGGTTTAGACCCTGGATTCTGAGAAGAGAGGTCCCTGAGAGCAAGGATGTGTATCCTGGACACTAGAAAAATGTATCCCCCTCCATAAATTACTAGCTTGATTTTTCTAGGATTTGTCACTCTGGCAGAAAATATCCATTCTCCCCGTCTTCTTTAGTTAGGCAGCCTGACTTTAATTATGGCAGCCATGTGCTCAGCGAAAAGACTACATTTCCCAGTAGCCCTTGCGGCAGGGACTGGCCAATGGAATGTGAGCAGAGCCGCTGGGAGGGACTTCCGGGAAGCGGGCCCAAGGCCTCCTGCCTCTTCCCCATCCTCGCTCTTGCGCTCTGGGAAGTGGACTCGAAGGCAGGAGCCCCTCCAGCTATGCTGGGATCGTGCGGATGGGGACAGGCTGGGCCCAGGCTGCCTTCATCCATTCTTTTATGAGAGAATAAACCTTTAGTTGTTTAAGCCACTTCTCTTCTGGCAGCAGAACACAATTCCTGGCTGATAGTTTCTTTTGAACTTTGTCAGGGCAAATCCCCGACTCAAATACAGTCCCTGAACCTGCAAAGCGAAGGTCCAAACGTCGACGTGGGATGCCTTGTCGATTTAGGAGCCCCAGACCGCCCGTGGAGTGGCACCCAAAGCATAGCACGATGCAGGGGCCTGACCACCCCAGCCCCCCTTTCATGGGGGACAATTCACAAATAAGCAGTGGCCCGTGGGCTGCCTGAACTCTGGGGCTGGGTCAAAAGAGTCGAGGACCCCCCCTGCCTGGCCTTCGAGTCTGGAGGGAGGCCAGGAGGAGGAGGTCCTGTGAGCACCACCCAGAAGCCTGCGGGGGAAGCAGATGGGGGCAGAGGCAGGCGACCAAGTGATGAGAGGTTGGGTAGTCCCTCCCAGGCCTGGACTAATTTGCAGGGCTGTGGGAGGCTGTGCCCAGAGAGAAGGGGTGCTCTTGACTCTGATGACAGATGGAGTAAATGTCCCATGGCCTCCTTACCTGGGGACAGCCTCCGTTTCTTCTCTAAAGATGGGAGCTCATCCTCCTAAGGGGTGTGGACACTCAAGTCCCTGTGTCTGGCTCGGGTCGGGATCAGTTTCCTTTTGTCTGCTCCTGGCTTGTGCAGCCTCACCTGCCCCTCCGTCCTCCAGGCTGCAGTCTCTTAAGGAGTGTTTTGGACACTCAGGGGTGCCTGGGAGGTACGTGGAGGAGCGGGGTGGGGGTGGGGCAGCACTGCACTCCCCAGAAAGCCACCTGAAGAGCCTGCCTCTGACCACGACAGGATTAATTCTATTCCTGGAGGGCCCAGTGGAGCAGGGCCATTTGGGACGCCAGGAAGGTAGAAGGAGCACCGCTGCCAGGGCATGTGGTGTCCCGGAAGATGGCCAAGGCAGGCTGCCCAGAGTGGAAAGGATGGCAACACGTGCCAGGCTGGGATAGTGACTTGAAGATGAGGAGCCTGGGCTGGGCGGGCCGCAGGCGGCAGGGAAGGTGAGAGGGATTCAGAGAAACAGGAGCCGAGGCCCAGAAAGGCATGCCTGATGCCCCCTGACGACAGAGAGGGATGCCCTGCTCTGAGGGCCTGCCTGGTCCGGCTCACTGGGCTGGGGTGTGGAGGGAGCAGGGTGCTGTGCTCTGAGAGATCCAGGTCCCTCAGGGAAAGGTGCTGGGATGGGGCCTCGGATTTTCTAGGCTGCAGTTGCTGCCCCTTGAAGATCCACTTTGAAGCTTCCATGGGTGGGTGCCGCCCAGAAGCAAATGACAGGAATCGGAGTCCCCAGATTCAGGGTGACAGATCCACTATAAATATTACAAAGCTCCACAAAGCCACTGTCATTGCCTGTCCCCAGCTGTCTGCTTCTCTTTCTAGGCCCCACATCGAGGGTTGCAATCTTGTCATCCATAACTCTTATAAGAATGAGCCCTGGCCTGGAAGAGAGGCCAAATGTCTAATCAGCAGGCCTGGAACACCGCCGGTGCCAAGAAAGAGCCAAGCAGCCACTCCCTGGGGCTGGCTGCAGATGAGGCCCTTGTGGTTTCCCCACTCACTGACTACGGGGAGGAGGGTGTGCAAGGACTTTGTCTGGGAAGAATCTTTGCATCTGTAGCTCAACAGGCTTCTCTCTCCAGGCCCCTGGGTAAGCCCTAGCAGGGACAAGGAGTCGCTGGAAGCCTTTGACATATTTGCCTAGTCAGGAAAGTGACAGCAGCCAGCTAAAGTGCATTGAGATCCACAGCAGCCAGGAGGCCTGGGGAGGGTTCTCAACCCACCATGCACCCAGTCACCTGGAGGGCCCCTTTGAGCAGACTGCCAGACCCCAACCCCAGAGTGCTTGAGTCCCTAGGTCTGGGGTGGGACCCTGGCAAATCTGCATCTCTAACAAGCTCCCAGATGCTGGGGCTTCTGTCCTTCAGCCACACTGGAGGCCTAGAGATAAGCAGGGAGGAGCAGTGAGGAATGAATGAGTTAGGGGAGGCCAGGCCCTGTGGCCCTCGATGGCACTTGTGTGTTTGGGGAAGAGGGGCAGGTTTGGGTCGGTTGGTGGGAGTTGGTGGTGGGCAGACTCTAAAGTGGTTCACAATGATCCCGGCCTCCTGGGAGTCCTGCCCTTGTGTAAGCCCCTCCTCTTGAGTATAGGTTGGACATAGTAACTTGTTTCTAGCAAGCAGAATATGGTAAAAGTGATGGGGTGTCGCTTCTGACATCAGGTTTCAAAAGACTGTGACTTCCACCTTGGTTTGCTCGGTCTGATGAAGGAACTTTGAGCTGTGAGCTGCACTGTGAACTTTGCTGTGAGCTGCCCTGTGATGGGAGAGGAGGCCTCCGCCTCACAGCCCTGGAGGACCTCAATGCTGCCAACGTGTGACCAGATGCAGATCCTTCTCCAGTCAAGCCTGGACATGACATGACAGCAGCCCTGGGGACCTTGATGCTGTGGCCTGTGCAAGACCCTGAGCCAGCCGCACCCAGATCCCTCACCCACAGAAACTGCCAGATTTTAAGTCTTCTGCTTGTAAGCCACTCTTTTTGCCATAGTTTGTGTGCAGCAATAGATAACTGCTCTAGAGTTGTTAAATGAGTAAGTTTTTTTAAAAACAGCAAAAACAGATGGACGGACAGAGGGTCGGACAGCTGAACAAATGGCATTAGCCCCAGACTCTCCGCCGCCCTGTCTTCCACTCATCTCCCAGTCTAGCGCCTGCTGCCTCCAGCCCTCACTCTCAGGCCAGTTCAGTTCTCCACACGGTTACCCAGTGTCTGCTGTGTGCCAGGCACCACACCAGGCAGGGTCTCTGGCCTAGTGCCCTCCCATAACCCGACACAGTTCAGGCTGCATGGTCAGAGCTGTCCAGAGTGAGGAAGGAGGAACTGGGCCCTGATCACAGTGGGGGAGCAAGGGTGAGCCAAGCACGGCGGGAGCGGGGGCCCCAGCAGGAGCCTCTAGAAGGTCAGTTCGTTTCTGCCCTGCTTCATTTCATGGAGGGTTTGGGATGGCATATAAAACTACACACGGGGTAAAAAGGTAATAGAATCATTGAGAAAATGGGGGTGAATGAGTTAAGTCAACAAATACATTATAAAATATAAATCTCTGAGTAATTGATTGCTACCACATCTAATCCAAACTTGTTCTCAGTGATTTTACAATCTGTGAAGACATGTGAGCAAATGTGGTCTGGACAGAATAGGACCAAAGTGGCCCAGTGGGTTATGAGAGGGTCCCTCGAGGGACCCTGGAGGGACCCTGGAGAGGCCACGTGCTCTCCAGCTTCTCTCAAGGCTGGGGTGGTTTCCCTCCAGGGCCGCCTCCCCGCACGGTTGTCCCGCTGCCTCTGGAGCAGGGGCTGGAAACTACAGCCCGTAGGCCAAGCCTGGCTCACTGTTGATTCATGTGAGCCCTTGATCTAAGACTGGCTTTTCCATTTTCAAGTGGTTGGGGAAAAAAAGTCAAAAGATTGATAACATCTCATGACACGTGAAATTTATATGAAATTCACATTTCAGTATTCAAAGGTTTTACTGGAGCAACGCCACCTGCATTTGCTCACAGATCGCCCATGGCTGCTTTCTTGCTACAACAGCAGGGCTGAGTCTCATGAAGCTCAAAACCAACATGTGCATCCGCCCCTTTAGGAAACGCTCGCCTACCCCTGCTCTTGAGCTTGCTCTCAGGCTTGGCCATCCTCTCCCTCTGTCCTGCCACCTCCCATCCCAGTGTCCAGGATGCAAGCTCTCTCTGGGATGCCTTAGCCCATGCTCCGGCCCTTGAAAGCCAACACCACGGGAGGCCTGGGGACACGGTCAGTCTCAGTCACCCAGGGCGAGAGGGGTCGGAGCACGAATGAGGGGGCATCAGTGATCCCAGAGCCTCACACCAACCACTGGTTTCAACTCTTATCATCACTGGTTTTCTCCCAGAACAACGGAAAAATACAAAGGTCCGGTGCTCTGTCTGGGGAGGAGTGAAATGACGAAAATGGGGCATGAAAGGGAGAAGGGGGAGGGTACCAGAGGCAGGCGCCCAGGTGACCGTGATGCTCAATTAGCTGTGTGTCCTGCAAAGCCCCGCCCACACTCCCACCAACAGGAAGTTGAACGAAACCATCTTTGGCTTCTCTACTCTTGTGGCTGAGAACTGCTGCTCGTTAAGTGGGTCATTTAAACACTACCCCAAGGAGTTAGATTTCATGACCCACTGGTGCCCCTTTGTCCTCACTTGCCCTCTTTCCCAAGTCTCCTTCCGACATCCCTGCTCCAGTTCCTGCCCTGTTCCGACGACTTCTTTGGATCCGAAGCCGCATCCCGGTCAGGCCAGACCACAGCCCTACCATGCGTGGAGGTGGCCTTGGCCACGACCTCTGCATCAGCCTCCACATCCCAGGAACTTAGAGCCCTCAGCTGGGGCTGGCTTAGACACTGTGTAGTCCAGCCCCCGGCGAGACACAGCTAATGGAAGTCGCTTGCCCACATCACGTTTCTAATTAGTAGCAAAGCTCACACAGAACCAAATACTATGCCCCTTTCCCCGAGGCTCAGGCAGGAGGCGGTTCTGATGCTTCTGCCTTGCTTCAAGGAAATACATCTGGTGAATATATCTGGATTTGCTTCAGGTTTGAATGGGCTTCTTTCTCAGTTTGATTCCTGGCTAAAGGAATAATCCATTTTGAGGCCCCTTTTGGAGCCCAGCAAGTATAAAAATATTATTGTACTTTCTCTTTTTCCTTTCTGAGCACATGCTGGGTTCAGGGAGATACCCACAGCCAGCGGGGGCGGGGGGAGGATTAGGATGTGCAAGCCAGGCATTCAGGCGAGAAAGCATCGCGTCCATCCCCCATTTCTTCTCTGACACACCGAAGGCCGGGCGTGGTGGGTGAGAGTATAATTTTCCATAAGGTCCAGACAGGACAAGAACATGAAGTGGGGAAGCCATGTCTTCTGGGCCCCACAATGGTAGAAAGGCAGGCGGGGGTTGGGGAATGATCTGATAAGTGAGTGTGCTTGGATCCTTGTGGGGAGGCCCCGAGTGAGGCTGGGCCAGTGTGGCCAGGCAGGGCCCTGAGATGGGGTCACTGAGTGGCTCCTACCAGGCACGGGAGGAGGCCAGGCTAGTGACAGATAAAATGAAGAAGTAATATTTTCTCTGACTCCCTGAGTTGAAAAGTGCTCCAAATTCTGCCTTCTTGCTCTGTTGACTTTGGTGTCAGAACACCATGTTCTTCAGACCTTTCACCTGAATTGGCCCCGAACAGGGTTCCCTCCTGGGGCCGTGGGGCTCTCTTTAGCTGGAGTGGCTGCCCAATGTCTCCAGTCCTCCTGCCGCCCTCTCCCCCTCATTCTATATCCCCAGTGACTCACCTCTCGGGACCTCTTGGAGATCAGAATGAACCCGTTGTTGTCGATGACGAAGCAGTCCAGATCCTGGGAGGAAACCCAGAAGGGAGGTTATGCCAGGGCCCTCACCCACCCCGGTCCTCCAGCCTGTCCCCCAGCTCTGGAAGGCAGCGTGGGAGCTTCACTGCAGGGAAGGAGGGCATTTGGGAGAGGGAAGCTGGCCTGCCAGGAGGACCGGGCGGAGGGCCATGGCTCCCTCCTCCACCTTCCTCACACGGGCAGAACTTACACTGTCCTCGCAGCTCTGTGTGCACGGCCCATCCACAGTGCTGCACTGGAAGGAAGAGGAGAGACTGAATGTGGACACTGCATGTGTAGTAGAAATGGCACGTGTAAGTGGGAATGCTGTGTGTGTGGTACGTCTGCAGTGTGTGTGCATGTGTGCATGGGGTGTGTATCTGCACATGGAGGGCACCTGTGTGGGGTGTGGGTGTGGGATGTGTGTGTCGTATGTGGAGAGCACGTGTGTGAGGTGTGTGCATGTGTGTGTCTATGTGTGGGGTGTCTGTACGTGGAGGGCACATGCGTGTGGTGTGTGTTAGCATTGTGTGCGTGGTATGCATGTGGTATGTGGCCTGCGGGTGCTGCATTCGGCAGGCCCTGGGTGGTGGAAGGGCCCAGGTAGCCCTTCTAGAGGTGCAGGCTCTGCAGCCCCCAGGCCTCGTTGCTGGTGTGGGGAGGGGACTTTGTGGGCTCTGTGGGGCTCCTGCACTGGCTGTCTGGTTGAGGCGGTGGGTGACCGCAGCCCCCTGCCCTCCATCCCTCTCGATTCACTCTTGGGCTCCCTGCCCTTGCCCAGAGTCAGGCGGCAGCAGCAAGTGATGGGGGCCGAGGGGCTCGGCGTTGCAGGAGATTGAGGCTGAGGGAGCTTGAGGGAGATGAAGGGGGCAGCTCAGAAGCCCAGAGGGACCTGAGGGCTCTGGGGAAGCAGAGGGGAAAGGAGCCAGTAGAACGGACAGGACGAGGCCAGGCAGAGCTGGGAATTCTCAGCCAGAAGCCGCTGTCGTCTCTGGCATCTCTTGCCAGCCATCAGGGCCTGGACCCCGGACCTTGGACGGTGGATCGAGGTGGCTCTCCCTTTTCAGCGGGGAGGCATGCCAGTGGCTTTGGAGTGGCGAGAAGGGGTGACTCTGGGTCGTGCCCTCAGCACTGGGCTGGCAGGGGCTGGGGACCAGCGCTGAGGCCCGGCCTGCAGGCTGGGGAGCTGAGGGGCTGAGAAGTGTAGGGGCCGGGAGGGCATCCTGAGAGCCTCAAGGCAGTGGAGCATCCAAGGGGAGGGAGAGGGGGTCTCACACCCAGGGGAGCGTGGTGAGTCCCCAGCCCCGACCTGGCCCGACATCACACCTACCTGCCGCGTTGCCGCCCAGAATTTGCGCTGGAGGAATTCCAGCTTCATTTGGACGCCCGCGGCTACAGGGCAGAAAGAGAGAGGGCAAGGCCAGGGAAGAGACGGGGAGAGAAAAAAATAGAGTCAAGTTAAAGAGAGGAGGTGCTTCCGCAGGAACTGAGGAGAGAGACCGCAGCGGATGGGAGGACTGAGTCAGAGGGCAGAGTGCAAACTGGGGTTTCTGGGGAGTGGGAGGGGTGGGGGAAGAACAGAGACGGCAGCCTCTCTCGTTCCCACTGGAAGAAGAGCGACAGAAAATGCCCAGCAGTGATGAGGCTCCCATTCCAGAAAACAACGAGGGCAGATTCATCCTAGATCTCTGGGAACTCAAGGCCGGTGGATGGGACAGCTCAGTCTCCCCTTTCCCATAGATGGGAATATAGAGGCCAGAGAGACCCACCCTTTTGACCAAATCACGTGACCAAGAGTGGCACCCTGGAATTCAGGGCCGTTGCCCTAGCAACTCATGGGCTCCTTGGATCTTAACCTGGTGTAACCATTCCTTTCATACCCTCTGTCTGCTCAGGATCTTCCCTGCTTTATAAGGAGGCTCTTTTCCAGCTCAAAGCCAGGTTCGGGTTTGCCCAGGGCTGCAGGTGGGTTCCAGGAAACTACAGGCACCACCAGCTGGCAAATAGTTCTCTTTTGATGACTGTGCTTACAAGGGCCACCCCTGACTTTCTGGTTCCCAAATAGGCTTGGAGAACCCAAGCAGGTGCTCACATATCCAGAGAAATCTGGGACAAAGAGCTCCAGGAAAACTTGGGGCCAATGAATAGAAAGAAGAGGCAGGTTATATTGAAAAGAAGAAGAATTTCAAAACTAGGCCAGCTTCCTAGTGTCTGGTATAATAATATCAAAACTGCGCTGGGCGCTTAGAACGTGTCCAGCACCTCACATGCATGAGTGTATTGAATCCCACAGCAGGCCAGTCCTATTATTATTCTGACTTTCCAAGCTGAAGAAATGGAGACTTTTCAGAGTCACATGGCTTGCCCAAGTCACCAGCTTGTTAATCACAGAAGCAGGACTGCAGCCTGGGCCTGTCTCTCCCTGAAGCTGCCTCCTCTCTGGACCTGGACTGAGTCCTGGTGATCGGGAAGGAGCGGCGGGCACAGGCAAGCCGCTGTCTGCTCAGGCTCGGGTTTCCTCATCTGTGAAACGGGAACGGATGTGGCTTCTTAACCATTACGCTGTGTCCGTCACAGTCATTCTCACTTCTCGAGTACCCAGTTGGTGGGAGTTCCAGTATGGCACAGAGATACAGGATTGTGTTTTTGTTTTTTCACTCTGGAATGATCTTAGAGAAATTTGATGGGAAAAATGAGAGCAGGGAAGGGTCAAAGGCCAGAGGTCCAGCCCTGCATTTTCCAGGGTTGTGATCTTTGCGTTTCGTCTCCTCAGCTGCAAGATGAGTCACGGTTCTACTTCCCCTGGAAGGGCAGAAGTTGCATAAGATTGTTGAGGCTCAAGCGAGATAATGTGTGAGGCTGTTACTCCAGACTAGAGCCTTGATTTTTAAACTTCAGCGTGCATCAGAATCGCCTGGAAGGTTTGTTAGAACCCCGCCCCCAGAGTTTCTCCTTCAGGGGGTCCAGGGTGGGCCTGAGAGTTTCTGAAGTGTTCCCAGGGGTTGCCGATGCTGCTAGTCCAGGCACTATATTTAGGGAACCCCCGTCCTAAAGCCTCACCAATTGAATCTCCTAAGATGATGAAGATGGCCTACATCTGTGCTGTCCTAAACGGTAGCCAACAGCCACACGTGGCTACTGAGAACTCGGAGTGTGGCTAGCACGCCTGAGGACCCGAATTTAAAAAACAGTTAATTTTAATTAACTTAAATTTAAATAGCCACGTATGGTTGGTGGCCAGCGTTTTGGACAGTGTTGTTCTAGAGCTCATCTGAGTTTGCAGATGAAGAAACCGAGGCTTTGAGAGGTACCTCCCCTCCCTTGGAGTCTCATGGCAATCCTGGGGTGGTGCTCCGGCTGGCTGGCCTTCTTGAACAGGTCCTGTGATATGGGAACATTTGAGTGCTTTGGGGGTGTCTTTGTTGCTTTGAGTTCCAGGTAGCTGAAAGGAGTGGGCTGGAAGGGGACGGGGAGACCCATTTGCTGGCTCATGACAAAGATGAGAGCTGCAGACACAGCGCACAGCGGCAGGTGAGGTGTGCTCAGGGCCTAGCATGGCTGTGCTCCTCCTCCCGCTCATGTGCCCCTCTAAGGTTGCGGGGACCCCTCGGTCTCTTCTCCTTCTTTTCCCTTATAAGACCACCCTAGACATTCATTTTAGACAGATTTCTTTCACCTGTAGGAAAAGGCTAAATGAAAGAGGATCATCAGAGCGAATCACGCTACTGCTCAGAATGACCAGCTCTTCGGGATTGAAGAAAGCTTCCTTCATCCTGTCCTTGGCCTCCGTGGTCAAAGAGGTCTCACATTATTCCTAGAATGAGACTCTGCCTTTCCATTTGATGGCTCAGTGTCAAGTCGCATAGAATCATGAGATTTCTGAGCTGGAAGGAATTCTACGATTCTAACATGGGGAGTCTGGAGAGGGTGGGGGTGTAGGTGTTGAGGCTCCTTGGGCAGAAATGGGGGGAGCAGGGCACAGAGCATATTTTCCCCCACTTGGTTCCATTCCAGGCTCCTCCAAGCCAAGCTGTGTGTCTTGCCCCGGGTGTCCTTTGCGAAATTTAGGGCATTGCAACCGCCTATTGGCATGTCATCTGCCCTTGGGTCACAGAGCGCTAATGAGTGCGTTTTACAATCCTCTTGTAAGACAAAAAAGTTCTGCAAGTCCCCACTCGACCCAAGAAGTCCAGCTGGCTTCAGCTCTCACTTTGAACTTAGCGTGTTCTCCCCCAGACCTGACCCTCCTTGAGACTTCTCCATTTCAGGACACATTTTCTATCTGATTGCTATCACTTTCCCTCCTCCCATCCAACGTCTGCACACCTCAGTTCCAAAACTTTATAAATCTGTCCGCTTCCCTCCATCTCCACCGTTACCACCCTTGGCCAAGCCAACATTGCTCTCACTTGGATTAATGCAAGCACCCCCGAACTGGCCCCCGCCTTGCATCCTGCCTCTCTCTGATCCATTCTCCACATAGAGTGGATCTTTCTGAAGATCAAATCACACCACTCCCTGGCTTAAAACCCTCTAATGTCGTCCCATTGCTCTTTTTTGTTTGTTTTGTGTTTTTGAGACAGAGTCTCACTCTGTCACCCAGGCTGGAGTGCAGTGGCACAATCTCAGCTCATTGCAACCTCCACCTCCCAGATTCAAGTGATTCTCCTGCCTCGGCCTCCCTAGTAGCTAGGATTACAGGCGCGTGTGATACCATGCATGGCTAATTTTTGTATTTCTAGTAGAGATGGGGTTTCGCCATGCTGGCCAGGCTGGTCTCAAACTCTTGACCTCAAGTGATCCACCTGCCTCAGCCTCCCAAAGTGCTGGGACTACAGGCGTGAGTCATTATGCCTGGTCCCCATTGATCTTAAAATCTAAACTTGCAAGATGGCCACAGGAACTGGCTCTGCTGATTTCTCTGATTTCATCCAGAAACACTTCACCTCTCAAACATGTTAAGCTCATTCTCACCCCAGGGCATTTGTACCAGCTGTTCTCTCCTCCTGGAATGCCCTTCCCCTAGAACTTTACATGGCTGGCTCCTTCCCATCGTCAGGTCTCAGCCCAATATCATCTCCTAGAGTGGCTGTCCCTGGCCTCCCGAGATAAAGCCAGCCAGGGGGACCTCCCTCACTTTCACTCTCTACCTTATTACTTTTTAAATTTTCTAAGTGACATGATTTGTTCATCTATTTGATTTCTCATTTATTGTCTGTCTGGGGCTAATAGCAGGCAGGGGATTGAGTTTTGATCCCCAGCACCTAGAATCGTACCTATCACAGTGTGACTCCATAAATTTTTCTTGAGCTACGTAAGCAAATTCAATTTGAGCCAGCCACTTGACGGGGAAGCCGAATTCTACCAGGTCTCACTGTCCCTTCCCTCCCAGCTTCAGGGGCCTTGCTGACCTCCTTCCTCTCCATTTTGCTGTGCCCTCTCACTGTCCCTGAACTTGAGATCCTGGAGGTTTAGCTGTGCTCTGGGTCCCTTGAAGACTTCGGAGGCAATCCACTAAGAAATGGGGATTTAAGTGAGACATGAAGAAGAACTTCCTTATGGCAAGAACTATAAGATGTTGAAGACAAGACACAGTATTGGGAGTAAAGGCGGTGAGGCACGGAAATATATTTACCAGTGAGTCAACGGTGTTCTGCCGTGCCCAACCGCTTGCATCCCCTGGCTTGCATCATATTGAATCCTTCTGTCAACTGCAGTCCCACAACCCAAGTTGTGCTTTTCCACTCCAGACACCCAGGGAACCGAGTCTTCTCCCCCAGGATCCCTGCTCTGCTCGTTCAGGTGAGTGGTTACTTGCGGGGAGGACTGCCCTTCCTCCCATCATCTCCTGCTAGCCAGCTGTGTGCAGGAGACAACACCTTATGATATTATGTTTGCAGACAAGCTCACACCTTTCGGTGAAGAGAAATTCAGGCAAAGGGCCCGAGGGAATGCAAAGCACTCGGCTTTTCCTGTTGCTTTCCTGGGAGTTATCAGGAAAGCTTCCCTCATGCCTGTGCATGGTGGGCCCCTGTTTTAGACCCTGACCTTCGTCCCCAGGAGGGCCTGTCATGACCTGAAAGAGGAGGACAAATCTCAGACCCCTTCCTGCCCCAGCGGGCCTCCTGCCCCAGCTGACCTGGGTCCCTTCCCTCCCTCCTGTCCTCCCTCTCTGGGCTGTCCCTTGCCTTCCCTCTCTGCCCTGCCTCTCCACATTGATCTCGTGCCTTCCTCCCAAGCAGCTTTCCTGTAAGATCGCAGCTCAGCTCCGCTGGCAGACAACCTAACAAAGAGCCTCAATAAGGCCAGACCCGCAGGCGGCTTATCAAGATGTACGTCTTTGCTGTGCACACAGACTGTCACCTCGGTGCTGCTGTGTCATCACAGAAGGCAAAACCAAACAACTGTGCATGCACACACACATACATGCACACACATGGACACACACATATATGCACACACGGACACACATGCATGCACACACACTTGCACACACATACCCATGCACGCACACATGGACACACAGGCATACGCACACACTTGCACACACATGCATATACACGTGCACCATGCACATGCACACATACGTACACACACATGCACATACATAGCATGCACATGAACATATGAGTTTGCACACTGTTGAGTGCTGTGGTCCCAGGAGTCAGAAGCTCCAGCTTTGCCCTCCTAGCCCTTTATCTGCTTCTCTTTCCTCCTCCTCTGTCTTGAGAACCTAACCAGGAGACTGCGTGTTGCACGGGATAGGGACTGTGGGGCATGAGAGGGATCATCTTTTGTAACACAAGCTGAGGACCCGACAGGTGCACAGCGAATACTTAGGTCACAGAAGGCCAGTGCCAGAAGGGAGACCAGAGATCTCAACCCATCTCCTCATTCTGCAGGGCAGGAATCCCAGCCAGCACAAGGCCCAGGGCTGCTGAGTGAACTCACTAGCTAGCTAGTCACTGAGCAACAGAGTCTGGAGTCTGGGTCCCCTGATGCCCAGTCTTGAGCTCTTTCATGTCCTCCATTCCTCACTCAGTTGACACGAAGGCACTGGGGCCTGAAGGACACGGAACAGGTGAGGCCAGTCCCCCTGCTTGAACAGCTCTGTGTAGGAAAGGAGATGACTCCCTCTCCCCTCTCCCCTCTCCCCACGGTCTCCCTCTCCCTCTCTTTCCCCGGTCTCCCTCTGATGCCGAGCCGAAGCTGGACTGTACTGCTGCCATCTCGGCTCACTGCAACCTCCCTGCCTGATTCTCCTGCCTCAGCCTGCCAAGTGCCTGCGATTGCAGGCGTGCGCCGCCACGCCTGACTGGTTTTCATATTTTTTTGGTGGAGACGGGGTTTCGCTGTGTTGGCCGGGCTGGTCTCCAGCTCCTAACCGCGAGTGATCCGCCAGCCTCGGCCTCCCGAGGTGCCGGGATTGCAGACGGAGTCTGGTTCACTCAGTGCTCAATGGTGCCCAGGCTGGAGTGCAGTGGCGTGATCTCGGCTCGCTACAACCTCCACCTCCCAGCCGCCTGCCTTGGCCTCCCAAAGTGCCGAGATTGCAGCCTCTGCCCGGCCACCACCCCGTCTGGGAAGTGAGGAGCGTCTCCGCCTGGCCGCCCATCGTCTGGGATGTGAGGAGCCTCTCTGTCTGGCTGCCCAGTCTGGGAAGTGAGGAGCGCCTCTGCCCGGCCGCCATCCCATCTAGGAAGTGAGGAGCGTCTCTGCCCGGCCGCCCATCGTCTGAGATGTGGGGAGCGCCTCTGCCCCACCGCCCCGTCTGGGATGTGAGGAGCGTCTCTTCCCGGCCGCGACCCCGTCTGGGAAGTGAGGAGCCCCTCCGCCCGGCAGCCGCCCCGTCTGAGAAGTGAGGAGCGTCTCCGCCCGGCCGCCCCTACTGGGAAGTGAGGAGCCCCTCTGCCCGGCCACCACCCAGTCTGGGAGGTGTGCCCAACAGCTCATTGAGAACGGGCCAGGATGACAATGGTGGCTTTGTGGAATAGAAAGGCGGGAAAGGTGGGGAAAAGATTGAGAAATCGGATGGTTGCCGTGTCTGTGTAGAAAGAAGTAGACATGGGAGACTTTTCATTTTGTTCTGCACTAAGAAAAATTCCTCTGTCTTGGGATCCTGTTGATCTGTGACCTTACTCCCAACCCTGTGCTCACTGAAACATGTGCTGTGTCCACTCAGGGTTAAATGGATTAAGGGCGGTGCAAGATGTGCTTTGTTAAACAGATGCTTGAAGGCAGCATGCTCGTTAAAAGTCATCACCACTCCCTAATCTCAAGTACCCAGGGACACAAACACTGCGGAAGGCCGCAGGGTCCTCTGCCTAGGAAAACCAGAGACCTTTGTTCACTTGTTTATCTGCTGACCTTCCCTCCACTATTGTCCTATGACCCTGCCAAATCCCCCTCTGCGAGAAACACCCAAGAATGATCAATAAAAAATAAATAAATAAATTAAAAAAAAAAAAAAAGAGTCATCACCACTCCCTAATCTCAAGTACCCAGGGACACAAACACTGCGGAAGGCGGCAGGGCCCTCTGCCTAGGAAAACCAGAGACCTTTGTTCACATGTTTATCTGCTGACCTTCCCTCCACTATTGTCCTATGACCCTGCCAAATCCCCCTCTCCGAGAAACACCCAAGAATGATCAATAAATACTAAAAAAATTAAAAAAAAAAAAAAAAGGAAAGGAGATGAAGCAGACCACAGAAAGCTCCTGCACAACATGAGGGTGGCCCAAAGAGAATGCCAGAGATCGGAGGAGGAGCAGGGCCAGTCCTGTGGTGTTCCGGGGAAACGTCACCTTGCAGGGGGCGTTTAAGGAAGGGGGAAGCCACCCATGGGCAGGAGAGCATTTCAGGCCCAGGGAAGAACACGCTTTCATGGAGATGGAGAAGCAGGAAGTATGTTTATGGGGAGGTGGGAGCCTCTTTTGCTTGACAGTGGGATGTGTGGGAGGCACCAGCATGAGAGGTCAGAGGCGGGACTCCCCAGAGGTAAAAGACACTGCAGCTCAAGCCTTGTGCTGCCCGGGGACCCGGCAGAACGGACAGAAGGGAGTGAGCAGGAGCATCCTTCTAGGGGCATCCTGAGTCCAGGGGGTTCTTCTACACCCACCCCAGTCCTGGCTGTGAACCCCTCCAGCAAAGCAGGCAAAATGGAAGAGGGACATAGGACACGGTGATATATCGCTAGCACGGTGCTTCATCTGTCTACAGGCAGTGGACGCAAAGGAAGGGGGATTTAGGGTTCGTGCTCCAGGCTGGTGGGGCCCTGGCTCCCCTCTAGCTTGGTCCCTGACTCACTTGGCCTTCAGATCAGCCACTTCCCATCTCTTAGGATATCAATTTTTCTGACTTGCTTTGTCCTGATTGGTTAAGAAAGAGGCCTCCAAGTTCTTGAATGACAGTCTCTTCCCTTCGCATGCCTGACCCATCACAGATAAGAGCAAGGAGCCCTGAGAAGCCAAGCTCGTCCCTGGCACTGAGAACGGTCTGCAGGCTGCTGCTGCAGGCTGCCCTGTGCCCAAACTCCCAGCCTGCCAACTCTGGCATTCTGCTTCCCTAAGTAGTCCTGGCGTCGGGTGGTCAGACCCTGAGGCTCAGTGACCTCTGCATGACCATGTGATCCCTGGCTTTGTGGGGGCTCAGGGCCCTTTCCTGTAGGGTCATCTGGCACATGGACATGCCTGTGTACCCTTCTTTCGTATGACCGAGAGAAGGGTTCGGTTTTTCCTTCTCTCAGGCAGGATGGGAGACTCTGCCTCGCATGTCTCTAAAACAGGAGAAAGACCAGCTTCCCAGGGGGGCCTCCATCGGAACAGAAGTCAGCCGCTTGCTCTGTGTCTGCGCCTGTCCCTCTTTCCCCAGATGGAGGGGAAGAGAGGAGAGAGGCACAGAAGACAGGTGCAGCCGGGGGGGTGAGGGAGAGCCTGGAGGCGCAGGATGGAAGATGGAGGTGGTGGTGAAACCGCTTTCCTCCTCCCTGTGGTCGGCAGCGATTCATCCACAGGCGCCTTTTTCCACTGAAATGTGAGCGTGGCCAGGGTGAGCGCTGCCCTCGCGGCCGGCCGTGGTGCCTCTGGTGTGCGCCTGTGTGTGCTGCTGCCGCTGTCATCACAGATGCACCCCAGCTGTCACTCCCCGCTCCACTCTGGCTCGCTGCTCGCGCACACGCGTGCGCTCTCCTCCCTCGCCCCTTTCTTCCCTCTCTCCTCTCTCTCTCTCCCTCCATCCCTCTCTTTCCTTCTCAGTTTGTGACTGACCCAGCAGCCCCGTCCCCCGTCTGCCACAAGCAGTCCACCTCCTGGTGCTGTGTGCTGCGTGCCAGCCGCTGCTCCCGCTGAGTGGAGACTCTGGCACCAGTGCCCACTGCGCTCTGCCTGCCGGTGGTGTCTGGATTTCTATAGGAATCCCAGGAGGGTCTTACTGGAGGGTTGAGAGCCACCTGATTGAAGGCGTTTGCAGTCAGAGTAAAGACGGGTGAGTACCGAGTGGCTGGTAGGAAGGAATGGAGGGTTGGTGGGGACAGGGGGTGGTCGGGGCATGGGAAGTGGGCACCGGCCATCTCTGCCCTGCAGGAATAGCTGCAGTTGCTTCCTACCTGCAGGCAATTGCTGGGGCCGAAGAAGCTGCTCGGGCTCAGGCACCTGAGCATCCCAAAGGTGCACGACACTGGGAACTCTGAGCCCACAGTGCTGGGGACAAGAGCTGTGGATTCTGCTGGGAAGTGGGGAGGAGGGCAGCGCTGGCGCCAGATGACAGTCCCGGGTGGCATAGAAACCGGTCCCTGCAGCATGGGAGAAGCAGCCAAGAGCCTTGTGCTGTCGTTGTGCCCGGCTCTGCACAGACAGCCCCAAGAAACTCGGGGGTCATGGGAAGCGGTTGGGATGGCAGTCAGGTGCTGGGGACAGGGCCAGGTCAGAGGAAGGCTTGGGGTGGAGGGTGGCAGGGAGGAGGTCCTGGATGTCAGAGGCATGGGCACAGACCCAGGTCCTGGGCCTCCCTATAGCTTGCCTGCAGGTGGCTGTCCTTGGACAAGGGTGTGGAGGAACCCTCCCCCAGATGAGCATGGGCCCACTCAGCTGTGCATGAAGCCTCCCTGGTGAGGGTGAGGCTGGGAGTGGGCAGGAGAGAGAAGTATCGCAGCCCTTCCCTGCTAGCCCAAGGGCAAGACAGGAGAACCAGGCCCGCGAGAACCTGCTGGGGTGTCCCGCAGCTGTGCACCCAGCCGTCCATCTGCAAATGGGTCAGGGAGCCTTAGTGGGGGCTGGACACTGAGCTTGGGTGGGGGGTACACAGCGGGGCCAGGCCTGCCTGGCTTCTTGACCCACACAGGGGGCATGGACACCCTGAGTAGAGCGGGACAGTTGCTCTCAATCCCCCAGACCCATTTGGACAGTGCTGGAGAGAGGAGCAGCCTGACCAGGAGTCGGAAGTTCACATTCCTGCACCTCCCTGCAGGTCTGGGGCTGGGTTCCAGTTGGCGGCCCTGTCTCTCCCCCACCCCCAAGCTGTCCACATTTCTGGGGGGTGTTGGCACCCGGCTGTCAGGGCTACTTGGGCAGTGTCTCTTTGTGACTCAGATGACACCCCTGCAGCTTAGATAACTGCCTCAGGTGGGGGCGGGGAGGGAGCCGAGCACGTGGAGCTGAGGCGGGGGAAGTCCAGCTGGTAGGGAAACCCGACAGCAGCTTCCGAGCTGCCAAGAAGAGCCCAGCTTTTCCCACCCCCACCTCCCCACCGGCAGAAAGAAAGTCTCAGCACTGCCAAAAGAGGGAGACCAGGAAAGCCAGGCCCGCGGGGAGGGGTAAGGAGAGAGGCTGCTTAAGCAGCCGATCTGGTGTCTTTGGGGTTTGACAGAAGCTTGTCTGGGCCCACGAGGAGCAAACTCTGCTCCCGTTTCCCAGGCACCAGAGCCCAGGGGCCGCCTCTGGGCTGCTATGGCCTCAGTGGGCAGTGTAGGAAGGAGGAGGGGATGGCATGTATGTGATGGTTGGGGGTGTCTGGGAGTTCTGGGGGTGGGCAGAGGAGAAAGGAGCCAGCATAGAGGCTGTCTGCCCCTCTGGTCTTCCTCCTTTTTCCCCCAGCCAAGCCTCCTGTGCCCTGCCTGGGAATACCACCCTGAGCCCAGCCCCAGGGACACCACCCTGAGCCCGGCCCCAGGGCCCAGTGGACACCTTAGCCTCCTTCATGTCAGGGACCAGCTCCCATGAGGGGCCACTCAGGAGGCTTCTCTGTTCTGCTTCCCAGAGGGTCTGTTTGAGATTGAGAATATTTGACAAGGAAACGGGGGTGCAGGAGGCTGGGGGTGAGGATGGGGCATGTGTTTTAAAATGAACCAGGAGGGTATATGGCTGTTCCAAGTACAAATATAGAGATTTTTAAAACCTGGTTCCTTGCTGCCTGGGCAGTGTGTGTGATGGGGGTGATGGGCAGCTGTCCTAGAGGGCCTGGGTGCCCAGACAGGCAGCGGTAGGCGGAGCCCAGCCTAGACGGCTGTGGCAGCCTCCCCTGCGTCCTGGCCACATGGAATCTCGGGCCGTCTTTGGCCCGGGGCTCTGGCTGGCCACTCTCCGGGCTCCCTCTCAGCCTTCCTGGGGTTGGTGGAAGGGCACGGCCCCTGCAGGCCCAGGGTGTGGGCCCAGTCGTGGCTCTGCTTCTCTCTGGCCTTCTGCAGAGTGAAGGGGGCGGCAGAGTAGGCTGCAAATGCCCCCTTTACCCCTGAGTTCTGTGACTCTTCCATGCTGAGGGGTATGGACTCTTGACCAAGGGGAGATGCCAGGGGAGTGGGCACACCCTAGGGCTAGTGTGATGGCCCAGGAGTCAGGAATTCAGAGGTGGAGGCCCGATGGGCATTATCTGGCTGTGTGTCTTGGATGCTTGATGTGGAGGGATAGACATGCGCAGAAGCCTGAGAGGAAGGGTGCGGACACCAGGTCTGTGGTGAGTGTGCTGGAGGTTTCTAGCTAGAGTCTGAGACTGATTAATTAACCTCCATCTGAGGAGAAATGGAAGGGGCAGGTGCATGGAGCGGTCCAGGCTCCTGCCGTCCCAACCTAGCTCTCTGCAGTGAGTGAGTGCGTGCGGCTGTTCCGTGCTCTGAGGGGGCCGAGTGGGGTGCTAGCAGGGAGGCAGCTCCCACTCCCAGTCTCCTGGGGTGGCTACAGCCCACTCAGCTCCGCATGTGGAACCCCCTGCTCCTACTGGGGCCTCCTGCTCCCCCATGGCCTCCCCAGCCTTGGCTCCCCCAGAACAGAGCTCCGGCCTACTCCCCTCACCTCAGCACACAACCCCCAGCCAGAAAGGTTTCTAGAAAGCCCCCCACCTTCCGTAAGATCTTGGCCTCCCAGGACTTCAAGAAGAGAGGCTGGGAAGAGGAGAACCTGTCTTGCTTGCATCTCAGTCCAGCAAGTCACAAAGCCTGTTCCTTCATCAGGGCAATGGGGACAAAAACAGCTGCCTTCTCAGCTCCAGCGGGAGTGGATCAGGCAATGCCGTGGACACTGCAGAGGACCATTCAGAGGAAAGGCGGCATCTTCCTTTCCTACCTCTGCCTTTCCTGTACAAGTAACCCCCACGTGTAAGCAGACAGACAACTGAGTTAGGAGCCAGAGAGCTCGGGCTCAGAGCCATATGATTCCATTTGCCTAACTTTAGGTGAGTTATTTCATTTCTGGTGCCTCAGTTTCCCCCATCTGCAAAATGATAGTAACAAGAACACTAACCTCAGAGAGTTGTTACAAGGATTCAGAAAACTACACAGGTTTGTGACTGTGGTAATTTTTTTCTCCCCAGGTCCCAGTTAGCTTCTCAGTGGGTCCTGGAGGCTCAGGGACAGGCCAGCATGGTCTCCTCGGTGGCCGTTTGCCCTGCTGAGAGGTGCCCGGCCTAGTCGTATCAAACTCAAATATGCATGAAAATCCCCTGGGGATCTTGTTAAAATGCGGATTCTGACTCAGTCATTCTGGATGGGCCCTGAGACTACCTTCCTACAAGGCTCCCAAGCTAGACCAATGCCGCTGGTCCATGGACCACACTTTGAGTTGCAATGGTCTACACTCAAAGCCCCATGTTTCTGGCCCTCCAGAGTTCCTCATTTGACTGCTTTGAGCTCTTCAGCCCCATTCTCCAATCCTGGCTCTCTCTGGAAGGGAGGCCAGGGACTCCGTGGAGGCCTGGCCCCTTATCTTTGGCCTCCCTGTCTCTAGGACTGGGTTAGGAGCAGGCCCAGCATCCAGAGTGGATGAGGCCATGGGACTTGCAGACAGGAGATCTCGCTGTCCCCCATGCTGCACCCTGGGTAGGGACTTCCCTCCCAGACTGTGAATTCATTTCAGCAGCTGTCAGTGCCTGCTGCGGCAGCTGCTCTCCAAGCTTCCCAATGTAGGTCACCCCCTTTCCTTAAGGAGGCTCCACTCTTCTGGGGGTGGGAAGGGTCCTTTGGATGGAGGCGTGTTGGTAGGCAGAGGCTAAGGAACTAGGGAGTGCTGGCTGCAGCCCCACCTCTCTCTAGGAGTCCCTCTGTGGTGCCACACACATATGACTGGTGTTCCCTGCAAGCTGCGCTATTTTTCCTGCTCTTGGGAAGGCCCTGGTGTCCAGGAGGAAGCCCAAGGGACCCAGGGAGGCAGGATTAGCTGCTAAGAGAGCACAGGGCATATCCGCATGAACCTGGGGGCCTTGTTTTCATCACATTTCTCTAAACAATACCAGGATCAACAGTGTCCTGCCACCTTGCAAGACAACACCTGTGGGTCTGCATTGTGGGGACTTGCCGGACTTGTGCAGGTGACATCCCATTCGAGGCTGAAGATGGGACCTCCAGACCTGCACAAGAGGCCGCCTTCACCAGCCTGTTTGCTGGTTAACTCCTGGGCTCACAGTGTGGGAGACACTGAGGGATGGGAGAGGGTGAGGTGGGATGCAAAAGAGGAGCCTATCCAGGGGAGGCAGAAGCCTTAGGTGGAAACTGGCCTGAGCTTGGGTGGGAGGGCTTCTCCACTACCTATCTGCCTGCGGCAAGCCAGAAGGAGTGGGAGCAGACACCTGGATGGGGAATCCGGCCTCAACATGGGCCCTGGGCAGAGGAGGTGTCTTATGGGTTAGGGACTGCTCTGCAGGGGTTCTCTCTAGACCTTAGTTCCAGGCTGGAGGCGGCTTACACATCTGTCTGTTGGGGGCATTTGGGAACTTAGAGGCATCTCACTCAGCTGCCTGAGTGTTGGCATTTGAGAAGTGCTGGAGTGCTGCCAGCCAGGTGCGTGTGTGCATGTGTGCAAGCATGTGGGCACATGTATGTTAGCACATACCTAGCTGCACAGCTCTCTGTGGGTGTGTGTTTGCATCACGTGCTGTGTACAGAGCTCCAAGCACAGGTCTGGGAGGCCTGTGTGTGTGCCCTGCTCTGTGCACACGTAAGTATCTCCCTGAAAGGGCCACTGCTGGGTGACAGTCGCCAGGGAGTGATGAGCAGCCTGCAGCCTGGCTCTGAAACCTGCAATCCAGTCCCGGACTTACCATGTGACCTTGGACAAGTGATCAACATCTCTGCCTTGGGTGGCCGTGGACTGTGAGCTCTTGATATGGACATTCTTGACTGAGTAAGAGAGATTGTGCTGAAGGTCAGGGCTCGAGGGACAGAGAGCGTGCACGCTGCTGTTTGAAGGCAGGCCTGCGAGGGCCGTAGGTGTGGGGCAGAAATACATAGACTCCACAGGCCCGGGGTGCTCAGGAATGAGAAACAACCTCACAGGGGAGGTTGGTGGGATCGGGAAAGAAAGCCGTCACAATAGACCTGCTGCTGACACCCCTCTCCTCTGGAGGGAGGAACTGCTGCTCCCTCACGCCTGTACTGGGCTCAAGTCCGAGCTAGGAGCAGGAGCCTCTGCCTGAATTTCCATGGTGATGGGCACTGGGTGTGTCAACTCTCTTCCCTTCACTAGATTGATCCTCATAGAAACTCCACCAAGCAGGTATTGCGGTCACCATTTCTAGACAGAAAGAAGCTGAGGCCCAGAGGCTTTAAGCAGTTTGTTTAAAGAACGGACCAGAGATTTGAACCCAGAGCCCCCCCCCCCCCCCCGCCAACTGGCACCAGGAGCCCACTGGAGCCTGGCCTTGAGACAGTGGTTAGAGAACCATGACAGCACCACGCTCAGGGGCTCCTCCACCCCTCATGCCAGGGACGTGGGTCCTCCTGAAGGCTGCATGGGCACCTGGGCTGCCTGCAATCCCACATCTGTGCCCAGTCTTGTGACCCCTCTGCCAACGCCTGCGGGGCCTTCGGCAGACTGGCACCCTCGCTGCGTGGGGGAAGGGGAGGAAAGACAGCCGAGAGGGCGGCACTCCGCTCCTCAGCAGGCTGCCCTTGCCGGGGGCAGAGCCGACTGTCCTGTTCTAACTGAGCACTGCTGTGGCCGCCTGAGGAGCACCCAAGGAGGGAGGGGCCGAGGGGACCAGAGGGGAGAAGATGGGGGCAACAGGGTTTGCAGCAGGACCCTAATGCCCGAGGGGAAACCTGCACAGACAGGCCAAGATTCTGGGCTCAGCACTGAAGCTTCTCGGCAGCTCCATCCACCTCTGGGCCTGTCTTTTTCACTCTGATATTGTCTCCTGGGCTCCCAGAATTCCATAGGCCCATGGGGGCAGGGAGAGGGAGGCTGCAACCAGGAATTACCCAGGGACAAATCTGGCAACCAAGGAAGGTCAGAGGCTGGGAGCCGCCTGGAGCAGTGGGCTGACGCAGGGAGCCCGTGGAGGGCGAAGGAGAGGGGTGCGGGCATCCTCCCTCCCTCCCTGCCCATCCCCGCCCTTGCCAGCTGCAGCAGGTAAACACATGCCAGTCCCCTGTCCCCCTCTCTGATGGGCTGGCAGCCTGGGCCTCCCATCTGGAAGGAAGTGGAGACCCCAGCACACAGCCTGTGTCCCAGTTGGGAGACACTGGGGGGGGCAGACCCTAGAAAGGGTAAGTGCCCCCTTGTCCCCCGCGAAGGAAGCCTGCTCCTGCGCCCTGGCTGCCTCAGCGCCCCTACTCTGCGTTCTCACCTCTCCTTGTGTCCCTGTCTCTTCCTAGCAGCTGCCGCAGCATGAACCCCTGAGCTGATGAGTCTTATTATAGCCCGGCTGGCGGAAGACAGAGTGCTGCTATTCACCTCTGCGTGGGCGTCGGTGGTGCAGGGGGAAGCAGCAGGCCATCCAGCGGCTCACACCCTACGCGGCTGCAGCTGCCAAGGGCCTGGCCCCTGCCTCCCTCGGGCCATGGTGAGCTGTGGCGGGGCTAGAGGAACCGGGACCCAGGTGAGGGGAGCCTCCAGGGACAGGTGACAGTTGTGGCCTGTGACCTCACTCTGCTCACCTCGGAGAGATGACCTCAGTTTCTCCACCCATAACTCAAGGAATGCCCAGATGGGAGACCAGGTTGCCATGAAAACATCTGAGTGATCAACATACTCGGGAGGCAACAAGAAGGCAGATGAGGCTGGGTAGGCCCATGGGTGCACCCCCAGCTTTGCGGCACTGTGCCCGACCCTCGGGCTCCTGGAAAGCCGAAGCCTGCCCCGCCCCCATCCCAGGGGCTTGAAGGCTTCCTGGCTCCTCTTCTTCCCCCACCCAGGGAATCATAACTGAGAGGAACAGGAGAGGGCATGAGGAGTGTAAAGAGACACCCGGGCCCTCTCCCTAACCCCTGGGCTGGAACGGGGCTCCCGCGCCTGCCTGTGCTCAGTGCTCCTCCCTCCCTCAGGACTGACAGGCGGCGCACCCAGGGGCTCCTCTCTCCCCAGAGCGACAGGGCCCGGAGAGCCGTGGGCCTCACCATGCTGGCGCCGGGCAGCAGCCCTGGGCAGAGGGGCAGGCTCGCCCTGCAGTGGAGGCAAGTCTCCTGTGAGTACACCCCTGGCCTCGGAGGGGGGTGCGGGTTGGGTGGGGGTGCCGAGGTGACTGTAGGTAGCGCCATATGGGACCTTAGCCACACTCAGGCTGCAGGGAGGCCTACGCCAGATCTTCCTGGGGTACCCGAGGCTATGTTCTGGGAAGCCAGGGTCACGCCCACGGTGACAGCATCCCTGCCAGTCAGAGTCACCGCTGAGTGCTGAGTGGTTAGACCTGGAGCTGGAGGCCACGACAGTTGTTCTACCTCCCCCAGGTAAGTCTCTGTGAGCTTGCTGGGGTCCCCAACAGGAGAAGAGCTCTGCTGGAATGCAGGCCTGCTGAGTCTTAAACAGCCTCACTGGTGCCTGAGCTTGTCGGCCTGTGTCACAGACTGCGGCGAGCCCTTTTGCTCCCGTGGGGAACTGCCCCCTTGGCTGGCCTCGGCCAGGAGCTGGGTCAGCTTGGAGATGTCTCTTATGCTCCTTATGCCTCCGCTTTCCCAACTCTCGGTAGAGGACCTAGTGGGCTCGTGGGATGCGGCGCTGGAAGAGACTTTGGGGAGTGGGTCCAACCCCTCCTGCATATAGGCAGACTGAGCCGTCCATTTACCAAAAAGGGGAGGAAGCGTGAATGAAGGCAACACTTGGCAGCTGTCAGGGTGAAAGGAGCCCTGAGAATTCTCTTTATATGTGGCAAAGGGACCAGGTCAGCAAGGGCTGGTCTGCCCAAGGCTACACGGTGGCAGGGAGGAAACGGTCCCGCGGGACGGCATTCCGCCTGACTTCCCGCTCTGATCCAGCACCCAACACGGGCAGCCTGAATTATTCACCATGTGAGAGAGGCTGGCCCCTGAGTGACTCAGATCTCCTTTCAGCCTCATTCTAGAATCACTCAACACCTCGCAATACGGGCTTATGTTTTCTTGTCACTGGAGCTTTTATGCCACCTTGATCTCCAGGGAGGTGGGGGGCGCAGGGAGTCGCTCTTCCGCAGCGGCTCTCTTAGCCTGCTGTCAGGCCCTTCTCTGGGAGGGGCGAGCGGCTTCTGGTGATGCAGATCCTTTTGAGAGGGAGCTGAATGCGTTGGATTTTATTTCCTGGGGAAAGTCAAGTCTGAAGAATGCTGATTTTCAAATGGCTTGGGGTGGTGGTATGGGGCTGGCTGATCTGGTAGCAGACGGGCTCAGAGGGGTGAGAGGGTGAGCGGAGACATGAGGTAACCCAAGATGGCCAGAAAAAGGGTCTCCGGTGGCTTCCATGGCTGTACCTGTGCTCACTTCTCGCCAAGAACAGTGAGGCTTGCTGTTAGGCTGCAGGGAGGCCTGGGCCAGATCTAGCCACGTGTCAGCTCTCAGCTGTCATCGATCCTCCAGGCAGGGAAGGGGAGAGTCTCATCCTGTTCCTTCAAGCTCCACCCTTTGGGACAGCAGACACCCAGACCCCTACTGGACAAGACTCAAGGCTGTTCAGACCCAGCTCACAGCCCATCGGCCCACCCCGACCTGGGACAGCCAGGTCCCAGGTCCCATGTCAGGGTGGGCCGATGGGCTGTGAGCTGGGTCTGAACTTCTCCATCAGTTCTCTGGCTGGGGTCTTTTCTCTAGGCTGGGTGGAACTGACCTCGGCTGGGCTGACCTGGTGGGGCTGAACTATTTTGAATTCTTCCCAGTTCTCTTTCACGATGAGCAGGCTTCTCTGCTACTCAGGAGGACACTTAGGGGTTTTTGAGGCCACTATTGGAAAGGGCTGCTGCATAATGGAAGGCACTGCTCTGATGTGATTGTTCCCTGAGGGTTACTTCTCCCAGCCCTACAGACAGGACCCCATGCTCGCTACGCAGAAGGGTCTTGGGCAAAAGATGGGACCAGGAAACGAATTCTATTCATCGGGCCATTGTGCAGGAATGCTGCCCTGTAGCCCCTAGGAACAGAAGCCCAGGCTGAGAGCCTAGATGGCTTTAGGGTGGGGGTTAAAGTGGAATGTGTCCTGGGCCCCATGACTTGTCAATGTTGAAGTGGGTTTGTACATCTTAGCCTGTCACTCCCACAGTGGGACCCTAGGTGCACAGCCTGGGCTCTAAATCCTCATGCCAAACTGCTGGCGTCATCATGGGTGTGGGATTGATGGAAACATAACAGCACTTGGGACGCCGTGAAGGACAGGGCTAGGAGTGCTGTTTTGTGCTCTCGCCTTTCCATACACAGCTCCAGAGTTGGGGTGGGCCACAGAGGGGAGGGAGCCAGCAGCCTGGCCATTTTCCCTGGGAAACAAACTCTGTCCCAGCAGTGACACTGGGAGAGGGCATGGGAGCAGGTTTCTCTGACAACCTTATCTCCTTTCTTGTGTCAACATCCATGGTGTCAGTGGGACCCAAACTCCCCGGGAGATGACTGTGGGAGGCCCTGTGAGCTTCCTATCACTGCACCAGCATGGCTTGTCTCTGGGCTCTGGCTGAGTCTGCAGGGTCATTCTCCACTCAAGTGATTCCTCTGCCAGATGTGTGGCAAGGCAGGGCGCCCTGCAGACACTGTGTGATGTCCATTAATATGGAAGTGGCTTTGGATTTGTTAATTATGCTTTTATGTGGTTAATAAACGTTTATGCATTGATTGTGGCTTGTGCCAAAGGAGATAAAGCCAAGAGCCTGTTATGAGCTAGAAAGGAGGGAAGAGAAGCAGGAGGTGGTGACCCGTCCTATTGCTTTCTTTCCCCCGTCTGTCCCTCCCACCAAGGGATCACCTGCTGGATCGCCCTGTATGCTGTGGAGGCCCTCCCCACCTGCCCTTTCTCCTGCAAGTGTGACAGCCGCAGCCTGGAGGTGGACTGCAGTGGCCTTGGCCTCACCACGGTGCCCCCAGACGTGCCCGCAGCCACCCGAACCCTCTTGCTCTTGAACAATAAGCTGAGTGCCCTGCCAAGCTGGGCTTTCGCCAACCTCTCCAGCCTGCAGCGGTTGGACCTGTCCAACAACTTCCTGGACCGGCTGCCCCGCTCCATTTTCGGGGACCTGACGAATCTGACTGAGCTTCAGCTGCGCAATAACAGCATCAGGACCCTGGACAGGGACCTGCTGCGGCACTCGCCGCTGCTCCGCCACCTGGACCTGTCCATCAACGGCCTGGCCCAGTTGCCCCCTGGTCTTTTCGACGGGCTCCTGGCTCTGCGCTCCCTCTCGCTTCGCTCCAACCGTCTGCAGAATCTGGACCGGCTGACATTTGAACCCCTAGCAAACCTGCAGCTGCTGCAGGTCGGGGATAACCCCTGGGAGTGTGACTGTAACCTGCGTGAGTTCAAACACTGGATGGAGTGGTTCTCCTACCGAGGTGAGCGCAGCCGGCCCTGCTGGGGCCCGAGGGATTGGGACGATCACCTCTGGCCCCACACTTTCCTCCTGGTGGCTGGGTGCTGACTCAGAGAGCAGGCCAGGGGAAAGAAGGGGGCGACCCTGCCTCTGTGCCAGCTCGGCTAGAAAAGTCACAAGCCTCCCCTCACATGAGCCATCACCCTTCCTGCCAATGGGAGAGAGGCTGGTGCTGCTCCCTCCACCCCCACCCTCCCCTCCCTGCTCTGCATCCCCTCCCCCAGCCAGCTCCCCACTTTCTCCTAGGACTCACTGAACTGGATCTCCCTTTCTTAGGTTACATAAGGGCAGTAAAGACACCTGGGCTTTGTATCCCGCCAAGTTTGCCTGTGGGCTTCCCCAGTGTGGTAGAAGGAGGGAGAAAAACAGCTCTTCTGAAGAATACAGCCATCTCTTAAACATCTCCCCTTACATGAGAGGGGAATAGAATGAATCCTCAGTAAAACCAAATCTTCCTTTTGGTGACAGTGCCAACTTCCTCTCCCAAGTTTTATTATCCAAACTTTAAGAAGAAGTCAAATGGGTTAGGCTTTACTTTCTTCCCTTCCCATTTTCTTTAATATGGGAAAGTGCTGTAATGACCTATGACATGATCACATGACATGGGAGAGGAGGGTGCGCAAGATGGTGGTGAGGAGGGCCAGGTCTGCGTCTGAATTTCGGCTCTGCCACCTGCCAGCTGTGTGATCTTGAGAAAGCTGGTTACCCTTTCGCTGTGGCAGGGCCTGGTCTGTAAAGTGGGAAGGAAACAATATCTATTTCGTAGGGTCATTATGAGAATTAAATGTGGCAATGCACGGAACGTGGCTTGAGAGGTGCCCAGCACAAAGTGAGTCCTCAATAAAACGTCCATTTATCCGTTCACTTCCTGGTAATAATCAAATACTAAGTGGACTTGAAACACCATTTGGCACGAAGAAGATGCTCAATGAATGTTTGCTGGGCTAAGGAATCAACATTTAAGTGGTGAAAATAATGCCAATGCTTTTTGTTAAAGTCTTACTACTTTCATTTAATCTCCAGCCACAATTTCAATTATTTCCATGAAATTCTCCTGTGTTAGTTAATTAAAAATGTTTTACAAACTATAAAGTGCCACAAAATGTTAGTCACTATGATCATTTCCCCCATTTTCATGAGCGGGGAAATAATGATTACTACTTATATAGTTTCCAGTTTACCAATGTCTTTTCATGTACATGATTTTAAACCTTACAGCAGCTAATTGAGATAGACCTTCTTATTTTACAGCTAAGAAAACTAAAACTCATAAGTAATTAAATAAATTAAATAATTTTCACAAGATGACACAGCCAGGATTCAACCGTGGGTCTTCCCAGCAGGGAAATGAGGCTGCATCCCTGTCAGCACCCAGCTTTGCATCCCCAGGCAGCACTGATACGTGTTCCTGGGATGTGAGGTTTGCTGCAGGCCACCGAGGTGTCAGCCGCACAGGGGAACTAGGCCGGGTGTCTTCAGACCCTCCTCTCCTGTGGTCGCCGGGAACTGAATTCCCAGCACAAAAATGCATGCCATGAGAATGTGCAGTTTTCAGACTTTTTCAATAGCGGAGTTGCTTTCAACATTGCATTTCTTAAAAACAAAATCCTGGAATATTTCCATCGGCATCCCAGGGAAAGATTGATGCCTATTGTATGAGGAGACTTGCGGCAGATGGGCTGCAGAGGGAGCTGCCAGTGACGGAGTGGCTGCAGCCCGCATCTTTTCGGCAGGGGGTCTAGTGCCTGCATCCAGATTTCACTGGAAGCTGAAAGAGGGCCAGAATCCAACTTTCACTTCCTAGGGGAGGTCTAGACAGATTATTGTCCTCAACCACCTTCTCTCTCACCCCAGCCCTGTCCTGCATCTGTGTCTCCCTCTGTCCAAGCCAGCCTCCACCATCATCATGAAGACATCCTGGCGAGCCCGTGCGCCCAGGTACCCACACCTCCTCATCAACACCAGCCTCCTCTCCTTGGCCTCGTGTGCCTCCAGGATTCCCCCTCCAGATGCCTTTGTACTTACAGGGCTGTGGTTGGGGCACCGATGGGGCCATTGGATTGCTCCTAAGGAGGAGAAGGAGAACATTCCTGCCCAACTCTTTTCCTCTTTACGCCAGGAAGGGAGCTGCCCATTCTTAGGCAACCAAAAGGTCTTGCGTGGAGGGGCAGCGGCAGGGGCAGTGGGTTTTGACTGCTGTCCTTTGAGTGAGAGGTAAGAACCCTAGAAGGATAAGATGCTGTGTTGAGAACGGTATCCTGGGCTCACAGACAGGTGATGAGCAGGCAGATTCGGGGGCAGAGAGTGTGGCAGGGACGCTCAGCTCTCTAATGACAGCCCTTTCCTGGGAACCTCCCCATGTTAGCACTGCCTTACTCTGTGGGTCCGTTTGGCCTGGGAGAGGACAGGCCGGATGGAAGTGGCTGCGTGCTTCTCTATAAAATGGGAATAAAGACAATATCCATTTCACATGGCTTCTGCGAGGATGAAATGGCACGATATACGTAACTCACTGTGGACTTGGCTCAATCAATGCTGTTTTCCCTCCTCCGCTTCCTCTTCTATAGATGGTGATTCCAGGATTGACTACATTGCTGATAAAAACTACCTTCTGGGGCTTCCGTTTTGGGGAGCTGGGGATGGGGAGAGGGAGTGCAAGTTCTAGATGCCTGGTCAGCCCCTCTTTTTCTCTTCTGCATGTAGGGGGACGCTTGGACCAGCTTGCCTGCACCCTGCCCAAGGAGCTGAGGGGGAAGGACATGCGGATGGTCCCCATGGAGATGTTCAACTACTGCTCCCAGCTGGAGGACGAGAATAGCTCAGCTGGGCTGGATATTCCTGGGCCACCCTGCACCAAGGCCAGTCCAGAGCCTGCTAAGCCCAAGCCCGGGGCTGAGCCGGAGCCGGAGCCCAGCACAGCCTGCCCACAGAAGCAGAGGCACCGGCCGGCGAGCGTGAGGCGAGCCATGGGCACGGTGATCATTGCAGGGGTCGTGTGCGGCGTCGTCTGCATCATGATGGTGGTGGCCGCTGCCTATGGCTGCATCTACGCCTCCCTCATGGCCAAGTACCACCGGGAGCTCAAAAAGCGCCAGCCCCTGATGGGGGACCCCGAGGGCGAGCACGAGGACCAGAAGCAGATCTCTTCTGTGGCCTGAGCGCCCATCCCCACCCGGCCAGGTAGGAAGGGCGGGGAGAGCACACGGCATTGCTCAGCCACAGCTCCCACCTTGACCCGGCGCTGGCCACTGCCTCCCCGAGTCCACCCTCCTCCCCGCCCTCCAGCAGACAAGCCACACCGGGTTCTCTCCCTGCACTTTCGAGGCTCCCTGAAAGCCACCGTGCTGGGGGCTCCTGCTGATGCTCCTGTCTGGGCCAGTAAATCTTTGGAACATGTGGGGGATCTCCCTAAGCTCTGGCCACAGCAAAGCAAGGAGGTGTGTGCAAGAGGAGGCTTCCGGACTGGGCATTCCCCTGTCGCCCTTCCTGCCCTGGGGTGGCCATAGCTGGTGACTCTTCCTACCTTGCTGGTCCCACCTCACCTGCATTGAGGGGACGGGGAGGGAGGGATCTGAGGGATGAAGGTAGATTTCTGAGACTCTCTCCTAAGCCAGAAAGACGTTCTTAACACCCCTGCAGTGTGAAAGCTGGTCCAGCTCTACAACTGTTGGTACCAATGTGCAAACACACCAGCCCTGCCATCTGGACCCAGCACTCAGAAACACCATACACCCCTGGCCGACGCCATCATGCCCCTGGATCTGCTATAGGCCACACTGACCACATGCTCCTGGATTCGCTAATTCACTCACACACCCATTGCATCACCAGTGCGGTCACATGGATTGAAAGAATTAATACACACACACACACACACACACTCACACGGTCACACGGAGACCGAGGCTATGAGCGCTCGAACAGCAGAGACATGCTCTTCCCCAGGGGTCTCCCTGAGACCACAGAGCCTCTCGCGTGCTCACTGCAATCTTCTCAAGTCAACAGCAGGAAGGAACTCAACCAGTAACACCAGGATCCTTTGAGATCCTCTAAAGTGGGCCAAAGTGGTGCCCCTGGAGGAGCCCTCCTGTCACCATGGTAACCCTCTCACACCTCTCCTGCTGGGCTTTCCCGGGATACCACCCAGGGGCCTGGAGCGGCTGCATGTGTGCATGGCGGCCTCCTGAGGACCCAGCCACACACCACTGGTGTTGCCTCGGTCCTGCCCACGCATCTCACAGCACCAGGCCCTGTGGGGCCCCCACTGATTCCTCCACAGCCTGCAGCCTGGCACCGTGACTCTGTGCCTCTCGCCCTCCATCTTCAGTACTCCTGGCCTGTGACTTCAGGGCTGGGACTTGGTGGTGCTTTGCCATTGGTGGCACCCTCTGGGGAAAGCAGGTGGCAGGCAGAGAACACGGTGGCTCCCCTGAGGCTCATTGCCTGCCAGCTTATTGCAGACAGAGCCCAGGAGCAGGAGCGGGTGGCCACGTGCTGCCCAGAGGCTCCCAGGATGGGGCCTCTGTTCCCGGGCTTTGTCTGCTCAGTGTGGCTCCCTAGAGCACCCAGCCGGGGCCAAACCAGAGAGTGGGTGGGGAGCCTGTCTGGGACAGAGCCACCTGCTGCCAAGGCAGTGCAAGTTTTCCAGGTTACCTGTCCCCCTCCCTAGCTCTGCCCCTCCTCAGAGTGTGAAGATGGTGGGTACCTAGGTGTCATGCTCACAGGCTCAGGAGGCATCAGGCTCGTCCCTGGCTCTGGGATGGAATCTCGATGGGGGCTCAGGAAGAGGCCAGCAAGAACCCTGAAGCCAAGGGTCTGAGCAGAGGGAGTTGGCAGGCCTAGCTCCTGTGCCCCACTCCGACCCTCCCTGCTCATGCGGCAGTGGGTGGGTGAGGTGGGCTGGGGGCCTGGAGGAGTGCCTTTGAGGAGGTCAGTCCTGGCAGGTGGACAGAGGACGCCTGGCATGGGCTGCTTACTGGGACCCCAGGCGGCCCTGGCCATGGCCACAGTCTTCCTTCTTTTGGCGTGTGGGCTGGTACCAGATCTGGGGATTTTCTAAAGGGACTGGGGGGAGGGGAGGGCATTGTCAATGGTGGTATCTTTAGCCTGAGACAGAAGATTTTTAAAGGCAAAATTATATTTCTGGTTTGTTGTTTCAGAAGACCAATAAAGACTGTATTTTCCTATGTACTTCCTGGTTTCATTGGGTGGGAAGGGGACCTGGGTGCCAGGAGAGTTGCTTCCTGCCCCCCACCTCCCCAGGAGGCTGGACAAAGCACCGGTGGCCATGATCCTGATGCGTAGAGCTCTGATGACAGACGGTGCCTCCCACCCAGGGCCAGGGCTGGGGCACCGCTGGGAGAGGGCGGAGGCCGAGTCCTGGATCAGAGCCAGGCCCTGTGGCTGGGGGCAGTGAGCTCATGGCCTGGCAGATCCAGGATGGTACATCCACCCTGGCCTGACAGGCAGGTTCCTGAGCCTCAGGGCAGCTTCTCTGGGCGACACCGAGGTTGTGGTGCGAAGGTGAGCTGGGGAGCCCGCCATGGCCCGTGCCCTGTGGGTGCTGCTCATCCACCCAAGCTTGACATGAATCGGCCCTGGCAGCCAGGACAGATGGGCTCGTGTGGCGAGAAGGCACTGTTTGCCCAGAGGATGCTGCCGCACGGTGGGAGGGGAGGGCAGTTGGAGGGGCCTCGGCTGACTGGGTTCTTTCAGCCTCACTGGATGCTGGCGGGGCTGCTGGCCAGGAGGAGGAGCCTGTTCAGGGCTTACTCAGGCGACGGCAAACCATGCTCTGGGCCTGCAGGGTGAAGCCTCCACGGGGCTCAGCAGGTGGGCCCCGGAATTACGGACTGGAGGGCTGGGGAGTGAGGCACTGAGTAGAGGGGATGAGGAAGAGCATGAGACTCTGGGGTTATAAGCATGCTGCAAGCCCCACTGAAGAGCGAGCTCAACGCCCGGCCCGAGAACCCCCTCCTCAGCTATATGGTTCATTAGTCTTCAGAGGCCAAGGCGGAATTTTCTCCTTCCTAGGATCTTCCTTTGGATAACAACCCAGCGAGCCAGGAGCAAACCCTAGAGGGAAGTGAACCATCAGGGTCCCCCGGGAGTTCAGCTCCATTCCATGGCAGAGCTGGGGTGTCCGCCTTCCCCAGGTGGTGATAAGTGTAGGGATGTTGCTCTCCTATAGCCCTAATAATTATAGCAGGGCCCAAGACAAGTCTTCCCGAGCCCCACTGCAGAAGCAAGAACGGGGCCCCTCTCAGGCCTGGCACAGGTCTCTGTCATGCTTATGTGTGTAATTCAAATGTCATGGTTCCCAGATAGAAGCCCTCAAAGGTCTGAAGGCTGGGCCTGTACTGAGGCTGACCTCTCAGGAGGGGAGAACTCTTGCAGCCCTGGCCGGCAGGAAGGGCCTCTGTGCAGGGGCTTGTGTACATTACAAGTCATGCTGGAAGAATGCCCGTCTGCTGGACAATCACTTGCCCGTTACAGCCCCATCCTGGAGCTTGACCTCATTCCTCGCCTAGGGCCTGGAGGACATGGAGAATTGAAAACAGATCCTGATCCAAAAGTTAGATCTCTGGAAATTTTGCAGTAGCTGTCTATAAACCACCTGCTTAGGGATGAACGCGATCTCTACTGGTCCGCTGCCCTCTGTGTGAGCCGGTGGTGTTATACACGGCAGTGACGCGCAGCCCGCCACTGCCCCCGTGGCTGGGCTGAGTGCCCGTCTCCTACCTTCCCCTCGAGCTCGGTGCGCAATCGTCACCATACAGCCCCCACCACAGACACCACACTCAGCAGGCCTGGCGCTCACACGCTTACAGTGCCAGCCGTTTCCAGGGACAGCAAATGAACCACCTACCCCTCCTTCAGCTACAGGCTCCAGCTGGCCCCAGGATCAGGGAGGCTGAGCCACAGGCCAGGGAGAGGAAGTGGCAGAAGGAGACCAAAAGAAAAATCATAATTGAAGTATCAGGTCTCCAGCACCCCATTCTTTTCCTCTGACATTCATGCACCCCAGAGTGTAAGAGCGATTGTCTGCAGTGAGTTAAACTGGAGGCACTGGGACACTGTTTCTATGGCAACCCCTCTCGGCTCTAATTCAGCTCTGAGTTAAAAATGCTATCAAATAATTGGAGAGTGCAGGAAAGCACAGCCAGCAGCCTGACCCCCTGTCCCATCCTTCCTAGACCTTCAGGTGTACAGGAGCTGAGAAGGCCCCCATCACGTGGGAGCAGCACAGGCGCAGGCTTGGCTGGGAGCACAGAACAGTCTGTAGGGAGACGATTTCGGAGTCAAAGTTTGGCCTGGAAATTGGGTCTGGGTTTAGTGTGCCCTGGGCCCAGGGAAGCACGGCAGCCAGGCGGGCACAAATCCCTTCCAAGTGCTGCAGGTGGCTGCATCGCACACGACCAGTGACACCGGGCTTCTACCCGGGCAATTTGGCAATGTCAGACGGAGCCATTCTCCCCCCGTCGCTTATCCCAGAGTGGCACACAGCCCAGGACCCCAACTCAGGATGGCCCTGGTGCCCTCTCTGAGGCAGGAAGACAGAGCCCAGCCGGCTCCTTTGCATTCCCTTTGCCCTGACCCTGTCTGCTCCGTCCCCATCCTGCTGCGAGAGTCCTCACCTGGCCAGGGCCTCGGTTACAAGGCAGGTGCCTGCCAGCTGCGTTCACGGAGCCAGGATGGCTGAGCTCGAATGCCTGTTGGATCGCGCAACTTTTCAGAACACAGCTGGGTCCCAGGTACTGAAGCTAAAACAAGGGTAAGGAGCGCTTCATCGCAGGGACCTGATCGTTCTCAGACAGCTAGGCAGAGACACCAAGGACTCTGCAGGCACGAAGAAACTGAAAGTCAGGAGAAGCTTGTGAGGGTCACAGTTGCTCTCATCATGTAAGCCATGGCAAACCGCAGCACAGGGCAGTGAACCTGGGTTCCAACGAGAGGCGGTCTGCGTTCAAATCCCAGCCTCATTCATTATTAGCTGTGGGGCTTTGGGCAAGTAAGTTTTCTGTGTCTCAGTCCCCTCAGCTGTAAAGTAGAGCCAGAACCATCGCCTTCACTGGGTCACCCCAAGGACCACATGGGAGGCAGTCCACAGTGCCCGGCACACGCTGAACACACACACTGAGCTCATGCCTCAGGGGTTCGAGTCACAGTCCCACTTCCCTCTTATACGAGACCCCAAGGCAATAGGAGACGGAGCAGGTAAGGGAATGGCACAGGAATCAGCATCCACTGTTTGCTCTATAAAGAGGCAGGGCATCTTGGTGGTTAGTAACACCTTTTGGGGGAAAAGACAGGTCTGGACTGAATTATGGCATCCGATCCCCGCTAGTTGGGTTGCTTTGAGCCAAACGTTCTGAGCCTATGGTCCTCATTTATAAAATAGGCACTGACAGTAATACCTACACTCTAAAATATTTGTAAAGGTTAAATCAGTTAATACTGCAAAAGAGCTTTCGCAAGCTTTAATGTTTAGGCAAATCAGTAGGCATCTCAGTAAAGCGCACTCTGGTTGAACAGGTATGGGCTGGAACCTGAGACTATGTGTTTCTAACAGAGGCCCACGCAATTTCAGCGCTGCTGGTCTTCAGGTCATCTTTTCAACAGCAAAGTTTTCAAGAAGTTACCACACTGTAAATACTCGGTAAATATTAGCTTTATGATGATGACGATGATTGATAAAAGACCTAGAATAAAAGAGCTCTGCCCGCCAGCCTTTCTTTCAGCTACAGAATGCCTCAGTAATGCTCTATTAACCCGCCAGCCTTCCTTTCAGCTACAGAATGCCTCAGTAATGCTCTATTAACCCGCAGGAAGTGTTTCTCAAGAGAAGCTTGCATACGGTAAATATATTATGTGGAAGAGGGGGGTGGGTGGGGGGCGGCGGGGGGCTGGGCTGCAGTCTCTGTTCCGTGTGGCCGTGCAGATCTCCTAGCCTCTCTGGGCTTCATTTTGCTCACTTCGTGAATACTTTCACATCCAAAGTTTTATGGTTTTACAAATGAAATGGCTTAGGAAGAGTGCACTTCCACCCATCCCACATTCCACCGGCAGGACTGTGGCCCTGGCCACATGTGCAGGGCCTTCTGCTGTGATCTATGCCTTGCTCTTTACACTGTCCCCAGCTTCCTGGCCTCAACACCACAAGGGCCGTTCCTACCTGCAGCAATGGCTGTCCTCTTGTCCACGGTCACCGCCACAGCTGTGCTTGCCGTCACCACCATGGGTTCACCCGCACTTTCTGGGGAAACAGAGACAACCCAGTCATGGGGAAGAGCTGTGGTTGGGGCAGGTGGAGCGCTACCACTTTCTTGGAATAGGAGATGGGAATAAAAGCAGGCGAAGGCATCCTTGGAAGAATTGAGGCGAGGGTGGGGACAGGGGTTGTGTTTGGAGAAGTTGCTGCTGTGATGGTGACCCCAACACGGGTCTTGGACAGACACACACATGGCCTCTGGCCGCCAGCACAGTGCAGGGCTGCAGTGGCCCCACGACACTGGGGTTTCTGCGTGTTTGTCGGCTGCGGCATGCATTTTGCCCACAACACCTGTGTTGTATCCAGTGATCCCTTCCAACGGCAGGAAGGACAGGCTGCATTTCAGCACTGGGTGGTGGGTGATCCTGGATTGCTCTCTGTGAGTCTGCGTGAGTCAGGGAGGACGCCGACAGTCAGTCCCAATCAGGAAGCCAGATGCCACAGCCGAGCCACCATGCGGCCCTGGGCAGCGAGATGACGGACCCTCCACTGCACAACCGCTCTCCGGGTCTTTCACTTGCTTCTCAGCTGTTGCTCCACTTCTGGGACTCTGCAGCAACTCAGGGCAAGTCCTGAGGCTCCTGAAGGCCACAGGGCTTGCCTCGCATTGCTCTCTCCACTTCTTCTGGAACAATCAGGCCACCATAGGTGCACAGTTTAGAGGGCAGTTTCAGCTCCACATTGAAACAGAGCTTTCTGGTTCTGACTGGGGCTGGCTACTTCGGGGCCTCAGGCTTCTTAATTCTCATCAGTCCTTGGCCCCGGACTTGAATTTCAAAGCACTCTTGTCTGCAGGTCAAATGCAGACTCAACTTCTGAGAAAGGGGCAAACAGTTTCTGATGTGCTATCACATTTTGTTAGAATGTCTTGATGTCAAATGTTGCCTGAAGCAAACAGGTCATGGGACTCTTGTGTGGCGATTATGACAACAGTGTCAATTGTCCCGGGACTTAACCACCAGCTTCTCACATCTGCCACGTCACCAAGATTACCCATCACACCCGCTGTCGTCAAATATCTCAAGAAACCTAAAACTGCAGTCTGATTCCAGGAACTTCCAATATGTAAGGTTGTCCTTGATTCTAGAAATTTGCCCCATGATGACGAAGGGACAATTCCCCACCTTGTGTCTACAGACATCTCGAAGGTGGTGATGTGGCAGCCCCGACAATATTCCCTGGGTCCCACAGCCCATTTTCTGGGACAGACCTTCCGTCGCATTTGTACCCCAGCCAGCAGAGGCTTGTAGGAAACGCAGATGTGAGCATGTGGAGACCCTAATGAGGCAGTCTCTGGGGACATCAGGGATTTCAGTGCCTGGCTCACCGTGGCTACCTGGCCCAGCACCTGGTGGGAATGATCAGGGCGTGGAGTGCAGAAGGGGGCGGGGCCCAGGGAGAGGTGGGCTGTGGGCATATTTCTGAGGCTCTGCTGTGTGCGGACAGGTTTCTAGGCACTGACTGCACAATGCAGCTCCACGTGGTCGGGACTTAGCCCACCAGGCCCCGGCAAAGGGCAACCATGTCAGCCTAGAGAGACAGGCGAGCTTCCCCTCACCCTGGAGGCAGCTCGTCCTCTTTTCCCCCTTGAAACGCGGTTGTTTTCCTTCTTTTGGGGTGGAAGGGAGTGTGCAGAGGTGGCCATGTGTCTAAGCGTGTGTGTGCGCTGAGCGAGTGAGTGGGCTGTGGAGAGGAAGTGGGCCCCGCCTCCCTCCTCACCAGGCCCCCTTTTTGGGCTCCAGCTTCCCTCTTTTCTCCTCGTGGCTCAGCTTCTCACCCACCCACCCTCCCACCTCATCACCACATAAAGCTCCCCCAGCAGCCAGCAGGCTCAGTCCTGGTGAATGCGGGCAGGAGGGGACCTGTCATCAGGGCCTGGGGCAGGGGCTGGGGCCTCATTATAGAACCTCTCCAGGGGCCTGTGGGTGCCCTCCCTGGGGAGCCCAATGTGCTGCTATCGAGGGTGTGGCCACAGAGGAGGAGCTGCCTCTTTCAGCCTTGGGGTGGACGGTGTGGGAAGGGGTCTCCCCTTTGCTTCCAGAGCCTTCCTGCTGGGCTTGCACTGGTAATAAAAACTCCCCCTCCCTCTTTCCTTACATTCAGTGTGGTAACGGGGCCTGGGCTTGGATTAGGGCAGAGCTTGGCTCTGTGGCTCCCTTGCTGTGTGACCCCGGGCAAGTTACAGAACCTCTCTGAGCCTCACGTTCTCCTTGTGTAAGTTGAGGGATAATGACGGCACTTATCTCATGGGGTTGTCTAGATTAAATGAAAAACACGTGGAAAATTGTTTTGTGAAGCATAGTAGTTATTTGCACGTGTGTGGAGGGAACAGCACAGGTGGGAGTAGGGGCATAGCACCAGGTGAGGAAGGCGGGATTCCGGAGGGGGCGGGGTGGAGCTCCTCCCTGCTGTTTGCCTTCCCTGTCCTGGTCCCAGGAGGATCCCCGGGATCCTGGGCCTCCCCAGCCATCAGCTCCAGGACATTTTTCCATCACGACGCTTGAGGATGGTTTGGCAAAGTGGTGGTGGAAGGCCTTTGGCAGAAGGGCGTCCTAAAGGGGAAGTTCTGAGTGACCCCAGCCCTGACTTTCCTTTTAGAAGTCTCCACACTCCTGCATCCCCTCCTGGGGCTCACCCCACCTGCCTGTGCACACTCTCCAGGCCCCTGGATCCATGTGCTGGAATGGGATCAGCCGCCCCAGCACTCACCTGGTGGAGGGGTGGTGGAGGGGTGGCTGTGCCATGCACTCTGGGATCCCTGGACAAGCCCCGGAAGCTCCCTGGGCCACAGTCACTTCGAGTGTAAATCAAGAGCACCAGGCTATGCAGACACTGAAGCCTCTGCAGGATTTTTCCGGTGCTCTGTTAGAGTCACTTAATTTTTCTTATTTTGGTTATTTTCCAGAATGGGGGCTGGGGCTGGCTGGCAGTTGGGTGCCCATCAACTCTGAGAGTCTTCCTGGTCCCTGGCCGTGCAGGGATTTTGTGGTTGCCTCATACCCCACCCTCCCCACCACCTGCCTGGCACAGCCTCTCTCTTGAGCTGAGAGGGGCTTGTGGAGAAGGCTGGGAGCTCCCTGAGGCTGGTCCTGGGTGGTCCTGGGTAACTGGGGACGGGTTGCTTTCTTTCTGTTTGGGAAGAGCAGGGCAGCCCCACTGACTTAGTGAGTACTGCAGCCCCTAATGAAACCACCCGTCTGGGTGGTTTATGAAGCTTTCACAGACATGCAGGATAAATAGAAGAATCTTAGAGATGGACTCTTCTGATCTCATATTTGGAATTGGGGCTAGAATCCCATGCTGGGTTTTTAAACTCCAACTTTGATGGCTGGCTAGGGAATCAAATGATCAGGCTCACCTTCAGCGTGGGACCTGTGGTGTGGGAAGGTGCCAATGAGCTTTTTTAAGTCACTAATGCATGCAGGAGGGAAGGCAGGAGGGGAACCCTGGTGGTCTGGACATTCTATTCCATATCTCGTTCCCATTTCCCACTAAGAGCACAGCAGGAGGAGAGATGAGACTGGCCTGAGACTGGCCCAGCCCCGGGAGCACCGGGCTGTGTGTTACCTGGTCCTTCTGCCCAGCGGAGGTTGAAGACGAAGCTGCCAGCAGGATGCTCTGAGGCCTGGCGGTACCACAGCGGGAAGCGGTCCAGGGTGAACACGCTGGCCTCGTCCTCAGGTGTCAGGAACTTCCTGCAAGGAGGAAGATGTGGTACCTCTCCCCAGATCTGTGAACACAGTCATCACTCTTTCCTTTTCTCACACAAGGTCAACTTGGCTGGGCTAAGAGAGTGATTTTAGCCCCTAAATTAGTACGGCCCCAGACAATGCTTCCCAGCAATTCTCGCCTTTTCCAGAAACAAAACGATGTCATGTTGCATCTAGCTAGCAGCTGGAAGAGGCATAGGGTCTGTAGAGTGAGGGGATACTTTCCATTTTTATGTAAACTCTTTTGCCTGCAGGGATTCTTTCTTTTGGATAGAGCCCAATTTCTTCTTGTCTGGCTCGTTGGCACGTCTGAGGGAGGAAGCTGTAGTCAGCTCTATCACTGCACTAATAGGAGGGCATCAATCCCCCCAAATGGTTCCTTCAACAGGATTGCCTCTAGGTTTTTGCATACATTATGAGTTTCCTTTTTTTGAGCAGCTTTACCTTGCTAATTATGGTTTTGCATTCCCTGAACACACGGCAGCCCACAGAAGGGAGTGTTCGGCCAGAAGCAGAGTGGGAGGCAGGGAGAAGCAGGGTGGGGGTGGGGAGCAGACATTGCTGTGGATAATCCACAAGGTGGATAACTGAGATTTGGTTTTGAGAGTGACGGGCTCACATGTACCAGAAGCAACCTGCCTTGTGACACAGTTCCTGGGCTGCCATTCACCTCGAGTCTGGGTGAAGGGAGCCCCTGGGAGTGCTCGCAGGAGGCAGAGGCACTGGGAAGGTCTGTCTGCCTCGAATCTCCTGCTTCCAGTCTTAGAAGCCTCTGAGAGGGGGCGAGGGAAGGGTCAGGGAGGCAGTGGTGCTCTGCCTTCTCCACCTCCGCAGGGATGGGTGGGGGGGAGGAGGGGAGGGAGGAGGGAGGGAAAGGGAAGAGCAACTTAATTTGTTTTCCTAGAAAGCCTCAGCTTTGCTTAGCAAGTGTGGATTTGTCACAGAGTCCTGGAAGAAGCTCAAAGATGGCGCTCCGTGGCTGGGCGTGCTTAGCGAGAGGAGCAGCTGGCGGGTGGGAGGCGAGGAGAGTAGGGTCAGGTCGGCTCAGGGGCCCTGGGCTGCTCTCCAGGTGCCTGAAGGTCCTCACCTGTTGGAGTCTCCTGGGTTGCGAAGCGGCAGGTGGCACCGCTCGGCCCCTAACCCCTCCTCTGGGCTCCCATCCTCCCTTGAGCACCCGGGTGGGCCAGCCCCTGATTCCCCCAGAACCCAGCCTTGGCTTAGAGCAGGGTTTCTCAGCCTTGGCACCGGTGACATTTTGTGCCAGGCGATTGCTGTGAGGGCTGCCCTGTGCATCATGGGATGTTTAGCAGCGTCCTGGCCTCCACCCACTAGGTGCCAGTAGGAAGTTCTCTGCCTCCCACAGTGTGACAACCAAAAGTATCTCCAGACATCGCTGAATGTCACAAAATCACCCCCAGTTGAACATTCCTGGTGTGGAGGCCTAAGTCTTCCATGGCCTACAGGGAGCTGGGCCTGGACTCCTACCAGGTAGAGTAAGAGACCGCAAATCTCCCACACCAAGGTGGGAGTGGGTGGCTCAAGAAGGCACTGCGGGGTGAGCACTCCATCTACCACAGGGCCCCAGCAGCACCTCCTCTCCCCTTAGGAGTGGGGAAAAGAGACACAGCCAGAAGATTCAGCCTGTCACACAGAGACCAGCCCAGAGAGGAAAGCAATTTCGGCTTTGTCCCTTAGAGATTCCTCTAGGTGGATTCTCCGACCAACCCTCAACTTCAAAGTCTCTCCCTGACTGGTCCGGCCTCCATCCTGTTCTAGGGACCCACCACCAGGATGTGTAAGCCTTCGGGGAAGGGTTGCCTTTCCCACTGTCCCAATCTGTCAATCCCGATCCGTAAGCCTTCGGGGAAGGGCTGCCTTTCCCACTGCCCCAATCTGTCAATCCCGATCCTTCTGCCCTGCTGGGCTCCCAGGGGTCCAGCATGCTGGAGACCCGGTGCCAGTCCACCCATGGCCCAGGAACACACCATGGGACTCTGGCCCTCTCTGCCCTGCAGGGATTGCCCTCCCGAGGTGGCCGGCCCAACCCACCTGTCGGAGACCTTCTCGGAGCCCACGAACAAGCTGCTTCTCAGGAGGCCAGCCCGGGTGCCCAGGAAGGCCATGTCCACCACGTGTTCAGACTCCCTGTGTGGCAGACAGAGCGGGAATGGTCACCACATGGCTGTGGCAAGAGCTTGGGGGCGACCTGCAGGGGTTTGGGGGCCTCTCCTTGCTCCTGCCTGGCCTGGCTCAGGGAAGACTTTCCAGGAAGGCTGGGTTCCTGGGAAGGGGCCGGGACACGCACCCTGCTGGCATCCACGGTGCCCATCAGGTTTCAGGCCCGGCTTCCGGGCAGCACCCCTGTGAAGTGAAGCCCTGGGCCTCTGCCTCTCTGCCTCGGCAGATCTAGCTCTTAATTTGTTCTCCTGGCTTTTGGGGAGTTCGATCTAGAAGATGGAACTTGGAAGGGAGATTCTGTCCTGGGACCTAAGGAACAGGAACTTCTCATGCCCAGCACGTACCAGGCACCTCCTGGTCTTACAGCCCTCCTCATACTTCCCTTCTTACCGAAACGTGAAGGGAGGGGGAGCAGGCACTGCATACACCCACCCAGGAGAAGTCCCAACGGACCTCATAACCTTGCCGTTGAGACTTGAAAGAAGACAGATCCATGAGCTAGTTGGCGTCACATATCTCCCTCCCAGTCTCAAAGCCACAATACTTTGACCAGGGTGGGAAGTCATCTCTTTTGACCCAGATGATATTCTTGTCTTTGGCACAGTGGATAGGAGGCTATTACCTAGTTCCTCTCCATGCCCAAGGGTGTGTGCTATAGTGAGCATACAAAGTAGGCAATTCCAAAGCACTGCCAGGCTCAGAGGCTGGACTGCGGGGGTCTTCCTCATGGATAGACCTGTGTCTGTGGGTGGTACCCGGGACTGTAGTAAGGTCTGGAAAATCACTGAGGGAAAGGGTCTCCCCCACCTACTCCAGTCCTGTAGCCAGGGGGCTTGTACAGGGTGGGCATGGGAGTCATAGGACTCGAGCTGCACAGAGCCCTGCCCCAGACCTCTGAGTCAGACTCTCTGGGGACAGGGCCTAAGCTCCCCTAAAGCTTCCTGATTCAATTCTCTGTGTAAAAGCAGAGAGAATGGGCTAATGGGTCTCACTACCCATAATTTGGCTTCAACAATCACCAACCCGGGGCTGGTCTCAATTCAGCCACTGCCTCCTCCAGCCCCTCAACTAGATTATTTTGAAGCAAATCCCAGATATTTCATGGGTAAATATTTTAATTTATACAATCAAAATAGAAATAACATTTAAAAAAACTTCGATGCCATTATTACACCTTAAAAAAACCTGACAATTCATTAATATGATCAGATAATCCAGTCGCCTCGCGAATTTTTTTAAGTTTGGCTGAATCAGAATCTGCCTAAGGCTCACGCATGGCAACGGGTATCTCTTATTTGTCTGTCTGTCTCTCTCTGTCTTTATTGAGATATCGTTCAAATACCATCCAATTCACCCACCTAAAGTGTGTGATTCAATAGTTTTTCATGTATTCACAGAGTTGTGCCACCGTCAGCACTGTGAATTTTAGAACATTTTCATCACCCCGGAAAGAAACCCCATAACCATTAGCAGTCATCTTTGGCCTCCTTTAACCTGATTCCCTTTCTCTCTCCACTCTCCCTCTCCCCTTCTCTTTTCCTTGCAATCGATGTGTGGAACAAACAGAGCGACAAAGGGCGCTTGCCTGTGGGGATTCTCCGGTTCTGGCCTTGGCGGATTGCCACCCTGGGGTGCTCTTCAGCCTGCTCTGTGTCCCCTGCATTGCCTGTCAACTGGCCGTGAGACCTCAGGGCCTGACCGGGTTCCGGTTTGTGTTTTTACAAGGCTGTTCTTCACAAGAGGCACACACTCTGACTGATTAGGGCATGAAAAATACATGCATTCTTTTATTTCTTATTTTATTTTTACCCGAAATATCTGTATAAGGAAAAACTTCTCCTCATCAATATTTAGTTATCCTGAAGTACAACTTTTATAGAAGAGGCAGGATAAATAATTTATTCTTTTTGTTTCTTTGTTAGGTTTTAGAATAATGAGTTGCTTTCCTAACAATCTTCCAAAGATGGCCAATGAGGTTTTTTCCAGTATCATTATGAACCCAAGTATTTTAATATATTTCATATGTTTTAACCCATTGCAATTATTATTATTATTATTATTTTTATTTAAAGACAGGTTCTCACTACGTTGCCCAGGCTGGCCTTGAACTCCTGGGCTCAAACGATCCTCTCGCCTGAGCCTGCCATGAGGCTGGGATAACAGCCGTGCCTCCACAGCCAGCTCCTGCTGTGATTATAATTACTTTTGCTGCTCTGATCATCCACCTTTGGCCAGTGAGGGCCTCCTCCAGCTGGCTCTGGGGTCCCTTGGGCACAATATCATTTGTCTTTGGTAACTTCTTGCTTCCTCATACGACAAGATGTTCCAGGTTCATTGTGCGTATTTCCTGCCCCTGTCCTGGAATCAGACATTTCTTCTAGGATCATGGGCTCATTTTAAAGAGGACTGACATTGAAAGTCCGAAGTCTGGGGCTGGGGCACTTGCTGCGGTGGGCCCTTTCAGGGGAGAGAGCTAGGATATCCTTTTAATTTCTTTAAGAGAAATACATCATGAGTTCAAATTGATATTTCTAATTCAAATTTAGCATTCCATCTAATCTTAACTTCTCTGATTTTTGAAATTTGCATATCTCTTTTCCCTTTTGCTGAAGATCTTGGTTCTTAATGACATTAATATAATACAATTTGCTCTCTCTATTCAGAATAACAATGCCAATACTATTTCTAGCAATGTGATTACTGAGGACTGCTTAACATTTTATTTATTTAGTGTTTACAATTCTAAAGCCCCTTGAAAGAATTCCCGTATGTTCGATTATTTAATGAACTTGATATATGGCTAGGTTTAGCTGTTTCATTTGCTTTCAATTACTACAGGTTACTTTTTAAAATTTAATTTTGTTTTATGATTAGATAAAGCATTTATATGGTTCCAAAGTCAATATGGAGAATAAGGCCTATTCAGGGGAGTCTGTCTCTGTATCCATCTCCTTGTTCCTTCACTCTTCCTGTAGGTAACCTGACTTTTGGTTCCTTGTTCCACTAAAAAGTACGTGTGTGTATGTGTACATACATATACGCATGTACATTTATATGTACCTTTGTGAAAGTAATTATGAAAATATATTTGTATTTTCTCTTTCTAGATAAGCAGTGGAGATATTATTCATACTTTTTTCATTACTGAAGATGATTTCATAGTGGCAGTATATAGAGATATTCTAATTTTTCACAGCTGCATAGAATTCCATTATGTGGATCCACCATGATTTATGTAACTAGGCTCCCACTGATGAACGTTTGGGTTGTTTCCAATCTTCTATTGTTATTAAAGGTGCTATAATGAGCAGCTCATAGGTACATTTTTTTCATATTTTTGCCAGTGTATCTTTGGGATAAGGTTCCTAGAAGTGAGGTTGCTGGGTCAAAGTGTAAATGTACATGAAATTGTGCTAGACGTCATCAAATTCCCCTCGACGGGGTTTGAAACATTTCGTATCCCACCCACAATCTACGAGTGCCTGACTCCCCACAGTTCTGCCAACAGTGCACACTGACAAGCTCAGGTGGCTTTCAGTCTGAGAGGCGAGAAGTCCAATCTGGGCATAGTTGTCATTTGCATTTCAGATTACATGTTAGGTTGAGCATTGTTTTTCTTTATATTTTAAGACTATTTGAATTGTTCTTCTAAGGACTATTTGCATTTTTCCTCTGAACTGTTCGTATTTCTTGACTACTTTCCCTCTAAGGTAGTTGACCTCTTAAGTCTCAATTTTCAAAGTCCTTTGTCGTGAATACATAATATATAGAGTAACCCTTTATCTGTTTTATAAGTTGCAAACACCTTTCCAGTTTGTAATTTCTCTTTTTACCTTGCTCATGTTTTTATTTCTGCCATAGAAACATATTTTTTTCTTTTTTTTAAAAAAAGATGAGGTTGGCCAGGCGCGGTGGCTCACGCCTGTAATCCCAGCACTTTGGGAGGCCGAGGCAGGGGGATCATGAGGTCAGGAGATTGAGACCATCCTGGCTAACATGGTGAAACCCCGTCTCTACTAAAAATACAAAAAAATACAAAGAATTCACCAGGCGTGGTGGCAGGTGCCTGTAGTCCCAGCTACTCAGGAGGCTGAGGCAGGAGAATGGCGAGCTTGTGCCACTGCACTCCAGCCTGGGCGACAGAGCGAGACTCCGTCTCAAAAAAAAAAAAAAAAAAATAGATGAGGTCTTGCTCTGTTGCCCAGGCAGGAGTGTGGTGACATGACCATGCCTCATTGCAGCCTCCACCTCCTGGGCTCAAGTGATCCTCCCTGAGCAGCTGAGTAGCTGGGACTGCAGGTGTGCACCACCACATCTGGCTAAGTTATTATTATTTTTATTTTAGAGACGGGGTCTTGTCATTTTTCACAGGCTGGTCTTGAACTTTCAGGCTAAAGTGATCCTCCCACCTGAGCCTCCTGAGTGGCTGGGACTACAGGCACGAGCCACTACACCCGACCACAGAAACATTTTTAATGTTGTTAAATTTATCCGTCATTCCTTTATTGCTTCTGAATTTTGAGTCATTGTTGGGAAAGGTTTCCCCACTCCTAGATTTTAGAGCAATTGGCTCATGTTTTCCTTTAGTATTTATATGGCTTCATTTTTTACATTTGAATCTCTGAGTCATTTGGACTTCGTCCAGGTGTATGGTGTGAGAAAAGAACATAATTTTATCATTCTCCATATGGCTCTCAAACCGGTTATTTAAAAATCCATCTTTCCTTCATTGATTTGACAGGATGCCTCTGTCATAGACTAAATTTTCACATGCATTTAGATGAGTTTCCGGATTTCCTTTTGGGTTCCTGTGGTCTGCCTGCCTTTTCTTGTGCCAATACCATACTTTATAAACCTCAGAGGCTTTGTCATGTGTTTTAATATCTTGGTAGGCCCAACCTCCCTTCTTTGCTTTTTTTGGTGTGTGTTTGTGTGTGTGTGTGTGTGTGTGTGTGCGTTTTTTTTTTTTTTTTCCAGAGATTTCCTGGTTATTCTTGCTTGTTCTTCCAAATGAACTTGATAATCAGTTTATCTAGATGCAGAAAAAGACTGACGGTGTTTTCATTGGGGTTAACATTAACTTAGGGAGGATTAATATCTTTATGATGTTGAAGTCTCGTATCCAAAAACACTGTCTTTCCATGTGTTCCAGCCTCTACTTTTGTGTTTTCAGGAGTGTTTCATAATTTTCCTTATATAGGTTTTTGAACAGTTCTTATAGTTTATGTCGTATGTTCTTGTAGTCTTATAACTTTATCATGTATTATTTCTTGCCTTTTAAAATAAGCCTTCTCATATCTTCTATCTTTTTTGTGTGTAGATAAAGGCTATTAATTTTTGAATGTTGATATTATAACCTGCTATTTTACTAAATTCTCTCATTGGGTATAGTAATTTTCTTATTAATTCTTCTGGGGTTTCCAGATATATAATTATGTCATCTTTAAACAGCGACAATTTTACTTCTTTCTTTCCAATTCTAATTGCCTCTGCTTGCTTTCTCTTGTCTAATTCCTTCTGGCCTTGTTAAATAGCAATGGGGAAGTAGGCATGCTTGTCTTGTTCCTGTCTTTAGTGAGAGAGCCTCTAGCCCCATTAAGATGTTACTTTCATGCTTAGGTCAATTTTAATTCTACTGAGTGGCTTTAATGAACAAGAATGGTATGGCTGGGCATGGCAGCTCATGCCTGTAATCCCATCACTTTGGGAGGCTGAGGTGGGAGGGTTGTTTGAGGCCAGGAGTTCAAGACCAGCCTGAGCAACATAGAGAGACCCCCATCTCTACAAAATTTTTTTAAATGAATGAATATTAATATTTATTTAATGCCTTTTCTATATCTTTGGAGATGGTTATGTATTTTTTTCTCCTTAACTGTATGCTATTTTATATTAACTTCCTAGGAAGTCTTTTCTGAAGCATGCTCTGGTTAAGAATATTTCCTTCTCAATATTTCTCCACATTAAAAATCATCACTGACTAATCTCTGAGGTTGGAAAGATGAAGATGGTGCCCCTCTCCAAACCTATTTGCTCCAGCCCTCTGTAGAAGGCACAACAGTGCAGGGTTTAAGAGTCGGGGCGCAGGAGTGAGGCTGCCTGCTGTTGATTCCAGCTCTGCCACTTTCGAGGCGTATGACCTCAGGCGAGTTGCTTGATCTCGCTATGCTTTGTTTTCCTCATCTGTCAAATGGCAGTAATGAGAGCTCCTGTGTGGGTGAGGACTGCGGTGAGGATCAAATGGGTTATATACACTAAGCACTCAGAACAGTGCCTGGCCCACTAGATTGTTTTTCTTTCTTTATTCTAATTTTGTATAGGTCATATATTCATATGGTTCAAAATTACACCAACATGTTAGGGTGAAAAGTGTCCCTTCCATCCCTGTTTCAGTTACCCATTTTCCAACCAGAAACAGCTAATGAGGAATGTTTCCTGAGTAGCCTTGCGTAGACAGTATACAGATCATAGATGTTATCTATATAATCCACACAAATACTATGGCACCCACTTTTTACAGAAAAGGTAGCGTACTATACTATGTAGAATGGTAGCATTCCACATCTTGCTTTTTTCAATAGGAGACTGTCCCTATAAAATTCTGTAGGTGTTTTTTATTAGGATAGCACTAAAAAACTAATTTTTAATTTTCTAGTATCTAATTATGTGCTTAAATTTATTGACTGTGTAGAGGAGGTTTGACATCTTCACAATGTTGAATCTTCCTATTCAGGAGCAAGGTATGACCCACTGCAACCTTAACCTCATTAATACCTTACTCTGCCCCCCAACACTCATGGGCACACACATGCCCTACACTCACACTCACATGCCACTCATCTTCTTTCTACCAGGCCACTAAACACAATAGTATCAGGAGAAGACCAGCAAAGGGAGCGAGGATTTCTAAGGGGCTGGGAAAACCGAGGTCAAGTTCATTGGTGCCATGACCTTACCTGCTGGAAACCTATTTGAACTGCTCTTTGGCCAGGGGCATTTTGGCCATTGAAGTCTCATGGCTGGAGTCCAACCCAGAGAAAGGAGCTGTCGGAATGGGACTATCCTGGGGTGGGGATTTAGTCCAGTGCCCAGGGGGACCTCCACTTAATCTTAGGCCAAAGGACGTGGGTTCTCTCCTGAGCCACCAGCCAGATGGTGAGAGGGGTCCCAACTTAGCCAAGGGAATTCTGGGGGCTGGTTGGGGCCTGGGAACCTGGGAACCTGGACCTACTCGGACATGTTGAGGGCCAGCGCTGTCCAGTAGGCTTCCATGGGGGCTGTCACCACCGCGTCAAACAGCACCTCCCGGACCAGCTCCTCGTCACCTGGGTGCAAAACATCAGGGAACCAGGCCACATGCTTCCTCCATGCTCATGAACACAACTCTCCCATCCTAAGTTCAGGGAGAAGATGTGCTTCCTGAACGTGTCTATGGGACATGTAAAACTATCTCTGTGAGCTTGAGGGAGCTGCCTCACCTCTGTCTGTCTTCACTTTCTCAACTCCAAAAAATATGTCAGTACAACAGCTTGATATCTGAGGCTCTTTCCAATTGTAACATCTGATGAACTTAGGAGACCCTCAGTGACCTCAGGTTGGATCTTCCCAGTCTCCCCCATCTCAACTCTTCCTCATCTGCTTCTTAACCATCCAGACACCTTGGCCTTTGGTCAGTTCTGTGAATTTTTTGTTGTTGTTGTTGTTGAGATGGAGTCTCATTCTGTTGCCCAGGCTGGAGTACAGTGGCATGATCTTGGCTCACTTCAACCTCCGCCTCCCAGGTTTAAGCAATTCTCCTGCCTCAGCCTCCCAAGTAGCTGGGACCACAGGTGCACACCACCACACCTGGCTAATTTTTGTAATTTTTGTAGAGACAAGGTTTCACTATGTTGGCCAGGCTGATCTAGAACTCCTGACCTCAAGTGATCTGCCCACCTTGGCCTCCTAAAGTGCTGGCATTATAGGCATGAGCCACTGCCCCTGGCCAGTTCTGTGAATTTGACCTTGCCAAGCTCCTCCTTACCTCAGAGCCCCTATACATGCTGTTTCCCTTGATCTGGATATTCTTTTTCCCAGTCTTTGCATGGAGGCTCTTTCTTTTTCTTCTCTCATTTAAAAAATTTATTTATCTTTATTGAGGTAAAATTCACATAAAATGAAACTGACCAATTTAAAGTATGCAATTCAGTCAGCGGCATTTAGTACATTCACAATGTTGTACAACCACCACCTCTATTTAGTTCCAAAATATTTTTATCACCCCCCAAAGGAGATCCTCCTCACCTTGGTGAGGAGGTGTCACAATAGAGCCACCCAAGTGGCTTAACAGGATCTCCTTTAAAGCAGGCCTATTTCTCTCCCCTACAGCATCCTGTTCATGGCGCTTATCACAATTTATAACAACCTATATCTATATATGTAGGCTTATTTGCTTATCACCTGGCTTCTCCACTAGAATGTAAGCTCCATGATAGCAAGGGCCTTGTCTGGGTTATCTCTGTAGCTCTAATACCTACCCCAGGGCCTGACACAGGGTGCAAGCTCAGTACAGATTTGTTGATGAAATGAATAAATAAGTAAGTAAGTGCCCTGTTGGGTTGGCATGGGAGGCAGTCTTCTTATGCGGGTGACAATTATGTGACAGGATGACCTGCTCTTTCTTCCAAAGAGGAAGAAGGAGGAGCAAGCTGAGGATGTGGCCTAATGAGCTCACCACTCGCATTAGTGCAGGTGAGAAGGCCATGTGACCATGGAGCAGAGACTGAAGTGTCACAGCTGCAAGACAAGGAGCACCTGGGGCTCCTAGACCTGGAAGAGGTGAGCAAGGTTAGCCTGAGGAACTGGTTTAGAAAACAGAGCCCACAGGCTTCGAGTCATCTGGCCAAATGCTCCCCTTGTGGAGATGAGGACTTCTGGTGAAGAGTGGCAGCCATTTGCCCAGAGGTCCACTTCTAGACAGTGGTAGGGAAAAAGATGACAGACTCTGAATGGTGCTTTCTCCTGACCCTTAACAGAGCTTGGTGGATAGAGGCTGAAAAAGATCCCAGTCCCTGACCTGGGGATCCATACATGTTACCACAGTTCCAAGGGTGCTTAAATACCAGCTCAGCCCTGTGGTAAGGCTGGCTATGCCTTTTTCTTTGGGAATCTCCCTGTTTGATCTAAGCCATCCATGTGCTAATGGGATAGGGCTGTGCAGCAGCCTCCCCCTGCCTTCCCACCTCTCCTGGCAAAGTCCTGAACTTCAGGGCCCCAGAGGAAAAGCTTGCCTCAGTGGGCGGCCAGCACTCACACTCCAGGTCTGGGTCCTTCCTGGTGAGGAAGCGGATCATGGCCTCTAGCTGGCTGAGCTTCCGGTGGTCTGGGTCAATATCTGTGATGCAGTAGATCCTGAAACCCAGGAAAGTCAGTGTTATCTCAAAACATTCCACCTGTCTCCCTCCCATTTTTTACTCCTCACTTACCAGTCACCGGCCAGGGCCAGGTCTGGGTGAAGCAAGTCATGCAGGCCTGAAACCAGAGTCCACATTCAGGGTGATGCTCCCTCACTGCCATGAGGGTGTGTGTCTCAATTGTAGAAACAGCCACCCAGTGAGTTTCTAAAGAAAGGGACTGGGGTCTGTTCTTTCTTGCTCTTAGCTCACAGTAGGAGAACATGGCTAAGTCTGCACAGGTCCCACCTCCTGAAATGCTTTCTTCTCATTGTTTCATGTCCAAATCCTACCCCTTCTTCAAGGTTCAGGGCAAATGCCATGCCTTCAATGAGCTGCCCAGCCAGTGGGAGCATCTTTTCCTCCTGCAGCCCTCATGCCCCTCCTCCCCATCCAGGTTGGATTTGGGTTATTATGGGCATGTAATAACCTTGTGCTTCTGCCAGACAGCAGCTCCCTGAGGAAGCTGCATCTTATTCCTCCTAGCATCTCCCTCAAAGGGAGGTGATACTTTGAAACCAGTGATTTTGGCTTCATTGGCTTCATCCCCAGGATGGGCCCTGTGTGTTTTGCGGCCTCTCACCTAACACAGAGCCAGCCTGATCTCATGCTCAGTACACGCTGTTGACTGAAAGAACGATGAGCTGATGCTCCATGGCACCTACTCAGAGCTAAGAAATGAACAGGTGCTCCACTGAGGGTAAGTCCAAGGAGGGGATGACAGAAAGGCCAGTGGGGCATCTGTGGAGCCTCACAAGGGCTGCTGCTCTGATGTAGACACAGGGCAAGCAGCTGGAAGGGGAGCTCCCTTGCCCACAGAAGACCAGGAGACTCCGGGATTCCAAGCCCCTGACCACTGGAATGTCTCACTCCCAGGAGTGGGTATAAGACAGCACCCTCTGTCTCCTGGAGGAGTGCACCCTGGGAATATCTGGGCAGAGGAAGAAATGTGTAGGAAGAAGGAAGAAGGCACGATGGAGGCCTAGGGATGATGGGGAACAGAGGAGAGTGCCCCAGTGCTAGGATCTGTGCTGTGGAAGGGCAGACACAGCTTCCAGGTGAGCACACAGCTAGTGCCTGACTCAGTCCAGGTGCGGGAGAGGGGATCTACCAGGGGCAGCTCCCAGACAGATGACAGCTAAGCTGGGGCCTGAGAGTGGGTCAAAGTGTGCTGGGAGAGGAGGGCACTCCAGGGCAGAGCAAAGCAGCCAGGAGGAGCAGGCCCATCAGCAGTGATGTGGGCAGACTTGGCATTTCTAGGAAGATCCCTCTGGCTGAAGCTCAGAGAAGAAAGGAGTCAGGGAGAACAGCTGGAAGCTACTGTGGTTGTCCACAAGAGAGGTGACAATGACCAGGATGGTTGTAGGAAGGCAGGGTGATGAGATGTACTCAGCAGATAGCAGAGGGTAGTATGTGGGTGTTAAACAGAAAGTGGCCACCTCTTCCAGGGGTTCCTGGGATATCTGTGACCCCTGAGATAGGTTGTGGTCTCCTAAGGTGATTGGGCCACAGTAAGTCACCGGCAGGAGGGATGGGGTTGGATGGGGCTCTTCTCTCCCCGCCTCCACCACTGTTCTCTGCCATCTCACTTTGGTTCGCATCCCATAAGCTCCAGGTATGGGCTGAATTGTGTCCCTCAAAAGATATGTTGAAGTCCTGACCTGTGAATGTGACCTTCTTTGGAAATAGGGTCTTGGCAGAAGTAATCAAATTAAGATGAGATCATTAGGATAGGCCCTGATCCCATATGAGTGGTGTCCTTATAAGAAGAGGTAATGGAGACAGTGAGAGGCAGCTGAGGGGAGAAGGCCACGGGATCAGGGAGCAGAGACTGAAGTGTGCAGCTGCAAGACGAGGAGCACCTGAGGCTCCTAGACCTGGAAGAGGTGAGCGAGGACTCCCCTGGAGGCTTTGTGGGGAGCACGGCCTTTCCAACACCTGACTTGGGACTTCCAGCCTCCAGAACCGTGAGAGAATACATGTCTGCGGTTTTAGGATGCCATGTTTGCGGTACTTTGTGCTGGGAGCCTTAGCAAATGAATACAGGCTTCCCTCCTCTTTCTGGCCTCCTTTCTCATCACCTTTGCAGTCACCTGGCAGGGAAATTTCAGCTTTGAGCTTTGTTTAAAAAACATACTGCCTTGACGGTCCTTCTAGTCCAGCAAGGCCTCCCGGAAACTAGCAGTGCGGTTGGCAGGTCTCAGGCTCTGCTGGTTTGACGACAGACCCACAGATCCTGCATGCCCTGGGAGCCAGGGACACACACGCCCCTCTCCACCTGGCAGCATTGTTCTGAGAGGCTGCTCTGGAGCCTGGGAGCTGGGAGGCTGTCACACTGGCTCTGGTTGGGGTTGGCCCTGCCCAGTGTCCCATGAGAGCCCATTATTTTCTGCTTAACTGTCCCTCAGCCCCTGGTACCGACCCACCTTCTTCCACAGACGTGTTCCCCAGAAGGATGTATTCTCCGTGGCCCCGGGACAGCACCACCCCCAAACTGTGGGGAGAGAAGAGAAGGCACTCATTCAGCAGCAGCAGATGCCGGCCTGTCTCCCGGGCCTCGTCCTTGCCCTTACCAACACTAGGTGTATGGGCTTTTTGTACCCACGACGAGTGGTGTGCTCCTCATGCCCCCTTCTTTACCTCTGGCCTCACAGCCATCCCCTCCAGAACGGAGGCGGTGCTTCCAATTTCCCAGAAGCCTTCCTTCCTAAGCAGGACCCTGGCCATTCTGTAGACCAAGAGCCCTCTCAGCTCCCATTTTCATCAAGGGACACCCTGAAACTCACAGGCATCCCCTAAAATGTAGAACAGTCTCTCTGTTTCACAGGGGGTCCCACAAACAGGAGCTCCTTTTCCTACCCGGTGAGTCCTGCTGTGCCTTCCTCTCCTTGGCTGAACATCAGTTTTGAGCCTTGGCTGAATATCTGACTTTCTTGGGGAACTTTAAAAGATGCAAGTGCATGGGCTCTACCCCCAGAAATTGTGATTAAATTGGTCTGGCCAGCCTGGGCAACACAGCGAGACCCCAGCTCTAAAATTTTTTTTTTAATCAAAAAATTAATGGGGTGTGGTGGCACGCTCCTGTACTGTCCCAGGTACTCGGGAGGCTGAGGTGGGAGGATCGCTTGAGCCCGGGAGGTGGAGGCTGTAGTAAGCTGTTTGTGCCACGGCACTTCAGCCTAGGAGACGGGGTGAGATCCTGTCTCAAAAAAAACTGGTTTTGGATGAAGCCTGGGCAGTGGCAACTTCACATAATTCCTCAGGTATTCCAATGAGCAGTCAGGGCTGGGAACCAGGGCTTTACGGAGAAATCAGATAATTCAGAGGTAACGACCACTTGTTTTCTAATCTGCCTAATACCTAGAGCCAAATATTTCTACAGTTGCACGGAACCTGAGATCTTCCAATTTGCTCTTCTCACTGCTTTAGGATCTTAACTGGATGATATCACTTAATCTTCACAACATCACCAAAAAGCAGCAGTTATTGTCACCCCCATTTTACAGATCGAAATCTAAGGCACAGAGAAGTTAAGTGAAACTCAAAGACCTGTTAACAGAGTTGTAGGAGGCAGAGGTGACGCATCAGTAAAGCAGGGAGTGCTGGACCTCAGAGCCTCTTCTCAGAGACAGGGCTAACCGCCCTCGGGGAAATGACCTGTTAAGGCAGCTTGGCTGCTGGACGCTGATGAGCAGTGAAATAACAACAGCATCTGAAGGGGCGGGGCTTGCCTGGGGCCCACAGGAGCATAGCACAGGACATACACTTGACCAAGTTTACACAGCCTGTAAATGGTAGAGCTGGGGTTCACGTCCAGGCAGTTTGGCTCTGGAACCTGCATTCTAGGCTACACTGGCAAAGCAGGTCTACACCTCAAGTTTCCTGGATGCTGACCTGGGTCTTTTGCTATTACCACAAAATTGCCAACTAAATATGAGTTGCTGGTATTCATGTTCAACCCTCACCCCGTGCAAATAAAGCCTGTGTCCCTCACCTGAAAGGGGTGTCGCTGATGTCCGTGAAGAAGTAGTCATTGGTCAGGAAAAGAACTCGCTTCTGAAAGAGTAGACAAGGAAAGAGTGCTCACGCAGAGAAGAGCGGCCCCCAGCCCCCACCTCGCCCCCAGGGCTCTTGGGGTCTTCATCGTCACTGTACAGTCCCTCCGCCTTCTTGTCTCCTCCCTGACCAGCCCCTACACACCTCATCCTAGTGACACCCATAGGCAGATCCTCTCTAGGTGCAGCAAACTGCAGCCCTTTGGGGCGTGGCCTGGATTTCAGGATCAAGGTCTGGACCTGCACTGCCCATCACGATAGCCCCTAAGCAGCACTGAGCACTTGAAATGTGTGGCCAAGGAACTGAATTTTCAGATTTTAGTTGGCATAAATTTAAACTTAGTTAGCACATGTGGCTAGCGGCTATATTGGGCAGTGCTGATGTAGACCATGACTCTATGGTTCCTAGAGGGTTGAGGTTGGGGCTGTCAGTGTGTGCTAAGAACTTCTGGAGCCCATGTATACATACACAATCCACTTAAACCTCCTCGCCCTCAAAGACACCCAGGGAGAAGGGGTGCACCATTCTCCCTCCACTGTCATCCATGCCCGGGCCACGGGACCCTTTCACAACTTCCTTTTCCTTTCTAAGCTGCCATCTTTTAGCCTTGGTTTACTTTGTATAAACTAGGGCATCATGTAGTACAAAAGTGGCTAAGGGCATGGCTGGGCTTAGATGAACCAGGATTGAAGCCCAGCTCAGCCACTTTCGACCTGTGTGCTCTTGAGCAAGTTACTTCACTTCGAGTTCTCATTTGTAAATCAGGATTGTCCACGGCCTCTCTTGCACGAGGCTGCCGTGAGGGTGCATTCGGGGTGCTGAGGTTCTGTGGATTGTCCTGTCCACCACACAAGTTCATGTCATTGGGAAAGCCACATTTTGCAGTTGGCCCAGGACTTGTTCTTATTCCCTTTACTTCTTTCTGACTTTCCTTCTTTGATTTTGGAAACTGGAGCGAGGTGTCAGAAGGGACACAGAGAGAGAGGACGGCAACAAAAGCCTTGCTTTCTCTAGGAAACTGGCTTTATGCCAAATCAGAATGCACCTTTCACAAAACTGGACCCATCCCCTGGTCATGCCCTCTGGCTCCTCTGCCCAGTCAGACCCTCTCTGTAGCTTCTCTCTATTGCAGCGGTCGTGGGATGTCCTGGAAGATGTCTTGGGGGAGTTGGGTGCCCTGTGCTCCAAGGAGCAGCTGGCTGGAGTGTCAGAACTGGAGATCATTTTTTTATTTTTACTCTTTTTTTTTTTTTGAGATGGAGTCTCCCTCTTGTCACCTAGGCTGGAGTGCAATGGCGTGATCTTGACTCATTGCAACCTCCGCCTCCTGGGTTCAAGCAATTCTCCCACCTCAGCCCCCAGAGTAGCTGGGATTACAGGCACACGCCACCACACCCAGTTAATTTTTGTATTATTAGTAGAGACGGGGTTTCACCATGTTGGCCAGGATGATCTCAAACTCCTGACCTCAGGTGATCCACCTGCCTCGGCCTCCCAAAGTGGTGGGATTACAGGCGTGAGCCACCATGCTCGGCCTATCTTTTTTTTTAATTGAAGGAAAGGGTGGATGCACAGATCTTCCATGTATTACCTAATTAGCTTCGATACATGTATCCAGCCCTGTGATTACCAACCTGTCAAGGTACAGAACAGCCTCTCCAGTCTCTCTGCCTACCCCTTCTGGTCCATCCCATCCCACTCCTTCACAGGCAAACTCTGTTCTGGATTCTGTCACCATAGATTGGTTTTGCCTGTTCTTATAGTATGACACACACAAAAACTGCGTCTGGCTTCTTTTGTTCAAAATAATGTTTTCAGCGTCCGTCTATATTGCTGTCCGTCCAGTAGTTTGTTCCTTTCTGCTGCTGAGTAGTATCGCAGTGTGTGGACACGGCCCAGTATGCTTCTACGCTCATCGATTGATGGATATTTTGGTATATTTCAGTTGTTCCTCCTTTGGGGCTATAGTGAATAAAGCTACCATAAATATCCTGGGACATGTGTTTGCATTTCTCTTGGTAAAAATCTAGGAATGGAATCTGGATCACATGGTAAATGTATGTTTACCTTTATAAGACAACTGCCAATTTCCCAAAGGTGTTTTGCCATTTTATGCTCCTATTAGCAATGTCTGAGAGTTCCAATTTCTCCACAGCGCTGCCAGTATTTGGTGTTATTAGTCTTTTAAATTTTAGCCACTATAGAGAATCTTGCAGTTTTTTGGTTTTTGTTTTGTTTTGTTTTGTTTTGACAGAGTCTCACTCTGTCGCCAGGCTGTCTCACTGCAGCCTCAGCTTCCCGGGTTCAAGCAATTCTCATGCCTTAGCCCTTGAGTAGCTGGCACCACAGGCACACACCACCATGCCCAGCTAATTTTTGTATTTTTAGTAGAGACGGGGTTTCATTATGTTGGCCAGGCTGGTCTTGAACTCCTGGCCTCAAGCGACCTGCTTACCTCGGCCTCCCGAAGTGTTGGGATTAGAGGGATGAGCCACCGTGCCCGGCTAAGTCTTGTAGTTTTGATTTGCATTTCTCTGATGACTAATGTTGAGCATCCTTGCACAGCTTCCTTTACGAAGTGTCTGCTCAGTGCTCTGAGCATTTTTTATTTGGCTTTAGTCTTTTTGTTATTGCTTTGTAGGAGTTCTTTATGTATTTTGGATACAAGTCTGCCTGCTTTTTCATTTTCTTACTGGTGCCTTTTGAGGAGCAGAACTTTTACTTTCAATGAAGTCTAGTTTATCAGATTTTATTTCATGTTTAGTGCTTTCTGTGTTTTTGCCTAGGAAATCTTTGCATATCCTCAGGTTGAGAAGATTTTCCCCTATTTTTTCTTGTAAAAGCTTTACAGTTTTAGCTTTTACATTGAAGGTTATGATTCATCCAATTAGTTTTTGTATGTGGTATGAGCTATGGCTCAATGTTTCCCCTCCCCCATACATTTATTCAGTTGTTCTAGGACCATCTGTTGAAAAGATTGCCTTGCTCCAATGACACTCCAAGGTGTCTTGATTGAAAAATCAATTGATAATATATGTGTGGGCTATTTCTGGGTTCTCTATTCAGGTCATTGACCCATTTGTCTATTCTTTGGTCAATACCACCCAGCTTGGTTATTGTAGCTTTATAGTAAGTTTTGAAATCAGATACTGTGAATTGTCCAAATTTGTTCTTCTATTTCAAGATAATTTTGCCTATTCTAGGTCCTCTGCATTTTCATATAAATTTTAGAACCAGCTTGTCTGTTTCTAGGAGTCTGTTCAAATTTTGATCGGATTGCGTTGAATCTATAAATCAATTTGGGGAGAATGAATGTGTTAACAATACTGATCTTAACCCATAAACAGAGTTATATCTTTCTATATTTACTTTTTTCTTTGATATTCTTTCCGCAATGTTTTGTAGTTTTCAGTGTAGAGGTCATATATACGTTTGTTAAATTTATTCCTAAGTATTTTATGTTATTTGATGCTATTGTCATTGGAACTTTAAAATATTTCATTTTCTTTCTTTTTGGAGAAAGACACTTTTCGTTAGCATTGTTACAGGCAATGCATTATGTGAGCTGGTCCTGTGTACAACCATCCCAAGCCACAGCAGACACATCAGTAGATAATATCTATCTAATATTGTACACAGCGCAGAAACAGGATCACCCTGAATGTCAACAGAAGACTGAAAATCACTTTACAAAAAAAAAAAAATAATAACACCCATTTTCATATTTTAAAAAGTGCCAGCCCTTGAGCAGCAGAGTTTCGGAAATGCGGGAGGACATGCCACCAGGTGCCTTCGCTGGAACGTGGCCGCCAGCCGTGAGTGGCCGGGCCCATCCCGTCCAAAGACAAATGTCTGGAGTGCTTCCGCTCATCTTTAAAAGGCGGCCAGGCCCGTTTATCTTTGGAGTTCTTCTGTCTTAGGATTTTCCCTCTCTACTGTTTGTAATTTCATGAGCATGTCAGCCTAACGGTGAGCCGACCTTCAGGCTCCTAAGCGTGAAGGCCGGAGACTCTCCCTTTGTAAGGCTTAAATCTGAGTGCAGCAAAGAATGAGGAAACCAACCCCGGACATTTTAAAGTCGAATGACAATGGAGCCAGTGCCAATGTTGAGAAGCACTACCACCGTCCCTTAGAGTTCTATTTTGGTAAATACGAATGTTTAACCAGTTGGCAAAATATTTAACCCAGTTAGCAAAATTAACACCGTCATTTCCATAGTTACTCTGCCGTGTATGGCAAATGCTGCAAGATGAACATCCCATTTGATGAAGCACATTTGAGAAATGTTTGCCAGAAAGTGTGCCTCTGTCTCAGGACCCTAAGCCCAGGGGGATGAACAGAGACCCCAGCAGCTCTGTGCCTGCTGCCGTGCGGGTGACTCCTCTTCCTGCCGACAAGGTGGGCGATGAGAACGAGGAGGCCCAGTCCCACCAGGGCGCCGCCGACGGCGATGGGGATCGGCGTGTTGTTCTCGCCCAGCAGACGCTCCTCCGCAGATCCGAACTGGTTGCCTTCCACCTTGAAAGCCTGGCCCCACACTGGGAATATGTTGATTGAAAACGCCTTCGTGCCGCGGACACGCTCCGCTCCGGCTGTAGAATTGCCGATGGCTGCCCGCAATGCTCGCAGGGAGTCGTTGGCAGCTTTAAAAGTGGGGTCTCTGGGGTCAGGAAGAGTCGTATTCAGCTGGATTCCTCGTAGGAAAATCCGGCTAGAACCTGCATTCATCCCCAACCGGAAGCCCAGGACCGTGGTGCCCTCGCCGCGCCGCTCCCGGGTCTCCAGGTGGGCGCCGCGCTCCCGCTGGCTGAGGTCATGCCCAGGTCACCGTCGCGTGGTCCCTCCTCTCTGGGTGAGGTTCAGCTGCAGTCCCGCGCTGGCCGGCAGGCAGGCCCCGTGGGTGCCGCTCACGCTGTACCTGGCCACGGAGGGGAGAAGGGGCTCTCGGCGCCGTGGCGGGGAAGGCGCGTCTTGCTCGTGGCGCGTCTCTCCCTTGCTGAAGCTGCTGTTGGAAATCTAGGCCTGGATCGGGGCACCGCGGAGCCTGATGGTCTCGCTGTTCGTGCGGACCTGGGGGCCTTGATATCTGGTAGAGATTCCACAGTCCTGATTTCCTTGGAGCTTGCACTGAGGAAAATGTGTGTGTCTGACAAGTTGTAAACAAAACTCATGAGCTGGACGCTGTCACGTGTCGCACTTCTTGTGAAATGGAAGGTCAGTGTCTGTCTTCCTCCAAAGCACAATCGCGTGCCTGGGGTCGGAAGTGTTCTCTTTACTGCAAGAGCCACTGTCAAGCACTTCCGCATTGGATGGCAGGTCAAAGGTCACATTCTTAGAGCCACTCTTAGAGTCGTAGTTCATCGAGAAGGCAGCGAAGCTGGCCATTACGCAGGCTGTCCCGTTGCCCTTTTTCACCGCATCCGCTGCGGCTGCACCACGCACGAGGCCCAGCAGCAGCAGCAGCACCAGGGGCAGCCGGGGGCTCCACCAGATGCAGCCCGGGCGGCAGGCGCGAGGGGAGCCGGTGTGTGGGGAACCGGGGCGCGGGGAGGCGGTTGCGGGGCGCTGGCCTGAAGGACGGTGGCGTTCCTGGACCAAAAATATTCCATTTTCTGTTTGCTGCTATATATGCAAATAACATTAATTTTTATAAAATCGTGTTCTCTGAACTTGCTAAACTTACCTATTAGTTCTAGTGTTTGTTTTGTAGATTCTTGGGATGTTCTATGGAAACAATAATTTTGTCCCTGAATGAAGGCAGTTTTACTTCTTCCTTCCTTGTCTTTGTGCCTTTTATTTTGTTTTCTTGCCTTACTGCAGGGGCTGGGACCTACAGTGCAAGGCTGAATAGAAGTGGTGAGAAGTCCTCCTTGCCTTGTTCTCAATTTTAGGGTGAGAGTGTTCAATATTTTACCATCAAAAGTTAGCTCCAGGTTTTTCATAGGTGCCTTTCATCAGAGGGAAGAAGTTTCTTTCTGTTCTTAAATTTTGTCAAATGCTCTTTTAGCATCTATTGAGATTACCCTCTATCTTTTCTTTTTTATTCTGTTAATGTAATAAATTGCACTGACTGATTAATTTTTTCAATGTTAAATTAACTTTAAATTTTTGAGATAACTCTGCTATGTGCTATTGTTGCCATATAATTTACACTTACATATATTACAAACCCCACAATGCAACATCGAAACTTTTGCTTTAAATAGTCAGTTGTCTTTTTGAGAAATTAAGAGAATAAATAAAATATAGTCTTTTATTAACCCACATTATTTATCATTTCCAGTATGGTTGATTCTGTCCTGTAGACCTGCAGTTGATGTCACTTTATTTCAGCCTAAAGAATTTTCTGAAGCATTTTTGCTGCTGGTCTTGATAATAATGAAACCTCTGTTTCCTTCTATCTGAAAATGTCTTTTTTTGTTGTTTGTTTTGGAGACATAGTCTCACTCTGTTGCCCAAGCTGGAGTGCAGTGGCATGATCACAGCTCATTGCAGCCTCAACCTCCTGGGCTCAAGTGATTCTCCCGCCTCAATCTCCTGAGTAGGTGGGACTACAAGTGCATGCCACCACACCTGGCTAATTTTTTTTTTTTTTTTGTATTTTTTTGTAGAGATGGGGTCTCCCTATGTTGTCCAGGCTGGTCACGAACTCCTGGGCTCAAGTGATCCTCCTTCCTTGGCCTCCCAAAACGCTGGGATTACAGGTGTGAGCTACTGCCCCGGCCTGAAAATGTCCTTACCGAAGACATTATCCTTATTTTTGAAGTGTATTTTCTCTTTCTACAGAAATTTGAGTAGACAGTTTTTTCTTCTCTTGGCACTTTAACGATGTTATTTTGTTGGTTCTTATATACAGCAGTCTTATTGTTTCCCTTTATGTAATGCATCTTTTTTCCTTTAGCTTTTTTGAAGATTTTCTCTTACCTTTGGATTTTAGTAGCTGGACTATGAAGTACCCAGATGTGGTTCTCTTTGTCTTTTTATCCTGCTTGGGGTTTGCTGAGATTCTTGGATCTGTAGATTGCTGTTTTATGTCAAATTCAGGACATTTTTGACAATTAGTTTTTCAAATATGCTTTTTTTCTGCTTGAGTTTTTCTCCTTACCTTCTAGGGCTCCAAGAACATGTAATTAGACCACTTGATACCATCTCACAGGTTGCTGAAGTTCTGTTTCTTTCTCTGTCTTTTTCCCCATTTTCCCCCTGGTTTTTAAATTGGATAATTTCTACTGATCCATCTTTAAGTTCACTGTCCCTTTATTCTACAACCTGCTGGGAAGCCTATCCAGTAAAGCTTTCGTTTCAGATACGGTACTTTTTGGTTTTAAAATTTTCATTTGGAAGCATAAGAAACAACAGCTAAAATAAAAAGTGACTAATACCTTCTGCATAGCAAACAATCAATAAAATGAAATGGCAACCTATGGATTGGGAGAAAATATTTGCACATTTTATAAGGGACATAAAAATCTTATAAAATATATGGTTTGCAAATATTTTATAATATCCGAAATATATAAGGAACCCACACAACTCAACAGCAAAAAAACCAAAAAACAACACCACCACCCCACACATCCAAATAATCTGATTTAAATATGGACCTGAATAGACCTTTCTCAAAAGAAGACATAAAATGGCCAACAGATATTTGAAAAGCTGCTCAACATCATTGATCATCAGAGAAATGCAAACCCAAACCACAATGAGATGCCACCTCATACCTCTTAGGATAGCTTCTACCAAAAAGACAAGAAATAAGTGTAGACAAGGGTGTGAAGAAAGGGGAACCTTTGTACACTGTTGGTGGGAATGTAGGTTGGTGCAACCACTGTGGAAAACAATATGGAGGAGCCTAAAGAAATGAAAAGTAGAACTGCCATGTGACCCAGGAGTCCCACTTCCATGTATATACCCAAGGGAAAGGACATCACCACCTCATAAAGATACCTGCACTTCCATGTTCATTGCACCATTGATAGCCAAGATATTGAAACAACTGAAGTATCTGTTGATGGATGCATAAAGAAATTGTAGTGCTTATAAATACAGAGGAATATTATTCAGCCTTAACAAAGAAGGAGATTCTGCCATTTGCTACAACATGGATGAACCTAGAGGACATTATGCTACGTGAAATTAGCCAGACACAGAAAAAAATGCTGCGTGATCTCACTTATATGTGGAATCTAAAATAAAAATGGAATACATAGAAACAGAGAAAAATGGTGGTTACTAGCAGCAGGGGAAGGCACGGTGGGAGGTGGGGAATGAGAAAACGTTGGTCAAAAGGTACCATGTTGTGATTATCTAGGATGACTAAGGCTAGAGCTCTAATGTACAACATGAGGACTAGAGTTCATTGTATTGTATTGTATTGTACACTGGAAACTGGCCAAGAGCACAGAGTTTAGGTGTCCTTACCACACACAGGCTAAAGCAAAGGTAACTATATGAGATGATGGGTATGCTAATTTGCTTGACTGTAGTCATCCCTTCACTTCACTTTGTATATCAAGATAAGTACAGTTGGTCCTCCCATATCCACAGGTTCCACATCCCTGGATTCGATCAACTGTGGATCAAAAAGTATTCCAGAAAAAAGGATAGTTGCATCTGTACTGAATATGTACAGACTTTTTCTGTCATTATCCCTTAAACAATACAGTGTAGCTATTTATATAGCAATTACACTGTATTAGGTTTTATAAGTAATCTGGAGATGATTTAACGTATTAGGGAAGACTGTGTAGATTACACATAAATCTACACCATTTAATAGAAGGGACTGGGGCATCCATGGATTTTGGTATCTTTGGGGTGTCCTGGTCCAATCCCCATGGATGCTGAGGGATGACTGCGCATCACGTTGTGCACCTTAAATATATACAATCGAAAAGCAGGTCTAAAGCAAGAAAAAAATTCCTGTTTGGTTCTTATAATGATTTTGTACTGTGTCAAATTAGCTAAGCTGGAACTACACTTCCAGACTCAATGCCCAGTGTGGTTTCGAGTCAGGGTCAGCCAAAGAGAAGTGTGTGTGAGATTTGCAGACAGAAGTGCAGCAGTAGCCGTTTTGCACACTGAAGTCCGCACAGAATACCAGGCTCTGCCACTCTTTGCTGTAACCTACCGTCGTGCTTTCTAGGCATGGGCCGAAGCCAGATTCAAAGCCACCCGCTGCTGCTGGCTCTCCTCCTTCAGTTTCCCTGAGACCTAACCTGGTGAGGATGCAGCTCCTCATGGAAGGCACTGGCTCCGTCTGCGGGTCATCTGCCATCCTGATGGGTAGAGTTGGTGAGTGACAGATGTGGGTTTCAGTTTGTTTTCACGGATTCCTGTTTTTCCTCTTGAGTTCCAGTTCGTTCTTGCTTTCTTCCACATCTCATCCAGCTTTCCTTCCCAACTGCTGGTCATGCTGACCTACAATGACTTCAAGCTCACCATTGGATGCAGACACCAGCTTTCCATAGATTTCATAAACAGCTCCCACAGTTTCATAAGGTCTAATCCCTACGATAAAATCCTACATTCTATCACTCCCAGGGGCTCTGTTCTTTGACCAAGCCCTAACCATTTCTCCGCTGAGATTCTCCATCTGTTCCCTCATTATGAACATCTTTTCCTTTACACAGTTACAATGTCTGCACTAAAGTCATTCTAATTCTAACAGCTGGGTCATAACACTTTTTATTATATACTGGATATTTGAGGGGTAGGCTGTAGATACTCTTGTCTTCCTTTGAAGGTGTTTTTGTATTAAGCAGTAGTTAAATGATGGGTTGATAAGAACTGAGCATATAGAGGCTTGAATTCACATTTTGTTTGGGTGGGTCTGTCTCAGCTTTGTCTTTAGGCCTAGGGCGAATCTCTTGGTCGTGGGACAGTCTTTACTCCTAAGGTGTAGTTCTTCTGTGCTTTCAAAGGAAATCCTGAGGTGTTTACCAAGCCCCTCCACCTCTGTGTGACTCACACTCCAAACTGTCCCTACTACACGTGCAAAAGCTGAGATCCCGTGTTGAGATCCTGCTCTGGAATCCTGCTTTCGGCTTTCCGTGTTGCATTCCACTGGGGCACCTCGAGGCTTCCCTGTGTCTGCAGGGCTCAGGAGTCAGCCAGGAATTTCAGAGGAGTTTGTAAACAGATTTGGGGTCTAGCCTCCCTGTGGCTCGCTGCTTCTGGGCTAGCCCTCCTCATTTCCAGACACTCTGGAAATGCAAATTCTGTTCTCTGACACTTCACGGTGACAACCTTGCAGCCTTCTGCTTGAATTCTAGCTGTTGCGCTCCAGACAGACTGGGGAGTGCCCTTTGGGAAAAAGAGCCATCAAAACGCATATCACACCCAATGCAGTTCTCTTGATTCAAGGGTTGTTGCTGCCTGCTTTTGGTCGCTTTCAAGTGCCTTTCCGTTTTTGTTTTTTGTATTTTGTTCAGAGTTTATAATTGTTATCTGCTGAAGGGTGAGTCTAGTCAAGCTACACCTTACTCAAATGAACTTTGAGATCACCTTTTAAGGCTGAAGTAAAAGGAAGAGAGAAGGGGTGTGGGGGGTTGGGAGGGGGTCTGTGAATTCTGTTAACAGAAAGAGAGAGCGCGAGAGGTCTGGAAGACGAGGCTGGGAGTAAAGAGGTATCTGAGCAATCTGCTCCTTTAATACACTGACTCCTTCTGCCGGACAAAAATGTGAGGGGAAGAGAGAGAGAGAAAGACAGTGTAAGAGCACGTCACAGAGTACTCTAGCCCTGTGTTCCTGAAATCCAGGGTGCAGGGATTCAAGGGCACTGGAGGAACACGAGGCAAAGCTGCTCTGAATGCCAGCCGCTGGTGTGTGTGTGTATACGTGTGTGTTGCTGGTGGTGTGTACGCACGTGTTGCTGGTGTGTGTGTACGTGTGTGCTGCTGTTGTGTGCATATGTACACGTGTGTTGCTGGTGTGTGTGTACACATGTGTGCTGCTGGTGTGTGCCTGTGTACACGTGTTGCTGGTGTGTGTACATGTGTGTGCTTCTGGTATGTGTGTGTACACATGTGCTGCTGGTGTGTGTACAAATGTGTGCCACTGGTGTGTGTGTACACCTGTATGTTGCTGGTGTGTGTGTATACGTGTGTGCTGCTAGTGTGTGCATGTGTACACGTGTGTTGCTGGTGTGTGTACATGTGTGTGCTGCTGGTGTGTGTGTACACGTGCTGCTGGTGTGTGTACAAATGTGTGCCACTGGTGTGTGTACACCTGTATGTTGCTGGTGTGTGTGTACACGTGTGTGCTGCTAGTGTGTGCATATGTACATGTGTGTGTTGCTGGTGTGTGTGTACATGTGTGCCACTGATGTGTGCGTGTGTACACGTGTGTGCTGGTGTGTGTACGTGTGTGTTGCTGGTGTATGTGTGTACACATGTATGCCGCTCGTGTGTGCATGTGTACACGCGTGTTACTGGTGTGTGTACACGTGTGTGCTGCTGGTATGTGTGTACACATGTGCTGCTGGTGTGTGTGTACACGTGTATGCAACTGGCATGTGTGTACAATACACGTGTGCTGCTGGTATATGTACATGTGTGCTGCTGCTGTGTGTGCATATTCATGCGTGGACTCCAGTCAGTGCAGTTAATTTGGAAGAACCCAGAGGCTAGGAAGGAACACTCTGTCTGCCCCTTCCCTCCCCCATTGCTAATTATTGTTTGAAATGATCAAAAACGAGAATGACAGAACGACTCCTAGGTTAGACTCCAGGACACTTTGCTCTTCTGCTTTCTTCTTTTAAACTTGTGTCTGAGGGTGTCTGGCCAGCATGCTGCTGATGGGTTAGAAATTGTGGCACCTGTTACTGGTCTGCAATTTGGGACAAAACCCCTGCCATCAAAGTGGCAAATGGGAGGCCCGCCAGCCAAAACTGGGCTTCTTACGAGTTTAACATCCTAGATGTTGGCCCAGGTTGTGTTTTTAACATTTTTGGAATGAGTTGCACATGTTTCAAACATGGGTCTTAGCCGTCTCCTGCAGATGGTGTGTGTTCTCTCATCTGCCACAGTTCCCAGAGCCCCCTGCACGGAGGCCTGTCTGCTTCTCTTACTCGTGTTTATTAACAAATACAAGTTTGGCCCCATAGGTTTCTGGGTTTGTGAGTCCTGCCTTAAATCATGCTGTTGACGTGTGGAAAATAAGGATACCTATAAAATCCCCTGGAGAAAACAACACGGCAGGCGGTCCTGTACCGGGAGATGGCTCGAACAGTAACAGTTATTCCCACAAGGCTTTTAGAAAGCTTTCCTCAGCCTAGACCTAGACCTGGAGACGGTTTCTACTGAGAAACCAGCTCGTAAGTTGAGACACACCACTGAGCTGAGAGGGAGGGCTGGGATAGATCAGCAGGCAGGCCGACCATGGGGCGGTTGGATGGCTCTGTGAGAGCTGTGTGGAGGAGACAGGGCCTTTGGCAGTGAAGAAAACGCAGCCACTTTGGGGATGAGTGGCAGCCTAAGACATCAGAGCAGTGAGAGCCAGACACTGCCTCGGCGGCCCCACACCAGCAAAATGCCCTGCACAGAGTGGAGGCTGCCAGGCTCCTGGGGTCAGGGTGAAGAGATGGAGGATGAAGGAGGACTGTGTGGTGATAGAATGGGGTAGAGGGAGAGGAGAAGGCGATGAGTGTTCAAGGTGGAATAGAAATGCTATGCTAAAGCAAACTCTGGGAAACCTTTAAGGCTGGAGAGTTGAGAATTCAGGGCCAGTCCTACAGAAAAGGCCTTCTAGAGCAGTGGTTACGAATGGGAGATCTCGGAGCAGTTACACATGGGCTTTGCAGTTGATCATCTGGGTGACCCTGGGCAAGTTTTTAGCCTCTCTGAATATCCTCATCTGTCAAATGGGGATAGGATAGGCCCACCCTCAGGTTGTGAGTGTTCAATGAGTGAATACTTGACAGCGCCCAGCCCAGTTTCTTATAAATGTTAGTTTCCATCATTATTATTAGCTGTACTAATAGTAGTAAGACATGAACCCCTAAGTGCCATGGAACGTCCATTATGGTCATGATCGTCGTCATCCTCATTGAACGTTCTTTATGTTGAAGCACCCGTATATCAGGAAGCCTTTGCGAAATTGCAAATATGTAACCCAGATGGTCTATTAGTAGCAATGAACAAACTTTGAAAGGATGGGCAGAGGTTTCAGAAGTTCAGCCTACTGCATTTGGTTAGGACTCTGCCTCAGTGGCTCTGAGAAGCATAAAAGCAGCACGAGATTCCTGGGCACTGGGGGAAAGGGTAGAAGAGAACCACACCCACTGCATGTGTCAGTCTGTATTAGATACAGTATAGCCACATTCAGATCTACCTTTAAGCTGTCCTGTGCCATAAGCAGACTAAATTCTTCATTGTCAGTTCAGTGCTGTGGCCGTGCTGGGCTCCATGAGAGCTCATCTGTGCATGTGATCAGGAATCTGGTTGGGATAAAGGTGGGTGCCTGTGGAAGAAGCCTCTGTTCTTTTGGATCAGGAGAAGGAACAGCTGCCACTGGTGGTCTGACCTCACTATAGTGCCCAGTCTGCCTGCAGGAGGCCTTTCTCAGCCCAGAGCTTACAAAAAGCCAGGCAGATGCCACCAAAATCAGACACTGGTCCCAGTGAAAATCAGTCTGGCCTAAAAGGGATGCTTCCTTGTCTCTCCCTGTGCTTTCTTGTTTGGCTTTCATGGAGGTCTGTGTTGTGGAAGAACTTGGGTCTAATTGCTGCAGGCAGATGCCTGTGCTCTTTCAGCTGAGGCAGATGGGCAGGGGAGGAGGAGGTGGGGGTGGCTGTGAGGGAGGAGGTGACATTTGTAAATATGTCAAGGGACAATGCAGAATCAGTAGACACATTGGAACCTTTTAAGTGAGAAGATGAAATGATCTTTTATAAACGATGCACATGGTTGTAAAGATAGTAATGGGATTAGTGAGGGCATTGATTCCTAACTATCTGGGAATGACAGTGGATGAAAATCAGCTGTAGGGAATAGTGAATATTTCAATCTCTTCCTGTATAACACTTCACAAGAGCTGCTTACCATTTACAAAATCAGCTGTCACGTTTCCCCTTTTCATTATAAACAACAAAAGGGCCAGTAGCAGGCAGCATAAGGAGGAAAGAAGAGCTGTAAATGCCTTGGCCAGCTTTCTCCCCAGCTCAGCGGTCTCCCAAAAGCCAAGCATTGCATGAGCAATCCTGTCATTCCCTGGCTAGGTGTTTCTCCAGGGCCAATGCACCCTGCGTATACTCCCTAATGGACCCTCTAGGTGCAGCAAGCACTCAACTCTTCAGCTATAATTAGGCTAAGTCCAGGTCCCTCGTCACTACTCCAAACCCAATTAATGAAGATGCCTTCCTAGGCCATGCCCTGGCTGTTTCTAGCTCCTTACCCCTTTATCCATCGGAACCTTCACATCCATCGAGAGAGTACCTGTTTCCCTATTGATCATGGCTGTTCTCAGCTTCAGGAGGAAAGACAATGGCATTAGTTCCTTGGCTCACAGGGGATGGTGAAAGTATGGCATTCTTCAGACCAGATTAGAGGTGATCCCCAGAAACACTTTTGGTTCTTCCCTTTTTCCTCTGAGAGAGATACCAGGAGGGAAGATGGACCTGACTCTAAGCTCCATCTAGCTCATAATTCCAGGCATTCACCAAGATCCCACTCCCATGTGCACTGATGCATTGGGGTACAGAGTGCCAAGTTGCTGGGACATAATTTCCTCTAGGACGAGATATTGCAATCAAAAGCCAGGCTAAAACATCACTAAAACTCAGACTCTGCAGCTTATACACATGATCTCATCCAGCCTCAGTAGTCCTTGTGATTCAAGAAGATATTGTTATATTTTTATAGTTGTTAAAAGAATTGCTCATTTTAGGCATTGCTTGTGGCTTGAGCTTGGAAAGGCTCTGGGATGAACCTGTTCTGCCTGACAGGAACAGAGTGACCTCAAAGCTCACAGCCACACAGCTGACCCATTTAGTTGGATGTAGAGCCTAACTAGCTTCCCTTCCCCCTATTTTCCCCACTCACAGATTCAGCCTGGTCTTCCCACTCCACTTCGGAGAGATCCACACTGTTGTAGTTAGGTTTGGGTTTTAGTTTCTTCCCCTCTCTGTACTGGAGTGGGCAGGTCAGGAAGAAAAACATGTGGTCAGTATACGTCCTGCTCAAGTTTATCTCTTCTACAAAGCCTTTCAGGTATATTCATAAAAGCAAAGGATTCCTTAGAAATCAATCAATCCAGTAATTACTTAAGGTTATCTGGGCAAATTCCACCTGATACAGAGCTCCCCTTACTGACATCTATGACAGATGGTCTCACGGCCTCTGAGTGAATCTTCCCCATGGCAGGGAGCTCCCTATCTCGTGGGTCAGCTTGTTGGAGCTTTGGATAGCCCTAATTGTTAGAAAGTTCCTCCTCACACAAAGCTGAAATCCATCTCCCTGTTACTTCCATCCACTGATCTTCCTTCTTTCCCCTGGAGCTGCATAGAATGTGTTCCACCTGACAGCCCCTGGGATTTCCAAAGATACTTGTCACGCCTAAGACTTCACTGCTCCAACTGAGTTTGCCCGGTGTGCAGGTGCCTCAGCTCCCTCTGAATATGTTGTACTTTGTCTTCAATGTCACTCTCAAAATGGAGTTCCCAGGACAAAAGCCAACCTTCCAAATGGGGTCTGACCAGTGTGGCGTGGGCTGTGATCTGTGCACTAAGGCGTCAGGGGGCCCTGACTGCTGCCTGCGGTTCTGCTGTTTTCCTGGCCAGCCGCACTGACCTGGCAGTTCAGGCGGAGATTTCAGACAGTTCAGTCCCCTTGGTCTTCCTCATGGGACACACTGTCAGGTCCCTCTTCACAATCGTAAGCTTGGGCACTGAGTATTTCGCAGAGCTCTCCAGGCATCCCTAATATATTTCATCTTGCTAGTTTCAGCCCCTTTGTTTTAGGAGACTGCTTTCTGAATACTAATTTTCTCATTTAATGTATTAGCCATACCTTCCAGACTTTATGGCATCTGCCTTCTGCATTTTCATCTTAGGGATAAAATATTTGAATGGGACGGAGACAAGGACAGATCAGTGCTTAATAAAGACCTCCCTTCAACTTGACATACAGCCATTAATCAACATGCTGAGTGTTATTATTTTCTGGCCCTGACTTCTCTCTCTCTGAAGCCAAGACAGATGTCACCAAGTTATCTATGATTAGGTCTGCAGCACTTCCCGGGTTTAGTTTATTAACCCCAATCAAAAAAGCAAAGAGGATAGTTTATCATTGAGGTAAATTAAGGATTAATTAACATGTCTGCTTTGAGCCAAATGAGGCCCCCAGCAGATGCCTGGACAGCTCCGGTCCCCTATCACTGTGTATCTTGCTTCCGCCAGTTTTTTGTTTGTTCACTTTTTTCGGGGAAGTGTCGTGCTGATTTCTTGCCTGTTCAGGGGATCTGTAGGATCCCCTTTCCCCTCTTTCCCTCCTTTCCCATGCCTGGATCATGCTTCTTGGTCTTATTAATGACCATACTCATCAAACAGCCCTGTCCTGCCATCTTTTACATGGGATCTGTTTCCTTTGGGTGGGGCTCAACATTCCATTGCCATTTCCTAAATCCTGACAAAGCCTGAAGATCATCTGTAGCTCCTCATTTTAAAACTGCAATTCTACTCCATTAAATACTCCTACATGGGGCACTGACATGGAAAGATTTCAGTCCAATGGCATGGCTCTTTTAATTTATTACTGGGCATATCCTCGTTATTTTTTCTTTTTCAAACGTAACTATTGTTTTCCTGATAGTGCTTTCCTCAGATAACTCATTACTTTGGCTTTGCTATATCTTTTGTTTTGTAATCGTGTCCTGTGTGGTATTATTCCCTAATTGTTTCATTTGTGTAAGTCTAGTTTTCCTAATTAGAGTACAAGCCTCTGTTTATAGCATTCTTCACTGCATCGTGAGGTCAGGCACGAGGAGGCCCACAGTGTGAATCCACTGGTTGAAGCCTTATATTCGTCTAGAGTACATAGATGGTAACAGGCAGTTTATGATCAGTACCCCTCAATTCTACAAGTCAGCTCCAGAATCAGCATATTATTTCCCTAGTGAGTCATTCTGCTGGCACTGGGGCTGTCCCCCGCAGAACCCCTTGGTACAAGGGAGTGACATGTTATGGGCTCAGATGCTTGCCCAGCAGAGCCTGATTTGGAAGACAGCATGAACAGAGTGGCTTCCAGTGTGCCCTGATCTCTCTCTATTCAGAACCCCTAGAGTTTGCCTTAAATAGTTAATCATTGCCTTGCAGATATTCAGTGTCTATTTGAACCAAATGGAATGAATGGAGTGTGGCTTAGACTGACCTCTCCAAATGACACCTGGGCAGATGAGGCCCTAAGTTCTCCGGAAGGTGCTCTGCTGTCTGTCCTCTGTTGCCATCTGTTATTCACCATAAGACTGGTAGAGGGCAAAGGGCTACGATTCTCCTAGGACTTTAGCTCCCGCCGTCCCAACAGCCACACTGAGAGCTGTGGTCATTATTGCTGCATAGTGCTCAAGTGCATGACTAGCTCCTGGAGGCAGAGCTTTCAGATAAGACAATGCAACTTTCTTCCTCAGCCATCAGAGGCTCAGTTGAACTCATGTGAAAATACCCCAGCCTCTGTGTCACAGTGAAGAGGGCTGGGAGGGCCAGGAGCACTCAGGAATGCATCCTAAGGTGTGCTGCTCAGGAGAGGGCTCCCCTGCCATTTCCATGCTTAGCTCCTTGTTCACCCAACTTCGCAGGCCCCCAGAGTTCTGAGAGACTCCAAGCAGATGTGAATAATGGCCCTGCGGGCTCTTTAGCCTCAAAACTGCACACTTCGTTACGTGCTCTCTGGCCCACTCATCAGTCATTTCACATGTTTTTGCCTTGTCTCTTCTGATAGAATCTAAACAACTTGAAAACAGGGACCATGACTCGAATACATTTTTTTTCTCATATTACCCACTGGGTTCCTAAATGGAGCCCAATGTGTGTTTGTTGTTTTAATCGTTTTTGTGAATTACCCCCAAATCCCATACAGTAAGGATCCCAAGGCAAAGAAGATCTGTACCTACCAGGGGCCGGAGGTCGGGATGGGAGAGGATGTAGCCATTGTTGGTGTTCAGAAAGGCGTATCCGTGCACTCCAAGCTGCCAGAGTCCAGGGTGGAGGCGCATTAGGCCTGCTGTTTGTGCTGGGCATCTGGAGTTGGGCAGGGGTTTGGGGGCCACAGGACGGTCAAAGATGGCAGCTCACAGCAGTGAGTGTTTTCAATAGGAACGTAACTGAGCCAGTGCCATGCTTCCATCATTGATTGAGGAGTCCTTTCCAAACCGGACTGTTTATAGCAACCGTCATCATACATATTATTACCTGACTTCTTTACCACCACATGTTCTGGGTGCTTTGATGATGTAATCTCACTCACCCTTACAGCAGGACTGTGTGGCACGGAGGAGCAGACTGAGAAACTGAGACACTGGGCAGGGAAAGGACTTACTGAAGGCCACAGAGCAAGTCATAGTTCGTGGTGGGAAAGGGACCCAGGGGCACCAGTTGCTGCTCCCCTGCTCAGCACCTGCACTTCTTGGGCAGTGATGGAGGGGCCCCACCCCAGCTCTGGGCTTGGCTTGCCTGGAGAGAGGCTCCCATCACGGGGGAGGGAGTTTGCTCCTGGGGAACCTGTGATCCCCACAGGGAACAGACCCAGGCTCACCTTGTACCGGGGCGCCAGCTTCATCAGCTCTCTCAGGGCCACATCTGAGCCCACCACACCCAGGAGAATGCCATGGGATCGCTGGAAGGAAAGACACAAGGGGTGGGGGAGACCCAGCTTCCCTGTGTACAAGGTTAGACTGGACCCTGGGCCTGTCCAGAGCCTGGAAGAGGAAGCCACTTAGGCTTTAAGTGGTTCTTCCTCTGCAATTAGATTCTAGGCTGGGAATAAAAATCTAGACTCTATCAGACGAGGTCCCAGGAGCAAAACCAGCTGCTAGGAAGATTAATACCCAGTATTAATATTTAAGTTGTAATATTTAAATGGAATCCAAAGTTAAATGAAATATTAATCTTCACGGCACAGGGCGAAGTTATCGGGATCTCAGGGACCATAACTCACGGGGGCTCTGAAGCATACAGAGCCTGTAATGAAACATTTCCTGACCTGATGGAGGATGGAAGGCTCAAGAAATCCCCTCACCAGAGGCCTTTACAGACAAGTTAGAGTCTGCACAACCTGGCAGATTAAGCATGGCTTTGCAGGAAGGCTGACGGGAAACCCTCCGGTCTTATATCCCCAAGGCAGGGGTCCCAACTGCAGAGCAGTGAAGCTACTCCCAGCCAGCCTGCAGTCACTGGGGAAGCTGTGGAAAAGCACAGACCACCAGCCCACCTCCAACCAGGAGAGTCTGGGGTAGCTACTCTGGGACAGGCCTGGAAATCTGCATTCAAACCCTCCCAAGGTGGCTCAGAGGCACAGCCAAGTCAAGAATCACTGGTCTAAAGATGGCACTGAAGCCCCAGGTTCTAATCCCTGCTACAACGTCTCCAGGAGCGGCCACTCACCGTTTCGTTCTTCTTGCTGAAGACTGGCATGGCCACAGTGGTGAGCAGTGTCAGGCTCTGAGCCTGCGAGCTGAGGAGCTGTAAGGGAGGGGAGAACAGGGGTCAGAAGGTGCGGCCTAGGGCCACTGGTTTGCCGCACTCGGAGCACCCAGTGCGGAGAACCCACAGTCACCACATCAATTATCCAGCGTCACCTTCCCACAGGAAGGAGGAAATCCCAAATGAGGATTCCCTTCTCTGCAAAAGGAGAGTTGGCAGGAATGCTGGGGGCCAGAAGTGGACTGGAGGGCAGGACCAGGCTGATGTCACTCAGCAGGGTCCTGAGCCCCATGACCCAGCCCCAAGCACATTCACTAAGCTCTCTCGTCTCAGCGAGGCCCAGGCCGAGTGTTAAGTGCAAACCCAGGAAACAGGCCCATCTGCGCCTGCCCAGAAACAGAGAGGCTTTGCACAGCACGAGCTTTCCAGAAACCTCTGATATGGACTTAAGGTTGCTACAGGTGAGAGGGAGGACATTGACCCAGAGCTACCCAGAAACACAAGCACACCCCGAGGCACTGCAGTGCAAAGGCAGGCCGTGGTGCAGCTGTGGTGGGCTTCGGGGCCGTTCCTAGGACACAGGTCAGACCCACATGGACTCCACTCACAGCACCAGAGCCAAACCCTTGCCACCTCTAGACGGCTGTCCGCCCTGACTGGCTGGGCTCGCCGTGCCGGCTCCTCCAGCCACTTGAAAGGGGCTCTGCATGTGTGCCCCACTTTATAACAAAAGTAGGCTTCTGACAAGCATGTGGGAAGAGAGGTATCGTAAGTCCGACCTTGGATGAGATCAACTAAAGGGGACTGCTGAGTCATGGAAGTCCACAGTTGACTTTCTTGGAGAAGGAAGCACATTTTGGCCACCACGTCTCTTTCTCTCATCTCATCTGAGTTTTCAATTTAGAGTTAGAAGTAAGGCTTTCTGAGAGTGAACCACGATGACATCTAATTGTTTTCTGAGCTTGGACACATCTCTATGGGCTGCATGAGGGCTTTCCAGTCTCCTTCCTGAGTTAGGAATGCATGAAGCCAGCTTGTCCCTGGCTCCCAGAGAGCAGCTCCCAGGCTCTTGGAGGCCCCTGTGGCCTGCTCTCCCTAGGACATGTCTCAGTCTGGGAGGAGTCCAGTCACAGCTGTCCCTGCACTCATGTTTCTGGATACCCTTGCAAGGGCGGACACCTGCCCTGGGCTCAGGGGAGTGACATCCTCCACTCAGAGGGTTCCGAAGTGGGTCCGGGAGACCTGCAGGTGACCCTTAACTTCAGGGACTCCTAAGTCAGGGACAGGAGAGGGAAGGAGGAAGACAGAGGAGATGTAGGGACTGGTTGCAGGGGGCGGTTCTCACTGAGGGACAGGTGTAAAAGTGAAGATCAAACTGTGAACTGTGGCCTCGTCTGTGTGCGTGGAGGTAAGAGAGCGTCAGAAGGTCAGGCTGTCCATAGAATGCTAAGGACATCCTAGCACCGTCTGACATCAGTTGCAGCACACAGGGAACCTGGGGTTGCCTCTACCCACCTTCTGCCAAACTCACACCCAACACTCCAGGCCACCTTCAGCAGGTATGGCCTATGCCCGGCTTCTCTCATCGGATTTCATGGTTCTGAAAGCCTTCGCTTTCCAGCTCCCGTGGCATGACCACAACACTCCCAGGTGAGGGAGGCCCACACGGAGCACCGGAGCCCTGGCCCCTCCTGCTGGGCTGGCTACTGGCAGGCAGATGAATGCACGGGTGATGGAGAGGAAGTGCAGGTGCCAGGGTTCACAGGAAGACAGCTCAAAGAAGATCCCCTCCTGTCCTCCTTCTCCCCACCCACCTCTCTCTCATCAAACCTGGACACTCAGGGCCCTATGAACACTTGGACAAGGGAGGGAGAGCCCTGCCCAAAGGCAGCCAGCTCGTCTCTTCTCAGCAGCAGTCGGTGATGGTCAGATGACATCTGCTGAGCATGGCCGTGTTGGCGGAGCCCCTTTAAAGTAGATTAATGAGCTTTTCATCCCAAATTTGGCCAGATGGCTTATGTCTACTATTAACAGGTGGAGGTAAGTAAGCATGCCACTGCTTTTGGACATAGAGCAACTCAGAAGAAAGCTGACCATTGCCTCGTTGCATTCCCAGCCTCCTTTGTCAGCACAGGGACTGAGTTCTGGCCAGTGAAAGGTGAATTCTGGGTTCTGGCAAGAGTCCCTGCAAGTTTCCCTCACAGGGGCGAAGTATCCCCCTTCCCCTTCCACAGCCTGATGCTTAAGTGTGGTTTCAGTTGACTCATGTTCCACCAGCCTCCTGAGCATGAGGATGAGGGCCACATGGCTGGGACAGCAAAGGGGACAGCAGGGAGGAGCCTGGGTCCCTGATGACCAGGCCAGAGAGCTCGTGGTCAGCTCTGGGCTTTGTTTACCCAAGGGGGACATTCACTTCTATCTTATTTAAGCCACTCTTTTCAGGTCTCTCTGGAGCCCAGCCTGATACATCATCACTGAAGCAGGTGGCTGCCTATGTGATGGGGATTTGAGAAATGGCAGAAAGGTCTCCCTTCCCCAGAAAGGTCCCATGTGAAGCTCTCCCTTTGATGTTCATTCTTTCGTGCAAGTCATTGCTGCCTACAGTCCTTTGAAAATGCAGGGACCCAGGAAGGGAGAACGTGTTCCAGCTGTGGGATGGTGGATTCTTGGTCTGACCCCTTTCTGTCCCGGGTGGGTGGGAGGGAGGGATGATGAGGGAGGCGAGGACTGTGGAGGAGGAGGAAGGAACAACTTCGGAGCAGGGACCCTGTCCGTGGAGAGCACCTCAGGCAGGTCTGCTGGGGGTCTAAGGCAGCATATGAGCAGTGGTCCCATTAGTGGGCCAAGGGCTGTCAGGAAAAGAGGAGGAAAAGCATGGAAAAGCGGCTTCATTCGCCCCTTCTTAATGTTCCCTAAGGAGGTGCTAGGCCCACCCCTTTCCTGACCCAGGAAGTAACTTCTTACTCCCTGGGGTCCCTAACTCTGAGGTGGGCTTCTCGAGCTGGGAGCTGCTGCCAGGCTCACCTTGCTGTCCATGTAGGCCTCTGTCCAGATGATGTCGTGGTCGTGGTTGATGACCATGGGGCGGCTGAGCACGTGCAGGTATTCCATCACGTTCTCCTGGGTGTCCGCCAGCGTTGAGATCTGCGTGTAGTAGCCTGCGGTGGGGAAGGCCGCGTGGGTGTGGAAGGCAGGGCTTCCCTGGGAACCCCTCGCCAGGGCCTGCACCCTCCCCAGCTGCAGATGGCTCATAGCCGAATACTCTCTGGAAACTGGACCGGGGCACAGGGAGCTGCTTCCCCACAGTTGTGTCCTTTACCCAGGGGCAGCCGCAGGCCAGTGGGAGGCCAAGGCTCACTCTGCTGCACCCTGGAAGATCTCTGAGGGGCTGTCCCACCCAGAGCTCCGGAAGGAGCAGCAGGGCCTGACGCAAGAGTGTTGGGGGTCAGCCTCTCCCTCTCCCAGCCTCGCCCTCCCACTTCCTCACAGGAACATCTCATGAGAGTGCCCTGTAAGCTTTCTTCTGCCACTCTTAGGTCTCTTCAGGGAACCCAATCAGAGGCAGAGATTTCTGCCTCTCCGCTCCTCCTTCCTCTGGTCCTTGTTCTTGCTCAGGTTGTGGGGTGGGTGTTACAGCCTATTCCCTGGAACCATGGTGACACTCCAAAGCGCAGATGGCGCAGAAGGCTGTGAATGGCCTCTCCACGCCCCCACCTCCCACCGTGTTCATCCCCCTCGCCAGTGAGATGCAGCACCTCTCTGCTCCCAGCAGGTCTCAGACCCTTTCAGCACACTGTTCCCTCTGTCTGGAACACCCTTCCAGTCGCCCCACTGACTTGGAGAGTGCCTCCCCCATGGCCCCCGGCACCCTGAACAGTCTGTGTCTCTCCACCATCAAAGCACATTTCAGGCTGCATCGTGGGTGGTGTTTTACTTGTATGTCTCCCTGCTGGACAATACTGAGAGGTAGACCGACCCTGAGTCCATCCTGATCCCTCTTGGTCCCCTGGTGCCTGGAAATGGGGCCAGGTGCATAGTGGATGCTCAGTGAATTTTTGTTGAATCAATGGGGTCTGGTCAGAGATAGATGAGGACCATTCACACACAAAACATTATTCCAGAGAAAACAGTGACCCTCTGCTTTTTGTCTGGGAGCAGAACCAGAGTCCATGGCTTACTTTGCTGAAAGAAAGAATGGGGGCAGGATGGAGACAGAGCTGACATTGTCTCACCTTGCTTTTTCCAAATATGAAGGAGGGACTGAGGCTGCTGTTCTTGACATAGCACTGCTCCTCTTAGGGGCCCATGGGGAAGCCCGTGCTCAGCACTTCCAGGGCTGGGTAACCCTGTCTCCTGTGCTCAGGTGCAGGTGGGAAGGTACCTGCTGGCCCGGCACTCACCTTTGTTGTTGCATGCAATCCACTTCATGCGGTCAGCAAAAGACACTTCTCTCCCAATGAGGTAAGTGAAAACTCGGACCTAACCCACAAGACACAGAGGCACTCAGCAGCAAAATTCCCGGCCATAAGTAATGTTAACATTGTTTATATGAGTCTTAGATGTTGGCCCCAGTGCCTCTCAGTCTTCGGGTTCTCCAATTTCACCCCCTGAGGCCCAGGCAGCAACACAATTCGCCCAGGGCCATGGGGACTGCGGGTAGGTGCAAGGCTGAGATTTACAGCCTGGCAGTTCTGATGTCCCCAAACCATATTCTGGTCCCTTACCCCAAACTTCCTACATCAGGCCTCTGTGTCTCGGGTAGCCATAATTTTGGAACACTCAATTAAAATGCATCTGAAAGCAAGAATGGCTCTAATAGGAAAGCAGATTTGAATGGGGGCCATCCTTCTAGGGTCCCTGCTGGTGATCCCATCCATGGCAGCAGGAGAAGCTTTTTTCTCCCTGGACACCCGTGGGAGGGTCACCTTACAGTCTGGCCAGTTATACTTCTCAAACACCGGCTCGTAGTCCTCCACGGCGCCGTCGCTGATGAGCATGATGGCCTGGTTGCAGAGGCTTCCTTGCTTGGCCTCTTGGAACTGTGTAGGGAAGAGGAGTGCCCATGACCACAGGCCAAGCCCACCCCCCTCCACCTGCCGCCTTCCTCCCAGTCCTCCCCTCCCAGGCCTCATTACAGTGGGCACCTGCTTCAGGATCTGGAAGGCTTCTCTCAGGGCTTGGTCCACGACCCCCACACCTTTGACCATCAACTCCTCCACCAGCAGTTTGAAATGCTGCCATGGGTGAGATATTAGAGAAGCATCAGGGGGTTGAGTGGGCCAGTGGAGCTTCATGTTTGGTGTTAATTTGGGAGGCTGTTTAGGGCCATCCAGAAGGACATGATTTCAGGGCCTGTGTCTCCATGATGCAGTTCATGGACTGGTCCTCTACAATAGGTGTTTCTCAAATGTCCCCAAGATAAACTGAGAGAGGGGAAATGACTTGGTACACATCCATGGCCACTATTGATGGGAAACGCCAAGTGTGAAGCTGAGTACAGGGGGAGGACAGTTCTGGGATGGAGGCAGGGTAACCTCGGCTCCCAGACCACAGCCCGCAGCCCGCAGCCCAGGGGTGCACACTTCACAGCAGAAAGTGTGGAGGTGCCCAGGGCAGAGGCCCGGCTTCAAGAGGAACTCAAACCCCAACTCCTCCATCACAGAGGGAGGAATCTATGATGTGCAAAAGCTCTCTTTAAAAAATTATTGCCATGTCCTCTCCTCCTTGGTCTTTTACCAGAGGAAAGGATGACACTCAATGAAGTTTAAATTTGTCCTCCTTTCGGGGAAGCTTCTCATGAAAACTGACATAATGGAAAGGTCCAGGTGGGAGGCAAAAGGGGAAATTGAGTCCTATATAATCCACAGGGTGAAAAACCAGTCCTGAATAAGGAAGGTTCCCTTTGCTATGAGGTCTCTATCTGCTCACTGTTTGCTCTGATAAGCAGCAGTGTGTTTACAGGGCGGTTCCCTGGGTTGTTTGCATGGGTAACGTGCTCTGCTCTCATTCCAGGTGCCATGGGAATAAGCAAAAAGGGCCACAGAAACAGTCTACAGAGACAACCGCCCACCATCCAGACAAGAGCAGGGGCTTGGAAGTCTCAGGCCACCGTGGACACTCACCTCTCGATTGTCTCGGTCCGCCTGGACGAGGATCCCTTTAAAACAAGGCTCGATGTAATGGACGTAGTCATTGTACTGCAGTTGCAGTGAGTTGAGGGGAGGTGGGGGGAGAATAAACAGCATCAGGTTGCAAAGTCCAGGCCCAGCAAAGACACTCATGCAGGTCACCGGGTGGTCAGGGGTTGTGGGTCACCTTGGTACCTGTGTATGATTTCTAGAGCAAGTGAGAGCTATTCTAGAACAGGAAGGCACATTTACCGCTATGATATTAATGAAGTCATTCTCCCCCAGGGTGTCCAAGATGGTGGTGATGGTGTGCTTGGCAATAGTCATCCTCAGCCCCTTCATACTGCCGCTCACGTCCACCAAAATCACTATGTCCTTGGGAGAAGTAGCAGCTTGAATGTACCTGAAGGAAGAAAGGGACATGCCCAAGATGGGAAAACCAAAGCCGGAACCAATACCTGACCAAGGGGTCTGCAGTTATTTCTGTTCAGATGCTGGCTCGAGCCCACCCAAAGTTCAGGGCAACCCATCTATGCCAGGTTTCACATGTTCCATAACCACTTGACACAGTGCTGAAGCCATCTGGGGTGGCAGTGGTTGGGGATGTGCCACCTAACAGGCCAGGTCAAGCCCTGGAGGTAACGCTTGTTCCTTTTGATTTAGACCAACCGGGGTCCCTGAGGGGCTGGCAGCAGAAAGGGAGAGAGCTGGGCTTCAGATTCTGTTACCAACTTGCCACAAAAGGGGTGTGGAAGGAGAGGAGAGCCTAACAAAAGGTTGACGTGGAGACAGCTCAGTGTCCTGGCAGGAGGTTTAGGTTGGGAAAGACAAACATGATCAGTCCTGGAGCAAGGCAATTGTAGAGGGAAGGGAGGAATGCTGGCCCTCTTCCTGCTCTTGTGTCGGGCTAGGGTTCTACACACCCAAGGCCCTTGAGTGGCGGTGGGGGAAGGGGCGGAAGTGGAGGAGGATGAGGCAAAACCCAAAAGCTATGAGATAAATACCCGGGCCGCAAACCTTTCCCCTGTGAGCTCTTACCAGCCGCGGTTTCGGCAGTCAAAAGTAATGACTCCATTCTCATCAGGTGTCCATTTTATACCTGGGAGAATAAAGACTCGTTCTTTTACTAGCTTGGTGAGGCCACCCCAGATCCCCTGGCTGGGTGTGGACCCCCAAGATGGCCATGATCCCCAGGGCAGAACAGCTTTGGAGCTAGGGAACAGGGTGGGGAACACTGGGACATGCCCTGTAGACTGAGACAAGCTGGCAAGGAGACATCTACCAGCCAAACTGCCCAGATGCAGAGCTGGGGGTAATTTCACAGGTAGGACCACATAGGTGGTGCCTGGGACTCATTTGTGAGGCAAAACCTCATATCAAATAGTGGAGGGGGAAGCTTTGGAGAAGTGTGACTTTTAACATCCATTACCATCCAGCAAAGTGTGGACAAAATGTTGAAAAAGGCAAGTGCTCTGACTTCTAACACACTTGCCTCTAGGTGTTAAGCTCATTAGCACTCAGGATCCTTCCTGTTGGCTGGGATGGGAGAAATGATTTGGCTCTATGACTGTAGGCTCTTTGAGGTCAGGGATTCCTAGAACCCAGCAGAGTATATGCTTAATAAATGTCTGTTACTTGAATGAAAGGACAAATGAATGGATATGAAAGATCTTGCGTTGACCCAGTAGCAGAATGCTGGTGTAGATTTTTATCCTATCCACCTAATAAAAAAATTTGTATAGATGCACAGAAAACACTGACATGATCCACAATAGAATCTCGATTTGAAAAGACTTTATGATTGGGAATAGTGGGTTTAAAAGAAGAAGAGTAAAAATAACAGGTGGAATTGCAATATGTTGTGATTGGGATAGACAAAATGATTGTAGCAGTATTATGAATGTCTAGAAGCTCCAAGGGCCCTTCCTCCTCCACAGTGGTTAGACTTCAGATGACATACACCCTTTGAGGCATTGCTGGCATCTCAAAGGTAGGAGAGGTTGTCAGAGACCATGATCTCAAAACCAAACAAATGAGAACAGAGCCCCAGGCGTGAGGCATATGTGTGAGGTCAGCTAGCACCCAAAGCCTTGAAGGTGGGAAGCAGAGCCATGGGAGTGTGGTGTGATGGGAGCTTGAGTACCACTGGTCTGACCTAGTCTTGCAGGCAGTCATGGGAGGTAGGGCTTTCCTGAGGCCACATTCTTACAGCAACATGGTCATGGGGAATTTGATCCTTAGAACAGCAATGAGGAGGAGAAGCTGAGTCTGAGATTACTGGCTCTTAACCAAAATCTTCGAAGAGGACTTTGGAGGTCCTGGATGAGGGTACCCTCAAGTCCAAGCGGAAACAGAAGCGAATTTTCTTGTGGATTCCCAACTCAGACCCACTGGACTCTGAAGAGGACAAGCAGCATGGCCTCACAAGCAAAGATTCCCAAATACATAAGGAGCAGACCCCTATTAGTGGGAGGCAGCAGACTCAAGAGCTACCTCAAGAGCTGGATATAGCTTCTCAAGAATTACAGATGTTGGAATGGCCAAATACCAAACACAAACTAGGTAGGTATGAGAAGAACACATAATACAAAGAACATACAAGAAATGACCAGGAATGAAGAAACAGCCTTGCAAATATGAAGCTTTCGGAGATGAAAAAATGTATAGGTTGAAAAAAATAAATTAAATGGATAGTGCTTTATTCATGGGTAAAAAGAAAATGCATACATTTGTGGATGTATCCAGAGTTCTACTGAGGCTGGAATGAGAAGGTTTAATACACATCTGATTGGAGTCACAGAAAGAGAAAAGGGAGAGCATGGAGGAAAGGTGATGGTTGAAGAGATGATACTGGCAAATATTCTAGAACTGATTAAAAATCCAATTCCACAGATCTAGGAAGCACAGCGTATCCCAAACAGCATGAATAAAAAGATATCCACATATAGACACATAGTATTGGAACTGCAGAACTTCGAAGGCAAATAAATAAATAAACAAATACCACGAAGGCAGCCAGAAAGCCCACGACACCTACAAAGGAAGAGCAGTTAAACTGGTAGATTTTCCCAACATCAATGAAAGCCAGAAGACAGTGGATAAACAGTTTTAAGATGTTGAGAGAATAGAATTATTGATTTAGAATTGCATTGTCAGCAAAACTATCATTCAAGAATGAGGATAAAAGGAAACATTTGTAGATAAACACAATCTAAAGCAGTTTATACTGAAGTCCCCACTGTAAAGGAACTTCTGGAGGACTTACTTTAAGAAGAAGGGGAATGATATGGGAAAAACATCCTCACATGCATGAGGGAATGGTGAACAAATAAAATGGTAAATAAGTCATTAATTCCAAGTAAGTGATGTTTATATCAAATAACAATACTTGTGTGTCTGATTTGTGGGGATGAAAAATTTGAAATATTGACAATAGAATGGAAGTCTAGAATAAAGAGATGGAAGCACAAAAGTTCTAAAGGCCTTTGTTGACTGAGTAGAGAGCAAAAATATTATTTAATTTTAATTTTTTATTTTTAGAGATGGGATCCTGCTATATTGCCCAGGATGGTCCTGAACTCCTGGGCAAGGGAACCTCCTGCCTCAGCCGCCCCCCCCAGTAGCTGGAACTATAGGTACAAACCAAGTTCCCAGCTTAATTTTAAAATGTTATTGTATTAAATATGCCTGATAAGACTTCAGGGGTAATAACTGAAAGAATAAAAACAAGGGGACAAGTTCTAAAGTGCTAGAGAGAAAAAAAGTTATATTGGGGAAATTTATTTTTTAAATGTTAAGTATTTAAAAAGGAAAAAAGGAGAAAAAGAAAATATAAAAACACCAGGACAAGTAAAAATTTAAAAAATAAGATAATAGACTTCAAGATGGCTGACTAGAGGCATCTGGTACTTTCCTCCTCCACAAAGAAGGACAAAAATAGCAGGTAGATAATCACACTTTGAATAGATCATCCAAGAGAGAACATTGGAATTCAACAGAGAAGTGACAGGAAACACCTAAAGCAAGGAAGGAGACGGAAGCAAGTCACCCTGCTTGGCCAGGATTGGCTGGGAGCCTCTCCAGGTTGCTCAATGCAATGAAAGGATAAGTGAGAGACCCCCAGCAGTCCACATTCCCACCATGGATTCCTGCAATCCTAGCCGCAGGAGAGCCTCTAGACTCTTGTAGGCCTTAAGACTAACATAGGGAGCTGCCTGGAGCCTGGGTGAGGGCATTGCTCCAGAGAGGGAGCTCACACTGGATCTCATACACCCCCAGATCTCTAAGCAGCTGCAGCACAGCACGATATCAAGAGTCCAGACTCCACCAGACTGCGTCCTGCCTGGGGGCCCAACAGCTTCTGGATCTTCATATCCCTGGAGAACCACTGACATTTCCTTCCCACAGCCACCACCATGGCTGGATGCTGCCACCAGGGCTGAAGCGTGAGCTATTGGCAATAACCCCACTGCCCTTGGCAGTGAAATCACCACAAATTTTCATGCACCCTGAAGACAAAATCCTCCATGTACAGCCGTTGCACTGTGGGCTGCTGCCAACAGGGATGAAGCACAAGTGAAGCAAGCATTCGCCAGCCGCCTGCATCTGGCTGCTGCCACTGAAAGCAACCTCACCCTCCCCAATAGCAGGGCTGCCACACAGCCACTGCTGCCCCAACCCGAGCATTCCACCAGGGGCCAAGGGATCACCCCACCCTTGCCTACCACAGCCAGTGTCTGCATGCCCCAGCAGAGGGCATTGGGACAGGTCCACCTGACCTGGCTCTCTGTTCCCCCCATCCAGTGCCAGTATCCTGTCTGGGGCCTGGGAACTGCCCAGCCCACTCTACCATCGTTGGCACCTGAGAACTTCTCCCAGGGTCCTGAGTTCAGGGCCACTCAACTTCCTGGTACCACCATAGGTTGCACCCACCCTTACATGTCACCCACTGTCCTGGGGACTGAACTGCCCAGCTCACTGCAGCCACTGCCAAGAGCAGCACAGACCACTTTGGAGGCAGAGGGTTGCCCCACCACTGCTAACGATTGCATCACCTTTGCCACACCCACTTCTCTGGGGACTGAAAGCCTGCCCAACAGCCTGGCCCACCACTACTACTACTGTCCCCTGAGCAAGCCACCTGGAGGCCCAAGAATTGGCCTGTCTGGACCCACTAACACCAGTGCCAGTGTACACCTCCCTGGGACCCAAGGACATGCATGCTCAGCCCACTGCCACAACTGGGGCCCAAGGACAGGATCATCTGGCATCCTTGTCCCCAGAAAAACTTCACCACAGCCTCCACTAACAATGCCACCCTAAGCCACTGAGGAAATCACAGACACCACAGACGCTGTTTATAGCTGAAGAAATCATATTGAGACTACACTACTGCATGTGTCTAAGATCAAAGTCAAAATGTCCTACCCAACCAACACCATAGATATAGCTTTAGGAAAAAGTCCTCCCATATAAAAGCAAATTTTAAAAATGGGAAGATGCAACTATTACACCAGATGCACAGATATCAATGTAAGGACACAAGAAATATGAAAAAGCAAGGAAATACGACACCTCCAAAGAACACAATAATTCTTCAGCAACAGATTCCAATAAAAAAATAATTTATATAATACCGGAAAATGAATTTAAGATAATATTAAAGAAGCTCAGTGAGATACAAGAGAATACAGAAAAGCAATGCAAAGAAATAAAAAAAACTCAGGATATGAATAAGAAATTTGCTAAGAAGATAGATATCATTACAAAGAACCAAACAGAAATTCTGAAACTGAAGAATTCATTAAATGAAATACAAAATACATTTGTAAACGTTAACAATAGACTAGATCAAGCAGAAGAAAGAATTTCAGAACTCGAAGACAGGTCTTTTGAAATAACTCAGACAAAAATTTTCTTTAAAAAAAGAATAAACAAAGCCTATGTGACATATAGGACATCATTAAGTGGCCAAATGTTCACATTTTTGGTGTCCCATAAGGCAAAAGAAACAAAAAGGATGGAAAGTCTATTTCACAAAATACTAGCTGGAAACTTTCCAAGTCTAGCAAGCGATTATGACATCAGGACACAGGAAGCTCATAGATCCCCAAACAGATATAATTCAAAAATACATTGTAGTCAAACTGTAAAAAGTTAAGGACAAAGAGAGAATTCTAAAAACAGCAAGGGAAAGTTGTCTAGTTGCTTACAAGGGAACTTCCATGAGACTAGCAATGGATTTCTCAGCAGAAACCTTTCAGATCAGGAGAGAATGAGATGATATATTCAAATTTATTGGAAAAGGAAAAAAACTGCTAGTCAAGGATACTATACCCAGCAAAGTTATTCCTTATAAACAAAGGAGAAATAAAATATTTCCCAGATAAGCAAAAGCTGAGGGAATTCATCACCACTAGACTTGCTCTACAAGAAATTCTTGAATTGTCCTGAAAAAGAAAGGACAATATCTACCATGATGAAAACACATGAAAGTATAAAATTCACTGGCAGAGCAAACACAAATAAGGAAGAGTAAGGACTCAAATGTTACCACTACAGAAAACTACCAAACCAGAATGATAAACAATAAGAGAAAAAGAAAAGAACAAAGGATACCCAAAATAGCCAGAAATCAATTAATACAATGACAGGAATAGCTCTCACATATTGATAATAACCTTGAATGTAAACAGATTAAACTTTCTATTTAAAAGGTATAGATTAGCTGAATGGTTTAAAAAAAAAGGGACCAACTATATGCTGCCTAGAAGAAACTCATCTCACCTGTGAAGACATATACAGAATGAAACGGAAGAAAAAAGATATTCCACGCAAACAGAAACCAAAAGCAAACAGGAGTAGCTATACTTATATTAGATAAAACAAACTTTAAGTCAAAAACAGATACAGAAAAATGAGATGAAGGAGGTCATTATATAATGACAAAAGGATCAAGTTAGCAAGAGTATATGGCAATTCTAAACCTGTGTGCACCCAACACTGGAACACCCAGATATATGTGGCAAATATTATTAGATCTAAAGGGAGAGACAGACTCCAATACAATAATAGTTGGAACGTAAACACCCCACTCTCAGCATTATGTAGATAATTTAGACAGAAAATTACCAAAAAAAATGGATTTAAACTGCACATTTGACTAAATGGACCTAGGCATGTACAGAACGTTTTATCTGACAGCCACAGAATGCACATTATTCTCACCAGCACATGAAACATTCTCCAGGACAGATCATATATTAAGACACAAAACAAGTCTCAGTAAATTAATCCCGGCACTTTGTGGGGCTGAGGCGGGTGGATCACGAGGTCAGGAGTTGAAGATCAGCCTGGCCAAGATGGTGAAACCCCATCTCTACTAAAAATACAAAAAAAATTAGCCACACATGGTGGTGGGCGCCTGTAATCCCAGCTACTTGGGAGACTGAGGCAGAGAATTGCTTAAACCCAGGAGGCAGAGGATGCAGTGAGCAGAGATCACACCACTGCACTCCAGCCTAGGTGACAGAGCAAAACTCCATCTCAAAAAAATATATAATAATAATAATTGAAATCATTTCTAGTATCTTCTCGGACTACAATAGAATAAAACTAGAAATCAATAACAAGAGAAATTTTAGAAACTATTCAAATACATGAAAATTAAGCAACATGCACCTGAATGACCAATGGGTCAAGGAAGAAATTAAGGAGGAAATTTAAAACTTACTTGAAACAAATGAAAATTGAAAAACAATATACCAAAACTTGTGGGATACAGTAAAAGCAGTATAAAGAGGACAGTTTGTAGCAATAAGTGCTTACATCAAATAGTAGAAAGATTTCTAACAATCTAATAATACACCTCAAGGAAATATAAAAGCAAGAACAAACCAAACCTAAAATTAGTGAATGGAAAAAAGTAAGAAATACTGGAACAGAAACAAACAAACTAGAGACTAAAAAATTATGAAGGATCAACAAAATGAAAAGTTGGTTTTTGAAAAAGATAAAACCAATAAACTGCTAGCTAGACTAACCAAGAACAAAGAGAGAGGACCCAAATGAACAAAATCAGAAATGAAAAAAGCATACATTACAATGAATACCACATAAATAGAGACCATTATAAGCAACTATACACTAAGACAAACTGGAAAACCTAGAGGAAATGGATAAATTCCTGGACACATACAAGCTACCAAGATTGAACTGAAATAAATAGAAAACCTGAACAGACCAATAACACATAATAAAATTGAACCAGTAATAAAAAGCCTCCCAACAAAGGAAAATCTAGGACCAGATAGACTCACTGCCAAATTGTACCAAACTTTCAAAGAACTAACACCAATTATCCTCAAGTTATTCCAAAATATTGGAGAGGATGGAATTTTCCCTAACTCGTTCTGTGAGGCCAGCATTACTCTAATATCAAAACCAGATAAAGACACAACAACAACAAAAGAAAACTACAGGCCAGTATCTCTGATGACCATAGATGCAAAAAATCTTCAACAAAATACTAGCAAGCCAAATCCAACAGCACATCAAAAATATAATATGCCATGATCAAGTGGGATTTATACTAGGGATGCAAGGATGGTTCAACATATGCAAATCAATAAAAGTAATATATGACATCAAAAGAATGAAAATAACCATATAATCATCTTCATAGATGAAGAAAAAGCACTTAATAAAATTCAGCATTGCTTCATGATTAGAAACTCGCAGCAAACTAGGCATAGAAGGAAAATACCTCAACATAATAAAGGTCATATATAACAAACCCACAGGTAACATCATACTGAATGGGGAAAATCTGAAAGCCTTTCTTCTAAGAACTGGAACAAAAAAAAGATGCCCACTTTCACCACTCCTATTCAACATAGTATTCTAAGTCCTTGCCAGAGCAATCAGGCAATAGAAAGAAATAAAAAGCATCCAAATTGGAAAAGAGGAAGTCAAACTACTCTTCTTTGCAGATGGCATAATCTTATATCTAGAAAAACCTAAAGACTCCACCAAAAAACTCTTAGATATGATAAATACATTCAGTACAGTTACAGGATATAAAATCAATATACAAAAATCAGTAGTGTTTCTATATACCAATAATGAACTAGCTGAGAAAGTAATCAAGAAGGCAATCTCATTTACAGTAACTACCAAAAAAGTACCTAGGAATAAATTTAACCAAGAAGGTGAAGGACCTGCATAAGGAAAGCTACAAAACTGATGAAAAAAATTGAAGAGGATACAAATGAAAAGATTTTATGTTTATGGACTGGGATAATTAATATAATTAAAATGACCATACTGCCCAAAGCAATCTACAGATTTAATGCAATGATTATCAAAATACCAATGCCATTTTTCACAAGAGTAGAAAAAAATCATAAAATTCATATGGAATGGAAAAAAAAGTCAGAATAGCTAAAGCAATCCTGAGTAAAAACAAAAACATAAACAAAAACAAAAAACAAAGCTGGAGGCATCACACTGCCTGACTTCAAAGTATGTTTCAAGGCTATAGTAACCCAAACAGCATGATATTGGTATAAAAACAGACCCAAAGACCAATGAAACAGAATAGAGAACCCAGAAATAAATCCATATATTTAGAGCCAGCTAATTTTCTTTTTAAAAATTAATTACTTAATTAATTAGTTTTTAGAGGTAGGGTCTTGCTCTGCCACCCAGGCTGGAGTGCAATGGCGTGCAAGACTCACAGCAGTCTTGAACTCCTGGGCTCAAGCAATCCTCCCACCTCAGCCTTCTAAATAGCTAGGACTATAGCCATGTGCCACCACATGGCACATGGTTACATTTTAAAATTTTTTGTAGAGATAGGGGTCTCACTATGCTGCTCATGCTGGCCTCAAACTCATGGCCTCACATGATCCTCCCACCTTGATCTCCTAAAGTGATGAGATTACAAGTGTGAGCCACCATGCCTGGCCTCAAGCCAGCTAATTTTCAACGAAGGCACCAAGAACATACAACAAGAAAAGAACAATCTGTTCAATAAATGGTGCTGGGAAAATTGGATTTCCATATGCAGAAGAATAAAACTGGATCCCTATCTCTCATGATTTACAAAAATCAACTCAAAATGGATTAAAGACTTAAATGTAAGTCCCCAAACTATAAAGCTACTAGAAGAAAACGTAGGGGAAATACTTAAGAACATTAGTCTCTACAGAAATTTTATGGATAAGACCTCAAAAGCACAGGCAACAGAAACAAAACAAACAAATGGGACTCTATTAAGCTAAAAAGCTTCTGCACAGCAAAGGAAACAATCTAAAATGAGGAGACAGCCTGTTGAATGAGAGAATTATTTGCAAACTATTCATCTGACAAGGGACTAATATCCAGACTATCTAAGAAACTCAAACAACTCAACAGTAAAAACAAAACAAAACAAAACAAATAATCCCATTGAAATGTGGGCAAAAGACATGAATAGACATTTCTCAAAAGACATGAATAGACATTTCTCAAAAGAAGACATACAAATGGCCAATAGATATATGAAAAAATGCTCAATATCACGAATCACGAGGGAAATGCAAATCAATACTACAAAGATATATCATCTCATCCCAGTTAGAATAGCTATTAATAAACACACACACACACACACACACACACACACACACACACACACACACACAAAACAGATGCTAGCAAGGATGCAGAGAAAAAGAAACTCATATGCCATTGGTGGGAATGTAAATTAGTATAGCCACTATGGAAAACAATATGGTGATTTCTCAAAAAACTAAAAATAGAACTACCATATGATGCCACTACCTAGAATTTATCCAAAGGGAAAGAAATCTGTTTATCAAAGGTATACCTGCACTGGCATCTTTATCACAGCACTATTCACAATAGCAAAGATACAAAATCAATCTAAGTGTCCATCAAAAGATGAATAAAGGAGATGTGGTATATACACAGAATGGAATATTTGGCCACCAAAAAAATGAAATGCCATTTGCAGCAACATGGATGAACTGGAGGGTGTTAAGTGAAACAAGCCAGGCATAGAAAAACAAACACTGGGCCGGGAGCGGTGGCTCTTGCTTGTAATCCAGCACTTTGGAAGGCTGAGGCAGGAGGATCACTTGAGGCCACGAGTTCAAGACAAGCACTACATGTTCTCGTTCATATGTGGGAGCTAAAAAAGTTGATCTCATGGGGGTAGAGAGTAGAATGACAGATACCAGAGTCTGGGAAATGTGTGTGGGTGAGTGGGGGAGGAATAAAGAGGAAGGTTAGTGGGCACGAGCATACAATTAGATAGAAGGAATGAGCTCTAATATTTGATAGCAGAGTAGGGTGACTATAGTTAGCACTGCATTGTATATTTCACAATAGTTAGAAGAGAGGACTTGAAATGTTCCCAACACATAGAAATGATAAATACTCCAGGTGATGGACATCCCCAAATACTCTGACTTGATCATTACACCTTCTGTGCATATAACAAAATATTACATATTCCCATAAATGTGTACAAGTATTATGTATCAGTAAAAATAAGATGATGGCACATTCAAATATACCAATGTTCACAATAAATGTAAATATGCTTAACTTGCTAACTAGTAAAAGAGATTGCCAGTTTGGATAAAAATGTAAAAGCTATAAACTATTTTCAACAGATATGGCTAAAATGACAGAAAGTTCGTAAATAAAGGGATAGAGGAAAAAGTATATATCAGGTAAATACTAAGCATGAGCATGCTGGTGTCACTCTATGACTATCAGACAAAATACACATTAAAATAAAAAGTGTTGTAGGAGTTAATAAGGATCAAGCAAATATAAAATCAGCAAAGATACAGAAAATTTAAGCAATACAGTTAACAAGCTTGATCTAATGGCATGTATAGAAGATTTCATCCAACAATGAGAGCACACATATTCTTCTCAAGCACATATGGAATATTTACAAAACTTGATGTCATACTCAGCCATTAAAATAAATTTAAATTAATTTCACATAGTATATGCACCAAATTCTTGGACCACAAAGCAACTGAGTTAAACATTTAGAATAAAAAGGTAAATATAAATATTTATCTACATTCCCATATTTGTAAATTTAAAAACACACTTTTAAATAACTGAAATATGGAAGAAATCACAAAGAAATTTCAAAATATTTAGAAGCAAATGATAATTAAAACACTACCTCTATACCAAAACTACAGGCAACAAAAGAAAAAATAGATAGACTGGACATCAAAATTAAAAACCTGTATGTATCAAAGGCTACAGTCAACAGAGTGAAAAGGCAACCCATAGAATGGGAGCAAATATTTGTAAATCATCAATCCAACAAGAGGTTAATGTTCAGAATATACAAAGAACTCCTATGACTCAACAACAACAACAACAACAACACCTGATTTAAAAATGAGCCAAGAACATGAACAGATATTTCTCAAAGATGAGCAAATGGCCAATAAGCACATGAAAAGATGTTCAAAGTCATTAATCATTAAGGGCATGCAAATCAAAGTTGCCATGAGATACTACCTCACACCCATTAGGATGGCTACTACCAGGAAAACTAAAAAAAAACTAAACAAAAAGAAAACTGCAGAAAATAACAAGCTGGCAAGGATTTAGAAAAGTCGGAACCCTTGTGATAGAGGCTGCATCCTTTTACATTCCCACAACTCTGTGTGTGTGTGTGTGTGTGTGTATGTGTACATATATATGTATACACACAAAATGAAATATTATTCAGCCTCAAAAAGGAGGGAAATTCTGACATATGCTACAACATGGATGGACCTTAAGGGCATTATGCTAAGTGAAGGAAGCCCATCACAAAATGACAAATACTGTATGTTTCTACTTATATGTTGTACATAGAATAGTTAAATTCATAGAGATTGGCATAGAATGAGGGTGCCAGAGGCTGGGGGGAGAAGAGAATGGAGAGTTATTGTTTAATAAGTATAAAGTTTTGCAAGATAAAAAGAGTTTTGGAGATGGATGGTGGTGATTGTTGCACAACAATGAGAATGCACTTATTATCAGCGATACTTTTAATAAGTTCACTTAAAATGGTTAAGATAGTAAATGTTTATATTATATATATTTTGCCATAAATAAAAATAAAATTTAAAAAACCTCACTACCAATCAAAACCTGTGAGATGCAGCAAAAACAGAGCTTCTAGTGGCATAGTGTAGACTTAACATTTATTTTAGAAATACAGGGAGGCTAAAACTTAAAGCTATGTGTCTCATTTAAGAAGTCAGGAGGAGGAACAAAATAAACCCAAAGAAAGGGAAAGGAGAACATAAGAAAGAGCTAAGATAGATGAAATAGAAAATAGAGAAATAGTTAAGAGCAGTCAATGGAGACAAAAGATGATTCCTGACAAGACTAACAAAATAAAGAAATCTATAGGGAATTGGAAAGAAAAAATGCATAATACTGTAAATTAAAAGGGGACACAATTACAGATACAGCAGAGATTTAAAAGATGATAATAAGAGAATAATAGATTCATACAAATAAATTTGAAAAGTCAGATAAAATGGATGGATTCTAAATAAAAGTACTTCAAATTCTAAGAAATAGAAAGCCACATTAGCATTACAAGTGATCAATAAATCAAAGCAGTAATTTTATCTTCCCATAAGAAAACATCAGGCCTATATGCTTTATAGATGAAATCTATCAAGCATTTGAGGAAAAGATCATTCTAATCTTATTCAAATACTTCCAAAAACCAGAAAAAGAGGGACTACTTCCAAATATATTCTATGAAGCTAGTATAATTTTGAAAACCTAACAAGGATAGTAAAGGAATGAAAAATTAAGGGACCATTTCACTTATAAATATAGAAGCAAAAATCCTAAACAAAATATTAATAAACCAAATCTAGTAATGCATAAAAGGATAATTTACTATAATCAAGTTAGGTTTCTCATAGGAATGCAAGGATTGGTTAACATTAGAAAATTCAATAGTTAAGTAGGCAGAAGACAATATGCATTTCACAAAAGAGGATATACATACAGCTAATAACATATAAAGAAATGCTCAACTTCATGAGTGATCAGGGAAATGCAATGCTAGACCACTATGAAATACTATTTTATACTAAAGAATTGTTAATAAAAATTGTTTTTTTGAGACAAGGTCTTGATCTGTCACTCAGGCTGGAGTGCAGTGACATGATCACAGCTCACTGCAGCCTCAGACTCCTGGGGTCAAGTGATCCTCCCACCTCAGTCTCCTGAATAGCACCACAGGTGCACACCACCACGACTGGCTAATTTTCATTTTTAAAAAATTTTTGGTGGAGATGAGGTCTCACTATGTTACCCAGGCTGGTCTTGAATTCCTGGGCTGAAGCAATCCTCCTGACTTGACCTCCCAAAGTGCTGGGATTACAGGCATGAGCCACTGCACCTGACCAACAAAAAACTTTTAACAACATTCAGAGTTAGATAAATTGTGCATCAGTGGGATCTCTTATTCATTGCTTGTGGGAATATAATTGGTGTGAGTATTTTGGAAAACCAATTTGGAATTTTCTTTTCAAAGTTGAATGCCCACATATCTTAGGGCCTAGCAATTCCATTCCTTGAATGTCATTAGATAATGATAAACAGGTCAATTCAGCAAGAGGATATAACAATTGTAAATATATATGCACCCCACACTGGAGCACCCAGATATATAAAGCTAATATTATTAGAGCTAAATAGAGAGATGGACCCCAATACATAACAGCTGGAGACTTCAACACCCCATTTTCAGCATTGGACAAATCATCCAGAGAGAAAATCAACAAAGAAACATCATACTTAATCTGCACTACGGGCCAAATAGACTTAATTGATATTTACAGAACATTTCCCTCAATGGCTACAGAATACAAATTATTTTTAGCACATGGATCATTCTCAAGGATAGAGTACATTTAGGCCAGAAAATAAGTCTTAAAACATTTCAAAAAAATTGAAATAACATAAAGTATTTTCTCTGATCACAATGGAATAAAACTAGAACTCAACAAGAAGAGGAATTTTGAAAACTATACAGAAACATGGAAATTAAACAATATGCTCTAGAATAATCATTTAGTCAATGAAGAGATTAAGAAGGAAATTGAAAAATTTCTTGAAACAAATGATAATGGAAACACAACATACTAAAACCTGTGGGATACAGCAAAAACAGTACTAAGATGGAAGTTTGTAGCTTTACGTGTCTACATCAAGAAAGTAGAAAATCTTTAAATAATCTAACAATACATCTTGAAGAACTAGAAAAACAAAAGCAAACCAAACCAAAAGTTAGTAGAAGAAAAGAAATAATAAAGATCAAACAGAAATAAGTGAAATTGAAATGATAAAAAAACCCAAAGATCAATGAAATGAAAAGTTGGTTTTTAAAAAAGATAAACAAAATTGACAAACCTTCAGCTCCACTAAGAAAAAAAGAAAGAAGACTTAAATATATAAAATCATAGATGAAAAAGGAGACATTACAACTGACACCACAGAAATTCAAAGGATCATTAGAGGCTACTATGAGCAAATATATGCCAATAAATTGGAAAACCTAGAAGAAATGAATAAATTCCTAGACACATACAACCTACTAAGATTGAACCATGAAGAAATCCAAAACCTGAACAAATCAATAACAAGTAATGCTATTGAAGTCATTATAAAAAGTCTCTCAGCAAAGAAAAGGCTGGGACCTGACGGCTTCAGAATTGCTGAATTTTACCAAAAATTTAAAAAAGAACTAAAACTGATACCAATCCTACTCAAACTATTATGAAAAATAGAGGAGAAGGAAATACTTCCAAACTCAGTACACAAGGCCAGCATTATCCTGATACTGAAACCCAACAAAGACATACCAAAACAAAAACCAACCAAACAAAAAACCTACAGGCTAATATCCCTGAAGAGCACTGATGCAAAAATCCTCAATAAAAACACTAGCAAACTGAATACAGCAATACATTAAAAAGATCATTCATCATGACTAAGAGGGATTTATTCCATGCAAAGATGTTTCAACAAATGCAAATCAGTCAATATAATACATCTTACCAACAGAAAGAAGGAAAAAAACTGTATGATCATTTCAATTGATGCAGAATAAGCATTTGATAAAATTCAACATTTCTTCATGGTAAAACCCCTAAAAAAACTGGGTATACAAGGAACATACCTCAACATAATAAAAACCATATACAACAGACCCACAGCTAGTATCATATTAGATGGGGAAAGACTGAAAGCCTTTCCTCTAAGATCTGGAACAAGACAAGGATGTCCACTTTCACCACTTTCATTATTCAACATAGTACTAAAAGTCCTACCCACAGCAATCAGACAGGAGAAAAAAATTAAGGGACTCCAAATTCGAAAGGAATAAGTCAAATTATCCTTATTTGCAGATAATATGATCTTATATTAGGAAAACCTAAAGACTCCACCAAAAAACTATTAGAACTGATAAACAAACTCAGTAAAGTTTCAGGAGACAAAGTCAATATATAAAAATCAGTAGCATTTCTATATGCCAACAGCAAACAATCTGAAAAAGAAATCAAGAAAGTAATCCCATTTACAATAGCCACAAATAAAATAAAATACCTGGAAATTAATTTAACCAAAAAAGTGAAAGTTCTCTACAAGGAAAATTATAAAATATTGATGTGAGAAATTGAAGATGACACAAAAAATGGAAAGATATTCCATGTTCATGGATTGGAAGAATTAATATAGTTAAAATGTCCATACTACCCAAAGCAATCTACACATTGAATGCAATCCCTATCAAAATACCAATGACATTCTTCACAGATATAGAAGAAACAATTCAAAAATGTATATGGAACCAAAAAAGACCCAGAAGAGCCAAAGTTATCCTGAGCAAAAAGAACAAAACTGGAGGAGTAACATTACCTGACTTCAAATTATGCTACAGAGCTATAGTAACCAAAACAGCATGGCACTGGCATAAAAACAGACACATAGATCAATGGAATAGAATAGAGAGTGCAGAAATGAATCCATACATCTACAGTGAACTCATTTTCTACAAAGGTGCCAAGTACACACATTGGGGAGAGGACAGTCTCTTCAATAAATGGTGCTGGGAAAATTAAATATTCATATGAAAAAGAATGAAACTAGACTCCTATCGCTCACCATACACCAAAATCAAATCAAAGTGGATTACATACTTAAATCTAAGACCTCAAACTATGAAACTACTAAAAGAAAACATTGGGGAAACTCTCCAGGACATTGAACTGGGCAAGGATTTCCTGAGTAATACCCCATGAGCACATGCAACCAAAGCAAACATTGATAAATGGGATCACATCAAGTTAAAAAGCTTCTGCACAGCAAAAGAAACAATCAACAAAGTAAATAGACAATGCACAGAATGGGAGAAAATATTTGCAAACTCCTATCCATCTGAGAAGGGATTAACAACCAGAATACATAAGAAGCTCAAATAACTCGGTGGGAAAAAAAATCAAATAATCGATTTTTAAATGGGAAAAAATCTGAATGTACGTGTCTCAAAAGAAGAAAGACAAATGGCAAACAGGTATATAAAAAGATGCTCAACATCATTGATTATCAGAGAAACACAAATCAAAACTACAATGAGATATCATCTTACCCTAATTAAAATGGCTTGTATCCAAAAAACAGGCAATTGCAAATGCTGGCAAGGACTTGGAGAAACTCATACACTCATACACTGTTGATAATAATGTAAATTAGTACAACAACTATGGAGAACAGTTTTGAGGTTCCTCAAAAAACTAGAAATAGAGCTACCATGTGATCCAGCCATCCCACTGCTAGGTATCTACCTAAAAGAAAGAAAATCAGTATATTGAAGAGATATCTGCACTCCCATGTTTACTGCAGCACTATTTACAATAGCCAAGATTTGTAAACAATCTAAATGTCCATCAACATTAGAAGAATGGATAAAGAAAATGTGGTACATGTATACAATGGAGTACTATTCAGCCATAAAGAGAATCAGATTCTGTCATTTGCAACAACATGAATGGAACCAGAGGCCACTATGTTAAGTGAAATAAGTCAGGTACATAAAGAAACTTCACGTCGCACTTTTTTGTGGGGGCTAAAAATTAAAACAACTGAACCCATAGAGATAAAAATTAGAATAATAGCTACCAGAGGCTGGGAAGGGTAGCGATGGGGTTGGGGAGAAGTGGGATGGTTAATGGGTACAAAGAATAGAAAGAATGGATAAGATCTAGTATTTGATAGCACAACAGGGTAACTATAGTTAGTAATAATTTAATTTTACATTTTAAAATAACTAAAAGAGTATAATTGGATTGTTTGTAACACAAAGGATAAATGCTTGAGGCAATGGTATCCCATTTGCCCTGATATGATTATTACACATTGTATGCCTATATCAAAATATCTCATATACCCCATAAATATATATACACATACTATATACCCACAAAAATTAAAAATTAAAAAAACAGAATTATTAGTTTGTGGTTTTGGGCACCACAATGTATAAAGAAGGAATTTTGTGACATCAACAACCAAAGTGGGTAGATAAGGAGCTGTAAAGGAGCTGAGTTTTTGTATGTTATTGAAGTTAAGCTGTTATAAATCCAAATTAGAATGTTATAATTTTAAGATGTGAAATGTAATCCCTCTGGTAACCAGAAATAAAATAACTATAGAATACATATAAAAGGAAATGAGAAAGAAATTTAAATGTTTCCCTATAAAAAATCAGCTAAACATAAAAGAAGACAGTAATGCAGAAAATGATGGACAAAAAAGCTTAAGGCTTATAGAAAACAAATAGCAAAATGATGGAAATAAGTCCCTCAACAGTAATTACTTTAAATATAAATGGATTAAACTTTCCCATCAAAACACAGAGATTGGCAGCATGGATAAAACATAAAACTAGCAAGCAAATCTCAGGAGCATATTAAAAGGATTACACACCATAACCAAATAGGACTTATTCCTGGAATGCAAGGATGGTTCAACATATGAAAATTGATCAAGGTAATATACACATTAACATAATGAAGGGAAAAAATTCCATGGCCATCCCAATGGATGCATAAAAAGCATTTCACAAAATTCTACATCCTTTGATGACAAAAACATTAAAAAAACTAGCAATAGAATGAAACTGATATAAAAATCATATATGGAAAATCACATCCCAAATATCATACTCTATGGTGAAAGACTAGAAGCTTTTTCTCTATAATCAAAAACAAGACCAGGATGTCCACTTTTGCCCCTTCTACTCAACATAATATTGGAAATTTTAGCTAGAGCAATTAGGCATAAAAAAGAAATAAATGACATTCAAACTGGAAAGAAAGAAGTAAAATTATGTCTGTTCACAGATGATCTCATATGTAGAATGCCCTAAAGATTCCACAAAAAACTGTTAGTTCTAATAAATAAATGCAGCAAAGTATCAGGGGACAAACTCAACACACAAAAATCAGTTGCATTTCTATACATTAACAGTGAACAATCTGAGAAATTATTTTTAAAAATCCTATTTATGATAACATCAAAAAGAATAAAATACTTAGGAATTAACTTAACCAATGAGGTGAAAGACCTGTACAGTGAAAACTATGAAACACTGCTGAAAGAAATTAAGGACAGAAATAATGGAAACACATTCCATATTCATGGACTGAAATACTTAATATTGTTAAGATGTCAGTACTGCCCAAGGTGGTCTACTGATTCATTGCAATCCCTATTACAATCACAACGAGCAAGAGAAACTCATTCTAAAATTTATATGGAACTCAAGAAACCCCAAATAGCCTAAACAATTTGGGGGGAAAGAAAAACTGATGGAGGCACACTTCCTGATTTTTAAGTTACTGAAAAGCTACAGTAATCAAAACAGCATGGTACTGGCATAAAGAAAGGTATATAGACCAATAAAATAGGACAAAAATCCCAGAAATAAACCCCCACATATATGATTAAATGATTTTTGACAAGAGTACCAAGACCATTCAATGGAAGAAAGGCAGTCTTTTCAACAAAAGGTGCTGGGGCAACTGTATATCCACATGAAAAAACGGAAGTTGAACTCTTACCAAATACCATATACAAAAATTAACTAAAAACGGAAATGTAAGACCTAAAACTATAAAACTCCTGTTAGAAAACATAGGGGAAACACTTTATGACATTAGAGTTGGCAGTCATTCCTTGGGTATGACACCAAAGGCAAAGAAAACAAAAGATAAAATAACCAAATTGGATTTCAGAAAAAATTTAAAAGTTTGTTCATCAAAAGACAATATGAACAGAGTAAAAAGGCAGCCCACAGAATGGGAGAAATTATTTGCAAATCACATATCTGATAAGGGATCAATATTCAGAATATACAGATAACTCCTAAAACTCAACAACAATAAAAATAGTGCAATTCAAAATAGTGAGAAATGGCCTCTCTCTACTGACTGATGCGTTCACATCTGGACTGTGTTGTTTACATATAAGTTGGTGTCTCTGGAAGCCCTGATGTGGCAGGAATATTTACAGGAATTCCACCCTGGAGTAGACAAGAGGGGCACGTGAACTGCTGCATGGAAGAAGGATAAACCTATTCATTGAAGCTCCAGAGAACCGAAACAGCCACAATAGCTAGCTGTGAATTCTGGCAGAGGAACACAATGCCAACTATGGGAACTGCAGGAGCTCTGAGTTCCCTTGGCACTCCAAGAGAGAGATTGACTTTCCAGCCTGTGGACACAGTGGAGTCCTCTCGGGCCTTTCTGGTTTCCTGTTTCAGAAAAGTGGGATAACTTTAAGACTTCCTGGACTGTGTGCTAAACTATAAAAATGGGTTGGGGTGAAATGGAGAGCTGACTTATTTTAAATGGGAATCAAAAAGAGGTAGAACTCTTGGAAACTTTGTGCTCTGTGTTTTCTATTTTTATTGATGGACTCTATTAAGTTGGCCACTAGCCACAGAGTGTGGCCTGTGCCATTTTCCAGATTGCTGTTGAACACTCTTGGCGAGTGCGCCTCATTTTTCCAATTGGGACATAAAGTCCTTAAGGTAAAGAATTGTTTTATCCTTCTTTGTATCTTCCAAAGTACTTTTCATGGGACAGGAGCTTCATGTGGGCATTCATTGACTGGTTTCATGGTGTTTGATGGTTTCATTCATTCATTCATTCATCCATTCCACAGCCCTTTAATATGTGCATATCATGCAGTGAGAAGGGCTAAAGTGTGGGCTTGGAGATGCTTTGGGATAGGAGGACCAGCCCCATTCACTGGGGACCTGAGTGCCAGGGTCCATCTTCAGTGCCCCTATTATTTCCAGAGAAGAATCCCAGAAGGTCGGGGAGATGCAACTCCATGTCCTTACCTGGATAGATCCTGAAGAATCCAGTTGCACTGCCAAAATATTGCCAGGTCAACGTTGGGTCTCTCTGGAAGTTCTCCACGAAGACAGCATTCAAGGCTTCAGACATGTAGACTCCATTTAAAATATCTGGGTCTGAAGGGTGAGACTATAGATTATGATCCTGTAGAACTTCTCAGGAAAATGGTGATCATGCCCGGTGAGGGTGCCTGGTGGGCGTGTCTGGTGGGCGTGTCTGGTAAGCGTGCCTGGTGGGTGTGCCTGGTGGGCGTGTCTGGTGGACGGCCTGGTGGGCGTGCCTGGTGGGCGTGTCTGGTGGGTGTGTCTGGTGGGCCAGCCTGGTGAGTATGCCTGGTGGGTGTGCCTGGTGGGCGTGTCTGGTGGGTGTGCTAGGTGGGCGTGCCTGGTGAGTGTGCCTGAGCTGAGCGTGCCGGCTACCTTTGTTGTACACGTTGGTGGGCAGCTGCACGCTGCTGATGGAGGTGTTCACCGGCAGGTTGCTGAAGTGAGCATTGGACTCCAGGAGGAACTCGGCGCCCAGCTCCACGAAGTTGCCCTTCTCGTCCCTCTCGTTGATCAGGACCGAGTTGTAATAGTCGAACTGGGGTGGACGGGTGAGGCCCACGGAGGCGGCCCGAGCACCGGGACAGGCGGAGAGAGAGGAAGAGAAACGGCGCAGGTGAGAGGACGAGAGGGCCGGGGCCGGGCGGCCATCAGAGTCTACACAAGCACCCGCGGCGGCGCGCTGGGCACTGATCAGGGCGATTCGGGACAAAAATATCCAGGAGGCCGGCGCGGAGAGGCGTGAGGCCGACGTTTGATGACAGTTGTCCTGACCGCTGCCTCAGTCCCCAACTTGGTGCAGCGTGTGTTGACACGGCCGAGGCAGAGTGGAGACAGGCAGCCGCGGAGTCAAGGACAGGTAGAGACAAAAAGCCCCATCAGCCCCCTCCACTTCTCGCAGGCCAGGAAGGTCCCAGAGCCCCAGAACCGAGCCTGCGCAATCTTGGGGCCTGCAGCCTTGGCCTCAGACGGGGCCCAGGTTCCGAGTCCCGCAGCTGCCCTCGGCCTCTCCCACGCGGTGTTGGAGGGCGTGCTAGGATTGCCTCCGGTGGAGCCCCGGCCCCGTTTCCTCCACACGACCGGGTTCACACCTGAACACCCCCCAGGACTGCGTCACGGACATCCCCACGCCAACTCCCACGCCGGACTGCCTCACGGACATCCCCACGCCAACTCCCACGCCGGACTGCGTCACGGACATCCCCACGCCAACTCCCACGCCGGACTGCGTCACGGACATCCCCACGCCAACTCCCACGCCGGACTGCCTCACGGACATCCCCACGCCAACTCCCACGCCGGACAGCGTTATGGACATCCCCACGCCAACTCCCACGCCGGACTGCGTCACGGACATCCCCACGCCAACTCCCACGCCGGACTGCGTCACGGACATCCCCACGCCAACTCCCACGCCAGGTTCCTGCACCCCACACCCGGCTCCTCCTCACGACACTGTGGCCCGCGCTGGCCTTCCACGCATACTCCCAGCCGCGTCCCTGCCCTGCTCAAGCCTTCTGCACCTGCCTTTCCCTGCTGAGAAAGGCTCAGGCTCCTACGCTGACACCCAAGGCTCCCCCCACCTCCTCACCTAACTGTCCAAGACCACTGCCTTCCTCACCAGCCTCTGGACACACAGGGCCCAGGTCCCACTGTTTCCTCAACCAACCTGGTGTTTGTTTATTTATTTGTTTATTTATTTATTTATTTGAGACGGAGTCTCGCTCTGTCGCCCAGGCTGGAGTGCAGTGGCGCGATCTCGGCTCACTGCAAGCTCCGCCTCCCGGGTTCACGCCATTCTCCTGCCTCAGCCTCCTGAGTAGCTGGGACTACAAGCGCCTGCCACTACGCCCGGCTAAATTTTTTGCATTTTTTTAGTAGAGACGGGGTTTCACCGTGTTAGCCAGGATGGTCTCGATCTCCTGACCTTGTGATCCACCCGCCTCAGCCTCCCAAAGTGCTGGGATTACAGGCGTGAGCCACCGCGCCTGGGCGTGTTTTCTTATTTCTGTGTTTTCTTTCTGCTGTGACCAAAGGCCCTTTTCCAGGCCCTGCCTGCCTAAATCCCCCATGAGCCCTGGGCGCAGCCCCAGGCCGCCCTGTCTGCAGGAGTTTGGGGGCAGACCTCCTCTTCTCCAGCCTGCATTCCCCGGAGGCTCCATCCACCCATCTGTAGTGACTTGTGATGTGCTTTATACCGGAGTTATTTGCACTGTGAGCTTCTTGAGGTCAAGAACAAGTTCCGATCCAGAGGCTAGCACATTGCTGTGCCTGTGAGGGGTGAGCAGTAAATGTCTATGGAATCAGTGGATCGCCACCCTACGCCGCCACCCTATGCCGCCACCCCCATATCTGGTACTCAGGCGATCCTGGCCCTCTGGCACCAGTGCCAGGAGTGGGACTCACCACCAGGGATTCATTGAATTCGTGGTTCAGGTCGGCCTCCTCGGCAGCTTCCACCAGATTCTGAGGGATGGGAACACAGAGGTAGGGAGAATGGGTAAAAGGAGCCCAGTGGGTTTTCAGCAAGTGAAACAGTTGCCGGGTGACCCAGCAATCCCACTCCTGGGTGTATGCCCAGAAGGATTGAAAACAGGGATGCAAACAAGAACTTAGGAACGAATATTCACAGCCACACTATGCACAACAGACAAAAGGCACACACATATGGCTAAGTGAAAGCAGCCCATCGGCAGAGGCCATGCACCTGTGATCCCAACAACATGGCATTCTGGAAAAGGCAAGACTAGGGAGATAGAGAAGATAAGTGGTTGCCAGTGGTTGGGGATTTTTAGGGCAGTGAAATTCTTTTGTCTGATACTGTAATAGTGGATGCATGTCATTGCACATGTTTGCAAACCCACAGAATGTACGAGAATGAACCCTAATGTGTGCTATGGACTTGGGGATAATGGAGATTCATTGATTATACCCAATCTACCATGGATGCAGGATGTTGATAGCGGGGAAGGCTGTGGCAACAGGGGATGTATGGAAACTGTACTTTCTTCTACATTTTGCTGTGAACCTAAAATGGCTCTTAAAAATAAAGTCTACTAAAATATGCGTGCGTGCCAAAGCCAAAAGGTGGAAACAACTCAAATATCTGTCATTTGATAAACCAATAAACAAAATGTGGGCTATGCACACAATGGAATATTATGCAGCCCTAAAAAGGAATGAAGTGCTGATGCATGGAACAACACAGATGAACCCTGTAGATATTATGCTAAGTGAAATAAGTCAGGTACAAATGGTCACGTATTGTATGATTCCATTTATGTGAAATACCCACAACATGCAAATCCATAGAGAGAAAGCAGAATAGTGGTTGCAGAGCTAAGAGGAAGGGGATAGGGGAGTGATTGCTTACTTAGTAACCGGATTCTGTTTGGGGCGATGAAAAAGTTTTGGAACTAGATGATGGAGATGGTTGTACAACATTGTGGATGTACTTAATGCCACTAAATTATACACTTTAAATGGTCAACTTTATGTCACCTGTATTTTACCGCAATACAATTTTTTTTTTTTTTTTTTTTGAGATGGAGTCTCACTCTGTCACCCAGGCTGGAGTGTGGTGGTGCAATCTCGGCTCACTGCAACCCCCTCCTCCCAGGTTCAAGCGATTCTCCTGCCTCAGACTCCCGAGTAGCTGGGACTACAGGCACCCACCACCATACCCAGCTAATTTTTGTATTTTTAGTAGAGACAGGGTTTCACGTGTTGGCCAGGATGGTCTTGATCTCTTGACCTCGTGATCTGCCGGCCTTGGCTTCCCAAAGTGCCTTCCACGTGAGCCACCGTGCCTGGCACAATTTTTTTTTCTTTTTTTCTAAAGAGCAGGCCAGCATCGCAGAGTGTCAGGGGAAGTCAGGGTGGGGGAAGTGCTTTGGGAGTCAGAGGACCCAAGATCCTATTCTGGCTTTGTCAGGGCCAAGCCACTAAGCCTCTCTGGTCCTCTGCTTGCACAACTATAAATTGGGTAGGATAATTCCTGCCTCCCCACTCTCAGCCTACAGATCCTAGGATAAGGAAATCCCACAGGGGAAAGCTCATTTCAGGGAGGCTTTGCAGGAAACTTCCCACGCGCACCCTCATGGAAGGTCTGAGGCCCCCATACACCACCCGCAGGAGGCGCAGGGACCGGTCCTCAGAGAAAGTCTGCAGAGCAGCACTTCTTTGGTCTCTGAGGCTGTGGAAGGGCACAGGGAGCCTGGAGCCCCAGCCTCTGGGGGTGTCTCAGGACTGCTCGCTGCTCTAGTGACACAAGGACCGACGCCTGAAGTCAGGCGAGTCTCATACCCCACTGTCTGTGTTTGATCCAAGGAGGCTGTTTACACAACGCTCACTGATTGAAAGAGGCAGGTGTTACTGCGGGTGCCAGGCTGTGTGTGAGGCTAGTGCTTTCCTGCTGTGGTGTGTGATTCAGGGACCCAGGATAGGCTCTTGAGTCCCCAGGCATCTTCTCATTGGTTCCTGATGCTAAGATCCCTTGCCCTGCAGAAATGCTGCACATTATAACAAGTGGGAAAGAAGGCCCCAGCAACCCTGACCCCGGCCTCCTCCCAGAGTGGGGGTTGTGATGGGGGTGGGGGTACACTGACAGTACACTGGAGAGGCCGCAGCTCGCCTGCCCTATCTGCCCCTTCCCCTGCTGCTTGGCCCTGGCCTCAGCCTCCCAATCCAGCCAACCACTCCCGATCTCCTCTCTCCTTGTTCTCCTGGCTGGTCTTACGAGTCCTTTCAGGGAGAGCACTGGTCTTGGATGGTCCGATTCTTGGCTGGATGGAGTGGAGGACTGTGTCTCTCCAACCACACTGTATCTACTGGTTTATACCATCCAGGTCCCCATAGGCCTCAGTGCAGACACTTCACCCCAGAGAAGGGGAAAGCTTCTGTTTCTCCTGGGCCCCACCAGGCTTGGTGGATGTCCAGTAACAGAGTCACCTGGGCACAAGGCCCATCCCTGTAAGCACCTCTGCTGCCCGGGTGGCCCTCAGAGCACTTGGAAGCCATGAAGGTGGGTCCTGATGGCTGAATGAGGGTGAGGGAGGAATGAGGACAGATGAGAAGGAGGAGAGGGGAGGGGGGAGCTTGGCTTTGCTGGCTCCAGCTAGCTCGACTCCCACCCTCCTTCTGCTCCTCTGTCCATCCATTCCCAAAGCAATTCCTAGGTGCTCACCCCGTGCAGTGCTCTGTACTGGTCACTGGGTATGGCCTGGTGACTCAGAGTTCCTCACAATGCTGCAGGCTGACCCGGCAGTGCTGGGCATGGCCGCCTCGGGGCAGAGCTCTGATCCCAGCCCCTCCCCTCTCCTCTTGCTTCCTGTCATTTCCTCTTTCACAGGGATTCTTGGAGTGAGGGTTCTTTTGGCTAACGAAGGTACAAGGCGGAATCTTGTAAGATAGGAGAGGGTCACGAGGGGGGAGGATGCAGGGCCATGACATCGGGAGGGTCACTCTGCCACCTGCGTCATGGGGCTGGGGAGAAACGCCCTGCAGATCACAGGCCTGGAGTACCTGGACCGCCTCGACTTTCCTCCGCAGCATGTTCTCCATGTCCTCTGAGAACTTCCTCACCAGCTCCAAGCCATCCACCTCCTCGATCTTCAGACTGGACTCCACATCCTTGTACTTCTGTTTGGGGAAAGTGGGAGAGATGCGTGCATGTGGTTTTGTACCAGGATAGTTGCACCTGTGTATGCATGGCCTCCAACCTCTCCACAGATGCATTCCGGCACATGGAGCCTGGTTTACTCAACTAGGGTGAGGCCCAGCCCTCTCCTCCCTGGACAACATCCCCAGTGATAGAATAGCTGCCTCTCCTCAAATATCCTCTCTGTTCCAGGTGCTCTAGACGCATTGCAGTTATAGCCTTAACAGGGGAGTAGACCGAGGCTCAGAGAAGTCAGTGAACTTGACCAAGGTCAACAGCCAGGTGAGCAGGTGACCCCTGATGGGGCCAGGTCTCTCAGGCATCCCCAGCCATGTCCTTTGTGCAGAGCCACGCTGCATCCCAGGGCTTGTGAAACCACCCCTGGCATCAGTTCACCTTTCCTCAATGTCCCAGAAGAGGCATCTTGCTATGAAAGTGCCCCCGTGCACATGGATGTGAACCTCAGTTCCCACTGTCCCAGCAGAGCTCAGCAGCTCCAGGCACTGAGGATGGCTGCCTGACAATTGCCAGTGAGCCCAGGAAAGCCTGGAATGGGGTTTGGGTTTTCTCTCTGGGCCCAGGGGAGACCAGCTCTCACTGACTGTGTATTGTGAATGTCTATTCACCCAGCTCTGCAATGTATTGGCCGTGTGACCACAGGCAAGCCAGTCAATCACTTTCCTCATCTGTAAGATGTGACATTTACATAGCTTTAGTGAATGTTCTAGAATGCACAGATTTTACAGAATGTTTTTACCCCAAACGGCCACATCCGTACTGCTCTATGCTCCTCTCCCCGGGCTGTGGTGCTCTGAAGCATAGGAGCGTGCTGTGAGGGGCAGGCGGGGCCTCAGCTGTCATCGCTACAGTGGCCTGTGGGGGCCCGGGGAGCCGCCCACCCTGGCTCCTCTTACTTCCACCAGGGACAGGCCTGGGGGCTGTGGGCAGGGCAGTTGAGCAGGGACATGTGGTCACATGCAGGCATAAGAGCCTGGGATTCAGGATCTTTGTGATATGGAAAAGGTGCCTCATGAATTGGTGGTGGGAATGAAATCATGACAATGAAGCTCTTAGTGAGTGGCAATGATAGAGAAGGGTGAGCTGCCATTGGAACTGCTCTGGGGAGTTACAAATATTAGAGAACAGTGAAGTTGTTTATAACCTGGTAAGAAGACCAGCCAGCCATAAATCGGCACAGAAAGCAATGCATATTAAGGGGGCGGATGCTGGACATGGCTCGGGGGCTGACAGCTGGAGGTATGGGAGGTCTCCCTGCGCAGAGGCCACAGCCCTTTCACCTTCTACGGCCCGAGCAGCTTCCAGGGCCCTGCACGTGCCCTCCAAGTCTCCGCTGGCATCACAGGTGTTAGGCCTGCATCCCACTGCATCCACTCCCTCCGTCTCTCCTTTATTCTTCACCCCACCTCCACCCAGTACATCTGCAGGTCTAATTCCACCTTGGCCTCTGCTCCCTGAGGACCTGACACAATGCTCTTGACCACGCCCCCGAACCACCCCCACTGCCCTGCTTTGGGAGTTGAGAAAATCATTCACCTCCCTGGGCCTCAGTGGCCCCATCTGAAATAAACCGATTTGATGGGATGCCCAAGGCCCCTCACAGCACCGGCATTTGGGGGCTTCGATGGCTGACTGCCCTCTGCCACCCGGTGGGCTCTCTGGAAGGGGGTGACTGACCTTCTGCAGCAAGAGAGAGCCTGAGTATTTGGTCACAGTGTTATACAGGTCCCCGCCGAAGGTGTCAGCCCATAGCTTCACTCTGCCAGGCAATGAAAGGACACGCGTATACACACACGTACACGCACAAATACAGAAACACACGCGTAGACATATGGGTTCACACACATAGAAAGCCAGTGTCTACACACAGACACCTGCTGATGCATGCATACTCCAACACACAGACACATAATGCATAAGAAATGCACACACACGTACACACACATACATACCCCCCACACACATGCATATGCATACACACACGTGACATATGCCCAGAAACACACAAAAGAGCACCTGTCCCTCCTCCTTGTCCCTAAAGCTACAGCCATGGCCTGGGCAGGAGACGCGGAGAACCCTCAGGACCCAGCGGCTGCACTGCTGTGTGCTGAATGTCCTCGGCAGGTTCTCCTGCTGAGGGTTGTGGGGCCGGGCTGACGAGCCCAGGACTGAGCTTGACCCCAAGCTTCCAGGGCCTCTGGTTGGAGAGTGGCAGACTGAGAGGAGAGAAGGAGGGGAGAGGCAGTGGACAGCCTCAGGCCAGGGCCGGAGGACCCTGAGGACAAAGGACAACCTGCCTGGCCACAGCTGTGGCCTCTCAATAAATCGTTCCCTCCAGTGCACTCCACTCAAAGCCACTGGGGGCTGCCGAACCCTCTGTTGAAACCTCAGAGAACGCGTGAGGCAAGGGCACAGCAGGAAAAGGCTCTGAGCTGCCACTGCTGAGCCTGAGGGCAGGGCAGGCCAGGAGGGCATAAGGAGGCCACACCTCACCCTCTGTGTAGGCAGCCTAGTGGGGAGCCCCGACCTCTCGCCCATGCCCCAGAAATGCACCACAATCCCACCATCTTGGCCAGGCTGGTGGGGTCCTGGGGGCAGGTACACAGGGCTGGGGCTGAGCCTCTCCAGATGGAGCGGAAGTGGTTTGCCTGTGCGATCCTTTCAAGATCAGCAGTCATCACTCAACCAATGTTTATCAAGGTCCTACCATGTGGCAGCCTGGAGCCACCCCACAGTCCCCACCCTTGCAGGGACAGCTTTGTCATGCGGGTAGCATAGTACATGTTTGAAGGTGCCCATGAAGGTTGGGGAGGGGTAGTGGTATAAGGGAAGGCTTCCCTGGGGAGGGAGATCTGAGCTCCAGGTTAGAAGTTTGGTAGAGGTTAGCCTGCAAAGGGGTCTGGGAGAGGATTCTAGGTCGGGAGTACAGAAGAGCTTGGAGGAGTAAAACGTGACTTCCGGGCTTCCAGTGTGGGTTGTTGACCTGATGGTGTTGTTACTGAATACAATTAAGACTATCAGGAAGGGCAGGGGGAATGAGCTGAGGAGGGTGAAAAGTGATGTGTGTACCTTGGGCTCTGCTGAATGTGAGGTTCCCGTTGTAGAGCTACCAAGTACCATTGGGAAGGTTGTGCACTGCACAACTCTAGAAGGCACCAATTGTGTTTTACCTTGAAAGACACAAATCTGAATTTAAAACCTCACATGATGTTTAGGAAAAGCTGCCCATAAGCACTGGGTATGTGTCTAGTAGGTAGAGACAGGGCTGGGAGTCATTGATGCAAAGGTAGGGATTGAAATTCTGAGGGCAGGAGGGCTCTCTCAAGGAGAGTGTGCAGCGTGAGATCTCTGAGCGTCGACAGCTGCTGGGGAGCACCCCCCACCTCCGGGGCAGGCAGAGGAGGAGGAGCACTTGAGGACAGCAGAGATAAGCCGTGCCCATGCAGGCCCAGCGGAGCGCAGTGCCACGGAAGTCAAGGACTGGGATAAAAGAAGACGGGGGCTTGTGTGTCCCAAGCAACAGGGTCTGGGGTGACAAGGCCAGGAATGTCTCCTGGATTGGGCATGAGGAGGGCTTTGGGAACCCTGTGGAAACAGACTTGGGAGGAGGTGGAAGCCCGGCTGGAGGGAAAGACTGAGAAGAGAGGTTCGGCGGGAGTGAGGACAGGTGGGGCCAAGTCCTGGGCAGGCAGATGAGGCTGTGTGCAGGCTGTTGTCTCTGGCAGCACCCAGGGCTTCTGCATAGATGGCCGCTGGGGCCCCCCTCCCTGAAGGCCTGGATTCCAGCCACCCCGACTTGGCCCTCAGCCCACTCCTGGAGTTGGCCCTCTCCTATCAGCTGGTGTGTGTTCTGGGGATGAAAATTGTTCTGAACATCTCCTGCAGCAACAGATAGCGTTACGGGCTGGCGGCGGGTGTAATGGTGAAAGTGCAGTCCAGGCTGACAGGAGTTCAAATCCCAGCACCTTCACTTCCTGGCCTTGTGAACTTGGGGAAGTCACCTGACCTCTCGGGGCCTCTGTTTCCTCAGCTGCAAAATAGGGATAAAAATAAGCCCCCACTGAATGGCTCTGCAAACTAACGGTGTCATTTGTGAAGCGCCCAGCTCCGTGCCAGGCAGGGAACAAGGAGAGCTATGCGGCTCGATGGGAAACGATGCTGCCTAATCCACTGGTCAGCAAAGGCTAAGCACAGGCACGGTGTGTCATTTAGGCTCCCTGTCCCCACTCCTGCTAAGACATGCAGTTGGCAGGTGGCTCTGTTGGTGGCCTGGCTATGGTGCTGGGCTCAAGCGGCTGGAGTAAACAGGATGGGGTCTGTAGCACCTACAGTCTAGAAGGCTCTGCTACCCACATGTATTGGAAATTTCCTTCCTAGGACCACCTGAGCTAGGGCCTAAAACACAGACACCCCAGAGAGGTTGCACAGTAATTTACATGTACACCAAGGTGCACATGACTGATACCGGGTTCTTTCCTGGAGCCGGTCTTAATGGCCGGCTAGAGAATCAAGGTTGGAAGGAGGCAGAAAGGTGTAGAAAGGGAAGACTGCGGCCACCAAAATCCATTTTTTTCCCCAGTTCCTGGACAAGCCACCTCCTGTGCGCATGAGACGTTCTGTGGGTTCAGAACTGCTTCCCCTTTTTGGAATGTCAAAATACGCATTTCCTGCCAAATGCTTCGGGGAGCTGCGATGCTGAGATAACCCGGCTCCTCCAGGCTGCCTCATCTCAGCGATTATCCTGAAGGAGCACCCGCCCTTCAGGTGTCCCAGAAGCTGCTTGTCAGGCCAGGAAGACAGCAGCCCTGATGATCAGTTCTTCCTAAAGCCATCCGGCTCCTGGGGAGAGGCAGGTGGGACTCCAGAACTCACAGAGCTTTTGGGAGGAGAAAGAGGAGGCCGGAGAAGCAAAGGGCTTTACAGCAAGAGAGTGGTCAGTCGCAGCCACTGGGGAAAAGCCCAGAGGGAGGGCAGGGGCGGGAGGAGTGGGCAGAGGATGGAGGCCCAGCCCGGGAAGAAAGTGGGAAAGGGTGACCGGGTTTTTGGGGTGGGGTTGAACGTGATGCTTACGTTTCCAGAGGAATCTTGGCCTGTCCCCACGCAGGGGACAGGGAGGTGCCTAGAAGCAGCAGCCACAGGAGGGCCGAGGTCTTCTGCACAAAGGCCCAGGCCACGGGCATTGGCTGGAGGGGAATCCAGCGGCTGCTGGAGCTGGGGTTTGCGAGGAAGTTGGGAGTTGCAGGCATGGTGGGCCTGGGGTTGGGGAGGGGAAGGAGGGCAGAGCAGCCACAGACCATGAGCTCTGTCTGCCTTCCTCCCAGACCCCAGGACGCCCCAGGCCTTTGTCTTCCGTGCCTTGGCGAGCCTGGGGTCTCCAGCCTCTCAGTCCTGGGTGGGGAGGGCTTCTCTCTGCCCCACAGCTGCAGCTCACAGAAGAGTCGCCCCACCTAGCAAGCAGGCCTCGGAGACAGGGACTGGGGGAGAGGCTGTGGCAACATGAAACCCTTTAATCCGCTGGCCTCTCCTCTAATCCTCTCCTGACAGCAGGGAGGGGGTGGCAGGGGGTGGGGAGCTGCCTCCCAAGATTACCACAACTGCAGCTGGTTCCCTCAGGGCTATAGTGCACCCCTCTGCTTTAAAGAGGCAGCCCCGTTCCTGTGGAACCACCTTCTGGACCCAGGAAGGGCTTGCTGTGACTATGGCCAGAGGACAGCAGCTGAGTTTGCACAGTACTCTGATTGACCCACAAATCTCTTGTTGACCCTGAGGTGGGGGTGTGTCCTCATCCCTGCTTGGCAGAGGCTCTTGAGGCCCGGGGAGTCCCAGGGGCAGAGCTGGGACTCTGGCTGGTGTTTCCAGGCCTGGTGCCTTTGGGACAGGTCATAGGTCATAGGTGAAGTCAGTGGACCCACGCCTCCACATCTCAGCTGCTCGTGGGCGGGGCTGGGGACGCATTTGCTGTGCAACTGATGAAGCTTCAGGACCCCTGAATCCACAGACTCCCCCCTTTCCCGGAGAGGCCCTAGCAATGTGTTCCTGTGGCCAAATGTTTTTGTAAAATATGCAAAAGTTGAGATAGTTTAACCATAACCGGTTGAGACTGTCTGTCTCTTTCCATCCCAACTTCTCTTCCGTCTGAGGGACTCTTAGTTGGATGATGTTTGGGTGGCTGAGGGCACTTGGGGGATCCAGTTAAGAGGAAAGTGAGCTGGGGAAACACTTAATCTGGGCTTAGTGGGATATGCTGACATGGTTCACAGTGACTTCTTTGTACAGAGAAGTTACCTCCAGCTGAGTGTAGGCAGGGCTTCCAGGAACACTCATCCCACAGGACATCCCACCAGCAGATGCAGCAAGAGAGGCTGGGCCGTGATGTGAGCGCACGCTGTCACACCCACCCTGGCCATGTGTGGTGGGGAGGGCAAAGTAACAGTCAGGAGCTCATCTGCAGAAAATCTACAAAAAGCCACACAGGTAACATCGTTGGTGGAGGATTTGGTTCTCACCAAGGCCTGGCCAGGACAGAAGTTCTCTCCTGTTAGGAAAATAGTGGATATTGAAAGAATATAATTACACCGTACATTGCTTTGTGTTCTGATGAGAGTTACACAAATTAGAATTGATCAAAATTCTTGTGTTGTGAGCCCAAACCAGTAGTAGTACCACATGGGTTCTCCGGGGGTGAAGTCATAGATTTTATGCAGTCCCCGTATCAGATTATTTTCTTAGTGTAACTGGTGCACTGTGTCTTCACAAAATCTGGTGGTTCCAGCAAAATGGTAAGCAAAATTGCCACCAACGCAGAGAAATGCTTGCAGAAGCAAGTGTTCTGATGACAAAACTCCTACACAGATTCATCAATAAGTCAGTGCTGTAGTATCAGAGTAATCTGGTGGCACAGTTTTGTGGCTGAATACAATGTATTTTTTAAAGGCATCTAAATGATTCCTATGAATGCCTTAATTTCACATAAATTTTGTACATGTTTTGAGGATTACAAATCAAACACATTTAGAAAAAATACTACAGAGGCACACTGGGCAGTCAATACATAAAAAGAATGTAACTTCTCTAGGTTTTGTGAATTTGGTGGAATTCACCAGCTTCTTAAAATTTGTAATTTGGAATGATTTTTAAAACTGAATAAATATTCACCTTTTTTCAACTTTTTTATTGTGGCCCAATATTTATTGTGGCATAAAATGTGCCATCTTAATCATCTTTTTAAGTGTACGGTTTAGTGTAATTAAATACATTAATCATGTTGCTCCACCTTCGCCGCCATCTATCTCTATAATTCGTTCATCTTGTAAAACTGAAACTCTGAACCCATTAAACACTAGCTCCCGTTCCCTCCTCCCCCAGCCGCTGGCGGCCACCACTCTCCTTTCTGTATCTCTGATGTTGACGGTTCTAGGGACCTCACAGAAGGGAAGTCATCACATAGTTGTCCTTCCATGACTGGCTCATTTCACTTAGCACAATGTCGGTAAGGTTCACCCACGGTGCCGCGTGTGTCAGAATTTCCTTACTTTTTGGGGGTGACCAATGATGGGTTAATATTTCATTGTGTGGATAGACCTCATTTTGTGCATCCGTTCCTCTATCGATGGACCCTGGGGTGGTGTCCTCCTTTTGGCTACTGTGAAATATGCTGCCGTCAACACGGGTGTGCAAATATCTCTCGAGATCCTGCTTTCGATAATAAATATTCACTTTTATTTTTATGTTTGTACCTGGGATTTGCATTATTTTTCTTTTATGGGTAACCACTCCCACATTATACAAGCTCCCACTGCCCCCACGGGGTTCCAGCACCCTGTCCGGAAAGCCTTCGCCTCCCTCTACTGTGTCAAGCGTGACAGCGGCTTGGAAAGCTCCGTCCTTCGCAGACACACTGGCGGCCTGTGTCCTGTGCGCCCCTTAGACATACTTAGGAAGCCTCAAAACCAGGCCTTCTCAGCCCAAGGCCACCGCCGGCCTCCAGGCGGCTGCCTCTGCCCACTTCCCCTTCAGGCTCCAGCGACGGCTTCCTTCCCTGACTGGTGGAGGAGGGGGTACAGCTGGGCTGCATCCTGCGTCCCCTACATCCACCCCTTTCCAAGGAGTCCTTTGGAAACCAGCTTTCCCACCTGTTTCCTGCGGGCCCCTGTCTGGTACCGGGCCTCCCCACCCTGCCTCTCATCATCTATTCTTAATGCAGCAACCGAAGGCTCTTTTCAAACGTAAGTCAGACCCTGTGGCTCCCTCCCTCTGCTCCGAAGCCCCCAGGGCTGCCCATCTCCCTTAGAGGAAAAGCCACAGTTTTGACCACAGCCACGAGGCCCTACCTGGCTGGAGCTGGCTTGATTTTAAAAATCATTCCAAATTACAAATTTTAAGAAGCTGATGAATGCCACCAAATTCACAGCCACGAGGCCCCACCTGGCTGGAGCTGGCTTGATTTTAAAAATCATTCCAAATTACAAATTTTAAGAAGCTGATGAATGCCACCAAATTCACAGCCACGAGGCCCCACCTGGCTGGAGCTGGCTTGATTTTAAAAATCATTCCAAATTACAAATTTTAAGAAGCTGATGAATGCCACCAAATTCACAGCCACGAGGCCCCACCTGGCTGGAGCTGGCTTGATTTTAAAAATCATTCCAAATTACAAATTTTAAGAAGCTGATGAATGCCACCAAATTCACAGCCACGAGGCCCCACCTGGCTGGAGCTGGCTTGATTTTAAAAATCATTCCAAATTACAAATTTTAAGAAGCTGATGAATGCCACCAAATTCACAGCCACGAGGCCCCACCTGGCTGGAGCTGGCTTGATTTTAAAAATCATTCCAAATTACAAATTTTAAGAAGCTGATGAATGCCACCAAATTCACAGCCACGAGGCCCCACCTGGCTGGAGCTGGCTTCTCCTGACCGCGCCTCTCTGGGCGCGGGCTCCCGCTGCTCCTTGGGTGCCTCAGGCGCGCCCCCCATCGGTGCGGCTGACCCCCGAGCTTGCAGTCCGCGCCGCGGCTGTGTCTGCCTGCTTCCCCCTGCGTGGCCGGCCCTCTCATTTCCATCAGTGTCTGGCGTCGGGTTTCCTGCAGGAAGAGCTGGTACCCCTGGATCGGGCAGCTTGAGACGAGTTTAACAGAGAGGCTATTTACAGAGGTGTGGACGGAGTCCTGCAGGGACACTGCAGTGGCCAGGGCTGGAAACCGCGGGAGCTAGCCCCTAAGCCTCGGGGAGGGGGACGGGGACGGGGACGGGAAAGCCACTGTACCCTGGAGAGAACAGGCTGTATGGGGGGGACTGTGGCCGCCAGGCAAGGGATGCGGCCAGCCACAGCAGTCCCGTGGGAGGGCTGGGGCCGTGGACACCCACTCACCCTCTGCCTCCCCCGCTCTCCTGCTGGTGCCTCCACCCGGGGAACCTTAGGGACTTATCCGCGTGCCCTCGCTCCCCCCCCAGGACAGCCCCCCAGGGCAGGGAGAGCACTCGGAGGGGCCAGCAGGAGGCGTCCGGCTCAAGGTCTTCAACGCCACCTTTTATGATGAAAGTGTCCTTGAATGAGAGAGTGGTGGGCAGTGACGCACGGCTTTGTGAATAGCCTGTCAAGCACCGAGCTGCAAACTTTAACATGGAGAATTTTACGGCATGTGAATTACTTCTCCATTAAAAAACCTTTTTTTTTTTTTTGAAAATCACCTTTTTAATGAGTGAAGACTTTCCTGGCTACAAGATCCACCATCTTGGCCCGACCCCTGACGTTCCCTGTCCTTCTTCACAGCATCTTTCTTCTCCTCAGTGGCTATCATGGGACGTGCCATATACAGGCCTCCTCCTCTAGCACGCAGCCTCCATAAGGGGCAGGGCCTGCGGGCTGTTTGTCCCTGCTGTATGCCCAGTCCCTCAGCACAAGGAAATAAAAATGTGATTGGAATGAAGGAGGGATTGAAAGGGGGGTGATTCTGGGTGGAGGTGAGGGCGCTTGGGCCAAGTCCTGCTTGTCTCCGCCTCCGCTCTCTGGGGCCTTTGAACAGGAGCCCCAGGGCCCCAGGGTCAGTTTGGAAACCCCCATGTAGCCAGGCAAAGGCTTTCATTTCCCGTTCATTTTACGAATGTGTCTCCGGCGGCTCATTTCATCTTCAAGTGACACAGGACATCACGAAGGCCTTCTGTGGTATTTGTACGCCACTATTCATTGCAGTGTGATTCACGACAGCAGAAGGTGGGAGCAACCCGGGTGTCCACCACGGATGGACATGGATCATGGATAAATCCAAGTGTCATCAAACAAACAAAACGTGGTATTGCACATGATGAACTATTAAGAGGAAGGAAATCCTGACACACGCTACAACATGGATGAACCTTGAGGACATTATGAGTGAAATAAGCCAGTCACAGAAAGACGAATACTGTATGATTCCATTGATACGTGGTTCTCAGATTCACAGAGACAGAAAGCAGAATGGTGGGTGCCCAGGGCTGGAGGAGGGAGCAGTGGGGAGTTAGTGTTTAGTGGGTGCAGAGCTTTGGTTCTGCAAGGTGAAAAGGGTTCTGGAGATGGAGGGTGGTGGTGGTTTCACAAGCGCATGAATGTATTTAGCACCACTGAGCTAAAACATGCTTACGATGGTACATTTTGAGTTACGTGTATTTTAGCACAATGTTTTAAAAGAAGAGAGAAAAAAGAGGTGTGTGGGGGGTGCTATAGAGCTGCCCGGGGCAAAACCAGGAGTCCAGAACCCTCCCAACTTCCTCATCCCCCAGAGACTGCTTCCCATTCTTCACACATCCATCGCTCCAAAATGCCAGTCTGGCTGGATTGCAGAGCTTTGAAAGGGAGAGTGCATTTCAGACTCCTAATGCCTTTCATCATGGCCCAGGCAATTTTTTTTTCTTTTTTTTGAGACGGAGTCTCACTCTGTCGCCCAGGCTGGAGTGCAGTGGCGCGATCTCGGCTCACTGCAAGCTCTGCCTCCCGGGTTCATGCCATTCTCCTGCCTCAGCCTCCCGAGTAGCTGGGACTACAGGTGCCCGCCACCACGCCTGGCTAATATTTTTTTTTTTTGTATTTTTAGTAGAGACCGGGTTTCACCATGTTAGCCAGGATGGTCTCGATCTCCTGACCTTGTGATCCGCCCACCTCGGCCTCCCAAAGTGCTGGGATTACAGGTGTCAGCCACCGCACCCGGCCAGCCCATCCAATTTTTACTCAACAAGGGAGGAGGAAGTGAGAAATAAGGTCATTAAACAAAATGGTCTTGCTTGAACATGTGCCTCCTGCAACTACCCACACACACATGGGCACACACATGCACACGCACGTCTCCCCACCATCACTAAGAAATGCAGCTTGAATCCAGATGGTAAACAAGCTCATTAGCCTAGCATCAACCTAGATTTGCTGGTGCAGTCTCCTGCCTGCGGGACGTCAGGCCTCCAAATTGTACCTTCTGCCTGGAAAGTCTGAAGCACATCAAAGCCCGGGAGCAGAGGGCAGCGGGCTAATTAGACGCTGCCCAGGCAGGCAGCCGCTGGGAGGCTGTGCGAAGAGGCGGTCTGCCAAAGAGTGGATCCCTGGGGACCTGCCATGTCTATAAATACCCTGAAGGTAACTTGTTAGAGGGTGTGTGTGTGTGTGTGTGTGTGTGTGTGTGTGTGAGAGAGAGAGAGAGAGAGAGAGAGAGAGCGAGAGAGAGAGAGAGAGTATGGGGAGGCAAAGACTGAAGCAGAAGAAACTCAGAGGGCCCAGCGGGGATTTAGGAGCTGGGGGAGGACTTCGTGGTGAAAAGACCTGGTGAGTTTCCACAGCTTCACAGCCCGGGAGGAGTGCAGGGAGGCCTCAGGAGGAAATTCAAGCATCAAAGAACAGGTTTTGAGAGGAAAGACCAGAGGAAGTGCTGAGAGGCACCAGCAATTTCCTCATTTAACCAACAAGTGAGGGCTAGCTGTGAACCCAGAGGATGTGTTCCAGGTTCTGACCCGTGATGGGTTGGCCCCAGGACCCCATGCGTAGGAAAATGGGAAATGGAGGCAGAGTGGCAGTATGACATTGTCCATGCCAGTGGCTCACCAGCATCCTGACAGCAACTTCACCATGGGGACAAGGGCGAGGCATGTGAGGACTCTGGTCTGAATCCCAGGTCTATGTTGACCAGGTGCGCTGAGGTGCAGTGCAGGGGAGGACAGAGGGAGCACTCACCTGGGGAAGAAGGCCTGGAAACCTCCTGGGAGGACGGAGGGAGCACTCACCTGGGGAAAGAGACCTGGAAACCTCCCGGGAAGACAGAGGAAGCACTCACCTGGGGAAGGAGGCCTGGAAACCTCCTGGGAGGATGGAGAGAGCACTAACCTGGGGAAGGAGGCCTGGAAACCTCCTGGGAGGATGGAGGGAGCACCCACCTGGGGAAGGAGACCTGGAAACCACCCAGGAGGATGGAGGGAGCACCCACCTGGGGAAGGAGGCCTGGAAACCTCCCGGGAGGGTGGAGAGTGCACCTACCTGGGGAAGGGGACCTGGCATCAGGTCTCAGCTCTGTAACTCAAAATGTAACTTTGGGCAAAGCACTTCCCGCTCTGGGCCTCAGTTTCCCCATTTGTATGTGGGAGGGGCCTGGGGTGCTGGAGTTCTCCACAGGTGGCTCTGACTTCCCTGAGCTGCTGCAGATGGCCCTATGTCTGAAAAGAGTTTGCATGTGCTCAGCACTGGTTGGTCCAGATCTTCTCATGAGGGGCTGTCCACATGACCTTGGCCAGAGAGAGGGTGCCGGCAGTCCTGAGAGCCAGGGCCACTGTGCTTTATGTAATATAAAGACAAAACGTGTCTGTAATTAGCCTGTTAAATGGGGTGAGCATCTGCCTTGCAGTCTCATTGATATTAGTAATGTGCCTAACCAACACTTTACAGACAATGCGCAAGCTCAGGCTCTGGCATCTGGGGGTCTGGGCTTGAACCCCAGCACTGTCCCTTCCTAACCCTTTTATCCACAGCATCTCGTTTTTCTTATCTATAAAATGGGAATGATACTACCTGTGTCAGGCAGAAATTTACTCAGCTGCAAGTAACAGAAAACCCAGATGACAAATAGGGATTTGTGAAAACACGAAGTTTGGAGTGGGCAGTTCCAGCAGCAGCCGGTCTTGGCTCAGCTGCTCCGTGATGTCTGCAGAGACCTAGGCCCTCCTTCTTTCTGCCTTCCCTCCTCTGCCTGCTGGCTTTCATCCTCATGTGGTTCACCTCACAGTCACAAGTTGGCTGCTGCCATTCAACATCACGTCCAAGTTCACAGTAGGGGACAGGAGAAGGGCAATGCCTCTGACTAATTGGCCAAAAGTTGGCAACATGGTCACCCTCAGCGGCAAGGGAGGCTAGAAAGATGGGAACAGGATTACCGTAACTTGTCTAACAAATCATGATCTGTTGCCTGGGGCTGGGTGTTGTTATCAAGGAAGAACAGAAGGGTACGATGTGGGCAACTAGGTCTGCCTCACTCCTGTGAGTATTGAACAAAATGAGGCAGGTAAAGCTCTCAGCACAGGGCCTGGCACTCAAAAACACTCACCATTATCATGTACATGTGAGTTTTCTCCCTGTTTAAGGACCGATGGGCAACCCTTAACTCCCAAGACACGTTCAGGGGAGCGAGCAAAGGGTGCACCCCCTCTTCTTCAGAGCAGAAAACAAAGGTGTACAAAAAGGGGCAGAGATCGGGCAGGGACTCAGCTGTGGGGCCCAGGGGCCCATTTGCTCTTGGAGCCTTTCACAGCCTTTCTGGTTGTGTGCAGGGGAACAAACCTCACCCACATGTGAGTCAGAAGACCTGGTTTTTAGTGTGCACCCTGAAACCGATCTCCTGTGCAACCTTGGCCTTTTCGCTCTTAATTTTGTCATCTACATACAAGAGAGTTGGGTGAGAGGATCACCGGAGACAGTGCATGTGAGCTCATGATGTTCTACACAAATGTGAGACGTTTGAGCTCATGAGGAAGAAGCAAGGCAAGCTTAGGGAACATAGTGAGCTTAGTGACTGCGGGCGGCGGGCAGTGAGCACACACATGAACGTACACACACACACGCATGCACACATGTAATGCACCACACAGTACCAACCAAGCACGTGTGCAGCACTTGCAGATGAATGCACATCCCACACACATTAAGACACAGGTTAGCTGTCTGCCAAGATGTACCCTGGTGACACATGGTATAAAAGCTTTGTCAAAGGAGAGGGGGAGATGGAGGATGCAGCTGGGCTGAGGTCAGCTGGCCCCCAGCAAGATGGTCTTGGTTATTCCCATCACATCAGGCCAGAAGGCAGAGTTTCCAGGGCGCTCACTGGGGCATGCGGACAGGTGTTGACCATGTTGCTCCTCTTTGGAAGCCACCTCACTGCCCTTTGCAGTGACTCCGTCCAGTAGGGTCATGTTGCTAGAAAGTCTGGTCTCCAGGTCATCTCCATCTGCAGCTTTTCCATCCCTTTCAGGGCAGGCAAGAGGCTGTGACTACACAGTCAGCTGAGGCTGAGGAGGACAAGGGGAAGCAGAGGGGCCCAGAAGCAATGCCGGCCAGAGCCCTGGCTGCCCAGCAGTCAGGAGGGAGGGGGATGGAATCCTGGGAGAGTCCCTTTGAATCAGAAGTCCTCACAGCCTCCCTTTCAGCTCCCTACTTCACTTAGATTTGCACCTCTGCAGCCGTGCCAGGTCAGAGCCCGGAGGAGGTGGGCAGCCAGCACGTGTAGCATTACACCAGGAGGGTGGGCATGAGCACCTGGCCGGGCAGCCACCACTGCAGTGGAAATCAGTCCCTAAGCCCTGCCATTAGAAATACTGGGGCCCACGCCAGCTAATCCGAGGTGTTGGAAACGTGCTGAGATGTGACCATGTGCGGCTCAGAGCACCGGGCCAAGCCCAGAGGCCACAGCAGCCTGGAGGAGGCAACTCACAGCAATGAGAGTGAGGAGCGGGGCTAGCCTGGCAGGAAGCCGAATGCTTCCTCGGAGAACCAGGCCAGCTTCCAGGAAGGATGCCTGGTCCAGGCTGGCAGCTTGCTGGGAATTTGCTCTTCTGAGCTCCCCAAGGACAGCATTCCAGAAACGCCAGAGAGGGCTGGTCAACGTCAGAGAGACCCTGGTCTACTGAGGGTCACACCAGGGTCGGCATTATCCAGGGCCAACAAATGAAGACCAGCCAGGAGCCAGGGCTGCTGCCCGGGTTCTCCTTCAAGCAATCCGTGGAGAAAACATTGCCTTACAGACTGCCATGATGGGATTAAAATGAATCCCATTGGCCTTAGGAAGAGTCCATCTACTTCCCCCTGATGGGGGAAACGTACAGAAATGGTGCAAGTGTCTCCTGTTAGAGAAATGGAATTATGGGTGTGACCGTTTCGTGACTGTGGCTGGCCTTCACTGGTGAACTCTTGCTCCCTTGGCCCACCGCCCTCAGGGGCCAGCCCCATGGCTCGCCTTAGTTGGGCTGATGTTCCCGTGCTGAAATCCTTGGGCACGCCTCGGAGGATAGAGGAGGACTCCGGACCCCGGTTCCCTCTCTGGAAACAGTCCCGGAGGAAGTGGCAGAGGCGAGTGGGAGCCATCAAATGCTCATGCTCAAAGGGGCTTCTGGAATTACTGGAGCTGAGCCCTCAACTTTCCAGAAACATAACTGAGACCAGGAGAGAAGGGCCCTCCTCGGTGTCATGCCCCATTCACGAAAGAGCCAGGACCACCGAGCCCAGGCTGCCTGCACTCACCGCACTGCCTGCGGGAGGCTTCGTGGGATGGGCCTCTCTCCATGTCAGGCACAGCAGGGGTGATACAGAGGTGAGGGGATGGGATCCTTGCGCTCAGAGATACACCAGGCATACAATCAACGTGAAGACCGTAATAGTCAAGGATAAATGTGAGAAGGGCTCTTGGATCATTACGGAACACACTGGCAGACACTTCTGAAGAGGTTAACACAACGGGGGTAGCATTTGAGTTTGAAAGAAGAATTAATGCTGATTAAGCTTCCAACACAGTGGCAACAAGGAGTGTTGTAGCGGCTAAGGGCTTGTTTAGGCCCTGCCATTTATTAACGACGTGATCTTGGGCACTTCCAACTCAATTTCCTCCTCAATAGAATGCAGGGCAATGATACCTGCCCTGCAGGCATCGGGGGAGGCGACATGGTGTGTGTAACGTTCCTCCACATTGCTCAGCAAATGGCGAGATCTCTATAAACCCTGTGGTCATCGTGGCTCCCCTTGTCATTATCACCCTCCTCATGCCCGTGGCCACCATGCATGGGTGGGGGCCGGGTCCCACCGGGAAGTCTGTCTGTAGCAGTCTCCCTAGGGGTGGGCACAGTGACACCTGTGTAGCCCTTCCTCTGCCTGAGTCACACCTGTTCTGAAGCTACAAAATTAGGTGTGTAGATGAGGAAGCAGAGAGGCAGCTACTGGTTCTGATGAATCCTCAAAGCATTTTGGGGAACCACAGCTACAACTAAATTCAGCTGGAGGTTTGTCCTCTCAGTCTGAGCCATGTGCTCATTTCAGAGTGTGGGGAAGGAGGGGTAAGGCGGGGAAGGAGGAGGAGGAGGAGGAGGAAAAGGTTGAGGAAGAAAAAGAGGATAGGAGAAGGAGGAAGAAGAGGGGGAGGAGGAGGAGGAAGGGGAAGGAGGAGGAAGAAGAGGAGGAGAAGGAAGGGGGAGGAGGAGGAGGAGGAAGAGGGGAGGAGGAAGAGGGGGAAGAAGAAGGGGAGGAGTAAGAGGGGGAGGAGGAGGAAGAGGGGGAGGAAGAGGGGAGGAGGAAGAGTGGGATGAAGAGGGGGAGGAAGAGGGGGAGGAGGAGGAAGAGAGGGAGGAGGAGGAAGAAGAGGGGGAGGGAGAGGGCGAGGAGGAAGAGGGGGAGAAGGAGGAGGAGGGGGAGAAGGAGGAGGTGGAGGAGGAGGAAGGGGGTGAGGAGCAGGAGGAGGAGGAGACAACCAGATAGGCATGGGGATGGTTCCGTCTGCTCGGGCTCACTTGTCCACTGGCCTGGATCCCTCAGGCCTCCATCCTTCCATTTCACAGCCTCAGTTCCTCTCTGGTGGGGCCTCCTTGGGTCCCCATGAAGAGACTGCTCTCCACGAACCTTTCCTTCTCTGCCTGTCTGGCCTTCCACTTCTCCTTTTCTCTTGCCCCTCAATGCCTCCGTTCCCTTCTCTCCCACGGTGCCCAGCAAGCCTTCGTTACCTGCCCACTCTGTCCCTGGCCCTGTGCCTGGCCCCAGGGTCCAGAACCCCTTAGCATGATGGCAGTTTTTTGCCCTGGAGGAGCTCATAGGCTGCTGAGAAGACAGACACAAAAGAAAATACCAAGAGGCCAGAGAGCTCACTCTGCCTGGGTCTCATGCCCTTATGAGGGTGGTTTCTGCCTGGGGTAAACCCTATGTGTTCGAACACCTGCTGCTCCACTGGGCCCTCAGAGTGGAGCACAGACCCTGCCTCGCCCCCACCTCAGGGAGCTCAGAGCCATCAGAAGACTGCCCTGCAGGGGTGGGGTGGCTACCACTTACTGCTTCCGGCTGCAAGGAGCAGGAAACCCCTACTTGAGGAACGAAATAATAATAACAGTGTGACAGCTCACATGAAGCCAGAGGCAGGTGGCTCCAGGGCCGGCGAGTGCAGCAGGTCCGGGATGTCACCCAGGACGCAGGTTCCTTCTGTGTTTCCTCCTGCTGCCCTCAGCATTTCAGGTTGTCCTCCAGCCAGCTCCCCTCAGGGCCACAGGATGGCTGCCACTGCTCCCATGCTGATTCCCAGGGCTCGTCCCAGACCTGGATCCAAAGCCCTGAGGTGCAGGGCCCCAGTCTCCCTGGGTGCCCCCAAGGTCCTGGCCGCTGTTTGGGAGCCAGTCCCCCGGCCTTCCTGCGTGGATACGGGAATGCTCAGCCTTGAGCCGGGGGCACATCAGAGGAGCAGTGAGGGCAGCACGTCCTGGAGTGAGCAGAGGCTGCAGACAGGGCTTCCACGCAGACCGTTTGCCTGTTACCAAATTTGAGGACAAAGGTTTCTTTCTTTTGAAGTCATGGGTTCTTGGATGGAGCCTTGTCTGACCCCAGCAGTGCAGCACAGGGGAGTGAATGAGCAGGAAGACGACCAGCATCTCCTCAGGGCAGGGCCATGACTGGGGCCTGTGCGTCCATCCCCGCGGAGCTGGTGGCAGAGTGGCGGATGCCGTGGTGGAGCACTGCATGGAGCACTGACGGATGACACGTGCACATGGCGATGAGGACGACACCTAAACGTGGCAGTCAGTGGAGGGAAAGCCAGAACGGGATTCATGACACAGAACCACAGAAATTAAAAATAGATAAGCTGGGCGTGGCAGCGGGCACCTGTGGTCCCAGCTACTCAGGAGGCTGAGGCAGGTGGATCACTTGAGCCCAGGAGGTCAAGGCTGCAGTGAGCTATGATAGAGCCACTGCATTGTAGCCTGGGTGACAGTGAGATCCTGTCCTAAAAAAAAAATAGGTCCACAGAGTTTCATACAAATGAATACGACACAGTGATTAAAAATGGGCATAATGAGGAGTGAAAGAATCCAGATAAAAGACAGTGAAGACACTGCTTTGTGTCACTCCATTTATGTGAAATTCCAGAAAGAAACCTATGATGACAGGAATCAGCATAGTGACATCCCGGAAGGTTGGTTTGACTAAGCAGGGTATATACAAGACCTTCTGGAGTGTCGGAAATGTTCTAGATTGCCGTCTGGATGTGGGTTAACACACGTACGCAGACACACACAGACGGCTGTTTATAAACTTCGCTGAGTTGTGCACTGAGGACTCTGCATACTTTTCTGTGTGCATCTTACACCTCTGTAGAATTAATATAAAGCCACGCACACAAAACAATATACATTTTGTAAAAACACAAACAAAAAATAACACATTGAACAGAATACGATGGCTGAGGGGTTGTAGGGAATGGGAGTGGGGTACGGATGTAAAAGGGAGGAAATGAACTTTTAAAGCGTCCTTGTCCAAACCAATGATGAAGGTTTATATACACTAAGGAGCAAGATTACCTTGATTGCTTGTGTGCCCGAGGGTGGGGTCGGGAGAGAAAAGAAAAAGCAACAGCAGCAGAATAGCAGAGGCAAGAAGTTTAGGGCTTCAGAGGCTTGGACCACGTGGGGAGTGGCGGGGCCTCTGCGGGCAGCCTGGCACCACGGCTTCCTAGGCCCATTGCCAAGGGCAGGCCGCCCTGGTCTGCTCAACGTCAAGAACAAACTCCAAGATCGTGACAGAAGAACGCAGGACAGAGTTCCTGGCGGTGGTTACCCAGGGCTGGAGCTTCCCAGCCCTGGCGGGGAGCTGGCAGTGAAGCCAGACTCAACGTGCATCGTGCGTCTCTCTCCACAGCAGGGGAGATGGTGTGAGCTGGAGCGTGCACAACATTCAGGAGTGAAAGTTTTAGTGAGCAGAAGTGGAGAGAAGGGGTGTGGGCTGAGGGTCATGTGAGGTGAAGTGAAGAGGTTCTGCCTGCCTCTCCCTGGCTGCAGAGGGAGCATCCGCTGGGTGCTGTGGGGCCAAACCACAGGGGATGAGACTCAGCGATGCTTGGGATGGAACTGGCAGAGGTTTGTTCCGCAGGATAACAGGAGACTGCTGGAAACGGGCTGGGGCGTGTGTGTGCAAATGTGTGTACATGGGTGTCTATGATGTGGCTATGTGGAGGTGTATTGTGTTAATGTATGTGTGCATGTATGTGTGTGCATGTGTGTGAGTGAACGTATATGGGCTTGTGTGAATGTGCATGTCTATTGCATGTGTTTGTGTGTGCGTATGTGTACGTGTGAATGTATGTGCATATGTTTGTGTGTGATGTGTATGTATATGAGGTGTATCTGCGTGTGTATTGCATGTTTACACATGTGCACGTGTGTGTGTATGTTTGTGTGATGTGTATGTATATGAGGTGTATGTGTGTATTGCATGTTTACACATGTTCATGTGTGTGTATGTGTGTGCATGTTTGTGTGATGTGTATGTATATGTGAAGTATGTGTGCGTGTCTTGCATGCGTGCATGTGTACGCGTGTATATGTATGTGTGCAGGTGCGTGTACTTGTGTTCTGGAGAGACTGAGAAATTAAAGAATAAACAGGAGAGGCTCCCGGCAGGGGTGACTGGTCCTTTAATGAATCCCCCAAACTCTCTTTTCCTTTGCCTCCCAGGCTTGCTGCGCGGCCTCCTTAATTAATGCCTGTAGAATGCGTTCAGATGCTGGAAGGAGAAGCAGCAGCTTTATAAATAAACACTTCTAAAGGTTGACTAATCCCTGAGTCCCCGAGGGAGAGGAGAGAGCTGTGCTGTGTGGGAGGAAGGGGCACCTTGAGCGAAGGAGGCAGCTGCGGCGGTTCACTGAGGTTTCGGTCCCGGCCCCCATTAGCAAGTTACTTCTCCAGGGGCAGGCCCTGGCTCCTTTCTGGGCCTGTCTTCAGCAGCCAAAGGAAAGGCTTGGATTATGGCCTCACAAGATCCTTTCTCATGCTCCCATTTTATAAAGTGCCTGTTGTGGCCAAGGTCACAGAGTTGCCCCAGCTGAGCACAAGAGGGCACCTGAGAGAGGCAGGCAGGGGCCACGTGGCTGCCCCTCACATGCAGGCAGCCTGGCCGGCTGCAGCCACCCGTGGAGTGACCTGTTCGTGGAGGTCCAGCTCAGAGCTCTCTAAGCAGGCTCAGCAAAGGCAAGCAACACAGAGGAGGAGGCTCCTGTCCACGGCAGAGCCAAACCAGGGCTGCAGGGCCATTCCATGCTCCGCAGAGCACCCCGACCTGGAGATGGAGCAGCCTCTCCAGGTGATGTGGAGGCAGAGAATGTGGTGGCCACCCTACACTCAGGACCAGGGGCCACCTCTGACAGTGATTTCCCCTGAACATAACATCTTAACCAGAAGGAAGGACCTGAAAGGAGATAGGGGGCTGGATGGTGAGATGGGAAGAAACTACATCTGGTAGAGACTCTTTGTCTGACAGGGGAACCTGCCCTGTGTTTGCACGGCCTGGCTTTAGCACCCAGGGCGAAGAAATGATGGAGCTGGCCCACTCAGCCTCCTGACTCTAAGGGAGCTGTCGCCTGCCATCTGACTCTTTTAGGCTTATCTAAGGGATCCCTGTGGCTGGAATTTTGGCAGGGGCCTACCTGGCGATATGTATGGGGATCATTTGTCTGCATTTGCCCAGGACAGTCTATGTTTCTGCCTTTTGTCTGTGTGATGAGTTCACATCCAGAAGTATCCTAGTTTGGATGAGGAATTACGTGGTCACCCCATTGATGGACAACTGGGTGACACTTAAGAAGAAAGAGGACTTGAACCTCCAGAATCTTTGACTTTTAGAACTTTTTGGACATCTGTTCTCTGCAAAATCCCTCCAAAATGTTCTGCAGCCTTCAGCTGAAGTCATGAACAAGAAATTATTCCTCATTTGCTCACGTTAGAGTGGGGTGTGATGGGGAAGTGAGTGACCCCAGTATCTGAGGAGGTTCCCTGAGACCCCAAAGCCGGGGTGGCCCCCATCGGACTAACATTTTCTAAGTGCTCTCCCACAGGCACCCACATCACCATGCAGCTCACGGGCGTACTGAGTCTCATCTGCACGGAGCCCCTCACGTGTGAGGCATCATTTTATTATTTTTTATTATTGGCATTATCAATTTCCTTATCTCATAAAGAGAGGAACAGACTCCCGAGGGGGAGACGGCCACATCCTGCTCTGTGAGTGGCCATACAGAAGCTAGAGCCCAGGTCCCTGGGCCCCGCCTCCCCTCCGCAGGACACTGCCTCTATGCACCTGGTCACAGTCAGACAGGGCAGGGTGCCCTGCTGGCAGCCAGGCCCGGGCAGTGGGGAGCAGAGGGCAGAATCCCTCACGGAGTCTCTGGTCTCTGGAAGGGCTGGACGGTGCTTTGCCAGCCGCATCTCTCGCCAGTCTGTCTTTCGAGTTCCAGAACACCGAATAGCTTGTATTCTACCCACTTCCCACCCAATCACACACACACAACCCCATACACACACGCACACATGTACACAGACACTATTGCTGCTTCTTGCCTTCCTGTCCTGGCTCATGCCATCTCTTTTGCCTTAAACTCCTGCTGCCCCCTTATTTTGTCAACTCTTACCCACCCTTTGAGAACCAGGAGAGGCATCACCTCTTCCTGGAAGCCTTCCCTGGCCTCCCATTTGCACGTTAAGTGATGGCCCTCACAACGTCATCTACAGTAACTCTCCTTCCCACTGGTCTGTGAGATCCTCGGGGCCTGGGCAGGGTCTTACTCATCCCTGTGTCTCCAGCGTGGCATCCGATGGGTGGCGGCCATCCACACACAGGCTGGGCGCTGCACCGCCGGGCAGAGCTCCTTGTCCTTTCAGGACCCGTTATCTCAAGATTTCCTATCAAGCCACAGTTTCCCAGCCTCTGTGCATGCTGGGAAACCTCTGTCTATGCAGGAGGGAATAAAATCTAAGGAACAAGTGACCCTGGAGAAGTGCTATGGGCAGAAAATATAACAACACCAAAAATAATTTTGGACCGACTTATGACGGAGCCGTAAGTGGCGATAAGAAAAGCTGGGACACACCTGACCCGTGAGGCTGATGGGGGAAGGGCCAGTTTTGCCTGGCACATCCCACAGGGCTGCCATCCAACGTAGAAAACGCCAGTGTGGAGCATGCGCGGCTCTGGCCCAAAGCAACCATTGCAAGGTTCCTACGACTGACACCACAGAAAATCCTTTCCCCTTGATACTTATCTGGGTGGCGAAAGAGACAGGAGGTGGTGGGACTAGAACCCAGAGCTTTCTGAGTGCAGTATTCTCTACACCACATCACACAGGATGAGGGGCTCCTGACAGCCTAGATCTTGGGACTGCCGCCTTGGTCTTTTGAGCCCCTTCAATTGTGTAGGTACCAGGTGTGCCTGACAGGTGGAGGGAGGAGCTGGGGCACTCACAGAACTGTGTGTGTGCACGGCTGGGTGGGCTGCAGCTCCCGTCCTGGGCCAGGAGAACGTCGTCTTGGAGACGGGGCCCTGCTTGTCCCCCAGCATCTCTAATGCTGAGAACTCCCACCCGTCCCTCACATGTCTGTTTCAGTGTCTGCCGACCTCAGCAGGACGCTTTACCTTGGCTTCTCCCTAGACATTTGGCGCCTTTCATCTTGGCCCTCAGACTTTTAGAGAAATTCTTAGACTTTGGCTTATGACTGTCTGCTCTCCCACCCTTTCTCTTGCCCACTTAGTACATATTTTTACCTCCTTCCTGCCGTGCCCTTAGTTAACTTGTCCGAGGCTTGGATTTCTTTCTTCTGCCTCCCTCAGAAGCCTGGGCTGCACAGCTTGGGCTGCTAGCTGGCGCGGGGCCACGCGCCTGTCTGTACTGCCCAGCCGCCGGGAGTGCCAGTCACCCAGTGCTCTGCTCTCCTCCCCCCCAACAGTCTGCACACGCAGTTTTTATTTGTGTACTTTTCTCAAGGCTCTAAGCTGTTGGCAGGCATTACTCATGACTCAATTTAGTGAACATCTATCTAGATACCCAAGGTTGAGTTAAATATACCAAGTATTTGTAACCACCTCCCTCACTCCTCTAATTGTAAGAGGGAGTGGGGTGCAGAGCATCTGAGATCTGAAAGCCAAGTGTTCAGCAAAATGCTGGGCAGGCTCCCCAGCCTGCGCGGCCACGCACCTTTACACCACGCCGCGCTGCCCCAGCCTGCGTGCTGCAAACGACGCATTTGACCTCCAAGATGACTCCACGTTCCAAAGCCTGCAAGGCAGGCTGATTTCTTGGAGAAGGGAGGAGGCGGCACATGTCTGAATAGAGCAGGCCCTGTTAGAAAACAGAAGGCTTCATTGCTAATAGGAGCGAGCGACCAATCTGTCCACATTAATCCAGAGACATGGTTCCTAAAACTGCACCCAACACTCCGCCCCTCCCCGCCCCACCTGCATCTACACTGACAAATGGAAACTGAGCAAAGCCTGGTGCTCAGAGCACTCGTTTCTAATGTGCCCCTCCCATCCTTGGCACCACATACTCCAGGGAAGTAGGCCTTAACAAGGGTGGACTGTTGGTCTCTCTTTATACCTGAGAGAACCAAAGAGGGCTGTTACTCAATAGTTGAGATTTCTTGAGGTGGAAACGCACTTTCAGATTTTCACCCTTCTCATTCAAGAGGAAGAAAGCAGGTCTTTCTGTCCTTTCTGGGTCTGAAAAGGGCAGGCAGGCTGCTGGTGTCTGAGGGAAGAACAAACTTACCAAATGCAACAGATCTGTGATTTCCAGGGCAATCCTTCAGCATGCGATATTTTGTTGTTGTTGTTGTTTTGTTTTTGTTTGTTGGCCCAGGGCTTACCTCTTAAAAGGGCTGGCAGAAGCCAGTACAAGGGGGCTATGTGTATCAGTAGGGCTGGGTATGCACACCAGACAGTTCTAGAAGATGCTAACAAAGGTTTCTCTCACTCTGCAATTATCACCATGTCTGGCCTTCTGAAGGGGGAGACCGAGCAGAGTGTTTCTTTTCAGAAGATCCAGGAAGTACAAATCCTATCAAATAGCACTGCCTTCTCCCGCCTTGCAATTAAGGTGGTGCTTTACCCATAACGGCAGGGGCAAGAACAATACCGACATGGTATGTTACAAGTAATATACTGCTGGGTATGTGGACCTCTTAAAGAGCTGTGGCACTTCCTTCATAAGGAAGGGAGAAGTGTTACTGTTTTCATTCCATTGATAAGGAAATGAGGGGGAGAACGCGGTAAAGCAAGGCGGCCACAGATCCCTAAGTGCCAATGCCAGGCTGAACACTCAGGTCCTGGTAGATGGCAAACAAAGGCCGGCCCAGCAGCTGCGGGCCTCTCCCAACAACTGGAGCATGGCCCCCGCACCACAGTCATGGCACAGAGGGGCTGTCTGCCATATGTTGCTCCCATTTAATCCTCATATGGACCTTGTGAGGGTCTTTCATTTTCTAAGTGAGAAAACAACATCCCAAAGATGTGTTTGTTCAGGAGTTGAAGGCGGATCTGTGTGACTCCATAGCTGGGTGCTCTTCCCCACACCGGACGGCTCTGGCTTCTGGAACGTCTACCAGGCTGAAGCCCACTGCACTGGATAAGGCTGCCTCTACGAACAGAAATCTCAGGGCTGCACCTGAGATTCAATCAGGTGAAAACTGCTGCCTGGGAGCCAGTGGCACCTAAGGAGTGGCGTCCATGATGTTCTCAGAATTTGGGCTGAGTGGGAAGAAGAAAAGCCCATTTATTTATGAAATCTAGCTTTGGGTGCCTTAGATAACCCTTTTGATCTATTTCTTGGACTCACTAGAGAAAGTCCTTTTGTACAAAGACACTCTCATCTGCTTTGCTGTATAGAAGAAATAAGCACTCCATCACCAACTGCCCTTTGAAGGGTGACTTCGTCTTTGGTCTAAATGAATTGGGCCTGTCCCTTTCAAAATGATGTATTCCAGTAAAGGATGGAGAATTTATTATTTTTCAAAACAGATGACTGTGGTGTTGACCTAGAAAGGCCCGACTGAAGCCTGCAGGGCAGGTCTGACCATGCTGGGCTTGGGTTTGTTCCCCCGTCGCATCAGAACATGGGCACCTTCTCACATTAGGTACGGCAACTGATATTCTTTCTGTTTTATTTACTCGGTTCTGAAGCAAAAGAATAAATATTTCATGAAATTAGCCATTTGCTACTGCAAATACGTTAGGAACATTAAGTATGGAATTCATCTCTCCTTAGCTAGCGAAGCAACTCTAAACATGTAATTAAGATCAAAGATACATTGTTAAGGTTGCCAGCAGTTAATCAGATCATTGATTTTGCCCCATTTTTGTGCATGTATCGCTGAGGCAAGCACTACGATCACTGACTTTGAATCCAGCAGTTAATCAGATCATTGATTTTGTCCCATTTTTGTGCATGTATCGCTGAGGCAAGCACTATGATCACTGACTTTGAATAACAGATCCAAGTGTGTCTCTGTCCTCGCCCTGTTCTCCTTATAAGAATATTGAGATACCATATATGCAATTATTAATTTCAAGTGTTTTGTGAAAACTTTGCATGGTTTATCACTATGTTAGATGTTGTAGGAGATACCAACGAAACAAAAGAACTCACCCCTTCCTAAATGTTGGAGGGTAACACAGCAGACTCCTCGCCAAGGTCTGGCACATAACAGGGGTTCAGTAACAGTCAATCCCTTTTCCACCCACCCTTTCTCTTCACAAGAAAAAGCACCCTCCTGCGGGAGAGTAGGGGAGGTGGTGTTCTAACAATGCTTTCACTCGATGCTGTGGCTGAACAAAGGTCTAGAGCTTAAAGTCCAAGCCCAGGTCTCAGAAACGGTAGGGAAACCTGTTTTCCTCACGCTTCCATTTTATGAACTATAAAATGAGAATAAAACACCTGTCGGCTGTGCAGTAATCGAAGATCTTTTTATTATCCGAGAATAAGAAGTGCTATTGAAACGCAAAGCTTTATTTATTACAAATACTCAGCAGGGACGAATTCCCATAGATACTCTTAACAACTTGGCAGGGGCTCTTCTGACTCCTTCCAAGATTAAGCTCCTCATCTCTGCGAACATAAAACTCGATCTGCTACACAGCTTGCAGATCATGACGCCCTGAACATCACAGTGACAATCTCCTGTGCCCTCCGCCTCAGCGTGTTCTGCTAAGGGTGATATACTATCCATTCGGAAGCTTAGGCGGGCACATCCTGCTGCTTCATGGGCTGGGATGGATGAAGTGTTGCTGGAAATCTGGGCCATTTGTCAACTCCTAGAACATCTATCCTCTAGAAACTAGCTATAAATACCTTTAGAAATAACTTCCTTCAAAGGATTGGGTAAAACATGCCAACTGGGTTTTTACAAATGAAAGGTTTACTTTGTCTGGTAAAAGAAAACCGTCGTTACTTCCAAAGGCTCATTAAAGCCTTTGTAGGTTAACTTGTGGGACGACACTGCCACCTGGTGGTCGGCGTGCACTGTGCGCACGGAGCTCCCCAATGGAAGTTACACACTGCTCAAAGAACCACCAGACTTATTAATAAAGAACTAAGCTCTGAGAACAGCCCTTCTCACAGAGACACTGATTCTTCTGAAGTGGCTCCATACATTTAAGGAAACATACTAAGCTTGGCATTTACTGAGTGACCTAAGCAAAGAATTTTCCTACCCGCTCAATTCTTAGTACCAGGTGTACTGAAGGACGTGATTTCTAAAAGCAAAACAAAACAAAAACACTTGAAAGGCAGGCCTGGTGGTGACAAAATCTCTCAGCATTTGCTTGTGTGTAAAGGATTTTATTTCTCCTTCGCTTATGAAGCTTAGTTTGGCTGGATATGAAATTCTGGGTTGAAAATTCTATTCTTTTTTTTTTTTTGAAACGGAGTCTCGCTCTGTCGCCCGAGTAGCTGGGACTACAGGCGCCCTCCATCATGCCCGGCTAATTTTTTGTATTTTTAGTAGAGACAGGGTTTCACCGTGTTAGCCAGGATGGTCTCGATCTCCTGACCTCGTGATCCACCTGTCTCAGCCTCCCAAAGTGCTGGGCTTACAGGTGTGAGCCACCGCGCCTGGCCCCTGAAAATTCTATTCTTTAAGAATGTTGAATGTTGGCCCCCACTCTCTTCTGGCTTGTAGGGTTTCTGCAGAGATATCCACTGTTAGTCTGATGGGCTTCCCTTTGTGGGTAACTTGACCTTTCTGGCCTCCCTTAACATTTTTTCCTTCATTTCAACCTTGGTGAATCTGAAAATTATGTGTCTTGGGGTTGCTCTTCTCGAGGAGTATCTTTGTGGTGTTCTCTGTATTTCCTGAATTTGAATGTTGGCCTGCCTTGCCAGGTTGGGGAAGTTCTCCTGGATAATATCCTGAAGAGTGTTTTCCAACTTGGTTCCATTCTCCCCATCACTTACAGGTACACCAATCAAATGTAGGTTTGGTCTTTTCACATAGTCCCATATTTCTTGGAGGCCTTGTTCATCCTTTTCATTTTTTTCTCTAATCTTGTCTTCACGCTTTATTTCATTAAGTTGATCTTCAATCTCTGATATCCTTTTTTCTGCTTGATCAATTCGGCTACTGATACTTATGTATGCATCACGAAGTTCTCGTGCTGTGTTTTTCAGCTCCATCAGGTCATATATGTTCTTCTCTAAACTGGTTATTCTAGTTAGCAGTTCCTGTAACCTTTTTTCAAGGTTCTTAGCTTCCTTGCATTGGGTTAGAACATGCTCCTTTAGCTTGGAGGAGTCTGTAACGACCCACCTTCTGAAGCCTACTTCTGTCAATTCATTCTCCATCCAGTTTTGTTCCCCTGCTGGCGAGGAGTTGTGATCCTTTGGAGGAGAAGAGGCATTCTGGTTTTTGGAATTTTTAGCCTTTTTGCACTGTTTTTTCCCCATCTTCGTGGATTTATCTTTGACACTGATGACCTTCGGATGGGGTTTTTGCGTGGACGTCCTTTTTGTTAATGTTGATGGTATTCCTTTCTGTTTGTTAGTTTTCCTTCTAACAGTCAGGCCCCTCTGCTGCAGGTCTGCTGGAGTTTGCTGGAGGTCCACTCTGCACTAAATATGGAAAGGAAAAACTGGTACCAGCCACTGCAAAAACATACCAAATTGTAAAGACCATCGACATTATGAAGAAACTGCATCAACTAACGGGCAAAATAACCAGCTAGCATCATAATGACAGGATCAAGTTTACACACAACAATATTAACCTTAAATGTAAATGGGCTAAATGCCCCAATTAAAAGACACAGAGTGGCAAATTGGATAAAGAGGCAAGACCCATCGGTGTGCTGTATTCAGGAGACCCATCTCACGTGCAAAGACACACATAGGCTCAAAATAAAGGGATGGAGGAATATTTACCAAGCAAATGGAAAGAAGAAAAAAAGCAGAAGTTGCAATCCTAGTCTCTGATAAAACAGACTTTAAACCAACAAAGATCAAAAAAGACAAAGAAGGGCATTACATAATGGTAAAGGGATCAATGCAACAAGAAGAGCTAACTATCCTAAATATATATGCACCCAACACAGGAGCACCCAGATTCATAAAGCAAGTTCCCAGAAACATACAAAGAGACTTAGACTCCTACATAATAATAGTGGGAGACTTTAACGCCCCTCTGTCAATATTAGACAGATCAATGAGACGGAAAATTAACAAGGATATTCAGGACTTGAACTCAGCTCTGGACCAAATGAACCTAACAGACATCTACAGAACTCTTCTCTCCAAATCAACAGAATATACATTCTTCTCAGTACCACATCACACTTATTCTAAAATTGACCACATAATCGGAAGTAAAGCACTCCTTAGCAAATGCAAAAGAATGGAAATCATAACAAACAGTCTCTCAGACCACTGTGCAATCAAATTAGAACTCAGGATTAAGAAACTCACTCAAAACCGCACAACTACACGGAAACTGAACAACCTGCTCCTGAATGACTACTGGGTAAATAACGAAATTAAGGCAGAAATAAGTAAGTTCTTTGAAACCAGGGAAAACAAAGACATATCGCACCAGAATCTCTGGGACACATCTATCTAAAGGAGTGTTTAGAGGGAAATTTATAGCACTAAAATGCCTGCAGAAGAAAGCGGGAATGATCTAAAATTGACACCCTAACATCACAATTAAAAGAACTAGAGAAGCAAGGGCAAACAAATTCAAAAGCTAACAGAAGACAAGAAATAACTAAAATCAGAGCAGAACTGAAGGAGACAGAAACACGAAAAACCCTTCAAAAAATCAATGAATCCAGGACCTGGTTTTTTGAAAAGATTAACAAAATAGATAGACTGCTAGCCAGAATAATAAAGAAGAAAAGAGAGAAGAGTCAAATAGACACAATAAAAAATGACAAAGGGGATATCACCACAGATCCCACAGAAATACAAACTACCATCAGAGAATACCATAAACACCTCTATGCAAATAAACAAGAAAATCTAGGAGAAATGGATAAATTCCTTGACACATACACCCTCCCAAGACTAAACCAGGAAGAAGTCGAAGCCCTGAATAGGCCAATAACAAGTTCTGAAATTGAGGCAGTAATTAATAGCCTATCAACCCAGGACCAGATGGATTCACAGCTGAATTCTACCAGAGGTACAAAGAGGAGCTGGTACCATTCCTTCTGAAACTATTCCAAACAGTAGAAAAAGAGAGACTCCTCCCTAACTCATTTTATGAGGCCAGCATCATCTTGATACCAAAACCTGGCAGAGACACACAACAAAAAAAGAAAATTTCAGGTCAATATCCCTGATGAACATCAAAGCGAAAATCCTTAATAAAATACTGGCAAACCGAATCCAGCAGCACATCAAAAAGCTTATCCACCACGATCATGTCAGCTTCATCCCTCGGATGCAAGGCTGGTTCAACATACACAAACCAATAAACGTCATCCATCACATAAACAGAACCAATGACAAAAACCACATGATTATCTCAATAGATGCAGAAAAGGCCTTCGATAAAATTCAACACCCCTTCACGCTAAAAACTCTCAATAAACTAGGTATTGATGGAATGTATCTCAAAATAATAAGAGCTATTTATGACAAACCCACAGCCAATATCATACTGAATGGGCAAAAGTTGAAAGCATTCCCTTTGAAAACTGGCACAAGACAAGGATGCCCTCTCTCAATACTCCTATTCAACATAGTATTGGAAGTTCTGGCCAGGGCAATCAGGCAAGAGAAAGAAATAATATTCAAATAGGAACAGAGGAAGTCAAATTGTCTCTGTTTGCAGATGACATGACTGTATATTTAGAAAACCCCATCGTCTCAGCCCAAAATCTTAAACTCATAAGCAATTTCAGCAAAGTCTCAGGATACAAAATCAATGTGCAAAAATCACAAGCATTCCTATACACCAATAATAGACAAACAGAGAGCCAAATCATAAGTGAACTCCCATTCACAATTGCTACAAAGATAATAAAATACCTAGGAATACAACTTACAAGGGATGTGAAGGATCTCTTCAAGGAGACCTACAAACCACAACTCAAGGAAATAAGAGAGGACACAAAGAAATGGAAAAACATTCCATGCTCATGGCTAGGAAGAATCAGTATGATCAAAATGGCCACACTGCCCAAAGTAATTTATAGATTCAATGCTATCCCCATCAAGCTACCATTGACTTTCTTCACAGAATTAGAAAAAACTACTTTAAATTTCATATGGAACCAAAAAAGAGCCCGTATAGCCAAGACAATCCTAAGTAAAAAGAACAAAGCTGCAGGCATCATGTTACCTGACTTCAAACTATACTACAAGGCTACAGTAACCAAAACAGCATGGTACTGGTACCAAAACAGATATACAGACCAAGGAACAGAACAGAGGCCCTCAGAAATAATGCCACACATCTACAACCATCTGACTTTTGACAAACCTGACAAAAACAAGCAATGGGGAAAGGATTCCCTATTTAATAAGTGGTGTTGGGAAAACTGGCTAGCCATATGCAGAAAGCTGAAACTGGACCCCTTCCTTACACCTTATACAAAAATTAACTCAAGATGGATTAAAGACTTAAATGTAAGACCTAAAACCATAAAAACCCTAGAAGAAAACCTAGGCAATACCGTTCAGGACATAGGCATGTGCAAAGACTTCATGACTAAAACACCAAAAGCAATGGCAACAAAAGCCAAAATTGACAAATGGGATCTGATTAAACTAAAGAGTTTCTGCACATCAAAAGAAACTATATCAGAATGAACAGGCAACCTACAGAATGGGAGAAATTTTTTGCAATCTGCCCATCTGACAAAGGGCTAATATCCAGAATCTACAAAGAACTTAAACAAATTTACAAGAAAAAAACAATCCCATCAAAAAGTGGGCAAAGTATATGAACAGACACTTCTCAAAAGAAGACATTTATGTGGCCAACAAACATGAAAAAAAGCTCATCATCACTGGTCATTAGAGAAATGCAAATCAAAGCCACAATGAGATACCATCTCACACCAGTTACAATGGTGATCATTAAAAAGTCAGGAAACAACAGATGCTGGAGAGGATGTGGAGAAACAGGAACGCTTTTACATTGTTGTTGGGAGTGTAAATTAGTTCAACCATTGTGGAAGACAGTGTGGTGATTCCTCAAGGATCTAGAACCAGAAATACCATTTGACCCAGCAATCCCATTACTGGGTATATACCCAAAGGATTATAACTCTAATTATTACCCATAACTAGGTATATACCCGAAGGATTATAACTCTACTTATTACTGGGTATATACCCAAAGGATTGTAACTCTACTATAATCAAAGGATTATCATTCCACTATCAAGACACATGCACACGTATGTTTATTGCAGCACTATTCACAATAGCAAAGACTTGGAACCAACCCAAATGTCCATTAATGATAGACTGGATAAAGAAAATACGGCATATATACACCCAGGGAATACTATGCAGCCATAAAAAAGAATGAGTTCTTGTCCTTTGCAGGGGCATGGATGAAGCTGGAAACCATCATTCTCAGCAAACTAACAAAGTAACAGAAAACCAAACACCACATGTTCTCACTCACAGGTGGGAATTGAACAATGAGAACACACGGACATAGGGAGGGGAACATCACACACTGGGGTCTGTCGCGGGGTGGGGGACTAGGGGAGGAAGCGCGTTAGGAGAAATACTAATGTAGATGATGGGTTGATGGGTGCAGCAAACCACCATGGCATGTGTATACCTATGTAACAAACCTGCATGTTCTGTACATGTACCCCAGAACTTAAAGTATAATAATAATTAAAAAACACTTGAGTATAAAAAAAAGTCTGAAACATTTTACTTCATATTACACATACTTTTTTTTTAAAAAAGGCAGAAACATTGAAGGAAACAACACTCAACATGAAAGAACCTTGTGCCGGAGTTCTAGAAGGACCTTGAAAATCAGTTTTAAAAGGCCTTGCTGTCACATAGTCTTTTTCATGGCTGCTTGAGTCATGCTGAAGAGATAGGCTTCATAGATTATATTTAAGAAGTTGTCATCATTCTGGAAAACAAATCGAAAGACCCAAGAGAATGTTACTTGGTTGGCAGACACAAAAGGCTTCCTCTGTCTTAGAGCTGAACTGGCCTTTGGATACTGAGACACTCATCTCTCCCTGTCTAACAGCTGGTGGTTTTTAATTGCATGTGTGAATGTTAAGTGGGGTTGACGGCAAGGCCGGACAGAGCTGATGGTTTTCCATGGTCAGTATGCACAGCAGCAAGAGCTCATTACATGCAGCACAGATGGGCAGCCCAGACACATGGCAGCATGGAGCAAGGTTTACTCAAGAACAGCCTGGGTCTGCTGCATGAAAAGACATGAAGCCCCAGCAGACAGAGGAGTTAGGAGGACATGATCCAAGTCAGTGGTCTCAAAGTTTGGTTAAGAGATTGCTGTGGTGTGTTTTTTTGTTTCTTGTTTTTTGGGTTTTTGAGACTGGGTCTCACTCTGTCACCCAAGCTAAAGTGCAGTAGTGCCATCATAGCTCACTGCAGCCTCAACCTCATGGGTTCAAGCGATCCTCCCACCTCAGCCTCCAGAGTAGCTAGGGCTACAGGTGCGTGCTACCATGCCTGGCTTTTAAGTTTTTTGTTAAGACAGGGTCTCACTATGTTGCTCAGGGTGGTCTTGAACTCCTGGGCTCAAGTGAGCCTCCCACTTTGGCCTCCCCAAGTGTTGGATTACAGGCATGAGCCACTGTGGTTCTTAAAGGCCCTCCAAGTCACCTACAATGTGTCTGCTTTGTTTTGGGCATTACTTAGGATTTTACTTGCAATATGCTTCATCAGTACTTCATCAAAGCTAATATAAGTCTTCCCATAAGTTATGGAAAGTTTCTAGCCTTGGCAAGTGGGCAGGAGTAAGACTGGTAATCTCTGGGCTCTTTTGCCTGGCTAAGGAGTGAGAATCACGGTCTAATCAGTGGTTTTCCTCATGTTTTAATTCTAGAGACTTCTCCCTCCCACCCAAATTCTTTACAGTGTTAGTAATTCACCCACACTTCACATTCCCCCTTCATTCCCTCTTGGCACCCCACACAGATTTAGCATCATTCTCATGCAATGAAGAGAGTGATGTTATCCCTCTTTTTCCTGCAAAGTAGTCACAAAGTTCCTCTGCATGAGATTGTGTCCTAACAAGAGGCAGAAACTAAAAACAGACTGCTTGAGTGACTGGGAATATGAGGTGTGGTACACGGGAAGAAGTAAAATGCACGCAGAGTGGAGGGCAGGGGAATGTAATTTCTAATCCGCCATGTTCAGCCACTACTCTGGAGTAGAGTCTCAAGACAATGTGAAGGGAATCAGCCAGAAAACATATGGATCTTTTAAATTACAACTTAAGAAACTGGCTCAAAGTAAAGAGGTTCACAGATGTCTAATTCCTCCTGAGCTTACTATGAATAGCTTTAAAAGGTGGCAAATATTTTTATCCTGATATTTACTTATGAATTAGTAGGGCTCAATCATTTGCTGTTGACCTTATTTATCTCTGATTGTTATTATGCTTCTGCTGACTTCTAGCCCCATTCCTTTCATTCTTCCTCAAACATGTTTCCTTCTTTTGTAGTCTCGCTATGTTGCTCAGGCTGGTCTTGAACTCCTGGCCTCAAGCAATGCTCCCACCTTGGCTTCCCAAAGTGCTGGGATTACAGGCGTGAGCAGCCACTGTGCCCGGCCAACATGGAACCTTTTTAAAAATGTTGTACTAATTGAGACCACTGTCTTTTTAAGTAGGATAAGACAACCGCAGAAGGGCTGGCCTGCTCTCTAAAGGCCGTCTGATGCTTAAGCAAAGTACCACACAAGTTTTCTTAAAGATTATCTACCAAAAAGACACCTAAATATGTTAACTGGGGTGTCTGAAGTCTGTCTGGCTACAAATGTTCCACTTTTCAAGGACTGCCGTTGATTTCTTGGGTGTGCTTTGCTAGGGCACCTGTGCTGAATGTTCTCCCGAGGCTGGTCCCTGCCAACATTCATGTGGTGAACGTGGCCCACGGGAGAGTACGTGGGAAGTGGCACTCGGGGGCCAGGCTGGGTGCATCCCAGCCCTGCTTATGTACGAGCTCCGTGCCTCAGGCCAGTTGCTCAGCCTCAGTTTCCTTGTCTGTAGAATGGGAAAAATAACAGGGTTGTTATGTAAGGAGTGAATGAGTTATATGCTTGTGTGTAGCACTGAAAATAGGGCCCGGCGCCAGCTCTGTGGAGTGTTAGCTATTATAGCACTCATTATTATTTCATAATTTCATAGGCAAGTGAGGCTAGCAGCTCACAAGGAGTCCTGTCACTCCATCCCGTCCTAATGAGCAGGTTTCAAAATGACTTGTAAAACATACCTGTAGCAGCCATGGCCATTATTTGCTTCCCTCCCTGTTTTCCACTCGCTCAGTGGCCTCTTCCCCACTCAACAGATGGCCCCTTGCCCAGGACTGCTCCCACCTCTACCTCCCAATGGTGAGTTTTCTGTCTGGGCCTCCAGCACCCAGGGTCCTCTCAGGGACTGCTTAATCCCCAGCATATGCTTCCTTCTCTTCTGACAGGTGACAGCTTGGAGGCCTTAGACAGTCCTTCAAATTACAAAATCCTTGAAGAGCTGAGACACCCAAGCCACACTTGGTATTATAAATAACACCTAGCTAACTGAGCACAGAAGCCGCTGGGGTCAGGATGAGTTGTTACACACACCTGTTATTCTCACGGAAGCTAAGCAGGCCTTGGCTGAGTCTTTATCTCATAGTTGCAGCCAGGAGGCCAACAGGCGTGGTCAGGTGCGAAGGGAGATGACGTGCTTGCTTACCTGAATGAGGTACAGCAGTGCCTCCTGGAGCTGGAGCTTGGTGAGTGGGCTGCTGGTGATCACGGAGGGCTCCGGGCTCTGTATGGGCAGGAGGAGGCTGGTGGCAGCAGCAGGTGGCTCCTGGCCTCCCACAGGCAAGAGGCCGCTCTCCCTTTCCTTTGGCGGGACGGAGGTGGGTTGTGCGAACACCATGGGGGACATAAGCAGAGACGGAGCTGCTGTAGCAGGGATGCGCTGAGGTGAGATGACCTGCTCACAGCAAATACACACAGAGAGCGGGGTTCAGGAGCAGCTCACGGCATGATAGCTTGCAGCGGCAGATACGGGTGGTCTAAGCATTCCCTGTCCACAGCTTTCCTAGCTGAGAAAAGTTTATGGGAAACTGATTCTTGCTCCACTGCTCCATGCACCTTCCTTCAGCATCACTGAGCAGCTCTGGTATCGTCTGCTGTGGGGACTATTCTTTCCACTGCATATGCAGCTTGGCCTCTGGGTGACAGCTTATTTTTCAGGCTACCAGTATTTGGCAAGTGCATTTAGGACTACTGACCTTTTCCTTAGACCTGGTTGTCCATGACCCTGACCTAAAGGTCTCACAACCTATGTGAGCTGCCACCCTTGTTAGGGGCCTCCCCATTTCCCCTCCTGACCCCGGAGCACAGGAGGCGCTGTGAGAGCAACTCCCCGCCCCTCCTGCGGCCTCACTCACTTCTCGTGGGGAGGGAGAGTGATGTGTGGGTCCACCCCTTCTGGGTCCTTCCCTGACAGGATCTGCCTGCCTGCAGAGAGCCCTCATCTTCAGCTTCCGCAGCTGATGTGTTTGGGCTGACCCGGGCGGCCTGTTGCTCAGCCCTGCCAGAGCCTGTCTGCTGAGTCTAACTCCCTTGGCAAACAGACCTGAAACCAAGTTTTCTAACAGCCCTTTCAGTTATGCAAGTGACATTTTGATCCTTATCTGACTGACTCCTACAGCTATCATTTGCTTCTAACTCAGGGAAGAAAAAGAATGTTATTTATCAGCCTCCGAACTCCCCGAAAGAACTCCTAAGAGGGAGGCAAGGAGGCCAGCAAGCTAGAAGTTGCTGTAATTTTATAATCAATCCCTTAGCGTCTCTTTGAGCAAAAGTTGGCCTAGAGGAAGGCAGGCTGTTTCTTTTAACTTGTCCCTACATGACATTTCGAGGAGCGGTGCTGAGCAGTGATGCTCCCGGAGGTGGAGTCAAGCATTCTGAGCACAGCGTGGGCTGCTGAAATGCTTGCCTTTCTCACTCGGCTCTTGATATTTGTGAGTACTGAAAAGTCAAGGGAGTTGTACATCAGAAATTTAAGTCAGACTATATTCATCGCATGCTTCTAATTCTAAATCATCAAAGAGGAAAAAAGCAGACATTTTTAAAAAAGGGACAATAACACTGAAATGAGGGGGAGTGGGAGTTATAAATATTGTTTCTATAGCAGTCGGTACTCAGATTTGGGATGTTAATAAATAATAAATGAGAACACTTTGACTCAGGGGCTCACAAAGACTTTTGGCACATGCCTAAGGTCTTTGTTTTCAAAAAACTGAATTTTTTGTTTTGAGACAAGGTCTCACTCTACTGCCCAGGCTGGAGTGCAGTGGTGCAAACATGGCTGACTGCAGCCTCAACTTCTTGGGCTCAAGCAATCTTCCCACTTCAGCCTCCCAAGTAGCTGGGACCACAGTGGCATGCCACCATACCCGGCTAATTAAAAACAAAAAATTCTTGTAGAGACAGGGTCTATGTTGCCCAGGCTGGTCTGAAACTCCTAGGTTCAAGCGATTCTCCTATCTTAACCTCCAAAGTGCTGGGATTACAGGCACGAGTCACCATGCCCAGCCAAAAGTTCAAGATTTTTGAGAAACTGTTATAAGTTACATAACAGGCCAGGTGCAGTGGCTCACGACTGTAATCCCAGCACTCTGAGAGCCCGAGGTGGGTGGATCACCTGAGGTCAGAAGTTCGAGACCAGCCAGGCCAACATCGTGACACCTCGTCTCTACTAAAAAAATACAAAAAATTAGCCAGGTGTGGTGGCAGGTGCCTGTAATCCCTGCTACTCAGGAGGCTGAGGCAGCAGAATCGCCTGAACCCGGGAGGTGGAGGTTGCAGTGAGCCGAGATCGCACCATTGTACTCCAGCCTGGGCGACAAGAGTGAAACTCTGTCTCAAAAAACAAAAAAAGGTACATAACAAAACATGACAAAGGGCCAGTGATGATATATGTGATACACAGGGAGAACTTTCCAATTTTTAAACCCAATGTACTTTCAATGAATGTGTTCCAATCCAAAGGGAAAACAATTCAATGTCAGATCTCCAGATGTTACCCACAGGCAGATGATCAATAGCTTGTGGTTTCCTCACTGTCCCAAGTCAGTGATGGACATGGAAAAGCATCTTCTCTAAAGGAGAGAATCTTTCTAAAAACTGTCATATTTTCCCTCTCTGGCAGTTTGTGTGGGGGGTGGAGGTGGGTGGCATGCATACCTCTCCTGATCTACAGTAGGCTATACTGACGATACAGAGAAAGATAAAAACTGGCTGCACCTTTCAGGAGGAAATAGGCTGTTTTTTGTTTATTTCAAGAACCTACAGCATGGGCTGTGGGTAAGGAGTCTGTTTTCTTCATCATTATGTACCCACATGTAGACAATGCCTGACATGTAGTAAGTGCTCAAAAATATTTACTAAATAAGTGAATAATTTACTGTGGACTGAAAAACAAGAGGAGGTCAGTTGCTTGGCATTCCAGATTGATTTCAAGGCAGACCATACTAAGTTCCTACAGTCAAAAATTACGGTTTTCTCCCATGTCTGTGTTGGTCTTCAGACCTCCTAATATAACGAAGATTTAACTCTACAAGTAATGCTCTCAAAAAGGTTGGGGGAAGTTCTCAGATTGTTAACCAAAGTGAAGATTCTCCTTCCAGGTAGAAAGTTCAGGCAATCAAGATGCACGGAGGTGCACCCTGCTCCAAACAGAAATGTACGTGACACATTGGTCCCTAGAGCATGGAAGTGGACTCTACATTTCACTGCATTATAGTAATACCTTTTTCTTTGTCTGTCTTTTTTTTTCTTAACAGACAGGGTCTCGCTCTGTCACCCAGGCTGGAGTGCAGTGGCACGATCATGGTTCACTGTAACCTCCGCCTCTTGAGCTCAAGGGATCCTCCCACCTCAGCCTCCTCAGTAGCTGGTGCTATAGGCGTGTGACACCAAGCCTGGCTACTTTTTTTTTTTTTTTAGGGACAGGATCTTGCTATGCTGCCCAGGCTGTTTTATTTTGCCCCTGGTACATATTTACCTGGAAAAGAGGAGTCTGCTGTTCTGTGTTGGGTGTCTTGTTGATCCAGGATTCCAAGGGTTTCCCTGTTCCAGAGCTCTGAGCGAGCACAGGAAACTTAGCGGCCAAGGCTGGCCGGTTAGAGGCATGCAGCTGCTGCTCCTGCTGTACAATCTGAAGCTTCTTCAGTAACTCTTGAGGGGAGATCACTCCAGAGCTGCCAGTCTGACTACCAGAGATGGGGAGTGTTTGTCTTGGGAGTGTGGACTGTTCTCTTCCATGAGCCTGATGTCCTACTGTCTGAGGTGGAAGGGAGCCATTGAAATAGGCCTGTGGTGGCTGAGCCAGACCCTTTCCTGGAGCCACAGGGGTGACAGAAGTGGGAGCTCTGCTGCGGTTCAGGGCAGCTGAGCTGGCAGGTGCTGGTGTACTAGGGTCACACTTGTTTGCTGCCCCTGGGGTACTCTGAAGTTTCTCGAACAGGTTCTGAGTTCTGGAAGCATTTTGTACACCACGAGAAGTTCCAATGTTGTGAGGAGACCCTGGCTGGACAGGTCCTGTAAAAAATTCTCCCGCAGAATGGGTACTGCCATTTTCACAAGGCCGGTTTTCAGGCAGCTCTGACAATGGGTGGAGGTCTGCGCTCCTGACCATGAGTTTCTGAATGGCTGGACAGAGCTGCTTCTCAATGGGGGGTGAGTGTCTTCTGGGTTCCTCATAGGACAGGGAGCGTACAACCCCCTGCCTAATTGGAAGCTTCTCTTGCTGCTGCTGCTGCTGCTGCTGCTGCTGGTGGAGAGTCTGCGGAGGCTCCACAGTTTCCTGACATGTAGCTTTGTCCTGCTTCCCAAACAGAGCTGTCAAGGATAAGTGTTGGGGTTCAGGGTCTAAGGTCTGGAAAAAATAAAGATATCTGACATGAGTCTACAAACAATTTGGTTATATGAGGAAGTGCTATGAAACATAACTTATCTGATGACTTATTCTATTTACAAAGGATTGATTAGAGAGAATGAAAAATAATAATAATAAACTTGAAAAATGAGATCCCCTTTTTAATGTCAAAAATTTTCACAGCATGCTCCCCTTGCACCCCCAAAACAGTTATTATATTTTAATATCTGTTGACCGATAAAACAGGTATAAGATCTTCAAGGGCCTGGGGTTTCACAGATTGGGAACCACCTTGGTAGGAAATTATATGCACTAAAAAAATAAACAATCTGTTCAATAGGAAGCCCATCTAAGCCTGCAGAGTAATATGAGAATACAAAGGAATATAAGCATTTCAGAATTTCTAGTAGTTTTTCACAGAATTATGGAAATCAAGGGCTGGAAAGAAACGGAAGACTTTAAATCTAACTTGATCCTTTCAAATATATACTGGTAGGATTTAAAAAGTCCTTGGATACATAAAATCTACCTTGGCCCAGCCAGTTACAAAGCTACTTCCTTCTTGCTCTTTACTTCTGTTGCTTTCTGCATTGTTGCACTGAGAAAACATGAGGCTAGGCACAGTGGCTCATGCCTGTAATTCCTGCACTTTGGGAGGCCAAGGCAGGCAGACTGCTTGAGCTAAGGAGTTCAAGACCAGCCTGGGCAACATGGCAAAACCCCATCTCTACAAAAAATACAGAAATTGCCAGATGTGGCAGCACACGCCTGTAGTCCCAGCTACTTGGGAGGCTGAGGTGGGAGGATTGCTTGAGCCCAGGAGACACAAGTTGCAGTGAGCTGAGATGGTGCCACTGCACTCCAGCCCGGGTAACAGGAATGAAATCTGTCTCAAAAAAAAAAATAAAAGAGGAAAGAAAAAAAACCACAAGCTTCATTTTAAAGTCAACATATTCAGGTCTCGCTATTAAAATATAATAAAAACTTTCCATAAAACAAGCAATAAAAAGAAAGCTAAAAAATTAGAAGACTTCTTTTCTTTAAAAATTCAATATAAGATTTTCATTACTAGTCTTTATGTCTTTTGGCTCCATGTTCATTTTCAAAATTGATATAAACTAATTCCTTTAAGAAAATCTTTTTAATTAGTCATAGTCATGATAAAATGACACAGCAATATTATATTTACAATCATTAATGGGACCTACAGATTGACAATTTTTGTCATTGCTGTACTATTCTGAAGTGTATATATATATATATATACACTAACACAAAAGCTGCTGTAATATTTCTAATTTAGATTGCAAAGACAGTGACAAGTCATCATATCTGAAGAGGAGTTTTATACCATTCCTTTGGACTCTGAGCTCTCGGCGGCAGCTACCCCAGTCTACAGTGCTAGCTCTGCATCTGGCACAGAGGAGGTGCTCAGAAGTGCTCAAATCAACTCTGTGTCCTTGGTGGTTCTCCCAGGTGGCCTTGGGAAGCCACCCACCCCAGAAGAATATGGACCCAATGGGTAATGTTTCTGTCATCTCTGACAATGTTATTAGTTTTCTAGGGTGCTTGTTTGTTTGTTTTTGTTTTCTGAGACATGGTCTTGCTTTCTTGCCCAGGCTGGAGTGCAGTGGCGCATTCCATAGCTCACCGTAACCTCAAACTCCTAAGCTCAAGGGATCCTCCCGCCTCAGCCTCCAGAGCAGCTAGCACTACAGGTGCACGCCATCATGCCTGGCTAATTTTCCTGTAGAGATGGAGTCTCACTGTGTTGCCCAGGCTGCTCTCAAACTTCTGGCCTCAAATGATCCTCTCGCCTCAGCCTCTCAAAGTGCTGGGATTACAGGCTTGAGCCACTGTGCTGGCTTGTTGTTTTTTAAAAAATACATTATCTTTTAAGGAGTTCAAGTTCACAAGAGATTAGCACAGAATGTGGTATATGCCAAAAGTAAAAACTTTAACCCTCTTCTAGGAAGAGTAAGTTATTAATAATGAAAAAATCTGTATTCTGAAATCCCGCTTTCTTGGGTTTACCTGAAAGCATTCTTCAACAACACCAGGCCCTCCCCTGACTATATTCTGGGTCAAAGTTCTTTAAGAATTCTAGAGACACACTGAATATGACAAGCAGAGAACTCCGTACCTGGTTGGGCTGAGGTATACGCTGTTGCTGGTTTTCACTGGGTTTCACTGGAATTGGTTTGATGAGATTTGGATTGTCATAGATGGCAGAGGAACTGGTTATCTTTTTTGGCTCAGAACAGGTTTTACACTGAAATAGAAAAGAAAATCCCCTCATTTTTGGCTTAGAAAAGCTTTAGTCTTTTTAAAAGACTACCTTTTTACTTCTTATCTAATTGGTAGACGGCTGTGTTTTTGATAGATTTTCATGCACAAAGGAAAATCCCTTAAATTTCTCTAAGAGCTATGTTTGAGTATAAATCAAGTTAAAATTTAATTTTTCTTAGTTGGACAATTCAGTGCTCTAAATATTACTAACAACACCAGCCTCCAGGACCAGGGGTTCTTAAGACACCTGTATAATTGAAAGGTTCTGTGCTTAATATATTGACTATACGTTTAAATATATATAGTCTAATGTCTTTCAATGATAAACAAATATAGAAACCATTCCTTAAATAACATGTCTGGACAATTTAAGCAGTTGACTTAAAATTGGAGAGTAGTTGAGTACATTTCATCAAAGTAACTAAATCTTTTTTGGTCTACAAACCAAAAAGCTGACTCAAACCACTGATTTAAAAATTACTAACATCATCTTTATTTAATAAATGACTTCTTGCATAAACAGAGTAATTCAAATCTGAGCGTTCTGAGCTACTTACTACAAATTAGAATTTTGTAGAGAAAGAGACAAGAGACAAATCTCATCATTTCCAACACTGACTCATTATTATACATTAATCTAACCAACCATGCAATTGCTAACACAGTAGGATTCATAACAAAAAGAGCATGGCAATGATACTGGTGTCTAGTTTGCTAAAACACTAAATAAAACAATATAAAATGCTGCTTTCTGTACTACAGACTCTCTGAAGCATCATTTGTTTCCACTGTACAGCCAAGGCCTCAGGCCCCAAAATATTCCACACCTGACATGAAATGAAATATAAACACAATCTTGTCCCTCAGGAACCCAGCATTCCCAATGTGTTTTACAGTTATCAATGTGTATTCTCTAATCCAACGATCTGGGGGTGTGGCATCTATTACCACTGTATGCACTGTATGTGAGGTTAACCATACAAAAGATTCTCTTCCTCCAGGCATTCTATCAATAATTTGTATATTTAGCACAAGTATTACGTGGGATGCAAAATCACCTTATAAGTCATAAAGTGTTACTTCCAATTCTTCTTAGGTGAATGAGGGTATGGCGGCATGGACCAACTGGCATGGCTTTCCCAAGTCATGGATAACCAAGACAAGACAAGAATACAGGCTAACATTTAATCCCTTACACAATTTTGGCATGAAAAGCCTTGCTATTTAAAAGAACGTGAATGCTTCCTTTCTTTGAATGACGCTTTCTGTATTTCTTCTTTTTCTATGTTCAGAAACACTGAATTTCCGGCAAAGAAAGGCAGATTTTTCCCAGCTTCCCTATGCCCATATCCATATGGGCTAACAGGATGCTTTGTCTGTTGATATGAATAAGCCTGATAGCTTTTCCTAGTTAAAATGTTATCTCCAGAAGCTGTTTTCTGTGTCACTACAACTGCCTACCTACAAAACCTTGCTTTTATGTAACAATTGCTCCCTCTTATCAGAGTGCTCAGAATTAATCATCCACCTCAGTAGTTTGTAGCTCATTTTCCAGTTGTTTAATTTTGTATGCTTTTCCCGACCTAAATATCTTTAAAATCCTGGGGGGAAAAACAGTTTTTGAAAAAGCATATAATGGATTCTTCACAGAGAACCTGAGGCATTTCTTTAAAACTTCAAAAACTTCCTCTGTTGGATGCTGAGGTTAAAATACAATAAAACCTCAAAAAGTATGTCATATAATCCAGTTTTAATCACACACAAACACATACATACATAAACATATGTATTTATGCCAAGAGAGATGTTTGAAACAAAATACAATAAAAGTATAAAAAGTTTCTATCTTCAGTTTATAGGATTATTGGTGATTTTTCTTTTTATATTCTTTTGAATTCTATCATTCAACAAAAAAATTTCTATAATTTCATAAATAACTCACAGCTATATCCAGAAAAGAGCCAATAATTCTTGTCTTAAACCACAAAACACAAATAGTCCACTTCTGAATACTCCAAGCTTAACTATGCAGCCTGTAGATCATTTCTGGTCCTGCCTCTTGTTCTTACTAAAATTTGGTTATTTTACTGTTCACTTGCATCTCAACTAGAAATTGAATAGGGCGGAGATAAAAAGAGATGAAATGCAAATTAACATCTTTTCTACTTTAAAGCAGATTCACAGAAAGTTATTTCTCAAAAGAGAATGCACAAAATTTCAGCCAAAATAAGTTTTCAAATTATTTTATTAACCTCCTGTAAACTAGACAGACTTCACTTTACCCATATCATATATACTGATAGCTCAACATTTTTCCTACTTCCACTTCTTGGGATGTTCACAAATTTAAGAATTCTAGAGAGACTTAAGCGTAAGGCCTGAGACTATAAACCTCCTGGAAGGAAACAGGGGAAAAGCTCCCCAACGTCGCTCTGGGCAGACTTTTTCTATAAACCTCCTGGAAGGAAACAGGGGAAAAGCTCCCCAACGTCGCTCTGGGCAATGGCTTTTTCTATGAACCTCCTGGAAGGAAACAGGGGAAAAGCTCCCTAACGTCGCTCTGGGCAATGACTTTTTCTATAAACCTCCTGGAAGGAAACAGGGGAAAAGCTCCCTAACGTTGCTCTGGGCAATGACTTTTTCTATAAACCTCCTGGAAGGAAACAGGGGAAAAGCTCCCCAACGTTGCTCTGGGTAATGACTTTTTCTATAAACCTACTGGAAGAAGACAGGGGAAAAGCTCCCTAACGTCGCTCTGGGCAATGGCTTCTTCTATAAACCTCCTGGAAGAAGACAGGGGAAAAGCTCCCTAACGTCGCTCTGGGCAATGGCTTTTTCTATAAACCTCCTGGAAGGAAACAGGGGAAAAGCTCCCTAACGTCGCTCTGGGCAATGGCTTTTTCTATAAACCTCCTGGAAGAAGACAGGGGAAAAGCTCCCTAACGTCGCTCTGCGCAATGGCTTTTTCTATAAACCTCCTGGAAGAAGACAGGGGAAAAGCTCCCTAACGTCGCTCTGGGCAATGACTTTTTCTATAAACCTCCTGGAAGGAGACAGGGGAAAAGCTCCCCAACGTCGCTCTGGGCAATGACTTTTTCCATAAACCTCCCGGAAGGAGACAGGGGAAAAGCTCCCCAACGTCGCTCTGGGCAATGACTTTTTCTATAAACCTCCCGGAAGGAAACAGGGGAAAAGCTCCCCAACGTCGCTCTGGGCAATGGCTTTTTCTATAAACCTCCTGGAAGGAAACAGGGGAAAAGCTCCCCAACGTCGCTTTGGGCAATGACTTTTTCTATAAACCTCCTGGAAGGAAACAGGGGAAAAGCTCCCCAACGTCGCTCTGGGCAATGACTTTTTCTATAAACCTCCTGGAAGGAAACAGGGGAAAAGCTCCCCAACGTCGCTCTGGGCAATGACTTTTTCTATAAACCTCCTGGAAGGAAACAGGGGGAAAGCTCCCCAACGTTGCTCTGGGCAATGACTTTTTCTATAAACCTCCTGGAAGGAAACAGGGGGAAAGCTCCCCAACGTCGCTCTGGGCAATGACTTTTTCTATAAACCTCCTGGAAGGAAACAGGGGAAAAGCTCCCTAACGTTGCTCTGGGCAATGGCTTTTTCGATGTGACCCTAAGGACAGGCAACAAAAGCAAGAGACACACAGGATTACATCCAACCCAAGGCTGTTGCATAGCAAAGGAAACAGCAGAGTGAAGAGATGACCTATGGAGTGGAGGAAGATACCTGCACAACATACATACGATAAGAGATTCATGTCCAAAGTAGATAAGGAACTCAAACAACTCAACAGTAAGAAAAGAAAACAAATGTTCTGATCAAAATATAGACAAAGGGCCTGAGTGGACATTTTTCAAAAGAAGACATACATGTGGCCAATAGGTATGTGAAAAATGCTCGACATCGCTAATCATCAGGGAAATGCAAATTAAAACCACAGTGAAATATCACCTCAAACCTGGTAGAATGTCTACCATCAAAAAGGCAAAACATAAGTGGTGGCAAGGATGTACAGAAAAGGAAATCCTTGTATACTGTTGGTGGGAATATTAGTTAGCATAGCTATTATGGAAAATAGCATGTTGGGCCAGGTGCAGTGGCTCACGCCTGTAATCCCAGCACTTTGTGAGGCTGAGGCGGGCGGATCACGAGGTCAGCAGATCGAGACCATCCTGGCTAACACGGTGAAACCCCGTCTCTACTAAAAATACAAAAAAATTATCCGGGCATGGTGGAGGGCGCCTGTAGTCCCAGCTACTTGGGAGGCTGAGGTAGGAGAATGGCGTGAACCCAGGAGGTAGAGCTTGCCATGAGCCAAGATTGCTCCACTGCACTCCAGCTTGGGTGACAGAGCAAGACTCCGTCTCAAAAAAAAAAAAAAAAATTTATGTTGGCTCCTCAAAAAATTAGAAATAGAACTACCACATGATCGAAGAATCCCATTTCTGGGTATATATCCAGGGAAAATGAAATCAGTATGTTGAAGAGATAGCTGCATTCCTGTGTTCACCACAACATTACAATAGCCAATATATGGAATAAACCTAAGTGTTCATCAATGAATGAATGGATAAAGAAAATGTGGTGTATAAACACAATGGAATACTATTCAGCCTCAAAAAAGAAGGAAATTCTGTCATTTGCAACAACATGGATGAACCTGGAGGACATTACATTAGGTGAAATAAACCAGGCACAGAAAGGCAAGTACTGCATGATTTCACTCCTACATGAAATCCAGAGAAGCTGAACCCACTGAAGCACAGTAGGCTGGTAGTTGCCGGAGGCTGGGGGTAGGAGGATTTTGGAGATGTTGGTCAAAGGATACAAACTTTCAATTAGACAGGAGGAATAAGTTCAGGAGATTTATTGTACATCATGATGACTACAGTTAGTACTAATATATTGTATACTGAAAGTTGCTAAAAGAGTAGATTTTAATTATTTTTGCCACACAAAAATGATAAATATGTGAGGTAATACATGTGTTAATTAGCTTGATTTAGGCACCCTATAATATACATGCATATCAAAATATCATGTTGTATACCATACATAAATATATACAATTTTAATTTTTCATTGAAAATAATTTTAAAAAGAAAACTTCAATAAAAGTAAGTCTAGCACTGAAAACCATCTCAGAAGTCTTTTAGTTTAATACTTATCCAACACAAGCCAAATTCTTTTATCACATCACCAATATGTAACTGTTCAATCTCTTCTTGAACACTTTAAGTAACGGAGACTCACTTCCCAACAAGAACTCTGAAGGAACATTCTGTTTTCCTTCTCTCTCGCTACCTTTCCATTTCACCCCCTTTCTTCTGTCTCAGAACCACTTTACTCAGGGTCTCCACATTTTCTGAAATATCTGTGTGTGAGTGCAGAGACAACACAATGTAAGAAGGCGATGGAATGCTCTTTCCAAACATAAGGCACTGGCAGCTAGCAGGGTGCATGCACACCTAGTTAGGCCGGCCAAAAATAAGGTGATGGAAAAAGAACATCTGAAACAGGCCCTGAAAGCTGGATCATATTTTGATGGGTGAAGAAGGGGTGGGAACAGTATGAGAAAAGTCATGAAAGCACTCTCAGGAAGCAAAATGAGTATTCTGTTTGGCAGGAGTTTCAAATATTTGTAGAGGGTAGTAGGGTTAGAAGAACAAACTGAGGCCGTCTTAGGGAAGGCTTGAAGACTCCAAGGGTTCCTGTACTGGGCAATGACAAACCAAGAAAAACGGAGACTAGGAAAGTAGCGTGATCATGCAGGTGTCCTGGCACACTGTATCACAACATCTGGCTGTTAATGGAAGAAGAAATAATTTCCTCTATTATTTATCTCACAGTTGGAGCAACTGACATTACGCATAAAACAACATGTATTTGATTTTTACAGAAAAGCACCTTCTATACACGAATTAAGTGTCTGCACTTCATGTCAACATTATAACAAATCTGTGAGGGCATAAAGATGAACAGAACATTGTTTTAACTTCAACCAGTTTACAGTGTACTGGGAGAAGTTGACTTAATGTAATAAATGAGGAAGAACAAAATAAGTTTTAAATAGTAATAGACTGAGTTCACATGGAAGAATAATTAATTTGACTGAAGAGACCTGGGAAAACTCCACGTAAAAAGTGTCATTTTTACTAAGCCTTAAAGGATATGTAAATTCTGAAGGGTAAATAAAGTAAGGGGAAAAATATTCCAAGACATAGGCACAGTATAAAGTGATGGCCTAAATTAAATCTCCAGAACCGTATATGAGTGTTTCTGAGAGAGACAGAGAATGTGTGTGCTTGTGCTGTTCTTTTATGTGATGGTCACTCAAGTGAGGCCAGAGAGGAGACACAGGAGAGTCTCAGGAAAACAAAGTTTATTATACTCACAGGTCCTGGAGACAAGAGGCATGCCACGCTGCACAGGGCCACGTGTGGAAGCCTCAGGGTGTCAGCAGCAAGGGGAAGGCGTAGGCTAGAGCATTTACTGAATTTCCTCAAGGAAGGCAAGGCAGGGCATGGTAAACAGGTTAAGATTGGCCAGTTTGAATAACTCCAGCAGGCTCTAAACTGTATGAGTGGTCCCCAGTTGCTGGGTACCTGGCCCTGGGATGATTAAGGCAGAGGAATATTGTACAGGCCAGAGACGAGGAGATACGTATGGCTCAGGATTGGTTAGTGTGCATATTAAAGGCGTGCTCCTGGCCAAGCCCTTTGCTATCTCTGAACACTGGCTGGTCACAGGAGGGGCAGTCTCCCCAGCCAGAAAGGATTTTAAGATGTCAAAACATTATAACATATAGAAGATAAAAAACAGAAACAATACAAGGTATGTGTGTGTTGAGAGGAGGGAGGGAAAGAAAGGAAAATAATTTTTTTCAATATTTGTATTTATTTACCATTGTTACACTGTCTTCACAGAACATTAAGTTCCTGGAGGGCAGAAATGTCACCTTTTGAAGATTAATCTTTAGTGTGCATAATATAGTATAATTAATAAAGTATAACTAATTATTCAACTAGTTGCCAAGTCATCATAATTTTTTTTAATGACTTTTGAAGAATTAAAAAAACACAAAATGAATACAGAATAGTTACTGTCTGAAGCTGAGATTAAGGCATCTCTGTCCAGGCCATACAATAGAAGGATAATTAAACTGTGGCTCATTCACATTCATATTCCTTCCTTCACTCAATAGCCATTATTTAACACTCACCATGTGCTAAGTACTTTGAAGACAATAAGGGATATAAAAGTGAATAAAGGATGTTCTTCGTACTCAAGAAGCTCACAGTCAAGGCAAAGCATGTTAAAGAAACTTGTCTAACTGCCTATATGTGCCACTTCATTCAGGATTTTTCTGATTGCTTCCTCATAGCATCATTTAATTTGTTTTTCTACCTTGTCTCCCCTCACTCCCCACCCACTTTCACTTTCTGTAAACTAAAAAGTTAGAGCTCAAGGCTTAATGAGATTCAGGATCAACTCTTTGGGCAAGAATATTTCAAGATGGTGCTGTACATTTGACATCTTATCACATTAGGAAGCCAGAGAATCTGGTTATCTAACTTTTAATGATGATAATCAGCGGGGTTCAGGAGGAGGCAGCCTGATCCTTCCACTGTCAAGTTTCTATCAACCTTTCCCATAACATTAATATTACTGATGATCACTGCCTGAGTCAATTATTTTAAGCAGAGTGTCTTTAAGTTCTATTATTCTCTCCACACGTACTAGCTGGAATTCTCTGGTAGAGAACAGCTCTCCCTCATTGACCAGGGCTGTTTGATTACTCTGAGATATAGTCCCTTTAGGGCAGGCAGGATAAAAGCTTATTTCATTCCCATTAATTATCAATTTTCAGAGGAAGGAGTTGGTGCCTTAGCACCTTCAAACGGATAACTAATAATTATTTTGCTTGGTTTTATATGTTTGGTTTGCTTGTTCTCTTTCTCATTACCAGGAACTCATAGATTTTTATACATTCAATGTGGTTTAATCCATTGTAGTCACTCCTGTTGATGTTAGAATGTGGTGCTCTGGTCAGTGTCCTTGAAGCTGATTTCTGTGTCCTTTCACATGACCCTATTGGTTTTACTATTCCAGACCTGGAATCAGAAATTTCTTTGAAGAGCCCTGACACCTTCTGGAAGGAAGTAATATTTCGAAACAACAATCTGGGTGATATAGATGCTTACTGCTACTGAGTTAGTCACTTTTATTTTTATGTCCTTTCAGGGCAAGAGTGAGAAACTCTATTTTTTGTTTTTATACCTAAGAAACAAAACATGAACTAATTCTGATATTTCCACTTAATCTTATGTAGTTTTAACTTATTAGATTTGATTTTTTTCCCCTTACACTAAGGTTTTGGTTCCAACCACGTTTATCTAATTTCATATTTATTATATCCACAACAGTAGAAAAATTACAATGCCAACAGTAGAAAAATTAAAATGCCAACATTACTACAAACAATAAAACCAATGAATGAAGTTTATAATGTCTTGCAGTTCTTTTTGTCCTTAAAATATAACCCACTAAGAGTGTTCAGTTCAAGCAGCGGGCTTTGAAGTCACTCTAATTTTTTTTCTAAGTAATTATGTGACAATATGATATTCAATTACATACATTTATTTCAGCTAGTTTCCAAATTCTATAATTTTTAAAAATTTTTATTTTTTGCCCATTTTTCTAGTGTTAATCTTGTACTTCTTAATTTTTAGGAGCTCTTCATAAAATAACCTTCCTGTCATTCTGGTGTCAACAATTTTTTTCTGAGTTGTTTTTGTATCTTTCTATTTGCTTGTGTTGTATTTAAACCTTGTAAAATGTTTTTTATTTTTATGTAGTTTAATTAATTGCTTTTGGGTTTTTAGGCATAATTGAAAGATTTCTCTTTTCCTAGATTATAAAGAAATCCATACAAATTTTCTTCTGGTACTTGAATCATTATATTTTTACATTTAAATTTCTAATACATTTGGAATTTATCCTGGTGTATGCTGTAAGGTACAGACTCAGTTTTGTATTTTTCCAAATGGCTACCAGTTGCCCCAACACCATTTATTTAGGAATTCACTCAAATAGCTGACTTGAGATTATCATCTTTATCATATCCTAGATTTCATATACAATTGGATTTAATCCTAGACTTAGAATCTTAAATCTGTCCCATTGGTCTATTGGGCTGTTAGGTATCAATACCATCAACACCATACTGTTTGAAATGTTGACTTCAATGTTTTAAAATCAGGGAGAGCTCGCTCCATCCCCCCACTCATCTCCCCCACCTCCAACCCCTACTAATATCACACTTCTTTGCCAGGATTTTCCCAGCTATTCTTTCTTGCATATTTCTTTCCATGAGCCTTACACTCAACTTGTCTAGATCAGAGAGTAAGGGAGAAGTGGGGAGGGGAGGGGAAAAGAAACCAGTGGTATTTATTTAGTGGTCACCTTAAATGTAGAGATTTTTTTTCTAAGAGCTTTATGTTGAATCTTCTTATCCAACAACAGGGTGTATATTTCCATTTGTTTGAGTCTATTTTTATGCCTTTCAGGAGTTTTTAAACATTTTCTTTATATAGGTTTTGCCCATTTCTCGTGAATTTTATTGCAAACAATTTTATATTCATTTGTTGCTACTGTAAGTTGGGGTCTTGCAGTAAGTCTAACAAGACTTACTACCAGTTGTGTATATGAAGGTTATTGTATACATGAAGGCTATTGTATATATGAAGGCTACTGATTTCTCAGGCTATTTTTTAACCCACTTAAAGGCAAACAGTTTTCTTCAGCTTATAAAAAATCTATATTACAAATAAAGATTTTTTATTTGTAATATAATTTTGTTTGGTGGAAGGAACAGCATCCACAGTACCTAGTCTTGCTAAACAAGAATATTCCCACTGCGGAACTGAAGTGTGTATGTATCACAAGGAAGGGCAAACACTCACCTTTGTGTATTCGTCTTTGGCCTTGATGAGCATTCGTAAAATGTCTACTTCTTTGCCCTCTCCTGAATTGAGGATCACTGGGGAAATTCCTGCTCCAGTTCCCTGATGGGCTTTCAACTGTTCATACTGAGTTAGGCTAGAAAAACAGAGGGGAAAATCCACACAAGAAAAGCCAATTCAACACAAACAATGTTTAAAACCATCCCAATTCTCACCTAGTTGTTTTCATCCTGTTACAACCATATTAGAAATAAGCTTGCTTAGGAATTTAAAGGAGAAAAATGAGAGTTGAGGTCCTGAATTCACTGACTACACAAATGAATCTAGGATAGGGGTCAGCAAATCTGTGGGCCAAGTCCAGCCCACCACCTGTTTTTTGTAAAGAAAGTCACAAACACAGCCAAGCTCAACACAGCCATGCTCCTTTGTTTACATGTTGTTTATGGCTGCTTTCACATTACAAGGGCAGAATTCTATAGTCGGAACACAAATCCTATGGACTGCAAAGCCTAAAATACTCACTCTCTGGTCCCTTTGAGAAGAGTTTGCCAACTCCTCACACAGTGCATTCTAAAGGATGCTCTCATTAGTTGCTAAGGAAACCCAATTTAGAGTTCTGAAATACTGAGGAAAGAACCCCCTACTTTACAGACTGCCTTGAAGTCAAGGCAAGGTTGATTCTGGCAACTCAAATCCTGCAGCTCTCTGGCAGTTTCAAAACATGGTAAAGATTCCATTCTAACTCGGAGAAGAGGGGCCATTTAAAAAACCACTTAGAGCAACGAGGAGTTCTTCTGTTGCCTGGAAAACAATACAAAGATAGACCAGATTGCTCCTATATGCTGCTAGGTGATGTCGAGGAAAATATACTTTCCCTTTATGTGCTGTAACTTTCAGCTCACATTCTTATTATTGCCATGAAGTTTACGGTAACAAAGATCTGAGTACTTACTGAGAGACTTAATTCTAACTGGGGAGGGGGTCGGAATCCACACAATCAGCTGCTTATTGCTAGTAAATAATCAATTTCCTGCCCGAGCTGTTAGGTAATTACTGCAGAATGCTGACAATTATAACATGGCCTCTTGGCTGAGCTACAGGGTATTTTTTAATCTGTATGAAATCCTGTTATTATTATCCACTGCACAATTTACAGTAACATGAATGTTCTAGGAACTAGTTGTTATGGTGGTAAATACCAGTTTGAATACACTTAATCACCATCTGCACCTTGAGCTAGTTACCTAAAATTAGCTACCTCTAGCTAGACTTTCAGGAATCTATCTCATCTCTTAAAAGGTGCTCCCTGTTTTTCATTTCCGTGAGGTCACTTTCTAGTCATTTCATTGCCCCAGGATTTAAAAGTGGGGACTGATTCTTTTGCACACAGAGCTACAGTGTCATACCCATGTGGCAGCAGCCATCCTATGTGCTTGGCTGAGTCCAGTCCCAGGCTGTGACACAGCACGTGCAGGAAACTCATCTCACTCTGAGACTCTTCCCATCCCCATAAATGGCAGGGAAATAACTGCCTCACAGTGAGCAGCCCTGGGCTCAAAAATTGATCAGTCAACCAACTGCAGAGCAGAGAACAAGCCCTCCTCTTTCAACGCAATCAGGGAAGCCAAGAGTGGGAAAGTCAGACAGCAATTTTAAAGTTGCCCAAAATGCAGAATGGGACAAATCACAAGGTATCATAAGATTAAAAGAAAGAGACCAGTAACAAGGAAGAGAGAGACAGTCGACTGATCACTAAGCTAATAGTAACTCAGCAATTTCTAAGGAGACAGAAAATAAAGACTACCTTAACTCAGTGTCTGAGACATGGGAGGAAATTCTGAGCTCCCACAAACATGTATACACAGTTAAAGGAAAGCATCTGGGGGATGAAGGAAATGAAAGATTTTACAGAATCGGGAGCAGACTTTTAGGATGGCTCTGAATGTTCTTTTTACCAACAGGCATATTGATAACTTTTCAAAGCAAAAAATTGCTAATTTACATATGAAAATATTAAAGAAAACTGCCATCTGGAACAATTCATATATATTTCACACACAGGAAAAAATGAATCATTCTAGATGATAAATATTATGCAGTGAAACTGCGGCAAGTTGTTCTTACGTCTAATTTTCATTTATTAATTAATACTAAATGTCTGCCTAACCAGTGAAAAGGACTGCTATGGGAGATATATTCTGTTAAGACTGTAGTATAGTTACACACACTTAGAAATACAAACAAAAGCACCAGGTCCTGAAAAATATTTAGCCTTTTAGTACTTACTTTTTCATAAGCTCTGCAATTCTTTGGCATTCTTCCTTATCATAAAACCAAATTCCATAGATGGACACTGCAAAAAACACACATCAAACAAATTATGAGCATCTTCAAAACTACAAAATAGAAAAAAATCTCCTTTCCATCTTAAATACATAATAATCTATGTGTTAAATTGATTTATTCAATAATTATTGAATAAATAAAAGCAATCATTGGGGTTAAAGCTTAAAAATACAGCATCAAGCCAGGCACAGTGGCTCACACTTGTAATCCCAGTACTTTGGGATCACTTGAGGTCAAGTGTTCAAGACCAGCCTGGCCAACATGGTGAAACCCCATCTCTACTAAAAATACAAAAAAAATTAGCCAGGCCTGGTGGCGGGCGTCCATAATCCCAGCTACTCGGGATGCAGAGGCAGGAGAATCGCTTGAACCTGGGAGGTGGAGGTTGCTGTGAGCCAGGATCGCGCCATTGGACGCCAGCCTGGATGAAAAGAGGGAAACTCTGTCTCAAAAAAAAAAAAAAAAGCATCAAAATTTAAGTCCACAGAGAAATCCGTGGTGGTTTTGTGCAAAGACGCGCACCCACACACATTGAAGAAACTGTGCTCCGCGTGAAAACATGGCACCTGAACACAACAGGCACTCGGCAAAATCCTCTGAAGCAAATGAATACAGACGGAAAATGAAATCACAATTTCTATACTTCCTGGCTGCGAGATAGCATTGTTTCTACACTCCATTTGCACATTTCATAAACACATTTCATGTTTATTTTTAAATATTCAGAAACCTGATACTCAAATTATGCCTAGAAGCCTCCCTCCCCTTCTCCTTCTCTCAGGAACATGTTAACTGAGAAAGTGGCTTTGTAAGCTGTAAGTTAGGGAGAGGCCACTGGAAAAAATAAAATTTAATAATAAACTTCTGGCTTCAAAATGGTACAGAAAATGTATAACTGCTGAAAGATTAGATATGACTATGATTTCCTCATTTAGTAATGAAAGAAACTGTGACATAATATACCTGCTATTGATTCATTCAATAATGTTCAAATAAGTTGTATACTTTAGTATGTGCCTATCTATATCATTTTTATAGCAAAGGCTGAAGCAGCTCCAGAAGACATTTATAAATATCTAGTTGAGGATCTGATGGCATTAATCATCTAAGTAATGCATTAACTACACACACATTTAAAACATCTTCACTGAAAACAGCAGCAATATTACGATAGGGCAATGAAAACCAACAAAACATGTTTTTACAAGGGAAAAAAGACTTTAAATTCAAACTTTCTAAACACGTAATTATATTAATAGTATTTTGCTGTTAAAACAGCTATGATATTCTAACTACATCTTTTTTCCCCTCTTACCTGACCAATGTCTGGGCATGGAATTTCTGCTTCTTGTCAGTAATGATTCATATATCAAAAGGTACAAGAAATGTCTTTATAGTGCTATTTTAAGCAGGTATCTTAAAGAGGAACCTATGAATCTGAATTACTCACTTGCCAAAAGGTGGCAATAGGGCTTTAAACTTTGGTTTTGCAATTATCAGTGTACCAGAAATCTTTTATCTTACCTACCTGCACGTGAAGTGGGGGGGAAGTAGGGGAAAAAATCCCAGCTTTTCCTTGAACAGGACCATTTTACTCTCTTAGATGGAAATACATACACATTTTCCTCCTTGGTACACTGACTTTTTTTTTTTTTTTTTTTTAAGAACGTCTGAGTTCTGAAGCCCATGTGCTATGAGAGCTTTTACATCAAAACAAAATTCTTTCATCTCAAGATCATTGAATGTGTATCTTGAAACTTCATATTCAAGGTTGCTTCCAGTCCATCAACAATAATTCCCTACTCTAATTCCCTACACAGATTCCTACACTAACCTGCATACCCTCACGTTCTTGAAGTCAAAGCAGATTGGATCACTGACGTTCAACCACTTAATAAATCTGAGTATGTTTGCGTGTCTTGGTGACTTTAACCTTAGTTACAAAACTAGGAGCCTGGCCTATTTTTTTGGTTATAGTGTAAGTTTTCTTTCCTTGAAGACTGACTTTTCCAAAACTATCAAAGGAGAAAGATGGCAGTAAGGGAGAAAAACAGAGCATAACTCAGAAACACGAGGCCCAATGGCAGAGGAAAAAATGGCCGTTGTTGTCTCATGAATAGGCTCTATTAATAAGAATATTCTGGGTATCTTTCGTTTGATGTTATACATTTGCGGCATTTGACATAAGGAATTAGGCTTTCGTAAGGGTGGGATGCCAAGAAAACTGTTGATACAAATAGAAAAGCAGTTTGACAGTGTCATCACCATGAGATAACTGAAATGCAGATTTAGGGAGCGAAAATGCTACGGAACATCTTTCAAATGTCAAAGCAAAATGAAGGAAAGATTGAGTTTGCAGTAATTATTTAAGACATCGTGAAGACTTCTTTAGGACCCAACCATTTATCTCCAAAGCAACATGGCTTTAAAAATTAAAATGAGATCATTTTGAGATAACTCTTTTGATCCCAGTTTAGTCTGGACAGAAAATTTAAATAGCCAAAGGGGAAAAAAAAACCATTAACCAAGAGTTCTGGCTACCGAAAAGAGGCACCAAGATAAAATGCAGAACTGGGCCTAACTTTCTTCTCCCTAAAATAGTTTTGCAACTTGAGTGCATTCCCCTGGGAAAGAGGCTGTGAATTCCATGGAAGTATGCATTCCAAGTTTCCTGCCTCTTAGCCCTAAGGTCTACCAACCCCTGGACAAACCTATCACTCTTCCACACAAGAGGGTCTATCAAAGCAGTCTGTGGAGATATATAAAAACCAGAGATCACCATGCCTTAGGGAGGTGATGAGCTGACAGGCTGACAGAAACCATGAAGTTCACATTTCAATCCAAGTTTTCCCGTAAAGCCACTGGCTGAGAGGCCCATCCCTACATAGGCAGGGAGCAGAGCAGGGAAGACGAAAATACAAGGTTGAAAAGAATCAAGTAAGAAGGTGTTTTGTTTTGTTTTTTAGAATTCTAAAACTTAAAAGGAATTTTACTGTAACTTAAACTTGCAGCGATACGATACGGCCATGTCAACTTTTGTGGCACTGAAATGTTACTGCAGGAATAGCTTCTGGGTTTTAAAAAATTATAAGAGATCATGAGCAGGATAATTATTTAGCTTTAAAAATCAACCAATTAATATACATCTGGAAATTCACAATGCTTCGAGCCTTTGTTCAGCCTGGTACGCCTGCATACCAGCCGCTTCCCAGCCACCTGTCTGCCAACACGGAGGTCAAGTTTAAGGGTACTTTGGTGCATGAAGCTCAACTCAACTATTTCTACATCTCTCCTGGAGGTAAGAAACCCTAAAGTGAAATAAAGAGTAGGAAGAACATGTTGAAATTTACTCTAAATATCCTAATGATACCTAGAATGTGACTTCCTCACTCTAAGAACTCATCTCTCCATATTTAATCAGGATTTACCACACACCGTTGTAAAATTTTGCCTGTAACTGCACTATCCTGGTTTATGCCGTTCTTTGGAAATTCTCAATTGAAAAAAAGTGATGTTTGAGGCAACAGGCAATGCAATACTGCCTTTACATAATGAAACACCAATCTTTTACTTTCCTTTTAACTCCGTCAGTAAGATCAAGGAGATCAAAATTTCCATATAGACTTCATGTCTGGATTTTTTAGGTCCACAAAGACAAGGCAGAGAGCAAGCTGATTATATTCAGTAGTGGTATTTTCTTTTTAAATTTCTTCAGTGGAAAAACCAAAAGCTGGTCAAATTTTAAGAGGCTAGTTAAGGGGCCATTAAAGGCAGTGTCATGTCAGCGTCATTCAAATGTACATTTTCATTTGTAACCCTTTGATTCTTATTAGCATGGTGCATTAGTTCATTTTGCATGTTCTTTGGGGATTTGCCTTATCTCATTTATGTTCCTAATAAATATTTCTGTTTGATCTGTTCTTTTAAGATATTTATAATTTGTTTTATATTTTTACCCAAATACCATACAACTCCAAATCATGAATGATAGCTTGTAATCGTCTAATGAGGACATGTGATAATGTTTGTGTAAATTTTTAAAAGAAGATATATATCCATTCAATTAGGAAGTGGATGATAAACACATAATTACATGGGTAAAATTTAAATAGGCAGGACATCTGATTTGGTAATGTTCTTTCTAATATAACTTCACTAATTCCTCTCAAAAAGACAGGGAAATATGTTTTTCTTAGCATTCAGCAAGGAAGGCATTTAAGTTCCCTCTTTTTACTTGGAAAGCCACGGAAACGTGGTAGTGTGACATTACACAAACCTCTTCTGGGCATCTAAGGATAAACCAAAATTTAAAATTCCTTCAAACTCCACTCCTTTCATGAAGTCTTCCTCACAAGAGTAGAATAATATTTTCAATGTAAGGATGGAGAATATCTAATCATATATTTGTGTAAACACTTGTTTCTGAGACTTCATTCAAATATAATGTTTCTTGATTTACTATAGCATTTATCTAGATCAAGCTTTAATAAATCTGACCACATTGATGATGACTCGTTACTAGCATATGGTAGTACACATGCACACACAGCTACTAGGCATTTGAAAGATCCCAAGATATTTAAAAAAAACAGAAAAATAGAACCATGAAATTTTAGAGCCAGAAGTCAGGTAAGAAGCATGCAGTTCAAGAACCTATTTCACCAATGAGGAATCTGTGGTCTAACAAGGTTAAATAAGCTAGCCAAAGTCATTTTTCTTGGTTTAATCTGTTTCCCCTAAAACATGCCCTTCTCCCAGCCTTTCAAATGAAATACATGAAGCATTCAAATTTGTTTTTACATATTGGATTGAGTTCTAGGCTTGGTTATAAAAGACTGGAATTAGTCTTTTTAAACCAAAGTTCATATGGACTCTCAAAAGGAAAAAAAGAAGGATGGAATGAAGGGAGGGGGGAGATCAGTGAGGAAGGGAGGGAGGGAGAGGGAGAAAAAGAGAGAAAAGAAAGAGGAAGGGAATTAAGCTTTCTGGTAGTGGCAGTGTTTTCACAGCAGTAAACACTCGAGCAGCAATGACGCTGCCTGTGTGCTGGCATCCATAGATGGGAAACACAGGCTGCGTTTGGCCGGCTCTGTGCGGATTCTGTACTTCTTCCCCATTTGGAATGTTTGCACTCAAAATGCTTTCCTCCGGCATGTTCTCTAATGCCTTTAAAGTAATGTTCTTCCATTCACCTTCTGCGTTAGCTTTACTGACCAAACACGGACACAATCTTGTAAAACAAAATCTTCACTGGCCACTGAGAGTCTACATAGCACTGTTATCTTTGGCCCCTGGTCTGCTTCTTTTCATATGACATGGTTTTACTGCACCTCACAAATCAGCGATCCCATGACCTGAGAATAATGGAAGGTTCAAAGCAGATGAGAAGCAGTTTCTATTTTATGGGTGACTAATACTCATGAACATTTTGGGGGAAACAGTAGAAACAAACCTCCCCTTTCTAAATAAATTAATGTTATTAGAAAGTTAATGCCATTAAAAACAAACAAAACTCTCTGAATTAAAGCATTATACTAATTTGGATTAAATTAATATGTACTCTCCAACTATAAATGAGAATTTATTACTTTCCCAGTAAAAGACAGATTTAATCTTTTAGAAAGTTTTAATTTATAATGGATTCATGTTATATCATTCAATCTTCCTAATCTTCCCAGAGATCATCATCTTCCTAAACTGGGAACCTTGAGGTCATCTACTACCCTCAGGTTTACCAAAGGTCATATGGAATCTTTTTCATCGTATACTAATTTCCTAGTTTTATTTGTTCCTTTAATCTAAGAGATATAACAGAGTAAATAAACTTTTAAAAATTAGGAAGCAGAAAAGTCCATAGTTTACAACAAATATAAATAGAAACAACTTATTCTGCTTTGTTGGCCACTTAAATTTATATTTTCATTTGTTCATAATCTTGCTGAAAAATTTCAAAATCTCCTTGGCCACAAATATCATGCAGGGAGTCCCTAATACATCTTTTCCTTCTCTCTACTCGTCCTTGAAGACCCAGGCTTTCTCACTCCTCTAGGAATAAACAGTCCCAACTTTTTCTTTGCTCCTGTAGTTTTGTATATCCTTGTAGTAAAAAAGGTAATAAATTAAGCATTTATAAATCTGTTCCCTCCACTAGACTATAAGCTCCTGGAGGGGAGGACTTTGTTAAAACACCCAGTACAGCAAACAGCATGTGCAGACATTCAACAAATACTTGCTGAGTTGAAATGAAATCTAAGACTTCAAGCTCTTCTACCATCAATAACCCTTGTAATTGCTAATATCAATAATTATCACTTCCTGGAATAATTCAACATGTGGACTAGATATGCTAGAATTCTCTATCAATTGATTACACCTTCTACCAGAAATTTCAGCATGGACAGTCTCCTCATATCACCGCTTTTGTTCTCCTTCAACCTTCACTGAGAGTTTATTTTGCTTCAAACACTTTACCTTCTTATGCTTAAGTAGTGTTGATGGGATTCTGTCATTAGGATATGAGCTCCCGAAGACTGTATATTTCGATTGATCCAGCACTATGTAGACACTAATGTACTCGTTTAATGTGTATTTACTATTACAACTCTACCATATACCATTCTTCCTGATTGACTACTTGTTAGGCACTGGCAACTAAGAGCTCAAAGGATGCAACAATTCTGCAAAATCACATGCATTTCTCTTCATTATGGAAAAACAAAGGACAAATAATAACTAATAGTACTTTGGTCTACCAGAAAATCCAAGCTATTCATATTCTAGTCGCGTTTGATAATGGCAATCCCAAGCTTACATATATAAGCACCTGAATGACCTGAAAAATGTAAGATTTAGATGCATGTCAGTCATTCCAGCAACACACTGACAACTATCACCATAAGTGAATCTCAATGTACATAAATAAGTCCAGTCTCCTATAATCGCAGTTTTTGAGAAAGCTATGTTTAAACATGTCTATTTATGCTTAAGCTTATTTTTAAAACAGAATATTTCTACAGGTCAAAAATTTGTTCCAATGAAGAACAGACTTCTTCATATTTGAGCCAGATGATTTAATTGAGTGTTTAACAATGATAGGAATAGCTCTGCTGAAAATAGCCTAACTATAAAACACATGATCACAGAAATATTTCTACAATTTGACATAGCAGTAGTCTAGCCAAAGGAGCCTAGTGCTACTTCCTGATTAAAGAAAAGTCAGAGTTTCTTTATTTTTTCATTTTTACCTTAATCTGTGAATATAGACATAGGAGATACTACTTTCCAAAAGACTCTTTCCAAAAACCCTTTATGTTTAAACAGTTAAATTGTGTTTTGGTTCTACTATGAAATAAGAGCTCTAAGGCTATACATAAGGTAATTCTAATACAAGTTCTTGGCCAAAATTGTTTTCCTTCTTCAAAACCCATAATTTTTCCTTCTGTGGGTTAAGCAGTAAATTTACTTTGATTCCAGAACTTGATTATTTGAAACTATTTACTAAATGATTTTTGGACAAAAATTAGTAATATAAAACACAGAATCTAAAAGAATACACATTATATAGCCATAATGACCACTTACTATAGATAAAGGGTAGGGAAACTAAAAGATGCTTTCCTTATTAAGCATTTAAGAAAATGTTTTGGAACCCAGCTTTTCTCTGCCAAGAATTTAGACTTCCACCATGCTAAACTGGGCTCTCTTAAACACAAAACATAAAATACACTGCATGTCCAAGCCACAGATGCAGCGTATCAATCTGAATAGCATTACTATGTTTTCTTGGTCAAGCTGAGAACCTTAATAGTCTTTATGGTTTAGGATAAAACAAGTGACTTTACTTTGTAGCAGCTGTAAATCACCATATATGACTTTGCCACATGGGTTTTTCCTCACCTCAGCATGTCAGATTGTTAAGTTACATAAGAAATGTATATATTCACATGAAGGTTCTCTCCGTGAGTCCCCTGGCAGTTATGATGGAGAAGTAGAAACTGTGTTAATTGGATGGTCAGGGTGAAGAGAAGGGTTGTTTACTCACACTGTGTATCTGCTTATGTGTGTGTTTCAAGGAACTATCTGGTGTCACAACTCAACACACAGAAAAATAGAAATACGAAATCCAGAGATACCACAAGGCTCAAGAGTGAAATTCTGCTTTACTTGAGATTTTTCAGAGCCTTTCTTTAGATGGATAGTTTTCTTTAGAGTTTAGATCCCTTCCTTTCAGCCTAAGTGGAGTACTGACAGAGAACAAAAAAGTCATTTTGGATTAAAGGTCACAGTGACAAGTTTCATCACTCAAGTCACAGTAGACGTATAACCCTTTATCATATATTAACATGTTAGCTCTCTAAGCAATGGTGCATAATAAATAGATCAATTTTTCAGTCGGAATGGCAAAGGAGACTTAGAGACACAAAGTAAGATTCAGTGACCACATTATGATTTTTAAATTTTGGTGGCTCTTCTTTCTTTCTCATTAAATGCAGGCTTAAAAGGAGTCCTTGAAAGTTTCTAATTCAACCAACCACTCCTCTCACATACAGTAAAAGAGCCTCAAGACTGTATAGGTTACCTATTCTGACTAAATATGAAATGTCAAATTCCTCGGCTCCCATTCCTCACTGCTCATGATGTGAATGAGTCTACTTTAAGGTCTTGTCTTCCTGGGCAGATCCCGAAGAGAAATGTATTCTGTTATTCCTGCAAATACTAAGTTTTTGCCTAGTAAGAATGTCAAGTATTTTTAGCCATATAGTTACTTTAAATATTAGTTTCTTGACCCTAGAGAGCTTTAGGGGTTCAATAAAATCCCTAAAACTATATGCAAAATGTCATGTATATATGCAAATTTTGGGAGGTGAAAAAGTGCAAAGCATAGACCCTCTAAAACAATGTCTGGCACACAGCAGTCAAGCAAATATATTTGAGGAAAGGGGGAGAGGGAGGGAGGGAGGGGGAGGAAGGAAAGTAGGAAGTAAAGAAGGAAGAAATGAAGGAAAAAAGGGAAGAAGAAAAGTCTTCAGATTCTCATAGGGGTTTGTGACTCACAGAAGATTAGGAACTACTATTTGCGACTATCAATATGCCAATAAATATCCTAGAATGGAAAACAACCCTCAGTTATCTCTGGGCAGATAATGTGTCTTTCATTTACTTGGTAATAAATTTACACAGAGTTCACTTTTAACTTTCCAGATTGCTTTTGTAATCACTGCCTAAACTGATTGCAAGGTTAAGAAAAGACGTAACAAAGTCTCCAAGTCTTAGAATTTGTTAAGTTGGAAGAGCTTTTATTCCTCCATGTAGCCTGAAGCCTAGGAGAAAGCTTAAAAAGCACAGATCTGTTAGCATGCTCGGCCATGATGAGGGTGAATCACACAGTTCAGCTGTGGCTACTGGTTTGCCTTCGTTGGAGAGGTGTCATTCTCCGTCTCTACCATGAAGTGGGAAACAGGAAGACATTTTGGAAAGCTCGACAACTTTGTGACTCCTGCTTGATCACTCCAAGCAGCGTATCTTCAAAGCTTTGTCTTATGCATTCTGATGTTCCAGATGCCACACAAAATCATCAGATACACATATACACATATAACAATTCTAGAATATAAGTGATTTGCGAATTTTGTTAAGTACACTGTACATGTCTATTTCTTATCTAAATCTGTTTATTTCCTGTGTTTATTTGGCACCACAGAATATAAGTAAAATATAAGATATGGTCTTTGCCCATAAGGGGCCTGTAATTTATTATCCATACCACTGCCTTCTCAATAGCCTAGATAATTAGCAACCAATTAATTAATGGTAACATAGTGGCAGAGAAAACGTTTTACAAAATGCATTCTAAGTATAGTGAGCAATATTGTTTCCAAATTATGACTCATCATTGTTCTCTAAATTTGACTTTCTTACTGCTATTATTTACTATGGGTATATACAGGTACACTTTAACTTTGGAGCTTTGGAAGACAATCAAGTTTATACTTCATAAGATGTTCTATAATAGCCACCAAGAAAATATCTACTATTATATTTTTAAACTGTATTGTTTTTATATGTTTCATTCTAGAGAAAGCACTGCAGAATAATGCTAAGGCTCCTCTTTGCTAGGAAATTGACATTTAAAAAAATTGACTCTCAAGAGAGAAGTGGAAGGTTAATTCCTTCCACTCAGGAAAAATATTAAGTTATACGGTTTCCATATTTTTGGCAAAGAGAAATCTTGCTTCTCTGACCATGGGGAGAAAGCAGATGTCGCAACCCAGAGAAAGGGGGCATAGCCTTCTCACTGATCTGGAAACTAGAAATGCAGACTCAACTATTTCTATTACCTCACATTACTTGGGGCTTTCAGTTGACATCAAGCTTTTGGTATTATGTTGGTTTAAAGTACTGAAGATGTGTTTTAGAACAAGGACTGCTTTATTTCCAGGTTGAAAAAGCCAAGACGCAAAGTAATAAAGAGTTAGTGTAATATTCTAACCAACACAGCAGAGATCAGGGTTAGCAGAAACACTGGTTAATAAATGTCAGGAAAATAAAGAAGGGTAAAAAATTATCCTTAAATTTTCATTTATTTAAATACTTCTTTTATAAGGTTCAATTATTTCTACTTTCTTACATTGAAGAATCATTTATGTACAAGAAAATGCACAGATCTTAAAGTGTTCTGCTCAGTGAGTTGGCAATAAAACACTCTTATGTAACCAACACTGAAAACAAGATATAAAATATTTTTATCACTCTTTTCCAGTCAACAACCACACCCCACTTCCACCACCAGCCCCAGCAGAGACAACCAATTTTTTACTTCTATCACCCTAGATTAGTTTTGCCTGTTCTTCAACTTCATATAAACTTCATATAAATGGGGTCGTACAGTATATCCTCTTTTGTAGATGGCTTGCTTTGCTCAACATGTTTCTGAAATTAATTCATGTTGTTGAATATATCAGTAGTTCATTTCTTCTTATCGCTGAGTAGTGTTCTATTATTATATACCAAAATTTGTTCATCTATGTAACTATTAATGGGTATCCAGGTTATTACCAGAGTTTTTTGCTATTATGAATAAAACTGCTTTGAGCATTTGTGTAAAAGTCTTTGTGTGGACATGTGCTTTCGGAGTCTCACTCTGTCACCCAGGCTGGAGTGCAATGGCGCGATCTTGGCTCACTGCTGCAACCTCCGCCTCCCGCGTTCAAGAAATTCTCCTGCCTCAGGCTCCCAAGTGGCTGGGATTACACGTGCCCGCCATCGAGCCTGGCTAATTTTTTTTATTTTTAGTAGAGATGGGGTTTCGCCATGTTGGCCAGGCTGGTCTCAAACTCCTGACCTCAGGTGATCCGCCTGCTTCGGCCTCCCAAAGTGTTGGGATTACAAGCGTGAGCCACAGCGCCTGGATTTTTTGTTTGTTTGTCTTTGAGACGGAGTCTGGCTTCATCGCCCAGGCTGGAGTGCAGTGGTGCCATCTTGGCTCACTACAACCTCCACCTTCAGGGTTCAAGTGATCCTGCCTTGGCCTCCCCAGTAGCTGGGATCACAGGGGCCTGCCACCATGCCTGGCTAATTTTTGTATTTTTAGTAGAGAGGGGGTTTCACCATGTTGGCCAGGCTCGTCTCGAACTCCTGACCTCAAGTGATCCGCCCGCCTCAGCCTCCCATAGTGTTGGGATTACAGGCGTGAGCCACCGTGCCCAGCCCATTTCTCTTAAGTAAATAACTACGAACGGAACTTGTTGGATCATACGCTAGTTATATGTTTAAGTTTATGAGAAATTGCCAAATAGTTCTCCAAAGTAGTTGTAGCATATTACTCTTTCACAAGCAATGTATCAAAGTTTCCATTGCTCCACATCCTCATTAACACTTGTCTTTTTAATTTTAGCCATTCTAAGGAGTATGTGATATTCTTATTTGGGCTTTAATCTGCATAGGTTTCCAATGTCCAATAAGCATATGAAGAAATGCTCAATACAGTCTGTTGTTATGGTAAAATGCAAATTAAAATCACAATGAGATATCACTTCAGAATTCCCAGAAAATTAAAAAAAACAAACAATATCAAGTTTTGACAAGGATGTGGAGCAAATGGGAAGTCTTAGACATTATTGGAGAGAGTACAAATAGGCACATAACTGTTCAGCAGTATCTCTAAAGCTAAACAAACCCATACACTATGTCCCCATCAATTTCACTCCTAGGTATAAACCCAAGATAGATAGGCATACATATCCACCTAAAAAACATGGACAGGAATGTTCATGGCAACTTTATTCAGAATAGCTCAAATTTGGAAATAATTCAAGTATCTATCGATAGGAGAATAAATAGACTGCAATATAATGATGCAGTGGAGTACTACACAGAATAAAAAGCAAGAAACTACGGCTACATGCATTCACTTCAAAGTACCTGAGGAATCATGTTAAGAATCTTTTCATGTGACTATTGGTATTTGTATATCTTCTTTTTAAAAGCGTCTTTTCAAATCTTTTGCTAATTTTTAAGTTGGCTTGTCTTTCTGTTGTTAATTTCTAAGTGTTATTTACATATTCTCAATATAGTGCTGAGTCAGATATATGTACATGTTCTCAATATGTTTTCCCAGTCTGTGGTTTTTCTTTTCATTATCCCAAAGGTATCTTAAGAACAGAAGTTTTTAATTTGATGAAATTTTTACTTTTGATGAGGTAAAATTTATCATTTTTTGTTTTATAGTAAATGCTTATAAGTGTCATTTTAAATCCAGTGTTTGGTAATACTACCTTTAACTATTTTTAATAAAGAGTTATTTATTTCGTTGCTTCTATAAAAATGAAAAAAAGTTCTTATTTCATTTGCAGATAAAACATCGATAGCATAAGCTTTTCTGTTTAAACCACACGGCCATGGTTTAACAGGGCCAGGAGGAAACAGAGATGTGGCCTGTTTTCATGTATCATAATTAAGATATCAAGTTTAACACAGTGAATAAACTTCTTAAATATCAAATCACAATATCTCAATAAGCATAAAACAAGTTGAAGGAGACATCCATAACAGTGCTTTTTAGAATTTAAATAAAGTTCTATAAAGAAAATTTATATTATATATATGCATTATACATCATCTTGTTCACATAGATAAAACTAACATTTTCCCACATTACATATCTCTTCCTTGAACTATTAAATTTCCCATGATGAGGATGTATGGCATTCTCACAACTCACAATCACCTCTAGGAACTTGTAGGTAAATGTTACCACTACACATATTAAAGTAACCTTGAGAAGCTGAGCGGCTCCTAGGTAAGCTGCTAAAATCACTCACTGCTTCGGGTTTCTACACAGGAACCACAGAGGCTCCTTAATGCCTAATGGCTAATGCTCCAAAAGAAAAACTAAAGAAATAGTTGTGAACTTTTAGGTTAAGTTTCAGCCATAGCTTTGAATAAAGAAATCCAATAAAAACAATTCAGTACTCATTGCAAATATTTAATTGTGCACATTTAATGCAAGGAATTCAGTGCTATGGGGGACTGGAAAGACACCTTTGCCCTGAAGGTGCCTGCACTCTAACAGAGAAGCCAGGACAAAATATTATACATAAGGTAAACTATAAGCACAACTAGTAATTGCCTTTATTTCTAGCTCAGATTTAGCATGTTATTTTGAACATATATGTTTACATGTCTGTCTTTCGTGCTAGGATGGTAAACTGTAAGGGGGAAGGGATATAGCTTATTCGTTACTGCCAAAACCCAACACAGAATCAGTTTCAACAGACAAGTGCTCAATAACAAATGAGCAAAGCAAATATAAGTACAACATAAAAGACATATATGCTGCAGTGAGACATCACAGCTACACAGGGGACTCACAAAAACATCCAGGGAGGTAAAGTTCCAGCTGGGTTTTGAAATATGAGTAGAATTTATCTGGTAGAGATTGGTCAGAATGAGGGAGAGAATTTAAGGAGAAAAAAGAATATTTAAAAGCATGCAGGTAAGAGTGTTCTGGGAAAGTGTATATGTAGTTGTTTGCTTGGAGCATTAGGCAAGCGTGCAAGAGTAGCAGCAGATGTGATCTGAAAGGGTAACTGACCTGACTACAGCCAGCTTTAAATGTTAGGTGAAAAGTTTTACTTGGAAGGCATTTCAGATTTTGAGAAGGAAAGCAAATTAATTAGGCTTGTGCTACAGGAAGATAAATCCAGCTGTGGTTTTGGATGGAGGGGATAAGCCAGATGTGAATTATAAGGCTAACGACATATCCTTTTTATGAATTGCTGGATTCAATTTGCTAGTATTTTTTCCTTTTTTATTGTGTTAAAATATTAAAAACATTAAATTTACAGTTTAAAATATGCAGTTCAGTGGCATTAAGCACATCCACAATATTGTGCAACCATCACCGCTATCCATCTCCAGAACTTTTTCATCATCCCAAACTAAAACTCTGTACCCATTAGAAGATAACTCCCCACTCTCCATTCCCTGAAGCCCCTGAAAACCACTATTTTACTTTCTGTCTGTATGAATTTGACTACTCTAGGTACCTCACAGAAGTGGAATCATACAATATTTGTTCTTTTGTGTCTGGTTTAACTTAGCATAATGTCTTCAAGGTTCATTCACGTTGTACTATATATATAATTTTATTCTCTTTTGAGGTTGAATAATATTCCATTGTATGTGTATATAATATTTTGTTTATCCATTCATTCACTGATGGATGTTTGGGTTATTCCCACCATTTGGCTACTGTGAATAATGCTACTATAAACATTTTTTTGTTCGCATTTTGCTGAGGATTTTTATACCTATATTCACAAGAGACATTGATCAATAATTTTCTTTTCTTGAAATGTCTTTGCCTTGTTTTGGTATCAGGATAATGCTGCCCTCATAAAATGAGTTGGAAAATAATACCTCTTCTACTTTCTGAAAGAGATTGTATAGAATTGGTATTATTCCTCCCTTGAACATTTGGTAGAATTCACCAGTTAAACTATCTGAACTTGGAGTTTTGTTAGATTTTTAATTACAAATTCAATTCCTTATTATGGGACTATTCAGCTTACCTATTTTTCTTGAGTTAATTCTGATGATTTGTATTTCTCAGTGAATTAGTCCATTTCATCTAAGTTGCTGAATTATAGTACTCCCTTATTATCCTTTTAATGTCTGTAGATAGCCTTTCTTTCATTTCTGATACTGCTAATTTGTGTCTTCTTTTTTTTTTTCCTTCATCAGTCTGGCCAGGTGTTTACCAGTTTTACTGATTCTTTTCAAAGATAATCAGGTTTTGGTTTCACTAATTTTCTCTAAACAGTTTTTTTGTTTTTTATCTCATTGATTTCTCTTCTTTTTATTTCTTTCCTTCTGTTTGCTTTGGATTTAATATACTCTTCTCCTATTTTCTTTAAGTGAACGTTTGAATTACTGACTTAAGAACTTTCTTCTTTTCCAATACAAGTATTTGATGCTATAAATTTCCCTGTAAGTCCAACTTTGGTTGCAACTGAAATATTATAATTTTCATTGTTATTCAGTTCAAATGTTCTCTAATTTTCTTTCTTCTTTGACATGACTTTTTCAGAAGTATGCTGTTTAATTTCCAAATATTTGGGGATATTCCAGATACCTTTCTGTTGTTGATGTCTAATTTAATTCTATTGTGGTCCCAAGAATATACTTTGTATGATTTCAACTCTTTAAAAATTTTTAAGGTTTGCTTTATGACCTACGATAAGGTTTATCTTGGGGAATGTTTCACGTGCACTTGAGAAGAACGTCCATTCTGCTGTCATTCGATAGAATATAATATAAATGACAGCTGTGTTTAGTTGATAGTGTTGTTCAAGTCTTCCATATACTTGCTGTTTTCTGTCCTCTTGCTCTATTGATTGTAGAAAGTGGAGCACTAAATTCTCCAAGTAACTGCAGAATTAAAAAAAAAACAAAAACTTCTCCTTTCGGTTCTATCACTTTTTGCTTCACACACTTTGAAGCTCTGTATTTAGGTGCATACACATTAATAATTATTATGCCTTTTGGATGACTTTATCCCTATATCATTATGCAATGTCGTTTTTTATCCCTGGTAATTTTCATTGTTCTGACATCTACTTTGTCTGATGTTAATCTAGACACCCCAGTTTTCTTTTCATTAGTATTTGCATGGTATATCTTTCTTCATCCTTTTACCTTTAACCTATCTATATTGTTACATTTAAAATGGGTTTTGTGTAGAAAGCATATAGTTAGGCCATGCTTTTTTAATCCAATCTGGCAATCTCTTTTAATCACTATGTTAGCCCATTTACATGTAACGTAACTACCGATATGGTTGAACTTGGGTAGGTCTACCGTTTTATTTTTTGTTTAATGTTTGTCATGTTTTTTGCTCTCCTGTTACCCTCTTTCTTGTCTTCTTTTGGGTTATTTGAATTTTTTAGTATTCTATTTTATCTCTTGGTGATATCTCTATATTTCTTTTTAGTGGTTGCTCTAAGAAATACAATATACATATCTAACTTTACCCAGTCTATACTTAGAGTTTTTCTTTTACCACTTCAAACAGAATGTAAAGGCTCTATAAGTGTACAGGTCCATTTACCCTCTCTTTTTATGTTATAGTTGTCACATGTATCACATCCGTATACACTGAACCTCCTTCCTGACAATGTTATAACTTTTGCTTTCAACAGTCACATGTATTTTAAAGAATTTGAGAGGAGAAAAAATAAATCTTTTGTAATTACCCGTATATTTACTATTTCTGTTGTTCCTACTTCATCCTGCAATTCCAGCTTTCCCTTTGATATTATTCCTTCCAGCCTGAAGAATTTCTTTTAGCATTTATTCTACAGTGGGTCTTCTGGTAAAAAAAAAAAAAAAAAAAAAAAGGTTCTTTTTATGTTTCCTTTATCAGAGTATATGTCTTTATTTCACCTTCATTCCTGAATGATATTTTTGCTGGAAATAGAATTCTAGGTTAATAGCTCTTTTATTTCCAAACTTGAAAATGTTGCTCCACTGTCTTCTGGCCTACATAATTTCTGATAAGAAATCTGCAGTCATTCAAAACATTATTATCCTAGATGTAACACAATGGTTTTCTCTGGTTTGCTTTCAAGATTAAAAAAAAAAAAAAATCTTTGTTTTTCAGCAGTTTGATTGTGACTGTCATGTCATGGGCATGGTTTTCTTTGGGTTTATTCTGTTTGGGGATTCACTGAGTTCCTTGAATCTATACATTTGTCTCCTTCATTAGACTGGGAAAGGTTTTGGACATTATTTTTTCAAATATTTATGAGTCTCTCCTCTTTATTAGACTTCAATGGCACAAATTAGACCTTCTGATATTGCCCCACGGATTTCTGAAGGCCCTGTTCATTTTTAAAAAACATCTTGGCTCTATATTCTTCAGGTTTGAAAATTTCTATTGACCTATCTATGAGTTCACTAACTCTTCTTTCCACTGTCATCTGCATTTTGCTATTAAGACCATCCAAGAAATAGTATATTATTCAGTTCCAAATTTTCCATTTGGTTATTTTTTATACCTATTTTTGTGCCAAGAATTTCTATCTTTCCATTCTTTTCAAGAGTATCCAGTTTTACCTCACAGAGCATGGTAATAACTATCTTAATGTCACTATCTTATAATTCTAACATCCAGATCATCTCAGGGTGGCTACTGATTTTTTCCTTGACAGTTTGGCATATTTTCCTGGCTAGTAATTTTGGATTGCACCCTGGACATTTTTATTATTTTGTGAGACTCAGAGTCCTCTTGAAACCCTCCAGAGAATGTTCACTTTGTATATTTGAGAAAGCAATCAATTCAGTTAGGTTTAGATAAGAAGCTCTGTCTTGCTGCCTGTGGATGATGCTTCCCATATCAGTTCCATTTTCTTTTTTCTTTTTTTTTGAGACGAGTCTCCCTCTGTCGCCCAGGCTGGAGTGCAGTGGTGCGATCTTGGCTCACTGCAAGCTCCACCTCCTGGGTTCACGCCATTCTCCTGCCTCAGCCTCCCAAGTAGCTGGGACTGCAGGTGCCTGCCACCACACTTGGCTAATTTTGTTTTGTATTTTTAGTAGAGATGGAGTTTCACCGTGTTAGCCAGGATGGTCTCGATCTCCTGACCTCGTGATCTGCCCGCCTTGGCCTCCCAAAGTGCTGGGATTACAGGCGTGAGCCACTGCGCCCAGCCGTCAGTTCTATTTTCAAAGGTGTTTATGTCTGCCCTATACATATACTAGTCTGAATTTGGAATAATGGTTTATATTGTAAGTTAATTCTCAAAGCTGTTGTTATTTCCTGGGTTCTGTTACATGTATGTAGCTCACAGGTGGACCCAGGATTTGCATGAGTTCCTAGACAGAATTAGGAGATCTCCTCATCCAGCTCCCTCCTCTAGAATTGCTCCCACTCGCCAGCTGTCAGGGGCCTTTTTCCCCAGTCTTCCGACTACAAAGTCAGGGTTTATCTCAGGGTTTTAGACTCTCACACTGTCAGACAGTCTGTGCAGCAAAAGAAAATAAAAATAAAAATACATAATGGGATTTTCCTCCACTCTTCAGACCACAGGGGCAGAGACAGGGTCTTTCTTGGGATGTCAGGTGCCTGTGCTACCACCATGACCACCACAGTGGCAGTTCAGCTTTCCCTGCAACTGGCTTCACGGTAGGGGTAGAAGAGTAAAAGGGAGGTAGGGAAAGAAAAGGGGGAAGTTTTTAGAAAGAGGAGTTTCTCTCAGGTTTTGTTATTTTTTTTTTCCTAGCGTTCTGTGACTTGGCGCATTCTTGGGTCAAAGCCAGTTGATAAAAGAGGAAAGAATAAAGCCAGGAACTCACCACCATAGCAGTTTTTCTTCAAGTTCTGATTGCTCTCCTCAGTGTGTCTGTTGTCATTTACTTTCAGAGGCCCCAGTTAGTTGCTTTTGTAATCTGCCCAGAACTTTTAGTTGTAAACAGTGGGAGAGATATACTGTAGTGAACTTATTCTATTTTGGATGATGCCAGAAGTTCAATCCCTTTTTGCTATGGGGGGTTATGAAACATCCCAAGTAACACATAATGAAAGCCTGAACTGGAATAGAAGTGGGGATAGAACGAAGGAGAGAAGCTACAGAACCACTCCAGAATTAAGAAACATGGCTGTGAAGGCTTCAAAAGGTTTACTATTACCACGCATGCTTAAAAAAAAGAACTTACAGGAACTCCCAGCTTTACAAACGATTTGTTAATACAAATGGGCATTAGAAGTACTCTGCCCTGCTGCTAAGGAAATTATATTCTTGGCCTCTATACAGTTTTATTCTTGAATGGATTTTCCTACAGAAATAATCCTACATATGCTAGTGCTGTATTTCATATGTACATCATTATAATACTAGTATGCTACTCTTAAACAGGTGCACACTGGGCTAGAAAGGCTTTTGTGAGTTGACTTGGAAAGCTAACCACAACTAAAATTATGTTTTTTATGAGAGAATGTATTTTGATATCCAATTATATTTTTGGTTTTTATTTCCATAAAAATAATACATGTACATAATTTTAGAAGTTAAATAATACTGTGAACTTCATAGCAAATAGAACCCTTCTCTAGTCACTCCATTCTTGATTACTGCTCCCTGAAAGCAATTTAAATTACATCTACGACAGTTCTTTCTGCTCTCCATTTATTTCTCATCCAATTTTTCTTATGGTATTTAAATCCCTTTCCCATATATCATGTATGTACCATTTCTTGATTTTCAAAAATTGACTGAAGAGGATTCAGTTTTCTTACAATACACACAAATTCACACACAGATACACACACATACAACCCCATCCTTCCAATATAATGCTTTCATATTCAGTGTCTTTAACTATGTATTATGATTTGCAGAGCTACATGGTGTACTATGATTACATTTCCTTTTTTGTTCAATATTTTGTTTTCCCAGGAATTAAAAAGGGTTTCTTCTGTCTCCCTCCCCCTTAGTTTTCAATGCTCCTCATATCATCACCAAACTCTTAAAAAGTAGCTGTAAATGTCCCAATAGATTCAAACTATCAGTTGTAAATTTTTTCTTGGATACCATTCCTGAAGCAATTCACCCTTTGACTTTAATTTAAATCCCCTCCAGTTGCACAGGGGTCATTACGGGACTCTTCACCTTTGCTCTGGGAGATTCCCTTCTTCCTGGATGATTTGTATATCAGTCACAATAGGCCAAGTTATGCTACAGTAACAAATGACACCAAAATCTCAATGGCTTAGCTTACAATGACACAGGTTTATTTCTACAAGCTACGTGTCCATCATGGGTCATTGTTACCTCTGTGCCATGTTATCTTCATTTCAGAACCTAGGCTCACAAAGCAGCCTCTGCCTGGAATATTGCTGGTCATCATGGCAGAAGGAAAAAAGGCAGTAAATCTTAAGCTAGTTCTTAAAATATTTGCTCAGAAGTGATACATATCACTTTCAGCCACATTTCACTGGCCAAAGCAATTAGTATAGCCATACTTGAGTACAACAAGGTGAGTACATATTACCATTCTGCAGGGTGGGTCAATGCGTGGTATAGCCAACAGAGCAAAGATAAATAACCCTCTGTGAGGAGGCAACGCTCATGTTTGTGAACAATAAAGCTATTACAGCACGCTTCCTATTTCTTGTTTATTCTATCTCTTTCGTAAAATGGATCCTTCATCCTTTGGGTTTATGTCTTTTTAATTTTTTTACTGTCATTTCAAGAGAATTTCAGGAAAACTAGGAGTGTGCTCACTCTGCCATCGTTTACCCAAAAGTCTACCAACCACTCACTTTAGAAGGCAACTTTTATGAAGATGGCCTATTTAGAAGATGGGGGCTACCTGTAATTTTCCTTTTCATTCAGGGTACTATTTCCGTTATTTATAGCAGTTTTTCCCAGATCCTATGAATGTTAATCAAGGATTTAAACTGTCATTTCTTTTTTCATACAAAACTACCCAAAATGGTAAATTCACTTTAAGACTTAGGAGGAGTTTTCTAAAATAGTTTTGGTCCTAAATATCTTAAGTTTTTCTTTTCTGATTTGATCTAAACTTCAGGTTTACATCTGCAATAAAATCCAGCATCTAAAAAGAATTTCATTGCAATCCTATAACTGTGGATTATATCCTATATTCAACTTGTTGGCCTAGCTCTGAAATATCCCTGTCAGCTGGGCATGGTGGCTCCCGCCTGTAATGCCAACTACTCAGGAGGCTGAGGTGGGAAGATCACTTGAGGCCAGGAATTTGAAACCAGCCTGGGAAACACAGCAAGATCCTGTCTCTAAAAAGGTTGTTTTAAATTATCTGGATATGGCGGTTTAGCCCAGGAGTTCAAGGTTGCAATGAGGCTATGACCAATGCCATGGCACTCCAGCCTGGGTGACAGAGCAAGAACTTGTCTCTAAAGAGCAGAGCAGGAGCAGGAGCAGGAGCAGGAGCAGAGCAAAGAGAAAAAGGAAAGAGGAAAGAAAAGGGAAAGGGAAAGGGAAAGGAAAGGGGCTGGGCGTGGTGGCTCACGCCTATAATCCCAGCCCTTTGGGAGGCCAAGGTGGGTGATCACTTGAAGTCAGGAGTTTGAGACCATCCTGGCCAACACGGTGAAACCCTGTCTCTACTAAAAACACAAAAATCAGCCAGGCATGGTGCCATACACCTATAATCCCAGCTACTCAGAGGCTGAGGCAGGAGAATTGCTTGAACTTGGGAGGTGGAGGCTGCAATAAGCCGAGATTGTGCCACTGCACTCCAGCCTGGACAAATAGAGCAAGACTCCGTCTCAATTGAAAAAGCAAGAAAAGAAAGGAATCCCCATGTCATTGCTGTCTATAACTTAAGTATTATATTTGGGAAAATATATTTCCATATGCTAATATCTTATTTAGTTGCGAAATGAAAAACACAGTAAGTGATTACTATATGGGAATATTACAAAAGAAGTGGTCTAATTCAGCTTTTTGTTAAATTAGTTTTTAATCTGGTAAAAACTAATCTCTCTAATAACTGATATATGCTTGAATCTCAAGGCTAAAAAAACTTGCTTTTTAAACCTTGGAGCGTACTCTAAAATAACTAAGTGTTTGTAAATGATAAACTTGGCTCAAATGCATTATTTACTGCTAGTACTTCACTGCTTGGGCCTTGGGTCTCGAAGTTAAGGTTTCTTGGTTCAAGTGGTGTTTCCATCTCAAAATAGTCATGGACCACAGCGTATCACTTAATCCCTTTAACCTTAGTATTCTCATTTATAAAACAGGAATAACAGTATTTTCAAGAAAAAGTTATGGGATAACCCATATAAAACCTGAACATAGTGTTTGGCAGACAGTAAATGTTTGTTGAATAAATGAATGAATGAAATGTTTGCCCTAACTTTAACAGCTATCTTACTTACTTTTAAAGTTCATACAGGTCAAACCCCATTTTAACAATGTTTAAACCCTTTAAACAATGTATAAACCCTTTTCTGTAATAAAGTAATCTATTTTGTGTTTGAATGAAGTTACTCTATTTATCAAGCATCTTTTTTTGGCTGATTAAATGAAGAGAGTTTGGGATTTTCATTTCTTTATTTTGCTCTTCTACATTCATCCAATTCAAGAAAGGGATTTTTTTTTTCTCTCCTAATGAATCTAAAAAACCTCACCACAAACCTCTATCAATTCTACCTTTGTCTATTTGAAATGCCCAAATATGGCCTATGACATACATAAGCCAATGTGAAATGCAAAGACCAGACAGAGAGATTCTTGACTATACAGAATATCTTGAGGAAATAGTCTTACAAAAACAATCCTGAGTAAAGCTGAGTTCCTTGCCCAAAGAAAGGCCAACCAATCTATATGCCACCAAAGAACATGTAAACCATACATAATTATTATATAACATATTTGAATTCTATTAAAACGTTTAAGAGGTATCTGACACTCTGACAGCACCTGTGGTAAACCCTTCTGTGTACCTTTGATGCCCGGGATTGAAAAGGCTTTTGCAAACAACATAAAACCAAATGACTCTGGGTGCAAAGGCAATCAGTATCAGATAGAAAGGACAAAAAAAAAAAAAAGGCAAAATGAATCCAGAAAAGTAAATAGATCCATTCCCTTTCACTCTTTGTTGTTCAACTGATTCTATTTCTTTTGTATGGAAATTCATTAGAAACATTTTAATATGCATCCCAAAGGCTACCTTTAATTTGCATCCATGTTTAATAGTAGAGCAGTACAGGTGGTGTGGAAAAAGCAACGGAAGTGAAATCAGAATCTGTGGGTTTTTACACAGTCTGCCTCCTCACTGGAGTCTCAGTTTCCTCATCTGCAAAATGGCAATGAAAATGTCTACTCCACAAAATTGTGATTATTAAACATGGTAAAATAAATGAAAATCATTATAAAATACGGAAACATAAAATAAAATATGAAAAACAAATTAAAATAGAACAGTGCCATTCAATAGAAATATGAGGGGAACCACGAACGTGAGCCACATCTGTTATTTTAAATTAAAAAATACAAAGAAGCAAGTGAAATTAATAATATATTTTATTTTGCCCAATTTATCCAAAATATTGTCATTTCAACATGTTAATATAAAATAATTAATAATTGAGGTTTTTTCCTTTTTTTTTTGCACTGTCTGACAGTTGGTGCCTGTTGGACACTCACAGTGCAGCTCCGTTTAGACTAGCCACACTTCAGGTACTAAACGGCCACAGTAGTTAGTGACTATCATAGTGGACAGCACACGCTTAGAACCAAGGTGTATGTTTATTAGATCTAAATAGTATTTTCTATCAGATAAACCCTGTGGGACTTAAGAAGGTTATTTTTTAAATTGATGCATTAAAGAGAGTTTGTGTTTTTATATTTTTGGTATAGTAGTTAATATGTGATCTATAATAAGAATTTAAAATAAAATATTACCTATAACTGATCAGACCATGTATTTATCCAAAATAAAAGCAACCAAAAGTGATGATTACAGGTAACTTTGTAGTTATTTTATTAGGACTTAAATTATATATTAATTTGACATAAAATCTAATAATCTCAAAAAAAACCCTGACATAACTATAAGCACACAAAACAATTCAAACTATAAACAATTCAAACTGGCATTTCTGTAGAGAAGGAAAGGGTCCTGGAGTTGGAATTCCAAGTCTTTAGTAATAAACTACAATTGATAAAGTGTACCTTTCGGCAAAGAAACATGAGGAGAAAACACAATATTTTTCTATATTGCAAAACTTTTCATTTCACAGGACCTGCCATTAGTAAGTCATATTATAGTTTCAATAGCTTTATTTTTTTCTCTCATAAAAATTTATTCTCTAAATAATAGGATAACCACCTATTATGACAATTATATACAGCATCATTTTAATGCATCTTAATGATGCATTGGGGTTAAAATGTCAAATATTATTTACATTATACTCATTAAAATTACACTGAATAGTATATGGTAGGCAAATTCATGTATCTTGAGTTCAAAGAGTAGGATGAAAAATATACAGAAAACATTTCTTCACTGCAAGGTCTTTATGAAAGCTGTCCACAAAGCATAAGGTGCATGTGTGTGCACACATATGTATTTATATATTGAGTATTATGTTCTTGTTTTCTGTGTGTAGAGATGTCCCTGCAACTGGCATATTTTCAGCAATCTTCCTCTGGGCTGACCAGCAGTGCAACACAAGTGGTCAGAAACGATACGAGAGTAAAATGTAGTATGAGAAAGGCGATGGCTACTTCATTTCAAATCTGACAAGGACTATTTAGTTACCTACTACGACTTCCACATTACAAAGGGTTATTAAATTCTTAATGACTGAAAGAAACTTTTTGGACTTTGATTTTTTATTTACTTGTATTCAGAAGATGGCACTCCTACAATACAGGCCCTCAAACACTTTGTCAGCTCACTCGGCCAAAAGTGATACATAAAGAAAAAGTGCCATAGCAGACTCGTTAATTCTTCGTTCAGGGAGCCACCTATGTGTGTGTCTCTGCAGTCTCCTCACTAAGAACTTGCCTCACCCAGCCCTGCTCAGGCTTAAGATCAGCAATGGGTTCACACTACAAATCCATAAAGCTTCAAAAGACAGGGTTTAGGTTTATATCATCATATTTATATTCACTTAAACTCTTCCAAGGAAGAATCTATTCCATCATTAGGGCATGCATTTCCTAAACATTAACATTTGTTAAAATGCTGACACCCCCCATAGCCACTGATACCAAATGCAAACACAATGGCAAACACTGTACAATTTTAAACACTTGGCCAAACTTCAGAAGTAAAACAACCCACTGTAGTAAGAAAGACTCACATCTGGCATTTCTGTAGAGAAGGAAAGGGTCCTGGAGTTGGAAATCCAAGTCTTTAGTAATAGGTTCTGTCCTATTTTCCATGCTCAGCCTATTCATAATGGTGAATCCATGCTTTGGAGAAGCAGACCTAAAAATCACAAGGAGTCAGGGGGAAATCAATAGACAAATTGCTTAGTATGCTATATTTTCAGTATAAGTACATTCTGATGTGTCTCTCAACCTTTGTTTGTATATGCAGCTTTATATAAGCAGCCTGTACACGTACTTCTTCACCACTGGCATCATTATGGACTAATTCCCATGTAATGCAGCAGCACTGGCATGATGATTCATTTGGTAAAATTGAGTCATACTTCATTTGTGGTGTGTGTGTGTGTGTGTGTGTGTGTGTGTATACAGATGTTGTTTATTTCTTAACCTAACGTTGTAAATTCCTTTAAGGCAGAGTAACTACTTTTTAAAACATTACTGACTTTTAAAGAATACTTTTTAAAAGTTAAATTAATTAAAGATATTTTAAACAATCTTGGTAGTTAATATTAGAGTGTACATCACAATTATATGAAGAAAATTTTCATAGAAAATTTTAAGTGTTAGTCTGAAATTGAAGCCTGCAAAATCTCTTAGTGATATGAAGCAACTCTGAACAATGAACTTGTGAGGACACAGCCTGAACTAGAAGTTTACATAACAGTGCAAAGGGCAGATACTTTGTTTTCTTCAATGCAAAGCAAACAGCTTCACAGATAAACCACTATAAGTTTTTCTCTATAAAAATGTGACATTTAGTGATGTTTTATTTTCATTTCACTCAATAAACCTTGAATGCCTGCTCTGCCAGGCAGAAAGAATCCAAATTATACTGAGTATAAACTCTAACAACTACATGTGCATTCATCTACCCTTGGGTGACAGCCATATAGTAATTCAACTGCGCAACTTCCGGTGACAAATGAAACACCACATACTTACACACTGAAGCTGAAGCAAGCAGAATTCATTTATTTACTTTAAATGAGGGTGCTAGGGCTGTTATTAACAAACCCACAGAAATGTTATGAGCAACAGGAAGACAAGTTGTTTATGTCTTAGTTTTATTTTACCTCTATTTGATACTGATCAAGGAACACAGCTACATAACCACTACCAGGATTTTCTTCTGAAACCTCCAATTTTAAAATTGATGGGAGGCAATCCTTGCCTAGCTTATTTTACAAAGGGGTAAAGTGGTGGTAAGCATACAATCAATACCAGAAATAATCATGATCATCACTTCAACTTAAATTCAGAGGAAGAATGAAAATGTACTCCCAAAGAGCTCTGTTAGGGGTCTTCTGGAACTGTCAAGTTCAGAAATCACCAGTGGGTGTCTCTATGAACTCTCTATTACAGAAAGGAAGGCATGGGAGGAAATAAATGATTTTTTAAATGGGATTAAGTGTTTTCATACAAGAATGAGAATTTGATTCTGCATGTATTTCATTATCACAACAGGATCTCACCTCTTTAATAGTACAGCTACTATAGCATCTCATAATTTAGAAAATAGGCCCAGGGGATAAATGTGCCAACTGCTCTAAAGCAACTTCTGTAAGAGAAGTCAAAATAAATCACTGCCAGCTCCATTCCCTGTAACAAGCCTCCCACCCCCCACCCACCATGAGTTTTACATGCTTTTTGTAATTCGCTACTGAAGAAAGCCTTCAACATTCTAGGATCTGGGAGGTTTTTGTTTTGCAGGGGATAAGGGAGGCATCCCATTCTTGAGGAGTTAGATTTGGAGAAAAGACTAAAAAACAGCAAAGGATTTTTTTCTCAATTTAATGTTTTGTTTAATTGAGAGTTCCATTAGAGACTTAGAGTATAGTAAGAAATCCTTGAAAATACAAACTTATATTTGGTCTGGATGTACAAAAGAAAATATTTGTATGATTTGTTCCTCTTCCATAGTTAAAAAAAAACCCTACTAAAAATTCCCCAAATCAATCATTAATACTTACTAATACATCTTTTCTGTCACTTCTCCAAAGAATCATAATGCGTGTTGTGAGAGATGAGTGAGAACGCACCCTGTGTGCATGGCACATAGTACAGTGCAACCCTATGGCTTTTGTTGTAAACTTCAGAATCCTCAAGAGTGCTCATACTCTACCCAATAAACTTGCCTGGGGGCATGCTCTGGTGCTCTGGATGTTTGGGAGCATAATGTAGACTCATATACCAACGGTTCTTGGGTACTCCACTGCTCTTCTGAGACTGTGAAGAACCTGACCTCCTTGTCACCAAGTGTGCTGGCCTTGCCTCCCATTCCTTCCTTCCACCTCCCATTGTTGCCTCCACTGGAACAGACCTTCCTCCCCTGCAGCTGAGCTCCCTCCTGCCCAGCATACACAGACCTCCATCATGCCCACACTTTGCCCCAAATGGGCCTCTCTGTGCTGTTCTAGTCCTGCTTTTATCTTTCCAGCTGACTCATCTGTATCCTTGCTGGCCCTCAAACCTAACCATAAACCCTCATCGGTTCCTCTTTATACTCACTCCTTCAGGGAACAGCTTTTATTTCATGGTTTCAACTACCAAATTACTTCAGACAACTCTAAACCATCTCCAGCCCTGCCCTTACTCTGAGGGGCTGGCCACCTCCACCCAAGTGTCCTGCTACCAGTTCCAAATCATTACTTCAAAGTAAAATGAGGGCTGATCCTCAAGCCACATTCTTGACCTCCTGTCTTTCTTTTCCACCAATGCTTCTGTCATTCTCAATCTTCCATGTTCAAAATATTGTCATTTTTAAAATTTCACCATTGCAATACCCTTTCCATTTCAATTTCTATTATTCTAATCCCAACTCTCATCATTTCATATCTACCCCACTGCAATAATCTTCTCACTGTCCTGACTCCAATTTCTTCCAGAACTAGTGCGTCCCCATGAAGTGAATACACTGACTTTCCCCATACATTTTCTCTATTACTCTCCTGTTCATAAGCCTTCAATAACTTCCTACTGCTAAGAAAATAATCTCAAAATCCAGAGTCTGCCATTCCAAGCTAGCAAATCTCTTTACACTTGCTAACTACTATAAACCAGTATAAGCCCTCTGCACCACATCTCCCTCACTGTCCCTTTAACACACCAGGTTCTCCGCCCCTGCTTTTGCCATTCTTCCTGTTGAGACTGCCTTCCCTCTCCTCTATGCAAGCTAAGTTCCACCATATTCCTGAGGCCCAATTCAAGACACATCACTCTATAAAGCAGGGGTGTCCAATCTTTTGGCCTTCCTGGGACACCTTGGAAAGGGAAGAATTGTCTTGGGCCACACATAAAATACACTAATAATAGCTGATGAGCTAAAAAAAAAAAAAAAAAAAAAAAAAAAAAAAAAAAAAAACAACAAACTCTTCTAATGTTTTAAAGAAGTTTACGAATTTCTGTCAGGCTACATTCAAAGCCATCTTGGGCCACGTGTCCTATGGGCCGTGGGTTGGACAAGCTTGCGATAAAGCCTTCCATGATCACAGCAGCCCATTCATTGCTCAGAATCTATCCACTGGCACTTAGGATACTCTATCCTGTATTGTGGCTTACCATAAACATGAATATATGTGGAAAGAAAATACACTTGTGTGTGTGTATTTCCTGTCTCCCCAGTGAAACAGATACCCCTAGAAAGGTTTATATTAGGTCTTTTAATTTCATCTTTGTACCCTCATTGAAGGTGATGACCTTTGGCTATGACATTTTATGTGAATGTTTATGTGAATGAAAAGTTTATTTATTGAGCCAATATACATAATGTATGTCTCTATATGCACTCGTAATTTGATATTAATATCTGATAACAAGAAATGACTAAAAACATGAGTTTATTAAATCTATCCTGAAACATATTCTATTGACTAGACAATGGAGGACTGAAAGACATCTTCAATTTTGGATCATGCTTTTTTAAAGAGTCAGGGGTGGGAGAAAAGTGATCAACAGCCAGGTGCGGTGGCTCACGCCTGTAATCCCAGCACTTTAGGAGGCCAAGGCGGGTGGATCACGAGGTCAGGAGTTTGAGACCAGCCTGACCAACATGGTGAAACCTCCGTTGCTACTAAAAATTAGCTGGGCGTGGTGGCGCATGCCTGTAATCCCAGCTACTCAGAAGGCTGAGGCAGGAGAATCACTTGAACTCAGGAGGCAGAGGTTGCAGCAAGCCAAGAGCTGTGATCGTGCCACTGCACTCCAGCCTTGGTGACAGAGCGAGACTCCATCTCAAAAAAAAGAAAAATGATCAATGAAACCCTTTTCCAAATATTAACTGAACAATCTAGTATTTCTGATAGTGTTCTTCTAGCTCCTTGCCAATGCATTATATTCAAGAACTTTGTGCCATTCACTTGAATCAAAGAATATTTAATCTATTTTAAACAGTGCCCAGTCAATGATTTAAGTTCATCTACATTGAAGTTTAAATTATATTCTGAAATTAGTATTCATCACGATATACCAGGTGACATTATTTGGTATTCCCTTCTTCGTGTCAACTAATAATTTCAAAACTGAGATTTAATTCTTTTACTTCTTTTTGAAATAAAACTGCATGCACTTGAAGAAGAGTGACACAACGGAGCTAAAATATTATTTTGAAGATTAGTTTCTTTATAAAAGTGAAACACTCTTACCTTGTATAAACAAATAAGGTTCCTTCCACATCAGTTTTCTCCTAAACAATAAAAACAAAACACACAAGACATGTATGTTCTCTTCAATTCACAAAGGTATAAAACAAATTCTCATAGAATAGGAATTATATATAACTTCAATGGGCCAAATATACCCAACATGAGGAGTTATTCTCAGGAAAAGGAGAAAGCAAGTTCTATGTCATCATTGTGCCTCTGCAGATTAGGCAGCAGGAAGCAGTCTTTCTTTTGTCATTTATAAAACAAATCATCATTATCTCTCTTTACCAAATACAGGGATAGCAGCATACCCTTAGCTGAAACAATGAGAAAATAAGTGTGCTATGCGGATTTAATTAGAAAGAAGAGTGCTGCCTTTTTCTCCTTCCACCACACTGGGTATAGAGAAAGCTGCAGACATCACTGGTGTCTGCATTTCACTATCCTTCATTTTGTTTTCTGGGTTCATTTTCTCCTGCCATATCCAGTGACTTAGGAGAGCAGATGATCTGTCAATAACTTTACTTTGACTGCTAGACAGAGAGGGCAATGATGCCACAGAGTTCTCAGATGAATCAATCACCTACTTAGTGTAGTATATTTACAGTCAAGGTCTGACCCGAGATCACTGAAGTAAAGTTACACAAGTATTACCAAGTTAGGACTCAAGAAATCTGCCTGAGAAAATCTGGGAGAGGTGGTAAAGTTAAAATGATGGTTTAACTAGGTCACTTCACATTTCTTTTCCATTTCTCCAAAGGCAGGAAGCTAGGCCATTATAATATTCATCCATATAATGCATACTAAAAAACACACATGTAAGTATCCAGGTGTTTGACTAACCACGAACCAGACCTACTGTAATTCAGAATTTAAAATGTACTTTTGCAATTTACATGGTTTAATTTCAGCATTCTATTTAAACCCCTGATATTTTATTATTAATATTCATCACCATAATCATTCAAAATTTAAGTACTCTGTAATTCTGGTGAAAAATACGCCCTTTTAAAAAAAGCGTAATGTCAAAACAGCAGTTTTTAAAAGGCACACAAGGCATGATCCTTTCACATGCTCAGGCAATTTCAGCAAATTTCTCATTCACTTTAGTTCAGTGGGTCTCAAAGTGTTATCCCCAGATCAGCGGCATCAGCGTCACCTGGGAACTTATTAGAAATGCAAGCTCTTGGGCTCCTGCCCAAACCTACTGAATCAGAAACTCTGGGGATGGTGCTCAGCAATCTGGGTTTTATTAAACTGTCCAGGTGATTCTGATGTATGCTAGTTTGAGAGCCACTCACTGCCTTAGTTCAACAACATACTCTCTGCCCATGAAATTATATTACAAGTCCTGAAAACAAAATCCATTATGGCACAAATCATATCAAGCTATTATCAAGAGTAAATGGCTATAAAAAATCATTACCTAGTAACAAAATATTTAATCTCAAGATGTTTATTATTATGGAATATGAAATTATAAATAAAGAATTTAGACCAGGCACAGTGGCTCATGTCTGTAATCCCAGCACTCTGGGAGGCTGAGGCAGGCAGGAGGATCGCTTGTGGCCAGGAGTTCAGTTTGAGACCAGCCTGGGCAACATAGTGAGACCTTGCCTCTACAAAACAAAAATTTTTTTAATTAGCCAGGTGTGGTGGCACATGCCGGTAGTCTCAGCTACTCAGGAGGCTGAGGAGGGAGGATTGCTTCAGCCCAGGAGTTTGAGGCTACAGTGAGCTATGATTGTACCTCTGCATTCCAGCCTGGGCAACAGAGGGAGACCCTGTTTCTTATAAATAAATAAATAAATAACAATTAAAACAACTTTAGCCAGTTTTTTCCCTAACATAAAAGCATAGGTAAGTCAGGGAGTTCATCCTTAAACTAGATTCACTATGAAGTTTGTATAAATCACCACAACATACTGTGAAACATATCCTTATTTCTGAAATGTGGCTCGTTTGCCCCTGTACTTTGAAAAATATCCAAGTCAAAATGAAAAAATATATATACAGAAACATTACTTATCTTTCTTTGAAAACAAACATGGTTAATTCCTATCTGCTGACAAATGTATATCCTGAGTGTACCTGAAGCACTAAGAATTACTTACACCCAAACCACCAAAGTATTAATCAGGAAAATGGCCCCTACAGTACAGTAAATGCTACCTGAACAGTATACAAATTTTTGGCTGTCCCTAAAGTTTAACTGATTCAGTCAGCAAGTATTCACAAGTCCACAAAGCATTTAAAAATAAATTTGTAGAAAGTATTTGGTATTATCCATTACATTGTTAGGAAACTGAGCCAAGATACAGGTGATAGAACTAGGACTTTGCAGAACCTCTATGTAGTCAGGATCACTCCCCACAAGATCAAAACACTCTCCTGGTCTTCCAGTATCTGACCTTGGACTGTTTCATCTTAGAGATCTGAATAAGGATATCTATATATATCAGCACACATAAAACTAAATAGCTTCTGACTTGTTTCCTTTCTTCCTTGATGTAACAGAAATTCTCTTTTCTTAATTAAAAAAAAAAAACCTTTAATGCCACATTTTAGTTTTTAAATTCCAAGGTCAAAAATGTAAAAGGCATGCTTCTCCTAAAATTAATCTCTAACTTATAACAAGTAATTCTTAAAACTAAGATTTTTATTTAGCATTACACACAAAGAATATGAGTTTGTTCATAGGAAGGAGTTGTGTTTCAGTAATCACAACCTGGGACCTGTAGTGGGGTTCTTGCCAGATCATGCTGGGCTAATTAGTTTATTATTATATGTCTCAGTTTCTCCATTGAAAAGAGATAACCAGGCCGGGCACAGGGGCTCACGCCTGTAACCCCAGCACTTTGGGAGGCCGAGGCGGGTGGATCACCTGAGGTCAGGAGTTCAAGACCAGCCTGGCCAACATGGTGAAACCCCGTCTCTACTAAAAATGCAAAAATTAGCCAGGAGTGGTGGCAGGCGCCTGTAATCCTGGATACTCTGGAGGCTGAGGCAGGAGAATAGCTTGAACCCAGGAGGCAGAGGTTGCAGTGAGCCATGGTCACGCCATTGCACTCCAGCCTGGGGAACAAGAGCGAGACTTCGTCTCAAAAAAAAAAAAAAAAGAGAGATAATCAGCTTACACTACTCAGATCTTTTGATGAAAAAACGTCAGGCGCTCTATGACACCTGGATAAAAGAGACTTTGAAAATATACATTTCTGTTCTATTACAGCTGCCCAAATTCACGCATTTTCCTGGCCCCTCCATAGTTATCCAAGGGCAACCAGATTTTTTTTTTCTTTCTGAGCAAAGTCCAGGGTTAGGGATGTGGAGAATAGCTAAAACAAGATTAGATGTTCCTTAGATCCTTTAAGGAGGACTTTTATGTGAAAGTATTAGTTACCAGTCCTGGGGTATTTTAGCTTAAATTTTAAAAGTACAATTTGAGGATTTAATATTATACTGTATTATAAAATCTAACAAGTGCTAAAGAAATAAGCAATTCAGAATTCAAAATACTAAAAAACCCAAAATGGAATATAAAATAGTGCTGTTTTGCAAATTTTGGGGACTCTGCACACTGTCTGACACAAACTAGCTCAACGCAATCTCTATTTTAACTTGATTATTCTCAGTTAAAATAATCAAAAAGTAGGTCTCAACTTATCCTCCCAAATCTCTCTTCATCATGCATGTAGCACGTGAGTCACCTATGAGGCTTTCAACAATATGAAATGCCTGGGTCTCATTATCCAGAGGTTTTAGTTTGGCATTTTTCACTTTTAAAAAACTCTGACTTATTTGGATACACCAAAAACTTAGAAAACCACTAGCTAGGAACACAACGTTAGTCACTTTAGGGCAGTTTTCAGGCTCAGCATTCCCTGGCCTCTACTCTATAGATGTCACAACACTCTTCCCTTCAGTGTGACAACCAAAAACGTCTCCAGACACTGCCAAATGTCACCTGGGGGCAAAATCAACTCCAGCTGAGAGCCACTGGTCTAAGGACTGACAGCTGGAAAATACCAGGGTTATGGTCTTCAATTGACACATAGGTATTAATATTTTGGAGGCGGGGGGCAGTCTTTCCTGGCAACAGGGAGTAGGTCTAACTCTAAAATTCCTATTCCAGTCATCACATAATCTTTCTTAATCCTTCTTTAAAGCAGTTCATTTTCTAGACACCTTTCCTTCCTAATTTCTCCTCCTTTGAAAGGCTGAAGTCATTCTTCATCCATTTTCAGGGCAATAAGAATTCCCCTCCTTAAGATCCCCCCTGCCTTCTTGTAAATACTTTCTCCTCTATTCTCAACAATGTTCTCATATTCTTATTAGGTTTACATTCAAACGGCTCCCATCCACAGTGACAGCACATGGAGACAGTGGTCATAATTAGTTTGCCTCCAGCAACTGCTCTGCAGTTGAACTAGGTCTCTCTGTTTTTCTGGCTACCACAGCCTTGAAGATTAGAACTTTGAAAGAATGACCTTTTCCTGAATGAATTATGCCCTGTCTGAAGGCAACATATCCAGCAAGCAGGAAAACATAACTCCTGTAATTAATGCATTGTGACACATCTGCTTTTTGATGAGGCTTTAGGTATCTAATAAACATCTGTAACTATCTTAAAAAGGTATCTATCACATTGATAAGGGTCAAAAGCCTATAGGAAACAACTATTATTCAAGAGAAATGCTCTACTCTCTTTATACTGACAGTTTCTTGGGATTCTCCAGACTCGAATCCCAGTGTCAAGTCAACTTACAGAACTATACATCCCTGGTCCTCATCTCTCTACTACGGAATTACTTTTACAGGATTATAACATTATACCTTTAGCATTTTTCTACAGAGCAGCAAAATAGCCATATGTAGAATATCTTTTTATATATTTTTAATTACCATGGAGGAAACTGTCTATGTTGCTCAATGTTCTTTATGTAAAAACGAAGGTGACACCTCGAAAAAACAAACAAACAAAAACAAACAAAAAAAGTAGGTGACAAATTCCCCTGGAAACTAGGGGGAAATAACCTCTTTCTCCTGATCAAGAGGTACACTTTCTATTACAGAAGAACGAATATTAAAGAGCTCTTCCTGTTCTCCTTTTGTGTTTGGCTACTAGGAGAGCAGACCTAAATTCTTTGCCCCATTCCGGCAAATTTCCTCCGTTAAGAACTTTGGGCAAAACTGTTTGTCTACCCCATTCTTGCTTGTCTTTTTATTTTTATGTTAATGATTTTCAGGTGAGTTTTTTACTACAGGCTGCTGAACTATACTGCAGATAAGTAGGCTTATGAATGTGGGTGTTAAAAAAAATACAGAGTTGTTCAACATGGATGTTTTCCTAGATTAAGTTTTGATGTTTATACAACCGACTTGAAGAACACAAAAAGTTTATCTGAAATCCATTCATCAAGGCTAAGTTCTCCATACTGTTTTGTAACTTATTTTAAAATGATGGATATCATGTATGTGATACATAATGGATGATGAATATTATTTGGACAAAACTCATTATGAGTAAAGAAACAAAATTACATGTCTCTACATTCGAGTGGGTGGGTTACAAAATTACAAGCAGCAATCCCTGCAACAGGATTCCAGTGTTCTAGGCTTCTACCCCATTCTAACTATGAGGAAAATGAAATTTCATTCCATTACCATTTACTGGGACTCTGCTTTGAGAAGAGCACTAAAATAATTTGGCTCCCAAATGACCTCCAATATCGAACTTGGTGTGCTGCCGTGTAATAATCTTCCCAAGAGCATCAGCTTCCTTCTAAGTGTTAGACCCTGCCCCATTTTGTCTTTTATTTGACGAGGTTGGCTCTTTTCTTGGTGTTTCCCCTTAAGTTTACAACTTGCAGATTTCTCCCCTTCTATCAAGTTTTGATTTCTCTTTGCCCCATCTAAGACTGACATTCCAAAATCAGAACTCTGCACTTTTATTCGTCTGCTGTCCCTGCCTCCCCCATAGCCACAGATTCACTGTAACAGAACTCTGCTCTACTTTCTCGAGCACATCGGTCTTCCGGCCATAAGGTATCAGGTCCTTCCTTTCCTTCGGCTCTTATGGTGCCGTACCCGATCGGTCTGGTCTCCCAGCGTTGGGTACGTTAGAGATTTAAGTCTTTTCCCCAACTCCAGGTAGCTCCACAGATCCGCCTTCCTTCCCCCAAACCCCCGAGACCCCATCTCCACAACTTCGGCCTCAGTCCCCAGATCCACCCACTTCCAGGGCGTCAACGTCTCCTCCCCCTCACCGGGTCCTCAAGTCCTGAGTCTGACGCCCCCCGCCTCCACCCCAACCCTGGGCTGCACTGCTCCGCCGCGTCCGCACGCACCCACTCGTTGGCCCGATGGCCGAAGGTGTACAGAGCCACCTGGCTGGCCACGTCCACGATGCGGTTGATATAGGGGTCGTGGCGCTGCAGGGCCGCTAGGCTGATGTCGCGCCCCTTTCCCACCAGGCCGCCTGCCGCCACGGCTGCCATCTTCCCTCCCTCCCAGACATAGGCACGGGGCTCTTGGAAGCCACTCTCAATAGATCGCAGAACGAGCGAGCTGCCTCGCAACCGAGAACCCACGGCGACCACACGGCCCGGGAGGCCTTCCGGCTCCAGTCACCCCCACCCTCCTGCCCGCCGACAGACGCAAGGCCTCACTAATCGATGGCCGCGCCCCGCCCACTGAGGATCGTTGCCACTGGCAACGACAAGCCCAGGCCTGCCCTCTGCATCCCGTTTCTTTCTCCAAGAGCTGTTTTTCTACGCGCTCGAGCCTTTGAGCTGTGTGTGCGGTAGGATTTCCTTCTTGGATGTGTTCGACCCCTTGGCATATCTTTTCTTTGGCGCTTCAGTGATCAAATCTATCACAATAAATAAGCCTCGAGCATCAAGAACTCTGAAGAGAAAGAGAACTGAATTGATTTCTGAATGCGCTAACACCCAGTGGTTCTCAAAGTGTGGTGTGGTCCTGGAACCCTTTGGGAGTTTCTGAGACCCTTTCAGGGGATCTGCAAGGTCAAAAAAAAAACAAAACCTTTTATGACAATGCTGAGACTTACTTATTTGACTTGTTCACTGTGGTGACGTTTTGCAGACAATGGTGGTTAAAAGCGCCGGTGGTTTAACCCAATCAAGGCAGGGGCACCAAACTGTATTGCTAGTCAAAGTACGCGTCACTAATCTGCACTCTCAGTTACAAAAGAAAAAAAAAAAAAGAAGAAGGTAGAGAGCCAGTGTCACCTGATGGTGTTCTTGATAAGCAGTAAGAATTATTAATTTCATTGAAGCTTAATCCTTGGGTACAATTCTTTTTAACATTCTGCATGAAAAAATAGGAAATAGGCATAAAGCACGTCTGCTGCAAAATGAAGTGTGTCATATTTGTCTCTAGGAAAATACTTCTGTGCTTGAGTTGTAGGCCGAATTCATGTTTTTATTTTTATTTTCATAAAACATTTTTACTTGAAAGAAAGATGGGCAAACTATGATTATTCAAACAGGTACTTGACAGACATTTTTCTGAAAATAAATAAAGTGTGCCTGTCACTTTCAGGAAAACAAGGGACAATTACTGCTGCCAATGATAATTTTTAAGCCTTCAAGCCAGAATTAAAAGTTTAGAAAATGTGTATCTACTGCCATGAGCTTGACATCTCAGTACTTAATGTTTTTTTTTCTGATGAGATCAGTGATGATATTAATGAGCGCAATTTTAACAAATCTTGTATAATGGAAAGTGTCAATATCTCAAAGATCTGCTTAACTCAGTGGTCCAGTATTTTCCAAAAGACCAATGTCTCATGCTACATAATCATGCACAGGCAAAAGATCCATTCAAGGACAAGGTGGACTAATGGATTTTTAATGTAACAGTATGAAAAGTTAATAGGATTTCAGATAGTACATTGCAGCTAAGCTTTGAGAAACTCCAGCTTGTCAAGTTTTGGTATATTATCCAAGAAGAATATCCACAATTGTCTGAAAAACTCTATTAAAATATCCATCTCTTTTCCAACTACATTATCTACATATGAGGCCAGAGTTTCTTCATATACTCCAAACAAAACACACATAGCCCGGGGTCTTTAAAGTTATTTTTAATTTCCAATATGGTAAATATAGGTGGGTATAACTCACATAAACAAAAGTTCTCTGAGGGAGTCCTTAATAATTTTTAAGAGTGGGCCAGGTGCGGTGGCTCCTGCCTGTAATCCCAGCACTTTGGGAGGCTGAGGCGGGCGGATCACAAGGTCAGTAGTTCAAGACCAGCCTGGCCAACATGGTGAAACCCCGTCTCTACTAAAAATACAAAAATTAGCCAGGAGTGGTGGCAGGTACCTGTAATCCCGGATACTCGGGAGGCTGAGGCAGGAGAATCGCTTGAACCCGGGAGGCAGAGGTTGCAGTGAGCCGAGATCCTGCCACTGCACTCCAGCCTGGGTGATAGAGCGAGACTCCATCTCAAAAATAAAATAAATAAAAAGTAATTAAAAAAATAATTTTTAAGAGTGTAAAGGAGTCTTGAGACTAAAAAGTTGAGAATGGTTGATCTAAACCATTTATCTAGCATTAAATATTAGAACAACTGTGCAGACATTACTACTCACATTCATAAATTCTTACCTATTTGATATAGAAATATCATAGATACGGCACACATACCCTCTCATAATAATATGTTGCAATATAATCTTTGCAGTCACAATTTCAATTGTACTGAAATTCTTGGTTAAGCTGCATTTTGGAGTCTCAGTCCTATTGACTCCCAAGCCTAACTTCCCAGTGGGGAAGAATACAGCAATGGCTTTCAAACAACTTTTTTTTGACTGAGGCTGGGGTCATTTGCAGTCTGACTGAGAACATATGTTTATATATTTATACCTGATATTAACTAGAATAAATGTTTCAATACTAAGTATACAGACATTTTTTAAAATGCTATTTGTGACTTTGTAAATTGGTTTCATGACCAACTAATGGATTGTGACCTGTAGTTTGAAAAACATAGGGCTGCAGCAACTGAGCAACCACACAAAGCTGACTAGACAACTTTCCATGTTAGTTCACTACCTTTTTCCAGTGTTACTGACCTCTTTGCTCTTAATCACATATGTGCTTCTAAAAACAAGTTTAATCTGTAATATGGGCAATGGAGAATTTTGTGATTAATTCTTGAACTAGTCACACTCTCTCACTTGATTAGCTGTTCTAATTTTGATTTTTCAGCATGAACCCACAGATTCTACTTTGCATTTCCCTCGTACATATAATGAGGCATTGTTTTTCTTTTGTCTGTTAAGTTCCATGATCCTTACACAGATCATTGTCCTCATAATTTTTCAGTCTTTCCATCTTTAAAGTGTAAAGAATAGATCATGGCCTCCAAAGAACGAATTGCTTTGAGCTCATTAGAGAAGACAGGCAATATAGGGGCCATTGTAAAAGCTTAAATGTTCATAAAACAAAAGTGTATACAAGTCTTAGTGATCTGTATGACTACAATTGCAAAGCATTTATGGAGTGCTCACTTGATGAAATTCATTAATTCTTCATGATTTATTATTGCTTCTTGTGTCTGTGCTGAAATTACATGGTCATGTCTTCTCCAGTCTTTGATCTCACTGATGAGTAAGATGAAGATACCCTTACTTTGCTTACGGGGAAAATTTCACATATGTGAACAACATGCTAATATGACCCTTAGTAGAGAAGAGTTAATTTTTTGTGTGTTTAGAGTTAATGAAACAACCCATCTTCTGTTCTAACCTCCTTGTATCTGAACTCTTTTCTCCCAAGTATCTTACACATTCCTATCTCTGTACCTTTGCCCATCTGTCTTCTTAGCTTGGAATGACCTTTTCCTGGAAAACTCACCTCCTGTCTTCTCCCATACAATCCTTTCAGCCTATGAATCCTCATTGCATTCTGTTGCGATTTTTCTTGTGGCACTTAGCTCACTTTATCCTGACTTAGACTTATTTATTTACTACGTTACATATACATTTTTTTCCAATTCTAAAAAAAAACAGTCATTGTAATAAAAGAGAATTGTTATAGAAAATCTAGCCTGAAAACATTATTGCAATTGAACAAGAAATTGGGCTTTGAGTTTCTTGACAGATAAGCAAAAAGGAGGAAATAGTATGTTTCATAAAGTTTTACTTATTTATTTATTTATTTATTTATTTTTTGAGACAGGGTCTTTCTCTGTCGCTCAGGCTGGAGTGCAGTGGCACAATCACAGCTCACTGCAGACTTGACCTCCTGGGTTCAAGCACTCCTCCCACCCCAGCCTCCCAGGTAGCTGGGACCACAGGCTGGTGCCACCATGCCCGGCCAATGTTTTTTATATTTTGTAGTGATGGGGTCTCACTACGTTGCTCAGGATGGAGATGTTATTTTTCATGTTTTGTAGTGATGGGGTCTCACTATGTTGCTCAGGATGGAGATGTTACTTTTTATGTTTTGTAGTGATGGGGTCTCACTACGTTGCTCAGGATGGAGATGTTATTTTTTATGTGCTTATCACCACGTAGTCTCCCTAGCACTTGGTCCAATGCCTTGTACATAATAGAGATTCAATAAATGCTTATTCTTTTGAACTAAACCCTGAGTTAGTTGAATTTACTCATTAAATGTCAGCATTTTTTAAAGAGCTCATGATTTATAAAATAATGAAATCCAAGTTGGGATAAAAAAACGTGCAATAGCAAGTCCTGTTCTCTCAGATTTTATATTCTAAGGGAGATAGAAAAACATGGAAAGGTTTTTGGTTTTTTAACTTTCAAACAAAAAACTCTTGAAGATTAGAAATCATACTCAGAGAAAAAAGATAAATAATGTTGCAATGACTTCAGCATTGCCATATTGTTCATCTCCCTGGCCCACAGAGATTTATTTATTTTTTATTCTTTTTTCCTCCCCACAAAGGCCTAAAGCTCTGACCTTCTAGGATGACGCCAGCCTTCTGCCTTCTTTCTATTTGAATAATCTGTGTTTGTAAAACCAGGTCATCATCACTTAACCAAATATACTAAGTTGCAGGCTCGATATTAGTAAAAGACCATTTCGAATAGGCAAATTCTTTTTTAATCCGTGTAACTTCCATTTCTGTTGGCGCCCAGAGTGCTGGCGTACTTCCACTGTGTTTCCATAAGCCTCATGATGATACCTTGGACAAATATTGGTGACTTCGAGTTTCATGATTATATTATAATTGTCATTATGAGATTAAACATATGCTCACACTTGGTTTTACAAAGTTGGATACTGCAATTTAAAACAAGTTTGTAGAATGATAAAAAAATAATGTTTGGGTCTGGAATTTTTATACCATGGCAATGACTGAGTAAGACAAAATTCAGCATCTAATCAATTAAGGTAATTGTAAGAAGACAGTATGTTTAGATTCTTTGAAAATCAGAATATAACTGAAAACTGGTTTTGTAGGCATGAATGAATGTTTGCATACAAATATAGATTGACTATATCATCACAATTTTAAAACACAAATACACAGTCTGCTTTATTAGTACTCTTTTCTTTGTTGTGTAAATACCCTCTAAGTCTGGCATTTGTCCTGTAGTAGAATATGTTAGAATGGAGAGGAAGAGAGGAGCTTTCAGGATGCCCCTAAGAATTTGTGATTCTGAGATGACTTAGCCTCTGATGCTATGCTTTTGCCATCTGTATGAGTTGCCCTTTTTTTGCTAGGAATTTTATTCCAAAGGATGATAGAAGTGAACAATTAACTCTCTCTCCCTGTGGAGGAGAACAGTTTGAAGCAGTGTGTTATCAGTTGTTTTCAATGCATGGTTCATTTATGTTTTAAGCAGCAGAGCACAGTAGGAAGGGCACCCCCTCCTGGAAAGGGAAACTAGTTTCACCTCTTTCTATCTACGTGACCTTCAACAAATGACCTCACCTATACCCTGGGGAACATAATATTTGCTCTACCAATTTCACTGGGTAAATGAGATCAAGTGAGAAAATGTACCAGAAAAAGCTTTGCAATCTGTACAATGTACTGCAAATAGAAAAAAAACCCAAAAAACTATTACAATTAGTAGTAGTAAGAGTATCACTATCTTCATCATCATTATTATTAGTTTCATGACCAGTATTATTCTTTCTAATAGAAGCCCAGAAGCGATACTTTTAATCCAATTACCCAATTAGTGTTCAAATCAAAAAAATTCTGCATAAGTGACAAAGAATATGTTAATTCCCAGGGCAGCACATTCCCAATATTTTTATACGCTAAAGGATGCAAGTTAAAACATATTTATCAGAAACTTCACAGAGGAAGATAAAATATAGGAGACATAGCTCTTTGTTCTGCAGGGTTATACAAAAGGTTAAGATTTGAAACAATTGTTTGAGAGCCAGAGCAGAATGAGAAGGGGCAGATAATGGGGTGAAGACTGGGGAATGTGGGGAAGGCAGACATCTACCAGGGGGGGCTTTTGCTAGGGTAAGAGGTAACCTGTACCTTTGAAAAAGTCAGAAATTCTCCAGTCTGGGCCTTATAGCTCCCTGGACTAGACCTCTCTTAACTTGACCTGGAGGGGGACTGGGGTAATTAGAGCTTTTTGGAGTGGAGAGATCACTCTTGAATTGACCACTCTCTTTGCTTCTCTCTGCCAGTCCCATGAAATCTATTAATTTACTGTCACTGTCAGGAGTCAGGTGAAAGCTCAGTGGGTCTAGAGGATCTCTACAATAGCTACACCTTTTGATTTGCTTCTTTGTATTTCTGGGCATCACCCTAAGATATGAGGAAGCACCTTTAATTCCACATGAAGAGATCATTGGCTTAAAATGCAAAGACCTGATAGTGCTACCCAACGTCCACGAGTCTCAAAGTAATCAGTCATTTGATTATCAACAGGGAGAAAAAGATGTTAAGAAAGAGGAAGTAGAGGTCGGGCACGGTGGCTCACGCCTGTAATCTCAGCACTTTGGGAGGCCGAGATGAGCGGATCACCTGACGTCAGGAGTTCGAGACCAGCCTGGCCAACATAGCAAAACCCTGTCTCTACTAAAAATACAAAAAAATTAGCTGGGCGTGGTGGCAGGCGTCTGTAATCCCAGCTACTCGGGAGGCTGAGGCAGGAGAATCACTTGAACCCGGGAGGCAGATGTTGCAGGGAACCAAGATTGCACCACTGCACTCCGGCCTGGGAGATAAGAGCGAAACTGAGTCTCAAAAAAAAAAAAAAAAAAAAAGAAAGGGAAAAAGGAGGAAGTAGAAACTGCAGAAGACAAATCTCTGTTTTATTCTCAGTGTACCATGGAAAGGACAATGGAAGTTGCTGGCCATGCCTCTGAAAACACAGGCAGCTCTGTGTCACATTATTGAGGAAGATGATATTGGATGTGGCTGATTTCACATACAGGAGCCTTGTCCTGGGACATGGAGGAGTGTTGAGGGTGGTCACCAGATTGCCTTTCCCATTAACTAGGTGTGCACTAGCTGATTCATTATCATAGCGCTAAGGTCATAGAGGGATGACCCGAATGATTATCTGCTTTGAGCAAAGAACCCACAGTTCTGGGCAAGTCACTTCACTTCTCTGTGTAATAAAGAGATTGAATTAGAAGAGTGCTACGCAGCTACGGATTCTGTGGTTCTCTATTAAGCTACCTCGGTTCATATCAAATGCGTATCAAATCTTTACAAACATGTAGAAAAGCCCAGAAACAATACTGAACAATATGTTTAGGGAAACATCTCACATTGAAATTAGGTCAGGAAAGCAGCCCATTAAAGACTTTTTAACGTTAAATCAAAACTAAGGGCCGAAAAGCCTTTCTTCTTCCATTTGTTGTGTTCCCTCATGCTCGAAGGAAAGCTGTTGTTGTGGGGAGAAAGGAATGTTTCCCCTTGCCATCCTGTAGGTGGCTTCCTGCCAGGGTGGATGGGCTCTCGCTGTAGATTGCTAATCCAGGTGAAATGAGTATTTCAAATCACCTGTGATGATTTGCATGGCAGTCTGTAAGAAGCAGTTGGGAAAGAGTGTCAGAGCCTCCTTGGTGGAATGCATTTGAAGAATTTTGTAATTACTTATTGTTCTTACAACCTACTATGTTACCTTTTCACCTTGTCATTGATTTTTCTCTTTTTAAACTGATGTATGAAGCCCCAAAGGTAATTGAACTGCAAAATATTGTGCTAAACTAACCTTAAGTCCAAGATGAGAGGCTTTGGAAAAATACTTGGCTTGGTCAGGAGCTAGAACTCTAATAGTGGGGACTAGGGGGTAGAGGGATGAAGGGGAGGTATAGTATCTACTTCTATAATGCTGAGATTTAAGAATATTTCCTTACCCGGTCCCTCAAGCCTATCATAAATATTCTATATTGGGTTGACAAATTACAGCTCACAGGCTAAATCTGGCCCTCTGCCTGTCGTGTAAATAAAATTTTGTTTGAACACAGCCATGCTCACTGGATTGTCTATGGCTGTTTGCACCTTGCAACAGCAGAGTTGAGTAGTTGCAACAGAGACCATGTGATCTGCAAAGCCTAAAATATTTACTATCTAGTCCTTTACAGAAAAAGGCTTTTGGCCTGTATTATTTAAACAAATCCATACGTGAGTTATACTGAGGACTCTCTACATGCTCAGTAGGCACCCAGTTTGTGCACATTGTAAATACACAATAGATTGGAAGCCCAGTTTCTATTCTCAAGGAATTTAAAATCTAGTTGAGGAGACAAAGACTAGCATACATGAAAAAATGTGAACAGTAAAATACAGTGTATAATCAAGGGTTCAGCTGTGATGTACAGGCAAGTACCAGAATTTGGAGAAAAGGAAGGAGGATCAGTGAGACCTCTAGTAGTTGGGGAAAGCAATATTTAGTATAAAAAGTTCCAGGACACAATAAGAGCTTGGATGCTCCCTTGAGATCCATTGTAATTGGATGTGACCTGTATTTCTACTCCAGTGTCATTTAAATCACTGTTATTTTTGGCCTTGTGCTTAGAGGACACCTAAATGACCAGAAATATTTCTGAGTGACTTTAGCTGACTGATTTTTCTGGGATTTGGGATTCCTTCAATCTCCCTAAACTACAGAAAATTAAACCTAGCCATAGTGGCATAATGTCTTTCTCTTTTGGAGACAATACAGCAAAATGATTGCAAGCATGAGCTCTGCAGTCAAAGAAACCCGTCTCAATCTCCCTCTAGCTGTGTAAACTTGGGGAGACTCTAAAGCTCTGGGCCTCAGTTTCTTCATCTATAAAATAGAGACAACAATAGTGGTAACCTGCTAGCGTTACTGTGACAACTAGATAATATAATGCCTGTGACGTGTTTAGAATATAAAGTGCCTGCCTGGTATGAAGCTAGGTCTCCATGAGTGTTTAGTCATTGGCCCTTGCTCCTGAGAATAGCAAGATTTATATCCTGCACAAAAGAGTCATACTTAGTTCCAGAACAAAAATTAGTACTTTATCATTTATAAAGGCACTTATAACAAAATGTACTAATGTAAAGCAAAGAATTACTGCTCCTCATTTTTTGGTTTACTAATGGTTATAATTTTTAATTTTTAACAAATTGCCATTGCCAGGCCCCTGATTTATTTCTGTGATGTCCTTGGGGATCTTGGGACCAGGAGCATGATGCAAAAAACACAGATACAGATCTCTGCTCTGATACTAATGCAGGAATCTTGGGTGTTTTCAGGACCTGTTGTGACTGTCTTTGGAGGTAAGGCAGAGGGCAGTGGTACCAGCCTTGTGGGCTGGAAGGCAGCATCTGTAGGTTCTCACCCATTTCTGTGGGTATGGAAGAAATTACGTAGAATCCAGACCAGTTTTTCTTATCTCTAATAAGGAGATAATGTTATAACATTTATTTTTGTGCTTGTTGTGAGTATTGCTGAAAGAGCTCTTAGAAACACTTTAAGTGTTTTGATGTAATCATAAAATATGAGGCTTTAGAAGTAGGGTTTGAGCATCCACAGAAGGCTCTGTTTTCTCTGTGGATAATGTCTGATGATAACATTGTTTTCTGTTTTCCTTGAGGTAATTTGAAGATTAAAGGGAAGGGTGTTTTCCACATTTCCTGTTGGTAATAAATAGCCCTCTCCCAGTGCTTTGACCTTCCCCTGCTGCTATGGAGACTCCTAGGAGCAGTGACCAGGACTGCAGCCAGCCAGGCCCGTGTTATTAACAGGGCTGGCTCCGTGGGCCTTCAGTATTAGTGTATTTATAAACAACCCCAAACACTGAAACCACTGTTTGGTTTTGTTCGCTTTTATTAAAAATTATATGGACTTTAGAAGAAAACAACAAACTGTCAGAAAAATAGGCATCTTTTTTTTTTTTAACCCAAATAAGCCTGTGTTTAGTCTATAATGGGAGAGTTCTTATAATAAGCATAGCAACTCATGGCTCAGCACTTTCCCATGGAGTAGGTAGCAAGTATTGCTTATTCGCTTATGAGATAACCTTTACATTTAATCACTTGTCCATTCAATGAATATTTATGAAGCTCTTACCATGAGACAGGCACCGGGCTAGGAGCTGGGAATATTGCAGTGAACAAGACAGGCACATTCCCTGCCTTCCTAGAACTTAGAGTCTCACGGGGAAAATGGACACATAAGCAGGTAATCAAAATAAAGTGCGTTGAGTGTGAAAAGTTTGGGATGCTATGGGAGCATGGCAGAGGCCCAAGAGAGGCTCCAGTTTCTTTACATGAATTGCCAAGTGTATCGACCTGAAGACACTGTACCTCCTGTCTTTGTGCCTAGACCAGGGTAGAATGGTCCTAAGAGTTAGAGGCTGGTCTCAGTTATTCTTGGACATAAGACTTTTCTGGTTGGCTTGAGCTTTAGGCCTTACAGAGGAGCCAGAGACTTGTCTGGGTAGTGCCATAGGTGTCATGCTAAAGCCACCTTGTCCCCACTGGCCTTGGAGCTAGTCAGACTCAGAGCCTCCCAAGAGCACTGGGAATGGGAGCAATCCCTTCCTGCTCACGGACTGGCAGGTCTTGGCCCAGGGATTCACCTATGCAAATAGTATATCCTTGAGCCACCAGTAGTTTTTACCTGCTCAGCTTTCTCCTGTTCTCCTTCTTGGAGTTTCCTTTCCCAAGAAAACAGACTGGATCTTCTGCTTCTCCAAACCCATCCCTCTGAGGCAGGGCTGAGAAGACCATGTTGCTCTATGAAAGGGCTAGTTTACCAGTCAGGGGACTCTGCTTCTGTACTCTCTCTCCCTTTACCTGGTGCCGAAAGACCATCCTCAATTAGGGCTGACAAGGGGCACCCGTTGGGCTACATTTATCCTCCTTATTCTTAAGAAGCTACAGCTTTTACTTGCTGTACAGCATCTAACAAAATAAGACTGTGTTAGCTTATCCCAGCCCCAAGTTTTCTGTAGTGGAGGCTGAAAACTTCAGGGGAAAGCTGTCTGGAGTCAGATGTGGAGAGTCTAGGAGTCCCCTGTTTGCCAGGGCCTAAGGTGGGAAGTGGAGCAAGGGCAGGGATAATTTGTAGGCATTCAAGCTAGAATTATTGCCAAGATAGGTGGCTTCAGCCACCTCTTTGTACAGAAGAGACTGAAGCACAGAGAAGTGGCTTTTGGGAGGATACAATGGCATAGAGTAGAGAGAGCCTAGGGCGAAAGTTCTCAACCCTGGCCACACTTTAAAATTGCTGGAAGGCATTTAAAAAGAAGCCCCATGGCCAGGGCTCATCCAGAGGAGTTAATAGGATTCTGAAGTTGGGCCCTGGTCAGTCTCAAAGTGATTCAAACAGCAGGCAGAATGGAGAACCACTGGACAGCCTGGTTGGCAGCCTCTGCACTTCCTGGGTTCAGATCTCTCTCAGCTAGTATGGTACTTGGGCAGTTCACCTGTCCTAGGTAAACCTCAGCTTCCTTCTCAATAAAATGAGGTTGCTAATCATATCTATTTGGTAAGATTATTTTTGAGGATTAAACAAGAAAATACAAATAAAGTACCTGGGACATATCAAGCACTTAATAAATACAAATCACTGACTTTGTTATTTGGTAATGACAGAACAGGACTAGACTTCAGGTCTCCGATTTCCAGGCAATGCTCTTTCTACCAGGAGGATTTATCAAGGCTTATAATGACCAATTCAGTGGGAAATGGGGTGCTCCATCTTTAAAATAATTACCTTTATTCAAAAAGACATGAATGACTTCATTTCTTAGTTCGGTGTCTCCTGGTTGAAATCATTCATATATTTGTTCATTTGTTTGTTCTTTGATTTGACAAACATTTCCTGAGTGTCTTATTAGGTGCCAAGTACTTATCAGGTCCCGAGTACTGTCAAACAACAGTACTCAGTACAACAAAATACATCAGTACAACAAAATAAATACAGACCCTGCCTTCCAGGAGCTTAAAGTTTAATGGAGGAGATACACTAAAACTAACTATTGTACAATGTATCAATGTATTGATTGTGACAATGGGTTTGTTTAAAACATTTTTCTTTTTCTTTTTTTTTTGAGACGAAGTTTTACTCTTGTTGCCCAGGCTGGAGTGCAATGGCACGATTTTGGCTCACTGCAACCTCCTCCTCCCGGGGTCAAGCAATTCTCCTGCCTCAGCCTCTCGAGTAGTTGGGATTACAGGTGCTGCCACCACGCCTGGCTAATTTTTTGTATTTTTAGTAGAGACAGGGTTTCACCATGTTGGCCAGGCTGGTCTCAAACTCCTGATCTCAGGTGATCCGCTCCTCTCAGCCTCCCAAAGTGCTGAGATTACAGGCGTGAGCCACCATGCCCATCTGTTTAAAACATTTCTGAGAACAGTACCTGATCTACCAGGCAATCTGGGTCACCAAAATCCTAATATAGTTTTGGTATTACCTAAGGTGCCAGACACTGGCTTTACCCACAGACATTCTGATTTAATTGATGTAGGACGTGGCCTGGGCATTGAGTTTCTTTAAAGCTCCCAGGTAATTATAATGTGCCTCCAAGTTTGGGAAGCACTGGTTTAGAAGCTTCCTGTTCCTTAAGGATATAGCCAACTCTGGAAAAACAGGCTGGCGCTGGGTGGTTAGGAGTCTTCTGGGACCACGTTTGGACTTTGGGAATTTGGAGTTTATTCTCTAGGCAATGAAGTACAATGAAAAGTCTTTAAAAGGGGAAGTGACATCAAAGTTTCAGAAAGGTAATTCTGGCTACAATTTAGAAAATTGGAAAGGCTGGACACAGGGTAATTGTTAGGAGGAAGAGATGACACCGAGGGCCTACATGAGACTGGGATGGTGGCACTCTGATGCTAGGTAGCAGCGGAAACCCTGGCACACGGGTGGAAAAAGAGTAAGCAACTAAAAATGTTCTGCTTCTGCTGGTTTTCAGCTTTGAAATTTAATTGTGGCCTCGTTAGTAATCATATAAAGAATTCCGTTAGTACTTTTTAGCTTGGCTGTAAATGGGGACAGCCCCTTCAAGAACGCTCAAGCATTTATGGGTTTCAGAATGATACAAGATAACTGATCACCCTTAAAAAATAAAAGAACTCAGTTAGCTTTTACAGCTACCCAGTTAATTTTGGTAATGTAGATCATTAAGCTTCCAGATAGAGTTTTTCACAGGGAGTGAGGGGAGAAGAGATGGTCTGGCTACTTAGGATCCAATTACCTGGATAATTGCCAGATACCCACTAAACATGGTGATGTAAGCATGGTTTCAGTCAATGTATCTTTTTTCTGTTTTTTTTTTTTCTGACCTAATGCCTCTACTGATAAAAATATTTTTACTATTATTGGTTCTGTGGAACTAGTATGACTGTGATAGTGAGAGGACTGCATTCCATTTGCCTTGTGCTCCATCAGAGTCAGCTGTCGGTGTGTCCTCATGCCAGACTCATTGTAATTAGGAAGGAGACAGAAGAGGCAAGAAGAGCCCAGCGGGAGGCTCCCATTTTGGCTTGAAGGCAGTAGCACCACAAATTAGAAAAACCATTGCTTGCCTTCTACACGGACTCAACACAATACTATTGTGTCTACCAATGGGAGGTTCTGAATATTTTTTTAAAACCTTTGAAAACATAAAAACCATTCTTAGCTCAAGGGACACAGGAAAACAGGCCACAGGCCAGAGGTTGCAGACGCGTGGTCTAAACAATTAACAGAACAATAAATCAAGCCCGGATATGTCACATTTGCTGACCTCCCTGTTGTAAATACTCTCACAATGACTTGATTCGAGAATGTCCACGTAAACACTGCTGCGAGGGGAGCTAGGGAGAGTTGAGCAGTGGTTTACCGTGGTGTGCTCTTTCCACCACGCGGATAGCATAGGCTGACATGTATGATAAGCAACCTTGAGAGCAAAGGGAATGGTAAAATGTGGTAAAATAATTAGGAAGGAAGGAGTTTTTGAGTATTTATTCTCTTTGTTTCTAATATAATTTATTTAGTTGTAAGTTCACATAATTCGGTTTTTATACTGGCCATGTTGAACAATCGGCTGGCAAAATTTCTGAAAATTTAACAATATTCTCTCACAAACTAGTACAAGCTGGCTCCAGTACACCACGGCTGGAGAGGGGAAGCTAGAATGTTGAGAGGCAGTCAGGATGAAAGCAACAGAGCAAGGAAAGCTGAAGTTTATGGCTGTGGACGAGCGCTTCCTCCATCAGCTGAGATGGAGCCATGCGTGGGCGTTGCACAGGGCAGCAGCCAATGATGGGACGGAGCTCATTCAGGCCCTCTGTCTTAATAAGCACAACTCAACTAATTTGGGAAGAAAACTCAGTTCAGTTGGCCAGTACCTGGCAGGGACAGGTAGCTTGACTTAATATATAGTAAATCTAATTATAAAAATATAGTACTGTGCTCAAAATTTACATGTGAGTAGAATGATCGTGATGAAACAGAAGACAGAACTTTTCCCTTACGATAACATTGGATTTTCTTTCCTAACCTAGCTCTCCTACAAACATGCAAATAAACTGAACCAGCTAAAGAAGTGGTCCCAAGGTTTTAATAAAAAAAACATTTAACCCTTCCCTAAATATTATCTAATGAGGGAGCAAAATGTGTCACTCTCCCTTAACAGATGGGATTCTCATGGCTGCTGTTAAAGGGGAAAAAGGAGAAACCAAACTGGGTGACTCTCTGAGTTACATCTTTGGCTCTGAACTCGGTGAGTCTATGGTTTGATAGGTTGGCAGGGCAAAGGGAAAAACAGAGTTGGAGCTGACTGAGGATTAGAAATGGAATCTGGGGCTGGGTACAGTGGCTCACACCTGTAATCCTGACCCTTTGGGAGGTTGAGGTGGGAGGATCATTTGAGCCCAGAAGTTCAAGACCAGCCTGGGCAACATAGTGAGATCCCATCACTACAAAAAATTTTTAAAAAGTAGCTGGGTGTTGTGGCACGTGCCTGTAGTCCCAGCCACTCAGGAGGCTGAGGCAGATCACTTGAGCCCAGGAGTGCAAGGCTGCAGTGAGCAATGATTACGCCACTGCACTCTAGCCTAGGCCACAAAGCAAGACCCTGTATCTAAAATAAACATAACAAAGAAAGAAAAGAAAGGGAGGGAGGGAGGGAGGGAGGAAGGAAGGAAGGAAGGAAAAGAAAGGAAGGAAGGAAAGAAGGAAGGAAGGAAGGAAAGAAAAGAAAGAGAGAGAGAAAGAAAGAGAAGGAAAGAAAGAAGAAAGAAAAAGAAAGAAAGAAAAAGAAAATCTAGATGGCTTCTAATGTAACATGGTATTTTTGTGAGAGGATACTGTTAACTATAGCAATCATTTGATTTGCTCACAGATTGATTTAGTTTTTAGTGTCCATAATATGTTAAGTATTTTTAAATATGAAATATGTACCTACATGTATTTAATATTTACCACTTAATTGAATCCTGAAGATATCAGTGGTAGATGGTTTATGTTTCTGTTTATTTCTCATGTTTTTAAACTTTCTGCAGGGAGGAACCATTTGTTAAATTTCTTTTTATGTTTCTTACTATGCAGCATTGCACCATGAATATGGAGAGTGAGCTTTAAAATAGTATGAAAGACAAATGTTTAAAGGTATACATTTCTTTCAGAGAACTTTTTCTCTCTCTTTCTCTCTCTGACAGTGTGTGTGTATCTCCTGTGTCTCTCTTTCCCTCTCTCACATGCACACATAAGTGCACACACACACTTCTCTTGGAAACTGAAGGAGGCAAGAATATGATGCCATTAACAAATGCTCTTTGGTGGACAGCAATAATAACAACTGCTAACTTTCACTGAGGACTACTTATGTGCCAGATACCATGTGAAGCGCTTTGCTTGTATTAGATCATCGAAACCTCAGAAAAACTCTATAAAGTGGGTGCTAATATTTTCTAGATTTTTCAGATACAATACTGAGGATCAGGGAGATTGAATAAGTTGTCCAGTGTCACCCCTGGTAGCTGAGAGAGCTGGTTTGGATGCCTAGGGCTGTTTGTCTCCAAACCTGTGCCTTGCACCCTTAGCTCTGGTTCCTCCCCTCTCATGTCATGTAATCAGCACAAATTTCCTGAAGTAAGGCTGCATGCATATAACAAGAATAAAGGAATAAAAATAGAGGATGCCGTGGAATGGGAGAAAGTGGACTACTTACGGCAGCAGAGGAGACAGTAGGAAAGGAGAACTCTAGATGCTGTAAAGCTTCCTGGGACTATAAGTACACTTGGCTACAACAAAATGGTTGAGCAGGAAAGAAGGGAAGACAGAAGGGCTGATTTGGTGGAGGGCCATGGGAGGAATAAAATTAGACATCATAGCTACAGAATAGAAGCACTGAAATTGCACCAAATCCATAGACTCTCAGGAGTGGAGGAGATTTGAACGCCATCTGCCTAATACATAAATTTGCTCTGCATCTTGACAAGGTGGTGGTTCAGCCTCCTTGAATGCCCTTGGCCATGAAGAACTCATTAGCTCCTCTCAACAGATGGTGAATTAGAAAGTTCTTCCCTGTATGGAACCCATATTTGCCTACCAGTAACTTCTGCTCAGTGGCCAGGAACTGACTTCTTGGGGCCATACATGAAAAGTCTTTCATAGAATAGTTTCCAGGGTAAGTAGGAAAATATCTACACGTCAACTATTTTTCCCTAATGGTAAAATTATTTCTGGATACTGCGTTCACAAATGCTTCCTAATCACTAATTATCACTCAGTACATTTCTTAATCAACTGCCTTTTTGCTAGGTAATAATAATAGTTGATAATAACCAACTGCAAATAGCTTTGCATAGATCATTTTTTATGTTGTCATTTTTATCTTACAGTTGAGGAAGCTGAGGCTCAGAGAGCTTAAATAACTTGCTCAGGGTCACCTACACTATAGGCAGAGCAGTCAGAATTTGCTACAGGTAATTTAAACACAGAGATAGAGCACTATAGTCAATTTGGTGCTGCTATACCAGAAACCCGAGACTGGGTAATTTATAAAGACACTCATTTTTGCCGGGCACTATGGCTCACACCTGTAATCCCAGCACTTTGGGGGGCTGAGGTGGGTGGATCACCTGAGGTCAGGAGTTTGAGACCAGCCTGGCCAACATGGTGAAACCCCGTCTCTACTAAAAATACTAAAAATAAGCAGGGCGTAGTGGTAGGCACCTGTAATTCCAGCTACTCAGGAGGCTGAGACAGGAGAATCGCTTGAACCCGGGAGGTGGAGGTTGCAGTGAGCTGAGATCACACCATTGCACTCCAGCCTGGGCAACAAGAGAGAAACTCCATCTAAAAAAAAAAAGACATCTTTTCTCTCACAGTTCTGGAGGCTGGGAAGTCCAAGATCTAGGCGCCAGCATCTGGTGAAGGCTTTCTTACTGCTTCTCACATGGCAGAAGGCAAGAGAGAGATATGCAAGTCCTTTTCATGGTGGTGTTAATCCACTCATGAGAGTAAAGCCTTTGCAAGCTAAACACCTCTAAAAGGCTCCACCTCCCAACATTATTGCATTGGGGGTTAAGTTTCCAACACATACGTTTCGGGGGACACAGTCAGACTATCGCAAGTACAGCAGGTCTTTGAATACATTTATTGTGTTCAACACCTTTTCATTATGACATTGATGGGAAGAAAAAATGGATTCCCAGCCAGGGCCACTGTCTAGGTGGAGTTGGCAAGTTCTCCCCACATCTGTATGGGTTTTCTTAGCCTTTCCTGTTTCCTCCCACATCCCAAAGCTGTGCACTTAGGTGAACTGCTGTATTGACAGGGTCCCAGCATGAGTGAGCGTGGGTGTGTGTGCGAGTGCTCTATGTGATGGAATGGCCTCCTGTCCAGGATTGGATCCTGCTGTGCACACTGAGCTGCCAGGACAGGCTCTGGCCACCTGAGTTCAGGGGAACCGGAATACTTGGGTAAATAATTATCTCATTTCTGTAATCTTTCTTAAATGTATGTATAGCTCACATTTGTTTCAATGTTTAGTATTAGAAGTGTTTTGGTCTTTATTTAGAAATTTGGGGTTTTGTTTTGGTTTGGTAATGTTTTTGTGACCAGAAAGATGCCCTAAGGAACTTTTTTTTTTTTTTTTTGAGACAGAGTCTCACCCTCGGGGGAGTGCAGTGGCACAGTCATAACTTGGACCTCTGGGTCCAAGTGGTCCTCCTGCCTCAGCCTCCTGAGTAGCTGGGACTACAGGTGCATGTGACTACACCCAGCTAATTTTTGTATTTTTTGTAGAGAAGGGGGTCTCTCTATGTTGTCCAGTCTGGTCTCAAACTCCTGGGCTCAAATGATCCTCCCGCCTCAGCCTCCCAAAGTGTTGAGATTACAGGCATGAGCCACGTCACCCAGCCTTAACTCTTGTTCGTATCCATTAGCCTACGGTAAAATGGGTTTTGTTATACCAATTTTGTAATACCCTTATATCATCATTTCACTTAAAGTGACAATTCCTGAGAACCTATCAGTGGCATTAAGTGAAGACTTATTGTACTTAAATAAATCATTCATTCCACCTGGTATAAAAAGAGAATGCTGTGGAAGGTAGAGTCTACCCAGGTTTAGCTTTGAGAACGTGCAGCTTGTACAGTCTCCCACTGAGAAGGGCTCTGAGCCTGGTTTTATACTCTGCTGTCACAGCCTTGAAATTCTTAATAAGTTTTGAACAGGGAGCCCTGTATTTTCATTCTGCACTGAGCCCCCCAAATTATTAACTTGTTCTGGGTCTGCCATTAAAAACGAAAGAAAACAGTCAAGCTGACAAATAGAACACCTGCTTTGGTGGTGGTGCATCGAGTGTTCTGTCGTTCTGTAGGTTCATATGTTGGAGTGAACTTTAGAACCCATTCTCTATTCTGTGGCTTCTGGTCTTACTGCCCTGGACAGCCTCAGTGGTCAGGGATGGAGTGTAGGGTGTGGAGAGTGGCTTCCTTTCTTGTATATTTAATGCCATGCGTGGAGAAGGGCTGAGTTCTGGCAGGAATGCTTTTACATTTTTGGCTTTTATCACTTTCTACTCCTCAGACACTGTGTCTCCTGTCACAGGAAATTTATGGGTACATTTTAGTAGTTGACAGGAACAACGAGCCTCCAGGATTTCCCCAGGAGAAGCTTCCACCTGCCGAGTGAGAACTTCCTCCTATTGGCTAATGTGGAAGCTCTGGGCTCTCCTCATTATTTCCTCAGCCTGTCATAAATGCCAGGAATGCAGGTTTCACAAAAGCAGGCAGAGGTGCGCTGTTAGTAACTGTTCCAGGACAAGTCATTTGGGAGAGGTACTTACTGTGCTTCTTGGATGTCTGCTTCCAGTCATCTTAGTAAGTCCAGTTTGACAAAAATGTGCCTTTCTAAGTAAATGCAGCTCACAGCTTATGGTTGCCAATGAAAAATAAAAAGGACAGATGTAACATGGAAGAATGCATAGCTACCCAACACCTTCTTCAGAACACCAGGGCCTGATATTATGTTTTGCTGCTTAATAGACTTCATTCAGATTATGAATGCCTTCAAAGTGGCAGTAAGATATCTTGAAAAGAGCACTGCACCGGGAGTCAGGAAACCTGGGTTTCCACCTAGTTTAATCTTCCCAGATTAAGGGGAGGAGTTGAATTAGGCAATAGCTAAGCCCTGCACTTAGTACCCAGTGCAGACATTGTAGGAGGCTCCCTCTTTTGGGAATTGACAGATGTTGAGCTTGGGTTTCCTTCTCTTGGCTCAAAGTGAACAGGCTTTTAATCAATCCAGAGATATTTACCTAGATCTTTTCATTTACTGCACTGCAAGCCCTGTGGCAGAATGATATACAGGAAAACCTGAGGCTCATTATGAGAAAATTGCATAAGGGGCTTCTCTCCTGACTTCCACGTATGGCCCAGGAATCTTGGTTCTGACTGTCAGGCCAGCTCCACCTGGGCCAGGTATTTATAGATGACATCCTTAGATGGGGAACACAGAGCTAGCTGCTATAATAGAAACCCAAAATAACAGTGAATTTAAGGGGGGTAGACATTTATTTCTCTCTCAAGCAATCCAGGGTGTCTCCATGTCAGACTCCCAGGCCCCTTCTGTGTTGTTGCTCCTGCCCACCTAGAGTGTTGCCCTCCCTGCATGGCCCATGATGGCTTCCCACTGTGTTCACAGTCCAGGCAGCAGGATGGAAGAAGGGGAGTCAAAGCCAGGTTGCACCCATCTCTTTTCCCTCTCAGCCCAACAACCAGAACTCAGTCCACTGAAAGGTAGGAAATGCAGTCTTTGTTCTGGGCAGCCATGTGGGAGAGTGGATACTGGCAGACAAGTAGCAGGTTCTGACATGTGGCCTGTGTCTTGGGATTTGATTAAGATGAACCAAAGGGCCTGTTGAGAGCATCTGCACTCTGACCTGTCAGGAGATCTCTATACACTGTAGGCCACGAACTTATATGCAACAAACCACGAAGACCAAAGCAGGCTGTGGCACCAATCACCCATCCCTCCTCCAAGGAGCTGGTGCAGACCCTCAGCTGGTGTGGCCATGGCTGTGGTCTCTGTGCTAGTCCAGTCTGGGTCTTCTCTGACTATCCTGCACTGTTCTTGTTTGGATTGCTCTGGAGTGCCAACTTTTCTTCACAGTTCTTCTGATTAGGTACTAAACTTCATTTATGCATTTGTCACAGTGGAGGCTCCAGGCACTTATTTCTGGGGAAGGCAGGCTTAGCCTTCCCCACGGCCTCTGCAAAGTGCTGCTCTCAGTTCCCTTACCCTGCGTTCTCTGTCTCTTTGTGCAATTCTGTGGTCGTAGTGAAGGCGAGGGGGCCCCTTCTAGTGGGAAGGGTCACTTCCAACTTAGATTCAGACTGGAAAGATGACCTCCAGCTGTGCAGAGACATGTTCCATGGTTCTGCGTTCCACAGAACATCTGGAAGAGCTGATTCCAAGCGGTGGTGTCTCAGCACAGCTGGGGCAGTGCTGTCTGCCCCCTGCCATGGTTGACATCCATTAGGTGAGTACCCTGGGTGTTGTGGTGTGTGTTAGAGACTCTAGAGGTGAATGTGGTGGTCACCTTTTCCCGTTCCAGCTCTGCACTCTCTGCAGAGTTGAGGGCCAGACACCTTCTTGTTGAGGACTTAGTTTACTCTAAGCCTCCAAAATGGTTCTGGGCCCATTTTACTTTTAGCCTCCCAACACAGTTTGGGCCGTCCTGTTTTCCTTTATTCTCTCACATCTCAGCCTCCCAAAATGCTGTTCCATCTTCTGTCTTCTGACTCAAATCCTCTTCATCCTTTGAAGACTCCAATAACTCCTCTTGGAGAAGCTTTCACCTAAAATACCAGCCTTGGGATTTTTATTACCTTGTCAATTCTCCCCAAATTTCTTTCACTGGCCGAGCAGAGCCATTACCAATCTCTATTGTTCAGTATTTAACTTCACATATTTTTGTCCTCTTCTCAGGTTTTAAACTCCTGACTTGTTTTATTCATGCATTTATCAGTTATTTACTAGGATTTGCTAGGCACAGAGCAGACAAAGACAAATAATTCCCCTGTGTAGCACTTCGCTAGGGTAACCAAGGGGGGAAGACATTTACTGGAAACAATAACAGAACAAATTATTACCTTACTAGTAGACATATGTGCAAAAGCCTTTGAAAGACCAGAAGAAAGCCAACTGCCTGGCAATGTCGGAAAGTTTCATGGGGGAGCTGGCATTCTTATTGGCCTATTCAGTGGTGGATGGATGGAAACAGTTGCTGGCTGGAAGAAGTATGAGTATAAATGATCAACAATTTGAAGAAGGTGAGAGTTGGAGGTCTATTTATTTGGGTGGGAGAAAAGGATACAAAAGAGAAGGATGGATGAATAGAAGATAAAGCTGAAAAGCTGAGTTGGGCAAGATGGGCAAGTACTTATTGGCTCTGCTAAAGCTTTTGGATTTTCCTGTTGGTAACGGGGAGCCTTGAAAATTCTTCGGGAGGGAAGGTGGATGGTCCCATCTGTGTATTAGAATGATGAGGTTGGATTTGGAGGGAAAAATTGATTGGGGTTGAGGAGTGAGCCTCAAGTCAGATGGATCAGTTAGATACAAATTTCTGCCAGACAATGACACCAGCAAAGGTGAGAGGTGAGGAGAGCTCTGAATTATTAGCAGTGGCAATGGGTAGGAATGAATGAAGGGAACACATTTAAGAGACACTGAAAATGAGTAATTGGATGCGTGGGAAGTTGCAGATGCTGGAAGACTTCACTCTGTATAAGGCAATGTCTTTTTTTATTCAATAAATATTGGCTTTTTTACACTGTGTACAAATGGTGTATGCTTTTCTGAACATTTGGGTTTTGACACAAACTTGTAAGACTGAAACCATGTGAATATTCTTCTTAAAAAATGGATTGTAAAGATTTCATGTGAGAGTTTACTGTGTACAAGACTTTGCAGTGTTGATTTTCAGTCTAGCTGGTGGTCAGATTCTTTTCTTATGAAGTACTATTGGGGAAATTTTGAGGAGTACACAGTATACATTCTTGGAGTACAAAATCAAAATGTGTACCCTGTTATGTTTTAAAAGAACTAAAACTACAAAACGATGCTTTTCCTTCAGGTTTTGTGGGTTGAAAAAAAAGTTAGTGGAGAAATAGCTTTCTAATTCTTTCTTGCCATTTCCCAAAGAAAGATACTGTGATATTTCATTAAATTAAAATGGTTATTTTTTTGTTTATTGTCATCAGGCTAGTAAGCCAGATGATGCTGGGGAGCAGGGGTGTAAAGAAAAGGAAAATGTTTCCTGGTTTAAACTCTCTTCCAGTGCTAAACAAGTGCTTTGCCCTTTGGGTGGCATATACCACCCAAATGGCAGAGCAAGGGGGTTTAGGAGAATGTCTTTTCCTTTTTGCCTGGTGTTGCCCATAACTACATAATTGTTTCTTGGTTAATTGGTTCAGATGCTACATTGTTTCCAAAGGAGATCAATCTTTCTTCTCTCCATCTCTCTCCTTCTGTCTTCCCCCCATTTGTTAAGCTCCTTTGCTTTAATGCTTAAATGCTTAACAGTCTTATCTGCTGATCCCCGCAGCTCCTAGATACTGAAAATAAATTATCTTTATGCTGCGGCTGCTATTAATATATTCCTGTTTGTCTTGGCCTCTGAGTTATGGGGAGCTGTCTGCCTTGAACACTGCATCATAACAATTGTATAACCTCTTCCAAGCACTGCAGCAAACTTAAATTTATAAATGCCTATGAAGTGAGAGGAGAGAATGGAATTGACTTGAGCGTGGGCATTTAAAGCGGAAAGTCCCTTCCCTGGAGGCTCACTCTGATCTTTCCAGAGTGAGCATGAGGGACTCACTCTCTCCCTGACACTTTTTGTCCAATTATTCATTGACCAAGCTTAATGATGGGGACCAGAGGAAATATCAGTATGAAGTTTTATGAAGAATTAAGTAGTACTACTTTGATCAATGTAAAACTCTAATAAATAACCCAGCTTAGTAATTGTAGAGCTATTTAGAGAAAACACACAGATTGAGAATTGAGCAGCTTGTCTCCCAAGAGGGGCCCACTGGGCTGGTAGCATCTAGCAGTTAAGAGGGGGCTGTGTTTAGGTTTTGGACATCCTTATCCGTCCTTGGTATGATCCCCTCATGCTTCATACCTGAAACCTTCGCCTCCTCTGCACAAAGCCATCAATCCAAACAAATGTTTTTGAGCAAAGTGAGCAGAATATTATAAGTTTTCCCACAGTGTTAAAGAATGCCTAAGGATGCAGTATTTGAATTTAAGGTTTTTAGGTTTTATTTTCAAAAGAAACTTTAGAGGTTTTCAAATTGTATTCCACAGAGTTACAAGGGTTCCAAGACAGTGTCTCAGGAGCTGCTTGGGGCATGGAGAGCGGGTCTGCATCCTCCCTCCCCCATCTTGAGCCAGAACAACCCCATGCTTGTGTATTGGGTTTCTAAGTGAGGCTTAATCTGAAGACAGTTACATTGATTAAATCATTGGAAAACTATTGATCTAGTCCAACTTCTCATTTTATAGAGGAGGATGCTGAGGGCCAGAGAGTTTTATAATCTGCTCAAAGTCACAATACCAGTGACCAAGATGGATCTAGAATACAGATCTTCTATCAGTCCAATGTTCTTTTATTATCCTATTTACTATTGAATTCCTCCTTTTATCCAGGACAAGCATGGTCCTATCAGCACCAACGTTAGAACTAAAATAAAATACAAAATAAAATGGATCCTGTCTATGGAGAGGCTGTGACACAGAGAGGTTAAGCACGTAGACTCTGGACCTAGACTTCCTGGGATCAAATCTCTACTCCACCGAGTATTTCCTGTATGATGCAGGGAATATTTCTGTATGATGCAGGGAACCTTGTATAAGTTACTTACCTTCCTGTAGCTCTGTTTTCTCGATTGTAAAAGGCTGTGATGATGATGAAATAAACCAGTGCATATACAAATACTGAGAACAGTGTGTGGCAAGTAGTGAATAATAAACATTAGTTTTTATTTAAAAGTTGGAATCATCAGTCTTTCTCTAAGTTTCCGTTAGATACTCTGTAGTGTGTCAGTCCTTCTGCCTTCTGTGTTTGGCGCTGAGGATGACCGTGGTCATGGATGTGTGTTCTCTCATGTCTGTTAAAACCGTTCTCCCAGAGGTAGGAGGAGTAATAGGATCATAGACCATTTGGACTGGAGGCATGTCTTATGTTACAAGTACCTGAGTGAGAACTGAGGCCCCATGAGTGGAAATGACTTGCTCAGTAATCTTAAGGGGCTTTTTCCAAAAGGGCAGGGGGCAGGGAAGGAGAGACTCCTGACACAGTCCTGGGAACCTGCATTCTATCGGAAAGCCAGTTGTCATTCGTGGGGCCAATATGTTGATGCTGCATTTATAAATTTTTAAAAATTGAGGTGTGATTCATTTCACATAAAATTAACCTGTGTACAATGTGAAATCCAGAGCTATGTAACACATCCGCAATATACACCATCACCACTAACTTTTTCATTAGTCCCGAAGGAAACCCTGTACCCATTAAGAAGACACTCCCTATTCCCGCCTCACCCAGGGCCCTGGCAGCCACCGCTCTGCTTTCTGTCTCCGTGGATTTACCTATTCTGTATTTTTCACAGAAATGGAATCATGCACTAGGTGAACTTTAGTGTCTGGCTTCTTTCACTTAGCATAATGTTTTCGAGGTTCATCCACATTGTAGCATAAATCAATATTTCATTCCTTTTTATGGCTTTTACGTTGCACTTTGGTTAAAGAATTTTGTTGCCTTTGTCTCTCACCACTCCCGAAGTGAGGCTAACTGACTGTGACACAGTTTTCTGTTTCTTTCCACCCCACAACTTGGTCATTAGTAAGGGGCTAACACTGTGGTTCTATTATTTACAGAAAACTTGTTTCTGGTTTCTCGGGTCAGGAGACCAACAGCAGAGAAAGTCTAGCTGCTGCTATGCTGGTGGGACCTGCTCTGTTAGGTTCCCTGCCTGTCACTGCTCTTGTGCCCAGGTGTTTGTGAGGGCATGAAGAAGGAAGGGACTTCAAGGGCTGGGCGATTTGGCCCCACCATGATACCTGGGTGTTGCACAGAGCCCACATGGCAGTGGAGAGGCTATCTCTTATCAGCACCTTTGCTGTCAGCTTCTTGTCACAACCTCAAGCCTGACAGGGGAACCACACTGATAGGTGGGCCCTCTGGGTCTTGGCAACAATGTCATAACGCGGATTACCAGAGCAATATGTCACAGTGTCATTTTGCAATGTTGAGGTGTTCCATTTGTTAATGAGGTGAATTTCTTGTCTATAAACATGAACATCTGAACTGTAGAGGAGAGATTAAAAAAATAAAATCACCATATTAATCAGGCCCAATAATTCCTTTTTTAAGCTTGGATCCAATGCTGAGGAATCTCTGGCATCCTTCCTTGGAATCAATTACAGTCAATTTCTTCACATTTTACATCAGTTAAAGGAACATTGTCAAGATAAAATCTTGCCCAACATAGTTTTTTTTTTTGTTTTAATTTCCTTACTCTCATAAACCAAGACCTTCTTAGGTTACTTTGCCAATAATGAATTTTTAGAGCCAAATCCCTGGTTTGTCTTTATTTGGGCTGTGCTGAGGAAGTAGCATCTTCCTTCCCCTTGGTTCACATGTTGCAGTGGGCTGCTCCACGGCTCTCAGATGTGCCCTTGGGGCTGCATTTTGTCCACACAGGGGCCTGTGTTCTAGTTCCTTAGGTGCGTGTGAAGTTGTGTCTGCCTTGCTGATGGGGTTATTTGTGCTAATCTTTCTGGAGCCCGGGCACAGGCCACAGCAGGGCAGAGATGCCTGGAAGGGGTCAGGACTGGGTGCCAGCATCCTCTTGGGCCGTAAAGTTAGGCAGGCATGAGGCCACATTCCACAGGCCTGAAGGAGCAGGGAGCTTGGGCTCAGGGAACTTAGTTGAGGCAGAAAGGCTCAAAAGTCACCTGAGGTGAGGCAGGTGGAAGCTGGAGACCCAGCAACAAGTTGGGAACATTACCCATGAGTTTAGTTCATAAGACAGAGGCAAGCTTTGTCCTGACATCTTTGCCTTCTCCTTTGTCCTATGTTAGGCAAGAACTCACAGGTGTGTGCTGCTAGAAGGCAAGACAGGTCTCTACAGGTTCAACTTACCCATAATTAAGGATGGACAGCAGCCTAGACCTCTCAGTGGTTTCCTAATGTGAGTTGCTGACAATAGATTTTGTTCTTTTGTAGTAAAGGCACCCAGAGACTTGCTGCCTAAGTGCCCATGGGCATCCTTGGTTCTTGCCTACCAGGCAGACCCTCTCCTCCTCATCCGAATTGGAGGGTCCAATCACTCTCTTGGGGGTCCAACCTGGATTTTGTCTTTCTCAGCATTGTGGTCTCAGTACGGAGAAACCAAAACTCGTGGCACTCAAGAGCTTGTTCACTCTTCTCTTCTCCAAACCCTCTGGTGTCCAAGTGAGTTTGGACTAAGTGGGAGGCCAGATTCATTGGCACACAAGTGGCAGCACGGTGAATGGGGGGCTGTGCTGTGTTCTTCAGGCTCAACCTTCCAGAAGACAATGCGTGCCTGTCTCCTCTGCTGCATTCCTTGTCCCATGTCTTTTGTTTGAACAAAAGAGGATTGGATAATGAGTTTCTTTTTTATTTCCATCCTTATTTTCTATGGACATGAAGCTTGAAAGCCAGTCTCCTTGGGTCTCTATCTCTCTACCTATCCTACTACCCCTTACCTTAGAGTAAAGGTTCTGAATGTAAAATAAAGTTATTGGGGAGATTTTAAAATTCTGATGCCCAGGCTGTATCCCAAATCAAATTCATGGTTGGATTTTACTATACAGTAAGGAATGCTTTGATACCATTTTGAATGTAGATGGCTCAGTGGCTTTCTTTGGCTTTCTCCAAGTCCTGCTCAATCCTCCTGAGATGCCCCGAGAATACTGGCCTCCTGAGCAACAGTGGCAGGATCTCAGGAGAGAGAGGGCAGCTGTGGGCTGTGTCTTTTCATGAGTATGCAATAGTCACCTTTGTTTATTATTTCCCCACCCTGGAGACAAATGTGTTGCTCTTTCTGTGTGAGTGTGTGTGTGAGTGTGTTTGTGTGTGTGTGTGTGTGTGTCTGTGTGTATGTGTTTGGAAGGGGTAAGAGCAGTGTAACCACAGCTCCCATCCCCATGCTGCAAGGTAGAGGGAGGAGGGGTGGCTCACACGTGAGTGGGAGCACGGCTTGCGGCAGTCTCGGTAACCGGAGGGGGCGGGCATGCTCTAAGGGAGCAACTTGGAGGAGTTCCTGTGGTCCCAAACACCCATCCATCTCTGCTTGAGTTCCTTCCCAGTTTTAGGTGTCATATGAGTGCTTATATCAGTATAACTCACATCAGCCTTAGTGCCATGGACAGTCCCTAAAGTGAACATCAATTTCTCTGTCACCTGCCGTATTTTGGGTGTACCCTAGGGGCACTTAGCACACCCGGCCAGGAGGCTCAAGCCCATGCCTGTGGATGGCACACATAGAGAATGGACTCTGTTGCTCTTGAAAAGGATTGTTAAAAAATCAAGTTAGCATCTTGTTTGTCAACGTTAAGACAGTTGATGTTTCAGAATAATTGACAAGCATGGAAATCCACTGGAAACAGGAATGTTATTAGGGCCACTGTGTTTGTGAGTGTTCGGATGTGAATTAAACCAATCCATTACACTTGTTTGATGTTCATTGGGGCTGCAATATTTTTATGCAGAACCCGTGAAAGGAGACACAGTTCAGTGGTGTTTATGAGTGACCTTGTCTTGTCCTCTGAATTATGGACAGGCAGCTCAGAACATCAGCAGCTGGAGCTAACAACTGTGCTGTGTTTTCTTCATATTCCGTATTCCTGAGATGCTGCTGCCATCTCGGGCTTAGATTTTGCAGTAGAGAACATGAATGCGGCTTTTCAAATCAGAAATATTTATAGAACGAGGTCCTGATTTAACAACGCTGAAGCGCTGGTCCTGGAAATAATAACACAAGTCAGGAAAGAGAACCTCTCTCCCTATAAAACATCCCTCCAGTGCTTGCTTTCGAGGGGACTTCTTTGTGAAAAATTAATGTTTCCCAGTTTGATCAGAAGGGTTTTAAACTGAAGGTAGGGGGTGGTGGAGTAAAATGCCAGGTGAGCCTATGACACTGACAGGCAGTGCCTGGTTAGGTGCAGTGATGTAGCTAACCCACCCTGGGGGAGTTCCGCTGGCCATTCCACTTCCAGAGGGGAGGTGCTTGATTCTCCATTCCTTGACGTACAAGGAACCCTGAGGAAGGTGTGGACAGGATGTCCCAGAACAAGTGAAGCCAGTCTCTGTGTCCAGCTGGGTCCTCTTTCTGGCCCTGACACAGATGCCCCCATGATGCCCGCCCTCTGCAGGCTCAAGTCCGCCCATGTGCTCGGCCACCACCTGGCCTGCAAGTCTATCCTGGGATGCTGAGGGGGCAGCTCTGGCATCCGACACCCTGGAACCCAGGACATGGATCCCATTTTCTCTCCAAACCCAGGCTATGTTTACATCTTCAAAACACATAAGGCCGACTGTCCCTTCTTTCCTGAAAAATGGAGCTTCATCTCCACTCCTCTGGGCTATATGTCTCCTGGAGTCTCAGAGTCCTTGGGGCTTGGGGGCATTGTGTTCAGAGCTTTGGACATGATTCACAGTATAATCCTAAGGACAAAGTTTTTCTGGCAACCTCATGCTAAAACATGAGAAAACAACAACACAACAACAACAACAAAACAACAACAACATCCCAGCTCGCTCTCATTTAAAATCATTCCCCAGGTCAAATCTCCAGCAAACATCCCTCTAGAGAAGTGAGAATAACATAGTCAAAATGCCCAGGAACCTCAGCAGATGCAGCTGCCAATAAAGTTAAAGTAAATGTAGGCACCGTGAATAGATGTCTAGCATTCCAAATAGAGGTGGTGAGAGTTTGCCTGGCCCTGGCCATACTGCCCTCGAAGACAGCTTAGTGCTGGCAGCATGTTCCGAGAGAAGCACTGACAGAGAAAGACAGAGGAGCATGGAAGAGGATGGGAGAGTGGCTCATGTTCTGGCCTAGAGAAGCAAAGATTCGTAGAGAGGGGAGGAAGAGAATACAGTAACTGTATTGCAACATTTATTAATAATAATAACGACCACATTTTTAACATCTGCTACACCTTAGGCCGTTGGAACATACTAACTCATTTTAATCCTCACAGCAACCCCATGAGGTGGATATCTTTATTCCTATTATACAGATGATGAAACTGAGGCTTGAAGAGAGCGGTTCAGTGACTCGCCCAAACTCACATGCTTAGTGTGGGAAAGTTAAGATTTTGCCACATCCAAGTCCTTTTAGATCCAAGGCCGTGTTCCTTTTTGTAAGCCTCCCTGGTGTGTGGAAGGGAGTACACTTTCTCCGTGAGATGCCAGATAACTGAAAGAGAACTACAGGGAAGATGTCAGAGGAACGAGATTCCACGCAACCTGATAAAGAACTTGCTCATGGTCAGAGTTGTCCAGAGATGGGATGAACAAGCCCAGCTGGGGCTGCATTTCCATCCCTCGGAGGTCTCAGGCAGAGGCTGAGGTACTAAGGTTGAGGGTACTGTGGTGGGTATTTAATACTAAGAGTCCCTCTTAATACTTTCTGTTTTATTACTCTAAAGTAAACTTCCCCAGCACACAGCTCAAAGAGAAGGCCAGTGTAATATGCTGGTTCAATATCCGACGACTTTGAAATAATTCGAGGGCTAACTGGCTCATCTAGTGTGATTTAAGCTCGTAGTTTCCCATTCATGTATGTACTCACTTCTTCAAAAAACACCTTTCGGAGTGCCTCCTTCGTGCCAGGCTCTGCAGATATAGCTGTGAATAACAGATAGTCCCTGTGCAAGGAATCTATAGATGGGAATGGGGAGAGACAGGCAGACAGGTGATTTTCATTCTGTGTGTAAATATAATTAGGAAAGTACAGGATGCTATGGGACACCGAATCCAACTTTGCGGGACAGGGGAAGAAGCCTTAGGAGCTGGCGAGGCGAGGGGGTGAAGAGGAGAAGGAGGTCTGGGCACTGGAAGCGGCACACGTGGAAACGGTAAAGGCCGACGCCGGTTCAGAGCCGCAACCGCGACAGCCCCGTCGTCCACCTCAGGTGCCGGCGCCCCCTGCTGGTGCGCGGAGATGCGCGGAGACCGCAAGGCCCGGGGGCGTGGCCTCCCCTGCGCCGGCGCGTGTGCCCGGGCCCTCCGCGGGGCGCCGGCGTCTGCGCCAAGGCACGTTCTCCTGCTGCTCCAGAACTGCCACCTTCCAAGTCCTGAAGGAGGCCGTTTTCCTGTCATTTGCACCTGGCCGGAGCCATTCTGGATGTTTTAAGGAAACGAGAAAACCATTCTTTCCTCTTACCGGATGATGTGCGATGTCATTTGGAAACAAAGAAGGGCTCTGTTTCTTGGAGCCCCTGGGTTCTGTCTGCAAGAGGGGCAGTCATGAGGCTTGCAAGGCAGGGAGTGGGTAGGATGGTGCTACAAGCGGCCGGGAGGTGATGGGGTGCAGGGAAATAGACATTTCCATTTCTTCCTCCTCCCTTCTTTTCTCCCCAGAATCTCCTGTGCGAACCTCTTCTGTGCAGACACCTTCCCACCCAACCTCAACAGAGCCCTGTGGGCCTCCCACGCTGTGTAAGTGCGCGGACTCATCTGAGTGCCACTAGGGGACACAGCCCAGATTCAAGCTGGGATCCCCATAATATGTGCACCTGCAGCCAGGTGTGCCTATAGAACCACAAATGCGACAGGTGAGGGGATCATCTTATTATTTTCCTACTTCCGAGGCAGGACGGTACTTAAACCATCTCAGACAGATGGTTAACTGTCCTATTTTAAAATATCTCTGGGGAGGACGATTTCACAATTCCCTGTGGCTGTCTGTTCTAGTATTTAATCATGTTCATTACCAGCGAGTTCTTCTTTATGCCGGATCTAAATCTCCACCGTTGTGATTTAAGTCTTTTTCCTTGAGGGTAGACGCTGTGGCTCTTCTGCTTCAGGGGAGGAGAGGATTCTGGTGCTAATTTTGCGGTCTTGTGAATAAGTTATCTCTTGTAACACCTTCTTTGGGGTTTATTTTCTTTACTGGTAAATGGGGTTGGAGGGTGAGTTAGGGATGGTTCCCAAGGACTTCTCAAATGTCATAGCTTTTAGACAAGTGCTGCATTGGTATCGTGTGCAATTCAATACTTAGTGGAAATAATAACGCTTTGTTGCATTGAAAAGCGTGTAGCTGAAATCTGAAATGATGCCACGTAGACCTAGTCCAGAAAGCCATCTATCCCTTAGTGTCTGAGTGGGCCGTGGGAAGGAATGAGCAGTGGAGTGGGCTGGGCCACTCACAGCTGGACCTTCCAGAAGTCACTTCAGGGTAGGCGCTCTGATCATCTATTGCACAGAAAAGGGGAATCAGGCTTTGTGGGTGCTGCCCCAGCCTCTAGCTCTGGAGAGCTCAGAAATGAACACCCAGCAGAGGGCAGTTGTATGGGACAGTGGATTTTCATCCTCCCTCCCCTTTCCTATCTTTTTTTTTGAGACAGAGTCTTGCTTTGTCACACAGGCTGTAGGTGCGATGTTGGCTCACTGCAACCTCTGCCTCTCGGGTTCAAGAGATTCTCCTGCCTCAGCCTCCCCAGTAGCTGCGATTACAGGCATGCGCCACCACGCCCGGCTAATTTTTGTCTTTTTAGTAGAGACAGGGTTTCACCATGTTGGTCAGGCTGGCCTTGAACCCCTGACCTTGTGATCTGCCCTCTTCGGCCTCCCAAAGTGCTGGGATTACAGGCATGAGCCACGGCGCCCAGCCTCCCCTTTCCTATCTTTAAAAAGCAAATGCCCTAGGAAGGGTTATACCTTAAGTCATTATCAGGTAACCCTTTAGTGACCAGATGAGGAAATGGGCTACAGAGTAGCTGCTTAGTCTTGACACTGGAGGGGTTAGCACAGGAGGATTCGGGGTACCCTGGGAGGAAGGTTTGCTAACAGCAAAACAAAGGCTCCACACCAGCGGCAAGAGACCAAGTTCACTCATTTCCCCTTGTTTTCAAAACCTTCTTGTCTGCTTACTTTGCTATGTATGTCCTTAGGAGCTGGTTCTTGCTCCAGGTGGCATGAGTTACCTTGCTTTAGGGGGCAGTTTTTAGGCAGGATTCATTCTAGGCAAAGTTCCACCAGCCAAAGCTCTCTGAGCATCCTGCCTCATCTATACATAGGAGTAAACAGAGCTTCAGCCAACGACTGGATCACATCATGAGACGGAGTAATCTGCTATTTACTTGTATTCTCTTACCTCCTCAAGTTGTTTGAGACAGAAATAAAGACTTCCTTGTTTGGTAGGCATGGGAGGAATTTTAATCTTCTGCACATGTAAATGTGAGATTGTAGGATTTCTCTTGCCTTTATTACTGGTATCATCAAACACTGCATTGGGCTCACTGTCCGCTAACAGCAATTCTTGTATTATTATTTCAGAGTTAGCTGTGAGTTAAAGTATCTTCGGGCCCCACTTGGTCTTGAAATTGTTAAAAGGCATTGGGTACACCAAAAATGTCCTTGGGCCTCTGAAGGGGAGAAAAGGGTCAGAATGGTCCCAACTCAGATGCAAGTCTCCTGGGAAGGGACGTGTTCCCCACTTTGTGCAGGTCAGGCAGGGGTGCACTGCAGAACTGGTTTCCACCATCGTACCAGTCATGGAAGGGTTTCCATCAGCTCAGGATTGTAATTGTGTCCCACTGGAGGAACAGCACGAAGTTCTGAAGATACTTGTGCCTTCTATATAACCCTCACTTCTCAGAGCATGGTCTGGGGTAGAGCAGCATCAGCCTCACCTGGAAGCTTATAAGAAATCCAGAATCTCAGGCTCTACCCAGATCTACTGAATCAGAATCTGTATTTTAAAAATAACCCCAGGGGATTCTTATGCACATTTAAGTTTGAGGCCCCCTGGTCTAGCCCACTGGAAAACAGAGTCCTTCTTGGTGGATTTCGAGTGTATTGTTCTAGGCAACGTTGTAAAGCAGGTGAGGCTTCTCTTCGGGACCACCGACTCTATTTTCAATATTCTTTTCTCTCATTAAAGCTTCCTTTTCTCTGCATTTCCCTTCACTCCCTCCCAAAAGCACCCAGACAAAACCCTACTGACGAAGACTGTGCACTCAACATAGCCCAGGTCCCTGACATACTGGAGAAAAGAGACATGATTAAATAATTCCTATGAAGCTGTTAGTGACTTAGGATTTGCAGGGTTCTTTCTCATATGGATATTGCACTCTAAAATAGGGTACTTAATGAATCACTGTTTAACCTAAAGATTATATTTCCTTTCATAGAATTCGAGTCACGGTGGCACTCTGACAGAGATTGCAGATATCTGGGGATAGGGTGACTTTTATAATCACTAATAGGATGCTATGTGGGTGACTACTTAATCCGACTATGTAACAGACTGGACCCCCAAGCTTTGGGTGACCCCCAAAACTTCCCAGCTCAGTAAGCCCTCATTATTGCTCACAGACACTGAATTCTTAGTGCTGCTTCTCAGATACTTCTTTCTTATCTTTATTATTTTGCTATGTTTGGCCACTTAAGATACAGAGTCCAGTTTTCAAAATAAGGAATGGATTTTAGGAGAGTTTTTGATAAGTCAAAGAAACATAAAAGAAGAGAATTGTTGAGATATGATTCAGGAACTATTTCTGGAGATAGCTGAACCCATGCTTAATAGGGTGCTAGTTTTGCCGGGCAGCTTTGACATGTGACAACTGTTTCTCCTTTTAATTTCCAGTTATTGTAGAAATAAATCTGGCTTACATGGTATTTCTCCTTTTTATTGCTTGACCTGATGTTTTTTTCCCCATGCAAGTCACTTCCTAGCAATTCACTCCAATATTACAGCAACACCCTGACTGTCCTGTGCCCAGGTATGTTGACAGGTGAAATCCCTTAACATAAATTTTGTCAAAAAAAAAAGCCTGTAAAAGACAGATGCTGGGAAGTGGAAATTGATAAATCCAGGTGTTACAAATGGGACACTGTTAAATGCAAGGATTGCAAATGTTATATAAGTAAACACAATGTCCATAGGTAGGAAATTGCAAAAGACAGGTGCTGTGAATATTGGTCTATGAGGCCAACAGACAGCCCTTTGCAAATAACATGGGCCTTTTAATAGACAAATAAGAGCTGAAACTTTCATGCAGAGTTCCAATCCCCTGGTAGAGGATCTTTTTGGCTAAGTAACTCACTAAACAATGATGAGAGGACAAGTGTAACAACCTCCCTTTAAACTAATCTCCCTGGGTAACCTGCCAGGGAGTTTTTCCAGGAACATTAGCTACCAGCTCAAGAGCAGCCTTTCATGTAGATACTTTTATGAGATGATTGATAGAAGTAGGGCAGGTCTCTTGGTTTCAAAATTTCTCTTTTACCAGCCTGTAATATGCCTGAAATTGCACCATTAGCAATATATTTTTTGGATTAATTCTCTACCACCAACAGGATAGATAGAGCAATCATTCATTTATTCATCAGATGTTTATTAAGCACTTACTGTGAGCCAAGTACTATTCTTGGTAAAGGAAATTCAAAGGTAAGTACAACATCGTTCTTGCCCTTGAGATGTTGAGAGTCTAGTTGGGAATACAGGAGGTAAACAAATAACTACAGCAATATAACTAGTGCTTTGATAGAGATAGCGGTAGGCTCTATGGGAACACAGAGGAAGAAGAACTTGACCCGGGACTCTTGAGCTGAGTCTTAAAGGATGAGTAGGAGTTTGCACACAGATGCAAAGGATGGAGGTCTGCAGTTTGGGTGTGGGAGGGGAGAAGGAATAAGGGATGATTTTGGACCATTGGGCCATAGGGGTGAGCATCCCTGTGCCTGAGCTGGGATTACAGTTCTTGGGTTCCTGTGGGGCATCATGTCAGTGTTGGCTGCCTATATATGTAGAGAGAGTGCTTCTGGAGATGGGGATGGGGGTAGGATTTATGCAAAGAGGAGATGGAGGATGGCAGAGACCAATGCATCTACTTGGATGCCATGGAAAGCCTGACGGCACTAGATTTTTCTTTCAAGTCATCACCTCTTCATTCAACTTGCTTTCCCATCCAGGTACTTTTCTACCCAGCTGTGGCACACCCATGACTTCAGCAGGGAGAGAGTTAAGACTTTGAGGATGGACAGCAAAACTCCATCTATTTTTTTTTTGTTCGTTTGTTTCTGTTTTTAACATTCATGATTTGGGTATTGTAGAAACTATCAAAGATGGCTTAAATGAGGTCTTTGTGTGATAGGAAATGTTCTTAGCTCTGTGCTTCCCAAACTCTTTTAACATTGAACTGCTCTCTGCAGAACATCCATCTTGGTGAGCCTTCACTAAATGCATAGAAGTGACAGCAAATAATGTAGCTGATCTAACTACCTCCCCTATAGGATTTACTTTCAGAGTTTTAAGGGAAATTTTCAAGCAGAAAATGGTTACATGGATAAAATTGTTGAGATTTAATTAGACTTTTATAAGAAATGTGAGAGAATTTTGTTATCAAAGTCTAAGCGGTAGGCTGGGTGATGTGGAGATGTCGAATACCTTGACTTTCACTTCTGAAGAACTGGTTTTAAGCATCCTCTTTTCAAATAGACAATTAATTCTTACATAAGAGATGGTGACCAACTAGTCTCTTTTTCCAAAGAGGAATAAAAGACAAAAAGAAAATGGTTGGAATTGTGGTTAATGATATTCAGGTTGGACCAAGAAAGATTATTGGGTGCTTCAATGGATTGTCAAAGATGACAGAAAATTCCATCTTTGTGGTAATAAGTACCCTGCTATGTCTATACTTTTCCTTGACAAGCTTTTTCATACTAACATTTCACTTTGTACTCAGAATCCATTCCTTGAAAGTTCCTTGGTTTATGGTTGAGGGAACTGATACTCAAAGAACATTAAGAGACCTGGCTAAAGTTACACAGCCAAGTGGTAATAGATACAAGCTTTAAACTCAGAGTTCTTTCTAATACCTGACACTTTTGTCTTCTAGGCTGTAAATGAAAATACAGCAGAATCAGATCTGTCCAATAAATCCTGATTGAAGGCCAGAACTGAAAGTATTTCTTCTGAGGCTGAGAAAAATTCCATCTCAAACATTGAAAGGGTAGAAATAGGCAGTGAAGTCCTAGTGCCTGCTCTGTTTGGCCTTTCTGGGTTAAAAACATACTTAAAATTGAGTGACTCTGTTGTGGAATAAAATCCAAACAATCTGGGTTGAAAAAGACTGCTTAGGGGTGTGTGGGTCACAGTGATGCTAAGGGTATTCTTTTTTTTTTTTTTTTTTTTTTTTGAGACGGAGTCTTGCTGTTTCGCCCAGGCCAGAGTGCAGTGGCGCTGTCTTGGCTCACTGCAAGCTCTGCCTCCCAGGTTCATGCCATTCTCCCGCCTCAGCCTCCCGAGTAGCTGGGACTACAGGCGCTTGCCACCGCGTCCGGCTAATTTTTTGTATTTTTAGTAGAGACGGGGTTTCACCATGTTCGCCAGGATGGTCTCGATCTCCTGACCTCGTGATCTGCCCGCCTCGGCCTCCCAAAGTGCTGGGATTACAGGCATGAGCCACTGCGCCCGGCCCGCTAAGGGTATTCTTGATATCCGCTGGGATAATGTGACCACAGGACACCTTGCTTGCTTTCTCCAAGAATCTCAAGAAGACTACAAACCCCAAGAAGGGAGGCATCTTGTTCAAGATCATGTTGGGGATAGAAGACAGAGTGAGAATGAGAAAGCAGAGATGTTCATTTGTTTTATGAACATTTACTTATCTGCCAAGGTCTGTAGCCCTGGCCTTCCCTGTGAAGAGCAGCAGCCTGAACCAACGTTCAGTGGCCGGGGCTGCCGAGCCAGGACCTTACGGGGCTGCAGCCTGTGCTGACCCAGGGCCTCCACAGTGCTTTGCTTGCAGATCCCCCCAAAAGAGTTGTGAAAAAGTCTGTGCCTCATCATGCGTTTTCAAGTTGACATCCCAAAAGTTTCATGATAATTTTAAATGGTTGTAAATGATGCAATTTCTGGTGCTTTATAAATCTTGACAGTTTAACATAAAATTGTTGCATTACTCTTTTAAAGTTTCCAATAAAATATAAACACTGCAGCTATTTGATACCTTCTATTATGTATTCAAAGATATATAAAAGCCCTGTTTTTAACAGTCAAAGATTTTTCATCATTTCTTTTTCTCCTTGGATACATATTTACATTCCATTTCCTTCTTAAAATTTTACCCTAATACGATATATTTTTATGCTGGAAAGTCTTTTACTGATCACGCTACCATATTACTCTGCAACAAAAAGAGGCTTATAAATTAAAATTTAAAATTTAAAAATTTTATAAACATAAGGCTTTGTGTTATACGCTTCTTTTGGATTGAATTTTCATCACAGATACTATTAATGTACAACTGAGCAAAACAACATATTTACATTATGAGCTTTTCGAGGTAATTCTTAATATAAAATGTACCAGAAATAATATATTTTACATGATCGAAGGGATATGTTGTCCGATTCAAGAGGCTTTCTAGACACCTGTATTTCAAATGTCTCCTTGTCTGGGCACCAGTATTTCCTAGATTTCCTTGTTTGGTGTCCTGGGGGCATTCACACCACAGGGATATGGACCTGGAAGGATGCAGGGTGAATGACAGGTGTGCTTCTCTGCTGAAGTGTAGGATAAGGATGCCCCTTTGAGAGACAGGAGAAGCGGCAGGTGGGCTCCAGGCTCTGCCCCGGGTTGTCCTCCGGTGAACGTGAAGACTGAGCACATATGAAAGTTGAGGGTCTGGAAATGAATTCTATTAAATCATGACTTGTACACAAGTTTCAAGATGTCCTACACTACTCCAATCACTTTCGAAGGCCACTTGGGAAATTGTTAGCATGTTCTTGATTCATCCACATAAGAATAGTTTGCATAAGCTATTCAATATAAATACAAGCATAAATATGCCTGTACTTTGAGAAATATGCCTGTACTTTAAGAGGAAGACGTGTTTTGGGGTGTTTCATCTGGATAATCAGTTGCAATAGACACTGTCACCCGTTTATCTGGAACAAATAGAACTATTATGTGCTACATAAATTATAAATGATTGCAATATTACTTCATCGCAAGATCATTATGGTTACAGCCTGCCCTCCTATGAATTAGAATCATTGACTGATATTATGCTGATTGGAACAGAAGTCAATTCAATGCATCAGAACTTGGCAAATCCCTAACCACACATGGTTCACACACATGCGGTTGTTGATTTATTCCAGCCTGTTAGTCAAGATAGTTAACATACTATGGTAATATTTTCCACATTCCTGGAGCTTAATATAATACAAATCTATTTCTTGATCATACTATATCCAGAGGGGGCTAGTGAGAGGTTCTGGTTCACAAAGTCACTCAGGGACTCAGGGTTGATGGATGCTTCTCTATCTTGCAGCTGTACCATCTGGATAATGTGGCAGGAGAGGGGAGAGACAGAAGAATTGAAACAGGTCTTCCATCTCCTCAACCTGGAGGTGACACAGTCACTTCTGCTTACATTTCATTCGTCAGGACTAGTCCAATAGTTGTGTCCAAATGCAGAATGGCTGAGAAGCTCACTCTGCCATGTGCCCCAGAGGAGAAGAAAACAGAATATTCTTTTTTTTTTTTTTTTTTTTTTTTGAGACAGAGTCTCGCTCTGTCGCCCAGGCCGGACTGCGGACTGCAGTGGCGCAATCTCGGCTCACTGCAAGCTCCGCTTCCCGGGTTCACGCCATTCTCCTGCCTCAGCCTCCCCAGTAGCTGGGACTACAGGCGCCCGCCATTGCGCCCGGCTAATTTTTTGTATTTTTAGTAGAGACGGGGTTTCACCTTGTTAGCCAGGATGGTCTCGATCTCCTGACCTCATGATCCACCCGCCTCGGCCTCCCAAAGTGCTGGGATTACAGGCGTGAGCCACCGCGCCCGGCCAAAAACAGAATATTCTTGCTAACTAAACTATAGTAGAAGTTGATATGGGTGGCATTGGTCAATTGGTCATTGGTTAAAAAAATGATTACCAAGAGTTAGTGATTAATAATAAAATAATGGGGTTATATTCATCACAAAAAATCATTATGTAAGCAGGACCGAACATGACAAAGGCAGAAAATTTGAATCTGCTATGTAAAGAGGCAAAAATGTAAACCTTGGGAGATTGAAACTTACCTTCAAGTATGACTTTGACTGAAGGAAGACCTATCTAGCTGGCAGAGGTACTTCAGCTGGGTCATACGAATACATGACTGGAAGTGTCCTGCCATACTTGACAACTCTGCCCAGCTCTTGTTTCCACCAGGCTCCACTTGGCCACTAAGTGGAAGTCATTCGGCAAGTTCATGAGAGTCACTACTGAGAAGATATCCCTTTGGTTGCCCTCGTGACTTTGCCTATTTCTAGATGTATTATGGAGCAATGACCTCTCTAGCAGGGCGGTGGTGATTAGTTGTAACTTCCCCGCCCCCAGGTACTTGGAAAATGGCCGAATCAACAACTTAGAGTGAACTAGCCAAGTGTTAATTAGTTATATGGCATTGAGGTTTACCGTTCCAGGAATGTAAATATTTGGAATTATTCCTATCAGTGTTATCTATATTCTTTTAGATTTCAGGGATGGGACCGCTGCAGGTTGACCCAAGGGTATCCCTATAAAAGATCCTTGGAATCTACAATTACAAGAGTGCATCATCTTTAAAAAAGAGGTTTCAGGGAACAAATATCCCTTTTTGTCTATTGAGGTGGCCTGGTCCCAAATGTCATATCAAGGAAAGGGTTACCTGACCTGTGTAAGACTAGGAACCAGAAATGTTCCTGGCTGCATAACCCTAGTCTCGCATGACTTCTGATACTGTAGGAAAGCAAGCTGGAAATTAATGTGTGGAATTCTAAGAGAGATGCAAGCAAAGTGACCATTTGGGAAGGAATAATCCAGAATGCAAATACAAACTGAGCCGTCATTTATTATTCATCCTTGGGTGAGAGGGAGAAGAACCAGGGGTCAGAGAGAGAAGACATTACAGATTGAATGCCAGCTGAAATATGGAAGGAAAGGTGAGTTTGCCAAGAGTTATATTAGTAGGGGGACTGTGAATAGAATGAGGGTTGATGGCTGATTTCTGATGGCCAAATAAATGTGTTTACTCTTAGGACCGTGTTTTGAAAATGACAGAGAACTTAGAATGCATTCACAGAAGGGTAAAAAGAGAAGAGAGAACATTTATAAAGCTAATTAGAAGAGGAAGGTTCTGAAAGCCCTACTGAAAAGAACACTTTTCAGCTTCCTTTGAGAAGACATTTTCTATCTAGCTCCATTGAATACGTTTGAACTGGCCTGGAACAGTTAAGAAGGTAAAGGGGTTAGGGAGGTTGAGGATCAGAATGGTCTTTGGGGTTTAAAGCCAGGTCCACTTCTACCCAGCTGAGTTGGCTTGGCCAGGTTACTGAACCTCTCCAAGCATTCAATTTCTCTAATTAAATAGCCGAGGGTGATTGACTGAAAGGATTGTTTAAGTGTAAGACCAAGTTCTGTGGGAAGAAGCATCCTCCATAGTGCAGCACCTTCGTCACCACTCACTTAAGCTCTAACATATGGCAATAACTTCTGTATTATAAGTGAAGAAACTGAGCCTCAGTGAGAGAAAGAGGTTGCTAAAGTTTCAGGAATTAGCAAATGTTGGACTTGAGATTCAAGTGAAAATGGGTGAAGAAACATTCCTGTAGGTTAGGGTAGCGCAGTGGGTTGAATAGCAGCCGCTCAGAATGTAAGTCCATGTCCTAATCCCCAGAGAGTGTCAGTGTTAGCTTATCAGGAAAAAGGGTCTTTGCAGATGTAATTAACTTAAGAATTTTGAGATGAAGACATCGTCTGGGATTATCTGGGGAGCCCTAATTCCAATGACAGGTGTCCTTGTAAAAGCCAAGCAGAAGGAGATCTGACTGCCAGAAGATGAGGAGGCAAGGTGACCATGGAGACAGTGTGATGTGGCCACAAGTCAAGGAATGCTGCCAGCCAGCAGAAGTTGGAAAGGGACAAAGAAGGGGTTCTCCCTGAGAGCCACTGCAGGCAGCACACCCTGCTGGATTTTCAACTTCTGGCCTCAAAACTGTGAGAGAATAAATTGCTGTTGTTTTAAAACACCCAGCTAGTGGTAATTTGCTATGGCAAAAACTGAATACATGTGGGAACGGCTCGCACTTTGTGAAGGCCTTTGAGCACCTAAAAAAGTGGACACAATAGTGGATAGGTCTGAGCCTTGACTATGTGGTTCCTTCTGGGGGTCAGCAGGTCACCCAGATGAAACAAACTTTCTCAGGGCCTTAACAAGTAATGAAGGTACAGCTTTGGTGACTGAGCGCTTCCCTTGGTATCAACTTCTCTTTCCAAAGAGCCTCAGGAGATGAGGCCACACATTCCCATTTTGCAGATGAGCAAACAGAAGTCCAAGATAGTTACATAATTAGCATGCACCACTGGCTTGCTGAGGTAGAGGGCCATCATTTGAATTCACACATGGTAGATGAATTCTCCCACCGGGAGAGCCAGTCCCCAGGATCAGGCCATAAATAACCTCGCTGCGTTCTGTCTTTGGGGGCTAAGCATTGCTGAAAATCACAAGGCTAGTCATGTTAGTCATGTTACCACACCTTGTTATCCTAACAACTTAGGCTGCTGTAGAATAAGCTTGAATTCTCCTCACACTCCGAGTACTCTGGCTTCCCCTTGGGACGGACGCTGGGGCTGAGCTGCCAGGAGAGTTTTCCCTAAGTGTAGTGTATAACAGCCCAGTGGGTTAGGTGGGATCTGGTCCATCCTATGGCTTCTAGATAAACAGACAGGAGGAAAGATGGAGATGTGATGGAAGGGAGAACTCTGCCAGCAGAGGTTTTTAAATACTAACATAAGTTGTGAAGGCCTCAGCGTTATTATGGGTCTTCCAAAAGAAGGAGAAAGGCCATTCTGCACCCTCTTCAGCTTTGCTCTCTGAACCGTGGGTTGGGGGATTTCCCCCAAAGCCTTCTTCTCTCCTCCATTCTAGTTCTAGTGCCTGAAATGTTGCCCACAGTAGCGGCCAGTGCACGGCCTCTGGGTTTGTGTAGACTTGGGTTCAAATCCTGATTCTATAATTTGCTGACAAAGCAATCTTCCGCAAGAAAGTTAACCTCTTAGCTACTGTTTTGCACCTGTACAATGGTGGTAAGTCTCTTTGGCAGGGCTGTGGTGAATTCAGGGCACATAGTAGATACTCAACAAATCTTTTTCACAGGGGTGAAGGATGATAACAGCTAACATTAAATGAGCACACTGTGCACCCCACACACTTTACTTGGACTATTTCATTTCATTCTCACAACCACCCTATGGAGGTAGGTACCATTATTAGCTTCATATTGTAAAAACTGGGTGTTAAGAGGTAAAGCCAGGTGTCCACATGCCCATAGCTCATAGCAGGCAGAACCTGGCTCTGTGTCTGGCCTGTCTCCAAAGACCAGGCTCTTCGCTGTATTTAAAGTGCCTATCATAGCACCTGATACTCACCAGGCATATTAAATGATGATAATTAGTATGAATTCAACAAACATATATATTGAGGGCAACTATGTGCCAGGCACTATTTACCCATAAAAATATCTAAACAAGTAACCTGGTCACAGGTGGGAGCACTACACTGTTGCATCAGCCAGCTTTGGTCAGGGAAGTGGTACCACCGTGAGTGATGTGGAGGAAGGGATTGATTGCAGAGATTAGACCTTATCCAGTTGTGGAAGCTGGTGAAGAATCTCTAGAAGGCTGCTGCCTCTGCATCTGAGGATGGGTGTGAAGTTGCCGTAATGCCAAAAGGCCGGAGGAAAGCAGGACATGATGTGGGAGAGAGTGAGGCCAAAGTGGAGCCCACAAGGACAAATAAAACCCTTGTTTGCCTTTCACCACTTCCGATCTCGACCATGAAACATAAAGCTGGAATCTTGACTACAGAGCTGGACACGTACTTTGCCCAGGCCTCAGAGTAGCTGAAGGAGGAGATCTAGCAGGAGCTGGAGGAGCTGTGGGCTCCACCATCAGGGTGAGCCAGCAATTCGGTGACAATGAGCGCATGCTGCTGCTTCATGTCCACCTTCCAGAGGCTCCACAAATACCTGTTGTGGACAACCTTAACGCAGAACCACATAAGGAAGGCAATTCTGGGAAATAGGTTCCAGCTTAGTGAAGTTGACCTAATGCAAAACCACCACACTGATGTTCCCATCGCTGGCCTTTGAGAAGGAACGGTTGTGCGTGGCCCTATGTGGAGATAAAGAAGGTAAGGTGTCAGAAGGCACATTTAAGCTGGGCTTTCTGACTCCACTCTTCCTACTCTGGCTTGCTAATCAACTTTACCTGGTTTGAAATGCCCACCCTTATATACAGGCAATTATGTGGATTAGAAATTAAGGATGAAACATCTTCCCAAAAGGTCACTGTTAAGATTTACCCATCATCTTGGTGCTCCTAGCTCTCTACGACCAACACAGAGTGGCTGACACTTCAACCAGGCAGCTTGGATTGCAATGAGGACAATGCAATGCATTTGGGCTGGAAACACTGCACAGGTAATTTTTGCAGGTGGGTGGCAGCATTTAGTGCTGAGTGGCTGTTGTGGTGGGCAGAGGGAGAGAAATAGAAGGGACACCTTGCAGACTTGATGGGAGACTTATTCTGAAGAGATTGATTAGCAGTGTTGTCCCTGGCTAGGCAGTGGGGGGAGGGCTCTGTGTCAAGAGGTGTGTGTGTGCTAAGGGAAGAGGAAGAGCCTGCTTGGCAACCTGGCTTTTCAAGCCTTGGACCAGACAGGGAAGAAGAAGAAGAAGAAGAAACATTTACGTGTAATCCCACCTCCCAAAGACAGCTACTGTCAACACTTTTTTTCCCCACCTGCCCCAGATTGAGGATACTGTCAACATTTTGGTGTGAACCCTATTTAGTCTTTTCCCTAGTTCAAATATAAACCTGACTTTAAAAGGAAAATGAAATCATAGTGCCTGTAATATTTTCGTGACTTGTTTTTCTTTTAATGTAAATCATCTTTTTCCACGTTACTAATATTCTTCCTTAATATTGTTCATGTCTATGTAGAATTTAACTGTATGAATGCACTCTAGTTCATCTATGCGGTGGTTAAGAGCGTAGGCTCTGAAGACTGCTAGGGTTCAAATCCCAGGTCTTTCAACATCAACTGGCTGTGAAACATGGGCAAGTGAGTAAACGTTTCTGTGCTTTGGTTTCCTCACCGGTAAAATGTGGATAAAAGCAATTCCTTCACAGGGTTGTTTGGAGGAGCAAATGACTTTATGTATGTGAGGCACTTAGAATAATCTCTCAGTGTTATTATTTAACCAACATTTTTGTTGAATATTTAGTTCATTTCCAGGTTTTCACTCTTACAAATATACTGTAATTAACAAATTCAGTGCACTCTTAATTGCTTCCAAAGAAAATATCTGTGGTCACATTTAAAAATCTTTTCCAGAGTGAATCATGCACTCAACACAAATTGAGTGTCCATATGTACAAGGCATTATGTTATGCACAAAGAATAAACACAGTTCTCTTCTTGAAGACACCTAAAATGTAGTAAGGAAGAGGAGAGAAAAAGGCTCATGCAAATATAAGCAAAATACTATGCAGAAAGAGGGCACACATGAAGACCTATGGGAGATTCTTTAGCTGGAGAATCAAATCATTCAATGACAGAGAAATGCAGACTCCCTCCTCTGCTCCCACCACCTCCCAAATCCCCAAATCGGAATTCACAATGGTCTCCTTTTGTCATGTTGAGAATTTGTTACCTCGAAAGAGCACACCCAGGGCTGTGTTCCAAAGTTAAAAGCTGGGATATGGGCGTATACTGCAAGACCAAATATTTAGGAAATACCTTTTTCTGGAAAGGAAAGAACACATTTCACAGCTGAAAAGAGAAGTGAAAAATGAAACTAAAGAAGCGTGGAGGTAATATTTACTTGCTAGATTTATACAGTGCCTACCTTTAGAAAAGCTGGGCTATAAATCCTGCACGTGACCCCCTAACACACATACACTCTGTTCCCAGTGACTTGGCTCTTTGTGAATTATCTGCAGCATATTTTGCAATCATTTCACCCTGTTCATCTCCCTGCAGCCCTGCCCCCACCAGCTCACCCACACTTCACCCCTCAGAAGAATGAGTAAGATAATAGTAGAGACTGAGTTTGGTGTCAGATATGCCTGGGCTAAGTCCAGGCTCCACATTTACTCAGCTGGGTGACCCTGGACATTGTAATTCAAGTCTCGAAGTCTCAGTTTCCATATCTGTAAAATGGGGATAATCATGACGATAACACATAGCTTATTGGATCGCAGTGAGGATTAAATAAGATAAAGGCTGTAAAGGGCCTATCACAGTACCTGGCACAGAGCACTCAGTAGTGTTAGCTATTATTATTATTCCTGCACTTGTGTGTAAAGGGGATGCAAACCAATTTTACTATTCATTTAAACAAATTATCAGCTACAGCAGCCTCTGAAACACAGGCCTATAATGCATCCTAAAGTAAATGCGAAATATTTGAATTTGTGTCATTTCTAATTTTCTCTATTAAGTTGAAAATTGAGTATGAACACACCAGAATGGCAAAGAGGCCAGATTTCTCTTGTAACCAACAAAATTGAGATCGCTATTAACATTAGAATGAAGATGACCGAAACAGCTTAATACTTCTCCCAGGGGCACTTGCATTTTACACTGGGGCCAGAACCACTGGACAAAGGAAGGAAACAGGAGTGGTAAGGTTTCAGGTACCAAGGGACGGACAGATGCATTTTCATAGGGGGAATTGCAACACTCCTGAAAGTATCTCAGGCACTCACTCATTTATTCAATACATATTATGTACTTACTATCTGCCAGATACTGCTCTAGGCACTGGTGAACAAAATAGATGAGACACCTGCCTTCATGGGGGTTACATTTTAGTGGGGGGATACAGACAATAAGCAATAAAGTTAATGAATAAGTAAACTATATAGTATGTTAGACAGGATTTCAGTAAGAGTAAGGGGAGATAGGGAGCGCTGTGGGGGTCTGTCAGTACTGAATCAGGATGAGGTCCTGGTGAGCCTCACTGAACAGGTGAGATTTGCGGAAAGCCTTGAAGAAGCCGAGGGAGTTTGTGTTTCAGGCAGTGGGAATAGCTAGAGCAAAGGCCTTACAATGTGCGTGTGTGTTGAGGGGTCATTCCTGGAGTGTCTGGGGCCCAGCCAGGAGGCTAGTGTATCCCGAGTGAGGGGGACAGCAGTAGGAGATGATGTAAGGGGATTTGTACTCAGCCATTCCTGTAGGTCACCACAAGGACCATGGCTTTTACTAAGTGAAATGGGTAACCATGGATGGTTTTGAGCAGAGGAGTGCTGGGATGTGATGTTTTAAATGGGTTACTCCGACTGCTGTATTGAGAAAATACCAGAGGGGAGAGGGAAGGTAGACCAGGGGGATCAGCCACAGGAGAAACCTGGGTGAAGGATGCTGGTTCAGCCCCAGGTGGTGGCAGTGCAGGAAATGAGAAGTGGTCAGGTTCTGAATTCACCTGAAGGTAGGGTCAACAGGATCTCCTGATGGACTAGACGTGGAATGATGAGAGAAAGGAGTCAAGAGTGACTCCAGGATTTTGAACTGAGCAACTAGAAGTATGGGATGGTCATCGACTGCGATGGGGAAGGCTGTGTGAGGAGGAGCAGGCTTTGAAGAGATCAGGAATCCAGTGTTTGGATGTATTAGGCTTGAAATGTCTATCAGACGGAGTCAGCTGTAGTCTGGAATTCAGGAGAGAGGTCTGGGCTGGAGATAGACATTTGATATAGACAGCTGCTGAAAGCCACGGGAATGGTTAGGGTCACCCAGGGAATGAGGGTGGATGTGGAGGCGAGGAGGTCTTATGTGGAGGCAGGTAGAGGTTTTCCCCAAGAGGGAGTTGTAGGCCCCCCTGAAAGGGATCACGAAGCCCCACTGGAGGGGAGCCCGGTCCTGCAGGGGGTGCCGTGGAACTTGCTGTGGTTGCAGGGAGTGATGGAGGGAAGTGTTTGCTTCTCCGGGAAGGAGAGGTGCTGGATAGATTCCTGCCGGAGTTGCAGAAATAATTAAGAGAAGTAGGTAAGGATATCCTAGTAGAACACGTGCTCGGCTGCCTCCAAGGAATTATTAAACCTGGGTCTAGGAATCTGTTCAGACATCTGGGCACCGCTGCCTCGCCTACCAGGCTCCGCCTCGCTGCCCCTCCCGCTTCCCCTCCCCTCCTCTATCTGTCACTTCTACAACCGCTCTGATTATAATTGATCAAACAGAATCACGGAATCACGGCTCATCTTGCCGTTTTGTTCAGTGGCCCGATCCGAAACGAGACTCTGGTAGTCGGGCAAATTGTATTCCTCCTCCTTGGAATTCCGCTCACAGAGGCCTTCCCGGCGTGGCCGGCCCAGCAGGGACGCGCCGCCGCAGCGGAGGAGAGAACGCGGGCGGGGGGCTGCAGGCCGGCGCGGGGGGCGCGACGCCGCCGGCGGGGCGCGAGGGGGTGTGTCCGCGCCGCGGCCACCGCGGCCACCGCGGCTGGCGCCCGGGTGCGCCGCGCGCCCCGGCCTCCCCGGGGGCTCCTCACGCCGCCCCTCGCCCGCCGGCGGCCGGGGCCCGCTCCCTTTGACGTCATGCGGGCGGAGGGCTCGCTCGGGCGGCGCTGCCGCGGGCGCCGGGAGGGGGCCCGACTTCGGGCTCCAGTCCGCCGCCGTGCGCCCCGCGCCGTGCGCCCGGCTCCCTGCGCGCCGCCGCAGCCACATCTGGAAGCGTTCAGCGCGTCTGCCTCCGGCGCGCCGGGCGGGCGGGCGGGCGGCGCGGGCAGGGGCGGGCGCGGGCGCGGCGGGGCTGGGCCGGGGGGAGTGAGCGCGGCGCTCTCGCGCGCCCGGTGTCTCCCTCTCGCTGCCTCTGCAGAAACAGCTCCTGCCAGAGCGGCGCTCGGCGCGGCGCGGCGGGCCCGGAGCGGCGGCGGCGGCTCTTCCTGCCTCCGCGCCCAGGAGTTGCCGGCTCCCTTTGACAGCAGAGAGCCGGGCAGGGGCCTCAGGAGGACTCGCTGGGAGTGGGCAGAGGCGCCTCGGCCCCTGCCGGCCCAGGCGGGCCCCGCGCGCCCCCCGCCCCTCCTCTCCGCCTCTTCTCGCCCTGCCTCTCCCGATTTATTTTTTCAAATGGTGTAGCCGCCGGAGGTGCGGTGCTCAGTTCTTGGAAGGGGCCCGGATGTACTGAGGATGCGTTACAGTTTCACTCGAGGAGGCAGTAGTGGAAAGGAGCAGTTTTTGGGGTTTGATGCCATAATGGGAATCAGGTAATCGTCGGCGGGGAAGAAGAAACGCTGCAGACCACGGCTTCCTCGAATCTTGCGCGAAAGCCGCCGGCCTCGGAGGAGGGATTAATCCAGACCCGCCGGGGGGTGTTTTCACATTTCTTCCTCTTCGTGGCTGCTCCTCCTATTAAAACCATTTTTGGTCCATGGTCAATGAGAATACGAGGATGTACATTCCAGAGGAAAACCACCAAGGTAAGGCTGGACCCCGCCGCCTCGCCGGGGCTCCCTGCCTTTTCCACCGGGTTCCTGCCCTACCCGCGCTCCCCGCGGCCCCGGGGCCGGTCCCTGCGGAGTGGCCCGGGGCCGCGTCCGCGAGGGGCGCCTCCGCCTCGTCGGAGCGCCCGGGAGCCCGGCGGGACCGGGGCCCGAACCGCCGCGCGAGACGGAGCGGAAAATTCCCGCCCCTCCCCCTCCGGGCCCCAGCTTCTCCAGAGCATGTGTTTCCTGTGAAATTCCAGGCGAGGGGGGAAAAGTTCCCCAAGTGGCTGCCGCCGCCTCGCTTTCTCGCGTCCGCCTGGAGAGCCCGGCTGCCTGGCCAGCCGCGCGGGGGGCAGAGGGCGCCGGCGCCGCGGAGCCCAGAGGCCCGGGGTCCCTCGCCCGGCTCGGGGCGCGGCTGGGAGCGCGCGCGCGCGCACCCTGCGCCGGCAGAGCCCGGCGCCCACGGCCGCCCCTGGGGCGCCCTCGCGCTGCCCGGCGTCCACTCTCGTCCAGGCGCCCCTGCCCTGGGCGGCGCGCTCCAGGTGGCGGGTGGGGGCGGCGGTGCAGATGTGAAGCCCAGCGCGCCCCTCTGGTTCCCCCTCTGTAGGTCCCCTTCTTCCTCTCTCCCTCCCTCCTCCGCCGCTCACCTACACCCACCCACCTCTCCACTGCTGTTGACCCCGAGCGCGCCCACGCCGCGTGTGTTCTCATTCGCACCCACATGTGGGCTAGCACCTGAGGATGGAAGCGGCGAGGAGCCGGGCGGTGTGTGGGCTTTGCTGTTTCGTGTTTGAAGGAGATCATGAAAGGGTGTGCCTGGCTCACGCGGCTCCATACTATTGCCCAGTGTTTTCCGAGCATCTCCATCCTTGGCCGCGAGTGTCACCAGCTCCCCCTGTGATGGTGAAAGGCAGTCAGGTAACTCCCTACTTCCTGGAAACTTTCTCCCTCACCGCTCTCCCCCCATATTAACAAGTTGTTTTCTTGGACGTTGCTTAGCATTTAAGGTTTTGGGGACGGGGGGTGCAGACAGGGTGGTCCAGCGGGGCTTTCTGGCAACCTCCAGGCATGACATCTCTTTCTTCTCGCCACTGCTCTGTCTCTTTGGGTGTAGTCTCTCCCTTTTCTCTCCCAGTTCCCAGAGCCTCCCTGTTTGCACTCTTCCTCTTCTCTTCCCCTGAAAGCCTATCTGTCACTGCTGGTCTCTGTTCCTTCCCTGGGTTCTTCCCAGTGATCCTCTGAAGACCAGCCTGGTGGAAGGAGTTGTCTCCAGGTCTTTTTGTCCAGCTTTTTCCCTCTGTTTGCTCCCAGCTCCACCTTTTGGGGACAGGGCCTTCACTCTTTAGAGCCAGAAGCTGCCATCCAGCCTGCCTGGTCTCCATCTATCCTGAAACCGATTTTGGGGCCAGTCTTCTCTGCTTTCCAGCATGGGTGGCAGCTTGGGGATTGTGGCCTCCTTTGGAAGAAAGAATCTTGTCAAGGGTCATGGGTTCTAGGGTGAGCCAGAGCTTTGGGGTCACAAGGGCAGTATCCATGTTTGGATTTCTCTACTGTTGACCCCATCCCTCACCTGATCCCCTCTCCCTTCTGTAGCTGATGGGCTAGTGAATGGTTTAGGAGGGAAGGAGTGAGACACAAAAGAGGGTGGTATTTGTGAAGAGTGGGGATGCAAGATGACTCCCCTCCAGGTTCTGAGACTGCGTGCTTTACCCACCTCCTCAGTCTAAGCAGCATTGAAGAGGAGAGCTCTGTAGTATTGCCCTAAGTATCACTGTCAATGGCAATGTACTGTGGTAATAATAGTGATTATTCACCTTATTCACAGGATGATAATCTTAACTAGTTTACAAGGTCTCCTCTTAGTGCAGGATAAACCCCTTCTGAACCCATTTCCTTACTCTGGTTGTTTTCTTTGGCCCCTTTGCCTCTCAGCATCTCCCTGCTGTATGCTGGGAGCAGACATTAAAAGTAGGAGTGCCAACCCCAGAGAGGTTCCTGAGAAAGGTAGAGGGGAAGGGAGCAAGGGAGCCAGCGGCTGAGAGCTCTACCTTTCCAGCAACATGCCAGCAAACGCTATGGCAACCTGAATTCCAGTTCTCTCCCTTGAAGCTGCAGTGATTATATAATTCATGGGAGCAGTTTTGCCTCCATTTCTAGATGCGGTTCCCAGGTGGAAGAGCACCAAGATCCCTGTCTCCCCTCTACTCTCCATCTTCTCTTCTTTAGTTGGTTGGCATTGCCGAGGTTGTTGGGGTAGGAGAGGGGAGGAGGGTGGTGGAGGTGGGAAGGGCAGACCTAGAACAGAATGAATATTGACAAGGAAGAGGTTGCTGTGGCTAATCACTAAAGGGGGCGGGTGAGCCATCATAGGGGTTAGAGTTTCAGGAGACAGAAGAGGAGTCTAGGACTGCCTCAGAAGATCAGTAATGGTGACGAAACAAAGAGTCGAGAACCAAAAAAGTTGTCAGTGGCGGGGGCTGTGCATTCCTCTCTTCCCGACATGCTCTGAGATGTGGAATGCACCAGTCCTTGCTCCCTCACCTTTTCCGTGGAGTGTGTGCATGTGTGAGTGTGTGTGAGTGTGTGTGTGTGTGTGTGTGTGTGTGTGTGTGTGTGTGTGTTGAGGGTCGAACTGGAGACTGGAGGTCAGTGCCTGGGAACAGCCTGGAAGTTCATTGAAGGACCAGCTTCTGACCCTGGGTTTCAGGCTGGGGTGGCACACTCAAGCCTTGCCTCGCCTCTGGTGCCCTGTCTGCTCTGGGCCTGTGCCAGCCTCCCACTTTTCTGGGCCGATTTTCTATTGCAGGCTCCAGCTAGCAAATGAGTGTCTTAATAGTCAACCATTGAACAAATAAAACACCAGAATGTCCCTTATCTGCTAGAGACAAGGCAGAGGGGAGAAACATGTGTTTGGGGAGTGCAAGACACACTGTGCTTTTCTTTTAACTACTTAGCGATTCAGCAGAATAAGAATCACTGTAATAAGGTAATAATAATAATGATCACAGTTAACTTTCTTTACAAATGGTCAGAGAACAACATTGCTCGCACATCAGCTTGAGCAGGTTAAAGAAAGCTGTGGCAATAGCTTTGCTTTTTCTTGATCCTGCATGGAGAAAACTGGAGGAAAGGGGCTATTGGAGTTCATCATATTATTCCTACTATTGGTCAGGCACTTTTTAGTGTTTTAGAATATGACAATATATTAAAAAGAGTCAATTTTTCATTATTTCCATAGAATACACACTAACAGTATTTAAGTGTGTGTGTGTATACATACACACATGGAATAAGGAAAAGCTATTTTAAATAGATCACACGAGAGGCTAATGCCCTTCAGGGACCTGGGGTGTTGAGAGAGAAGTATTGATAATGCAGTCTCCTAAGACTGTTTAAAGATTTCTTCTTCATAGTAAAGGGAGACTTGTTCTTACAGGTAGATGCTGCAGGCACAGTGCTTTGTAAATGAAATGATGAGCCGTTAGCCCCGTGGGACCATCTCTCAGTCTTGGCAATGACCTAGGTCTCTTCAATTTGTTCTTCAAATAAAACTGCTTGAGTTGGGTTCTTCTGTAAGACCTATCAAAGGGATCCAAGGAGCATACTGACTGGAGATTTCGAGGCCCTGCTCATCTTGGGATCCCTGCTTCCTAGTACAGGCCGCTGCTCAGTCCAGGGCCTCGATGCAAGGCTGAACAAATAAATGTCTGCGTGAATGAATGAATGCGACCTGGCCAGACCTGCAGTAGATGTGGCTTCTGCCTCTTCCAGTAGGTGGCGCCACAGGGCTTAGGAGTCAGGAAAGGGGCTTCAGGGTCCGCCTGGTGATGAAAGGTGTAGGGGGAGTTTAGAGCTTGTGACCTGTTGGGGCTGTGCTGCTTCCATCAGGCCCACACCTGCCCCGGCACAGGTAACCCAAAAGACCAGTGTGTCTCCGTGCCGCCGCACACACTGGAGGCCCTCGCGGCATCACTGAGGGACCCAGGTCCCACAGTGACCTCTCCACCCTGTTGTAATGAGAACTCCTTTGGAGCCCACCCAGTCCGTCGCAGGCTCTTCCCACAGACGTCTGTTCCCTTCCAGCACAGACAGCATCCCGCCGAGCCTGGAGGAAGCCTTTTGGGTGAATCGCTGAACTTGGTATGGCCAGATGTTAATTTTCTCCCTGATTTTTCACTGATGGTTTAGTAACCAGAGGGCCCGGTGGTGCCCAAGCCCAGTGGAGCATGGGGTGACCTGAAGCATGGGATCTGGGAACCCAGACCTGTGCAGTCACAGAGCTTGCCAGCCAAAGGCAGGAGGACATTTTCCTAACTTTAATAGGGAAAAGAACACAAAAACAACTGGGTGCACTTCACAGTTGATTTCCGTTTATGAGTCTGCCTGGATCTCCTGCTGGGTAATGGCAGAAAAGCTCAGGAGACCCAGGTTAGGAAGTAACTGAGATTTGTTCTAATTTCCAGTGATGTTTTCCAGCGCCTGGCATTTTCTTTTCTATTCCTTTCTTCACTCGGTTTTCTTAGTTGTGTGGCAAGTTCCATGAGGTCTGAGAAGCCCTTGGCACTGTGCTAAGAAGGGGTGAGTGGCTGGCAGCACTTTCTTCCTTTTACAGTAATTCCTCCCGCCTGATACAGCAGCTGTTTGTTCTGTAGGAGGTACAGGTCAGCCGGCGTCATCTCACCTCTTCCTTGCTGGGACCCTGAAATCAGTGCTGAGCATTCAGATTTAGCAGACAATTTTATTTTCCAATATGGACTACAGAAAGCTGATAGACTGTTTGCGAAACACCTGGAGACTTAACAACAAGCCTAATTAACAAAATAATCACACTGATTTCATCTGTTTCTAGATTCCATCCTCACAGTTGCCTAGGTTAATGTTGGGCACTGTGGAGGAGAACAGAAGATTGGTTTTAAAAAAAAAGGCATGGGGAATTGTTTTGCAACATATCAGGTGCCAAATATTTAGGGACAGAAGTGCTAAACATTCTGATAATGAAATAACACTCTGAGCCATGGCTGTCATTATTAAAATAATTTAGTAAACACCTGTTTACATGTACCTCAAGGTTAGATACCACGTAAAACAAGTAAAAGTGACAGGATCCCTCGGGGAAAATGGAATGGAATGTTTTTCGGTGTCATTTCGAAGCCGGGTGTGTAGACTTAAACTGAACCCACTGCAGAAAAAGCAAAATGGAAGGCTGAAATAATGAATGCCATCATTTGAACTGAAACCTGGGCACTCCAGAAGAGCTCTTCTCTGTGTTTTAATTCCTAGATGGGGTGCTTATTTGCTCAAGACCAGGCTTTCCTGAGCCTGTGTAGACACGGGCCTGGAGCAGGTAGACAGACCCTCTTGGTTTCTATAGTTGAGGCACCCCTGGAGGCAGCTGTTTATCATGGCAGGAAGGGAAGTGGATGCATTCTCTACTGCCCCCTTTCCCCTGCCGAATTCAGGCAGGACCCGCGCAGGTCCCTGGAGAACCTTGCTTCAGTGCTAGCTGTGTGTACCGTGTGGGCAGGACCCCAGCTGGGAGATGGGGAGCCCAGGATGACCCCACAGAAAAGCAGAGCTGTGAGATGGCTGGAGCCTCCGAGAGCTGAGATGCAGAAGGTGAGGGGAAGCCAGAGGAGCCCCAACTCCCTAGGGTGTCTGGGAGGGTTTGGGGAACAAGGTCATCAGGGTAGTCAGTTACTCCTTGTGGAGCTGAACTGAATTTAAGTTGGGATTGTAGGGACTGTAGGAGAGAAGTTTGGGCCTGGAGCTCAGGAGTCGGACCGAGGTTGAAAATAGACCCTTCCTTCCCTGGAAGCCGAGGGAACTAGAGGAAGGGTTCATCTGGCTGAAGCAGAGGGTGAGGAAAGCGGGGGTTAACTGGCAAGAAACCCAAACCTCTCAGCCCCTCCCCTCCCCAAAACCCCACAGAACAGTTCTCTGCAAAACACCTTCACTTTAAAATGGGCTTCTTGTGCTATACCCTGTGTGTATAGGGGGCAAGGGGCTAGGCTCTGGTTCGTTAAAGGGTTTGTCAAACATAGAATAAATGTAATGTCTCTTTGGGAATTTACTTTCTAGGATCAGGACATTTTATGGGTAAAGGAACCTTAGAGACAATCCTCATTTCCAGTTGAGAAAACAGAGGCCCCTAAAGGTTCATGGAGGCAGGGATGTAACTAAATACAAGGTCTTCAGTCTCTTCATCCTCCTGCCTGTACCACACTTGGTGCTGGCCCCCTGAGAGAGCATTGTTAGTGCTTCTGGCTAAATTTTGCTTGGTAGATCTTTCAACCTCTCTATTCTTCCTCCCCCTGCCTCCACCTTTGTACTGCCTTAAAATAATTTCTGCGATGTTAGATTTAGGAATGGAGTTGGAAGGGTGGGGTGGGGGAAATCTATCATTGGAAAGGTTTAAAAACACTTTCTTAGGCTACAGAGTAGAAGTTCATACATGTCCACAAGAAACTCCTGCAAAATTCAGATCACGATTTTGTCTGCAAACAGATCTGCCTCTAAGCCTTTTTTATTTGCTCACTTCCTCTCGGCCCCAATCTAGGCTTGTTTCAGCCCCTTTGCGAGAGTGGGATGGGGATGGGAAGCCGGGCTGTGCTGTGGGACTTCCCTGGTGAGCTGCTGGGATTCTTCATGGACCAGCTGGCATTACCAGTAGCTGGGGTATAGACACACAGATCAGCCCCAGGGTAGAGACTGTGAGACAGGCTGCCACAGACTCCACCTGAGCTGGGCGACCAAGGGCGTCTTTCTGCTCCCATGTCAGGGTTGGTCTCCTAGGACCCCCGGCCTACTCCCAGGAGACATTCCCAGCAGTGGTGGTAGACTCAGCCCATGGAAGAGAATCACTAGGACCTGCCTCTGACATTCCCATCTTCCTTGAAGTGTTCATTGGCTGACTTGTTTCATACTCTTTCAAGTCATCTCTGAGAAACTGGAAGGCCTCTGAGGCTGACTCGGTCTAGCTTGAAGACGGAGGCATGAGCCAGGCTCATGCTTAGAGATGTGGCTTTTGAGTTCCCTGGAGGAAGCCATCATTTCAGAACATAGTGTTGTGATAATTTCATGAAATATTCAAGCTGCCAATTTGCCAACAGGGGTTTCTTTTAATACACTCGGCTACACTTGGTGTTGCCCACTTGAACCTAGCTAAAAGGAAAATAAAATAATCTTGTCTCCTGTCCTTTAGAGAACCAAGCCAAAATCTAGACAGTGAATGAATGTTCTTCTCCATATTGCCTGTGGGCAGAAATGTTGACTTGAGTACTCAATTAAGCTCTATTTACTTTATAACCATTGTGTCATGTACAGTCATTTATATTCCTTTCTTTCTTCCAAAATAATCTACGTTGGGCTAAAACCTTTCAAAGACATTAACAAAAGTAACAAAGTAAATAGCTAAAGAATAAATAAGGCTGTAGGCTAGAGAAATGACTTGGGTCTTGGGTCACATTCTTTGACTTCATCTCTTTCTCTGAGAGTTCAGAAGGAATCAAATCCCTTTTTTTTTTTTTGTCTGTAAAGTGGAGATAATAATCCTTAGCCAATTCACTTCGCAGGGCAGCTGTGAGGATCCAAATAGGAGAATGAGTGTATATCGCTGTTCAAACATCAGCTACTCTTATTCTCCCCATCAGCGAGCAGAGCACCAGAGTTTGGAAAAGCAACGCCATGAAGTAACATTCACAGCATTTCAAACAACTTTGGAGGTGTTGTGGGAGGGCTGACATTATTCAATATTTTAAAGGTGAAAATGTAAAACAAAGAGAAACCAGAGTCTGAGGTGGTCTGGCTGATACCAGAATAATCAGGGAGGAAGTGAACCATTGGTTGAGATGGGCCTGGTATTTTGCCCTCCAGAGAGTCTAGGAGCCTGTGGCCAGTAGGCTCCCAGGACGGTGGAGCCATGTGCACTGCTGGCACTGCTGCTGTTTCCAAGCTGAGGGTGAGGACATGGGGATGCAGGGTATCCGACGCCTGGCAGCTGTCCACCTGCCATGCTGCTGTCCCCTCACTGCCACCACACATGGCTGCCTGGCTTCGGCCTCAAGTCCAAAGCCACGCTGGCCTGAAGTCCTTTCATGGCCTGAAAATAGGGCCATTGAGGGCAGGAAGAACACCACCTGGGCAACCAATGTCTCCTCACTTTTGAACGTGAATTCCCCAAACCTAAACCCAACTTCCCAGTACAGGAGGACGGGCTGGAAAATAAAACTTTGCTTCAAAAGTAAACTTTGGGTTTGGAAAATAAACTTATTTATTTTTCATAGCCAAAATGTTGCAGGTTTGGAGATAGAGGGGACAGTTCTGTGTAGCTCCCTAAGACACTGATCAAAATAGGAAAGAGCTTTAACATTATAGTCTAAGTGACAGGATTAGTTTTAGTTTCCCAAAGCAAAAATAATCCCATCATCAAAAAGTATGCTGGGAAACTTTCGCACTTTCGCATTTGTTTGCACCTTGTTCTACCCCCAGCTCTGGTCCTGTGATCTGTGGAGCCATATATGTTTTAATTTTTCTCTAAAGAAAAAAAGCTGTATTGAGGTATAACATCTACCTTGTTATAATTTTAAAATAGAGCAAGAGTAATAGCCACCATTTATTGAATGCCTAGCATGTGTTAGACAATGTTCTTGGTGCTTCATGTGCTTAATATGTTTTATCCTTACAGTAATCCTACCACGTGGGTTTTAATTATATTTTTTAGATAAGGAAACTGAGGACCAAAGTCTTAAGCAATGTGGCCACAGCCACCCAGACAGTGTTGGGGCTGGGAATTAAATTCAGGTCTGTCGGACTTTCAAAACATTTGCTCTTTCTGTTACTTCTCCCCATGGAGAACAGTAGAAAGAGAAACCCACTATCTCTCTATCCTGGGAAAATGACCTTGTCCTTGCCTTCTGGAACCTGGCTTAGATTTGCCTTGTGGAAGCTCAGAGCTGGAATCCTTGTTCTTACTTGATGGCTGCATGTTGTCGTGGTACCCCGCCTCCCCTCCTGGTCCCGTCCTCTGGCTTTCTTTCCCCTTATTCCCAGGGTTTCTGCCAGGGCCCTCCTTGCTTCTTCACATCTCCTCACAGGCCTTCACAGACCACCTAGGTCAGTACACCTTGTCTCCCGGGGGACCCATTTGTGGCATGGCCTTGCTTCACCACCCATTCTTGGAATATTTCCTCAGTCACTCCCTCCAGGAAAATAGACACTCTCCATTCTCAAACGAGATTCCCGTGAGTCCCGGGGACCATCCCTGTAAGCTGAGCTCTCCAGACTTCATGCATTATTTATTTATTTATTTTGAAATAGCAGCTTTGTTGAGGTATAATTCGCATACCGTAAAATTTACCCTTTTGATGTGTATGATTCAGTGGTCTACCTACTTCCCCAATATTTTCATCACCCGCAAAAAATACCCTTTACCCATTGGTAGTCACTTTTCATTCCCCTCTCTCTCCAGCCCTTGGCAACCATGAATTTACTTTTGTCTCTATGGATTTTCATGTGTTATTGACAGCAATAATAATTCCTTTTTTTTTTTTTTCCTGAGGTGTAGTCTCGCTCTGTCACCAGGCTGGAGTGCAGTGGTACGATCTCGTCTCACTGCAACCTCCGACTCCCTGGTTCAAGCGATTCTCCTGCCTCAGTCTCCTGAGTAGCTGGGACTACAGGCACCCACCACCATGCCTGGCTTATTTTTGTATTTTTAGTAGAGATGGGATTTCACCATGTTGGCCAGGATGGTCTCCATCTCCTGACCTCTTGATCCACCCGCTTGGCCTCCCAAAGTGCTGGGATTACAGGCGTGAACCACTGTGCCCAGCCAACAGCAATAATAATTCTACAGTTGGAGTTTGCTGTGTAGTCTGACTGTTGATAACATATCTCACAAATTTCAGACCTAGATAGGTCATGACAATTTACATGATAAATGATGACATTGAAAGGAAGCACGTGAAATTAGGGAGCTGGCTGTCATTTGGAGGTGGGATTAAGCGTTTTCTTTCAATTATACAAAAAAGTGGTTTTAGCATTTTTCAAAGGTATCTTAGCATAATGTCTTCAAGGTTCATCCACGTTGTACCATGTGTCAGGACTTCGTTCCTTTTTATGGCTGAATAGTATTTCATTGAAAGCACACGCCACATTTTGCTTATCCATTCTTCTGTTGATGGACACTTGCGTTTTCACCTTTTGGCTATTGTGAATGGTGCTGCAATGAACACCAGTATTCAAGTATCTATTTGAATCCATTTTTAGTTATTTTGGGTTTACCTAGGAGTGGAATTGCTGGCCCTGCAATATGACTTTTTAGCTTTAAGAGCCCACTTCCTTGGGTAGTGCCCCAAATTTGAAGCCCACGTAGATGAGACTACAGCATTAGGAAATCCTATTGTGTCAGTAGTGAGGGTTTGGTATTTAGTCTGGGCTCCCAGTTCCTATACCAGAAATTTGACTTTAATTGGTGTTTCACAATCTGACAGCTGCCTTTTGATGAGGAGTGACTGATACTGCCTCTGTTCAAAAAAACAAAATGAAACAAAAACGAAACAAAAAAAACCGGTGTCTCTATATCCAGTTCAGCTTTCACCTCGTTGCTGACCTGGCTTCGTAACTCAACAGGAAATTGGTGTTTGGCAAGACAAAGCTATTTAGTCTGTCTCTGTCTCTCCCTCTGCCTGTGTGTCTAGTCCAGGAGCACCCATGTCTGTGGCTAGAGATGTGGGCCTGATAAGCCTGGGGACTGTTGGGAGAGGGTGGCTCCCCTCATGTGTGGCTGGGCCGAGTCCTCCCTGGACTGTGAGGGGGAGGCAGCTCTGTGCTCTGTGCTGGCCAGGTGCTGCCTGCCCTGCCCCAGGCATGACTGATTAATAAGGGATCTCTGCCTTCAGCCTGAAAGCTGCCTTCAGAGGGGAAAAGCAGCTTCCCAGGGCTCTCACCTGCTCCTCATACATCTAAAGTCTAGGCAAGAGAGGCAAAAACGTGAGAAGAAAGGTAAACAGTCCGGGGAGAAAATTGGGAAAGGAGGAAGGGGAGAGGGAAGCGAGCAGTGGGTAGACAGCCAGGGGAAACAGCAGCACGTGGTAGGCTCTTGGCTGTGGATTGATGCCCCAGTTAAATGACTCTGGAAGCCTCTTTCCAGTCTTGGGATAGGTATTTTCTTGGTGATCATTTTACCTAAGAGTGATAATATCATCGGCTGCATTTCTGTCTTAGCATGTTGAACTCTGCTAATCTGAGGAAGAAACACACACATACATTGATGCCTCAGCTGAACCCATTAATCAGAGACCTGGGTATGGATAAAAAAGCGCACAGGCTCATGGAGGTATGTGAAGCTCAGAAGACTTTGCACTTTGAAGGCCAATGTACTTAATTTAATCCAACCGACTATTAGTAAATTCCTCTCCTTTGGGCTCTGCCCTCACACCCCCTCACTGGCCCTGCTCACAGGTGCCTCTGGGCCGCTGTGCAGAGCTGGAATGTTGCACAGCATTTCTCCAAGGTGGAAGCTTCTGTTGCCATATCTGGCTGCCTGAGACATCCTGGGGATTCGAGCTATACATCCAAGTGGATTTCAGTGACTCAGAGCTCATATTTGGTCTGTCGTGAATAGGATCTTGTGCCTCTGTTTTTAAAATTATTTAAAAGGCAAAAATTTTGACCTATGCCCAGCTGTCTGAAAGACCAGGAGATAAGAAGCCTTTTCTAGGATAAATTGACTGTGAAATATCTCTGAAAATGAACTGTCTCATGCCAGTTGTGATGAAAACAATTCTAAATAGTTTTTTTTCCTCCAGAATAGGAATGGTTAGTCATTAACAAAAAGTTATTGAGCGTCTGCTATCTGCAAGGCAGTTTGCTTATAGGATCTCTGGATTCAAGGGTATCTTCAAGGTACAGCCCTCAACTATCCCTTCCTTTAAGGGAAGTATCTATTCTAGGAGGTAAGATTTATGCCTAGACACACAGACATCCGCAACTGTAATAAAAGGCAGAACATGCTTGATGTTACAAGGATATAAAGATAAAGGCTCACAGATTTAAAGAAGAAGGGTGGTATGGAAAGATGGAATAAATGGAGGAAGTGTTATATGGAGGTTGTGACTGAGCCGTCCCTTGAAGGGTGGATAGAAATGGGGTGGAGAGGAGAGGCGCACATTCCCAACAGAAAGGGTGGGATGGCCTGTAATGTATTCACAGGGATGTGCGTTGGATTTCAAAGGAGTAGTGAGTTGAGTTTGGCTGGAGCAAGGTTTTGCAGGGGGAAGAAGTGGGAGAGAAAGTTGGAATGGCAGGAAGGGGATAATGCGTGGAGCACCCTGTATTGGGCTGAAGAGTTTGCATGGCATTTGGTAGGCAATGGAGGGCCGTTTAAAGTGTTTGAGTGGAGAGAGGGTATACTCAGAGCTGCTCTTCCAGGCAGCAGGCTAGAGGATAAGGTAGGGGAGTCGAGGCTGCAGGTAGAGGGGCAGTTCTGAGGCTGTTGCCACTGTCCAGGCAAGAGAGGGAAGGAGTGATTTTCCCAGCAGAAAGCCAGAGACAAGGGAGCCCTGTGCTGTGATCTGGATGGGAAGGGTAGAGGTTGTATTTGGAGGCAAGTAGAAGATGCCCAGCATGCACGCAGAATTAGAGTTCTGTCTAAGAAGGTGCTATTTGAAGCTGTGGAGGTGGAGCCATTGGGGAGAGAGAGAGCAGAGGGAAGGAACGATGGAGAGCTGAAGACAGACAGGAGGAGGGTAAAATGGAGGAGACAATGACAGAGTAGTCAGGGAGGTAGCGGGAGAGCCTTACTACTGCAGGGTCTTGGGGATCAAGGCAGGAGAGCATTTCCAGGAGGCCGTCATTGCTGAATGGAGTCGTGAAAGGGAAGATGGGAACTGAGAAGCCCGCTGGATTGAATGATTGGGCTGGAGAGTGGGTTCAGAGTGACTGTTGTCCCGCCGAACTGTGCAATGATGAGGCGTGGTGGTTGTGAAGCAGGGGCAGCACATGGGGACCACTCTTTCAAGAATTTTGGCTGTGAATAAAAGGAGAGGGGAGGGATTTGTTGGCACATGAGAGATTGGAAATGCAAGAGAGGGGAGCAGATGGGGAAGAAGGCAGTAGGCAGTGGCGTTGGGGATGGGAGTGGAAGGCTCAACCCCAGCAAAGGAGGTAGCACTCTGTCTTCAGAGGCAGACATGCAGTAAAGCAGGGGATGAGGAAACGTAGAGGGGCATGGGGGGAGCTGGAAAGGAGGACAGGAGGGGCCTCGGGCAGGGGTGCTGAATCCTGGGAGGGATGAGGCAGCTGGAGTGGGGCCTGAGCTTGAGGAGACCGGAAGAGGGAACGGTCAGTGGGAAACACTATGAGACACCCAAAGAAATCCACAAGGGTGCCCAGGTCCCAGAGGCACCGGCCGAGGTCTGGAAGCATGAGTTAGGGGCCAGGAGTGATTGGCATTCCTAGAGAAAGCTTCCCCAGAAATGAATTTGGCAAAGTGAGACAGCTGCTGACTAGGTCTGGGGGCAAAGGGTTCTAGCTCTGTAGGAGGCGTGCCAAGCTCGAGCTGGTGTGGGAGAATCAAGGTGGCCAGTGGGATGCAGGAGCCAGGATGCATCGTTTTAGTGGGAGTCAGGGAGTCTGAATCCCCCAGCCTGCCTCCATCCCAGGTGGATTAGTCATCAGAATAGCCAATGGGCCCCTTGAGCTCTGAGTGGATGCACAAAGGGCCAGGTGGACTTTCTTTGGGGAGCATAACAGGAAGAAGATGACAAAAGCCTGGGTGGTGGAGATGGTGGCAGTTTAAGGATGTGGGCTTAGGACTGTGGACTAGGATGCACGTGTGTGTGTGTGTGTGTGTGTGTGTGTGTGTGCGCGCGTGTGCGTGCCTGTATGTAAGGGCAGGCACATGAAGACAGACTTTATTGGTTTCACAGTTTGGCCTCCAGAGGGTCTTCTGGGTGCTGACACCAAAGCAGAGAGAGCTCGTGGTGTGCAGCCCTGAGGTCACGTTTGTGACGTGGATGGAAGGAAGCAGGGGATGGGAGGACTGGTGGAGGTGGACGTCAGACACCAGGCTTCCCACAGACTGTCTTGGGCATCAAGGACAAGGAACCTGCACTGTTAACCTCAGTCAGGGCGCAACGGTAGAAAGGAGGAGTGATGGGGCAATCAAGACCACAAGTGCCAACCTCAGCGCACTCACCTGGAGAATACTTACCTTCACACTGTTCCCACCCCTGTCTTTCCATGCCCTTCCATCCAAACCAAGCCCAGCTTCACAGCCTATGATATTGGCTCTCTGGAGAACCGGTTAGCCTTTGTGGAGTGTTAAGCCCTGCGATTTTATATCCTTATAATTATATCAGAATATCAAATTCCTGAGAACAGAACATTTTGTTATTTTTTTCTTCATCCTCTCCCCTGTTGTAATCCCACAAGAAAAATGTTACAAACCACTGGAAAGCCTCTGGTTGGATCCCACTTGAGCTTTACAATGCCTTGATTTCCCTGTAATCAAGAAAAATATGATATCCTGAATGTTTCATGAAAGGATGTGAGTCTTTGATGCCAAGGACAGTAACACTCCTTGAATGCCATGGAAATATGCTCTGCTGAGTGGCTCTGAGCTTACCCTTGGTGTAGGAAGGTGTGAATGACCAGCAGGTACCCCCCAGACCCTGCCCCAGTCCCTGTCACATATGCAGAGGACTCTGGTTGGGAGGGGTCTGGTGTGGGGGAGGGTTGTGAGTGGCCTGGAGGCCTTTCCCGGAGGCAGGCAGAGAGGCGGTGGCTGCAAAGACCTAGTGTCTCTGAGTTGAGGAGGCTGGGCTTCTGCACCTCACTCAAATTCTCTGCAGCGGCCAGAGCCCCTGCATCCATTCTTATATGTTGGCATTGTTCCCAAAAGAGGCACAGTTGTTGACTTCTCATAGATGCCAATTTTCGTGATGTTTGCAATACTAGCTCCTCATGGTAAAATGCATAGACAGTCCAGTGGCCCCAAGTCCTTGCCTTTGTTCTTCCATTTTTGGCTAGGGAAGTAGCACTAGTCTTCTGTGTGCCTTGCCTGGAAACAGTGTGTTATGACGGCCCTCGTGGGAGTTGGCATGGCAGGCCCTGTGGCCACCATCTCACCCCGTCTGGCCTCATCTGGAAACCTACTTGCAGAGTTTGGCCTTATTCTGATGAACCTCAAGGGCAGCGCTGACCCCAGCTTGATCTCTTGCTGGGTCTGGGCAACAAAAGGCTTTGGGATTTTTCCTTTTTTCCACTCCAGTGAAACTTAGGCGGAATGCAATGTTTTCCTCTGAGGGTATCAGTTGGGGAATGAACTCAGAGTCCAGATGGACAGGGTTCCGCAGTTCCAGCTGCTGCCATACTCAGACAACTGGTCCTCTGCATTTCTTTGGAGTTTGACTTGGCTTTAATAAAATGAAGGAGAAAAGAAAATTTTGAGGAAGAAAATGACCAGAAGAAGAATGTCCTTGAGTTGAGGGAAGCCATGGAATGGGCTGGTATCCTGAGAAGTGGACTCAGCTCTTCTTCAGAGACCTGTAGACATCACAGCCTGCAATCCCATGCGTCCTTGGCCCTCAGACTGGTACAGCTAGCATCCCTCCTAATGATTTTTCCTGGGTCTGTCTGAAAGGGTGAGGATAAAATGGCAATCAGGGTCATCAACTTACATCTTTCAGGCCCAGAAGGAAATGAACAGAAAAGTTAAACCAAAGACGGAGCCTTATGGAAAGATTCCTCTAACACTTGGGAGCCAAACCCCAAGTTATTTGACTTGCATGTGGGGGGTGTGCCTGTACGTGTGTGGATGTGCATTTGTGTGTGTCAGAGAGAAAATAAGAAGCAGAGGAGGAGAGAGCAGTGTGACCGAGCTTGTAACCCCTGAAAGACAGCATGTGGTCACAAGATACAGCCATATCTGGGAGCAGGAATTTATGTTTTAGATGTATTGTTATCTGTCACATTGGCATTTTGTTCGAACCATTTAATTTTCCCATGTCTAGGATTCTGCATCTGACCTTCCTACCATATGAATCTATTTATTCTTGTAACCTCACTTATAATGACCGTTACTTGAGTATTTCAAAGGGATTGATGGAAATATGGCAGGAGAAAACTTTGTGTCTGGTCCTTTACGTACTATTGGCTGCATTGGGACATTATAGCATAGACTCAAATGCTTAAAGAGTCTTTTCTTTTCTTTTTTTCTTGAGACGGCGTCACTCTGTTGTCCAGGCTGGAGTGCAGTCATGTGATAATGGCTCACGGCAGCCTCAAATTCCTGGACTCAAGCAATCCTCCTGAGTAGCTGGGACTACAAGTGTCTGCCACCATGCCTGGATACATTTTAAATTTTTTGTAGAGGCAGGGTCTCACTGTCTTTTCCAGGCTTGTTTCAAACTCCTGGCCTCAAGTGATCTTCCCGCCTTGGCCTCCCAAAATGCTGGCATTATAGGCTTGAGCCACCATGCCCAGCCTTAAAGAGCATTTCTGAGCTAAATTTGCATTAAGAAAGAATGTCTTGGGGGTCGAGCGGGAAGAGTATAAAAGAGCCTTGCTCCATGACTTCAAAAATAGTACCAGAGACAAAGGACTTTGGGTCTTAAAGGAATGAGGATGTCCCATGTTTGCCTGGCCTTGCATATGAAACTACTGAGAGAGTCTTAAATCGGGGATGCTTTATCTTACTTGTGGTAGGTGTGACTAAGAAGTCACACCCATTTTCAAGAAAGTCTTTGAGAGGAAGCTTTATTGCATCTTGCATTCCTTTTCTTCTTTCTGAGTTTCTTTCCTAGTACTGAAGCATATATTTTTTAGTTCTTTCAGCAATGGTCTATGAGTGGTAAACTTCCTCAGTCTTTGTCTGAAATTTTCTTTTATTCCTTTTGGCTTCTCATTCTAGAATGATAGTTTAGTCAGGTACAGGATTCTGTGTTAGCAGTTATCTTTCTTCAGCAGTTTAAAGATATTCCATTATCTTCTGGATTCTATTGTTGCTGATGAGAAGTCTGCTGTCAGTCTAAATGAATAATCAATATTCTAATTTTTGAAAAGATATATTAGTGTTACGCAGTTTTACAATGATGTGTTAATTACATAGATTAAAATATATTGCTGGGAGTTGGTGAGATACTTCAACTTGAAGATTCGTATCACTCACCAGTTCTTAGTCATTATCTCTTTCTTTCTTTCCCTTCCTTTCTTTTTTTTTCTTTCTTTCTCTCTTCCTTTTTCTTTCTTTATTTTCTTTCTTTCCCTTCCTTCCTTCCTTCCTTTTCTCTCTCCTTCCTTCCTCCTTCCTTCCCTTTCCCCTTTCCCCTTCCCTCCCTCCCTCCCTGCCTGCCTGCCTTCCTTCCTTCTCTCTCTCCTTCCTTCCTTCTCTTTCTCCTTCCTTCCTTCCTCCTTCCTTCCCTTTCCCCTTCCCTTCCTCCCTCCCTCCCTTCCTTCCTTCCTTCTCTTTCTCCTTCCTTCCTCCTTCCTTCCCTTTCCCCTTCCCCCTTCCCGCTTCCCCCTCCTCCCTCCCTCCCTCCCTCCCTCCCTCCCTCCCTGCCTGCCTGCCTGCCTGCCTGCCTGCCTGCCTGCCTTCCTCCTTCCCTTTGCTTCCCTTTCCTTTGACAGGGTCTCACTCTGTTGCCCAGGCTTGAGCACAGTGAGTACTTGGCTCACTGCAGCCTTGACCTCCCAGGCTCAAGCAATCCTTCCACCTCAGCCTCCTGAGTAGCTGGGACTGGAGATGTGCGGCACCATGCCCAACTAATTGTTTCATTTTTAGTAGAGATGAGATGAGGTCTTGCTATGTTGCCGAGGCTGATCTTGAACTCCTAAGCTCCAGTGATGATACCACCTCAGCTTCTTAAAGTGCTGGGATTATAGGCATGAGCTACTACCGCTCCCAGCCTCACGATCTTTTCAAATATTATCTCTCCCCTAGTCACTCTATTTTGTTCCTCTGGAACTCTATTATTAAAACATGTATTGATCTTTCTCATTTTACTCTTTCTTTTAAATGTTCTTTCATATTCCATATTTTGTTATCTATCCTCTGCTACACTCTGGATAATTTCTTCTGCTTTGCTTTCCAGTTCACCAGTTTCCCCCTCATTTGTATCTGCTGCTTAGCCTTTAAATGCATTTGCAATTTCAATGACATTTTATTCCTGGAAGTTCTACTTTTTCAAATATTTTAGTTTTTTCATAGAGTATCTTTTTCCCTTTATAATTTCCATTGTGAATGATTTCACAATATGTGCGTGAATTCTCCATTCCTTGGTGCTCTGAGCATGGCCTGCCATACTGCCAGAACTGGAAATTTGAACCTGTGTTTTATAGTCCACTAATAATACTTTACTACCATCACAAGGATGTTGTGAAGACAAATGAGATAATGGATGTGGACATGCTTTGAAAGTATTCGTATATTTACCGGAAAGGGGTTATAATAAATATACCTCTGCTTGGCTTGTTAAATAATTCTCTCTTGAATCAGACATTTAATAAAACTGTATTTGTAAGGGGAAACTCTTCAAATGTATGCAACAAGATTATATATATACAAATATATATATATACAAAAAATATATATATATTTGGAAACAGAGTCTCGCTGTGTCACCCAGGCTGGAGTGCAGTGATGCTATCTTGGCTCACTGCAACCTCCACGTTCCGGGTTCAAGCAGTTCTCCTGCCCCAGCCTCCTGAGTAGCTGGGACTACAGGCACACGCCACCGTGCCTGGCTAATTTTTTTGTATTTTAGTAGAGACGGGGTTTCACTGTGTTGCCCTGGCTGGTCTCAAACTCCTGAGGTCAGGCAATCCGCCCGCCTCGGCCTCCCAGAGTGCTAGGATTATAGGTATGAGCCACTGCACCCAGCCTGACAAGATAATATTTAATAGCTTACCTCCTTTATTGCCTCCTATTCATGGCACCTAATGATTTCTAGTCTGTTCGATGGAACTTACTTATTTACAGAGTGTTTTAAACTTTCAAGATGTTAGTCCATGGTTTCTCCTTTTCAATGTTTTGGTATATAATTTGGTATATGAGGTATATATCAGATCTACATTAAAATATATTTTTGGTACATTAGGTATCTATTAGGTAAATTAGGTTAGGTGTATTGGGTATATGTCAGGTATATTAGGCTAACTCATTCTACTACCTTCATTTAGGGAACCGAAGACAGGGCAGACTGTCAGTCAACAATCAATCAATCCATGTTAAATGTGTGCTCACTGTGAGCTTGGCACTGTAATAGCCATTGGCAGAGGGCATAAACAAGCATAACCAATTTTGACAGCCATGTATTAAGTGTCTACTAGATACCAGACGGACACAGTGATAGATACGTTGATGAATAAAACAGATGGGCATCTGCTGTGCTAGAGCGGACAGTGGGGCCGCTGGCTGGAAGTGCATCACACATTCTCAGTGGCGGCAACACGGACCATTGTTAAACCACACTCGTTTGAGAAGTGAGTGAATCTTTCAGCTCTCAAAGTCTTGCTCTGTTTTCCATGGAGCTCCAGTGCACAGGCAGATACCCTGGCTCCATCAAGGACCAAGTGTTTAAAAAAACGTGGTCCAACAGATCAGCAGCTTTTGGTATAAGGGGGTCAAATACAGGATGAAACATGATATTTTGTGAGGTTGAGTGGCTATCTCTATGTCACTGAAGTTTGTCTTTGGTTGTCACCTTACCCTTCTGTGCCCTTCCATTGCTGTGGAACATTCTCACTTCACCCTCAGGGATCTAGGGCTTCTCCCTTGTATCTCTCCTTCCCTCTGCTGAAACATGACCACAGAGAAAGGGCCCTTGCTGCACTGTTCTTGCTCATCCTGGCAATGCAGTGCTGGCTGTGTCTTGGAGGAGCTGGGCTGGCCCTCCAGGCCAACTTTGCCAGGAGACAGCACAGGTGGGAGGAGAACGGTCTTTAGGATGTAGCTGAAAGCCCCACAGGAGCAGAGCCACCTGGAACCTGCTCAGAGGGCGGCTGGAATCAACTATTTACATTTTTGTATAAATTTAAGTCATTTTGTCTTCCCTCTGAAGTATTTGCATGTTCAGCCTTTTCTCTAATTGTGAAATGAAAGACTGTCTCCTTTCCAAGAATTTCAGGCATCAGCAAATAAGTTCAGGAGGAATTAGTAAGATGGAAATCATCCTGTGGATGATTTTGCCCAGCCTATGACTTCCAGTTAAATCCGGCAAAGGAGAAATCTAAGATGACAAATAGGTTTCAGATCCTGTGTGGATCCAGGACTGGTTATGGCCACCTGGAGTGCTCTGTTGAAAGGACCCTGAACCATTGCCTAAGCTCCTAGGGGAAAGTGTTCAGTGATGGATTAGTGATGTCTGCCATAGGCCTAGGCAGGAGTGAAGGTAAGCGGCACCACTGCAATTCTGGCCATTCCTCATAGAGTCAGAGAGTTGCTTAGGTTGTATTTTATACAGCAAGTTGATTCAATCATTGCCATCAAACAAATACCCAATTCAGTGAAAAAAAAATCAGTTGAAGTATGTGTTAGGATAATGTAGATAATGTAGGAAAAAACATCTGCCCATTAAAAATTATATTCTTCCCTTTTTATTCAGCTAGGTTGGTAAATCATAGACATATTTTTAAAGGTGAATTAATTTGAGAGCTTCTAATTTCTGTTCTAGACTCCTGAAGGAGTCTGCAAATAATACTTTATAGTTTTACTGCACCTTCATTCTAAGGATTTTTCAAAACATCTCATGCATGTTGTCTCATTGCATTGTTTACTTGACCCCATGACAGATTTGTTTCCAGCATACAGGTGGGGAAACTGAGGCTCGGAGATGATCTGACTTGCCGAAAGTTGAATGGCAAGTCTGAGCAGGTGCAGGCTTGGCCCTGCTCTTCTTCCTTTGTACCATGAACTTGTTGCGACTCCTCTGGGGTCTCCTCTGGGAGATGGAAATTTCCATCCAGGGAGTACTGTTATTGATAGGCCCTCTCAGGGGGAGGAGACTGCCAGTGCCGTGACTCAAAATAGCTGTCTCTTCCCTGCTGAAGATGTTGCCCTTTCCGCAGCAAATGGATGAATTAGACCCCCCTGCTTCGATAAAATACTTTAGGGTTTATAGGGTGGAAAATTTTGTTTGGAAATGAAAATAGCCCATAGCCATCCATACCCTGAAGCTGTCAGCTAATGCCATCTGAGTCACCCCTCCCCATCTTCTGGCACCTGTGGGGAGCCTCCCTGTGGTCTACCTTGCGGGGTCTGAGCTTGGCCATATTTGGCATTCTGGAGCCTGCTGGCTTTGGAAGTGCCTTTCAACCTGCCAACACCCACATGGGGACCCGGATCAAGCCATGTGTTTAAATGACTGGGCTGTGGAGGGAGCTCCAGTGGAGACGTCCAAGGGATGTAGGGCCATTTACTTAACATAAATCAGTTCCCTGAGTGTGAGTGTCTTAATGCATTCCTTCAGTTATAAACAGTTTAGAGCCATGACAGCCAACATCTTTTCACCCCCGCTCTCCTTAGCCCAGGCCTCCATTTGGATTTGTTTCTACAGCCAGAGACTTTGATGATTGCAAGGGATGATAGGGAGGCCATTCTGAAGACAAATAACCATTGTTTATGGAGCCCTGACTCCTGGGGTGGCAGCCGCTCACTGGGTGCAGGCATGGGACCTGCTCATCAGCTCCTGGTGGGCACTAATCTAAGTGTGTCCCATACTCTATCTTGTTTAATCTTCCCCTCCCATTGATGAAGTGGGGACCTCTTACATTTTACACTTTAGAGAAAATTTTACATTTATGGAAACCCATTTTACAGAGAAGAAACCTGACGTTCCCAGGGCCTCATTAATTTGCTCAAGGTCACACAGCTATTGAATGGGAGAGCTGGAATTTGAACGTAGGCAGCTTGTTTTCTGAGCTCTGGCTTCTAAAACGCTTTGCCATGTTTATGTTATTTCCTGTCTAATTTGGAGGCTTTGTTGCTGGGCTTTTGAGATCTTTCTTGCTTGCTTAAATAGCAGTCCATAGGTTGGCAGAACAAGCCTGTGGATACTGCCCTGACCTCCGGTAGGAATGTTCACAGAAGTGGCGTCAGTACCATGGACTTGTCCTTGTCCCAACCTCAGATGTAGAACAGTGGAGCCAGGTTCCCAGAGTCCTGGCTTGTGCTGTGCCCCAGGTTTCTCCTGGGAGCGGATGTGCCAGGGCTTGTTCTTGGGAGTCTGCCTGCACCCATGGAGAACTGACAGTCAGGGAACCCATTTTGGTATAAACAGGGGTTGGTATATTTAGAAATAATCTCTAGAGACTGTCATATGTGCTTATCTGCATGCTCAGAGATAAAAGTCAGGGAGGTGGGTCAGTAAGAAAATGCTGGGGTTGACATCCAGTTGACACATGGCTCTTTCCCAGGGACACAGGGCAGCCTGATACATAGGGCCTATTTTAGGGTCTTTCATTATCGGTTTGGAATTGTCGCTGTCTGCACTGCAGTAAAACAAGACTCGCCTGGATCTGCCTTTCCTGACTTGAGAAAAAAAGATCCTTACACAGGCTTGCCTTCGATTCCCATCTTTCTCCAACGTGCTCACATGTGCTAGGGTTTTTTGTTTTCTCTCTGCAACCCACCCGCAGACGTAACCTTCTGATTCACTGTCTAATTTAGGGCAGAAACTTGCAGAGCAATGTCAAATGGGTCTGTTTTCACTTCTGGATATTACACATGCGTAATGTTCTTGCTTTGAAAGCATTCCAAGAGGATACGATAAATAAAGGGGCTCGTACACATACAGCTCAGTGGCCACGTGGCTCACATGGGTCTGCTGCTTTTGGGAGCGGGCCATGTTTCTTCTCCCCTTCCTTCCCTCGCCTCACTCCCTCCCTACCTACCTCCCCCCTCCCTTCCTCCCTTCACTTTTCCCCCTCCTTTCTTCCTTTGTTAAGCAAAATAATTTTTTCATTCATGAGCAAAAACAGTTTTCCAAGGGATGTGAAAAGGCAACAGAGATGGTATCTCTAGTACCCTGTATTTTTCAGTCACAAAATTATTTGCCTCTGGCTTTTTTCCCAAGTTCGATTCCCATTTATTCTACACTTGTATCGGAACCATTGCTGTTTTTAATGGGATGACACAGTTAAAATGAGCCCCTGCTTTATAGAATGGGACTTGTTAGACGGGTCACCCTGGTTGGAAGGCCCGGGAGACCTCTGGCTCTTTAAACACGCAGTTGCTGTGTGTGAAGGACACTGGGTTCTGCTATACGGCACTTTCTACTGAGTGGGAAATTGAGACATGGAACATGAACCAGCCACCCCTGGAATCCAGGAGAGGGCTGAAGCACTGGCTGGCACGTGCCCTGGAGCGGACGCCATGCTGGGCTCACTAGCTGTGGCTTCATGTTTAGCAATGAGGTCGAGCAACATTCATTACAACGCATTGCCCACTTAAGTTTGATTTAAGATGTGTACCGTTTATGATCAACAGGGAAATTTAATTTAGGTACAGCTAATAGCTGCATGTGTGAGTATGTGTGTGGTAGGTTGATGAGAGTTTCAGGCATGTTGTTTAAATTTGAACATTAGCTAACCTTCTAGGTAAGTGTTTCATAATGGGGTATCCCACATATAAAAATGACATTAGGGTTCAGACTTTGCAATTGATTGCACATCTCTCTTTTCTAAATGTTTTCTTCTGTCTTTTTCAAGAGAAAGGGGAGATCTTAATGTATGGGTAGTCCAAGGTACATAATGTTTTATATCACAGTTTTAAATTTGTATTACTTTTTAAAGAGGAAGATGAAGTAGTAGTATTGGCTAGACTGGGTTGAGTTGGGATTTGCAAGTAAAAATAGCCTTACTTTATTGAGTATCTAGTGTATGCCAGGCCTTATGTCAGGAACTTTATGTGACTTGTATAACTTAATTCTCACAACAACCCTGTGTTGTAGATATGAGTGTGAACAAAGGAGAGAATAGGTTCAAAATAGCTAATGCCATGGCAGCCCATAGAAGTTTGGAGCTGGATATAGGGTTTGGGGCTGAGGAGGCAAGAGTTACGGCCTCAGGCCTATAAAAATTGGGGGAGCTGGAATGGAACCCTTGCATAAAGCCCAGAACCTTAAAGAGCTTCCTGTTCAGAGAAGGGAGATGAGAAACTCTGTTTACTGCTTTGGAGTCAACAGCAAGGAAGTGTTCTGTGTGTCCTGGGGCTTGCTGTGTCACCTTTGAGAGAGCAAAACTCTCGGGCTGTATCAACCACATGTGTGGCACCTGAATTCATACTACTTGCATACTATAGGAAATTTAGGATAACAATTAACATAAAAATGAAATCTAAGACATTGATAGATTAATGGATAAAGAAAATGTGGTGTATACATACTGCTGTGGACTGAATAGTGTGTGGAAGCAAATTCATGTGTGGAAGCCCTAGCCTCCAATGTGATGGTATTTGGGGATAGGGCCTTTGGGAGTTGATTAGGTTCAGATGAGGCCAGGAGGTGGGCCTTCCTGATGGGATTAGTGCCCTTAGAAGAAGAAACACCAGAGAGCTTGCTCTCACTTTCTCCCTGCCACGTGAGGACACAGAGAGAAGGTGGCCATCTGCAAGCCAAAAGGAGAGCCCTCACTAGAAATCCATCTGCTGGCACCTTGATCTTGGAGTTCCAGCCTCTAGAACTGTGAGGAAATAAATTTTTGTTTCTTAAGCCGGCTAGTCTATGGTATTTTGCTATGACAGCCTGAGCTGATTAAGATACATACAGCGGAGTATTATTCAGCCTGAAAAAAAGAAAGAAATCCTGTCATATGCTACAACGGGGATGAACCTTGAGGACGTTGTGCTAAGTGAAATAAGCTGGTCACAGAAGGATGAATACTGCATGATCCTATTTATATGAGGTATCTAAAGTAGTCAAACTCTTAGAAGTAGAATTGTGGTTGCCAAGGGCTGAACGAGGGGTGCAGAGGGGGTTGTTCAATGGATATAGAGTTTCAGTTACACAAGATGAAAAAGTTCTAGAGATCTGATCACAACAATGCACATATAGTTAACACTAGTTTAACTGTACACCTAAAAACGCTTATCGTGGAAGTCGGTGTGGCGATTCCTCAGGGATCTAGAACTAGAAATACCATTTGACCCAGCCATCCCATTACTGGGTATATACCCAAAGGATTATAAATCATGCTGCTATAAAGACACATGCACACGTATGTTTATTGCGGCACTATTCACAATAGCAAAGACTTGGAACCAACCCAAATGTCCAATAATGATAGACTGGAATAAGAAAATGTGGCACATATACACCATGGAATACTATGCAGCCATAAAAAATGATGAGTTCATGTCCTTTGTAGGGACATGGATGAAGCTGGAAACCATCATTCTCAGCAAACTATCACAAGGACAAAAAACCAAACGCCACATGTTCTCACTTATAGGTGGGAATTGAACAATGAGAACACATGGACACAAGAAGGGGTACATCACACACCAGGGGCTGTTGTGGGGTGGGGGGAGGGGGGAGGGATAGCATTAGGAGATATACCTAATATTAAATGAAGAGTTAATGGGTGCAGCACACCAACATGGCACATGTATACATATGTGACAAACCTGCACGTTGTGCACATGTACCCTAAAACTTAAAATATAATAATAATTAAAAAAAAATAGTTAAGATGGTTGTCTTAGTCAGTTTGGCTGCCATAACAATTTACCATAGACTGGGTGGCTTAAACAGCAAGTACTCATTTCTCACAATTCTGGAGGCTGGGAAGTCCAAGATCATGGTGCTAGCAGATTTGATATCTGGTGAGGACCTGCTTCCTGGATGACTGCCTTCTCATTGTCTCCTCACTGGCAGAGAGTTGAGAACTGAAGAGCTCTCTCATGGCTCTTTCTATAAGGGCACGAATCCCACTCATGAGGAACCATCTTTATGACCTAATTACCTCCAGAAGGCCGCACCTCCTCATACCATCACACTGGGAGTCCAGTGCTTCAACATATAAATTTTGGGGAGACACAAACATTTAGTCCATAACAATGGTAAATTTTATATATATATTTTTGCCTCAATAACAAGAACCCCACAAAACTAGATCTAGGATAACTGATACCCATAGGACCCTTCAAAAATAATCACAAAAACTCTGAAGCCTTCTTCCACAGCTCAGGACCCTTCAGACTTTTATAAAATAAGCAGTCCAGGCTGAAGATGAGCTTACAGTAAAAAATAATGTACACCTCACAACAGAGTTGAGGAAGAGTCAGCAGATATAACAAACAGAATTACTACCTTGAAAACTGAAGTCACAGGACAATTTGAGGAGAATATAAAATAACCTTGTTTAGGCTGGGTGTGGTGGCTCACACCTGTAATCCCAACACTTTGGGAGGCTGAGGCGGGCAGATCACTTGAGGCCAGGAGTTCAAGACCAGCCTGGCCAACATGGTGAAACCTTGTCTCTACTAAAAATAACAAAAATTATCTGGGCATGGTGGCACACACCTATAGTCCCAGCTCCCTGGGAGGCTGAGGCAGGAGAATGTTTTGAACCCAGGAGGCAGAGGTTACAGTGAGCTGAGATTGTGCCACTGCACTCCAGACTGGATGACAGAGTGAGACCCTGTCTCAAACAAAAAACAAAAACAAAAAAAACAAATAAAATAACCTTGTTTAAATCAAAGAGATGGCCGGGCGTGGTGGCCCATGCCTGTAATTCCAGCACTTTGAGAAGCTGAGGCGGGTGGATCACGAGGTCAGGAGATTGAGGCCATCCTGGCTAACATGGTGAAACCCCATCTCTACTAAAAATACAAAAAATTAGCTGGACATGGTGGCAGGCGCCTGTAATCCCAGCTACTTGGGAGGCTGAGGCAGGAGAATGGCATGAACCCGGGAGGCGGAGCTTGCAGTGAGCCAAGATCGCGCCACTGCACTCCAGCATGGGCAACAGAGTGAGACTCTGTCTCAAAAAAAAAAACAAAAAACAAAGAGATAAAGGAAGAAATAGAAAGCATAATAAAATAATAGTGCTATATGAAAAAGGAGAAGATTTTTAAAAAGGGCCCAACTGTATTTTTAGAAATGAAAAACACATTTAAATAAATAACTTAATGGATGGATTAAACATTAGGTTAGATATGGTAGAAGGTAATATCAGTGGATTGGAAGTTAGATCTGAGGAAATTGCATAGAATACAGCCCAGATATTAAAATATTGCATATATGAAGGAGCCATTGAAAGAATTGGTGGAAAGAATGAAAAAGGTTAACTTACATCTAAATGGAGTTCTAGGAAACAGTGGAGAGAATGATGAAAAGGCATTACTTTAAAGGATAATGCCAAGAATGTTTTGAAATTTAAGAAAGATATTGATTTTTAGATTATACCAGCACACTGAGTATTGAGTAGGGTAATTAAAAATACATCTCGATCTAGACACTCAGTGTAGAAAACTGCTTAAATGTCAAAGAAAATCTTAAAAGCAAGCAGGGAGAAAAGACAGATTATTTCTGTACAAACACCAGACTTCATCAACCACAACAGACGCCAGAAGACAATGAAATAATATCTTCAAAGTGCTCAGTGAATATCAAACTAGAATTCTATACAAAGCTAAATTATCATTCAAGAGTTAGGATGGAAAGACATTTTTCGGCCAGGTGCGGTGGCTCACGCCTGTAATCCCAACACTCTGGGAGGCTGAGGTGGGTGGATCATGAGGTCAGGAGATCTAGACCATCCTGGCTAACACAGTGAAACCCCGTCTCTACTAAAAAATACAAAAAATTAGCCGAGCATATTGGCGGGCGCCTGTAGTCCCCGCTACTCGGGAGGCTGAGGCAGGAGAATGGCGTGAACCCGGGAGGTGGAGCTTGCAGTGAGCCGAGATCGCGCCACTGCACTCCAGCCTGGGCGACAGAGCGAGACTCAGTCTCAAAAAAAAAAAAAAGACATTTTTCCTATAAACAAAGGCTGAGAGTATTTACCTCTAAAGTGATCTGTGCTGAGAGAACTACCAAGGGACATGCTTAATAAAGAAGCATTAATTTTTTCATGAACCTGGCATTGCAAATGTATTTTTTTTAAGAAGATTAAGATTTAGGATGATTGAAATTTAGGATGGGGTGGGTGCAAAGATCAGAATTTAATGTGTTCTAAGGTCTTGGTATTTTTCAGGGAAATAATGAACTATTATTTGAAATATTTCATAATTCAAAAGAAAGCAGACAGAAATACCCAGACATTGACCTTTGGGCACCATCATTATCACTAGAATAACAACTAATATATGCGGAGTTCTTACTGTGTGCCAAGGTCTTTTATGATGTTATTCCATTTAATCTCACAGCAACCGTATGAAAAAGGTAACGCTGCCATTTTGAGAGGTAAGAAAACAGGGGGGACAGGGGGGATATTCACTTCAGTGCTGCCATCACTGAGGGTAACACACAGCAATAGTCTGTGTTCCGTGAATGTGGATGAACCAAACCAAGCTGAGGTTAAACTATAATAAGCACCTTGCTCGTGTCACATGTTAGAGAAGTGATGAAACTGTGGTTCTAACTCAGGCCTGTCTAGCCTGAGACTCCCTGCTCTTTTCCACAGTGTCTGCCCCTCACTGTTTCCTTCTCTGAGTAGACGAGTCAGACGCTGGCCCTGCACTTCCTGTGAATTAATGCCCCGCTTTTCCCCTCTCACACATGCTTTGGTCTGTGTGACTTGTCCCATTCAGGCCCTGATGTCCTAGTGGTGTCTTTCCAGGTGTCATACAGCCCGGCAGCGTCTCCTGCATCCTTGCTTTGCTTTCAACAAGACTGGGCCGGCTGTCGCTCCCCAGTTTCTATGTGGCAGTCAGACAACACCCCCCGCATGGTGTTGCTAGGAAATGCAGGAGCGATCATAGCATTTGGAGCAGGGGCCCTCTCTCCTGCCTCCTGTACACACCTGCCTTTACCATCTGTTCAGGATGCTCCTGGCACCTTGACCCTGCCACACTGAGATGCTCCACCTCATTCTAGACTGTGGACCTCAGAGCTTGGGTTTTCTTAATGGAGGAATTATCAGGGAGAAAACTGGAGCCTGGGGTTGCTAAGCTACACTGGACCCTGTTCTAGTCACACACTGGAGAAGAGGTGCTGAGAGTGGGATGTCTTGCGTTCAAGGAATTTTCATTCAGTTTCCTATATTTTCAACAAAACGCCTATCTCTGCTCAAGTCTACTTTATATCGTATATTTATATATAGATATGCACACACATATGTGTACATACACACACTGAATAATTAACTCGTTACGCCTGTGAAAATAGTTTTTTGGTGGTGTTTGTTTTTTGCCCCTTTGGTTCGTTTAATCATGGACTGTGCTGTTTGGTTTCCTGAATTGCCAGTTAATTTCAGGCTAAGGCAGTTAATCAGGTAGTCCCACATGGCCTGGCTTGAACATAGAAGGAACAGGGAGCTCTGATGCATTTAGGTTCTGATTACTGGCTTCTCACACACTGTCATCATTCTTTGGAGGGTTTTTCTTGACCTGAGCTCAAATCATTCCATACCAAAGGGATTCCTGATTTAAACTGTCAGTGTTAAAAGGCCTGGTGGACAGATGGTGTCTTACAGGCAAACAAAGGCTCTTGGCTTGCTGCTGATGGAAGCCATGGACTCCTCCAATTTCTCCTTTTCCCCCAAAGAGGCCCTGGCCGTAGATCCCAGCATTGCCAGGCAGCCTGTGTTGTTGAGGACTGTGTCCTGTGTTTTGGTGGCCAAGAGCATTTCGACTCTCCCAGGGGTGTGCCAGAGGATCAGGCTATCCCTTTCTTAGGGACACAGTTGAGGTGGGTGGAAACAGCATGTACCTTGCCATTGGAGAAGCTGGGTTTATGCTGTGATTCACCCAGCCATCTCAGGTTGTGCTCTTGGGAGAGTCTTTGATCCTCAGTTTCCCCAGCTGTAGATTGGTGATATTTGTCTCCACATTGTAAAGAGAATTTATGATACTGAAGAAAATGCTGTGTAAACTTTAAAACAATACAAATGTAAGGCATTGCTACTCTCAGTGCTTGGAGGATGTTTTGTGGGAAGTTAATGGCCCTTGCTCTGCCATATTTCAGTGCCAAGAACCACAAGAGCTGTCAATAAATACTGATGAATGATGAGGGGGAGAAGCCATTTGACTCTGTGGAAGCCAGTGCTTTATATATTAAATGCATGTATTCATTGGATCATTCATTGAGCAAATATTTATTGAGTTCCTACTAAACACGAGGCACTGGGAATAAAACACTGAATAAAACAAGTGGAATCATGACTAATGTTTCCTCTGGCTTTCACAGAGTTAGAAAAATTAGGTGTGTTGTTTTCATAAAATTAAATTATTCTATATATATAAAGGATTTTAAAATGCTGATAGTATATCTGTCCTCCTCTTTGGTATTAAAATGTCTCTTCTTTTGTGTGATGATGGTGATAGTTGATTTTTGAAAAACTTTTCACATAGTCAAATTTGAAAAGGTGTTGTTAGTTGTCCTTGAAATCCAGCTTGGGGATGACTGATCTAGCCCAACTCCCCACCCAGGGCAGGCCTGTCTTTAGCATTCTCAACAAGTGGTCATCTAGTTTCTACTTGGATAGTTCCAGGGAAGGGGACCTCACTAACTTCAACACGCAGCCATTCAAATGTTAAACAGCCATTATCTTTTGAGTGTTCTTTTTTATATTAAGTGGAAATCTACCATCCTATAACTTCTGCTCATCAAGCTTGAGTCCTCCATCTGGAGCAAACAAAATATATTTACTTCATTTTCTTATAGCCCTCCAGATTTTTGAAGCAGACTATTATGTTTCTTCCAAGCATATTTTCCAGACTTCTTGTCCCCACTTTCTTTACCCACGTTCTCCCGTGGCTTCATTCCTCTCCCTCTTGCCCCACCTCTGCTGGTCAGCTTCTACTTGCCAGTGTTCCTCTTGCAGTCTGTTCCCCAGAAGGGACACAGGGCTTCAGCTGTGTGCCGACTTGGATGGAGTGCTCAGCCTGCTATGTCCCTGATTCAGAGCTCTGAATGCAGATTAAGGAAGAAGTAAAGATTGCGTTTGCCTTTTTGGCAGCTGTGCTCTACTGTTGACTCATATTGAGTCGTAGCCTACTAAAATCCCTAGGGTCCTTGTCATATAAATTGCTGATAAGGCAAGCCAGGGTTCCACCTACCCTATGTTTATGCAGTGAATTTTTTCATCTAAGTATAGTCCTTTACATTGTGCTTATTCTATTTCATCTCGTTAGTGTGGACCATAGTTTCAGCTTGTTGAGGTCATTTTTATTCTGACTGAAACTTCCAATTTACTAGCTATTCCTCCCAGATTTGTGTCAGCAGCACATTTGGCAAATTTGTCTTCATCCAACTTTTTAATTTAGTGTTCAAAAGGCTAGAGCCAAAGACAGAGCCTTGGGTCACATCAGTAGAGACCTCCCAGGGTAAATGTATCAGTGAGTCAATCCCTAGGCATCTGTGCATAGAATCAGTGCACCTATGAATGTGTCAATCATCAGTGCATCTCTGGATCAGCCAACTGCAGACCCTCCTGAGTGTATTAATCACACTGGTGATGTGAGTTCTATTTTCAGACTCTTCTACTTCTCATTTTTTAAGGCAATGTCAACCTTTTCCATTATTGAACCACCATTGGTAGGATTATGACTTTCAAATTTACCTTTTCAGCCCAGATATCTGTCTCTTTTACATTTTTAATTTTTTAATTGAATAGCTGCAGAATGTTTTAATTTTTCAAAGTAAATGCACTATCTCCACGTCCTCTGAAACCTTCTTCTCTTTCTGTGATCAACTTGGTGCCACCAAGTTGGCCAAGCCAGGTACCTGGAAGCCATTCTCAGTGCTTTTGCTTTCTTCTCACTCCACAGCTAATTCAATTGAGTGGGGTAATTATAAATACCCTTAGCTGTTCTAAGAGATTCTACCTCCTTAATACCTCATAATACACCCCTCGGACTCTGATCCGTCTTGCCTATACAACTGTAAGAACCTTCTAACTAGATTCTGTACTCCTGGCCTGACTCCTTCTAGCCCTCATCCTGTACTGTGTCACCAGGAAACAAAAGCCTCACTCAGATTATGTCAGTGTACTGCACTGAGGCCTTTGCTAGCACCCTGTCCACTGTAAATGATAGGTGGTCCTGCATCGTCTTACTGTTCTCAGCTTTTACTGTTTCTTCTACCAACCCTACACTTCAGATGTACTGTCTACTGCTGGTTCCCAACTGCAGCATGTAAATTCATGCTTTGGATATGCCGTTCCCTGTACCTGGGATGCCTTTCACTCCTTCTAGTCAACTGACTTCTACTGCTTCTTTAGGATTCAGATCAAGCATCCCCTCCTTTGGGACTTCTTCCGCAGATGCAGCGGGTTGGGCATCCCTTTTCAGCACCACTGCAGCACTCTAAGTGTACCCATTGGAAAACTCATCACTACATGGTAGACTGTTTGTCTGCCTCTCCCACTTGGTGGAGGGCCCTTGCAGGGCAATGCCTGTGCTCTGTTTACCACTGGAGCCACAGCTCTTAGCACATAGTAGTAGGCACTTGGGATTTGTTGAAAAAATGGATGAATGGAGGATTTGACAAATCATTTCCAATTTGCCTTGAACTGAGTGACCATTACTTCCCTTTTAGCATTACTCTATGATTCTGCATCTGTGGCATCCCTTTGATGTACTGGCCATATAATTCCATTCAAAAAGTGAAAGTGTACTTGACATTGATTAGGTTTTTTCTCCATATATGTTCCAAGTCATCCGATTTCTAATCTATTCTAGGCTTGTTAAACTCCATTTTTACCACTTAGTTGCATGTTTGTTTCTCTGATCCTGTATTAGTTAGGGAAGGCTAGCAGCTGTTACAAGCAGCCCAAAATCTCACTGGCTTGATGCAATACGAGTTTAATTTTCAGTTACGTGACAGTCCAGTGCAGTTACTCCTGGTCAGGTGGCCTTCCACATGGTGACTCAGTGAGCATGGTCCATTTCATTCTGCAGGGCTTCTCTCTTTGTGGTCTTTGACGTTTTCTCCATTCAGCTAATGTATGGAGAAAGAGAAGCAATTGCAGGTGAGGAAACAGAGGGATGGTGCGTGGGAGCTTCTCACTGGCCCGGCCTGGACTAGCACACCATCACTTCTGTGCACATTTCACTGGCCAGAACTTAGTCATATGGTCATGTCTGACTGCCACGGCAGCTGGAAAATGTAGGCTAGCTGTGACCCCAGGAAGAAAAAGGGAACACAGATATTTGTGAGCATGAACAGTTGCCATTGCACCCATTCTTAGATTCTGGACCTCGTGATTCCCAGGGCTGCCTTCCAGAGCTCTTCTTAGTCAGGGCATTTTCTGTGCTCCAAGCCCTTTGATCTTCTATCTCCCAGGCTGGGTTTTTTTATCTCTGCCCTTTGCCTCTCTGTTCTCTCAAGCCCTCTTGGCCATTGGTACCTCATTTCTCTTTTCTTGCTGGCCTGTCTGATCTTGACTCCTCATCGCTCCAGTTTCCCAGCAGCTGATCCTCACTTGCTCACGTGTCTGGGACTGGACCATCTGATTCTTGGTACCTGCTTGCCATTGCCAGATGTGTTCCTCAGGGACAGCCCATCCCATTCCAAGTCCTGGCACAATGGGGGAGAGTCCTTTCACTCTGTCCTGTGCTTTGAAGTCCTTCCTATGAGTACAGAGTATGGATTTGAACTCTGTTTTTAGAGATAATTAGAGAACTGAGGGAGTTACAGTGAGAGCCACTGGGAGATGTGGGCTTTGGGAAGCCAAAAGTATCCATGCTGTATGTCCTGAAGCAGATAAGCCTGAAGTTAATGGATAATCTGTACGTATATGTAGAAAAATTGCAAAGGTGGTGATGCTAGAGTACATGTTTTTTTGTTACTCTGAAAAAGAAGAAAGTGTCACATTTTAGTGTGAGAATTTTAGGTAAGAGACAAAGAAAAAAATCATAAATTCCAGAATTTGGGATGCCATTATGGAGAGGTTAAGTAATGTGCTTTCCTAGAAAAAAATGGGAGTGGAAGAGCCCATCTCAGAAGGCTTTGCAGTGACCTGCTGGGTGGCAGGAGATGGATAAGCAAGCTCAAAATCTCTTCTTCTGCCATGATTCTTTGAAAAAAATAAAAAAGCTGGGTGTTCTGCTTTTGACTCTGACCTTGTTTGAGAGATGCTCATACTGAACGTGTTTGTCTCTGGGTAATGGTTCCGGATGATTTTGTAAATGGAACGGGTATTGTCTTGTAAGGTTTCAGGAACTATGATGCCTGAGTTCCATTACCTGTTTTGTCACCCACTCATTCTGCAGGTTACTCACTTGGGTAGGCCACTTCTCCATTCTTTTGATGGTCTGCTTATCTATTAAGTGGGAATGGGAACAGGATGAATTTTCAGGAGGTTTGAATGAGAAGTAATTCATGTTTCTAACACGCTTCAGAATACATAAGTACAACATCCTATGGGAATTCAAAATACAATTACACTTTTGTTAGGTTTATTTCTCCGTATGCTGGTTCTTTGGTTCTTGCCTTGAGACATGCAGCTTTTTGCAAATGCTGTTTCCTAGAAATAGCTCTTTAAATGTGTGTGCCTCTCCTAGTGAGGGCTGAAATGGTACCCTCTGCTGGGTTGGAGGCTGGGGAGGAAGGAGAGGAGGCTGAAAGTCAACACCCTCAGGCCAGGGCCCTAACTCTAGAGGCCGTGAACACGGTGGTTAGAGCACGTACTTTGCTGTCAGGCTGCTTGGTTTGCCGGAGGCTTGGCACAAGCTGGTTAGTCCCTCTGTGCCTCAGTGTTCTCATCTGTGAAGTGGGCGTCATAATAATGCCTACCTTATGGGGGTGCTGAGAGGATTAAATAAATCAATGTATGTAAAATCATGAGAACAGGGTCTGGCCCACAGGGAGTACTCTGCAAGTATTAACTCTTATTTTTAAACAGGTATTTTAGAAAGATGCTTTGCCTCAGATGCGTTCTCCTTGGTTACTTGCTGACGAAACAACCTCCTCCCATGTATCTGAAGGGCCTCAGAGCAGCCTTCGTGCTTGCAGACATGCGGAGAAGGACCTTCCCACTGTCCTCGGGTGGGCTCAGCTTACGTTAAGAGATGACCATCAACACACGGGGAAAGCAATTTTTCAGTTCATAGGATTTAGTCGGACTGGTTACTATATGTCACTGCAGCGTGGAGGGAATATCAGAGGACTCCACTGCATTAGGCGGGCTGGGCACTTGCTTGCCGTTGATATTCTTAAATGAATCACGTTGTTAAATGCGGAGGGAGGGCTGTGCGCGCAGACCTATATTCTTACTTCTGGGAGACCCTGTGGGGCTCTGAGACTTTGCACTTCTTAGTCCAACCAACTTGAAGTGGTCCCTTGCTCCCAGTGATTCATTCTGCTTTTACTGCTGATTCTGTGCTCTTGAGGGATTCATGGTTCGTGCACACGTGGAAGGGTGGGGCAGTGGGTAAAGGAGTGACATTGCATGAGTGTATAGACAATAGCTGCACTGTGTCACTTACAGCCTGGGCTTCTTCCGTAAGCCCTAAACCACCCCTGTCTGTCCCCCCGACCCTGAGGTAAGCCATTGATGTGGGGGCGAGTGGTAGACTAAGCATCCCTTTGGAAGAAAAGGATTAATTTGCATGAAGCTAGGAACACACTTTTGAAATATTAAATACAACAGAGGTCTGCTGAGCACCTCCTATGTGTAAAGCACCATGCTGGACGCCGTGCGAGGTACTTGGAGTAGTAAGACTTGACTCCTGTCCTCAACGAGCTCAAGATCTCTTGGGGGAGACAAACACAGGAATAAAACAGGTTGTGATGAACATGGCAACAGAGCGTGGTGACAGGATGCCATAAGAATCTTGGGGCTCTGCCGGGCCCATCCGGGGCATGTTATGTACCCAGAGACTTGACATTTTTTAATTTTTAAAAACTGTGGTAAAAAGTACGTAACACAGTTTTCAATCTGAATCATTTTTAAGTGTTACAGTTCAGTAGTGTTAAATATATTGTTGTGGAACACATCTCCAGAACTTTTTCATCTTGAAAAATTGTAACTGGCTGGGCGCGGTGGCTGACACCTGTAATCCCAGCACTTGGGGAGGCTGAGGTGGGCGGATCACAAGGTCGGGAGATCGAGACCAGCCTGGCCAACATAGTGAAACCCCTACTAAAAATACAAAAAATTAGCCGGGCGTGGTGGCAGGCGCCTGTAGTCCCAGCTACTTGGGAGGCTGAGGCAGGAGAATGGCGTGAACCCGGGAGGCGGAGGTTGCGGTGAGCTGCGATCATGCCATTGCACTCCAGCCTGGGTGACAGTGTGAGACTCCGTCTCAAAGGAAAAAAAAGAAATGAAAAATTGTAACTACACACCCATTAAACAACTCCCCATTTCTCCCTGCCTCCAGCCCCTGGCAACCACCATTCTACTCTCTGTTTTTATGCATTTGACTACTTTAGATACCTGATGTTAAAGTGGAATCATTGAATATTTGTCCTTTGTGACTGGTTTATTTCACGTAGCATAATGGACTGAAAGTTCATCTGTCTTACAGTGTGTGTCAGAATTTCATTGCTTTTAAAGGCTGAATAATAGTCCATTTTATGGATAGACTACTTTTTTTTTTTTTTTTTTTTTTTTTGAGATGGAGTCTTGCTCTGTCACCCAGGCTGGAGTGCAGTGGCATGATCTCGGCTCACTGCAACCTCGGTCTCCCAGGTTCAAATGATTCTCCTGCCTCAGCCTCCTGAGTAGCTGGGATTACAGGTGTGCACTACCCTGCCTGGCTAATTTTTGTATTCTTAGTAGAGACAGGGTTTCACCATGTTGGCCAGGCTGGTCTTGAACTCCTGACCTCAAGTGATCTGCTCGCCTTGGCCTCCCAAAGTGCTGGGATTACAGGCATGAGCCACCGTGCCCAGCCACGGATAGATTATATTTTGTTTGTCCATTCTTCTGTCAATGGACATTTGGACTTGTTATTGTGAATAGTACTGCTATGAACCTGGGCATGCAAATATCTCTTGGAAATCCTGCTTTGAGTTCTTTTGGATACATATCCAGAAGTAGGATTGCTGGATCATGTAGTAGTTCTATTTTTAATTTTCTGAGGAATCGCCATACAGTTTTCCACGGTGGCTGCTCCATTTTACTTTCCCGCCAACAGTGCTTAACGTTCTTATTCCTCCACATCCTCGCTGGCTCTTGTTAATTTCTATTTTTTGATAGCAGCCATCCTAATGGGTGTGAAGTGATAGCTCATGGTGGTTTGGATTTGTGTTTCTCTGATGATCAGTGATGTTGGCCATGTGTATATCATCTTGGAGAAATAGCTATTCAAGTCTTTTGCCCATTTTAACATCAATACTCGAGGATTTCTCTTTCTGCTCTGCCCATATCCTCAGATATCGGGACTGGCTTGCTTCTGCAGAGGGGGCCAGATCAACCCTGCACCAGCAGAGGCATAGGGCAGCAGGGGCTTCTCCCTCTGCAAGTCCCAAAAGTATGCGGGTTACTTGTCCCCATTGGCCATATAACTAGCACCCCTCTGGACTGCTTAGCTCTGCCCATCCTGCTGTTTCTACCTTGCGATGATTTACATGGATGAGAGGCTGGGTATGTTCATTTCTTCTTGCTTCAGTATTAATACATTACCACAGACTTAGTGGCTTAAAACAACACAGTTTTATTATCTTATATTTTTGAAGGTCAGATGTCTAAAATGGGTCTGCAGGGCTGCAATACTTCTGGAGGCACTTGGAAGACTGTTTCCTTACCTTTTCCAGCTCTAGAGAATGCCCACATTCCTTGGCTCATGGCCCTCTCCTCTACCTGCAAAGAGAACAATGTAGCATCTTTTGCTCTCCTCTCGTGCCTTCCTCTTCCGAGGACCCTTGTGATGACCTCAGACCCACATGGATAATCCCATCTCAACATCCTTAACTTAATCACATTGGCAAAGTTTCTTTTGCCACATAAGGTAACTTATTCACAAGTACCAGGGATGAGGACAAGGACGTGTCTGGGGGTGATGGTCATTATTCAGCCCACACTGGGCCTCTGCTATGTGGAAGGCAGGGGTAAGAGCATCTTTTGTAGGGAGGGTTCTTATTCTGTGCCTTCTGGACTTAAACTTTACCCTGGGTTAGTAGGAACAGCATCTAGGGATCTGAAGGCTTGGGCTTGACTTTGGTTTGGCTTTGCCTGGGTGGGAACCTAGGGGACAAGAGGCTTGCTTTCTCTGAGCTCCTGTGACCTCACCTTTTAAAGGAGGTGGGTGGGCCAGGTGCTCTTTAGGTCCCTCTCGCTCTGCCATATCCTCACCTGCTCTCATTTCTCATGTGGTGTCCTCACATTGCCTTTTCCCATTGGCTATGGAGAGACTGAGGCTGCCCTGAAGGGTAGAAGAGGAAAGTTATATGAAACTTTGGGGAAATGGCTCCTGGGCACCAGCTAATTCAAAGGAGGACAGGAATAGCAGGAATGAAGGGCGCGAAGGCACTGCTTTATTGCCCGCCTCCTTCCCCCAGCCCCTACATAAAGCATCCTTGGAACAAACAAATGGAAATACTGCACACCCTGTAAGCCTAATTGGGTCATACATAACTTGTACAGTGATTTCCTATGAAACTTCAATTAGCCCCCTCTTCCAGTTCAAACCTGATAAGCTCAAATATTTGTAAACTGCCAGCCAGATGGAAGATGTGTCTCCTTGTGGCTTGGATATCCTGTAACTCAATATGTGTGGTGACTGGCATGGGCATCCGTATTCAAGGAAGGGAAGGAGCCTCGCACCCTGGACGTGGCATTGAGGGGCAAGAAAAGGTGTTGTTTGTTCTCTTTGGGACAGGTGGCCCGACTCTCCTCTGGAGCAGGCTGGGAGAAGTTGCCAAGGACAGTTGGCGTCCTTCAGTGGCTGGGGAAGGAGAGGGTGACTCTTGGGTCCTTGTGTCATTCTTCATCACTTCCAACTCAAGGGAGAATGTTGACTTGAAATAGTTAACCTTTAGTAAGCATGCATTAGTATTAATGCACCCTATTTAATCCTTATTATATTATCCCTGTTTTACCGATAAGAAAGCTGGGGATCAAAGAGGTTAAGTTAACTTAGCAAAGATCACATGGTCAACAAGTGGAGAGCTGAGACTCAAATGGAAATGAGTCTCATGTCTAATTAAATGTCGAATTTCAAAATGCATCTCTTTCTACTATGCCACATCATATCTTCTGGCCTCTTCCCTTCACCTAAAACCATTGCCCTTGGGAGTGGAATGTGGAGCTGTGAATGAAGGAGGAGGCAGTGAGCCACAGCCTGGAGGAGGTGACGGCTGCAAACCCCGCACTCTGGCAGAGGCCAGTCAACCGCTTTGGAATGCCAGGCTGCCTGGAGCTAACTGTGGGCCAATCTTGTGTTGGCCACTTTCGTTTCAGGCCCAAATTTAGTTACAGAGTCAGAAAGAGCAAGGCCCCTGGCAGGGCAAAGTTACCAGAGAGTGTACGTGGGTATGTGTCTGTGTGGGTGACTATGCAGTGGGGCCTCTCCTTCCCAGGGAGGCTAGTGGCTTCTTGTGGCAGGGTAGTATCTTACACAGCCGTGCCTCCCACTCCCCTGTACCAGTGGAGCCCCTGGTAGGCCTGCACCCTGATGCTTCTTGACCACTTGTCCTATGCTAGGCATTGTGAGGCCACATAGTGGAATGAGACAGGACTCTGCTCTCAGGGTTATGTTGGAGCAGGAGGAGAAGTTACATGGATATAAGAAAGGCAGTGACCAAGGCCATGAGCTGCACAGATGGAAGTGGGTATGCTTTGTGCCTCCGTGTTCCACGCTGGCAACATGTGTTCGTACCTGTACTCGTGTACCTGCGTGCATGTACTCAAGGGTGACTGTGGGGTCATGTGGGGGACTTGCCTCCTGAGCCCCTTACCCTGGGCAGGTGGTGGCTGCTCCTTTCCCTCATCGCGGAGCACTTTACACAACTGTATGATCATGGGTGATCTGGGGCCCATGGGGGCAGCTTCGTAACTCTTTGGCTCAACTGGGAAGTTGGAGCAGGTATTTGCTACCCTGAGTGTGAGCCCTAAGACCATAGTTTTATGCTGGAAACCGCCCCTCTTTCATGACACTCAGTGCCTAGTGCCTGCAGTTGCAGGCTGCCAGGGGACCACCCAATAACAAAGCTATGTTGAGGCCATCTGTGTTTCGTGCTGAAAGGACATTTTTCTTCAGCAGCATACTGAGTGCATAGAGCAGACCAAAGCAGACATCCCATTTTCCCCAGTAACCTCCGCATGTGTGAAAACTGGGCAGCTGTCACCTTGAGAAAGATGCTGCTGGGTCACCCCAAAGATTCCACATACATGCTGTTGGGTGCCTCCTTGTATGTGTGTAGCTGTTATTAGCCCCATTTCACAGGTGGGAAAGGCAAAGGCAGGAAGGCTGCCAAAGAGCCTGGTATTCAAGGGAAATGAATGAGCAGGCAGTTGTAATCTCAGTGGCATCCCACTCCACAATCTGAAGTGCATCCCCAAGGGTTAGGGAGAGCAGCTTAAGAAACCAGCAGACATTTCAGAAGCTGAGCCCTATGGACAGTGCACATCCCATGCTCAAGGAGTTCCGGTGGTCCTAGCCCATTAGCCACGTTTGTTGAGACTCAGCGGAGCACCCCCAGTAAGTGGCTGCCCTATTCAGGAGTACTTTTCAGATTCAAGTCTTTATCAATATTAAGGGAGGAAATTCAGGGGTGGAGGTGGGCGAGCAGGGGCCTCCTCTCTTTTGGGAAGCCTATTTCTTTGGCCAGCATGTCCTGAATGATAAACTTCTCCAGCACCCACTAGTGAATTGCAGAATCACTGAATGCCAGAAAAGTGCATAGGACCTTAGAGGTCATTTGGTGAACACCCTCAGTTTACAGATGAGGTGACTGAAGCACAGAGAGGGAGATAAACTTGTCTAGAGTCACACAGCTGCTTAGTGGGAAAGGGAGGAAGAGACTCATGCATTCAGCCCCACTCAAAAAAGTGACTCAAGAGGGAGAGCCGACCAGGAAGTGGGAGTGGCTGGGACTGTCTGTGCTTCAGGGGAAATGTTGGGGGTTGTGAAATGCAGCCACTCTGGATGGGGCCATGCTGGGGTGCCTACAAGGGCCTTCCAGGTGCTCAGCCCTTCCTGTGCCTCTCCTTCATTGCTGCAGGCCCCAGGGGCTCAACCCCCTTTAACAATAACAAAATGAGACCATTTAATGACTACTTCCCCCTGAGAACTTAGTCGATGGCTGCACCATGCTAAGTGCTTATAAATGTTTCAAGACTCTTGTCACAACTCAGAGATATCTAAGTCTCAGAAACGTAAATAAGTTGCCCGGGCTCACAGGGCTAGTAAATGGCAATACAGACGGGAACTTAGGGCTCCTGCTTTTGCTGTTAACCACCAGATCACACTATCTCTTCTTGGAGGTGGCTGCTGTAATTCACTCAATGTGCTTGCAGTCCTGTCCCCATAAAACTCAGTATTTCTAGATCCTGCACTCCCACCTGTCCACTTTTTCTTTCCTGTCTTCATAGACCAGAAGCAGGTCCAATTTGTCTTAAAGGTTATGACCCTCCTAATTCCTGTGGGGACACAGACAGAGGAGAGGAACAGAGATAGGGGGACAGAGTCACAGAGATGATCGAGTGTTACAGCGTTTTTACAGCTCTAGGTTCTGCTCTGTGAATCCTGACTCCATTCTGAGATGAAAAATGGTAGTGCCATTGACTTCTGCCTTCTGCTTTCGGGTTCTTAAAGATGGACTTCTCCTGACCTCCCCTTCTTCTCCCTTTTGGCCCAGACTTTCAGTGCAGTTGAGGCTGCGGGAGAATCCGGGCAGCACTGTAAGTGCCCTCGGCCCGAGTCAGGCCATCCAGTGTTTCGCCAGTCCTTCAAGGACCCTGGAGGAGAAGGGCTAGGCAGGGTCGGATACCACTGGCTCCAGAGAGTGTCAGAAAAACCTAAGCAGAAAGAAGAGAAGGGGGAGTGCAGGACATAGGAAGATGGCAAACAGACGCCCACAGAAGAGGAGAGTGCATGCATCCTATGAGGACGGAGCGTGGATTTATGATGCCAGAGAAACTGGAAGGTTTAGGAGTGGAGAGGTCAGTCTTAGCCTGGGTCCCACTGGATGGAGGCTGTGTGCTTCTCTCTGCCTTGGTTTCATCATTCACCATCATTGGGAATAATGTCTTTTGTCTCCTTACTTAAAGTGATCAGGCACTGAGTTGAAATCAGCATTCCTTCAGCAAACACTTCTTTTCATACTGGCTGTGTGCCAGGCTCTGGGCTAGGCACAGAGCCACAGAGATGAGCACGTCATGGCCTGCCCTGGAGATACTCACAGGTGCCCAGAGTGGAGCTTTTGGACAGGACTGAAACTGTGCAGAGATGAGGGGTTGATCTAACTTCCCATCAAACCAGCTCTCGCAGCCAGAGGTCCGATGCCTGATTTTTAACGGCGCTTGAGAAAACTGTTGATATATTTGAAGGTGAGTCTGGTTTTACTCAGTTGTGAAGGCATGTTTGTGCATGTGCACATATGATTTATTTGATATTTGAAAACAATTTATGACCAGAATTCTTTGCATCCTTCTCTGGGCCTATGTCATGTGCTGAGGGCTTGCCGGAAGCACTTGTATAGGGTAGAGACTTGTCCTGCCACATATCTCTCCTCTGGACTGGCCTAAAGTCTATCCTCCCATCTCCTTCCTGAAGGACAGCTTCCAAATGCCTTCCCCTCTGGTTCTTTTCCTGAGGACAGACCTCTTTCTCTTTCCTCTTGGGATGTTCTTCCAAGTATTCTGAGTCTCTTTGGCTTTTTAAAACACATTAAATTGAGGTAACTTTTTGTTATGGTAAAATATATGCAACATAAAAATTATCATTTTAACCATTTTAAGTGTACAATTTAGTGGCATTAAGTACGTTCACCATGTTGTATAACCATCAAGCACTATCTGTCTCTAGAACTTTTTGTCATTCCAAACCAAAACTTTATAACCATTAACTCCCATTTTCTCTTCCTCCCCAGCCCTGGCAAACTCTATTCTACTTTCTCTCTTTACAACTATTCTAGGTACCTCATATAAGTAGAATTATTCAATACATGTTCTTGTGTGTATGGCTTACTTCACTCAGCACCATGTCCTCAAGGCTCATCCATGTTGTAGCCTGTAGCAGTATTGTATTCTTTTTAAGGCTGAATAATACTCCATTGTATGGATAGACCACACTATGTTTGCCCATCCATTTGTTGACGGACACTTGGGTTGTTTCTATCTTTTGTCTCTTTGGATAATGCTGCTATGGACATGGGTGTACAAGTATCTGTTCAAGTCCTCGCCTTCAATTCTTTTGGGTATATACCCAGAAATGGAATTGCTGGTTCATATGGTAATTTTATGTTTAATTTTTAAATTTTTATTTATTTATTTTTTTGAGATGGAGTCTTGCTCTGTCACCCAGGCTGGAGTGCAGTGGCGCGATCTCGGCTCACTGCAAGCTCCGCCTCCCAGGTTCACACCATTCTCCTGCCTCAGCCTCCCGTGTAGCTGGGACTACAGGCGCCTGCCACCACGCCCAGCTAATTTTTTTGTATTTTTAGTAGAGACGGGGTTTCACCATGTTAGCCAGGATAGTCTCGATCTCCTGACCTTGTGATCCGCCCGCCTCGACCTCCCAAAGTGCTGGGATTACAGATGTGAGCCACCGCGCCTGGCCACATTTAATTTTTTTGAGGAACTTTCATCCTGTTTTCCATAGCGGTTGCACCATTTTACATTCCCCACCAGCAACACATGAAGTTTCCAATTTTTCCACATGATTGCCAATACTTGTTATTTTCTGATTTTTTCGATAATAGCCGTCCTAAGGGGTTTGAAGAGCCATCTCTGGCTTTGAGGATTTCCATGTAAATTACAGTGAGCCGCCGGGGCTCTCTGTGTGGCTGTTCCTAGCTGGGGGCCCCTTGGGTTGAGCTTGCCCTGTAAGCACAGGTAGATTGGAGGCAGCCGCTCAGCATAGCTGAGTGTGCTCTCAGGCCACCTCTGCAGCTGGGAGAGCCCAGCCATGGGCAGAGCGGGGTGGCTGCTGGGCTGCACCTGGTTCAGCCCCTGCTTTGAGATCAGTAGGGGAGGAGATCCAGGCACCAGACAACTGGGAGTGGGGGATGAGGCCGGCTGGAGAGGCTGAGGGGAGCAGTGAGATGTCTGGACCAATGAGTTCTAGAACCTGAGCTGTCTGAACTAGAAGGACCTCGTACGGTATCTGGTGGAGCCTCCTCATTCTATGGAAGAGATTGAGAGCCAGAGAAGGAACGTGATTTGTCTGAGTGCGCAGAGCAAATGAGTGATGGGCCTGGGGCTGGAATTCAGATTTACTGACTTCTGGCCTAGTTCTTTTCCCACCGAACTTGGGGAGGAGTCAAGATAACTTCATGTCTATATGAAGTTTGATATTTACCAAGGAATGACAGCCTCAGGGGAGACTTGCATATTTTTTCGTTGCCTTCTACCTTCTTGTCTGCCTGCTGTCTGGTGGGGTTTTGTAGGGATTAATCAGATAAATAGCTTTGACTTTTCTAAATGAAAGAAGCATTGTATTTTATACAAAGCATTGTTATTAAACGGCCTGTGAGTGTGTAGAAATAAGCTGATGCTGTTTCTTTTGTCGTGCCTTAGTGAGAATTAGAGACTTCCAGGAGTGGCACAAATAGGCTGTGTGTGGGTACATTTGTGTATGTAATGTTTTTAGTGTGTACATATGCAGGGTGACCCACCTTCCCCATACAGTGCGATCCCCTGACAATGGAAGAATTTCAGAGCCTTTTACTAATAGAGGATCCTTGAGGAATGCAGCACCATTTTCAAGGATCTCTGGAATTCTGTGTTCTGAATTATCTGGAGAGATCCATTAATATCTGTGTATGGGATATAGCGATTGTTTTTAAGAGTTGGTTGCTTAACATGGAAAATGTGCTTCTGGGAAAAAGAGTTTTAAAAACCCAGCTTTCATGTTTTATTTTACTTCATTGAAATGAGGTTCTTCTTGCGTGCCCCGAGGCTTTATCTCTGGAATGATTTTTACTAAATAATTCTTCATATTCAGGTAGTACTTTCATAGACATAATCCCTTGTAGTCTTCACCATTGTTCTGTGAGGGGTGTGGTATCATCTCAGTTTTACAGATGGGGACATTGAGGCGTGGAGAGCATGTGTCACTTGGCACTGGTAGCACTGCTCACCGTGTGAGGGGCGGCCGTAGAGCTAGGGCCTGCTTGCTGAAGCCACGTGGCTGTGTGGCTGGGGAAGCCCTCCCTCCCTGGAACCTGGTTCTGAGGTTATGTGCATGGTGCACTCTGGACCGGGGCTTAGTCTCGCTGCCGCTCACTCTGGGCGCATAGCCCTGCTCATGCTTCATGGAGGCGAGCAGATAGGAAACAGAATGGTTTTTAAACAAGACGAAAAGAAAAAGGAAAAGATGAAGAGAAAAAGGAAAGGATCTTGCCCATGTTTCTCAGCTAATTTTCAAACCAACCGTCTTACTGTGTTACTTTACCCTGAACCTAGATCCTTCTGCAGAGAACCACAGTTGGAAACCCAGGAGTGCAAGTGGCCCTCTGTCCAGAGCTTAGGCTGGAGTTGAGACGGCTGCCGAGAGGTGTGCTGAGTTCTTATGGGACTTCTTGCTTCTTTCTCTGTGGCTGCAGGGAGCTGCCTCTGTTTGCCTGCAGTGCTGGGGATGAGGAGGAAGTGGCCTCAGGCAGGTTGGGAGGCAGGCGGCCTGTCTGTCCCCTTCCAGAGGCAGGAATCTGGCACTGGGGTGGCCACAGTCATATTGGAAGTATACTTAAGCAACAAAACCAAACTGTAACTTGGTTTTCTTTCTGATTACCAAATAATTACTTATTGCACAGAATTTTGGAAAATTAATCACAAAAATACCTAGTACCATTTATTATATATTGTATTTTCTCTTACTGTGGCCACGCCAGTGCCAGATTCTTGCCCAGCCACGGACAGTCCCACTCTGGAAGGGGGCAGACACGCTGCCTGCCTGCCAACCTGCCTGAGGCCGCTTCCCCATTACCCCCAGCACCACAGGGAAACACAGGCAGCTCCTTGCAGCTCTGTCCTGAGAGTGTGATGTTCATTAACTCATTTGATTGTCACACAGTGCTATGAGATAGGCAGTGTTATTATCTGCTTTTTACAAGTGAGGAAGCTGAGGCACAGAGAGGCTAGGTACCTTTTCAAGTCTCACAGCTAGCAACTGACAGAGGCTCGAATTTGGATCCATTCTGCCTGGTTTCCAGGTCCATGCCCCTGAGTGCCAGGCTGTACTGCCTCTCAGCACGTGTATATTACCTGACACTTAAAAATAACACTAGTGTTTCCTTCTAGTATTTCTTCTATGAAAACAAACATAAAATTGGATGGGGGCCGGGTGCAGTGGCTCACACCTGTAATCCTAGCACTTTTGGAGGCTGAGGTGGGTGGATCACCTGAGGTCAGGACTTCGAGACCAGCCTGGCCAACATGGCAAAATCCCATCTCTAGTAAAAATACAAAAATTAGCTGGGTGTGGTGGCACGTGCCTGTAATCCCAGCTACTTGGGAGGCTGAGGAAGGAATTCCTTGAAGGAGGTTCAAGGAATTGCTTGAACCCGGGAGGCAGAAGATGCAGTGAGCCAAGATTGCACCACTACACTCCAGCCTGGGAGACAGAGCGAGACTCCATCTCAAAAAAAAAAAAACAAAAAAAAAAAACAACAAAAATTGGATGGGAGCCTGATGCAGGAGGATCACTTGAGCCTAGGGGTTCAGGACTGGCCTGGGCAACATAGCCCTGTTTCTACCAAAAAAAAAAAAAAAAAAAAAAAAATTAGCTGGGCACGGTGACTCATGCCTGTAGTCCCAGCTACTTGGGAGGCTAAGGTGGGAGGATTGCTTGAGCCCAGGGAGGTTGAGGCTGCAGTGAGCTGTGATCACGGCACTGCATTCCAGCCTGAGTGACAGAACGAGACTGTCTCAAAAAAAGAAAAAAAGGTCGGGGGCAGTGGCTCATACCTGTAATCCTAGCACTTTGGGAGGCCAAGGTGGATGGATTGCTTGAGCCCAGGAGTTGGAGACCAGCCTGGGCAACAGGGTGTCTCTACTAAAAACAAAACAAAAATCTGAGGTAGGAGGATCACCTGAGTCTGGGGGAGTCGTGGCTGCAGTGAGCCGTGATTCTGCCACTGCAGTCTAGCCTGGGCGACAAGGGTGAGACCCATCTCAAAAAAAAAAAAAAAAGAAAAAAGAAAAAAAATTGTGGTCCCATTGTATATACTTTTGTGGACCCTGTTTTTGCTTAATATTAGACTGTGGAAACAATTTCTGTATTATTTCATATTTTTCAAAATGTAATTTTCATGGCTTCCTAAAATGCTGTCAGTGGATGTGCATTGATTTCTCTAACCATTTCTCCAGTGACGGGCTTCTAGGTTGTCTTCAATTTGGTACTGGTATCATTCACACCGTGACGAGTACCCAGGCGCAGAGCTTTGCCAGACTCTTGGATTAGTTCTCTCAGGGTAGCTCCTGAGAAGGGTGGTGAATGTTGGAATTTCTTAACAACTCCCACCAGAGTGCTGAACTGCTGTCCTGACAGGGTGGAGCAGACCACGCTTCCCCCGGGCAAAGTGCAGGAGGCTCTAGGAGGGGTTAGGGGCTCAACCTCCCCCTCCCAGGTGGGGCTGTGGGAGCTACAGCTCCATCGTCGTCCTCACCGTGCAGAACAGAAATGCACGCTCCGCCTCCCTGAGTGTCAGGCCTGTGGGTCCGTGAGCTCCGAGCCTCAGGAGTAGGGGCAGCCTCTGCTGCAGGGACCACTGTGCCATCCCACTGAGTCCCGTGACCCACGAGGCTGGGTGTTCAGAGGCACGAGGTGGAGTGCGAGCAGGTCCTGCCGGTTCCCAAGGGTGCCCGCCCAGTTCAGTGGGTGACAGTGAATGCGCAGGGTGAGTGAGGATTAGCTGAGGGAGCCATTCTCTCGGATGGTGGCAGAAGGAGGCTGGGGCCACCGAGAATACTAAAAACTGCCCTCACAAGGTCGCTGCCTCCTGTGTTCTAGTTCTGCTGCCTGGGAAAGCTGTACTCACCCTCTGCCTCTGCCCTCCTACCAATAAACTGGGCCAGAGCAACAGAACCCCTGCATCATGGGACCAAAGTCCAAGTAATTACTATTATGGGGAAAAAAGCCTTGGGACAGTTACGTTTTGAGTCATCCTTTTATTCAACACATTGGTAGTGTGCACATACCACACTCCAGGCTGCCCTGGGCTCTGAGAATACAGTGGTGCAAAACAAAGGCTCATGCTTCCTGGGACTTCCCTCCTGTTGGGAACAAGAAACACATATTCATTTAACCAATGATAATAGATACATTGAACATATGGCAAACATACTAATTTAAAATAACGGAAGAGCATCTTCCCCGTATACTTCTGCACGGAAACCTTTGAAGGCCAAATTAAAGTTCTGTAAAAGAACTTCCATGCAGCCAATGTGTTTTGAGTGCCTCCTGGCAACACTGTACTAGGATTTGAGGCCACAGTGCTGTTTCCTGCTCTCAAGGAGCTTGTGAGTTGCTGGGAAAATAAGAGAAGGACCCAAGTATTAGACTTTAACTCATCTCAGGCGTTCAGCAGCTGAAGGAAAGGGGAGGCTGAGCCAGTGTCTGGGTCCCCTCAGTGTGGTACCTGGCTCTGGGGCATTCTTCCCCACTGTCTGCACACCCTCCCTTCTCCCCAGACATCAGCAACCTGAAGGATTTCTCCTTTTTGTAGATGGCTGTCTGTCCTCAGGCAGGCAGATTATTTTTTATTTTTTTTAATTACACTTAAATTCTGGGGTACATGTGCAGAATGTGCTTGTTTGTTACATAGGTATAGACATGCCGTGGTGGTTTGCTTCGCCCATCAACCCATCATCTACATTTGTATTTCTCCTAATGCTATCCCTCCCCTATCCCCGTACTCCCCGAAAGGCCCTGGTGTATGATGTTCCTTACCCTGTGTCCATGTGTTCTCATTGTTCAACTGGCCACGTATGAGTGAGAACACACAGTGTTTGGTTTTCTGTTCTTGCACTAGTTTGCTGAGAATGATGTTTTCCAGCATCATCCATGTCCCTGCAAAGGACATGAACTCATCCTTTTTTATGGCTGCATAGTATTCCATGGCATATATGTGCCACATTTTCTTTATCCAGTCTATCATTGATGGGCATTTGGGTTGGTTCCAAGTCTTTGCTATTGTGAACGGTGCCGCAGTAAACATATGTGTGCATGTGTGTTTATAGTAGAATGATTTATAATCCTTTGGCTATATACCCAGTAATGGGATTGCTGGGTCAAATGGTATTTCTAGTTCTAGTTCCTTGAGGAATCGCCACACTGTCTTCCACAATGGTTGAACTAATTTACACTCTCACCAACAGTGTAAAAGTGTTCCTATTTCTCCACATCCTTTCCAGCATCTGTTGTTTCCTGAGTTTTTAATGATAACCATTCTAACTGGCATGAGATGGTACCTCATTGTGGTTTTGATTTGCATTTCTTTAATGACCAGTGATGATGAGCTTTTTTTATATAGTTGCCTGCATAAATGTCTTCTTTTGAGAAGTGTCTGTTCATATCCTTTACCTAGTTTTTGATGGGATTTTTTTTTCTTGTAAATCTGTTTAAGTTCTTTGTAGATTCTGGATATTAGCGCTTTGTCAGATGAGTAGATTGTAAAAATTTTCTTCCATTCTGTAGGTTGCCTGTTCACTCAGATGATAATTTCTTTTGGTGTGCAGAAGCTCTTCAGTTTAATCAGATCCCATTTGTCTATTCTGGCTTTTGTTGCCATTGCTTTTGGTGTTTTAGTCATGAAGTCTTTGCCCATGCCAATGTCCTTAATGGTATTGCCTAGGTTTTCTTCTAGGGTTTTTACGGTTTTAGGTCTTAAGTTTAAGTCTTTAATCCATCTTAAGTTAATTTTTGTATAAGGTATAAGGAAGGGATCCAGTTTCAGCTTTCCGCATATGGCTAGCCAATATTTCCAACACCATTTATTAAATAGGGAATCCTTTCCCCATTGCTTGTTTTTGTCAGATTTGTGAAAGATCAGATGGTTGTAGATGTGTGGCATTATTTCTGAGGGCCTCTGTTCTGTTCCATTGGTCTATATATCTGTTTTGGTACCAGTACCATGCCGTTTTGGTTACTGTAGCCTTGTAGATAGTTTGAAGTCAGGTAGCGTGATGCCCCCAGCTTTGCTCTTTCTGCTTAGGATTGTCTTGGCTATGCGGGCTCTTTTTTGGTTCCATATGAAATTTAAAGTAGTTTTTTCCAATTCTGTGAGGAAAGTCAACGGTAGCTTGATAAGGATAGCATTATATCTATAAATTACTTTGGGCAGTATGGCCATTTTGATATTGATTCTTCCTATCTATGAGCATGGAATGTTTTCCCATTTGTTTGTGTCCTCTCTTATTTCCTTGAACAGTGGTTTGTAGTTCTCCTTGAAGAGGTCCTTCACATCCCTTGTAAGTTGTATTCCTAGGTATTTTATTCTCTTTGTTGCAGTTGTGAATGGGAGTTCACTCATGATTTGGCTGTCTGTCCGTTATTGGTGTATAGGAATGCTTGTGATTTTTGCACATTGATTTTGTATCCTGAGACTTTGCTGAAGTTGCTTATCAGCTTAAGGAGATTTGGGGCTGAGACAATGGAGTTTTCTAAATATATAATCATGTTATCTGCAAACAGAGACAATTTGACTTCCTCTGTTTGTATTTGAATACCCTTTATTTCTTTCTCTTGCCTGATTGCCCTGGCCAGAACTTCCAATACTATGTTGAATAGGAGTGGTGAGAGAGGGCATCCTTGTCTTGTGCCAGCTTTCAAAGGGAATGCTTCCAGTTTTTGCCCATTCCGTAATCTCTGCTGCCACACTAAAAAAGTTGAAATGCTGATTTTTCAATAAATGTGAATTAATCCTTAACTAGGGCCTGTAATTTAGATTTGCTATCACCAGGTGCTGATAGGCGCCTTAGTTCAAGTAGCAAGAGGTCTTGACTTCCTTCCTCTCCATGCTTGGAAATAAGTGGAGGAAGCATTTGGTTATTATGGCAAAAATTATGGCAATTTGTCATCTTCAGTTGAAGGCCGTGGCTTAGCTGTGTGTCTGTCAGTTTGTTTTCTTCCCTATGGTCTCTGATGTCAATATGAGAGCCCTCGAGTGCCAAGGGCGTTATATCAGGGTCCTCTCACCGAAGCAGTGTTGGCCTTGTGGTCATCGCAGGTGGTTTGCTTCCAGGCGTTCCTTACGAGGCTTCCTTTTCCTTTCTTTACCTTCTTTCAGCCAGCTGCCCCATAAATAACAGAGAGCAAGTGTGGTTTACTGGATCACTAGCAGGTGTGAATGCTGTAGCTTTTCCGCTTTTCCCATTGGCTTGGGCCTCTGAAGTGCTCCAGGCTCTTTGCCTTCTCCAGCCTTCATGTAGTCATCAGAGGCAGGTGGGTTGTAGGACAGAAAAGATACAGTTGTATTTGAGGGAGTACTCGTCAGTTGGGTTGGGGAGAGAGCCGCAGATCTCCTGGCGCCCTCACGGTCTCCTTGTTTTGGAGCACATTTGACTGCTGTGGTCATGGGGCCTGTTCTGGGCACCCCACCTCTCATGAACTGTGTCTGTAGCAGGATGGGGGAGAGGAGGACCGGCAGAGTGACAGAATGCTGCTGGAAATGGTGTGAAAATAGCTCAGGTAGGAGGAAGCGCAGTCAGATGCGGCATGGCGGCGGGCGCATCGGGAAACCACTGGGCGCCCACCCCGGGGAGGGTTTCCACCTCAGCTGGGCGTCCTGAAGCCACTGGGTGCCCACCCCGGGGAGGGTTTCCACCTCAGCTGGGCATCCTGAAGCCACTGGGCGCCCACCCCGGGGAGGGTTTCCACCTCAGCTGGGCATCGTGAAGCCACTGGGCGCCCACCCCGGGGAGGGTTTCCACCTCAGCTGGGCGTCCTGAAGCCACTGGGCGCCCACCCCGGGGAGGGTTTCCACCTCAGCTGGGCATCCTGAAGCCACTGGGCGCCCACCCTGGGGAGGGTTTCCACCTCAGCTGGGCATCGTGAAGCCACTGGGCGCCCACCCCGGGGAGGGTTTCCACCTCAGCTGGGCGTCCTGAAGCCACTGGGCGCCCACCCCGGGGAGGGTTTCCACCTCAGCTGGGGCGTCCTGAAGCCACTGGGCGCCCACCCCGGGGAGGGTTTCCACCTCAGCTGGGGCGTCCTGAAGCCACTGGGCGCCCACCCTGGAGAAGGTTTCCACCTCAGCTGGGCGTCCTGAAGCCACTGGGCGCCCACCCTGGAGAGGGTTTCCACCTGAGCTGGGCGTCCTGAAGCCACTGGGCGCCCACCCTGGAGAGAGTTTCCACCTCAGCTGGGCGTCCTGAAGCCACTGGGTGCCCACCCCGGAGAGGGTTTCCACCTGAGCTGGGCGTCCTGAAGCCACTGGGCGCCCACCCCGGGGAGGATTTCTACCTCATCTGGGGCGTCCTGAAGCCACTGGGCACCCACCCCGGGGAGGGTTTCCACCTCAGCTGGGCATCGTGAAGCCACTGGGCGCCCACCCCGGGGAGGGTTTCCACCTGAGCTGGGCGTCCTGAAGCCACTGGGCGCCCACCCTGGGGAGGGTTTCCACCTCAGCTGGGGTGTCCTGAAGCCACTGGGAGCCCACCCCGGGGAGGGTTTCCACCTCAGCTGGGTGTCCTGAAGCCACTGGGCGCCCACCCTGGAGAGGGTTTCCACCTCAGCTGGGCATCCTGAAGCCACTGGGTGCTCACCCTGGAGAGGGTTTCCACCTCAGCTGGGCATCCTGAAGCCACTGGGCGCCCACCCCGGGGAGGGTTTCCACCTCAGCTGGGGCGTCCTGAAGCCACTGGGCGCCCACCCCGGGGAGGGTTTCCACCTCAGCTGGGCGTCCTGAAGCCACTGGGTGCTCACCCTGGAGAGGGTTTCCACCTCAGCTGGGCGTCCTGAAGCCACTGGGTGCTCACCCCGGGGAGGGTTTCCACCTCAGCTGGGCGTCCTGAAGCCACTGGGCGCCCACCCTGGAGAGGGTTTCCACCTCAGCTGGGCATCCTGAAGCCACTGGGCGCCCACCCCGGGGAGGGTTTCCACCTCAGCTGGGGCGTCCTGAAGCCACTGGGCGCCCACCCCGGGGAGGGTTTCCACCTCAGCTGGGGTGTCCTGAAGCCACTGGGTGCCCACCCCGGGGAGGTTTTCCACCTCAGCTGGGGTGTCCTGAAACCACTGGGTGCTCACCCCAGGGAGGGTTTCCACTTCAGCTGGGGTGTCCTGAAGCCACTGGGTGCCCACCCCGGGGAGGGTTTCCACCTCAGCTGGGGTGTCCTGAAGCCACTGGGTGCTCACCCTGGAGAGGGTTTCCACCTCAGCTGGGGTGTCCTGAAGCCGCTGGGCGTCCTTAAGCCACTGGGCGCCCACCCTGGAGAGAGTTTCCACCTCAGCTGGGCGTCCTGAAGCCACTGGGTGCTCACCCTGGAGAGGGTTTCCACCTCAGCTGGGGTGTGCTGAAACCACTGGGCGCCCACCCCGGGGAGGGTTTCCACCTCAGCTGGGCGTCCTGAAGCCACTGGGTGCTCACCCTGGAGAGGGTTTCCACCTCAGCTGGGGTGTGCTGAAACCACTGGGCGCCCACCCCGGGGAGGGTTTCCACCTCAGCTGGGCGTCCTGAAGCCACTGGGTGCTCACCCTGGAGAGGGTTTCCACCTCAGCTGGGGTGTCCTGAGGATTTCTCTCGCTTAGGCTGGAGGGGAATGCCAGCTTCCCCATTTGGCCATTGAGAAGAAAGTCATCTCTCATTTATGTGATGAAAATATTAGACACTGAAAAAGGACTTTTGGTTTCTACATTGTTTTTTGGGTCTTAGACTCTCTTATGCTTTGAAAATATGTCTTTTTGCATAGGGTGGTTAATTCTTGATCAGAAAATCCACCCACCCATCAACATCTGAATTCATTCGCTATTGCCTTTTTAAAAAGTTTTCCCACAATTTTGAATTCAGTGCTCTGCTCGTTATCTTCCCCACTTCTCACATTTCTTTGTCACCATGCTCTTCCCACAAGGACTTTGTCTTAATACAGCACAACCTGTGTTGCCCAGTGTGGGCGCCTCTAGCCACATGTGACTATCTGAATGTACCGTAATTGAAAATTAAGTAAAATGCAAAATGCATTTTGTCAGACGTGCTAGCTACATTTCAGGTGCTCAGGAGCTGCGTATGACTGGTAGCAAGGGCTCCGTAATCCAGCCTAGGATTATAGAGCATTTCTATTACTGTAAATGTTGTATTGGACAGTGTTGCTATAGACTGGTCTATATATCTCAGTCAGGGTTCAGGCCTATAACAGAAACTTCTGTAGCCGTGTTTAGAGGAAAGATAGTACAGGAATTTAGGGGCTTATACAATAATTGGAAATGCTGCAAGAGCAGGCTTTAGGCCGGGTCTGTGGGAATGATTCCCAAAACAGTGCTGCAGAACAGGCCCCCCGAGGGAACTGCGGTTCGGGTACAATTATGAGGCTGGGGGACCTGGAAGCCACTGTGCCAAGGGCTGGCTCTGGGATCACACCGCCTTATGCATGATCCAGGAATCAGGAAGCCACTGGTGTGGCCCTGCCAGCCAGATACCTGCAAAATAGATGCTTCCCCACCTGACGTAGTTTTGATTCAGTTCTTGATTGGCAAAAGTTGTGTCAGGAATTCTCGCTCCAAGGGAGGTTGGGAGCCATTGTGTTTAGCCCTCTGGCCCCTGCAGTCCAGCGGGGCACCGTAGGAGGAGGGTGGAAGAGCTGCTGAGACCGCAAGTTTACCAGCCTCCCACCCACCACATGGTGCTCAGCACACACCATCCTTCCAGAGAGGAGTGCCACTGGGGTTGAGATGACAGGGCCTCGGGTTATCGTCTGAGATCGAGAGACGGTGTCCTCTCTGTTCACGTCCTCCAGCTATCTGTGTACTGCAATAGATAGGGAAGATTAATGGCCCAGCTTTCTAGTCATTGGGCCTTTAGTGGGTGGAGAAAGTCCGGTTTCTGTTCCAGGTTGTCTGCGATACTCTTAAAGGGAATGCAGGCCCCTTGTCACTACAGCAAGATGACAGACAGCAAGAGCCAAGTGGGCTTCTGGGTGACATGTTGGCCTGAGAGAAGGCATTTCCTTTGCCCTGCAGAGATTGCTCAGTGGTCAGGACTTTAGGGAGAAATTTATTTGCAGTTCTTCCCTTTCTAGGTGTGAGCTGCGGCTGCTCACCCTCTCTAAATCGATGTGGGTGTCTGTGTCTACGAAGGTGGAGGAGTGACCTGCTTTTGTGCTCACAGAAGGCACCAAGGCCAAGCAGGGTGACTGCTGCTGAAGCAGGCTGGCAGCCCCAGACCTTTTCCTACTCACGGCTGATTGGGGGGTCCCTTTCCAATGCCAGGGGCGTTGGGCATGTTTATTCAACGGTGGCATGGAGGCAGGGAAGTGGGGAGAACACTGGCAGCTAGTGTTTGAGTTCTGCTTGTTTGGAGTGGGGGCTTGAAGAAGGGATCACCTGAGCCCAAACCTGAAACGTGAGAAGGGATTGCCTAGCAAAGGGCAGAGGGAAGAACATGAAGGACATTCTAAGTACATGCAAAGGCACTGCGGCAGGCAAGAGCTGAGCATGTCTGAGGCATGAAATGAGCCACTGTGTCAGGAGTGCATTGGACCGGGCCCAGAGGGGAGTGAGGTGAACTCAGAGAAGTGGGCCAGGGCCAGTCTGTGCAGGTGTTGTAAGCTGTTGACAAGGAGTTTGGATTTTGAAGGGATCTAACTAGGGGAATGACAGGGCCCAATTTACGAGTTCTGTTTTTAAAAGGTGACTTTGGCTGCTGCATGGAGATTGGCTTGGGGATGGCCAAGAGTGGACTGAGGAAAAGGTCAGGGTGGCTACTGCAGCACTTGTGGGCAAGAGATAGGTAGTGGCCTGGACTAGGATGGAGATCTTCCTCACAACCCCTTTCCTTAGAACTTCTCCCCCATGGTTACATCCAAGAAATCAGTAGAAGAGCATATGGCTTGAGAATAAGCCCATTCTTTAGGGGTGGCTGGACTGACTCCAGCAGTGTTCCTTCTACAGTGTCACTGTAGTCCACCTTCACCTGTATCATGACAGCATTATCGTTACAGTCCTTAGCAAACTGTGTTGAGCATTTTCTGGGATATGGCCCTGAATCAGGTGCAGAAATAGAGATGGATTAAAGAAAAAAAAATTGTTTCATCACTGAACACCTTCCAAGTCCCCAGCACCAAGCCCCTCACTCACAGGGGACACCCAGGAGGCACATGCCACTGACTCCTAACTTGGACTCCTCACTTGGACCCTTGCAGAGCAGAATGACACGAGGCTGGCCAGACCGTGCTGGGGTCCTGCCCTCATCCTGGTCCCCAGCAGCAGCACCTGGGTGCAGGAGGAGGACGCAGATGCTGTCTTCAGGGGAGCTGGGCCATTTGACAGGTGGGAGGCATTTTCTTATGACTGGGGATGAGGTCACTGCTGGGGGCACCTACCTGTTGGTGTGTGGCCTGATCTGCGAGGCAGCTGCTCAGGGCCTTGTTCAGGGGTGGGAGCATCCGTGGAAACAGCCCAGTCAGACAGAGCCAGAGCAGACTTAAATGGTGGCATCCTTTCAGCTGGCAGCCAGGAGGCTGAGCTTTGAATCAGCTTTATAATTTGAAAATTGATCTCTTTGCATTGGGTGGTGATTTCGTGCTAACAAAAGCCGTCAGGGACACAATGCTGCCTGCCCTACCTTCATGGCACCACTCTGGATTCAAAACATTGAGCCAGAGATGGGGATTTTCCACTCCTGGGAGTCTTCGGTAGTTGTGCCACCCTGTTGTGGGTGACCCGGAGATACTGGTAGAACATTTCAAGTGCTCAGGAGCCACATATGACTGGTAGCCAGGGTATTGGACAGCCTAGGATTATAGAACGTTTCCATTACTGTAAGCATTGTATTAGACAGTGTTGCTACAGACTGGTCTATATGTCTGAGGTCAGGGTGGGGATCTACCGCAGTGGGTGGGAAAATTACTTGGAGAAGGGGAGGCCCAGGCCCGGAGGTGGTCAGTCCCGAGAGGCCATACCTGTCTCACCCGAGAGGCCACACCTGTCTCACCCGAGAGGCCACACCTGTCTCACCCGAGAGGCCATACCTGTCTGTCTCACCTGTGTGCGGCTCTGCACTCCTGTGCAGGGCCCTAGTCATGTCATGGGACCGCAGCAATGCGCAGAGCTGCCAGGACCAAAATAGTGTAGGTTGTTTTCTTGGCCTCTGGCTAGGGAGAGGTTGACATTCCATTTTTCCCCATGGGCTGGTTCATATGTGCTTTCTCCAGATGGTGTGCTCCAGAAAGGTCCTTGCGCTCTGGGAATGGTTTACAATATAAATAAGGTCCCTCATGGAGTTTTGGGAGGGCTCAGAAGGCAGCCCACCAGGATGTGGTTTTCAGAGCTGCCCCAGGGCTCTGCACAGCCAGCTGCCGTCTTGGTAGCTTCTACCTCGTGCTCCGGGTGCAGGGATGCTCCCCTCACGCAGCTTTTCTGGGTGGTGGATGTGTTCTCAGGCTGGGGCTTCCTGCCCTCTTTCCAAGTGTTGTCCCCAAACTCCTGGGACTCTTGGTTTTTGGAACTGGCAGCCCGTATGAGATGGGGGGATTAAGGGCAATGCAGGGGGGTGAGTACAAAGATTAAGGTCTGGGGACAGCCGTCTCAGGGGAGGCGTGAGCTGTGGAGGGCTTACCATGAGTGAATTGGGGGCTGGGAATGCCAACAGTTGGGGACAGGGCAGCTTTTATGTATCTGAGGGAAAAGGAGAAGTTAGTCTGGGAACTAAAATAGTCTATTAAATTTTGTCAGTGCCAAACAGAGAGTCTAGGAAGAAAAAATTATATACCACAGATTGAATGGAGCAAAATTAGAGTTCCAGCCTTCCCTGGCAAGCCAGAGAAGCAGGAGTTGCTCAGTGGCTCCAGTACAGCAGATGGAAACAGGGCGCTTTCCACTTTTGCCTAAGAGGCGCCCCGAGGTTACTGCGGGGGCAGGTGGTGTAGTGGATGCTGTCACGTGGAGATCATAGTAAACAGAAAGAATGTTCTTGGGGTCAGAAATCCAGCCCCTTGTATCTCGAGGCCTGGAGAAGCCCAGGAGGAGGCGTGCACCTTGTCTGTCACCATGTACACGAGCACATGTGTGCGTGCATGTGGAGTGTGTGAGAGAGGGCTGAGGAGGCAGGGGTAGAGTCTAGCAGCTCACCGTGAGCCCTGTGCCTGCTGCAGCAACCCTCCGTCGCCCCATTCTGTGACCTTTAGTGAGTCAGACACTCCTTTGTCTTCTTATGTGTTAAATGGAGACACGCATGCTTGCTGGGTGTTCAAGCAGTTCTCATGCTTTGGGTGCCTTCATTAATTCCAATGCACTCTTTACATCTTTTCCTGCTGGATCTTATGAGAAAGGTTAAGGTCCCGGCCTTATTGGGGTCTTCCTCACGTTAGGCTTGGGATCTACACAGTGAGTGCAGGGAGGACAGGGACGAGTTACAGGAGAGATGAGACGTCTCATTGTAGGGAGTGTCACGTCCTCCGTGAGCCTGATGTTCTGTTTAATGCAGTTTATCCCTGGGGCAGAGAACAGGAGGAAGGTGAAGGGAATATATATGGTGAGGTGAGAGTCGGTGTCACATTGAGAATGTGGCTATGAACTGGGTGTGGCAGAGAGGCAATTTTCCAGGCCTTGAGGAGTGGAGGCGGGGCTGTAATGCTACAGGGGCCAGATGGCGGTAGAGCAGGTGGCAACTGTTGCGGGACAGGAGGCAGCTGACCAGCTGGTCTCCAAGAGGACCTGAGGGGTCTTCTTGGGATCATGCAGGGGTGGTAGCTATGTGGCATGAGTGATGCCATTCCCTGCCCTTTGTGCCCATGGTGGGCAACACTAATCTATCATCCTCAGAGTCCCTTAAGTATATAGCATTGTGGACAGTGATGTCAATCAATTGGCATAAAAGTTGAAACTTATTGTCTGTCACTGGTGTGATGGAAAGGATATAGACTGGAGTCCAGCAGAAATGACAGCCCCACCAGGTCCAAGCTTTGGGCACCTACCAAGCATATTAGCTCGTTTTTCGGTTGCAAGGGACAGAGACCCAATTCACATTAGCTTTAGCTAAGTCACTTAAGTCACTTAAACATCACAGTGTGTGGGGGAAAATCACTTGGAGAAGGGGAGGCTCAGCCAGCCTTGCAGTACAGCCCTAATGGAGGTCAGCCCCAAGAGGCCACACCTGTCTCACCTGCCTCACCTGCGTGTGGCTCAGGTAAGGGCTAACTTCAGGTGTGGCTGGATGAGGAATCTGGTGAGGTTGCTCGGGCTCTGCCTCTGGGGCAGGCTCTCTCTAGGTGAAAATGTTCACATGGCTAAGCCAGGTCATGTGCTCTTCACAGGTTCCTGTGGGGACGGGGTGGAGGTGGGGGTGATAGGTTCTGGAAAGCAGGTCACATGGGGAGCAAAGTTATCTTGGAGGTCAAACATAGAAGGATCAGCCCAAGATAAGAGTTGGGGAGGTGGCTGGGAGAGGCGCCAAGTGTTCATCTGTGTCTTAACAGGTGAGGAGAGGGAGGGGGTCAATAAGGTTGAGCCAGCAACCTTAGGACCCAGCAGCTTCCCTGGAAGACCCTGTGCACATGGACCAGAAAAGGCCACTGTGGGCGGCCTTGGGTGTCATGTATGTGCAACTGGTCTGGCTGCTTCGGCCACAGTCTCTGGGCAGCTGAAGTGTCCTCAGATGCCAACCTCACCGCCCACAGTAGCACCCTCTTATCTGCGGCTTTTCTTGATCCTGCGGCACCTGGCCAATTGACTAGCGGTACCACGTCTCAAGGTCATGCATGTGTTCTGGGAGATTCAGGTTTGGGCCAGGCTGAGCTGATCGCTTGGCAAACCTTACAGACTCTAGAGCGAGGCATCCAGCCTAACAGGCCAAAGAGTGTTTGCCAAGCATATGTGCTGTCTTAGGGACAGTCTCAGAGGCTTCGTTGCCTAGACACCAGAGCAGGGCAGCTGTCCCTGCGCAGGTTGGAGCCCTGGGTTGCACTGGTTCCAATCAGGTTTCCTTCCTGACACTGTCCCTCTCCCCTACCCCATCAACCCCTGCCACTCACAGCTCCTTTTCCCAGATAGCAAATGCTGTCTAATGAATCACCCCAAAACAAAGTGGCTCACAACAGCAGACACCCTGTTACTGCTCAGTCTCTGTGGCTCAGGAATTCAGGAAGTTCTTGTGTGGGTCAGTAATTCAAAAAGTTACTGATTTGGGGCAGTCCTGACTTGGGGTCTCTCCTGGGGTGGCAGTCAGATGGTGATTGGAGCAGCTGGGGGCTGGCCAGGGCTCCCTCTTGCCACATGGCCTCTCTGTTGAGGCTAGTCTGGGCTTCCTCACAGCATGGCAGCTCAGGGCTGAAAGGCTGCCTTGTGTGGGGGCTGGCTTCCTCCAGGACGACCATCCAGAGACAGTCAGGGGGATGCAACGTGGCTTTTTTTTTAACCTATCCTTGGAAGTCACACAGTGTCACTTTTGCTGTACTTTATTGGTAAAACAGTCACCAAAGGCTGACCTCATTTCAAGAGGAGGGCCTAGATCTTTCTCAATGAAAAGGGATGTCAGATATAAAGGGATTTGTTGACATGATTTAAAACCATCACAGCTCCCCTGGCCCCTCCTGGTCAACCAACACTTAAAGCCCAGATGGCTTTGAGGTAGCTGGATGTGACCTTACTCTAGTCCAGCCCTTCTCATTTTATTATATTTATTTTTGTTTATTGGAACTCAGGTGCAGAGAGTTGAGTGAATCATACTCCAGTTCATTGTACGTTTTCCATCATTGATTCATGCAGTGACCTCTCATATTCACTCACTCATTCATTTATGCTTCCTCCTTGCCCCTGTATCTTATGCTCATTTTCCTCCTCACCTTCCTTAAACAATCATTCTATTCGATTTCATGAATATCCTTTCATTTGCATGGGTTCTTAAAATATGTATTTTAATTTCTAGGTAATGTGTTGTGTTGTATCTGTTTCTGCTGAGGTCCATACGTGCTGTAATGCACGGATCTCATCTCTTGCCCACCTAAGGTGAGGCAAGGAGACTAGAGCGGAGTGACACGCCCAAGGTCACCCAGCTAAACCAGGACCGCAACGATCCTGGCCCTCTTCCCTCAGCATCTCACACTCATGTTTCCACGTGCCACCTCCTAACCGCCTGCAATAGCTTGAAATAAGGTTTTGAAAAAATTGTGAATCTGGGGTCCAGAGAGTGTCGGAAGTGCCCCTGTTTTCTATCTAGTAACTGTTGTGTTCTTTTCTCTTTTGCCACAGGTTCCAACTATGGGAGCCCACGCCCCGCCCATGCCAACATGAATGCCAATGCGGCAGCGGGGCTGGCCCCTGAGCACATCCCCACCCCGGGGGCTGCCCTGTCGTGGCAGGCGGCCATCGACGCAGCCCGGCAGGCTAAGCTGATGGGCAGCGCTGGCAATGCGACCATCTCCACAGTCAGCTCCACGCAGCGGAAGCGGCAGCAATATGGGAAACCCAAGAAGCAGGGCAGCACCACGGCCACACGCCCGCCCCGAGCCCTGCTCTGCCTGACCCTGAAGAACCCCATCCGGAGGGCCTGCATCAGCATTGTCGAATGGAAATATCCTTTGTTCACCGGGCTGGGCATGCTCCTGGGACCTGCACGCTGGGTCCAGCCCTCCGAGGCTCCCTGGGCCACGAGCTGTGTCAGCTGTGCTGGGCTACAAACGGGGCCTCGGGCCTACTGCATCTGCATCACTGGGGTGCTGTGAAATGCAGAGTTCTGGGCCCCGCCCTAGACTGGATGAATCAGAATATCTGGGGACGGGGCCCAGCAATCTGCTTGTATAATAAGCTGCCTGGGTTGGGTTTTTGTTTTTTGTTTTTTTCATATAATAAGCAACATTTGAGAAAATCAGCCTAAGAAGTTATGAAATATCATCTCCTGTAGCTGAGCTTGCCCAGGGGCCCACTCATGTGTTGGGGTAACAGTCGTTAGTTACATGCTGCCTCATTCCCTTCTTTCCCTTCTGTGCCATGGCGCTGGATGCTTTCACGGCCTTCCCTCTCTCTAGGGTGAAGGGGCTCAGGAGATGGAAGAGCGTAGTGGTCAGGGCCCCTGGCTGTTGGCTGGAGGGCCCTGAAGCAGTGGTTCTCAGCCCTGATTGCACATTAGAGTCTCCTGGAAAGTTATAACAAACTACAGACCACTCAGTTCCACCTAGGCATAAAAACAAACAAACAAAAAACAACAACGGAAAACTCTCTGGGTAATTCTAATGTGCAGACAAAGTTGAGAACACTGTCTGGAAGTGTTCTGTTTGTCCATATAGAAACAAGCAAATGGGTCCTTCAGAAACAGTGGCTTTGAAGGGATGGGCGCTCGCTGTGGAGTTACAAGCCCCTTACTTCATCAGAATCCTGGGGCTGTAGAAATTGGGAAGGACTTTTTTTTTTTTTTTTTTGAGACGGAGTCTCGCTCTGTCACCCAGGCTGGAGTGCAGTGGTGCCGTCTCGGCTCACTGCAAGCTCCTGGGTTCGCACCATTGTCCTGCCTCAGCCTCCTGTATAGCCGGGACCACAGGTGCCCGCCACCACGCTCGGCTATTCTTTTTTGTATTTTTAGTAGAAACGGGGTTTCACCGTGTTAGCCAGGATGGTCTCGATCTCCTAACCTCGTGATCTGCCTGCCTCGGCCTCCCAAAGTGTTGGGATTACAGGTGTAATCTGCCACCGTGCCCAGCCCAGAAAGGACCTTTAAGTGCTGAAGTTCCTCCCCCACTTCCACGAGTGATGAAATTGAGCCCCACAGGAGAGGCTCCCCAGGGTCATGTGGTCAGGAACAGATGGGACTAGAACCCTGGTACTGACTGTGGGAATTTTTATAATAAGGATTCCTCCAGGCAGGACTGCTGTGTCTCTCAAGGGCCAGGATGGGAGCATTAGGCTTCATCGATGAGTTTCTATGGAAAGATTTAAAAGTCTCAGGTACTGGTTGAAAGAAGGTAGCCTAGAGATAAAGAAAGTTTCTATTGAGACAGAAATGTTCTATAAATGTTTGAGGCCAGGTGCGGTGGCTCACGCCTGTAATCCCAGCACTTTGGGAAGCCAAGGCAGGTGGATCACCTGAGGTCAGGAGTTCGAGACCAGCCTGGCCAACATGAGGTGAAACCTTATCTCTGCTAATAATACAAAAATTAGCCAGGCGTTGGGGCACATGCCAGTAATTCCAGCTGCTCGGGAGGCTGAGGCAAGAGAATTGCTTGAACTCGGGACGAAGAGGTTGCAGTGAGCTGAGATCATGCCACTGCACTCCAGCCTGAGGAAAAGAGTGAAACTCTGTCTCAAATAAATAAATAAATAAATATAAATGTTTGAGCCCCTCAACTTAAAAGTATTTTAAGAAAATGCATTTTAAAACAAGTGGCTGCAGCTGCCTGAGTGGCCAAGCATGGTTTTAGTGCCCGGGGTACTGGATGGGAGACTAGGCTTTAGTCAGCCCCATAGGACTGCTTGCATATCTGCTCACGGTGGAGTCAGGGAGTGGGAGAGCTGAGGGCCCTGCAGGTCAGGCACCCCTGAGAGAAGGGCAGCAAGGCCCAGAGAAGACAAAGGGCTTGCCCTAAATCACGCAGCTGGCAACTGACAGAGCTGGACTTCAAATCCAGGTTCCCCTGACCCCGAAGTCCATGCCCATCCCACACCCCATGCATCCATAGTACTGGGTAGGACTAGGCAGGTACTAGTAGATACTAGGTGGGACCGGTGAGGTCTTAGGAGGATGCTCAGGGCCTGCAGTCCAGGTGCACTGGGACACGCCGGACCTGGATCCGGGCCTAACACCTACTCCCTGGGTGCTGTGGCCACCCCTCCGGGGGAGTGTGCCTTCCCACCTGGAGGAGAGGAAGGGGGCCCAGCCTTAGCAGTGCCAGGTGGGTGGCATTCCAAGATTGCTTGGGAAGACTGGCTGGACAGGGAAGGAGATAGCCTGGAGTACTAGCCAGCCAGTTCTTCTTGAAGAAGTGGAATCCGACCCTGTCATTAGGAAGGGAACTCAGCTTAAAAAGTAATCTGGGCCTCAAAAGGCGACACAGAGCACTTCCCAGGGCTTACCTGGGTTCTCTGCTTTTCAGCCAGTGGCTTTTCTTCTCTGCCTGATTGGTTTTTACACATGATCTTCTCTGGCATTAGCCCAGTGCCTTTAGCATGAAGTGAAGGATGGATAGGTGGAGAGTCTGAATGAGGGGAGGGGAACTGATAGTGCCAGAAACCCCAAGCTCAGCTGTGCCCCACTGTGGTGGAGGCAATGAAGTGACATGTTCTGGGTGTGTGTGCACGGGTCTGGTTTGGCTGGGTTGTTGCATCCTTGTCCCGATGGGGAGAGCACAGGCACCAGCTGATGGAATGAAACTGGCCAGCCTGTGGGCTCGGTGTCACTTTCCTAAGCAGGCGAGAAAAGGTTTGGGAGGCAAGAGGTGGCGTGGTAGGAGGGCTAAAAGAACTGCCTATGAAGGCTTCAAGGTAACTTTAGAGTGGATCAGTATAGAATAGTCCTTAACACTGAGACTGCCTGAGCTTGGATCCCATCCTACTACTTGCTCTGTGACCTGGCACAAGTTAACGTCTGACCCTTCTGTGCCTCAGTTTTCTCATTTAGAAAGTGGGGATCACAAGCGTACATTCCACACAGAGCATTTCTGTTGGGCCGTAAGAATGTGCCTGGCACTGAGCAAGCTCTTGGCAGAGGTCAGCTTCTGTCCTTACTGTCACCAGCACCAGCATCAGCGTCTGTCTCCCATCATCACTACTTGTGCCTCATCCAACACAAGGGCAGCAGAATGTAAAAGCTTAGTCCGTCTGGGTTCCGGTCCAGGCTCTGCTATATGCCAGCTTGGGGTCTTGGACTGGCTGCTTTACTTTTCACCCCTGCAAAGTTGGGAGATTGACAGGTCCACTGTGTGGCATCTTTTTTGATATCAAGGTGGACATAGAAAATGTTCTACAGGAAAATGGATCCTCAGAAGTACCCACAGGACTAGGGAGACTAGTGCTAAGATAATCACTCGGGTTCCTCCCAGTTCAGAATTCTGTGACGCTGGCCCAGGGCTGCCCCTTAACACGTCAGAAGGCCGTCTGTGGCAGGGGAGTGAACACTGGACTTGGTGATCGGGAAATCCGGGCTCTAGTCTCAGCTGGTCATTAACTTGCTGTGGGGCCTTGGGAAAGTTCCTCAGGCTCTCTGGGCCTCAGAGGGTTAGACTAGATCATCTCTAAGGTCTCTTTCTGCCTCAATATTCACTAACTTTGTGAGTATGGATTTCCCTGAGAGAATTATGGTGGTCCCTTCACCCCGGATCTCCACCCCTCTCTGTCTTCCTCCTCCTCCTCCTGTGAGACTCCATGAACTGGGCTGCAAACTTGGCAGTGGGAGCGGGGTAGGTGGGAGTGGAGCTGGAAGAGCATAGACGGGCCCTTCCTGGGAAGCTTCCCCTTGCTGGCCTTCCATGGAGGGTGTGGGGTGGTCCCGTCGGAAGGGGTATTATCACATTAGCTCATTTTTCTCTTGAGAGCGTGTCCTGCCCTGAAAATGTGATGAAGAAGTCAGGGCATGGGAACCTCTGCCTGCACTACTACTGGTGAGGGAACCTTGGGCTGTCCCACTAGAGCCCAGCACACACCAAGGAAAAATCAGGAGGCCTTGGAATCAAAGCTTTGCCTGCTGAAGCGGGACCTCTGCAGACCAGAGGGGTTTCTATGCTGTCTGTGAGACTCAGCCTTAAAGAGGAGACAGCTTTCCTTCCCTACACTCAGGACGGACCCCCTGCCGTACTCTTGGGGGTCTTCAGGATCTCTGGAACCTGCCAGAGAATGAGAGAGAAGAAATGGAAACCACTCTTAACCTTAGTTTAAAAGATTAAAAATAAAATCTCCAAATTTCAATGAAACCCAGAGAAAGTCTCTCTGTCTTGGAATCCTGTTCCACCCATGTCCCCCGTTCCAGGTGGGCGTGGGCCCACAGGCCGTTCGGCATAAACTGTGAAGAAACGGGGTGCTTGGCGCAGGCCATGCTCTTTAGAGGCAACCTCAGGCACACATTGGGGAGAATGAAGACCAATGCAATCTAAATAAATGAAAGGAGGGGAACAAGTTTTTAGAAATCTGTGTTTACTCTGGCACGCGACTGGCCTCCACTGCTTTTGACATATTAGGGAAAATTTTGGCGGGGACCCACTAGAAGCACTTAAAAAGGCATATGTTTCTTTTCAGAATACAAGGGGCTTGGAATGCATTGTTTAAACAAAATTCTTATGAATCTTTGATTCATTTTAAAAAATATGTAGATTATGTTTGTTTCACTTGTACTTTCTGTGGCATTAACTTCCTTGACTCCCTTTCTCAGACCATTTGAAATAATTATTTTACTGACTATTTTTGCCAATTGTGTGGCCTTAGCGATCTATATTCCCTTTCCAGAAGATGATTCCAACGCCACCAATTCCAACCTGGTAAGTCCACCATCCTCAAGTCTCTGCTTTTTCACTCGATGGAGAACTGCGTTCAGATCACATAGATGCATGGAATGTGGGAGAGAAGTGAGACGTGTGTTTGGCATGTGCAGGAGCCCTGCAGAGCTCACATCCCGAGTGCTGTTTTACTCTTTATTCAAATCAGCACCTGTCTCATTCCGGCCTGTTTTCCAAAAGAATATTCCAGTTAGGTGGTGGTGAGCTCTGTGTGTGTGTGTGTGTGTGTGTGTGTGTGTGTGTGTGTGTTTAGTAGCAAATCCCGTGACTGCTACAAAATGTGCTGCAAAAGTTGTGAGTGCAGGTGTTCGCTGCAGCGAACATCTGTTCTTGGATTGTGTTGTATTTCCTTTGAATGTCTTTGTTCCATTGGTGGGGTTTGCTCAGGTGATCTGGAGTGTTGCTGCACGATAAATAATTTCTAGGAAGCTTTTAGGAACATTTGCTTTTGCAGCCAACATGTATTATTGAGTTAGAAGGGCCTTATTTTATTGGGAAAGGCGGCTTTCCATTTGGATTGTTGAGGGGCCAGCTCTGGCAATTTGGGGTTAGAATTGGTCCATGGAAAAAGTGGAGAGTGTGTTTACTTTTGGCTGAGCTTGAAGTCATTACAAAGACTTTTGCTCCATCTGGGCATGTGAGGAAAAGAGCTCTGGAATGCAGTTGGCAAAATTGGGGCACTCCAGGATGCCTCTGCAAAAGGCATGCAGGGAAAATCCCGTCTCTTTCTCCCCCTCCATTGCAGAGACACCGTCACTCTCCACGTGATTTCCACATGGCGTGTTTGGTCATCAGAGCCACCGTCTTTCCCCTGCCGTCAGTACCTTCCTTTAATTACTGAGATGGAACCGTCCAATGAGATGGTTTTTAAAAGAAGCAGGCAGCTTATAGGATTCTCCTTTCCACAGCTGCTGGGCTGATGCCATCACAGGGTGGTTCTTGTATTTTGTAACCTTTGACATTTTCTTGGGCCCTTTCAGCAAAAAAAAATATGATGCACGTTTTAACTTCTCAGCTGTCGCCCCAGTTTTTTCAGGTAACCGCTGATGCATAGCAGGTAAGGTGTTCACCGCCTGCGGGCTGTGGTGTCTTGTGGCTCGGCTTGGGGCCCTTTGTTGGGGACAGGCTCCAAAAATTTCAAAGCTGGGCACACCACTGAGTGATGGCATGGCCAGAGTCGGAAGGCAGAGCATCGGCCGCCGTCCGTGAGGCCATCCGAAGCGTGACCTCATCTCTTAAGGGGCAAGAAATCTTTACTGTGTCAAAATAAATACAAGCCAAAGTGTCTCCCTGAAGCAGGAACTCCTTCCCTTGGTTCCATTTCTTCCCTGTGTAGCCACCTCCTTCCTCTGCCATGGTCCTCCCAACCCTCCTACAGTTTCACATTTAATCTGCAACTTTTAAAGAGGAGCCTTCGTTCCACATAGAATCCGTATCTTGTTCTTAAGCTGATGACACTTGGGGCTGCTCAAGGCCCATGCAGTGGTGAAGGTGTGTAGAGGAGTTTGGTTTTTCTTAGGTCCTGAGATGGCCACATGTAGCCCCTTCACCCCTCGGTTTCCAGGAGGATTAAGGGAGCCACTTGGCTTGCTGAGCTAGAGGGAAGCCCTGGGCTGGCTGAGACCCCTCAACTCTGGACCTCCTGGAGGCAGAGGGGCTCGTAGGAGAGGACAAGAGGTCACCCTGGACTTCTTCTGGAGCTGGAGTGAGGTTGCTGTGTACAGATGAGGTGGGAGGGATGGCAGGTTTTTATCACATCACAGAGTGATGGAAGAATTCTAAAGGAGGTGGTGGGGCTGCTTGCACAACTGTGTAACTTTACCAAACATCATCGAATTGTGTACTTACAGGGGGTGAACTTTATGGTATGGTAATGATACCTCAAAAAAGCTGCAGATGACTTCTCATTCTCTGCATTCCACAATGTCGCACTTCCCCTGGGGCAGTGAATGCTGCCAGCTGAAGGTGGGGGGTGGCATCAGAAAACCCTTAAAACAGATGAATAAATACGACCTCATATCAGCTAATAAATCAGAACACGATTCTGCCCCATGGAGAAACCCATCGCGAGTGCTGTGACCCGGCCTCCCGGTCCTTGCTCTCTACAGCATCTTGAAGCTGCAGCATCTTTGCAGATGCCCCCTTTACAAAGCACATTCTCCCCTTGCTTCTTCCAGCCTCTCCTCCTGTGTCTACACGAACGTTTACTAGGCTTTTGTCCTGAGCCCTCTGATTTTCTTCTTCTGCACTCTCCCTTTGGGGAGCTCATCTGTGTCCACAGATTTAAGTTACCTTTCCAAGTAAATTGTTGCTAAGACTGACATCTCCAGTGCTAAGCCTTTCCAAAGGCCTGGCCCCATATTTCCCGCATTGGAGAGGCCTGTGGACCGGTGCAGCGACCGCTGAGGCCTGCACATCATTACAACCCGAGAGAACTCCAACTGTGCAGACCCCAGCTCCCCTGCGGATCTGATTCACATTTAGTAGTTCTGGGGCATGGTCTGGGGATGCGCATCAAAAAATTTCCTCGCAGGGATGCCGATGATTAGTCAGCTTTGGGAACAACCGGCCTCTTGGGCAGAGCAAAATTTGAGTTGGACAGACCTGACTTCAAATCTTGGCTTCTCCACTTTAAGATTAAGTCTGGGCCGGGCGCAGTGGCCCATGCCTGTAATCCCAGCACTTTGGGAGGTTGAGGCAGGTGGATCATGAGGTCAGGAGATCGAGACCAGCCTGGCTAACACGGTAAAACCCCATCTCTACTAAAAATACAAAAAATTAGCCAGGCGTGGTGGCGGGCACCTGTAGTCCCAGCTACTCAGGAGGCTGAGGCAGGAGAATGGTGTGAACGTGGGAGGCGGAGCTTGCAGTGAGCCGAGATCGCGCCACCGCACTCCAGCCTGGGTGACAGAAGGAGACTCCATCTCAAAAAAAAAAAAAAAAAAAAAAGGTTAAGTCTGAATCTTAGTCTGAGGTTATTTAGTCTTTCCAAACCTCAGTTCCCCAGCTTGTAAAATGGAAGTGACCTCAGAGGGTTCTAGGGAAGAGTAGGGCGGGCAGTGACAATTATATGTGCCAGGATGTCTTGCCAATACCTCAAACAAGCCCCAAATAGAACTCATTCTCTCTCCCACCACACGACCCTGTCCCCCTGAAGAAAACGAAACATAGCCCAGGTGAATGCTGCTCCTTTTCTTTTCCCTTGGCCGGGTTGATGGCATTGCTGGCCTTGCTGTCACATGGAACCATCTCTGACATCTTCTTCCCCTTGCCATGCCCATCTGAGCAGGAATCCAGTCTTGGAGATTGTAATTTGCAATGTATCACATTTAGCTTTCTTTCTATTCTCAAAGTCATTTGTTCAGACTTCCTGTGCCTTAGTTTCTTCATTTATAAAATGGAAATAACGATAATGACAGTACCTACCTCATAGGGTTGTTGTGAAGATTAAATGAGCCAAAATATGTAAAGCCCTTAGGAGAGCACCTTAGTAAGGGCGAAGTGTTGGGTCTTGTTAATAGTGCTGGATACTATTGTTATTATTGTCATCATCATCATCCTTGTCAACCTAACCCAGGCCCTGTTGCCTTTTTCATGGACTCTTACAGTCACCTCCTTCCTGCTGTCCTCCCTCTGGTCTCTCCTTCCACTGGTCTAGCTCGTGTGTGTGTGTGTGTGTGTGTGTGTGTGTGTGTGTGTGTGCAGTCATTTGCCAAACATCTATACCAACAGATAGGCACTATGATTAATAGGGAAGATGAAACTGTAAACAGTTGTTTCAAATAGTGAAAGGTCTTATAAAGGGCCAGGGTGTCAGGGTGGAAGAACTGATTCATTTTGCTGTAGAGAAAGGATTAATGGCAAGTTTCACATAGGTTGACATATTTGCATTGCGTCTCTCAAGAAGAGGATGCCATAAGAGATACTTCAGGTTGAAGTGTACTCATGTGCAAAGGCATGAGTATACATGTGGTCACATTCTTTAGGACCAGAGGAAGGGGTGCTGGTTTTGAGGGGATGAGAAGAGCCAGGTGATGGGGGCTTGATGGCCCATGCAAACTGTTGGACTTAACTGCAGGTGAGGAGGAGGCTCGAAGGCTTTAACGGCAGAGGAGTGCTCTTGCAGCATGAGGAAGATGGCTCAGACGGAGGCCTCACTGTTTGTGAAGAGAAAAAGAAAGCTTGCCAGAGTCCAGATGGTGGTGACAATAAGGATAGAGAGGGGGCAGTGGATTTAGGAGGCAAGCTTGCCTGGACGGGTAACCAGTTGGATATCATGGGTGGCGGAGAGAGCTGGCTCCCAGGATGGTGATACGAGGAGCCAGGTGCCCTTGGCCAGGAGAAAGACTTCAGGAGGAAGGTCATATTTGAGGGGCAGGGAATGATGCGTACGATTAGGGATTGTCAAGTGGAGGAGCCCGTGGAGCGTGAGGCTGGGGATGTCCTACCGGCGGTCGACAGGAGCCTGCAACCCAGGAGACTGTTTATGCTGAGGATGGAGACTTGGGGGCAACAGGAGGAGAGACACAAGGAGAAGCTGTAGGTATGGCCCAGAGCACCTGCATCAGGGTGGAGTGGGAGGGTAGCAGTGACCACAGCCAGACCCTGGAGAACAGTGACGTTTGCAGAGGGTGGAGGAAGAGGAGCAAAGGAAGGTCATACACCACGTGTCAGGAAGGCTTAGCCTGAGAGGTAGGAGGGGAACCTGCTGAGAGTGGAGTCTTAGAAGCTAAGGGAACAGAGAGTTTAAGATATTCAAGAGGGGCTGGTTGGTAGTTCAAAATCGTGGCTCATGGCAACTCAAGGCCAATGACAAGAGGATTGGCCTGACTGAGAAGAGCTGAGCTTAGGGCCAAAAGTACGAGAAGAGGATATTGATCTGTGTCTGTACCCCTATGGAGGCCCTGAAGTAGTAGGTGCATGACAACTGTTTGCTGAGGTTCAATGCTTGAAACATTCCCATTGTTGTGCCAGAGTGGGATGCCCCAAATCACTTATGTACCCCGAAAATGAAGCTTGAGAAATCCTCCATTAGTTTCATAGCTTTTTTTAAAAAATTAAAGAATTGCGATTTCAGAGCCCTACTCTGAGAAACAGCAAAGAAGAGATGCTGATGCACCTGAAGCAGGTGGCTCTCAACCCCTGTGGCATAAGTTCATAGAGATGATTAAAATGCATGTTCCCAGGCCCTGCTCCCAGAGATTCTGACTCTGGAGTGGGCCCTAGGAGTTTGAATTTTTAATAAGCTCCCCTGGGGTTCTGATGCAAGTGGTCCTGGGCTGCTCTTTGAGAACAGTGACCTAGAATGTTCCTCATGGTGTGATTGGATCCACCTTCAGCTCCCTCCGCAATCAGCTCTGTCTACCCACAGGTTCCCTTTAGGATCCAAGCAGAAAGACGACACACGTCAACTGCTGAGAGCTTTCCCACTCCATTGGGTTCAAGAATAATCTATTTAGCAAAGCACACTCACACTGTCACAGAATTAGAAAAGATTCTTCTTTTCACACACACTTGCAAATTCACATCTGTGCTTGCTCCTGCTCTCAGATTCCCTCGCAAACGCATCGGCTTCCACCCATTCTGTCGCAGGCCCTTTCCTTTCTCCCACTTATTTTTCTAACACTTTGCTTTCTTCTGTTTCCAAGAGATGAAAAGTATTCCAGAATAGAGTTTTTTTTTTAAAAGATCTCTCTCTCATTATTTAAATAAAAGTCTGTTTGTTGTATGCTCCATCTAACATACACTTTTGCACCAAAATCCATCATCTTTGTTATCTTTTCCTCATGCTAGTGAAGCATAATGAAAGCTGAACTGGGCCATGACATGACAATTCTTTCTTTAGATTTAGTGCTGTTATTGGCAATGCCACCTCTATGCAGCACATCGTTTATAATATAGCAGCTGTAACCCCTGTCTACCAAGAGCTATTACCTGTTAGGTAGATTGTCTGATGTCTGTTGAACAAGCTCTGCAAGCGGAGCCGACTCATTGTGTGTGGAAAACTTCCTGTCCTCTGCATACCCTGAAGCCCACGAAGACTTGGCTTGAGTTGAAATATTAAGAGAATATATTTGGCATTTGACCTTGTGCAAAGAACAGTGCATGTACTTTCTGGAGCAAGAGCCAAGCTTGAAGTGGAGGTGGAGAGAAGACGGGATGAGGCCATCAAAGGGATCATCTTTTGGCTGGGCTTTCTTCCTTCAGAGGTTGTGAGAGGAGAAGCCGTCCGTCAGAGGGGCTTGAGCTAGACTAGGAAGAAGGTTGAGATGTCAGATTTGCCCATTTATTGGTGTAAAATTGGGGCAACCAGAGTTGCCTCATAACCTGGCTGAGAGGATTAAGTGAGTTACCATAAGTAAACTTCACAGGACATGCCCAGCACAGGCGAATGTGTGTTGCTCTTTGGAACTCTAAGCCAGGCTGAGGGCCCCTCCCCTCTGCCTGGTCCCTGGGGGTAAGTCACAGTCATTGGCACCTTGTGCTAGCTTTGGCCTCAGAAGGGTGGGAAAGAAGAGACCAAAACGCTGTGCTTTTTGGCAGCTGTGACCCAGCAAGATTAGTGTCTGTGTGCTCACCCTTGCCTTCTGACTACACAGGGAGAGAAGCTGGGATCCATTAATGGCCAAAGAAGAGCCCCAGAGGGAGAGCACTGGTGGGGGACCCCACTCCCCCACCCCTGAGCTTTGTGTGTCTCTTGCCAGTCTGCTCAGGAGGTGCCTGTCAGCCTGAGGTTCCCCCATTCCCACACAGTGCTGGGTTGAATCACCCGACATGGGGCCCTGCACTTGGACCACCACCGCAAGTTCTGAGATGCGTCTGAGCCCTATCGCCCCCCGTGCTTTGAGAAGTGAATGGAAATGCCACTTTGGGTTCCCCTCCTCTCCCTGCAGTGAACTGTGTTTTCTTTTATTATCAGGTTTGCCTAAGAGTGAGAAGTATTTTTATAGGGCTTTCATGCATCAACAATAATGATGACAATGAAATGAGCTTTATTATTGCTATCTCTTATGTGTTGTCCTAATGCAGCAGGTGTTAGGGTTTGCAGAAATGCTAGGGTTATAAAATACACTAATAGATAACTACAAGCAACAAACCACATAGCTACTGTATCATGTACAAACACCCTGTCCTGTGCTGTGTAGTGGGGTGTGGAAGGCAGGGTGGAGAGCCTGTTTTTGGATGAGAGAATGAGCTTGACACAGCGCATTGGGAAAGTGCTTCTACGGAGTCAGTTCTCCCCTCAGATTTTCCGGCTGAATGGGTCTGAGTGGGACCTGGGTGTGGGTGTGTCTTAAAAGCTATACCAGAGCCAGAGTTGCAGGCACTGACCTAGGAAGAGAGATCTGAACTGTGTGGCCTTAGGTCAGTCACTTAACCTCTCTGTTGGTATCTCTTTTGGCACGTGGAGTAGTAATGCTTGCTTAGTCATTGTAATTGCCTTTATTGAGTGACCACCAGGTACCAGAGCTTTGCGTGCAATGTTTCTAATCTCCACAACTGTAAATTATGCTTTCTATTTATTTGTTTACTTGATGGTAGAGAATGTATCCCTCTTGTTCATGGCTGTATCCCCAGTGCTTTGGCAATAACTGGCACACGTAAGGCTCTCCATAAATATCTGCTGAGTGAACCCTGGGTGAATGAATGGATCCTGTGAAGTGTTATCCCTTTATTTCAGATAAGAAAGTAAAGTCTCAGAGAAGTAAAGTGACTTGGTGAGGCAGTGGCAGGGCTGTAGTTGGAACTTAGGACTGTATGAAACCACAGCTTGGGTTCTTTGCTCTGTTCCCTGGGATGTGTAGGGTCGCTGTGAGTATCCAATGAAGTATATGTGAAAATATTTTAAAGATTAAACACTCTGTAGCAGTATTAACAGATTTAAAATAAAAACAAACAAAATTTGGTTCTGTTGCAAAATAAATTCAGTAAGTACCAAGTTAGCCAAAGGTAAATACATTATTTTTTTACCTTTTTTTTGAGACAGAGTCTCTCTCTGTCGCCCAGGCTGGAGTGCAGTGGCGCGATCTCGGCTCACTGCAAGCTCCACCTCCCGGGTTCACGCCGTTCTCCCGTCTCAGCCTCCCGAGTAGCTGGGACTACACGCGCTCAGCACCATGCCCAGCTAATTTTTTTGTATTTTTAGTAGAGACGGGGTTTCACCGTGTTAGTCAGGATGGTCTCGATCTCCTGACCTCGTGATCTGCCCGCCTCGGCCTCCCAAAATGCTGGGATTACAGGCGTGAGCCACTGCGCCCGGCCAGGTAAATACATTATTATAAGACTTCTCCAAGCCTCTAACACAACAGCAACAGACACTACTTATGACTTCACACCATGTGCAGATGCTGTCCTAAGTGCCTTGCGTATAAATGCGTTTAAACATGATTATAGCACGATGAGATGTTATTATCCCATTCAATAGATGAGCACACACAAGCTCAGAGAAGGTAAATAATTCACCCTGTGAGATGTAGCCCTGAAGCGAAGTCATGGCCATGCAGAAGTGGGTGAGGCATCTCCCGGTCTGTGTTCTTAGCCATTCTGCTACAGCTGCCTCCTTGTGTGGTAAGGTGCTCCGTGAGTCCCTGGACTAGCCAGACAGCACATCACCTTTCCCACTCATACCATCACAGACATCTTGAAGAATGGTGTTCCCGGGCTCACACCTTTGGGAAATGCTGCTCTGTGTTGCCCCAAGAACCGATGCATTAGGAGAAAGGACAGAGCTGGAAACGGGATGAGACACGTTGCAAGGCTGGTGTAGGAAAGGAGCAAAGACCACAGGACTGTCTTCATCAGGAACATGGCATTTCAAAATAGATGGCAGCTTCTGGATGGGTCTGTGCTTCATCTCATGGTCATAAACCCGCAGAGAGCCTGGGGCAATTGTTTGACTCAGGGTTTACTCACTAAATATTTCAGAGAGAGGAGAAAGCATTGTCTGCTCTGCGTTTGCCAGCGGATGGGAAAAGAGAGATGATGATTTGAAGTCTAAATATGGTGACACCTCTTGCTCCAGTTTTATCCATCTTTATTCATTTTTTGGGGGAGAATCTTCCAAATAAATTCACTGTTTATGTAATAGAACCCCTTTCATGTACCAAACTTCTTGTAATTTAAGTATATTTGAAGGAAGTCTTTCCAGAATATAAAATACAAATCCCTGGATCCTTAAAAGAAAAATCTGAACATATTTCATCCTTTTTCTGGGACTATACAATTCTTAGGAATTTCAATGATTGCACCTGTTGTAATGCTGGGGAGCTGTCAGGAGAGCTAAGCAACCCGCACAGGGTCCCGGAACGTCCTGACCTGGGGAAGATTTGGGATGTGCCTTTCATGCACCACCCTGTTGGGGTGTCAGCCTCCTCCAGCACCAGCCTGATTAATTTGCTCCCCCCTCTCTCCTGCAGGCTTGGGAACCAGTTGATCAAGTCCATTACAGTTATGTGCAAAGTTAGAGTAAATAGATCCTGATTGAGGACCTATGGGGCTTACTTATGAATAAAGTGCATTAGCTTTAATTTATGGGTTTTATAACATTGATTTTGGCTTCTTAGAAGCCATTTTTCCCCTTTATTCTCTTTGTTCTCTCTAGTTTCTGTATGATTGAAGTTGTTGGATTGGCGCCTTCTAACTAATAATAATAGCAGCAATAACTTCAGCCCTTACGCTGCTGGCATTGCTCTATGGTCCGTGTGTTAACTCATTTAGTCCCCTCGACTACCCCATGAGACCTTTCTTTTTTTTTTTTTTTTTTTTAATGCCAAACATTACATTTTATTACCTTTGAGCTTATTAACCAGCTTTGCGTTTATTAGCAAATACATTTAAATATCTCTTTTTTTTTTCTTTTCTTTTTTTATTATACTTTAGGTTTTAGGGTACATGTGCACATTGTGCAGGTTAGTTACATATGTATACATGTGCCATGCTGGTGCGCTGCACCCACTAACTCATCATCTAGCATTAGGTATATCTCCCAATGCTATCCCTCCCCCCTCCCCCCACCCCACCACAGTCCCCAGAGTGTGATATTCCCTTTCCTGTGTCCATGTGATCTCATTGTTCAATTCCCACCTATGAGTGAGAATATGCGGTGTTTGGTTTTTTGTTCTTGTGATAGTTTACTGAGAATGATGATTTCCAATTTCATCCATGTCCCTACAAAGGACATGAACTCATCATTTTTTATGGCTGCATAGTATTCCATGGTGTATATGTGCCACATTTTCTTAATCCAGTCTATCATTGTTGGACATTTGGGTTGGTTCCAAGTCTTTGCTATTGTGAATAATGCCGCAATAAACATACGTGTGCATGTGTCTTTATAGCAGCATGATTTATAGTCATTTGGGTATATACCCAGTAATGGGATGGCTGGGTCAAATGGTATTTCTAGTTCTAGATCCCTGAGGAATCGCCACACTGACTTCCACAATGGTTGAACTAGTTTACAGTCCCACCAACAATGTAAAAGTGTTCGTATTTCTCCACATCCTCTCCAGCACCTGTTGTTTCCTGACTTTTTAATGATTGCCATTCTAACTGGTGTGAGATGGTATCTCATTGTGGTTTTGATTTGCATTTCTCTGATGGCCAGTGATGATGAGCATTTTTTCATGTGTTTTTTGGCTGCATAAATGTCTTCTTTTGAGAAGTGTCTGTTCATGTCCTTCGCCCACTTTTTGATGGGGTTGTTTGTTTTTTTCTTGTAAATTTGGTTGAGTTCATTGTAGATTCTGGATATTAGCCCTTTGTCAGATGAGTAGGTTGCGAAAATTTTCTCCCATGTTGTAGGTTGCCTGTTCACTCTGATGGTAGTTTCTTTTGCTGTGCAGAAGCTCTTTAGTTTAATTAGATCCCATTTGTCAATTTTGTCTTTTGTTGCCATTGCTTTTGGTGTTTTGGACATGAAGTCCTTGCCCATGCCTATGTCCTGAATGGTAATGCCTAGGTTTTCTTCTAGGGTTTTTATGGTTTTAGGTCTAACGTTTAAATCTTTAATCCATCTTGAATTGATTTTTGTATAAGGTGTAAGGAAGGGATCCAGTTTCAGCTTTCTACATATGGCTAGCCAGTTTTCCCAGCACCATTTATTAAATAGGGAATCCTTTCCCCATTTCTTGTTTTTCTCAGGTTTGTCAAAGATCAGACAGTTGTAGGTATGCGGTGTTATTTCTGAGGGCTCTGTTCTGTTCCATTGATCTATATCTCTGTTTTGGTACCAATACCATGCTGTTTTGGTTACTGTAGCCTTGTAGTAAAGTTTGAAGTCAGGTAGTGTGATGCCTCCAGCTTTGTTCTTTTGGCTTAGGATTGACTTGGCAATGCGGGCTCTTTTTTGGTTCCATATGAAGTTTAAAGTAGTTTTTTCCAATTCTGTGAAGAAAGTCATTGGTAGCTTGATGGGGATGGCATTGAATCTGTAAATTACCTTGGGCAGTATGGCCATTTTCACAATATTGATTCTTCCTACCCATGAGCATGGAATGTTCTTCCATTTGTTTGTATCCTCTTTTATTTCCTTGAGCAGTGGTTTGTAGTTCTCCTTGAAGAGGTCCTTCACAACCCTTGTAAGTTGGATTCCTAGGTATTTTATTCTCTTTGAGCAATTGTGAATGGGAGTTCACTTATGATTTGGCTCTCTGTTTGTCTGTTGTTGGTGTATAAGAATGCTTGTGATTTTTGTACATTGATTTTGTATCCTGAGACTTTGCTGAAATTGCTTATCAGCTTAAGGAGATTTTGGGCTGAGACAATGGGGTTTTGTAGATATACAATCATGTCATCTGCAAACAGGGACAATTTGACTTCCTCTTTTCCTAATTGAATACCCTTTATTTCCTTCTCCTGCCTAATTGCCCTGGCCAGAACTTCCAACACTATGTTGAATAGGAGTGGTGAGAGAGGGCATCCCTGTCTTGTGCCAGTTTTCAAAGGGAATGCTTCCAGTTTTTGCCCATTCAGTATGATATTGGCTGTGGGTTTTTCATAGATAGCTCTTATTATTTTGAAATACGTCCCATCAATACCTAATTTATTGAGAGTTTTTAGCATGAAGGGTTGTTGAATTTTGTCAAAGGCTTTTTCTGCATCTATTGAGATAATCATGTGGTTTTTGTCTTTGGTTCTGTTTATGTGCTGGATTACATTTATTGATTTGCGTATATTGAACCAGCCTTGCATCCCAGGGATGAAGCCCACTTGATCATGGTGGATAAGCTTTTTGATGTGCTGCTGGATTCGGTTTGCCAGTATTTTATTGAGGATTTTTGCATCAGTGTTCATCAAGGATATTGGTCTAAAATTCTCTTTTTTTGTTGTGTCTCTGCCCGGCTTTGGTATCAGAATGATGCTGGCCTCATAAAATGAGTTAGGGAGGATTCCCTCTTTTTCTATTGATTGGAATAGTTTCAGAAGGAATGGTACCAGTTCCTCCTTGTACCTCTGGTAGAATTCGGCTGTGAATCCATCTGGTCCTGGACTCTTTTTGGTTGGTAAGCTATTGATTATTGCCACAATTTCAGCTCCTGTTATTGGTCTATTAAGAGATTCAACTTCTTCCTGGTTTAGTCTTGGGAGAGTGTATGTGTCGAGGAATTTATCCATTTCTTCTAGATTTTCTAGTTTATTTGCGTAGAGGTGTTTGTAGTATTCTCTGATGGTAGTTTGTATTTCTGTGGGATCGGTGGTGATATCCCCTTTATCATTTTTTATTGTGTCTATTTGATTCTTCTCTCTTTTTTTCTTTATTAGTCTTGCTAGTGGTCTATCAATTTTGTTGATCCTTTCAAAAAACCAGCTCCTGGATTCATTGATTTTTTGAAGGGTTTTTTGTGTCTCTATTTCCTTCAGTTCTGCTCTGATTTTAGTTATTTCTTGCCTTCTGCTAGCTTTTGAATGTGTTTGCTCTTGCTTTTCTAGTTCTTTTAATTGTGATGTTAGGGTGTCAATTTTGGATCTTTCCTGCTTTCTCTTGTGGGCATTTAGTGCTATAAATTTCCCTCTACACACTGCTTTGAATGCATCCCAGAGATTCTGGTATGTTGTGTCTTTGTTCTCGTTGGTTTCAAAGAACATCTTTATTTCTGACTTCATTTCGTTATGTACCCAGTAGTCATTCAGGAGCAGGTTGTTCAGTTTCCATGTAGTTGAGTGGCTTTGAGTGAGATTCTTAATCCTGAGTTCTAGTTTGATTGCACTGTGGTCTGAGAGATAGTTTGTTATAATTTCTGTTCTTTTACATTTGCTGAGGAGAGCTTTACTTCCAACTATGTGGTCAATTTTGGAATAGGTGTGGTGTGGTGCTGAAAAAAATGTATATTCTGTTGATTTGGGGTGGAGAGTTCTGTAGATGTCTATTAGGTCCGCTTGGTGCAGAGCTGAGTTCAATTCCTGGGTATCCTTGTTGACTTTCTGTCTCGTTGATCTGTCTAATGTTGACAGTGGGGTGTTAAAGTCTCCCATTATTATTGTGTGGGAGTCTAAGTCAATTTGTAGGTCACTCAGGACTTGCTTTATGAATCTGGGTGCTCCTGTATTGGGTGCATATATATTTAGGATAGTTAGCTCTTCTTGTTGAATTGATCCCTTTACCATTATGTAATGGCCTTCTTTGTCTCTTTTGATCTTTGTTGGTTTAAAGTCTGTTTTATCAGAGACTAGGATTGCAACCCCTGCCTTTTTTTGTTTTCCATTGGCTTGGTAGATCTTCCTCCATCCTTTTATTTTGAGCCTATGTGTGTCTCTGCACGTGAGATGGGTTTCCTGAATACAGCACACTGATGGGTCTTGACTCTTTATCCAATTTGCCAGTCTGTGTCTTTTAATTGGAGCATTTAGTCCATTTACATTTAAAGTTAATATTGTTATGTGTGAATTTGATCCTGTCATTATGATGTTAGCTGGTTATTTTGCTCATTAGTTGATGCAGTTTCTTCCTAGTCTCGATGGTCTTTACATTTTGGCATGATTTTGCAGCGGCTGGTACTGGTTGTTCCTTTCCATGTTTAGCGCTTCCTTCAGGAGCTCTTTTAGGGCAGGTCTGGTGGTGACAAAATCTCTCAGCATTTGCTTGTCTGTAAAGTATTTTATTTCTCCTTCACTTATGAAGCTTAGCTTGGCTGGATATGAAATTCTGGGTTGGAAATTCTTTTCTTTAAGAATGTTGAATATTGGCCCCCACTCTCTTCTGGCTTGTAGGGTTTCTGCCGAGAGATCCGCTGTTAGTCTGATGGGCTTCCCTTTGAGGGTAACCCGACCTTTCTCTCTGGCTGCCCTTAACATTTTTTCCTTCATTTCAACTTTGGTGAATCTGACAATTATGTGTCTTGGAGTTGCTCTTCTCGAGGAGTATCTTTGTGGCGTTCTCTGTATTTCCTGAATCTGAACGTTGGCCTGCCTTGCTAGATTGGGGAAGTTCTCCTGGATAATATCCTGCAGAGTGTTTTCCAACTTGGTTCCATTCTCCCCATCACTTTCAGGTACACCAATCAGACGTAGATTTGGTCTTTTCACATAGTCCCATATTTCTTGGAGGCTTTGCTCATTTCTTTTTATTCTTTTTTCTCTAAACTTCCCTTCTCACTTCATTTCATTCATTTCATCTTCCATTGCTGACACCCTTTCTTCCAGTTGATCGCATCAGCTCCTGAGGCTTCTGCATTCTTCATGTAGTTCTTGAGCCTTGGTTTTCAGCTCCATCAGCTCCTTTAAGCACTTCTCTGTATTGGTTATTCTAGTTATACATTCTTCTAAATTTTTTTCAAAGTTTTCAACTTCTTTGCCTTTGGTTTGAGTGTCCTCCCGTAGCTCAGAGTAATTTGATTGTCTGAAGCCTTCTTCTCTCAGCTCGTCAAAGTCATTCTCCATCCAGCTTTGTTCTGTTGCTGGTGAGGAGCTGCGTTCCTTTGGAGGAGGAGAGGCGCTCTGATTTTTAGAGCTTCCAGTTTTTCTGTTCTGTTTTTTCCCCATCTTTGTGGTTTTATCTACTTTTGGTCTTTGATGATGGTGATGTACAGATGGGTTTTTGGTGTGGATGTCCTTTCTGTTTGTTAGTTTTCCTTCTAACAGACAGGACCCTCAGCTGCAGGTCTGTTGGAGTACCCTGCTGTGAGAGGTGTCAGTCTGCCCCTGCTGGGGGGTGCCTCCCAGTTAGGCTGCTCAGGGGTCAGGGGTCAGGGACCCACTTGAAGAGGCAGTCTGCCCGTTCTCAGATCTCCAGCCGCGTGCTGGGAGAACCACTGCTCTCTTCAAAGCTGTCAGACAGGGACATTTAAGTCTGCAGAAGTTACTGCTGTCTTTTTGTTTGTCTGTGCCCTGCCCCCAGAGGTGGAGCCTACAGAGGCAGGCAGGCCTCCTTGAGCTGTGGTAGGCTCCACCCAGTTCGAGCTTCCCGGCTGCTTTGTTTACCTAATCAAGCCCGGGCAATGGCGGGCGCCCCTCCCCCAGCCTCGCTGCCGCCTTGCAGTTTGATCTCAGACTGCTGTGCTAGCAATCAGCGAGACTCCGTGGGCGTAGGACCCTCCGAGCCAGGTGTGGGATATAGTCTCGTGGTGCGCCGTTTTTTAAGCCGGTCTGAAAAGCGCAATATTCGGGTGGGAGTGACCCAATTTTCCAGGTGCGTCCGTCACCCCTTTCTTTGACTCGGAAAGGGAACTCCCTGACCGCTTGCGCTTCCCAGGTGAGGCAATGCCTCGCCCTGCTTTGGCTCGCGCACCCACTGGCCTGCGCCCACTGTCTGGCACTCCCTAGTGAGATGAACCCGGTACCTCAGATGGAAATGCAGAAATCACCCGTCTTCTGCGTCGGTCACGCTGAGAGCTGTAGACCGGAGCTGTTCCTATTCGGCCATCTTGGCTCCTCCTCGAGACCTTTCTTGTAATCACCCCATTTTAAAGATGAGGAAGGGGCACAGGGCAATGAACTAACTTGCCCAAGTTTGCATAGCTATGAAGCAGTGGAGCTGGGATTCCAGCCTGGGTGTGTGGCTCCCAAGTCTGTGCTTTTAACTGCTATGCTGTGTGGCCCCCAACTAAGGTATAAATGGGAGGGGTATTTTGCTTTGAATACGATGCCTTAATTATCAGGCCTTCAACTAGAGTTTATGCAGTGTGTGCGCTTCTGTCTTTACCAAGAGGACCAAGGGAGGAGCAACAGTGAAGGAGGGAGTGAACGTCCCCAGGCTGGGTGGTGTCTGTAGGGGTCCTGGGGGCATGCCATGGAGCCCCCAGGCCATGCCATTTGGAAAGCATAAGGGGTAGGCAAAGGGGAGGCCTTTTCATCTGCTACTACCTGAGAGGTAGACTTGGCTTTGAGGCCATATTTTCCCAGGGATCAGTGATTCATATTACCTGAGATCCTCAACCAAACAGGCCCCCGGGCCTCTTCCTAAATAGATGAGAATCTCTGGTTGGGGTGAGGGAACCCAGAATCAGCCTGACTTTCTGAGACAAACTTAAAACTTGAGGGACCCTTCTCGTGGACTGAGTCCTTGGAAGCAGATCTTGGGAGCTGCTGGGCCTGCATTTGAACTTGGGGCCTTCATGGGACCCCAGTCAGTACTGGTGGTTGGCAGGGCTCAGAGCATAACATGTGGGGGACCCCACGGCGCCCCGCCCAGGTGAGAGCAGTCCCCCTCTCGTGCCGAGAGGCTCCACAGGTTTTGCCTGTGCACCCTAGGCCCCACTGGAGACGTGGAAACATCGAAGAGCTACGGCCTGAACACCAGGATGTGGGATGGGTAGTAAGAGAGTGCTGAGCTGCATGTCCTAGCCCTGGGCTCTGGTTCCAGTTCTACCTCTGCCTGGTGGCACGGCCTTGTCACTTCACTTCTCTGAGTTTTAGGTTTCTCGGCTGTGAAATAAAGATAATAATTCCTACCTCACTGAGTTATGGCAAGGGCAAATGAGAATATAGATAGAAATGCTCCGCCCAGCTCTACCAAAAAAAAAAGTATATATATACACACACATACACACACATTAGCTGGGCATGGTGGCTTGCACCTGTAGTTTTAGCTGCTTGGGAGGCTGAGACGGGAGGAGTGCTTCAACCCAGGAGTTCAAGGCAGCAGTGAGCTATGATTACACCAGGGTGATGGGGCGAGACCCCATGTTTATTTTTTAAAATGCTCTGGAAAAATGCAAAGTGCCATATAAACATAGAGGCATTATTGTGATCATTATTACTGTTATGATTCAAACTAGACAGATATATTTGTCTCTAAAATACTTACTGTTTTTTTTTTTCTGGCACATTCCTCTGTGAACCTTTTTCCTCAGCCTCCTCTCAAGATAACTTAGAGATGCAAAAGAACTAGAAGCCAAGTTCCAAATTTAGTTCTTGACCTTTCCAAGATGGGTGGTGAGTGGTGTGGCTGCAACCTGCCTGCTGCCAAGAGTCTGGCAGGGCTGCCGGGGTCCGGGAGCGCCAGGCCAGTGGACCCTGTCTTTGTGTGCAGTCCTGGAGCCGACACATCGCCTCACACAGGCGCCCCTGCCGGGAGCTCATGCGGGCCACTCCCTGTTTTCTCACTGGGTCTAGCTGAACTCTGGCACAGCGAGTGTAGCTGCTGAGTAGTTCGTTTGGTGCTGTCCTGTGACTTGCAAACCCCTTCCTCAAATGCATAGCAGAAATAGTGGGAAAACCCCAGGGCTTTTATTATCTGGGCTCTCGGGCACACAGTCAGAAACATGGCCTGGGGCAGCCTCTCTTCTCTGTGCCTTTGAGTCCTGAGGAACAAGGTCAGGCATCAAGAATAAGGAAGGCCAGGATATCCAGGAGGAGACCTCACGTCTGCACCGAGGCTTCATCAGATCTGACTGGAAGTGCTGTGGTCCCTGTGGCCAGGCCAGCCTTCACAGGGCTGGGGAGCACAAGCCTTGGTGTGGCCTGTGCTTGCAGATGGATCCTGGTTGTGTGGGGGAAGGCAGGTGGCAGGTGGTGGATGCTATGCTTGAGGGCTGGGCTGTGTACGCAGCTCACAGTGTGGAGGTGCTTGAACCCTGGCAGTTGGGCACGGTTGATAGGGACGGGCCTTGTGGGAGAAGGTGTCGAAGGCCAGGGTGTGGCTCCGAGTCCCACTTCTGCTAGACTGACCAGAGAGAGCAGGTAAGAGAGTGACCAGCAGCAGGCCGGGGTCACTTCCACGCTTCCTGCCCATCGGAGGAATGTTCCAGAGGTTATCCCAGAGAGAGGTGAAGCCCAACATGGTCTTTCAGCCACACGCCGGGCTCCCCTTCCCCTTCTGCCATGAGTGGAAGCAGCCTGAGGCCCTCACCAGAAGCAGATGCTAGAGCCATGCCTCTTGTGCGGCCTGCAGAACCGTGAGCCAAATACGCCTCTTTTCTTTTTAAGTAACCCTGCCTCAGGTATTCCTTTATAGCAACACAAATGGACTTAGACAATCCCCAAGGCCCAGACTTGGAGTCCCTTCTTGTAGGAAGTTTTCTCTGCTCCTCCATGACTGGCTTTGGTGCTGCCCTCTGTGTTTCCATAGCATTCTAGATGACCCCTATCAAAGCACATTTAGCCTCCTGCTTACTCATCTGCGTCTCTCAGTGTGTTTGTTTTCTAGCACTGCTGTGAAAATACCATGCATTTGGTGGCTTAAAACAATAGAAATTTATTGTCTCACAGTTCCAGAGGCCAGAGTTTCAAAGTCCAGGTGTTAGTAGCATTGGTTCCTCTGGGCACTCTGAGGAGTGTGTTCCGTGCTCCTGCCCTGGCTCCAGTGTTGCCAGCAGCGCCTGGCATCCCTTGGCTTCTAGGTGCCTCACTCCAGATCTCTGCCTCCGTCTTCACATGGCGCGCTCCCCTGGGTGTTTGTGTCTCTGTGTCCAGCTTTCCCTCCTCTGATAAGGACAGCAGTCATTGGATTAGGGCTCCTTCACCTTAATCCAGTATAACCTCATTTTCACATGATTCCATCTGCAAAGACTTTATTTCCAAATAAAGTCCATCTGCAGCTCTCACCAGCAGCGAGCCCTGTGCAAGAAGGGATCACATCTACACAGATCCAGTGCAGTACCTGGAGTACAGCTGGGGCCTTGCGCATGTCTGTGAGGGCCAGGCCAGGCTGTTAGAGTGTTTCTTGAAGGAAGGTGTGCTTCAGTGTGGATGCTGGTCCTGACTGGGCCGCTGCCCTTGCCTGTTAGCTCCAGACAGGGTGGGCTTCTGTACCCGTTTACAGTATAGCCGCCTGAGGGACCGTGGCATGTGTGGCAGAGGAGATCTCTTGCGCCCCTGAGGTCCTCCAGTTATATCTTAGTCCTGCAGCTTAGCACCAATGCCTCCTCATTCTCTGCCTCCTCTGCCCGCTGGCCTCAGACATGCGCCCTAAAGATGGGAGCATGCAGTGTGAACTGGAGGTGTAAGGGGTGAGGCCGCTCCCAGGACACAGCGGGCCTCATGCGACATGCCCTGGCTTCTGGATCCCTAAGCACCGAGGCCATCCAGGGAAGGGCTGGCCTCCTCCCTGGCTCTCAGGGTGCTGTGAATCAGGTTTGGCAGGGGTCTCAGCAGGGGCTTATCTCTGCCACAGTTCAGTCCAAACAGGATGAGCAGCTCTTGGTGGACCAGCGGTGACCCAGGCAGCTCCTGGTGCTGTGTACTAGGCTAGGAGCTTTGGAGGGCGTCCCTCCCTGCAGACCCCTCTCTCACTGCCCATACGGCTGTGTGTTGTCATCATATTTTGGCAGAGAACCTGTCCCATAACCAGAGAACCTCTGTCCTGGGACAGGGACAGGCCCCAGCTCACTCTGGGAACAGTCACGGTGGGTGGACGATTTGCAGAATGGTCGGAGACCCTCCAGCAAGAGGATCCATTGTTCACGACTGCAGGGTGATTTCTTTGGGATTGCAGACAAGGGCCTCCCAGTCACTTTTGGTTTGGTGTCTGTTCTTAACACAGTTCCTGAAACATAGAAGGCACTCGATGAGTATTTGCTGAATAAATAACTGAATGAATATGTGAAGAAGAGAAGCTGTTCATGGACTAGGGATTCTGGCAAGGTGTGGCATGGCTGAGACAGCACCAGATGAGAGGCTAGGAGGCCTCCATCCCAGACCTCTCTCTGCTCCTCACCAGCTGAGTGACCTTGGGCAAATGTCTTTGCTTCTCTTGACCTCTGTTTGTTCATTTTTCTTAATCTAGGAGAGGAGTATATGTAGAGGATTCTTTTATGTTCTGTGCATCTGTGGTCTTTTGCCTGACAAGTAGACCATTTGACTTCATATGAGCACATTCCTTCATGCATTCCTTCTGTCATATTTATTAAATGCCTACTGTGTACCAGGCTAGGTGCTGGAAAAGCAAGATGTGCGGAAACAAGGGTGCGCAGGGTCTCTGCCCTCACAGAGCTTGTCAGGTTTGATAAGAGCTTACGTTCTTATGATGCCAGCCAATAAACAACTGGCAACTTCATACACACCATGCTTTCAGAGCACTGTGAATATTAATACCATGGAGAAAGTAAAGGAGATAATGAGATGGAGAGTTCCAGGGTAAGGGCCCACCTGGAGCGGGTAGGCAGGGAGGGTCTCTCTGAGGAGGTGGCACTGGGGCTGAGAGGTGGTGACAAGATGGGCTGGCTCTGGGCAGACCTGGGGAGGAGGCTGCGGGCAGGGGACAGCAGGGCCAGGACCCCGAGGTGAGCAGGGCCCACTGTGGCTGCTGCTCAGGAGGGGAGATGAAGGAGGATGTGAGTGGGGTTGGAGGGGCAGACAGGGGCTGAATTATGTGGGTCAGCATGAGGAGTTTGTTGTGAGTGTGACGTTGGCAGGTCTGTGTGCTTCCCAAGGCTCCAGAGGAGCAGGAAGGATCTGGAGGAGGGTTAGGAAGGTAGCAGAGATAGGCGAGGGTTACGGCCTTGACTTTAGCATTCCCAGAGCAGTTGATGTGGTTGCCAGAGGGCCTGGCCAGAGCTCACTGGGGAAGAAAGCCCTGGACGGTGCAAGCTGCCATTTCTTGAAGGGAAGTCGGTCATGGAAACATGTCAAAGGGACCTGCCAGAAGCTTCTGGGACACAAGGCTCTTGTGAGGTGTTTTCCCGTCTCTTTTGTGTACACTGTGGGCTTGGCCATCCAGCCTTCATTTCCCTAGCAACTTCTCTACATCCAGATCCATAAGAGAAACCTTTCTGGTCACCCCATAAGGGATGCAAGCTCCGTAACGAGCACTCAGGCTCCTCGCTGATGGGGGCTGCGAGGTTCCAGAAGGTTGGCCCATGCAGCAGGCCACTCCTTAGCGCCTCTGGCCCTGGGTAGACTTTGGCCTCAGGGGAAAGGAGCGTGGAGACAGCTGTGGACACCCAGATTGCTGTATATCTGACAGCGCTTGGCCCCCATCTATCTGGAAGTGGGGTGAGGCAGACTGCATTTTCAAGCTCAACCCTTTCCTTTATGGCAGCTGGGGTGGGTGACCAGCCCTGTGTAAGCCATAATAACCCAGCCTGCATGAGGATACCATAAAGCGGAAGCCGGGCGGCTCTTTGAAGGGATGACGTGGGAAGGGTATCCTCTCCTTTCCAGCATTCCTTCATTTGGGGAGCACTGCCTCCTTGGGACAAGACTCTGTATTGGGGAGGCAGCACTGAATGGGGAAGTCCCTGGTCTGGTGGGGGACAGCCACCACCTGGCACGTGATGGTGGCAAGAATGCCTAATGCTTATGAGTGCCGCAGTGTGCAGCTCTGTGCCTTACACACGTCACCTCCCACCATCTCCCAAGGACCGTGTGGGGTGGATCATACAGTCAGGCACTGCATAACAAGAGTCTGATCAAGGACAGAGCACATGTACGATGGTAGTCCCATAAAACTATCACGGAGCCGAAACCTCCCTATCTTTCTGCCGTCGTAATGGTGCAGTGGCACTCATTACTTACGTGTGTGTGGTGGTGTGGTGCTGTTGTAAACAAACCTACTGGGCTGACAGTCTTATCAAAGTCTAGCACAGACAGTTCTGTACAGTACTGTACAGTACACAATACTTGATAATAAATGACTGTTACTGATTTACGTATTTACTGTGCTATACTTTTAACTGTTATTTTAGAGTATACTCCTACTTATTAAAACAAACGTTAACTGTAAAACAGCCTCAGGCACGTCCTTCAGGAGGTAGCCATAAGAAGGCATTGTCATCTTAGGACATGCAGCTGTGTATTATTTTCCCCGAAGACCTTCCAGTGGCACAAGATGTGGAAGACAGTGATATGGATGATCCTGACCAAGGATCCTGATCCTTGATATCGACGATCCTGGCCTAGGCTAATGTGGACATTTGTGTGTTAGTTTTTAACAAAAACCTTGAAAGTTAAGAAAATGTTACAAATAGAAAAAAGCTTATAGAATATGGATAAAAGAAAAGTATTTTTGTACAGCTATACAGTGTGTTTGTGTTTTAAGCTAAGTGTTATTACAAAAGAGTCAAAAAGTTAAAAAAAATTAAAAGGTTTGTAAAGTAGAAAAGTTACAGTAAGCTGAGGTTAATTTTTAATTGAATAAAGAAAATCTTTAAATTTTTTTTTTTGTTTTTTGAGACGGAGTCTCTCTCTGTTGCCCAGGCTGGAGTGCAATGGTGCTATCTTGGCTCACTGCTACCTCCGCCTCCCAGGTTCAAGCAATTCTTCTGCCTCAGCCTCTCGAGTAGCTGAGATTACAGGTGCCTGCCACCATGCCCGGCTAAGTTTTGTATTTTTAGTAGAGACGGGGTTTCACCATGTTGGCCAGGCTGGTCTCGAACTCAGGTGATCCACCCGCTTTGGCCTCCCAAAGTGCTGGGATTCCAGGTGTGAGCCACCGCACCTGGCCTAGAAAATCTTTAAAATAAATGTAGTGTAGCCTAAGTGCACAATGTTTGTAAAGTCGACAGTAGTGTCCTGTAATGTCCTAGGCCCTCAAATTCACTCACCACTCACTCACTGACTCACACAGAGCAACTTTCAGTCCTGCAAGCTCCGTTCATGGTAAGTGCCCTATACAGGTGCACCATTTTTTGTCTTTTATAGATTATTTTTTATGTACCTTATCTATGTTTAGACATGTTTAGATACACAAATACTTACCATTGTGCGACAGTTGCTACAGTGTTCAGTACAGTCTCAGGCACGGTCAGAGGCCTGGGAGCACTAGGCTGTATGTAGCATACAGTCTGCGTGTGTCGTAGGCTGTGCCATCCAGGTTTGTGTAAGTGCACTTTCTGATGTTCACACAACAACAAAATCACCTAACGACTTATTTCTCAGAATGTATCCCTGTCATCAGGAGATACAAGACTATAATTAGGGGTAAACTTTAAAGGACTTTGTTGAGAAGACCATTCATGTGGGGCTTCCTGGATTTGGTTGGGTTGTGGTACCTCCTCTAGTGATGCAGAGCCTTCCTATGATTTTTCTCCCTGCCCCACCCCAATGCCCACCCTTTCGATTTGCTATTTCCTCTCTCCACCTCACCCCAACACCCAGTGCTATTTACATGCTATCTATATGATGTAAGTTGTGTCTTTACTTTTCAGCTGCCTGACTGTGAATTTATAATCACTGGTATTGGTAACAGTAGGCTAGTTAGTTGGTCCAGTCAAACAAAGATGAACTGATCCCTGCTCTGTTGCTTGTGGTCAGCACCACGTGGGCACACAGGAGGACTAATCATTCCTGTGTAAACGCTGAGAAAACAACTAAGACACATGGAAAAATTAGGAGCTATCTGCAGGATTCTGACTGTAATGTGATTATTAGAAAGCCAATAAGGCAGTGGTTAGCATGAATTGGAGTGGTAGAAAAGGATTTCTTGGAAGAAGCCGGGCTTGAGTGCCATCTTGAAGGGTGTAGAAGAATTGTCTGGACCAATGGTAGGAGTGCTGGGATTCCAGGTAAGGAAAAGAAGAGACACCATTCCATGTGAAAGATATCATTTTGACATATAAACACAGAATTTCCAAAGTTCAGTCTAAGATCATTCTTAGGGTGGTCTGTTTTCATTCATTCAACAATTACCTATCGAGCACCTATCATGTATGAGACACAGCAGTGCTTAAAACACACACAGTTCCTGCCTTCATAGGGCATCCTTCTATCTAAGGGAGACAGGTATTCAGTATCTATTTACATAATTATTTATTCATTTATAACTCACCTCTAAAATGTTTAGGTTTGGGGTGTGACTATATTTGTTTTAAGTTAATATTTTACGCGTGCTACTGAAAAAACAAAACCCAAACTAATGATCACTGTATTTCATGGAAGCGGGGGCTGTCTCATGAAGATGACATTTGTCTTAAATTATGATTGAAAAAAATGTTTTAGGGTAGATTGTTTGTAGAGTTTTTCATCCTGCTAAAGTGATCCCTAAATCATAAAACTTGAGACTTGCTGAATGAAAGGGATAAAAGAGTGAGGAGGACCTACAAATCTTCATGGGGAGTAGATTGTGTCTGTTTGAAGTAAAGCCACACCTGTCATGAGGGACCAGGAGAGGCTTCTAGGAGGAAAGAGAACATACCAGGGAAAGAACTGAGCAAACTTTCAACCCTCTGCAGTATTAGAGGTGGACAGGAGGGCAGCACTATATTGGAGAGATTGTTAAACTGAAAACTCAATTAGCATGCACAAAAAGTATATGTGTTTAAGGCTGTTTTAACTGTTGGTGAGATGCTGAGCTGCTAAGGGCTGCCTGCTGTCATTACCTATTAGCAAGACTTTAAATTCTGACTTGCTGAAGTACGTATTTCCCCCTGTAGCTAGCCATTTCTAGTAAAGCTTGTTTATTTTTATTTTTGTAAAAAAAATGGTTATAGTTAATTTATCCTTTTGGAATTGGAAGAGCTTCCTGCCTGAATAACTTTTTTTTCTTTTCATTTTCTCCAGTGTAGAATTGCTGGTTTTGGCCTTTTGGAGCTAAGTAATAAAACTCTTTGTTTATTCTGCTGGGTCTTTGCTTGTGTTAGAGCTGTTTTATCTCAAACATTTGTAATTCTATAAATTGAAATCAGCTTTTCTTACACTTGTGGATTCCTTTAGATTTGAAATCTATTCTTGGTTACGTTTATAGCTTCAACACGCCTCTCATTGTAGGTTTATACATGTGTTTGCTTGCTCATTTATTTTGTCATCATTTGCTCATTTTATTACCAGTTATTGAGTGCCTACTGTGTACCAGGCACTGGGCAAGGGGCATTCTGTGAGAGAGGGTATGGTACCTGCGGGCTTAAGTAGTCCGTGGGCTTGTGAGGAAAACGCTAGATTAAATCTTGATTACTGTAAATGTCAAGTATGGCCAAGTGTGGGATTTCGTGGCAGGAGTGAGCTTTCCTGGAATTTGTCTTTCTTGCCTCAATTTGCCTGATAGTCATTTCATGCTAGGGATGTTTTAAAGTCTCTGGGGAGGCCCTGCAGTGTAGAGGAAAATGCTGATCCACACCAGAAATGCGAACCTGGCTCTCTGCCCTTGGGCAAGTCACTTAACCCTCCTGAGCCTCAGTTTCCATCTGTCACTTAGAGCTGATTATACCTACTTAACACCCAGGCTTTTTGTGAGGGGCATTATCTCATTAGAGATAATGTTTTTAAAAGCTCTTTGTAAATTGTGTAGCATTCAAATGGAAGTTATTGTTATTTTTATTATTGAGTGCCTTCTAATTCAACACTGGGATAGTAACAAAAGAAGAGAGGGGTTATTATCACCCCTCTTCCCTGTCACGTTTAGATTGGGGCAAGGAAAGGTTCTCACCCTCGAGGAATTTATGATCAGACTGGGGAGACAAGAACCAGTTTGAGAAGCAGGTAATGGTAGTTGAGAGAAGGGATAGAGGGCTCAAGAATCTCTCCGCGCCTTTCTGGCTCCAAAATTCTACAGTAGGAGTCAGGAAAGGCTTCACTTGTGAAGTGGCACTTGAGTGAGGCCGTCATCAGCATAGGAATCAGAATCATCTTTGTGTGCTCATCATAGTAAAATAAATATTGATTGAGTAGCAGTATGTGGCAAGGGACTCACAAATACATTTTGGTTGAGGAGTCAGGTTACTTGGATAAAAAATGATAATGAATGGTACAAAATTCCCTCCACTGGCGCCACAGGAGGGGCAGCCCCGGGCCTGAGGTCTTTGGGAAAGGTGTGGGGAGGCGGTGGGCACAGGCCTAGGGAAGGGCAGGATTTAGACGAAAGCAGAGCCATTGGAAAGGCATATTCTGTGTTTCCACTATTGACAGCCTCAATTATTGGTTTTCCCATTCAGCTTTCTGCTCTCAGTACCCCATTCTGTTTACCTGCTGGTGGGCAGAGCGTCACACAACCAAACTCGCGTAGCCTTCTTCACCCTTTCCCCTCTTTTCTGCAGAATGGGTTTGTTATGACTTGACTGTGATTTTTCAGGCCTTTAATCATCCAAGGTGAATGTCTAAGGGTGGACCCAAGCAGGGCTGGACCCAAGCAGGGCTGAGTTAACTGGACCCAAGCAGGGCTGAGTTAGGGGAAGCAGGGAAGAGAGGGGAAGGACAGCCTGAGCCCTTCCAGACACAGGCAAAGGAGAGAGGACAGACATATCCTCCCTGAGAGCTCTCCAACCCCCCCAATTATCAAAGCAAATCAATGTCACTCTAAGTCATATCTCCATACTAGCTCTATCCTTTCTCCTGTCCCTATCTCTAGGTCTATAAATTCAGGGCTTAAGGGATTTCTAGGGAAATTACAGCAAACGAATCACTGAGAGAGGGGGGGAACCTCCAAAATGTTGTGAGTTGCTTGTTTAATGTTTCAGGAGCTTCAAAGAAATTGAGCAATTTAGATTAAATTTCAAGAAGTGGGGCTGACTAGAGAGAGAGGAAAGTTAGAAACAGCGTGCTATAGAGGTTGATGGTGGGAATAAACTCTGCTGTTTCAGCCAGGCCAGGCTTCCTTCCAGTGTGCTTCTGTATGATGTTAATAAATGGGAAAGTGATTGACAACTTCCTTAGGCAACTTTGGGGAGTGAAATGCCAAATTTGGGCAAAGCAGACCTCTAGCTTTATTGGTATTGGGGCTTTGCCAGAATTATCTGCTATTAAATACTTCCAGGGACCTGTTGCCTCTTTGTGACAAATGTTAGATAATTTCCATTAACTGCATTATTGATGGAGAAAGCAGAAAGGTGAGAGAGTGGAGAGAGTAAAGATTGAATGAGTGTCAGAACTAACTGGAGGAAGAGGGAAGATAAAGATGTGAAGAAGTATATATCTGAGGATAAAATGTAAAATGAAATTAATGAAAATACGATGGTCAGATTGGAAGGAGAGAAAATGCAAATTACAGAGTGAAAGAAGACTTCTTTCTACTCTCAAATGTTTTGGGGGGATTTTGGGGGGGCAAATAGGCAGTAGGTTTTCACACCTTTTGAAAAACCCACCTCTTCACACTTGAGTTTTCATGTTCTTGGTTCATAATCCTAGGATTACCATTGTCAGTTGTGCAGAATCCCATTGGAAAGCAATATGCCATCAGTACATCTGGTAACAGGAGGATGCTAGGAATGGGAATACAGAATATTTATGCAACTTCTAGGCTTCTAAAAATTGTATGTTTACATGCATATATACACATACATGCACACTTATATAAAACCTGTCAAATTTTTCAAAAATTTTTGAAAGGATTAGCATTATAAAGTCATAAGGAATCTCTGAAGGGACTTTAGAGTAGAGAAAGATGTGAGAAAAAGCCTAAATATATCACTCTGCAGCAAACCAATCATCCACACAACCACAGAAATCTCTGATAAATCTCTTATGAACTAAACTCCCTGTTGCCCGATGGTTCTTTTTGGAAACTTTGTCTCTGTCTTTCGTATTGAAATATCGCACTGAAAAGACCTGCCATGGAGATGTTGATCCCACTTATGGGCAAGAGGGCGTCTGAACTTGTCTTCCAGCCATGGCTCAAAGATTGCAGATGGAAATCCCTGCTGCTCACATTTGTATATTTGATCAAACTCTTTTCATGGCCAGACCAGGCTCCAGGGGTTCTGGGTCACATCTTCCCTCTAGCTGCCATTTACTTTGATCATACTAGTAATGATTACCATCTACAGCATGTATTATGTGCCAGGAACTTTGAATTTGTCATCTTTTTGGTTTTCTTGGGACAGGGTCTCACTCTGTCTCCCAGGCTGGAGGGCAGTGGCATGATCTCGGCTCACTGCAACCTCTGCCTCCTGGGCTCAAGCGATCTTCCCACCTCAGCCTCCTGAGTATCTGGGACTACAAGGCATGTGACACTACACCCGGCGAGTTTTTGTAATTTTTTGTAGAAACAGGGTCTTGCTGTCCTAAGCTGGTCTCAAACTCCCGGGCTCAAGCTGTCCTCCTGCCTCGACCTCCAAAGTACCCTCCCTCCCTGCGGTCTGGAGGAGTTGCCTTGGGACCTGTGCTTCCTTGGCTCTATGCACTACCAGACGCAGTCCAGTGGGCAGCCTGGCGGGTGGCCCTGGGACTCATTGCTTTGCAGCCTGTCTGGACCATCCCTAACAGTTTATTTTTTTGACTTTTCCAGTGGAGAGTCCACAGAGAATATGACTTTTCCTTGGGTCATCTGTAAAGACTTGGCAAGGGATGTCTTGCATCTGGGAAGATGTGGTCTTGGGGGTCACCTAAGCAGCAGAGGAAACCTTGCAAGATGACATTTGGGGCTAATGTGGAATTAACTAATAGACTGATGAGTTTGCTTGATCTGAGAACTCACAAAGGATGTTGAGGAAGAAAGGGCAGCTATGACCTATCTTGGGGTTTTGCATTTTGTTCTTGTGACCCTGTGGAAATGCTCAGATGAGTGCACATGTTCAGACTCATGCCAGGCCAGTGTGAAGAATCAAGCTGAGTATGCATCCTTCCGAGGCTCAAAGCCAAGAGAAAGAAAGAGAGGCCTGGTGAAATATCATAGGAAATGTCACGGTCTTTTCTGGACTCTCTTAAAAAGCCCAAGACCCATTTAATATTTCGATTGCAAGACATATCTCTACTGGATGGTGTTTTGGAAAGCTGGAGTTTAGGAAAATCCTGGCTGTAGGAATGCTCTACTGCTGTGAACATTCCCGCTTTAGGAATGCTCATAGCAGTAGAGAGTGGGCTACTGACTTTTCTGGTTTTCAACAGTATCTTATTTTTCCTGAACATTTATTAACTGTCTGCCCTATCAGAGAACTTCTCAGATTGGGACTTCCCTTGAGTAAGAGACAATGACCTGAAATGCAGGGCGAGAGAAATTTCTTTCAGTTTTAGGCGGAAGGTGGGACCCAAATTTAAGAGAGCCAACCCCAAGTAAGGAAGATCAGCTCTCACTGGGAGCTGTGTAGGACCCAGGGGGGAGCACACCCCAGGAAAGGGCTGCCGGTGGATCCGGAGGCCTGACCTGGGGCCCAGGCTGAAGTAGAACATCAGCACCTCTAGTAGCCCAGCAATTTGGATAGCAGGCAGAGTTTAAAGGACCAAACTGGAATTATGAGTCAAGACTGGGCAGGAAGCAGGAAGCAAGGATGAGGAGCCAGGTTATGATAACTAGTGATGCATGGGGTGTCCAGGCCCAGAGGCACTAAAAGGGGGTCAAGGACCCAGCATGGAGACTGGGTAACAGAGAGCCATGCTGTGCTCATGGAATCTGGGCAGCAAGAGTAGCAGCTCCCAGAGGGGCTGGCTGGCAACCTTTTGTATCAGCTTAGGAACTTTTCATGTTGGTCAGGAGCAGAGACGCAGTTCCAGTTTTGGCTGGCCTGGAGCTTGCAGGATAAGCCCGTGTCTGGCTGCACTGTAAAAATAACACGGAGAATAGGATGGGTCTTGTCCTTGGTCTCTAGAGCAGCCACTACATGGAAGAAAGAGGTAGAAGGCAGGTGTCTATCAAGTGACATCACAGAACTCAAGAGGAGTGAATGTCACCTCCATTCCCCAGTCTCCCAACATTCCCTGGGGAACAGGGCAGAGGGAAGACAGAGTAGGGGAATTCCAGGATAAGCTTCATGCACCCAGAATGTGGAATGCTCACCAAAGAAGAACAAGAGCCGTGTTCACATCATGATATTCCGCCCTCTTAATTCCCAAACAGGGCTCCCAGGCTACAGAGCAGCTTTGATAACAGCAGTGCACTCCCTCTCCTCTAGAAAGTTAGGTGGCTTTAAAATAGGTAAGGCTAATTTCATTCCTTCTGTGAGTTCTGATGAAAGGGGCATTTGGCGAAAAACACGTGTGGGTTGGCATGCAATGAATACTTATTTACATGGGTGTTTTGAAGACAATGACACAGAATCAAAATTTAACCCACAAGTTTAGGTTTTCAGTTTCCTTCTGCTTCTCTCCTTTGAGAGGTAGAGATGGAGAAACTGTCTCTACCGCTCTTATTTTCTCACTCTGATAACAATCTTTTCCATTAGTAGAGTGCTATATAAGGTACAGTGCACTTGGGAAATGCCTCTTGGGAAGGTGACATGTAAAAATGGTGGTCAACGCCACTTCTGGGCAGGTGCCAAGGCCTGTAGCAGCCTGTGTCTTTGGGTCCTGCATGCTTTCCTTTGTGTTGGCTGGTTCCTCTGGCTGAGTTCACTGTTGGTCTGTCTGTGGCAATTACGGAGAAGCATGACAGTCACAGCTTCCCTGAGTTCTACTGAACTCATGAACTTTGTTCATAACAGACTCTACAAGTGGTACAGGATTCCTATGGCCACAACTCAACTCAACTCCGTAGAAATCAATGTTTATGGATCATTGGAGCTAAAAGAAAACTTGCAGATCAGATCATCTCATCCAATTCCCTGACTTTACAGAATGAGGAAACTGAGGCACAGTAAGATTTTTTTTTTTATTTTTTGCCCAGGTCTGAATAAAATTGAAGGCACCCTTACCATAGCCAGGATTCTTTGTATATACCACTGGCTGACCAGTGGTAGCTGAAAAAAAAAAAAAAAGGGATTTGAGATGGTAGGAGGGGTGTCTGACTGAGGAGCCATTTTTATAGGTTTTTATAGACATTTGCATTGGTTTGGAGTAGCAGAACCAGAAATAGTCTTTCCCTTTTCAGGAGCAACTCTGCACAGAAGACTCACTGGCTTTGGACTCTGTCCCTATCACATACATTTCAGTAGCCAGGCCAAGGCATCTGGCTGGGAGGCTGGGTACGTCTCAGAGAATAAGCGCTTGTCATAGAATGGGTCGTGAAGCTGGGCAGAGAGCCAGGTTTGCAGAAATGGCTTTGTATTGATGAAGAAGGGAGATTTTTACCTTGTCTTGGCCTCCATCATGAAGAGAGTGTTACAAAAAAGTACAGATGACAGCAGGCCACTCTCGGAGACACACACGAAGCTTGTCTTCCTCCATCCCAAATACATAGGTCAGTGGACCCTCAGGAATCCATTCTGATGCACGGGTGGATGAGCCAAGGGCTGGGCAGAGGCCATTTCAATAGCTTAATGCTTGCCAGGTATATCTGAGCTAGTGCTGCCCCAGGGACAGAGTATCCTCTGGGAGATCTGAACCAAGCGAGGGTGTGGCAGCCGGTGGATGACTTACAGTCAGCCTATCTGGGCAGATTTTAAACCCTGGCGTTTTTAGTGCCTTGACTAGTGTGAGAAACTTGAAACTCAGTCTCATTGCTATTTGTGGTAATGGTCATTTAGTTTCAGGAAAACATCGATGGTGCCCTTCCCTAGATAGCTGCGTTGCAATGGACCACATTATGGCATGCACATTAATGTAGGGATTGTTCATACAAAAGAGGGCAAAGATGCCACTTGTGACAGAAATGACTGTTACCCAGTGTCTGTTCTCTACCTCTTTCATAGGGATAGAATTTTCAGCTGGGCACATGACTGCTTAGAATGAAGAACTACAGTTCTCATCCTCCCTTGTGGCTAAGTGAGGTTTTGTGACTAAGTTCTAGATAGTAGGATGTCAGCAGAGGTGATGCGTGTGACTTCCGGTGTGTGCCCTTGAAGGCAAAGTCATGCCTGCCCTTTCCCTTTCTCCCTCTGCAGGCGTGTTGCCGTCATGGTGAGGAGCCATTTCATATCATGCAGACTAAAAGACCCTTTCCAGGTGCTGGAGCAACCATTCAGAAGGCGGTGATGGCTGGGGGAGGGCTTCCATGGGAGAGAGGAAGTAAATGTCTCTCATGGGGAATCCCTGTTGTTTTGGTCTCTGTCAACCATGGTTCAATTCATAACTTAAGTTATACCCTACTTATTGGGAACTTTGATTTTGGAAGGCAAAGAAATTTAAAAATTAAGAAATAAAAATAAAACAACAGATAGCACTTGGATAAGTTGGCCAAGTTCAAGTAACACAAAAAAGTCAGGACATGGAACCAGGAGGTGGAAGTGCCTTGTTTCTCCTCCTCCTCTTTCCGTTTCCCATGTCACCCACAGGACTGGTGTGCCCGGTAGGAAAGATTGGTAGGTCCCACTGGTCCCGAGTGTCCTACGGCCCTTTATATTGGATAATATTGGAACTGGATTCTCCTAGAGATTGGGAATGGTGGCAGAAAAATTAAAATTGGGAGGTGAAAGCTCAAGGAGGTAGTTACAAAGCAAAGGAAAACAAACAGTTTTGGGCATCCAGCTGCCTTTCAGTGGTGGTCACTATGGCAGAGATCAGCAGAGTGAAGGGCTAGGAGATAGACTCATTTCGGATCTAACTTTAATAATCAATTTTAATGACCCTTGAGCGAATGGAGCAGTTGATTTTCCTCTCAATCCTCTCTCTGTGTCTGTTGTTCCTGCAAAGCCTATTGGGACTTGCCTGAGGAATTGGCCCTTATCCTTGAGGTTAATGAAAGACAACACTCAAGAAGCTTCCCACTTACAGAACTCTTTCTCCAATTTAGAATGGAGGCTACTTTTTTTTTTACTGTGGTAAAATATACATAATATAACATTCACATTTTAACCATTTTAAAGTGGCATTGAGTACATTCATACTGTTGTGCAACCATCACAACCATCCATCTCCAGGACTGTTTTCTTCCTGCAAAACTGAAACGCTCTACCTATTAAACAATCAGTTCCCATTCCCCCTTCCCCCAGCCCCTGGCACCCACCATTCTACTTTCTGTCTATGAATTTGACCACTCTGGGAACCTCATATAAGTGGAATCTCAGAGTATTTGTCCTTTTGTGACTGGAGCTAGTTTTGGCTAAGTCATGGGAGAGGCAAGTGGATCCCTTGCTGGTAGGAAGGACAGGGCCGTGTTGACAGGGACCATGAGGCCTCCGCCCTGCAGTTTTCCTTTGTCCTCTGCGTGGGGTGGGGCAGCCCTCTTGGGGAAAAGGCTCTCCTCATTTCATCTTTACTTTTCCTTCCTGGGAGATGGAGCAAATGGTGCCTGCCTTGTCTATTTGGAGCACACAGGCATAGATCATTAATAAGATAATTGGAAGGTACTTGGCAAAATCTGAAATATTAACTGTCTCAGAGAAGCTGAATAATCACAGGGTCTCACCAAGTGCCACCTCAACAAGTGCAGCTTTCACCCGTCCTTGGACATTTATTTCCCTTTGTCTGCACTCTGTTCCCTTTCTCCCAAAATGCTGGGTAGAGGTTCTTTAAAATTCAAGAAAAAAATCAGACTTCCCCTTCTCCCCAGTGACATTCCCGGCCTCTTCTCTCACTCGAGTGATTTCCTGTATGAAATTCAACAACAGGTCCACCCAGAGGAGTTCTTTTTCCTCCAGCTTCTCTGTTTAAAAATCTTGGGTTCTTCCTGACAAAAGGAGGCTTAGTCATCTTCCCCCAGTGACAGGCCCTACTTAAAAACAAACAACGAAGAAATCCTACATCCCACTCCAGCTTGTGCTGCAGAGCCTGGCCGGGGAGGGACAGGGGATGGTACACTTGGAAAGGCAATCAAAGAGTGGGCGGTCAGAAAACAAAACCTGCCAGGTTATCAAAAGGACACCACCTCCAATGCACAGAGCTGCTTCCTTCCCGCACACACGGAATCTTCCTGCTCCCTGCCCCACTCATCGTGGTCGTGGCCAGCTGTGTCCAGCAGCCTGGCGCCCACTTAACAAACAGGAGCAATGAGGGAGACTCCTCACCCGGGGCCAGCAGTGGGTCAGGGAAGAGGCTGGGGTTAGGGCTCAGGGGTCTCAACCTGGAGTCCTGTGTTTGCAGCTACAACTCCAAGGCCTTGGGATTTGCCTAGTGGGGAATCCTGGGCTCCAGGGAAGAAGTCACTGAAGGTTTACCAGGCAGACTTATAAATGGGGAGAAACTGAAGCCTAGAACGCCCCCCTCTCTGATGACTGCTGCCTACGCTGCCTCCTTCCTTCTCTCAGCTCCAAAGGCACAGAATGTCTGATCGGAGAGTTTAGCTGCTTTCTACTGTTTTCTCACAGTTTCGTTTATCAGCCTTGTCTTGCCAATGATACAGAAGCTCCCCGCAGGACAGTGGGTAGGTGGGAGCTTCCCGATGATCATGTTGGTGTTGACAAAGCTCCCCAAAGTGGGGTATTCCCTCAGGCTGGTCTCCGGAGCCGGCTCTGTGCTCTGAAAGCGGCCCATCCTGCCGTCCTAGAGTATAGGTGCCGTCTATCTCTGTGTGTTGAGTTATCGGGAGATGAAAGATTTTTTTCACTTGGTGAATCCTGGCATTGTGGGAAGACTCTCCTAACACAGACATAATTCTCTTGCAATCCCACAGGCGCACACATACACAGAGGCGTCACACACACACAGAGGCACACCCCTGGTGTGTCATGGGCGTTGTTTTGCGTGGAGAACGTGGAGCGTGAAGACACATTTTCTATGACAGTGGTTCCCTTGGTGTGGGATTGATGGACCTGTGGACAACAGGAGTTTTGTTAGTGCTCTTCAGGGTCCCGGAGATCATGTACTAGAACACCTTTCCTCCACAGAGGAAGAGACTGCAACCCAGAGAGCTTTGTCACTTAGACACACAATTTTACTTTGCTTGGGCTTCAGTTTCCCTATATGAAAAGAAAAAAAAAATAGAATTGCCCCAAAGGATCTTAAGGACTTTTTCAGAATTCCGTACATAATGAGTTTTTATTGTCATTTTCTCACCATTCTTTGGCCTTTGTGGAACTGACTAGAATAGCTCAATTGTTTGTTAAGGAATTTCTGACCTCAATCAGTTTTCCTTATATAAGGAGTTACCAGTTTTAGAGCCTCATGTCACTTGGGGCTGTGTCTCACTTAAAAGTGCTGTGAGAGCATATTGGATTGCTGAAAGGAGAAACTGACCACCTCTTAGAAGACATCACCAATTCAAATGAGGGTGTCTCCTTTCCTAGCGAAAACGGGCACTTAGACTAGTTTAGAGCCACCGGAGGTGGGAGGATGAGCCAGATGTCCCTGGAAAGCCAGTTTAGGGGTGCTTTTCTCATGTTTTCCAGGGTTTAATTATGCTCCGTGCTTGAGAGAAATATTTTTGAACCTGAGGATTTTTTATCTTAACGTTGAACAAATTATTTATCTTTCTTTTTCTGTCCCCTCCATAGTTCCCCAATGACTCTAATTTTTATTATTGTTATAAAGCATTTTTCCTTAAAGAGTAAAGACGCAAATAAAAAAAATCTGCAGCTTAGACACAAGAACAAGAGTGAATCTGACAGACCTAAGGTTGAGTGAAAGAAACATGGCAAAGGGGTGTGTTCAGCAGGACTCCATTCCTGTTAAGCTAAAAATGGGCCAAATGAAGCTATCTTTTAAGGTACACATACATACGTGGCAAAAGCATAAAGAAAGGTCAAGAAATGATGATCGCAAAGTCAAGGTAATGTTGTGTTTCTGGATTGATGGTAGTTACATGAAAGTATGCTTTATTATTCATTAAACTATAAAAATATGTCATATGTACCTTTTAAATAAAAATAGAATAAAGTGACATGGAAATCAGAAAAAAGCTAGTAGCGTAAAAATTGCAGATTCATATGGTGGGTTGAATGCTCTCTTCCAAAACCACACTAACATGATGGTAAAGGAATCGTTAAAAAATGCATAAACCACAAAGACAAAATGAATCCAAAGAAGACATCACCCACCGGTGTTTATTTGTTCATTTTTTTGTATTTGAAATACTCTTTGATGACATATTTGGCTTTGATTCTTTGGCGCTGGCCTTAACAACCATACAGCTGCAACCAGTTGCTTACAGGGCTTTGCTTTTCTGCTGATTTTGCAGAGGCCTTCTCCATTCCTTTAGTTTGACCAACCTCAGTTAAGCTGATGTGGGTGTCAACAAACAGTTCCTCAACCAGGTTTTTCTACATAGACTCATGAGGGTCAGATGCAAGTACCCGTGAATTCCACAAGCTAAGCCATCGGGGATGAGGGTGGTCTTCAGCACCCTTTTGAAGCAGTGTTAATGTCCATTTCTCCCCCAGCAGCAATGCCTTTCTTGGCCATGGTGGAGGCTTAAGGTTGGAGCTGAATGTTGAACTCACTGGAGATGTTCTGCCTTCATGCAGCCCAGTGGCAGCTGGGAAAGCTGGAAAGTAGATGGACAAGTAGTAACAGACTTTGCATGTACTGTATGAGACAGCTGAATCCTAAGCGGCAGTGGGGAAAATTGAGACACAATTAAACTTGCAGCTCACAACCTCCAAAAGGCTTGGAAATTGTGGTATCAGGTATTTTTGGAAGTGACGGTTAAAATGGGGCTAAGAACTGGAGAATTGGTTCAACGTTTGTATTCTTAGAAAATGCTAAGAGTAGATGGCACAGTGTTCTCACCACAAAAATAATAACTATGTGAGGTGGTGCATATGTTAATTAGCTAGATTGAGTAATTCCACAATGTAAACATGCTTCAAAACATGTTGTACACAGTAAATATATATAATTTTATCTGTCCATTGAAAAAAATTAATTAGACCTCAGACCCCTACTCCTATTCTCAGCAACTAATACTCTTCCCATTTCAGCTGAGGACTGGAGGATAAAGCGGAATGTTCTCTAATGGGGATAAAGCAAGAGGTCTGCATGGGGGCACCACTGGCACAATGGAGGGCAGCACGCCCGGGGCGAATACAGGGCTGAGACTTCTGGAGTATCTCCCACTTGCTCTCAGAGTGCTGTCCCATAAGCCTGTACTCTCTAGGCAGAAGATCTGCGTGGCTTTCCCTGGCAGAGTGGACCAGCCTAAAGAGGACAGCCCTAAGGGGGCCCTAAGATCTAGCCAACAGGGCGTTCCAGCTGTGGGGCCTTAGAGCAAAGCCTAGTGCATCATAAGCCACACCTGTGCTCACAATGTCCCATCAGTTTTTGGTGGTTCTCTCTTAAATAAGGTCCATCAGTTAAGGATCCCTAAATGTCCCTAAATATCTTAGGAAGGCCTTGAAAATAGAAACCAAAGCTAACAAGCAAAGGATGCCTATTTAAATCAGAATATACACGAGGAAAACTTAAAAAAAACACATTATTTTCTGTCTTTAGAGGGATAAGATATTATATCCTTGATACAGAAGCTGATTGCTATGTAAAGGGAAAAATTAAAACATTGATAATTAAGAAATGTGATGACTGAGTGCTATGAATGGTTAGAAAACAAAATTGAAGAATATCCAAGAAAGTAGGGCAAAAAATCAGAGATGGAAATTAGGAGTAAAAAAAATATGACCATTAGACAGTCCAGGAAGTCCAGTATCTGAATACTAGGAGTTCCAGAAAGAGATAACTACAAAAACAGAGGGGAGGAAATCACCAATGAGACAGTTCTAGTACATTTGCTAGAACAGAAGGATATTAGTATCCAGATTGAAATGGCTCATTAAGTGCCCTTACAAATAGATGAAACAGGCCTATCCCAAGGGTACATCTTTGTGACATCTCAGAAAAGTAGGGACAATTGGATCTTACAAGTTTCTAGGCTGGGCACAGTGGCTCACGCCTGTAATCCCAGTACCAGAGGCAGAGGCGGGTGGATCGCTTGAGCTCAGGAGTTCGAGACCAGCCTGGGCAACATGGCGAAACCATGTCTTTACCAAAGATACAAAAAATTAGCGAGGCTTGGTGGTACGTGCCTGTAGTCCCAGCTACTCAGGAGGTTGAGATGGGAGGATTGCTTGAGCCTGGGCGATGGAGCAAGACTCTGTCTCAAAGAAAAAAAAAGTTTCTAGAAAGAAGAAATGTATTACAAAAGGTCAGGAATCAGCCTGATTTACCCGCAGCCATGTGGGAAGCTAGAAGGCGAAGGAGAATTGCCCTCAAAGTTCTGAAGAAAAATGATTTCCAGTTGACAATTTTATATCTGATCAAACTATCACTCAAGCAAGAAGGTAAAAGAGAAACATTTTCAGATAGGTAAAAATATAAAACAAAAAGAAAAAAATAAAACTTAGCCCGATGCACCTTCTCTCAGGAAGCTATTGGAGTTCTTCACCATGAGGAGGGAGTAAACCAAGGGAAACATAGGATCCCGGAAATGGGGGCCAACACAGAAGATGGAGTATGTGAGAGGGGGCCCTTCATAGTCGTGATAAAGTGGATGCAGGACATTGATCTAAACTAAATCATGACAAAACTATTGCAGAGGATAGGGAAGAGGTGAAAGAGGGCTAAACCCTTACCTTCTATGATGAGGAAAAAACCTTAAAAATCACCAAGGGGCTACATAAGCATATTATTAAAAATATGGAATGGAATACCAAAAGAAACAGCTAAGGAATTGAAAGCTTATTGTTGTTGAGGGGCAGGTTGGGGAGGGGGGTAAGAAGAGAACTGTGGATTTTTTTTCTTCAATGAACCTTTTAGAACAAATTGACTCTTTAAATTATGTGTATAGGCCGGGCATGGTGGCTCATGCCTGTAATCCCAGCAGTTTGGGAGGCCAAGGTTGGGAGGATTACTTGAGCCCAGGAGTTTGAGACCAGCCTGGACAACATGGCGAGACCCCGTCTCTACAGAAAATACAAAAATTAGCTGGGTGTGGTAACGTGTGCCTGTGGTCCCAGCTACTCAGGAGGCTGAGGTGGGAGGATTGCTTGAGTCTGGGAGGTTGAGGCTGCAGTGAGTGCAGTGAGCTGTGATTGTACCAGCCTTGGGGACAGAGTGAGACCCTGTCAATAAATAAATAAATAAATAAATTAAATGTATGCATAAGAGATAAAGATTAAAACTAGAAAAATGAATAGCTGATTATTGGTGTTTATCTCCTTTAGATTTCTTTCTTTCTCTTTTTTTTTTTTTTTTTGAGATGGGAGTTTCGCTCTCATTGCCCAGGCTGGAGTGCAACGGCATAATCTCGGCTCACTGCAACCTTCACCTCCCGGGTTCAAGCAATTCTCCTGCCTCAACCTCCCAAGTAGCTGAGATTACAGGCATGTGCCATTACGCCTGGCTAATCTTTTGTATTTAGTAGAGACGGGGTTTCACCATGTTGGCCAGGCTGGTAGCGAACTCCTGACCTCAGGTGATCTGCCCGCCTCGGCCTCCCAAAGTGCTGGGATTATAGGCGTGAGCCACCGCTCCTGGCCTAGACTTATTTCATGTAAGTAAAACAAGAGTCCTGTGTTGTCCATTCATTTATTCCACAGATTTTGTTTTGAGTATCTGTTATGTGCTGGGCATTGAGGCAATTTCTTTTCTCCTTATTTCCCCTTGTTTTCATTGCTCCTGTTCTGGACCGTCCTGCTGGGATCCTATTTAATTTGCTAGTTACCACCTGCCCTATACGCCTCTGGATTTCTGCTGGGTGTGGCTGTGGCCCTAGTGCGATGTCAGGGAGGTCTTACTTAATGCTTCTCTCATGCTCTCCAGTGGTGAGTTGTCAGAAGTGGTACGTTTTGCTTTTTCTTCTGAGATGGGAGAAGCGTGCTGTATCCACAGATTCCTAGCTGGCACAGTTGACTGTTTATTTGCTTAGCACATGGCCTGACACATAGCAGACACTCAGTGGCTGAATAAACATGGTAACTGTGACATGTACTCACTTTCTCTCTCCTGTCTCTGATCCTCAAAGAGGACCAAATATCTGCCACCCTGCATCCTCAGACGGCTCGTAACTTTGGCAAAAAGGGGCCACCACAGAGGGCCTGCTGCAGCCTTCCCAGTTCCCTGTTGTTTCCACTTTTGCTACCTGAAATCTAATGATTTGAGATCCAGTAGTTTGCGTCTTGAAGAATATTTGGAAATTAAGGAAAATACAGGTGTCCCTAAGAGGAAAAATACTATGACCCATCATCACAGTAATTTCCAACCTGGAGCTCCCACATGCTGGGATCTCATAACAGGCATAATGGTGGCCAGAGAGCACTTCTTAATATTTCAAAACACCTAATGGAAACTGCCCATTTATTTAAGATAAGGCTGCAAAGAGTAACTAAAATGGCAAGTTTCTTTGCTTTCCAGTGAAAGAGTATCGATTTGGTATGGTAGCTCTGGTTATTTTTTATTTTATTATTATTATTTTTGAGACGGAGTCTTGGTCTGTCACCCAGGCGGGAGTGCAGTGGCTTGATCTTGGCTCACTGCAACCTCCGCCTCCCAGGTTCAAGCGATTCTCCTGCCTCAGCCTCCTGAGTAGCTGGGACTACAGGCGTGCGCCACCACACTTGACTAATTTTTATATTTTCAGTGCAGACAGGGTTTCACCATGTTAGCCAGACTGGTCTCGAACTTCTGGCCTCGTGATCCACCCTCCTCGGCCTCCCAAAGTGTTGGGATAACAGGCGTGAGCCACCGCACCCGGCTAGCTCTGGTTATCCTTTGCTGAACAGATGCTTGAGTTGATAGCTGTCTATCTGTGATAAACACAAGAATGGAAGGAGAGAATAATGATCAATAACAGCTTATGTGATTGACAAGACCTTGCCAAAGGCAGTGTGGATGTGGTGGGATGGGAAGGGGGTCTCTGGGAGGGGAGAGACGGGGGCACTGCATGCTACTTAGTTATTCCTGGGGTTTGTTGGCAGCTGCACTGAGGACAGAGGGCTCCAGACAGGGGCAGAGCAGGGGCACAGAGAGTGGTGTGAGGCTCTAAACGCCAGCTTGGTCGGCCCACTTTGTCATTTTGCTGAGGGCTGGTGGAGGTGCCGGTGTGGCTGTGCCAGGGGCCCCGCCTGTCACCTCTCCCTGCAATCCAGACCCCATCACAGAGCCCATGGCAGCGGAGATAAATGCTTCGGCAAGGCAAACGAATCTAGAGGGAATGGGAGCCTCAAGCCGTGAAAAATGATGGGGACTGTGGCCTACTTTCTTGCTTTGTAAGAGTCACTTGCACTTTTCTGGGGCACAGCCAAACTGACGGTGCTGTAGAACAGGATGTGCGAGAATGCTGTTTGGCAAACAAAGAGCGCTCTCTGGCCCCCAGAGGTTCTGGCTTTTGAGCCCAGACTAAAGAAAGCCAGGCTGGAGACCGTATATCAAACTTTGCAAGCCCGTTTATATACCTTGCTGGTGCCTCAGGGGGCAGAAATGCTGGTTGGGGATCTTTGTGTTTTGTTTTGAAAGAGTGATGTTTGGAAGCAGAAGCACTCAAAAATATATCCTGACCTCTGGCACTTAGAACCTCCACCAGAGCTTGGCACTTAACTGTTCTGTTTCTCGTGATATGTTCTAATTATCTGTTTCCAGCCAGATTGTAAGGTCAACAATGGTAGTTTATTTACGAGTAAGTCTTAGTTTTCTCATCTGTAGGAATGGGGATAAAAATGCAGGTTTGCTATGAGTGTTAGGGGTTCAGGGTTTAGTTTTGGGCCTAACTGCTCCTGTCTACCTGTCTACCCTTCCAGGGCCTCTCAGGACACACCTTACTCCCAAAGCACAATATCCAAATGGCAAAGAGGTTGTCCCTTTCTTAATGAGCTCCACAAGCACCTGACCACCACCCCCTCCCATTCGAGGCCTCCCTGTCCCCTCCCGCTGAACCTAAACCGCTCTGAGGAGCAGCTCTCCAGCCATCAGTCCTGCTTGGATGAGGATGCTGATTTTGTGTCTAGGGAAACAAGTCTGCCCCGTTTGCCTTCCACATGGAGGCTGAGGGTACAAGAGAAAGTTGGGGGAAATAGCAAGCAAAGTTCAGAGGGCAGTGGTCCATTTTTTCTTATCAGCCACAAAACAAAAAATAAATAAAAGAAGGAGGAGGCCGTGTCTTTGAGGCACAGTAAGCCTGCCCACTGAATGTCCCTGAGAGTAACTAGTTATAATAGCTACTCCTTCTACAGGGAGACCTAGAGACGGGGCAGAGAGAGGAAAGGACGTGCCCCCGTGAATAGCAGAGGGGTGAACAGTAGGCCTGGGGGAGAAATTGCCTTCCTGACAAGAAGAGTTGGAGATGATGAATACAAAACCCCTGGGACACTGCCTGGCCCATAGTGATGTTACCATCAGTAGTGGCTTTGCCGTTTCCAGATTGACATCCATGCCCTAAACAGAGAACTTTGCTGAGATGAAATTTCCTTGTTGGTATACTTTTGTGAACCACTCCATTGAGAACCAGCACAAAGCCATTGCCTTCTTGAACGTCTTCATTAAAACTAGAATAATCTCTGCCCCTCATTTGCCCATGCACATGGAAAACCCACGGATATGCCTTCCCTGATGGAAAATATGACCACTGACTGGAGTTCGAGACCAGCCTGACCAATATGGAGAAACCCCATCTCTACTAAAAATACAAAATTAGCCAGGCGTGGTGGTGCATGCTTGTAATTCCAGCTACTTGGGAGGCTGAGGCAGGAGAATCACTTGAACCCAGGAGGCAGGGGCTACCGTGAGCCGAGCCGAGATCACGCCATTGCACTCTAGTCTGGGCAACAAGAGTGAAATTCCATCTCAAAAAAAAAAAAAAAAAAGTGACCACTGAAATGTGTATAATGCTTTAAAATTGACAGTGCATTTTCTCATCCATCATTTGAGCCTCACAACAGCCTTGTGACGTAGGCAGTATTCGTATTCTCACTTCAAAGATAAGGAAGCGGATGCTGGAATGGCTTGGGCACCAGGCCAGGTTCATACAGTAAGTAAATGGCCAAGGCAGGGTGTAATCTTTGGACTCCACACCCAGCGCTCCTTTTTTTTTTCTGTCATCTGTGATGCTTCTTCCACCCTGCTATTGATAGCCTAGGAACAAGATGTGTGACTTTTCTTACCACCCCCTGGTGGGTACATCCTGGGTACACTTTTCTGTTTTCTAGTGGGGGTAAGGAAAATGGCTTTCAGTGGTGAAGGTTCACAGAAAGAATGGGATCCAGAAGCGTCTTCCAGCATGGTCCAGGTGCCAGAAGACTTTGGCAGGCGAGTTGACCATGGCTGAGTCAGGCCCTCCTCCCCCGCTCCCTGGATTTTGGATCGATTTTGCAGCGGCTCTGGCGGCTGCATGTGTTTCCCTTGGCCTCTGAGGCATTCCAGTGATGATGATGGCTCGGCGGGGTCACGGCCCTGTACAAAGCAAGGGCTATTTGTGGCTGATCTAAAACATAACTGGAGCCACCTGCATCCGAGGCTGGCTTCTCGGGCTCTGGGTCCCATAACCCAGCTGGAGTAAAAAGTTCACGTTCCCGTGTGGAGTAGATACCAAAAGTGACGTCTCTTTCTTTCTTTAGGTTTGGCTGCGTAATTGGAAAACCAAGCTGCCCGCCACCTTGCCGTGGCTTCTTCTATCCCTAGGGCCTGGAGTGGGCTTCCTCCCTCCCCTCCTCTATCTAAACCCTCCTTGCTGCAAGACCCTGCTCCTTTCACGGAGTCTCCATTCCCAGAATGTATGTGACCTCATTGTTTGTCATCCATGTTGGGGCTTTTAAGAATATCCCCTTGCACCATTTTATGACTGCTTCATGGACAATAATCCTGACTGTGTTCTTTGGGGCCAGACACTGGGTCTGCTTTCCTTCCTCTCTCACAGTGCCTGGCTGTGCTGGGTACACATGAAGGCTGACGGTTCACTGAATGAGGCATTGTGGAGGGCGTAGAAAACATGGAGACCTGGGAACCCAGAGACCAGGTTTTGTTGCCAGGGCAAATCCCTTTGCCTCTCTGGGTTGCTCAGTCCATATCTGTAAAATGAGAGTTGAACTGGATGATCTTTAAGGTCCATTTCAAATTCAAAGTTCTGGAACTAATTGTAGACTAAGCCGAAGAGATGCTCATTGCCTTTACCTGTCTCTCTCTGCTCCCCATATTGCAGCCTGGTAAGCTGTTGTGGCTTATCACCCGCACCTCTGATTTGCCTGAATGTAACTTAAAAACTTGTCTTCATAATATCAGGAAGGTCACAAAAGAGAATGAGGGAGTGTTGAGTAGTGTTTAGAAGCAGAGACTGGGGAATCAGACAAACTTGGGTTTCAGTCTTAGCCCTACCACTTAATAGTTGTGTGGCCTTGAGCAAGTCACCTTGTTAAGTACCACTTTCTTTTCAGAAACATGGAGTTAATGCCAGTCTCACAAGGCAATGGAGGAATATGTGAGATAATACAGGTATGGCGCACACACAGTGTCAGAGCTCACTCAATGGTGGCAGTCATCGTCATTGAAGTGGGGAGGGGAAAGAAGCAGAGGGGTGTGTTTTCTAGTCCTTTGGTGAGCATTTTCTGACTTGTAAACTATTGGTTGCATTTTAAGACAGTGCCTTTATCATTTTCATAAGCAGTGTAATGATTTGAGGAAAACCATTTTAGTTCTAATAAGAACACTAGCAGTACTAATTGTGCACATGATAGCATTTTAATAGAGTTCCATAATTTATGGAATTGGGAAGACTTACAAAAACATGGGTTGACTCTCTAGAGTCTTAGGTTTCTGGTGAGTGATTCAAACAGGCTGCTCTTGCTTCCTGCCAGTGCAAATAAATCAATTGTAAACCTGCACTTTTAAACAAAATTGTGAAAAAGGAAACAAATCCAGTGATAAGAAACTATTTTAACAAGACACTTCATTCTTGAGGTGATTTGCTAAGGAGAGATTTTCCAGATTGTCCCTGAACTACCAAAAGCAACAGACACACTGTGGTACTTGCTTCTCTTTTTCTAGCTGCTCTGGGTTTAAGTAACTGAAGCCTTCTCAAGTATTAAATTTGGAGGGTGGCTCAGTGATCTAAGCAATGAAGACCCAAGAAAGACTTTGGGTCTGAATCAAAGTTTTCCAACTGCCTTGCTTTGAGTGCTTGGAAAGTCACTTCCTAACCTTGGATACCTCAATCTTACCAACTAAAAGAGTGGTAGATGGCGGGATGAACATCGCCCAGCTTTAGACAGTGAAACCTGGATGAACTTAACCTGGCTTAAGATGATCCCTTTCTGTTTAAGTGGAAAATGCATGGTGAGTGAACATTACCTTTCAAGCAACTTCTGGACAGAGTCCATATGTGTGTGTGTGTGTATGTGTGTGTATTAGCCTGAAGTTCAAGTACTTGCAAAGGTTTCTAGCACACAGTGTGCAGTAGGTGAGCTAGACTTAGTTAGACTTAGGACTTCCAGATCTCCCATGTCTTGACAATTGTGTTTAACTGAGTTTTAACATTGACTCTCAGAGTCAGAAAGAATTCCAGAAGATAAAGGAAAACCAGAAAGCCAAACTTTAATAAATACTCAGAGAGCAAAAAGAAATAATGGAAATGGCATACGTGCAGAGGGCACGTAGTTAGTGAAGAAATAGCTTTTGATGAAACAGGACAGGGTGAAACTTCAAAGACTTGTCTTTTATCCATTAATCCCATTAGTGCTCCAGCGATTTCTCAAAGATTGATTATCTCTGGGGAAATGTGTTACATCAGCCCTCAGCTTTCCAGTCCCATTAGACCCAGCAAACATTCTGTGCTGCTGGGATGATGGGCTTCTGTGCCATGTTTACCCATATTCCTCCAGCTTGGCCCCCTCCTCACCAGCTCCAGTCAGGAACAGAGAGAGGCCTCTACCATCAGTAGTCATTCTTTGGGATTATCACTCACACCCCTTTGGAAGGGAAGAGAAACATAAAGATAATGGGCAAGCAGCATGTGCTCAGGTTAACTTTACATTGGCTGATCAATTCTTCATATAGCCTTGGGCGTTTATTAGGACTTTCATGGTGGATAGACACACTGTCCCCATTCAAAGTGCCTCTAAATTAGAAGTGAGATACCTAAGGAGTGTCAGCAATGAGGAACAATGGGCTTCTCTTGAAGTCTTGCTCTCTGTCTAGTATGGTGGGCAAAGGAATTTATCGGTTACTAATTTTATAAATAACCTTCTCACAGTCTCTGTTTTGTCATATGTAAAATGGCAGCAATGTAATGTATCCCTCATAGCGTTGTTAGGAGGACTAAATGGGTTAGTATTTGTTAAATGCTTGGCATTGTGCCTGCCTCACACCATACAGGCACTCAATAAAAGTTAGCTGAAATTATGTTAACTAGTCTAAGCAGAGGATTAGTAGGCACGTTGGAACTGATGCTAAGAAGGAATAAGACTCACCTTGGGAAAAGTGGGGATCAGGGAGAAGACTAGGCAGCAGGCTTCTGAGTGTGGGAGTGTGCAGGATGTGAGCACATCTCTGCAGTGCCTGCGCCCTCCTTGCCACAGAAATAACCTACACCAGACGTAGTAACAGAAAAAGAACCCAAGCATTTTCAAGACAATGTGAGCAAGGTAGAAAAGGGCGACCCATGAGTCAACAATACTCAAGCTTTTATCAGTCTCAGTTTCTTCATTCTTTGTTTCATTCATTCAACCCACGTTTATCATCAAACCTGTGCTGTTGATTGATGTTATAGATAAAAATGAACCACTCCCTACTCTCAAGAAAGCAGAAGAAGGAAGCAGGTAAGTAACTAGACAATTATATAACAAGTTCCTGAGTGATCAGGAGGAATGAAGTGCCCTGGGAAGGCTTCTGGGAGGAGTTGATTCCTAAGATTAGATGAGTGAGAGTTATCTAGTGAGGGGAAAGGCATGGATGACAGAGCATTGTGTGTGACAAATCCTTGTCTGCTAATTCTCACATTTAACTCATCTCAGAGTCAGTCTCCATTGATTGCCTATTAAGTATGGGCCATATTTTTATGTCTAGTAATTTTGGATTATATTCTAGACATTGTTGATGGTCTAGTGTAGAGACTATGGATTCTATTATGTTTCTCTGGAGAGTGTTGACTTTTTATTTTAGCAGGCATTTAATTTGACTGAACTCAAACACCAAACTATCTCCTCCATGGGGGGCAGAAGCTGAAATCTCTGATCAGTTCTATTAATTTTAGATGGGTTGCTTGGAATCTGCCCCATGCATGTATAGCTCAGGAGTCAGCCACAGATTTGGATGGAGTTTATATGCAGAATTTGGAGCATCCCTTCTGAGGCTTTCTCCTTTTGGGGATTTCTGCTTCCATTTTCCAGCTGCCCCAACCATTTGCTCCTTCCATTTTCCAGCTGCCCTTCTGATCCTGCAGATTTCTATCTAGTTTCTAATCACTCTATATACTACAGATTGGGTTCTGCTCTCAAGCAAAAAACTGTGAAACCCAGAAACTCATCCAATGCTCCCTTCTCCCAGGTTCTGCCTGCTTTGAGTTGCTCTCTAGTGCATGCAAATAGGTATTTTTAATTTTTTGCTAAGTAATAGTTATGTTCAGATGATAGGTCCAATATACACTACTCTGAGATATTGGAAGCAAAACTCCCACAATGGATATTTCAAGAACTGCAAGTAGGTCAGTTTGTGTGTGGGGGGGAGTGTTTGTGTACATGTGTGCATGCGTGTGTTACAGGGGCATGGAAATATGCACAGCTTAAAGAAAGGCAGAGGTCAGATCATCAAAAGCCTTCTGGGTTATATTAAGGAATTTGAACTAGATCCTGAAGGCTGTGATGGAGAGCTTTAATCTTAAGAGTAAAATGATCACAACTGTTCTTAGAAACATTGCTGGGCATCTGTATGAAGGATGAATCAAAAGAGGTAGAAAGATAGGGGATTGATGGGGAAACAGAATTCAGTTTTTGTCCTCTGGAAGATGAGGGGTTGAACTAGATGATCATTAATGTCTCTTATGGCTCTAGTATTCCGATCTTCCCATTAATGACTTTACTTGGTCCTACTGTAGCCAGGAGTTCCCACAAGGCTGTTTTTTGCAGAGCACTATACACAGCCCTTGAAGCCCAGGCTTTAAAAAATGCCATTTAGTGATATTTTATGGCTTGTGAATAGATTAAGGTAATGGAGGCACAAAACAACACAAATGAATGCACCACGGGTGGGTAACAGCCTTTGAATTTCTCCAGCTCTCCCTTCAGACCTCCTGTATCACAACAGGTATTTGGTCATTTTATGTGATCTTAAATGGCCTACTATTAACCTGACTTTGATTTTTTTTCAGTCCTCAGAGAGGTGGAGGTGGGCCTAGCAAGAACCCAATGCTAGGGATTCATTGCAAAGTGTACCCAAATTGGGAAGGGTGAGAAGCTATTCTATGATGGTCTTATGAGAACCTCAGGAGATGCTGGTGGTGGTGTGATGGGCATGTTGGTTTCATCCTTTCCTGTTTCTGAACCAATAGGAAAATGAGGCTTCCTGAGCCTCAGGATGCCCTACCCTTTCTAAGGCTTCCTGGAGAGCAAAGAGTTCCTGCTCTGCCCTGGTGTGAGTCAGAGACTGTGATGACACACTGAACAGCAACACCTGTCCTTGCTGGGGAGGGGATCCAAAGTCCAGCCGCTCGCCTTCAGCATGACACATTTTTCTGTGCTTTGCCTCGTTAAGAGCTCAGGTCCTTTAGTGCTTGAAAGTAGCTGAGTGCACCACCTCTGTAAATCGATCCCGCACTCAGTTCGTGAAACATCAGGTTTTAGGAATTGGAGAGGCAGCAATATAATTTTTGTGTGCTGTTGCTTGAGTGAACTGTAAACCAAGGCTTTCTACCCAGGATTGCACGGCTTTTTACTTTGATGAATGTCATTTTACTCAGAGCTGACTAAATGATATTGTCTTATATGGCTCTCAAATTTTTCTCTGATCTGTTCCCAATCTGAAACGTGTGAGTACATCACTTCAGATATTTGCTAGGCATCTGAGCTTGGCCTGAGGATATTCACCAGCATGATTGAGAAAACATGCTTGTCCTCAGGAAGGCCCAAGTCTAAGCACCTGCTCATGCCCCTTCCTTGGCTGTGTGGCTTTTCTACGCTGCAAACCAAGCTTGTAGACATGGTGTACCTTTCCATAACAGGTCTCTCTCTTCTGTCATGTTGTGGTCACTGAATTGGATTTGGCAGAAATACCAGAAAGTGGAACATGTGGTCGCAGCATGTGACCTTCAAGTCAGGTCACGGCTGGCATTTGCCAGCCTCTGTTTGTTGGTTCTGGTGGAATCAGGCCTATGTGTGGACTCTGCTCCTACTATTTGAGGGCATTGTGAGGCCTTTTCTGAGTGTGTCTCCTGCCTCCTTGACTCCGGGCCTGAAGTTTCTGCCATTGATGTAACTCATATGTGTTACAGCATTGCCTCCAGAATTCTCCTATTTGTGAAGGCCTATTCTGTTAGAACAGGTTGATTGAGGAGCACATTACCTACTTCTGGTGCTCCATCTGGGGACTGTGGACAGCAGAAGAGTGGGGTGAGGTGAGCTTGAGGGGTTGAGGGAGAGTGACACAGAAGAGCAGGGCTGGCTCCCCTGAAACAGGAGGCTCCCCTGTCAGTTGTGGCAGGCTCTCTGCCTGGTTTTTTCCACTCCTTTATCCCCAGCACTTAACCTCATGTTTGGCTCATAGTAGATGCTTAGGAGATGAAAGCCTCATGTCCAACCATGGCCAACAGTTAAATCTGTGAATCTCAGGCTTGATTTCAGCTTGGCCAGGTCTGAGTCATTAAAGGACGCTTTGCATTTTTGGATAGTGGAACTTTTGCCATCTTATTCTTTTTCCATGGTGTCATGGCTTTGGCATGATCAGGGTTATGAAAAAAGGGGGATAAGCCCTCTACTCTGCTTTACCTGCCGTGACTGAGATCAGACACTGGTTTTTAGAGGGAAATGTCCATTTTAGAGCAAGAGAGAGAAGACCTTAAGCATGACCTAAAGAAAAGAGAGAGGCCAGGCTGTCCCACCACTTCATGCTTGGTTGACTGAGCCAAGTTTGACTGCAAGACTGGGTCTTGGCCCAGGATGGAGAATATTCACTAATGAGGCAATTGACTTCAAGAAGATCAAAATAATTAGTCAGTTTTCACTGCTATAGTGAGTCACCCTTGTGAAGACATTATGTTCCAACTGAAGAGTGAGGGAGTTGAGGTGGAAGTCTCCTGGCTCCTGCTCCCTGGGGAGTGCAGAGTGTGTCTAGAAGCCTGGGCTGGTAGGCCATGGAGTGGGGACCTGAGCTGTTTCCTTCTGCCTGTGCTTTTTCTCTTTCCTCTCCCACGTTCACTGGGAAGCAAGGAAGTTGAGGACACGTTACCTCAGTACGTACCACAATACGCATTAGAGGTCTGCTTCCTAGGCCCGTAGATTCTAGGGAGGGCACTCCAGGCCTGCAGGGGCCCTGAGGCAGGGGTTGGTGGGCATGAGAATGGGACCCACCCCTGCTGCTTGGGAGGGTATGTGTTGCCCTTGGAGGCAGGGAGAAGGGCTGGTCTGTCCCTGTGCTTGGGCACTCCCATCTGCACAGTGCCCTGTGGCAGGGAGAGATGGCCTCAGAGCCTGTGGTTCCTTTACCGTGGATGGCTTTTCACGTGTGGGGCTGGATTGCTGAGAACATCTTTTACCTGGCGGATCCCTGAATAGGTGAGGTGGACTCGGGTCTGGAAAGTTAATTTACATCTTTTCTGAAGGCCAGGGAAGGGCAGGGGCAGCCTGACCTGTCAGGGCGATACAGTCTGTAGCTGTTTGGCCAGAGTGAGAGGAGTGTCTGATGGAACAGGACTTGCCTTGGAACTGAGCAAACTGGCCCCGTAGAGATTAAGCCTTGGACCTTTGTTCGCCTGAGTCCCCCACCCCAGCCAGCTCACAGATAGGAGGCTGGAGAAGGGAGTGGGGTGGATCACACGCCATCCCCACATGCTCTCTGTGGGCCTGTTCTCTCCACGTGCGAGGAGGGATGAGCATTCTGCAGGGAGTCCGTCAAGATGAGTCCATGGTGGAAAAGCTCACAGACGGGGAGGTGGGGACTCCACAGGGTTCCGCCATTTCCTGGGAAGGGAACCTTAGGAATGTCACTTAAACTCTTTGAGCCTTCTTTCTCTTCTTTCCTCCCTCCCTTCTTCGTTTTCTCCCTCTCTTCCTTTTCCCCACAAATATTTTCTGAGTGCCCATCAGGAGTTGTAAATGCTGGAAATGCAGTGAAGAATAGCATAGACAAGGCTGGTGCTATGGCAGGAAGAGAGGGAAAAATGAAGCAAACAGCTAAGTCAGTCAGACTTTCAAATACGGGTAAGTGCTTTCAAGAAACTAGGATAACAGGTGGAGAGGGGCATGCGACTATCTCAGATAGCAGAGGAGAGGAAGGCCTCCCCGAGGGAATTCCACTTGGGCTGTGACCCTGTGATAAAGAGCCACTCATGATAGGTCTGGGAGGACGGCCACTATGCACAGAGGCAGCAGCACATGCCATGGCCCTGAGGAGGGAAGACCAGTATGCAGATGACCACAGGGCCCTATGGGAGGACAGAGACCAGTCTCTGAACCGAGCTGTGGGAGAGCGTGAATGCAGGGTTGTTCCTGCTTTGGACCGTGGACAATAAATAAACTCCTATTGTGCCTAGAAACCGCCTCAGTGTTGGGGTGTGTTTGCTGCAGCAGCTAGTGCCACCCTAACGACTGCAGTCTAATCATTGTGTGTGGCAGTACACACAGGACCTGAAGCAACCAGGAGCTTGAGCGCAGGGAAGTAAAGCTCATTATCACCTCAGCAACAGGGGCCCTGGGAGAACCAAAGGCCTGCTCCTCTCTGCCGCTGGCTGTTTCTGCTAGTCTGAGCCAGAGGCTCTATCCTGCTGTAATGTCAGTTTAAAAGGCAGCCTTTCCAGACTCTTGTCACATCACCAGGAGCTCTTGGTCCTCTAATTAAGTAGTAATGTGCTTGTCCAATAAGTGCCATATGGTTGCAATGAATCAAACCCAAATTATCTTAGCTCTAAAAATTAATATTACTAATTATGATAATCTCACAATTTTATGTCTGCTTTTCTTCTGAAGAGCTCAAAATGCAAGTATTAAAATAATATGTCCAAATATCCTACATTAGGAAGAAAGGAGGACCCACGGAGAAGTTGGGAAGATGGCATCCAACGTTAAGATAAGGCTCCCGTCTTTCTCTTGTCTTTATCTCTGACTTCATAAAGATAGCTAGTCTTTCCTGGCAATAAGCCAGAATAGTGATAGGATTAGGGAAACGGGATTATCTTAACGTCACAGAAAGGAGATGAGGCACAAATAAGGGAATGAAGCTAATTAGATACTGCAAAATGCCAAGATTGGAGAAAACTGGAATAGACTTACCCTGATGGACCTTGTCTGTGGAGAACGGATATAGGGTGGGTCCAGGGAGACTGGCCAGCCTTGGCTGGGGCCTCATGGGACCAGAAGTGGCAGTGGACAGCAGAGTTGGTGAGGAGCTGGGAGGGGGATTCACCAGGAAGGACTGAGTTCTGAATGGCAGGGACGTTTGCAGACAGGAGACTGGCGTCTGTCCAGGAGAGAGCAGGGCTTACTGTGAGCGAGGGAAGCAGTGGGATGAGTGTGTCCGGCGGTGTCTCTTACTTAAGAGTGACAAAGGAAGAGTGCAGGAGTTTCCGTGTTTGGCCCTAACCCAGGTCCACTTCACTGCCCTGAGAGATGTAGTGGGATGATGGAGGGGACTGGGGGCAGAGTGGATATTTAAGTCTGAGGGGAGAAGTTAGGAAAGGGTTGTGGGTCACAGAATTAGAGAGTTACCAAGGAAACTGCAGAGACCATTACTTAGTCAGTTCTCCATTTCCAGGAAGGTTTGTCACCATAGGAAAGAAATTCATTAACCTTTTATTCAACGGGTATTAATTGGCTATCATGTGCTTTTCTTACCCCACAAGAGCTTATGATGGAAGGTGATCATACAATTTATCATCCAAATTGGGATACATTTGAGAAGGAAAGGCGGCAGATTATGTGGGAACAAAGACTGGCCCATGCCAGCTGGGACATGTGGTCACCTTACTTATGATCTATGAGATGTATAATCACCCCATTTGTTGATACCAGGTGCAGTGAGATGCATGCTCTATGTGCAGTGTGTGTTTTCACCCTGTATCCCCATCTTCTGCTGGGAGCGGGACTCCCTTTCTCCCCGCCTGAGCCTGTTCTCCTCAGTAGCAGGATCCAGCTCAAGCCCTACCCCCACCTGCTCCACCACAACTGCCCCACTGCCACCACCACTAGGCTTGCTCCTTAACCTTTCTGTGCCTCAGTTCCCTGATCAGTAAAACGGGGCTAACTATAGTACCTACTACTAGAACTGTGCCTGACTCAAAGTAGGCACCAGATGTGTCCTGCTATGATGATGGGGAGCCCTGTGATTTGGTAACTTCCCCAATCTCTCTGCACTTTTGTTTCCTCATGTGGGAATCAGGGACAATATTACCTACCTTTTAAGGGCCTGGAATTTAAGAAAAATTAGCCCCCTTCCCCCTTAGAATCAGCAGCAGACATCAAAGGGCGAGTTTTAATACTTCCCACACAAGTTCACAGATTTATTACATAATATGTTTAGTTGTGGTTAAAGAACATCTAAGGGGCGAAGGAGCTGCCCAAGGGGAAGGAGGCAGACGAGAGGGACATGTGTGGCTTTGCATGGAAAAGGGAAGTGGTATCCCAGATAAATGGTGGCCAGCCTTCGAGGGCTCTCAGGCAAGAGAGAAAACTCTAGACATCACCAGTGCCTGGGCTTTGTTGCAGGCAGAGGTGCTTTCTCTAGAAGGGAAAGCAAGTCCCTATAGTCATAAAATGAGCAGCTCTTCAGCTGCTAGTACTTGACCTCCAACCAGAATTGATGGGGTGCTCAGAACTATTCTAGGTACTTTGAATTTTTTTAACCTCATTAAGTTCATCTATAAGACAGGTAGTTTTTATATTTTAAAATGATTTTATAACAGAAAATTTCAAATGTAATCAAAGAGACATAGATAATGAGTTCCCGTGCTCCAGCTTCAACAGTTATAAACAGTTGCTGATTTGGTTTTATCTATTTCCCTCAAGATTTTTTTTTCTTTTCTGGGATGTTTGGAAGCAAATTCCAGCAATTATATAATTTCACCTGTAAGTACAGTTTACCCTTGAACAACATGGGGGTTAGAGATGCTGACCCTTGGATGGTCAAAAATCTGCACATAAATTTTGACTCCCGCAAAGCCTAACTACTAACAATCTACTGTTTACCTGAAGCCTGACTGATAACATAAACAGTCGATGAACACATATTTTGTATGTTGTATGTATTATTTAGTGTATTCTTACAATAAAGTAGGCTAGAGAAAAGCAAATGTCATTAAGAAAATCCTAAGGAAGGTAAAATATATTTACTATTCATTAAGTGGAAGTGAACCATTGTAAAGGTCTTCATCCTCCTTGTCTTCACATTGAGCAGACTGAGGAAGAGAAGTAGGAAGAGGAGGAGGAGGAGGGCGGCTAGGTCTTGCCATCTCGGGTGGCAGAGGCAGAAGAAAATCCACATGTAAGTGACCCACGCTGTTCAAACCTGTGTTGTTCAAGGTCAGCTGTACTTTGGCATGCATCTCTAACAGACAAGATTTAAAAAAATATATATCACCAAATGCCTCTATCACTCCAGACAACAATAACAGTAAAACGCAAGAGATCCTTAACATCATCTAATATTCAGTTCATATGTAAATTTCCCTTATTATGTCGAAATATCTTTGCCGGTTGGTTTGAATCAGGATTCTAATAAAGTCTACACATTACATTTGCTTGTAGGTTTGTAAATCTCTTTTTATCTATGATTGTTCCCCCTCCCATTTTGCATGTCATTTGTTTGTTGAAGAAACTAGGTCAGTTGTCCTGCAGAATGTCCCTCATTTTGATTTGGTTGGCTGCTTCCTTATTGTCCCTTAATTTATTCCTTCATCCTCCATGTTTTCTGTGACCTCGGAGTTAGATTCAGGTTCCGTTTGTTTTGAAGGGAGGGTCAAGGATGTGCCAGCTGTGGTTATGCCCCTTCCTGTTGTGACACTGAGATGGGTGGGTGGGCTCCGGGATTGGCAGCCTCATCCTTCATCTATTACTGAGGCCCCATCAGCCTTTCCCCTGATGGTTTTCACATCCATTGACGATTGTTGCCCAGATCCATTATTTCATTAGGGCTTGAAATGCTCATTTTCTGATTCTGTCATTCCTTTTGCGTTGAGTAGCTGGAATTCTTCTATAAAGAAGAACGCTCTCTCATCAACAGTTTGGTTACCCTGAAATACCATGTGGCAGAAAAAGCAGGACAGGTGCTTTCTCATCACTTACCGGCTTTCAAAGTAATGAGTTGGTCCCTTGCAAAGGAGGATAGGTCTTTAATTAATTGATTAAACAAGTATTTATTGAGTTCCTGCTATATGCTGGGTATCGTTCTAACATCCTGATGGTTCAGCAGTGAACAAAACAGATAAAAATCCCTGCATTCTTGGAATTTACATTCCAATGGGGGAAGATGGATAGTGAACAAATTGGTGTGCTATATATTTAGTTCAGGGATGATACAGGCTATGGAGGAAAGCAAAGCAGGACAGGGACATGAGGATGCTAGAGGGGTGGGATGCTAGAGGATGCTAGGAATTTGGGTTTGCAATCTTGAATAGGGTAAGCAGGCTCAGGAGGTGACATTTAAGCAAACTCTTGAGAAGGTGAGAAATTGCTGGAGAGGAGCAGGCCAGGCAGAAGGCTGGAGTGCGTGAGGTAGGGATGCTGGTGTGGAGCCCGTGTGGGGAAGATGGTAGGAGACGGGCCTAGAGAGGTGGTTGCAGGGGCAGACCAGGCAGAGTCTTAGAAACCATTTTCAGGGCCTTGGTTTTCCCCTGGATGAGATGGGCAGCCCTGGAGGACTGTAAGCAGAGGTATAGTCTGACTCACGTTTTTAAAGGGTCCTGCTGGCCGCTTGGGGAGAAGATGGAGAAGTCAAGTAAGGGTAGAACTGAGTTTAGGCTTGAAAGCAGAGAGCCTTCAGCCCTGGTCAAGCTTCCTTCCATGTCAGCTAGGGCCTATTGGGGGGGTTGGAGCTGGGGGGCAGCAAGTGCTTCACCTGTTCCTAGGGGTTCTCTGTGCATGTGGCATTACAGGAAATGCTTCCAACTCAATCCCGTCCTTTAAAATTCCTAGGCATAGCATTCTCGAGCGCTTCAGGACATAAAATCCCGGAGCAGAAACCTTCCTCCCCGAGTCTCTAAACAATGGCTACATGTCCATCACCCCAGAGAACTGGAATTCCATTTTATACTGAAAGTGGGATACACGAGGACAATGCTATCACTTGACCCATCTTCTTTCATGGTTGGTGGTGAGTCTTTTGGACCGTCTTTACCATCACTGAAGAATTGGCATTGGCTAGCAAGGCACATTCAGGGGGAACTTCTCATGATTCCAGAACTCAGCATTTGTGGTGGGATCGGCCATCAGTCTACGGAGGGTGACCCCTCCACCCATGGCCAGGTCGGCTTAATCAATAGGTGTCTGATGGCATAAGGTGCAGAGCAACAGGGCACCTTTTCCTTTCCATCCAGATTTTCCCAGCCAGCTTGGAGAGCACTTTTTACCCAGGCTGCCTTCCCAACACCCAGAGAGCCCTTCTGTGGATGAGCATCTCTCCTTGCCTGTAACTCTCTCCTATCAAAGGCTGCTCGTGAATTTCTGGGTGCTTAGCAACCAGGAGAGGGGACGATACAAGCCGCCTCTATCCCTGTCAGGTAGCTGCTCCCGTTGTTCGTCTTCTCCTCTGGGTTTGTATATGCAGTGAAAGTAGCCAGAGAGACACTCCACCTCAACTTAAACAGCAACTTCCTAAATAAATAAAAAATACACAGAATCCAGTTCAAGCAGATCTTGCCTCAAAGACAGCTTGAAAGCATCCCTTCTCATTATTCCCTGCCTGATTTCCAGTGTTTCTCTCCCTTTCTTTCTTTCTCTTTCTTTTCTTGTCTTTCCCTCCCTCCCTCTCTCTTTCTTCCTTCCTCTCCTCTCCCTTCCCTTTCCTTCCTTCCCTTTCCTTCCCTCCCTCCCTCCCTCCCTCCCTCCCTTCCTTCCTTCCTTCCTTCCTTCCTTCCTTCCTTCCTTCTCTCTCTCTTTCTTTCTTTCTTTCTTTTTCTTTCTTCTCGCTCTGTTGCCCAGGCTGGAGTGCAGTGGCACGATCTTGGCTCACTGCAACCTGCGCCTCCTGGGTTCAAGTGATTCTCCTGCCTCTGCCTCCCAAGTAGCTGGGATTATAGGCTTCTGCCACCACACCAGCCTAATTTTTGCATTTTTAGTAGAGATGGGATTTTGCCATGTTGGCCAGGCAGGTCTTGAACTCCTGACCTCGGGTGATCCATCCGCCTCTGCCTCCCAAAGTGCTGGAATTACAGGCATGAGCCACTGCCCGTGGCTGATTTCCAGTGTTTCTATGTAACCCTCTGAGATTCCCACAAGCCTAGCATGAAGATGAGACACACCAAGGGAGGTGAGGAGCTAGGAGAAGGGCAGGCATCTCCAAATTGCAAGTTTCTTCTCAAACTGCAGATCTGCAGAGAAAAGGAAGGACACAGTGAAGGAAGCAGATTCTCCAAGGAAGGGATATCAGGACTTAGGAATGGACTCTTTGCCTCTTATTAAAAGGAAAGTTGCTTGCTGGGGAAGTAGCAGATTATTTCAAATGGGTATCCGTCCTTGGTAGCCACCAATATCCATCAGTTTAACAGGAGAGGAAATAGAGTTGTCATGCCAGGAGGATTTTGGAGGAGCCAGCGGCTGGCTATCGAGAAGGGAAGGGAGCTAGCACTTGCTGAGTTTCTTCAAGGGGCCATGCACTAACTGTAGGAAGCATGGACTTTGCTTTTTGCATGGGATGAACCTAACTCAGAGTTGATGCTGCATGTAGGATTATGTTTTTCCGACAATCCAGGGATCTGCAGAAGGCTTGCTACAGGATCTGAGCAGGAGTCTAAGCAGTTGTCTTGTGGTATCAATGCTCCTGTGTCTGGAGAGCTGGTCGCTAAGACCTGGAGTCTGGGCCCCTTGTGGGGGTGTCACAGAAGGCTGTGAACACCTCTCTGCTCCTGGAAAATGCCTTCCTTTCCTGGCCCCAGGACAGACTCTCCGACTTCCTTCATGACCGGGTTCCCACTCGGGAGCCTTTGGAACCGCTTGAGTACCAGATTATTAACAGGACCCGTGATTGTGATTTCTTCCCCCGTACAAATTCACAGACCCTGAGAAGAAAAGGAGAAGATAGGCTGGGCACAGTGGCTCTTGCTTTTAATCTCAGCACTTTGGGAGGCCGAGGCGGGCAGATCACCCGAGGTCAGGAGTTCAAGACCAGCCTGGCCAACATGACAAAACCCTGTCTGTACTAAAAATACAAAAATTAGCTAGTTGAGGTGACAGGCGCTTGCAGTCCCAGTTACCCAGGAGGCTAAGGCAGGAGAATCGCTTGAACCCAGAAGGTAAAGGTTGCAGTGAGCCGTGATTGCACCACTGCACTGCAGCCTGGTTGACAGAGCAAGACTCTGTCTCAAAATAAATAAATAAATAAATAATTTAAAAGAGGAGATAGATGTGATGGCGGTCTTTTCTGTACTTAGAACAACCTAATAGTTATTTAATGGATAAACAGGCATTAAAATGAATGTTTGATGACTTGGAATCCAGTCTTTTATAAAACTCTCAGTGTTCTGTGATTCCAGGCACTCATGGCTGTGGCAGGCATCCTGCCAGGTGGAGCTGGGAGTTCAGCACAGAAGTAAGTCGGGGAGGAGGTATGCATTGCCACAGACTTAGGAAGTGTTCCCTGGACCTGCTGATGATAGGTTGGTCTTAGCCATGTTCCTGAACAAGTAAGTTGTCTAATGAAAGGAAAACATACCAACCTGTTAGTGGAGTTAGCACCCTAGACCCATAGACTCTAAGGTTGGAAGGACTTTTGAAGTCATCTAGCCCCTTGCCCCACTCGATGCGTGATTAATACGCACCACAGAAACTCCGGGCTCTGAATACTGAACATTGACCCAGACCCCTATTGCGTTAGAAAATATTATTGCAATTAGTGGAATGCTGCTAGAATATTGGCTCCAGACCTGAGTCTCAAAGTTGGAAGAGATTTAGAAAGAAGGATGTCCAGAGGAAGGAACAGACATGAGTGAAGTTGGAAAATGGAGACTGGCAAAGAGTAGCTCGAAAAAGAACAAAGTTTCCTAATAATGACCACAAATGAGTATTTGGCTGTTCAATGGATATATGCTTGCTCCACGCTCATTGGATGCTAGCCTGCTCTCAGGAAGAGCTCTTGCCTTCCTGCCTCCAAACCACTGTACACACCGTTGCTAGATTGATCTCCCAAGAATCAGCTTCTACCATGCTCTTTCTCTGCTTCAAATGAAATTTTGATCATTTCTCTTCATCTGACAGGTGAAAATCAAAATTTTCTGAGCTTGGTCCTCAAGGCCCTTCCTTCTCCACTCATCCTTTGGCCAGGCAGGCCCTCCAACTGCCTCCTGAGCAGCCTCACTCAGGTCTTTGCTCATACTTGCTAGAATGGAGAGCACGTCTTCTCGTTCCCTGTAACCCCAACAGTGTCTGTTGTAAGGTTGAGCACACGGTAGATGGATGGATGAAGCCTTCATTCTGAGTAAACACGCATGCAAGTATAAACACATACCTACACACAGAAACACCACACACTCTTAAGTGTAGATGAAGAGAAAGAACCCTTTCTTTCTTCCCTGGTGTCTGGCAAAGGCCAAAGGGGTGGTGGGGAAAGCATTAGGATACAGAGGCTCTGGTTCTTGTTCCTCCCTGGAACTGGCTTCTGCTAGGAAGCCCAGCAGGGCCTGAGTGCTGGCAAGCCTGGCATGGAGCCCTCCTGCTTTGGAGGAAGCGAAATGTCCCAGCAGGATGAGTCAGTGGGAGAATGGAACCAGAAAGTGAGTCATTTTGGGAGCAGAGGCTAAAGGATCTTCTCTGCTCAAAGATATTTTAGGTCTTGGTAGGTTTTCCCCACTTCTCTTGTTTAGATATAAGTTTGGGGCATGTGACTACAGTGGCTCAGTTCCCAGATGTAATGCTGAGAGACTGTCCAGTGCGCTGCGTTCTAGAACATTTTTGCTGATAGGGAGGCCGTAAAGTGAGGGGCTGGTTTTGGAGCCAGGCAGATTGGGTTCTAATCACAGCGTGTCCCAGAATCAGCTGGGGACCTAGAGTGAGTTGTTTAATCTCTTAAAGTATAGTTTTTATCATTTTCAAAATGAGGGTTGTTGGAAATGTCAAATGGTTGTTCAGCAAGTGTTTGTTGAGTCCCTAGTGTGTGTCTGGCACAGAGCTGAGTGCAGAGTATGGGGTGCTGAATACTGCAGCCACGCATCCTGCCCTCTGGGGACGGGTGCAGCTTGGGATTGTGTTATATTTGTAGCAGTTCTGATGACAACAAGAATAAAATAAAACACCTGGATTTGTTTCATGAACATAACCCTCAAATCTGCACTCCCCTATTACGTGTTTGGGCAACTGAGTTTTGGAACCTACATATCAGACTCAAATGTTTTCTTCTGGGGGGTTACAGTCTGGGGAAGACCCCTGTGTAAAGCATGTAGCATAGTGCCTGTGGACAGGAGAGCCCAGTCCGTGACGGCGGTAACAATGATCATTACTACCTCTGTTATTTCCTGTAGCCAACTGACATCTTTGCACCTCTGTTTCCTCATCCAGAAAATGTTCAGCTGAATTGCAGTCCTTTCACAGAGGCAGTTCCTGAGTCTCTAGTCTTGGGGCTCATGCTTGAAGTTATTTAGAGAATCTCTAAGATACAAGTGGAGAGACAGCTGGAAGGGGCAGCACCCAGGCCTTCAGTGTGGGGACAGAGTTAAGATCAACATGATCACAGCAGACTGACACGGCGAGCTGAAACAAACAGGAAAACATTTGAGCCTGATGTTAGGTTCCAAAACTCAGTTGCTGAAAGGCGTAATAGGGGAGCGCAGATTTGAGGGTCATGCCCATGAAAACAAATCCAGGTGTTTTATTTTATTCTTGTTGCCATCAGAACTGCTACAAATATGACACAATTCCATGCTGCACCCACAGAATAGTGAGTAGTGTGTAGGCCAGGGCAAGAAAAAGAAGAGCAATAATATTCTAGTTATTGTAGGCCAGGGGACCCACATCCACGATATCGTTTTTTTACAGCTCATTACTGAATCCTCACAATAACCCCATGGGGTAGATATTACTGTTATTACCCTTTTATAGATGAGAACACTGGAGCTTAGCGAGGGTAAGTAATGGACTGCAAGGACACTCTGTCTCTGGCCCAGAGGAACAGCTGGAGGATGCAGGCAAGATGTGTGTTAAGGGGGTCCTGCAGAGTGGGGGTAAACTGATTCTGGATTACTCATTAATGTAGAACTCCGACCAGTGGGTGGAGGGTATGGGTTCAATAGGGAGCTCTTCAGAAATGGAACATGTTGAGAGGCCAGGAGTTCTCCATCCCTGAAAGCATTCAAGGAGAGGTTGGGTGGCTGTGGGAGGTATTGGAGAAGGGATTTTAACATCGGGAGGGAACTGGGGAGATTGTGTGTGAGTTTCTGTCTGCAAAAAAAAAAAAAAAAAAAAAAAATGACGGTACCAACCTTGAACCCATGTAATCTTCTTCAGTAATATTCAAGCAAGAACAGCCACCATAAAATTGTGTGAGCAAATCAGGTAATACTGGTGAAAGCCAAACACAGGCTCCCCGTTGTGTGAGTGAGAACATGACATTGTTACAGTGATGGGTTCATGCACCCTGGGGTGGGTATGCTGATGGTTTCTTCTGCTTCTGCTTCTACGAGGCCCCTCTCCCAATGCCTTTCCCAAATCTCTCCTTATGGGGTTTTTTTCCCCCTCCTAAACCACCTTAAATCGAAATCCACTCACATTTGTAGCCATTTCACAGTCTCTTTGCATATTGGTGAGCCCTGTCGGGGGTCGCTGGTATCTTATAGTATTGATGTTACAAAATGTAAAGTTACTTTGGGGAAATGACTTCTCTTCTGAAGCTTTTATAGGGAGAAGGTGGTGAGCTTACCCCTACACTCTCTCCTTTCCTTTGTCTAATTCCTCCACAGAACATTTGTCCGGTGCTCACTGTGGACTGGAAGTGTGCTAGGGACTGTGTACTGCAAGGTGACTGGGATGTGCGCCTGAGCATCCCTGAGTCCAAGGTAGGGGAAAGAGGAAGTGGTCCACGATGACACTGTGATGACGGCCATCCTGATGAAGGCACACCCCACCCTGCAGCGGCTCAGGGAAGGGGCGCGTGTGCAGACATCTTGCAGGCAGGGTTTAGATGGTGCTGTCCTCGGAAGAGAGGACTTTGGAAGAAGGTGGTCTTGGTTTCGGTCCTTAGTCCACCGGATGCCAGGTAATCCTTAACCTTTCTGAGCCTCTGTTCTTCACCTCTTAAATGGGGATATCACTTCCCCCAGATGATCTTTTATTTTGTTTTTAAAAAATTATTATTTTTAGTATTTTTAATAGAAATGGGGTCTCACTATGTTGACCAGGCTTGTCTCCGACTCCTGGCCTCAAACAATCCTCCCATCTCGGCCTCCCAAAGTGCTGAGATTATAGGCGTGAGCCACCATGCCCAGCCCCCTGACGTGATTTCTATGAAAATGAAATTAAATGAGTTAATTTAGGGAAGCCACTTAACATAATTCCTGGCTCAAAAAAAAAAAGAAAAAAGAAAGTTTTCTTCCCTTCCTGACCTTGTAGGAGAACAGAGCTCCTTCGCCTGAGGGGCATGAGTCCCTATGCAGAGGTTCCCTAACACCTGCTCATAGGTCTGTGTCCCGCTGATCTGGTAAGCACCGGGAATGGTCTCTTAAACACAAAGTTTGGGCTGCCTTCTCTAGAGATTCTATTTCCACAAGTGTGGGAAGGGGCTGCACGGGAATCAGAAATGTTTCCCCAGTGATTCTGATGCATAGTTCAGTTTGAAGACGTGCTAACAATATATACCAACAAAAGTTGTCTGCGTCTTTTTCTGGGGACAGACCCCCCCCCGGCTTTCATCAGAATGTCACGGTCCCACACAAATGAAGATGCATCCTCTCATGGTATGTGCTAGCGGGCACAGAGAGTGGGGCTGGAGAATGAGGGCTTGGTAGGCGAAAGGCCCCAGGGCCAGCCCTGCTCTGCCCTCGTCTCTTGCCTTCCCGCCAGGTGGGTCAGGAAATAGGAACAGGTGGTTAGTCACGGGGCTCTCCAGCAGGTAGGGCAGTGGCTGAGGAAATAGCGGTATCTCATCAGCTCTGTCTCTAGAGGTTCTTAAGATACTTAGTTGTCACCAGCCTGAAAAGTCAGCGTGGAAAATGTTCCAGCCTGGTTCCTGTAAACGTAAAATCTGTTATGAATTATATCCATCCACGTGGAAGAGGGAGACAGAGTGATCTGGTATGTGCAGGAGAGGGCCAGCCTCTGCCTGGTCTGAAAGCTTTTGCAATTGTTCCTAATTGGCCCAGTCTTTTTCTGCAGGAATCTCCTCTCTTTTCTCCATCCCATCCCCCACTGCCTGCAGCTTCTGATTTCTTGGCAAGGCAAGCAGGCACCAGAGCTGGGGCTGCGGTTGTTCTGAAGGATTTTCAGGTGTGCGTGTTGAAAGCCGGCAGGAAGAGAATGCTGGCTCTGTGTTTAGCAGCCGAAGGGACTTGTTATTTAATGTGTCTTCTGAAGCCACGAGGCCTCGGCTTTGTAACTTGCTTTCTTTATTCTTATAAATCTTCTAGGATGCTCCATGGACTGTAGGAGGAGCTCTGACTTCCCGACCATACCCTTGTGTTTACCACTACAGGGACAGAGGTTCACAGCTGCTTCTGGTTGCTGTAGATGATCTGGTTCCCTGATAATTTGAGATAAGTTTGTGTTAGTTTGGAGTCTTCGGTGAATACGTTAGGGTACATGTTTCTTCGTCGTTCCTGGCAGGGCTGATCATAGACCACATCAACCCAAGAATGTGTTTGCCTCTCTGATGAGGCTACATCTAGAATATGAACTTGTCGAGTGCTTAAGTATCTTTCTACATAGTTTATTCATTAGCCTGTTCATTTATCTGTTCAACAACTATTTCTTGCTTGTCAACCATGTTCTAGGCATGTCATGGGCTCTGGAAGCAGAGTGAGAAGCAAGGCTAAGTCCTGGGCTCACGGAACTTAGGTTCTAATGAGGAAGACAGGCAAACAAGGCGCCGTGGAGAGGCAGGCAGAGAACCTTGCTTTCCAACCCTGCTCAGAGGTGCAGTCTCTTTATATATCCCACTTCCGCTATCCCCAAACATGCCCATTAGCACTGACATCTAAAGGGCTCATGGTGAATTAAAATGTGACCCCACCTCTGGGTATTTAGTCATTTAGTATTGAACTGGGGTTAAAGTCCTAAGGAAAGGCATGTGGAGCTAATATTTTTGGGGGGACAGGCCCTACTGGCAGCCATGGAATCTTACTCCGCGTGGCTCATTGCTCCTGGGCTTTACAACTCAACGCAGCTGTAGTTCATTCACCATGCTGTGGCCAAGCAGCAGGAGTTCAAATGTCCCCACTGCCATCTCCAAGTTGTCTCTCTCGGGTTCCTATTTCCCTGGCTTTTGTCACTCCCACCTCACCTGTGGCCCACATTCTTCTCTATTTGAATGTGTGGCAGGCAGGCGAGATAGACAATGGGGAGGAGTTGTTCTGCAGGAGAGAAGGGGACAGTCCTTCCTCCAGCCTGGAGCACTTCCTGCACCGCTCCCCACCCCGTCTACTCTCCATATCCCACCACGCCCTCAGGGCCTTGCCCTAACCCCGGAAGCCCACCTGTCTCTTGGCTGAAATCCTATGGGCTGAGTTGGGTCCCCCCAAAACTCATGTGTTGAAGCCCTGTCTCCTGTACTTCTAGAATGTGACTGCATTTGGAGACAGGGTCTTTAAAGAGGTGATTAAGTTAGCATGAGACCATTAGGGTGGGCCTACTCCAATATGATTGGATTTATAAAAAGAAGAAACTTGGACACAGACACACATGGACACAGACACACATAGAAGGAAAAGCATGTGAAGACATGGGGAGAAGAGGGGCAACTGCAAGCCATGGCGGGAGGCCTCATGAGACATCCACCCTGCTGGCACCTTGATCTTGGACTTCCAGCCTTCAGGAAGTTCATTTCTGTTGAGTAAGCTGCCCTGTCTGTGGCACTTTGTCAGGGCAGTCCCAGCACTGCCTCCTGCCCTGTCTGTGTGGCCCTGGGCAGAAGCGGCCTGGGAGTGTCACTCACCCTTCCTCCTGCACCACGTGTCTTTGCCCGGTGGGCTCCAGCCGCGCCTGGGCAGCAGTCTAGACTTCCTGCAGTCTCTCAGGCTTCTCTGTGGCTGTCCCGTGCCGAGCGCCCAATGCACACTTGTAGCCTGATTGATTGGTTTTCTCAGCCAGGGCACGGATCGTTTCCTGGCCGCTCTCTGGCTCCTTTTCCAGGCACCTCACTCGGTTCCCTACTCTGAGGTGGCTACGGCCAGACTCGCCTCAGCAGCTGCCTCCACTACGGGCTGTGGTTTTTGGTGAGCTTCTTTCAGTCCTCTCATCTTTATGGGAAAACTGCCCAGCCCAGGACCAATTAGCGTGGGATGGTTGCAATAAAGGTCTCCCTTCCCGACATGTGGCCAGCACAGAGCCTTCCCTGGTTCCCTCCCGGCATTTAGTCACAGTCCCCAGCTGTGTGGTCGGTCCTCTCGGCTCATGTTATGGGTGGCCGGGAAGGCAGGCTGTCTTGGGATCTAGGCCCAAGTGACTAGGTCCATTGTGGGTGAGGCAAGGTGGCCACCTCTGCATCCTCCTAGGGGTGTCCTGAAGCGGCTGCGGGCCATGGGCAGGTGGCCGCTGAGGGGGTAAGGGTTCCTTTCAGTGTGAAATGTGCCTGTACCCAAGAGAACTTGCCTTCACTTTTTTTTATTTTAAAGAAATGAAGGGAGAAATAGAGACTAAAAACCCTGGGGGTCAGGGTCTGTGAGACAAACTGAGATGTGCTGGAGACATTGCTTATGGATTTATTGATCCCTGACTTGTTCATACCATGTGCCTGGAATTCAGCACTTACACGTTTCCATAGCACAATGGACATCAGTTTAATCATAATGGGATTTCTTAAGTGATTACTATATGCCAGGTACTATGCTAAGTCAGTTATCAACACGACCTCCTTTAATCCTTTCGACAATCCGATGGGGAAGCTCTCATTAGCCCCACTTGCCAGAAGAGGAAACTGAGGCTCAGAGTAGGTTACATGACTAAAAGAGCAGGGGCTCTGCATTCAGGTCTGCCTGACCCAGAGTGTATTATCTTAAACATATGTGACACTTCTTGCTTGCCTTCCTGGTGCTGCACCATCTGTTTTTCCCTGTGAGGTCCCCTTTCCCCACAAACTGGCTGTGAGCACACCCGACCCCTTTCCTGTCCTGCTGCCCCCTTGCCTGTCCTGCTGCCCCCATCCCTCGGTGCTCAGCTTGTTGCCAGCAGAGTCAAACACACAGACTCATGGTAAAACGTTATCTTACATTTGTGTACCTTTTCATGTTTTCAGAACCTTTTCCAGGCAGTATCTAATTTAATTTTTACCATCATTCTGTGAGTGAATATTTTCTGTCTTATGGTTGGGGAAACTGAGGTCAGAGAGGTTAAATGATTGCCTGGGGTGGCACTGCCTAGCCTCTGTGTGGTGGAGCTAGGACCCAGTCGAGGCTCGGAGTTCTAATCCACCAGTCTACCCTGGTAGGAACCTCTGTGCAAAGCCAGCCCCCATAGCAGCCTCTCTGTCTTGGGCCAAAGATACAAATCAGCAACGGCCAGGAAATGATTTGCATGAGGAACTGAGGTGGGGCGGTGGGCAGGAGAGAGGCTGAGGCAGCAAGGGACAGAGTGGGCACACAGAAACTTCCCTCTGGAGGCCTCAGCCTCTTCCCAAGGCTGAGCATCTGCGCAGGGCTTAGTTTGTTCATTCCTGGGAGCTCCAGGTAAGTCTCCCTCTCAGAGGGAAAAGCTGATTCTTCCAGGCAAGGGTGAAGAGACCCACCTTTCTGAGTCAGTGACCGACAGGCCAGAGGGCTGAAGATGTGGGCACTGCGGTGAGAACCGGAGTAGCCAAGGAAGCAGGGTGGTCCCCACAGGGGCGGCGATTGGTTTGTGGGGTCCCTGCCTGTCCTCCGGAGAAAGATTACTAAGGAGCAAAAGCCGACTTTGCTCGGTGACCCCTCCTGGTGCCACATCCCTCATGCCTGCAGCAGAAGGTGGGGGGCTCCAGGCCCCTGACAGGTCATCCTGATCTCAGAGAAGAGTCTGCTGCCCCCAGGACGGGGACTGAGCTGAGGGCGAGGAGGATGCCAGGAGAGGCACCTTGGCCCCTGCTGTGGTATTGGCCACAGGTTGGGAGCTGCCTTTCCCCGAAGCCCTAGCTTTGCTTCTGTGAGAAGCAGACACCCAGCAGCATAAGCAGCCTGCCTAGGAGGCTTTTCACTAGGAATTAAAAACACCAAAAAGGAACTTCTTATCAGCAGGTACCCTAGGGGCCACATGGACTGGTAAGTGGTATCTTCCCCATGGTCTCTTAAGGCCTCTGAAGTCCCAGACCCTCAGATAGTTGGCAACTCTGCCTTTCCGCATATCAAACATCTGAAAATGCATCTACCTCGCACATCAAATAGAATATATTTGCTATAACACAATTGGGAAGAATGGTTGTATTTTTTATAATGTTGAGTTTTATTAAGAATAAATTATTCATTTTAGTCTTGCAACATAAACTCTTATTCTGATAGATAACTATGGATCGAGATGCATTTGACTAGTTGGCACAATGTTAATTTTTGTAGATGTTGTGTGAAATATTTATTTTGATTTTCTAGTTTTATATTTTGGACCCAATCTAGTTTTGTTTCTGATTTTCACATTTTTTTTCAGGACAGTGAAAAAGCTTATAGGATATAAGAGTTGAACCTATTGCACCTAATGGATAAAATCTCTTCTGTCTCTCCCCATCCCCAGAGAGAGAGAAAAAATAAAAATAAAAAGAGAAAGACACTGTTTCAGCAAATTGATATTCGGTTTTTAGGCCTATATTATACTTGGGTCTCAGGTCCTCTAATCTCCTATTTGGTGGTATCCTTATAAAATACAAGAAGTGTTCTCTGAGAAATGTGGAAAATTTCTGACGATCCCAGATGATACTAAATCAGTTGCCCCAAATCCTTTAGAAGAAGGAAGAATAAGGCCAGGCACGGTGTCTCACGCCTGTAATCCCAGCCCTTTGGGAGGCCGAGGCAGGCGGATCACGAGGTCAGGAGATCAAGACCATCCTGGCTAATATGGTGAAACCCCGTCTCTACTAAAAATACAAAAAAATTAGCCGGCCGTGGTGGCGGGTGCCTGTAGTCCCAGCTACTTGGGAGGCTGAGGCAGGAGAATGGTGTGAACCCAGGAGGCGGAGCTTGCAGTGAGCTGAGATCACACCACTACACTCCAGCCTGCGCGACAGAACGAGACTCCGTCTCAAAAAAAAAAAAAAAAAAAAAAAAAAGACACATTCCCAACGTGAAGCATCAAACAGCTCAGCTTTTCTAAGTGTTGGGAGAAGTGGAGAACACTGGTTCTCCTGGGATGGTGCCTGGGTTAGCACCATTGTGTGGATCTGGTGTAACCTGATACAGGATTTCTCCCCTTGCCCAGTAAGAGAGCCTTGTGCTAGATGGATGCAGCGAGGACAGAGGTCCCTTGCTGGCTGTGTGTGCAAATATTGAGCACCAAATGGCTACCAGAGGAATGGGGAAGAACTGACTCGGGATAAGAGTGGGATGCGTACAAGGAGAGAAGGCTGGAGAAAACCTTGCACGCTGCGGGAGCAGGCTCCCCAGGACGTGTCAGAAGGGCCCAGTCCATGGAAACAGGGAGACTTGCCATATGGGCCATCGTGGCTGCCTGTGTGGGGACTGAAGCTGGGCGCTGGCTGCTGCGCGAGATGAGGGGGCCAGGTCCAGCTTCCAAAGGGCAGCTTCCAGGCAGAGGGCTGCTAACTGGCTGGAAAACTATCAGCGTGTGGAGTGGAAACCTGTAGGGGCAGGGAAACCAAGGAACATTTGGCCATCTTCCGCCATTGTGATTTACCTGCCATAAGAGAAGCTAAAGTAAAACAGCATGAAGTTGTGGCCAGCCCCATTAAAATAACGTGCTCATTAAGGGCTCTTACAACTAGTGATATTTAAAGAAGAAAGAAAAAAACTCACAAAAGTACTTGAGGCAATTATCTACAGCAAAAGAAGATGCAGATCCCTTGAGATCACTGACGCAAGAGAACAAAGGAGGTCCCAAAAGAGGCTGCCTGTGATCCAGGTGAGAGCCGAAACCTTCAAGGCTGGGTACCAGTGCTTCTTACACCTGAGTGAAGCATCTTGGGACATGCCTTGTGGTTCAACGTTAAAGGAATAGCACAGCCAACCAGAACCTGCTCTTTGTTAATGGAATGGAATCCTCTTTCTGCACTAAAAATGAGATGATGTGAAATCCTTTAAAATTTATTGGAAGGAGGGAGGGCTTTTTGTGCATGATGCGTTACCAGGAAATGACACTGTCTCTCTCCTTATTGCCTAATTAGCAATGTTGTACTTCTGTGTGAAATGGCGTGTTTAAACATTGCCAATCGATTTAAACAAAAGATTTCAAAATACTGTAGGATGGAGCACAGTGAAAAATTCCTTGCCAGCCAGCGTTCTCCCAGGTAAGGTTTTTGTCATTCAAGGTGTGGCTGCACAGCAGGGAAGGCTTTGCTCATCCCCGCCCCGCAGTGCCCCATTCCCTCCATCAGCCGTTTATCTAGCATTGGGTCTGGTTTTCTGTTTTTTGTTGTTTGTTTGTTTTAATTTTTTCAGGGTATCGTAGACGTGTTGGGTTCCACTAGGCCCTGCCAGCCATTCACTTATTTATTCATTACGCACTCAATGAAGACATAAGCTGTGCATTCTAGGTGCAAAGGACGTAGAAATGAGTATAATACAGTTCCTTTCCTCAAGGAGGTCAATCCAGTGGGAAAACAGGTGTGTTTGTGGAAAATGGAAATACAGCCGGCAGGCGAGGAGGCTGTAGAGAGAGGAGCACAGTGCTCTGAGTAGCCTGTCTGCTGTAGCAAGTCACCCCCAGCAGCTGGTGGCTTCACAGAGTAAAGGTTAGTTTCTTGTTCACATCACAGCCCAGCTTGGATTGGTGGGGTGGCAAGAAGGGTTATTCAGGGTCTCAGAATACTTCTGCCGACAGGCTGTGCCATCCTCTCAGGCCTTGGAACCCGCCCCCTTTTAAACCCCTGAGTCTGGCTGACAGATAAGGGCCCAAGTCGCACCCATGTTTTAGGGTCTAGGCCTAGAAAGGGTGCCAGTCATTTCCTGCAAGTCCCATTGGCTGGGACTCAGCCTGTGGCCCTGCCTTGTCCAGGGATACTGGGAAGTGTGGTCCAGTGCCGTGCCCAGGAGGAAGAGCAGGTGTGGTGCACGTCAGCCATGTCCCCACTCCACGGAGCAGCCCGTTCACCCTGGGGCGTCAGGAGAGGCTCTGTCAGAGGGGATTTTGCCAGGGAGATGTGGGGTGTGGGGTGCTGGATGTGGGGTCCAGGAGAGCAGGGGCATGAGAAGAGCAGCAACCCAAGCAAGGAAGAGGAAAAGGCCTGGATGTGTCTTCAGATAGAGACAGACTGAAGCGCCGGCCCACACTCACCAGCAGCGTGGCTCTGGGCTTGGTCCTTAGGTGTCCCAGGTGTCTGTCTCCGCACATCTTCCCAGGCCTTCTCCAGCGTACCGGCATCACCTGGGGACTGGCCCTCTGCAGTCACGCTGGCTCCAGGCTCACCGGGAGTCACGTTCTCTGGCTGTGACTTTCCTTTTGCTGTGGATTAACCCAGACATGGGCCTGATGCTTTTTCTTTAATGTATACACACACATACACTCACACATACACACATGGACACATTCACTCACATGCACTCACATGTACTCAAGCATACACACATGCACTCACACACATGCGCTCAGGCACACATGCACTCACAGGCACACATGTAAACAGGCACACACACGCACATGTACTCATACAGGCACACACGTACACCCAGGCACATGCACACATGGTCTCATACAGGCACACACGTACACACAGGCACACACATGCACTCACACACAGGCACACCTCCACAGGCACATACATGCACATGATCTCACGTACACAGGCACACGTATGCACACACACATACACAGGCACACACATGCACTCACACATGTACTCGCATACACAGGCGCACACGTACACACAGGCACACACATGCACACATGGTCTCACACAGGCACACACCTACACATGGACACTCATACACGCACACATGTACTCACAGGCACACGTGTACACGCACGCACACATGTATTCACACACATACGTTCACACATATACACGCACTCACACATACAGGCACACACATACACACTCAGGCACAGACACACACACACACATGCACGCACATGGGCGCGCACACACACACCCCCTCCCTCCCTCTCACGGTTTTTGGTTCAGCCTGCACTCAAGTTTTTGGGAAGATGGAGCTGACATCACAGTAATGTGAATGTTGAATATCTGAAACTTCTGTGCTGAGAAATCCCCTCAGGCCTTTTTGCCAGGTTGGCTGCTGTGTCTTCCTATATTTCTTGCCCTTTCCACCTCTCCCACTTTGCTGCTCCCAAACAACTCTTAACACCCACCGCCCCCTGTTTTTGTTATACAGAGCAGTTCAGCCCTCTCCAGTCCCCACCCCTGAGCTCAGCTCCAAGCCTTCTTCTGCGCGTGGATTCCCGTGCCTGCGGACTCACAGCAGGCCGGGCCGGCTCACGTGGGATGGACCCTGTCTCCTTCCACAGGGAGAGGGGCAGTAAAGACGTCCATTTCCCATGCTTTGAAGGATGTCACTGTCTCAGAAGGCAGAAGCTAATTGTGTCGGTTTTAAGTACTTTTTCCTTTTATGTTTAATTTCATTAAAGTTAATTTTCCCTTATGTGAAATGTGAATGCTGCCATCACAACTGGAAAGTTGTCGTGAGAATTAAAGATGATAATGTATGAAAGTGTGTAACACGGTACCTGGCACTCCCCCCACTCTCCCCCTCCTCCACACGGTACCTGGCACTCCCCCCACTCTCCCCCTCCTCCACAGAGCCCTGGAAGACTTGGCGGTGCTGTGATACGTGTAGTGTGTGATGGGGAGCGGTGAGGGACAGCTGGAGAGGGTGCGCTGAGCCAGAGTTTCATGCTGTGTGTTTTTCCGAGGAGGTGGGCCTTTGTCCTCTGCATTCAGAGTCAGAAGAGAGTTCATCAGGTACAAATGGGAAGAGAACCTTTTAAACAGCTGTCTGTTTGAGCAGATTTCCCCACCTCGGATTCAAGATGTCATTCCATGTAGGTTTGCATTTGCAGGGTACACCCAGGAGAAGCTGTTAGTTGCTGTGATTCCACACCTGGAGTGAGGGGAGAACATCATGGTTTCCTGCCAGGTGTGCTGGGGCTTACTGGCCCTGCCAGGAACATCTGGTTGAAACTTGTCACGTCAAGGCCGGGTGCAGAGGCCCATGCCTGAAATTCCAGCACTTTGGGAGGCTGAGGCGGGTGGATCACTTGAACCCAGGAGTTTGAGATCAGCCTGGGAAACATGGCGAAACCCTGTCTCTACAAAAAGTACAAAAATTAGCCAGACCTGGTGGCACATACCTGTCATCCCAGCTACTTGGGAGGCTGAGGTGAGAGGATGGCTTGAGCCCAGGAGGCAGAGGTGGCAGTGAGCTGAGATTGCACCATTGAACTCCAGCCTGGGCAATCGAGCTAGACCCTGTCTCAAAAAAAAACAAAAAACAAAAAACTTGTAAAGGTTCCATGCACTCCTTCCCTGTAGAGGCTGGTGTTGAGAGCTCGCCACCTTTCCTTCTGTTTAGAGGTAGGAAGAGAACTCAGGCAAGCGATGAGCAAGCCGTCTGAATTGAGCAAGGGCCTTGGGTTGGAACCCTTCTCTCCCCTGCTTTCCTGGTATCACAGTGCTAGACTGGGCCTCTGCAGCCCACCCAGCCGAGGAGGCCCTTCTCCTACAGCAGCCTTGACAGGTCTGTCTGGCCTCTGCCCTGACACCTCCAGGGCTGGCCATCTATGTGGGGAAGATTATGATTGGAAGGAAGGTTTTTCTTAGAGCTGCCAGTCTTTATTTTCTACCTGCTGCTCTTCATTTTGTCCTCAGAGGAGGAACGTGTCCTCTCTTCCCTAGGACGTCTGTCTTGGTATTGAAGACAGTGCTTCTGTGCTTCTTACTTATCTTCCTTGAGGTTAGCCATCCTTGTCTCTGCACCCTCTCCCTCAGTCCTGGCCACTCCCATGTGAACCTCAGTGTTTATTCCTGACCCAGGATACCTCAGCTCCAACTGGACCCCAGGCAGTAAGAGGCTTCCTCTTAGAGTCAGCGGATTCCCACTGATGCAGCCCAAGATTACCTGCCCCGTCCTCCTCCTCCTGCTCCTCCTCTGGCTCCTCCCACTCTCCCTCCTCCTCCTAGTGCTTCTCCTCCTGTTCCTCTCCTCTTCTTCCCCTCCTGCTCCCCCCTGTGTTCCTCCTCCTCCTTCTACTCCTTTTGTTCCTCCTCCACTGCCTCCTCCTCCTCCTCCTCCTCCTCCTGCTCCTATCCCTCCTCCTCCTACACCTCCTCTGCCTCCTCCCGTTCCTCCTCCTCTGTGCTCTTCCTCCCTCTCCTCCTCCTCCCTGCTCTTCCCCTTCCCCTTCCTGCTCCCCCTCCTCTTCCTGATTGTCCCCTCTTCCCCCTCCTCTGAGCAGCCATATTACATAGCTTACTCACGTTGACCTTGTGCTGCTGGTGAGCTTTGTTTCTCCCTTTCTGTTCATGTACTGTTCTTTCTCTTGGATATTTTCTGCCAAATGTTTTTCATTGATGACTTTGCTCTTGGGTCTCCTTGCCTATCTTCCTTCCTTCCCCCTTCCTGCTCTGTGACATTCTTGTTTACATACCCTCTCCACTGTGAGCCTGGTATTTCAGTGACTGGAGAAGTTTTGGGCCTTATCTGAGCTGCTTTCCTTGTTATCACTTATGTTCCAGCAGCTCGATCCATCTTCCCATGCAGGAACGTTTCTCCCCAAAGTCCTGACCCTGCCGTGGAGCACCTGAGGGGAGGAGTCACTGGGTTTCTGGCCTCAGAGGAGCACAGTGTTCCCCAGGACTTACCCTGCATCCGTATTGGAATATCTGAAAATTTCATCACTGTTGAAAATAGGAATGTTTTCTGATCTAAGGTCTTCTGAGGACATTGGGGACACTTTATTCCCAAGAGCAAACACTGACTAGGATGTCTTTTTGGCTATGATGGGATCTGGTAGAAAGTTTCAAGCTACTAAAATAGGGAATGTATTCTAATGTTGTCTTGAAAATGAATCAAATACACTTCCCTGAATGAAAGAAGAGATGTGTGTGTGTGTGTATTTAAATCACCGATAGCAGCAGTGATGATGGTGACAGTCACCCATGCCGTGCCTGGCACCTTGCTAAGTGCCTGCACACATTGTCAGTTGGTCCAGGCGGTAAGTCATGAGGAGTGGGTTTTAGTGTCCCAAAGCCTCAGGGAGGTTAAGGCATGTCCTGATCACAGCTGGAGGACCTCACCACGCCCCTCCCTGTGGAAGGAGGGATTCTTCCGCAGGAAATGGAGTTTTCCCACAGAACACAGGACAGGCAGGGAGGAACTCACTGGGGCTCATGGCTGTGCTACTGCTACTACCACTGGGCAAATCTCTGGGCCTCAGTTTCTCCTGTAGTAAAGTGGCAGGATTGAATTGGATGCACTTAAGTAGGTTTCCAGCTCTAAAGATCTATGATTTGTTGTTTCCCTTATTTCAGTGACAAGTTCCTTTGGAAAACATTGCTGTCACAAGAAAAAATGCCATCATCAAAATGTCTTCTGATGTTGGACAAACTGAATGGGGGTTAGGAAACCACTTCTGTAGGAAGCAGGGGTAGGGATGAAGGCAAGGAGGACAGATGGATGAGCATCCTAAACAGAATAGGGAAATAATTTTAGAACTGATTTTTCAGGGAGTCGCAAGATTATATTACTCTAGCTCTCGCTCTGCACCTGGAATTCGACAGTGCTTAGGATAGGGAATGTCGAAACCGGGAAGGGGCTTCCCCTCAGCCCCAAACTCAGAATTCGTATGTCAGATCTGGAAAGGGACCACAGTGACCACTTAGTCCACTCCTTCATTTTATGTCAGCATCCCTGGAGATCCCAGCCTTTGGGAGAAAAAGACTCCTGAGGCCACGTGGTCCGAGCTCCTGGAGCATCGCTGGCAGAGGAGTGTTCAGATCAGATGGTCCCCAGCCTGTGCACCAAGTGTACCATCCCTGCTAAGTAGATCTTAGTGGAGCAGGGCTTACTTCAGGGATGTGGAGCTTATTGGGATCCTTCAGCCTCTCTTCCAATAACTTCTGCTTTAGAGATTATGATGTAACTGATGAGAACTGTCTTGAGACTTCCTTTTGTACTTAAAGTGGATGGGGCAGGCTGGTTTAGGGCAGTGTACCTGGGGCAAGGAGTCTGGGGTCCTTCTGTTGGTTTAGGAAGCTCCTCTTGTCTGTCTGGCCTGGATACTTGTGATTTGCCAGCTTAGTCTAACAGTTAACCACCTCTTAGTGGGAAGTAATGAATCCAGGATTCTCTGCTACGCTCAGGTGATAAATTGTGATAAAGTCAAGTCAGAATTTCCCAGCTTAGGTGTTGTGAAAGCCCAAATGAGGCCTGATAAGATATTTTGAGTTTTTCACACAGAAGTAATTTATAGATGATTCCCAACTTTTGAACTGCTCTTTTATTTATTATTAAGTTGGTGTTTCAAACTTAGAAAACTGCAAATGGCATTTAGTTTTCCAGGCTGGCCTGTTTAGTGCATAACACAGCTGACACACTATATGGTTGCCATAAATCATAATGGAAAGTAGTATTTTTGCAAATGGATAATGTAGAATTGCAGTTGCAGACTCCCTGAAGGCCTTCAGTGGTTCCAGCCAGCACATGAACACATTTACACTGAAGCGTAAAAGACGGTTGCTTTATGCATCTTTACTCTGCTGTGAGGGCCATGAGGAGCAAGAGGTCACTGGGTGTCTGCAGGCAGTCCCAGGGAAGCAGCGACCAGAGCAGCAGGGTTTAGCCTTCTTATGGTCATGGGTGTGTGCAGCCACACGACCTCCTGAAAAACTGCTCCTGGGCTCTTCAGAACTGCCCCAGACCAAGGGTCCAGAGTTGTTAGGAGCCAGGGGGGCTGGGGAAAGCGAAGCCTCTAGGGCTTCTCAGATTTTGAGGAGGACAGAACCTGTTAGCCACCTGCCTTTTGCTCAGAAAAGGTGGGCTGGAGCTGCCCAGCAAAGTAAATGCAATGCCTACCTCCAGAGCCTGGCTTTCCACGAGGTACAGGCTGGCCCTGAACACCTGCCTCCTTCCAGGTGCTGTGCTGTGCTTTTGAGATCAGGAGTGGAAGCTGGCAGAACCAAGAGAATGCAACACACTGGCCTCCACCTTGGCCCAGAACATACCCACCACGCCCTCGGGAAGTTTAAATCCCATCACTCTCTCTGCTGCTTTTCCCTGTTACAGTGTGTAAACTGAGATTCCACACTTGGAAATGCATGTGTTCCTCTCTGGGAAGACCTCCTTGCTGCCCCCATCCCCCTGCATCTTGTGTCCACTGGATCCTCTCATTGACTGTTGACAATGCTCAGTTTAATGCCAGGCAGCGTACATTCAGACTGTACCCCAGGAAATCTGACACAAACTGTGTTTCCCATTGATTTTAAAAATTAAGACTCAGTGATATAATGTCACTTATTATTATGTAATAAAGCCCTATTATGGCTAGTAATTTTTCAGTGACTAGCTGAATTTTACTTATTAGTGTTCATTTAAGTCAGCCTGTAATATGTTCAGTGCAAGTACTAAAACTGCCTTTCTTCAAAAATCAGAAATTTGACATTTTTTAATCAGTCAGGACTTCCTTCCTTTCCCCTCCTCCAAAAACATCCAGAGAAGTGAGATTTTCTCACATTTAAGTCAATGATTGAATAGAACCAAATTGGGGGAAGATTAATTTTTGAACCAGTAACACCAAACTGAAATTAATTTTACTAATTTCAAAATCTGACAGTTTTGAGGACCCTTTAATAGAACCAGAGCTTCTGAAAATAAGCACCTACTGATGGGTTCAGTGCAGAAATGAACCCAGGTCTAGAACTGCAGTGTTAAGAGATGATTTCCAAACGAAGCTGTGGTTTCATTTGGAACGCTTTCTTGATTTACATGTTCTGGGTTTTGTAAGTTTAATTCAAATTTATTTTCTCCTAAATGCATTTTTACTACCGGAAGGCCCCCGTATGGAAATCACCTTCTCTCATTATGCAGCTTGCCTGGCCCAGAGGGTGAGCGGGCCTTGGAATGAGGACACCCGCCCTGGCTGGGAGTCGAGGCCGAGTTTGCATCCAAAGCTGTAGCACAGTGCGGCCCACAGCAAAGGGCATCCTCAGGAAGCAAGGTGCTTGTGTTTGTGCCTTCGTCCTTTAAGACAATACCCAGATCTGGCAGCATCTTCTGCAGCAAGCAGGAGCTGATTACCTGGAGCTCTGCCTGCCTCTCTCCCCGCCTCTGCCTCCCCCCGGAGAGGCGGCTTCTGAGGAGGCTGCTGTTGGCGGCCAGGAGAATTCCTTGTCTCTGTGGAACCGGAGGCCTCCCCTCTGCGGCTATTTAAATGTGTTCCTCCGGCATGAGGATGACTCACCGTTTAACAATTAATTACAGCTCCGCATATTGTAGGCACTGCACCTATATGGGGGTGTAATCTCCGTGCGGCACCATGTTGATGAGCTGCTTCTCCACATCACCAAATTGTGAGGACTTCGATTTTAAAAAACAGAAATTGAACCAGGCTTGGAGGAAAAGGCAAATTTATACAATGCCTTTGATATGAATTCTTTTTATTTTCTTCTCTGTGGCTTGCAGTTTCCACCAGGGTAAAGCAGGCAGAGGTGGGAGGTGGGGAGGGAGAGACAGGGGGTTCTGGCTAGGAAGGGAACGGGCAAGGAAACTGCCCACTACGTGCTGTCACCTGGTGGCTGCTGTGGCCGGCCCTCATTCCCACCACATCAGAGAGAGGCATAATAATCTTAGGTGATTTTTTTTAAGTTTTCAAGGTGAGGATGCATTTTACTATATGCTAATTTTTCTTAATCATATGTTATGGTTTATTATCGACAGATCTTTTAAGAACTTTTCCTGCAGTAAATATTTCAAACTTTATAAATTAAGTATTGGCTGCATAAAGTCCTGTTGCCTGAGATTTGTTGCAAGTTTGTCCTTTTTGAGATACATCGAGTGGCTCCAAGTCATTTGATCATGATCGTGTCCATGATATCTTGATAGACTTTTAAGCGTGAATCCCCCTGATCTCTGTCTTGCTGCCTTCCCCACACCATCCCCTCAACTCCCCTCCCAGCCACGAATTATACTTCCTCACTACCCAATTTCTTTTGGTACCAGGAGAGGGCCACTCTTGTTCTGGCCTCAGGGACGTTGCACTTGCTACAGCTGACTCTTGAACAGTACGGGTTTGAACTGTGTGGGTCACTTACACGTGGATTTCCTTCCATCTCTGCCACCCCTGAGATGGCAAGACCAACCCCTCCCCTTCCTCCTCCTCAGTCTACTCAATGTGAAGACGATGAGGGTGAAAACCTTTATGATGGTCCACTTCTACTTAATGAATAGTAAATATATTTTTTCTGCCTTAGGATTTTCTTAATATATTCTTTTCTCTAGCTTACTCTACTGTAAGAATATAACATAAAATATATATAACATATATAATATGTGTTCATCGACTATCCTGTTGGTGAGCCTTCTGGTCAATAGTAGGCTATGAGTAGTTAAGTCTCTGGGGAGTAAGAAGTTACCTTGGATTTTCAACTGTAAGGGAGTCAGCGCCCCCAGTCCCCACATTGTTTAGGGGCAAACTGCATTCCATCTTCTTGGACTGCTCTTCCCACAGGTGTTGCCCCCCTCCCTTTTCCTCTGTCAGGTCCCAGAGCATGGGTTACCACCACAGAGAGGCCTCTGTGGATGCCTATGTAAAGTGGCACCATTTACTTCAGCCGAGAGGTGAAGGCTGCCGTGAGGCAGGACCATATCACTGCACTCAGTCTGGGCAACAGAGTGAGGCCCTGGCTCAAAAATAATACCAATAATAAAAAAAAGTGCTACCATCCTCCCAGCTCCTCACTCCCAGGAATCACTCAGGAGCCCATGGTTCTGTCTTATTTTGTTCATCGCACAATTACTATCTGAAATGATCTCATTTATTTACTTATTTTTTGTCTGCCTCCCACCAGAATGTTCTCTGTTCTCTGCCGTATCCTTAGCACTGAGCAGTGCCTGCACATGGTGAGCACTCGACAAAAATTTATTATAAGGATGAATGAATGGATGGACCCTCGATTCTGTTATTATTATGTTTTAATCCAGACAACACTCAGGAGTTTCACTGTATCAGTATATCCATTAGGAAGGTTAGTAATGTGTAAAAACTCTCCTGTGAATGCTTTCATTCAGTACTCAGTCTGTAAGGGGTAAATCCTTCAGCAGACTCTTGAGGAGTGTTTACCAAGTGTCAGGCACTATTCTAGAGCAGTGGCTCTAACCTAGGGATGATTTTGCCTTCCAGGGGCAGCTGTCAATGTCTAGGAACATTTTTGGTTGTCAGGGTGGGTGGTAGGTTGCTACTGGCATCTAGCGGATAGAGGCCAGGGAAGCCGCTAAACATCCTGCCATGCACAGGACAGCCCCACAACAAAGAATCATCTGGCACAAAATGTCAATAGTGTCAATAGTGTGAGGTTGAGAAACCTTGTTCTGGAGTCTGAGGATACGGTGGTGACAGGGCAAGGCTCCTACTCCCATGAAGCTTATATTCTGTTGCAGGAACCGGGATAGATACACAATAAACAAATGAGATTATTCTGGGAATGACAAGGGCTGACAAAGAAAGCAAATAGAATGTTGCGATGGTAGCTGTGGGAGTTACTTAGATCGACGGATTGGGGAAAGCTTTCTGAGAGGTGGCATATGAGCTGGGACCCCTCCAGATGAGCTGGAGGCAACCCTGGAGATCTGGCAGACCCTACCAGGAGGAGTCAGACAGCAAGTGCTAATGGGGAAGGGGAAAACTTTCCAAAGGTTCTGAGGTTTAGGTTGGTTTCAAAGAGGGCCATTCACTCTGGGGCTTGAATGTGCTTTTATCCAATGAAGGTAGCCTAGACATCTGTTTGAAAAACCATTAGATTAGTATTCTTTTTTGCAATATCTCGTTTTTTGGAAAGAGCTAAGCTTCCTAAAAAACGTATTTTTCTAGACTTCAGAGTTCCTTAAGAGTGGTGGTTTATCTTTCTGAGGTTGGCTGCCATGTTGATTCCTCCTCCCCTTTCCCAGAATTGGGAGTCTTACAGCTTTGTCTCTCCACTCAGTGCTCAGAGAATCACACACACAGTCCCAGGATAGGACATTCCAAAAAATAAAGAAGGGCACAGAGAAGGTGGGGGACCTTCCCCGCAACTTAGCCGCAGTTGGAGATTCAATAATTGAGCCTGAAAGATCACTTTAATTTCCTCAATAATAGTTTGGTGTTCTTATGTGTTAGGTTATAAAGCCCTAAAACGCAGTATAATTCAATACCATTGTGCTACAAACCCACTAACACTTTTTTCTTCACTGCCCAGCCTGGCTCCTCCTCTTAGGAGTCGCATGTCCATACAGAGTCCCAGAGAAATTCTACATCTTTCTCTGTGTTCTCCCAGACTGAACAGAAGACTGGAAATGTCTTCCCTTAGGTCTTTGCTGCCAATCTGGGAAATGTCAAAGGAATTAGCTTTTCTTTCTATACTTCTAGCATGTATTTATCCTCGCTATAAATGTCACTTTTTTTACTGCTTGTGTGTCAGTCAGGTTGCTTTTGGCTGCAAGTGTCCTCATGACCCTAACAACAAGTTACTGTGTCACATATCAAGTTCTGGGAGAGGGAATTCCAGGGGGAACAGGAAAGCGTGTCTTCCTTGAGTGAGGAACCCTCTCCAAGAACCCTCCAGCAGACTCCGCCATGCTTCATTGGCCAGGGGCTGGCCAGATATCTCTTTAGCAGGGAAGATGGGATTGGCTTGGGTGAATTGTGATGTGCCTCCATTGCTTGGGGAGAGGTGACATCCAAACAAAATCTGGGCACTCCCAGCAAGGGAGAAGGAGGGAGTGCTTCTGGGTAGGCAACGATTCCAACTTTATCATTTGTCTTCCTGGCAAGGACTCAGAAGATACTGACCATTTATATTTTTCTGGTTCTTCATCACATGCAAGAATGTCTTTTGTTATAATGATTAGAGAAATGATAATGATCGTGGGCCTTTGTTTCCCCTTGCCTGAGCTGGGCCTTCACAATGCACAGGCATTGCTTTTGATAAATTGGATTGACTTAGAGGATTTTAGACTTGGAAAGCCTTAAAGAACAGCCAGTTCAGTCTTTGTCTTTCCACACAGGGACACTGAGCCCAGGCTGCCATGTGGCCTGCCCAGGACCTCACCGCTTGTTCAGCTGAGGCCCGCACGCTTTGGGTGCACAGGCTCTTACTTTGTGTCTTTTTCCTAATTTCATGAAGCCTGGTCCCCGTTTGCCTCCAGCTAATCAATGCTATTGTACACGTTTAGGTCTTTATCTCAGTTGAAACCTGCACCAGAACTGGAGAACTAAGTAGTAGTCATATATAGCTCAGCATGAATATTAGATATTTCTTATTTTAAGTCTTCTCTTGAATCATTTAAAGACATTTCAATCACTTATTAACAGGTATGGAAGTTGTTTTGGGGGATGAGGACCTTCAGTCCTCTTCTTGGTCCTTCAGAACCACATCATCTGGGTGGTGCCTCTTCTGCCCCTTCCTCCTCGAAGGCAGCTCTGCCACCACTAACAGCCACAGAGGAGAAGAGGAAGGGGACTTGCTTCACGTGGGAAGGAGTGTCTCACCTGAAGCATCCTTGGACGCTTATTTAATTTAAAAATGTTTCATGAGCAACTTCTGAGCTCTGTTGTCCTCTTCCCCATGAGCGGAGGGTGGAATGAGGCTTGAGGATAAAGGACCCTGGGCCTTGAGAATGCTTCAAGCCCCGGAGATGAAGTTGTCTGTCTGACAGAGGTCCCCAAGTCTGCATCCAAGGAGAGGACCTCTCTTCTCTATGAAGAGATGCTTTGCTTCTGGAAACCCAAGTACAATCCTAGAAACCTAGGAGCTGGCCATTTGTACACCGAAAGTTTTCTTTTTTTCTGTGTGAATGGAATCCCCATCAGGATCCTATTAAAGTTCTCTGGGGAATTTAGAAAGGTCTTGATTTCCATGCTGGGGGTGTAGCCATGCATACCCTGTCTATAGTGAAACGTACATAGTATTTTCCATGAAGGGAAGTGCCTGCAAACTATTCAAAGTATCAGGCCACAGGAGCGACCAGCCAGGACTGAGAAGGTGGTGTAGGATGGGATGTCCGCCTGCGATCCATCTCCATGCTGTCCTGTCCTCATGTCCCCATAGGAACAGTTATGGACATTGGACTTTTCCTTCTTACAGTCCCCCTCAGTTGTGGTGCTGTTGGCATTTTTGCAGGGACTGTTCGTTGTTAGGGGCTGTCTCACCCACTGAAGGGTAGACCTTGGTTAAGGTTAAGGATCCTTGAAGGTTTAGGATCCTTGGCTTTTACCTGCATTCAATTACCCACCCAGGTATTGCAGCAACCAGAAGTCCCGCACCAGCTTCTCGCCATCTCCCGTGGAGCAGACTGCTCTGGGCCTCTGTTACAGGACGGATTAGGAGTCAGGATTCTGGAGGTGGCTGCAGTCCTATGGCCAAGCCGGTACCTGTACCTCCAGGGATCCGCATTCTTAGGAGGGTTTTCTGAATGTAGGGAAAGAGAGCACCAGGGGACACTGCTCCTTCAGGGTCACCCACCAGCCCCTCATGGCTTCACTCAGCCAAGAAGCACATTGTATCTCCTTGGGGCCCTCTGGCATCTCCTCTGCCTTCATACTTGGTCCTGGGTTGCATGCATTTGGGATATGTTTTCACACCAGAGAGCTTGCTAGACAGAGCCCAAGGGGATGGAACTGAGTGAAGTGACCTATAGGCCTACTTCTGGCCAAATCTCAGGGCCCAGGTCCCCGGCACAGGTCTTTGCTGCGTGTGATTTCTGCCCCTTCATGGGGGACCAGGAGGCTCTGCAGTCTTTTGGACATTAAATGATGCTTGCAAAACAACAATGTGATGAGTTAGGAATGAATCAGAAGCAGACGAGGGACATTTAAAACCTCTTAGATTACAGTCCCACCAACAGTGTAAAAGTGTTCCTATTTCTCCACATCCTCTCCAGCACCTGTTGTTTCCTGACTTTTTAATGATCGCCATTCTAACTGGTGTGAGATGGTATCTCATTGTGGTTTTGATTTGCATTTCTCTGATGGCCAGTGATGATGAGCATTTTTTCATGTGTTTCTTGGCTGCATAAATGTCTTCTTTTGAGAAGTGTCTGTTCATGTCCTTCGCCCACTTTTTGATGGGGTTGTTTGTTTTTTTCTTGTAAATTTGTTTGAGTTCATTGTAGATTCTGGATATTAGCCCTAGTTCAACCATTGTGGAAGTCAGTGTGGCGATTCCTCAGGGATCTAGACCTAGAAATACCATTTGACCCAGCCATCCCATTACTGGATATATACCCAAATGACTATAAATCATGTTGCTATAAAGACACATGCACACGTATGTTTATTGCAGCATTATTCACAATAGCAAAGACTTGGAACCAACCCAAATGTCCAACAATGATAGACTGGATTAAGAAAATGTGGCACATATACATCATGGAATACTATGCAGCCATAAAAAATGATGAGTTCGTGTCCTTTGTAGGGACATGGATGAAATTGGAAATCATCATTCTCAGTAAACTATCACAAGAACAAAAAACTAAACACTGCATATTCTCACTCATAGGTGGGAATTGAACAGTGAGATCACATGGACACAGGAAGGGGAATATCACACTCTGGGGACTGTGGTGGGGTTGGGGGAGGGGGGAGGGATAGCATTGGGAGATATACCTAATGCTAGATGATGAGTTAGTGGGTGCAGCGCACCAGCATGGCACATGTATACATATGTAACTAACCTGCACAATGTGCACATGTACCCTAAAACTTTAATAAAAAAAAATAAATTAATTAAAAAAAACAAAAACAAAAAAAAAACCTCTTAGATACTCATTCCCTCATGCTCACGTTCCTCCCCAAAGAACCTCCTCCCTTCCCAGGGAGAGGGTCTTGGCCACATGTGTGGGAGGCTCTGCAAAGCCAGTGAGCTCTTCCACCCACAGCAGTCCCAGGGCCCTGACATTCCTCCTTCCCTTTCCTGGTTGCCAGACTTTCTAGAAGGAAGCCATGTATTCGGGCACTTCTGAAGGGCTGGGTGAAACTAGGCAACAGACTTCTGCACGTTACACTGGGAAAGCCAGTGTGTGGAGGTGCAGCGTGACCTGAACCAGTCCTGAGAGGCCAGGTGTCCACACTTGGCTGTGGGGCTTGGCTGGTGGGGGCAGGGCATGTAGCCTGGGTACAGGGAGGAGGGGGACTGCCCAGAGGCACTCACTCTTAATTTGGCTTTCTCTTCGGGTCTCATTATGTGTCACTTAATGTGAAAAGTCTGCTTTAGACTCCTATTCTAAATCACCTTAACCTTTCATCTTGCCCTGTGGTGCTCTTGGCTCCTATAGCACTGAAAACAATGTGTAATTCTATATTTATTTATATGTTTATTATCTGTCACCCCCAGTAGATGGTAAACTGCATGAGTTGGGGTCCTGTGCATTGCAAGTGCTGGCATCTTAGTAGCTGCAGAATGAATAAACAGTGGCAGTAGCATCCTCTCCGGCTGAGTTTTTAGAGTAGGAAGTAGGCAGAAGGTTTGGGGTCATCTTAGTTTGCTCAGGCTCCTATAACAAAATACCGCAGTGGGGGGACTACAAAGACGGAAATGTATTTCTCACAGACCTGGAGGCTGGGCAGCCCCAGGATCAAGGTGCCAGCAGATTTGGTGTCTGGTGAGGGCCTTCTTCCTGGCTCGTGGACATTTGTCTCCTCACTGTGTCCTCATATAGTGGAAGGGGCGAGGGAGCTCTCTGGAGTCTCTAAGAGTGTTAATCTCATTCGTGAGTGCTCTGCCCCATGACCTAATTGCCTACGAAAGCCCCTCCCCCAATATCATCACACTGGGGGCTAGGATTTCAGCATAGGAATTTGGGGGGACACATTCAGTCTGTCACCATGTACATGGACTGTGCAGTGGGAATTACCCTGATTTGAGGAGTGTTTAGGGAGGGGGAGGGCGAGCTGGACAGACCTGGGATGGCTCCGCGTAAACCGTGTCTGCAGCATCCTGGGAGCCTGCTTGAGATCCGGCCCTTCTAAGGAGCTCCAGGAGACTTACAACCCAGCCCTTGGAAGGAGATCCAGAGGGAAGAAGGCCAGTTGATGACTTATGAAATGTGGATTTGTATTTTCAGAAGTGCAGAGTAGTATTTTAAAAAAGCAGATGAGACTCTGAGGGTTGGGAGAATGGCAGAGCATGGGAAGTGGAGGCTGCTTCGGATCCGAGAGGAGGCACTGTGAGATGTGGAAAGAGCTTGGGCTTTGGAATGGAACCTGCATTTGATTCTAGATTTCACCGCTGAGTAGTTATGTAGCTTTTGGCCAAGTCACTTATCCAGTCTGAGACTCAGCATTTTTATCTGCAAAATGGGGCTAGTAACACTGCCCTCTTTGAGTTGTCATGAATATTCAATGAGATGATGTGTGTACCCACCTCCCTACCTACTCACTGTCCAATGAGTGTTTGTTCTTTGTTCCTTTTCTCTCTTGAATAGCCAGCGTGGCCAGTTTTAAATTTCTCTTGCTCTCCAATCTAGTCTAATTTATTCTGTCAGCTGTCACATCTACTAACTAGGTAGTCCATAGGTGCATATTATATGCATGTAATGGACCCATTGTTGTGTGAAGGGTGGTGAAGATTTAGGAGCACAGATTTATCCTGCAGACCATCTCCCACATGAATGTGTTCCTGGGAGAATACATTTTGGATTTTTAATACCCATGCTTCGTATTTTATACACATATTTTAATAAAATGATTTTAAGCTGCTGTTTATATAGGAAATTATATTTACAGCCTCCAAATGCAATATAACATTTTAGTGAAAAGTCTTGAGTTACATTTCAAGTACAGTTGATAGAATGTGGGAATCTCTTGTGGGTGTTGTGTAGAGCCCGTCGAGTGTCAATAAAGGGGACTTGCTTTGGGGATGTGTCTGGGCCCCAGGACCACATTCGAGGAGCATCTTTCCCTTCCCAAGGCAAGGCATCTTGGCTACATGTGTTGGAGGATTTGCAGAGCCAGGATTTGGGGGATAGACCAGGCTGCTTTCCCGACCCATGACACACCTGGACTCTTCCCTTCCCTTTTTCTGGCTGACAGTCTTCCTAGAAAGAGGTCATTTGTTTGGCCCCTCCATGGGGCTGTGTGAAGTCAGCTGACGGGCTTCTGCACATTAAGCGGAGAGGTCAGGAGCACGTTATATTCATTGTGATAGTTTGTGTGATAGTTCTACTATATAATAGACATTATGCTGTATTTTGTTACTTTTAGGAAATACATGATGAAGTGTTTTGGTTACATTTTAGGAAATTGGCTTTGAGTTGACATGTAATGCATTATAATTTTTCTTATTTAAAAGATGAGAAATAGGCCAGGTGCGGTGGCTCAAGCCTGTAATCCCAGTATTTTGGGAGGCTGAGGTGGGAGGCTCACTTGAGCTCAGGAGTTGGAGACCAGCCTGGGCAACATAGCAACACCTCGTCTCTACAAAAAAAAGTAAAAAAAATTAGTCAGGTGTGGTGGTGTGCACCTGTAGTCTCATTTATTCTGGAGGCTGACACAGGATGATTACTTGGGCCCAGGAAGTTGAGGCTGCAGTGAGCTGAGAGTTGAGATCGTGCCACTGTATTCCAGCTTGGGTGACAGAGCCAGACCCTGTCTCAAAAACAAAACAAACAAAAAAAACCATGAGAAATTGGCTAGCGTTTCCCACAGAACATCTGACTTTCGGGAAAGTCTTATTGATGTGTGCCTTTTTTACAAATGGTCCCTATCTTCAAGGCGTGGATAGTGTTTTTAGGGAGACAGAACAAACAATAAGAATGGAGCATTCATATAAGGAACATAACAAATAGCACAAGGAGGTACGCAGCCAAATTAGTGGACCTTTGAGGACGGCAGGGCTGGAGAGGATGGGTAGCAACCACATACGCCATGGCTCTTGGAATTTCAGACTTTAGCAGTTTCTCAATGAATGTTCCTTAAGTACCTGTCATGCACAGGTGCTGTGCCAAGTATAAAGTGATAAGCAAGGAAGCGGAAAACGTAGCATGATGCCCAGCCTGAACTTCTCTATGTCTAAGAGGAATGAGAAGACATTAAAAACACACAGCACAACATGATTCAAGGTAGAAAAGTTACAATGTGCTAAAAGAGAAGAACAGCTAGACAACGCACTGCTCAGAGAGGGGAGATGACGTGCACATCTGAGAGGTTGCTGTGGCTTTGGCTAGGACAGTTATCTTAGCTGAGATGGCCTTAAGGCAAGGTCTTGATGAGGGCTGCCCATGTTATTAACACCTGGCACTGCAGTGCCCGTTAGAGTGGATGCCGCCGGCTGAGGGAGCTGGCAGGCTCTGGAGCCCTCTGTCCCCTAGGCATAAATCTGCTATGCAGTGCATTGGAGGGAAGCTCCAGGGACCTAAGGAAGGATGTCTGGGTGGTGGGTGGCATTTGAGGGACTCAGGGCACTGATATTTACCAACCCATACAGTGTTTTACTGTTTAATGACCAGTATGTTTTACCATGCACAGTAGCTGAAGATCAGCCCAAATTGGACCCCAGGGGTAGGTAAGCTAATGAAGCCAGAGGTGTAGGCTATCCATCCTCTTTTGTCCCAATCCAGGAAATGTATTTTACCCAATAACAACAGTCCTGTGTTCTTGGAGGGTGTTCCACCTGGCGTAACCTAAGGGTCTAACTTAGGGTTTAAGTACCCTACATTGAAATAATAGAGAAACCTGTGACCTGACCACTCTAATGATTCTAATCAAAGTGCTCCAGCACTGTGATCCCTGCCCCAGACCCCTGGGCCTCACCCCCATCCAGTAAATAGAGGGTTTGTGCATGGCAAAGCTGAGGGCCGCAGAGCCCCGCGCCAGCTCTCCCGGCCAGCAGCGTCCATGCTGATGGTGGTGTTTGTGCAGCACCTGGTATGAAATCTTGTAGCTATCACCCCCCTGGTTCCCATGCCTGCCACTTCTATCAGTAAGACGCAGCGAGTCACACAGTACCACAGTGAAGTCTTGGTTTTGGATGAGGTATGTGATTATAAGAATTTGTTTTTATAAAAACAATAATCATCCTAAAAACCTGTGTAAGCCTCCCCTCTGCAAACCAGTATGGTCTGAAAGAAAACCAAGTAAAACAAACACCAACAATCCTTATGAACAAAGGAGTGGGAAGGGGTATGTTCGACGGTTGTAATAGTAAGAAACTCACGGGGAGGAGTCATAGTGTGCTTGAAGTTTGGTGGCTCTCTGAAGACAAATGGCGCTCCATCTGTGTGAAAGGGAGCGAGGGAGTGGGGGAGGCACGCCCGTGGCTGCTCTGTAGCTGGGGTGCTGTTTCATAAGGTGGTTCACTGACTGGTACCACCGTCACACAGCGCCCTATTACCAGTTGTTTACCCAAGAATAAAGAATCCGAATTATATTTTAGAAATACAATTTAGGGAGCTGAAGTTTAAAATAACTATCTTGAGCTTCAGAAAGCTCATCTCTGGAAAATATTCACAGAGGGATATTTGTACTTCCAAGGGAATCTGATGGGGCAAGAAGCAAGTCAGATTTCTCTACTTTTCAGTTAATGGACTCCTTAAAGATTATGTTCGTATTCCTTTAAAATAGTAATTGCTTTGTTTCCTCAAGAGCCAAGATCCATCCAGTCCCTAAATCAAATTCTCAACTAAAATCAGAAGGTTTAAGATACAGTTATTTTAAGTGCTGCATACTCTTAAAAATGTGTGTCTGGTTATGTTGTGTATATAAGTGGCTCATATCAGAGATGCAGCAAGTCAAGCTATATAAAATTCAGTAACACATGCCAGAGAAGGAAGGAGGGAAGAGAGAGAGATTGAAAGAGAGAAAGAGATGCTTATCCTTTTCTCCAGGAGAGGCTCGAATTTTACTTTCAACTTGTTTCTAAAAATGGCAGATGCAAAGTAAGAAAACAAATGTATCTGTTGCAGGAAGGAAGGAAGGACAGAGAGGGGAATCTGATCTTCAGCCTGATGTGATATGTTTTTATCTGAATGCTTTTGCAATAGAACATCTGGGAGGCAAGTGAGAATTGGGGTATGCCTATGTTTCAACAGTTTCATTAGGGTCACAGACCTTTATTTCCCAGGGCTGTGATAGAAAATATGAACTCTTCCATAGTTGGGAGTTGAGGAAGGGGTAGGCTGAAACAGTGGCATCTGTAACAGTGCATGCCATCAGTGGGATGTGATGATAGTGCTTATCACAATAGCTTTAAGACTTATGCCCTCTTTCTTTGGAAGCATTTAAATAGCTAGCCTTGTTTCTCTTTCCTAGGAGGAAGCCTGGGATTGATGTTGGTACCTCCAACCTGAAGTCTGGGAAATTGGTGGGGGGTTTGTTGACTCAAGTTTATAAGTGGATTTTTAACCCAGTTCACGTGGTGCTTGTGCTGACACTGACATTTTGTGCTGCATGATCTGGAAGTTGAGGCAAACATTATCAATGTTAGACTGGCAGAATCTGAGAGGACAGGGTCCCAGTTTCAAAGTTTAGAAACATTTCATTGATCAAAGTGTATTAGAGAAAAAAGCATTAAGTTAATTTTTTCATTCAGTCATTCAGTCATGCAACATACCTTTCTTGATCATCTGCCAGGACCCCAGCACATTTCTGGAGGCTGTATTTGGGGGCAGATTGAAGCTAGGTGCAGTATCATCTCCTCTCTGGTAACTCCTTTCCAATTGAATCTGCAGCTATAACTGGTATTTTGTGCCACAGAGAAGGAAGAAAGTATACAGGTGGGCAAGCTGGGATTATGTGTATCAAGATGGTTATAGTAATGGAGGAACTATCTCTTGGGATGCATTTTAGCAGAAAGGAACATAAAGCATTCAAAAGAGTTCTATTCTCTAGTTAGTGTCAGGACTGACTTTTCTTTGTTCTGTGGTCAAGGAAGGCCCTACTGAAAACCCAGGAATCAAGGTGGGTGTTTGCATGAAGGTCCCTTCAGCGTCAGCAATGAGAGCAGTAAATCAGGCAGAGCTCCCTGAATTAGGAGTCCTCCCAGGCAGTCAGGTCAAGGTCAGATTTAATTTGGGATTTTGTAGTTTACAGGATGCTACCCACTTTCTTACACCTCACAGTAACCATGTTCCAGCAGCTTATTGGATTGGTCCAGGCTGTGCCTGGTGGTGAGAACGTCAGGTTTTGTGGGCACATGGCTTCACCAGGAGAGGTCTGGGGTGTCTCATGTTGGTAGAGAAGGAGTATGTCCGTGGACTCTAACTTCTCTAGAGGCAATGCCAAAGGCAAACTGGATAGCTGTTGCTGCTGTAGTTTTGTAAATCTATGACCCTCTGTTGAGGCCTCTTTAACTCTAGCAGCCTTATGCATCTTTATGATTAATTCAGTAGGACCCCACCAGCAGACTCTCCTTCTTCTAAGAGTGTAAAGTCATTCATGCAGGTTTGGCCTTGCTTGGAGGTTAGGGCTTGGGGGGACATGAGCAGGGCTTGCCCTCAAATTCCCAGTCATTTGGCTCCTCCTTTCTTTCACCTGTTACTCTTTCTGCTGCTTTTTTTTTTTTTTTTTTTTTGAGACAGAGTCTTGCTCTTTTCTCCCAGGCTAGAGTGCAATGGCATGGTCTCGGCTCACTGCAACCTCCGCCTTCCAGGTTCAAGCGATTCTCCTGCCTCAGCCTCCCGAGTAGCTGGGACTCCAGGCGCCCACCACCACTCCCGGCTAATTTTTTTGTATTTTTAGTAGAGATGGGGTTTCACCATGTTGGCCAGGCTGGTCTTGAACTCCTGACCTCAGGTGATCCACCCGCCTCAGCCTCCCAACGTGCTGGGATTATAGGCATGAGCCACCGCGCCCGGCCTCTTTCTGCTACCTTTACGTTATTTACACAAGCTTGGAGGCCTAGAGGCAGGAGCTGGTATTTGGATCAATGGCTGGGTAATCCAGAGCAGTTAAAGAACCAAGAAATTATTAATATTTTGTTCCAGGTTATATGTTTTTATGGGGTGATGGTGAAACAAAGAATGAATTTTGTTTCCTAAATGTGTGTTTCTTGCACTGATAGCAAAATTAGCCACTGTTTACATTTCCTGAGCACTCATCAGCCTGTGGTAGAGAGAACTCAAAGGTAAGTGTGGTTGCAAGGAAAGAAACCGGGAATCCAGTGGTTGCCGCTAGCTTCATTCAATGTATAGATCCAGATTATTACATATTATCTGAATTAAACAATTTTACTTTAGAGAGATCATGCAGGTTCTGTGTTTGAGGAAATCTTACGGTTGCTTATAAAGGAAATCATTGCCCCAAAATTCTGGATTTCAACTAATCTGATCTGCTTAAAGCATGACACCTGCATACTTGCTAACTTATTTTTTGAGAATAGAGAGTTAGATCAGGAATAGGATTCAGTCCTTAGAATGCAGAGCTTATAATTTTAGAAAGGTATGTATTTTATTTAGGCCAGGTATTTTTACTGTTAATATATTTACTGTTTTATCTAGAATGTTGACTCTGTTATGATTGAGTCAGTTGCCCCTTCCCCACTTCCTCTTTCCTCTGTGTATTTATTGCACACTGACTAAGTGTCTGGTGTGACAGCAGGTGCTGCGGTCATGAGGGTGACTAGTTAGACATGGTTTCTGCCTTCATGGAGCTTACAGTCTGGTGGGAGGGATGGACAAAGGAAGCACAGAACTGGACACCATGCATTTTCTCCTCTGACATCAGAGCCAAACTGGAAGATCCTGAAAATAATTCTATTGCATGTCCCTTGGAGATATTAACACATTGCTCAGTGATGTTGATTGTTAAAATATCCTCTTGTTTGGAATTGTTATCACAGTGGCTCCTCTGGCGGTAGCATGCTTATAAAAGCAACCAGGAACTGCCCATGTGCCCAGTCTAGGCTCCTGACTCCCACAGATGCCTCTGGGGCTGGGGCCCGGCTAAATATTTTCCAGGAGAAAAGTCAGTCAGGAGCCAGCGCCTGCCATTTCCCATTCTTTCAGAGCCAAGGAGCTGGACGGGCATCTGACAGCCTGGAAGGGCCCTGCTCCAATCTGGAACTGAGGTTAACGCTTCAGGTCAGCTACTTCCTAAGGGAAGGAAAAATCCCTCCCAGGGATTTTTTTACTTTGAGCTTTCTCTGGTGCTGCTTGTTGCTGGCCTTCAGATTTTGGCCACCACTATCTTCGGGTACTATTTTCTCTGCCTCCCTTGGAGAGGTGACCTTCCCCTTCTGTGCAGGGCCCTGTCTGTCCCATGTGGTCTTCCAGGGCTGGGGTGAGGAGGAGGCGGCGAGATTATTGCCTGTTACACATGGACATCTAGACGGGGGAAGAAACATAACAGCTTTATTTTTAGGCTTTGCTAATTCTCACTCTTCTCCTAGTTCGCTGCTACCTGGCAACAGCTTATTGTCATGGCAACACCGATGTTAATGAGTGAAACTCTCAGTGTGTCTGCTCTCCTGGTGCTCTGACAGACACCGTGTGGAGCTATCTTTCTGGCCATCAGAGGCTAAACGCTAGGCTTCCTTCCCCTCTGCAGGCCTCCCAGGCCCCGGGCCCCGTCCACAGAGGGAAGGCACGGAGGCAGCGTTGACAAGGGATTTATGGCTCTGCTTACACATTCCCAGCTTCTCCTCTCTTCACGGATGGGCTGCTGCTCTCGCACTGCCCCTCCTCCCGCAGTCCATCCGTCCACATTTTTAAGCGGTAGCTGTAGCCCATTTTCTCATGTCTAGGGCACCTCAAGATTTGAGCCGGTTTTTACAGCACCTTCTCTGCAGTTGATCAGCAGGGCTGAATCGCGAGTTTGGGAGAGGAGATTTGTGGCTGGAACTGGCGCTCACATTGGGGAGGGAAGACCTGCACCTTCAGCTCTTAGGCTGAGAGTCAGTAACACCACCATAGCTTCTTGTCTTGCTTCTCTGACATCTGTCCCTCAAGGGTGCCTTTGCAGCATTACAATAATTGTGAGGAAGAGCAGGCAGAGTCTGCTCCAGCCTCCTTGTGCCTCAGTTTGTCCATCTCTAAAGCAGCGCATATCTGAAATTGGATGGTCCTTAAGTTGGCGCTGCTGAGGAGGGGTTCATGTGAAGTGCTCTGGGCTCCTGCTCACCATTTCTATGATGTGGGTAACTTGCTCGACCCCTCTGTGACTCCACTTCTCACTTGTAAATAAGGATAGTAATAGTACCTACCTCAGAGTGTCATTGCAGGACTCCAACCAGATACATATGTGTCCGGGGCTTATAATAAAATCATGGTTCAATAAATCTTAGTTCTTACTACGTGTGGTCATTATTCAGTCTTCACACTGATCTCGTGAACTAGGACTATTATTCTTGAATTACAAAGAAGGAAACTGAAGCATGGAGAGGTTGAGCAACTGCCAAGGTCGCTGGAAGCAACATGAAGCCTAGGCGTGCCCTGAGTCACCACACTGCACATTGCAAGGTGAGCCTGAAGGGGATGGCCCTGTATGCCCTCAGTGACTTCTCCCTGCTCCGGGGAGGTGGGCCCGGGACCCCAGGAGTGTGCCTGAGGACCTTGCACTCCTTGGATAAGAGGTGTCACCGCCAGCCCCCTTCCTGTCTTCCCTGTAGGCCCAGCACTCATTCACAGGCAGACACTTCTAGTTAGCGCACATGGTTGATGGACATGTGAGGTTCCTTTGACCCCATCCCTTCTAGTCTATGCTTCTGCTTCTTTATCTAGAAAATGTGCAGCCATGTCTCATCCCCGCCAAAAGAGGTACTCAAGAAGAGAGAAGAGGAGTGTTCAGTGTCTTCTCCCCACGTCCCCTTTCCCCCAGCGAGGCACAGGGGCTCTCTCTGGGTTTGGACTGGAGCACCTCATGGGTGTGAAGTCGGGAGGAGCCGGAGGCAGTGAGGACCTGCATTGCAGCGGGTGTGTCGGAGGGCTCAGCAAACGTGTGCTGCATGAGATGGGGAAACGAAGCCATGTTTGCCGGCATATCTGGGGTTCCCTGGTCACTGAGACATCAGAGACATGTCAATCTGAGTCCCTTTGCTTGGATTTAATCTGCTATTTGTGGGTGTTCTGTTGCATTCAGTGGGGCTTCAGTCTTCATTTTCCTTGTCCTTTGCACTTCCTCATCATTCCCTTTCTGCGAGCTTGCCCACTTGCTAGGATGGATCCTGGTCAGTGGATCAGGTGGTGGTGCTGAGGGCTCTGTTACCCTGATGGCTTGCCAGCTTGCAGGGCCCAGCATGCCTGTGAGGGCAAAAGGGTTCTGAGTGGGGCCTGTTCCTCTGGGTGGGATGCGCTCTCCCTCCTCCTAGGCTTGGTTCCTCTCCTTCCTCGGGGCCTGATTCCTCCAGCTCATGCTCTGTCTTTCCTCAGAGCTCCTACCACAGTCCCTGTCCCCCACACCGTTAACACTTTTACATCAGCATTGCACATGGACATAAAGGGGCACTGCAGCCAGTCCCCTGTGGAGGATCAGGATGTCCCAGCCCTTCAGGGACAGGCTCCAGGGTAGGCCTGGCAGAGGGAAGGACCATGTTCTCTCCCAAACAGGCCAGTCCTTGGAGCTGCTGCCATGGCTTCAGCTTCCAGTACCCTGTTTGGAGGGCTCTTTGCAAAGAGGCAGAAGAGCCCCAAGGTGAGTTGAAGGGCCCTGGAGCCCCAGGCCTGCCTGCCTGGGGAGCAGCTGATGGCGAATCTGTGTCCTAGAACACGCCCTGCTGCCACCAGTGTGACATCAGCCGTGGTTGTGAAATTTCTGACAAAGATGCTGGGAACTCATCCTGTTCTCGAAGTCACCATGCCGCCCATCAGTTGACATGCTCTGTTGTCAAGAACACAAGAACCAGAGAGAAAGCACACTCAGCAGAGATGTGTCCTAGGGTGTTAGAGGAAGGAACCCCATCACAAAAGAAAATTAGCAAAGACAGAACTGGGCAAAACCACCAGAGGTCCCTGGGGCACGCCAATTAACTAGCTGGGAGTCTTGGGCAAGAGCGAGGGGAGGCCAGGGCTTAGGGATGAAATGTGAGGATGGGGAGGGGCCTCTTGAGCTGGCTCAGTGCCTCAGTCGGGCACTGGATATGGACTGGGACCACATCTTCTGGCCCCTCTTATTGTCCCTACTGCCTTGAAAGGACTAGATTATAATTACCTGAAGGACTGAGTAGGCCTAGAAATACTTCCCTAACTGCTTACTCATATCAACATTCCTTCCAAGAAAGAAGCAGGCACGCAGTCCACAATTAGAGATAAAAGGCTTCAACTGGAGGAGGTAAGGCCGTGGAGCGAATGTTTCAGTTGGAATGCAATCAGTCAAACAACTAGGGCAATTGACTGGTTATCAAACCCTCCTGGGTTTTGATGGGAGGAAAGAAGAGGAATTACTCATAAGGCAGAGTTTTCTTAAATAAAGAGAAGGGCCCCCCAGAAGAAGAGGCTTCAGGACACTGATTCTTACTCTTGTCTGTACAGTAGAATAATCTGGGCAGCCTTTTAAAAATACTCAATTCCTCTGCCTCAACTCAGAGGAGTTCTGATTCAGTGGCCTTCATAGGGCTGGGACATCAGTATTTTTTGAAAGCACCCCCAGGTGATTCTAATAGGCAGCCAGGGTTGAGAACCACTGGTTTAGAGGTGTTTAAAGACAGAAGGCAAAATGTGTAGACTCCAGCACAGAATTTGCTGTTTTCCAGGCTGAGACCAATAGAAAGCATATCCTGATTTTAATTCACAGCGGCACATTCTAAAAGTATACTCCAGGATTTAAAAAGTCTAGGGGCTTTTGGAAATATTTGTTTGCCCATGTTCATATCAACATTATTTGTAATGGCCAAAAAGCAGATGCAATCCAAGTATTCATTCGTGGATAAATGGATAAACAGGATGTGGTATATACATACAGTGGAATATCATTCGGCCTTAAAAAGGAAGGAGATCCTGATACATGCTACAACATGGATGAACCTTGAGAACATTATGCTAAATAAAATAAGCCAGACACAAAAGGAGAAATATGGTATGATTCCACTTATGTGAGGTACCCAGAATAGACAAATTTATAGAGACAGAAGTAGAATGGTGGTTGCCAGGGGCTGGTGCAGGGGGAAGTGCGGAGCTGTTGTTTAATGGGTTCAGGATTTCAGATTTTCAGGAATAGCAAAGTGTTCTGGAGATGGATGGAGGTGATGGTTAAACAACAATGTAAATGTTTTTAATGCTACTAAATTGTACACTTAAAAATGGTTAAGATTGTAAAATTTATGTTACATGTATATATTTTACCACAACCTAAAAAATTAATTTCAGATTAATAAGAATCATCTATTTTAATATTTGAGAAAAACAGAAATGTATAAAGGAGAAAATTTCAAAATTACCACTTGATATCTAGATGTATTCTTTCTCTGCATGTGCTTAATCATGCAAATACATACACACATTGAATCTTACTTTCTATGATGGCTTGCAGTCTGGGTTTTCATTTGTACTTGATTTGGTTTAATCCTTATTTCTTGACAGAGATGGTTCCATCTCAAGGGTGGAGTAAGTGAGGTGACATAGTAGGTGGGCATCCTAACATATCCGTATATTCAGCTTTGGAATCAGACACTACTGGGTTCAAATTTGCACCTGTCATGTTCACGATCGGTGTGACCTTGGGCCTCATTCTGAGCCTAAGTGTCCTTATTTCAGACTTGTTTGGGAAGTTAAAGATAACTTAGGTGCCAGGTCCCTGCTCAGGCCGTCGGGAAATGGGAGCTGTAACTGCAGAGTCACCGGAGACTTCCACGGACACTTTTACGTACTTGAGATAGATATTCAGTCTCCACTTCTACCCGTCTAACTTAGGAGAGAGCTTCGGAGAAGCCCTGATCTGAGATTCAGGAAGTCGCCAGGGCTGCCACATGGTGCTGTGACCTTGGCAACACCAGATTCTTTCTCGGTCTCTGTTACTACATTTACAAAGTGAACACATTGGGTTTTGGGGTCTCTGGGCTCCTCCCACGTCCCTACTCTAGCATCCTTTGCCTCTCCGTAGCCTCTCACTCCCTGAGATGCAGGGCCCTCAGTGGATGTCCAGTAAATGTTTATTGACAACGCGTCTCCTGCAGGTTAATCATCAACAACATGCAACAATATCCCAGATATGACCGGCTCCCTCCAAAGAGAGAAACCTGCTTTATGGCAAACTCATTGACTTTTCTTCAGGAAGAAAATTTCTGCTGGTGCAGCACCATATTCTGCAGGAGTTTGGATAGGGTGTGCTGGAAAGACAGGGATATTTTTCCCTAAAGGCAGTGCATAGGGGCAGAGGGGCAAAACTCCCTTTTTTATTCCTGTAGTGCTTGTACTGGGGCAGAGGAAGCAGATGCATTACCAAGAGCGTGGAAAGAAGTCCTACGTCCAGCCTAGAGCTCAGCGCATCTTTCAGCTGCCAAATGGAAGGTCTCTCTGTGGCAATGCTGGGGAGGGAAATTGAGTTAGGATGGCTTGTTCCAAATAAAATGCTATATTTAATTTCACTCTGGGAAACATTTGATGTCCGGGCTACTGTAATACGTGAAATAGATTTAAGAAGATCCTTTTTTTGTTAGAACAACAGAAAATACAAAACAGGGAGGTTCTCAGATCAGTTGCAGGTTGCACGTAGGGGTCTGATCATTTCAGTGTGGTTTTTAAGCATCTGGCAGCTGCTGGCCAACGGTTGACTAGTCAGTATCTAGCAGCCTGAGTGTCACTGTATGCGTTGAATCTGTCTCAGTAGTTCAGCCTCTGAAATGCCTTTCAAGTTAAGCCAAGGCATTCGGCACAGGAATGGGAAACTGTCAGTTTGTAAATCTGGGATGTGTATTTGTGTGCTTGACATGTGGAAGGGAAGGGTTGAGTATGAACCAATGCTGAGTTAGATCAACAAATATGTATCTGACTATATGATCTAAAAATCAGCCAGGTAGAGTTCCATCTCCAGAACTGCTGTCCCTTTTATGATGGTCATAAGCGCCATGGCTGCTGGACGCTTCTCTCCCTTTGTGGAGCTCTGCCCTGGTGCATTTCTGGGCTAACTGGCCATGCAGGGATTTGGGGAAGGAGCTCACAGACCTACTTTACTTTTCACATTGTTCCTATCCCTTCAGGCTTCTGCCTGTTTCCTTCTTGACTCCTGTTACTTTTTAGTGTGAGGTCAGAAAAAGCTCTTCTCCCCTCTTCTGCCTTCATTCATTTACCATTCAGAGGACCTCACTGAAGTGGAGAGACCAACAGATAGGGCTGCCAACTCAACCCTGGAAATGCTCTTTTCTTATTTTACCTGGCCATCTAGAAACCAAGTGTTTTATTTTTTTGTCCATTTATTTAAAAAAACTACAGAATGAAGTATTTTTGGGGACTGTGCCACTCTTTCGGGCTGTAAGTAGAAAAGAACAAATATATCCTTGTCCAGCTTTTCCTGTTAGACCCTCAGAGGAAGAAGCTCCAGCCCGTAACCTGTGAGGCTTTATTCCTTGGTGATGATGTGAATTAGAGAGAAAAGCTAATCTTTTTGAATGACTATGAAAGTTTCTCTGTGGAGCATCTGAAACCCTGGAAACACTTGCTTTCACGAACACTGAGTGCACCCTTATATGTGGAAAGAATTTCAGAGGCCAGGTATCAGGAGAGGCCCTGGGAGAGTAAGGAAATACAAGCAGCCTTTTGGCCTGGGATCTGGAGGCCTGGAGTCTGGAGGCCTGGTGACCTAGGCAGTGGAGGGCCCAGGAGGGAGGCTTTCCTTGAAGAGCACTCTATGATGTTGGTTCAGCTCTCTGACATTGAATTTGTCATGAGAACCCAAGCTGCTTTCCATGATAGAAAGGATTTCCTCCTCCTCAGATGCTGAGGGAAATGGTTCTTTGCATCCTGCATCCAGAATCAGCACAAGACGGTGGAAGTGGTCAGGGACCAGCATCTGGGCTCCCCTGTTCTCCAACTGGCAGTGCTGTGGGGTCCCTGGGCAATTGTACAGAAAGCATGTATATAGAGTCAGATAGATATGTGCTGGAATACTGACACAATTCAAAGCTCCCTCTGCTCAACTCCTTTGAGCTGAGCTTAATCCATAGCTCTCTGAACCTCAGTTTCATTATCTGTAAGAGTGGGAATGATGATACTGCAGAGTTGTGAGGCCTGTGCATGCTAACGCATGTGATACACCAGCTACAGTGCTGGCTCCCTGGTAAGGCTCAGGCATGGGGAACTGGTACAAGCATTACCTCTGCCCTCCCATGAGACAGGGGGTGCTGATATTTGGTGTGAAGAGGTGCTGACACTAGATGTGAAGGGGTGCTGATACTAGGTGTGAAGGGGTGCTGATACTAGGTGTGAAGGGGTGCTGATACTAGGTTGGGTTCTCCTAGATCAGTCTGATGTAGGAGAGCCATCTTCAGCTGGAGCTTTGGGATCTGTAGTTACTGACCAGTCTTGACTCACCATTGTTTGTGGTGTCTCTTGTCTTTTTTCACTTGTTTCCGGAAGGCAGCTGGTGGTAAGTTTTACATTAGTTTTAGCTTGAGTATTATGCTTGGTTAGCGCAATACTAAAATTATTTCCTTTTTCCTGTGCATTCATCTATTCAACATGTATTTATCGAGGATGAACTATATGCGAGGCACTTTGACAGGCACTGATGATGCTGTGCTTGGCGCTGAGCGAGAGTTTACATTCTCTGTGCATATGAGGGCAAGAAGAGAAGAGAGAGAAAATTTAAGATGTAAGCAAATAAATGAGAGAGCTTCATATTATGGTAGGTGCTATGAAAAAGAAATCAAAGAGAAACAAGCAGAGTTTTGTGGTAACATGACTGTGGGTGGGGGTTACTTTAAGCTGTTGGTCAGGGAGGTCCCCTCTGGGACCTGGAAGACAAGAAGGAGCTAGGCTTGCAAAGAAAGAGAGGAAGAGCCTTCCGGGGGATGGCATAGCAAGTACAAAGGCCCAGAGGCAGGACAACCTTGGCATGTGTCAGAAACAGAAGAGCAAGGCTGGCACACAGTGAATGACCAGGCGGGTGCAGGTGAACTGGTCAAAGGGTTGGCGGTGTGGGGAGAGGGAGTGCTAGATCATGACTGGTAGGGAGGGTGACGTGTCTTTTTTATTTTTAGAATACCATCATTCTGCCTGTGGATTAGAAAAGGGAGTTGGGAGGGAATGAGAAACTGGTTGGGAGGCCAGTTGGGTAGGAGAATAGAGGCTGGGACCAGGTGCCAGCAGTGGAGGTGAGATGAATGGACAGAATTTGGCCAGTGGGATGAATGCAAGTGCCTGGGAGGCAGAGTTGCCAGGGCCTGCTGGGCAGTTGGGCAAGGAGGCCTCAAAGGATGCCAGGCAGTTTGTTCAGAATAAACATCAACAGTGAAAGTCTTGTCAAGAGTGTTGGGAAGTTGGACATTTTTAGATACAGCTGATGGCAGTGCAGAAGTTCCACTCACCTTGGAGGGTCATTTGACAAAATGTTCAAAGGCTTCAAAATGCTCATTTCTTTTGGTTCAGCAAGTCCATAGGATTTTATCCTACAGAAACAGTCAGAAATACACAAGGATTACTTACAAGTGTGTTCATTGTAGTCTTATTTGTAATGGAGCTAAACCTGGGATAATTTCTCTCCTCTATTAATCACCAGAGGGCTGGGTAACTAAGTTAGGATGCGTCCATATGATGGAACACCATGTAGCCATTCAAATGATAACCTAGAAGGACAGTTAATGGCACATAAAGATGTTCAACTGCACTGCTAAATGAACAAACATAGAAAGTTATCTACAATATGATCCCAAATTTTATAAGATATATAACCTCTATTTACATCTCATATGAGTGTAGACAGGATATACTATACCCTGGAAGGTATAATAGGTATACATTAGAGTGTTAATGATAAGCCAATTCAGGGAACAAAATTACAAATTATTTTATTTCATTCTCTATTTATGATTCTTCTAAATTTTCTAACATAAACATTTGAAATAAAAACTTAAAAAAAGCCCTGTTATTTGAAAAAACTTGTGATGTCTTACCATGTCCAAGTATAAACTGAAAAGTGAATAAATCAGTGGGCTGGTGGCCCTTCTTAATACACTGCCATACATAGGACAACCATTTGTATTCAGAAAGTTTGTGTTGAGTAAGTCACTGGATTTGAGTCAGAAGACTTGGAGTTGGAGTCCCAGCTCAGCCATTCACTGGCTTTGTGATCTTGAACACGACGCTTAACCTCTAATGCACAGACTCTTGGCTGCTTCAATTTGCAGTGGGAATGAATGGTGATAACAAGAACAAGAATAATGCTTTCACGGAGTTGTGAGGATTCAGTGATAGGGAATTAGAAAATATTTTGTAAGAGGAAAACCACAATGTAAATATTAATATTTCAGGGCCCAAGTCTTTGACATGGACGTGACTATGGGCACCAATAGATTTTTGGATGGATCATTTATGGTACCCTGTCGTGCCCTTTAGTACACCTTTGCCTGGTGTACATCTCATGCAACCAAATGGCCAGCTCACGTCTGATCCCAAGCCCTGAATTAAGTGAGCAATCTGAACATGAGGGACAATGAGTTGTCCTGAGTGGCAGGCGGCTCTCAAGTGAGGAGTGCTTTCTCATTCACTGGAAAACTGTAAGTGAAATGCTGCTTCAGCAGCCACACCCAGAGCCCCTTTGATACATGGTTCAGCTGTTCTGTTACATAAACCTATTGGAAATGAACCTGCAAAGGAGTTGAGCAGAGGGAGGTGCCCATTGGAATAAGGACAAAGGAGAAATGCACTACCTCTCCATTTAAAGGAGACATTTGCTTTTTAATGGACCCTAAACACTGGGATCTGAAATGTCACAATCTTTACATACTGGAATGGACACGCACATAAATGCTGATGAACAGCTCAGCAGGCACTTAATTTTTAAATCCTTGATTGTTCAAGGACAGGGATATCCTACTTGGCTCTGCAAGACTCATAGCATACTGGACAATGTTGTCTGCATCGGAATGTCTTACTGGGGAGTCACACCTCCAAAAAGAAGCTGTGTGGTGAATGGGTCCAAACATAAGGGTTTGAGCCCCTGTTTTCAGCTGGGATTTTTGGGTAAAGGGAGATGAAGCAGCCAGGTCTAACCAACTGCAGAGGTTTATTTCTTGGGGACTCCCAGCTCCATTGAGGTGTAGAAAATATAGCACATACCAGTTACCAACAAGGATACCTGTTCCTGGATGGAACTGCCTGGTTGGAAAGAATGCTGGTGGTCAGTAGTGCCTTCTGATCCTAAGAAGAGGACCCTAACCTGGCCATTTTGAATAAGGGCCCCATAGCTGCTGATTAAGTGTGTCAATAGTGGGTTCCTTGTGATGTAACATTCATCGTCCTTCCTGTGGTGGATGACCCTACAGACCCACCTGCTGATAAGCTAAGCTGCTTGCTTAAGGCCATAAAGCTACAGAGGTATTAATCTAGAGTTTGAATCGGATCTCTCTGACTCTAAGACTCCTGCTCTGAAGTCCTCCATTATCCTTCCTCTTATAGAGTTGTTTTGCCAGTGCTATTGGATTTGAATTCAATTGTACCCTACGTACATTAGAATGAAAATGTTATACATCGTAGAAAATGAATAAATCATGGTTCCATCCCTCAAGAAACTTATATGTATTATTATTTAAGAGTTTGAAGTGCATAGCAAGAGCTCAATAAATAATTATTGAGTAAATGATAATACACAAATATATTCTAGTTTATTTATAGATATCCATAACCCCAATCAGATTATGATGCATCTCATAAAAGGTGCACACACAAAATCCCATCGGAGTTTAAAGACGGGAGAGAATACCTCTGGAGAAATCAGGAAAATAAAAGTTGGATGTATCATTTGAGATGGGTCTTAAAGACCTGTAAACACTCTGACAGGTAGAGATGGTGAGGCTTGGTTCCCACCCTGAACCTCCTGCCTGCTGATTGGTTCCTGCAGTAGACCCTAGGTGCCCTGGTTTGTTTCTGCTTTGTAATTCCACTTCTTAATGATATCAACAACTGGGAGCTGGGAAATGAAGTTTTTATTCTGATAAACCTGACTTGCCACAAGAGGCCTACAAGAGAAAGTATGATTTCTGGTCTCCTCTCCACCGTCTCCGATATGCAAACGAGTCACACATCTGTATCTTCATTCTAGAGCTCTCTTTTGAACTGCTAATCCCCCTGGCGGAGCCTCTGATCCTGGTTATCCAGCATTCTTCTAGATTTAAGGTTGAAACATGATTTAAGGTCATGAATGCATGACCTTCCCAGACTCCCTTGTACATGAGCTCCCACATTCCCAGCCCCTGTTCTGCTCCACCCCTTGTGGTGATAGCCAGGGTGGTCAGCTGCATTGCATGTTAGTAGTAAGGGAAGAATGGGGTGGTGGGTCCAGAGTTGTGTGTTATAAGATGACTTTGGAGGTCAGGCTGTTGTTTTGGCTCACTTTGGGATTTTGGGGAGTAGCTTACTTTGCCATCAATTTCCTGATGAAGAAAAGGCAACTTAGCATTCTTCGTATAAGTAAACAGGTCAGTGTTGGAGATAATTACATCATGAAGCACCGTGGGTCCCAGAGGTGGGAGGCCTCATGTAAGTACTACTGTGCTATTGCCATCATTGTCTGGAGGGGATGATAATGTCGTATTTGCTTGCAAAATGGTTTTCTGATGTTGGGTTGAAAGAGACGGTTATGTACCTTAGCCAACTGTTAGGGCTGTTTTTCTTCTAGCACAATTTATAAAGTGATTTTTGTCACACCCAAATTTTTGCAGGACCGCAGAACTCAGACATTTAAGGTTGTGGCTTTTCAGAATGGATGAATAAACGTTCGCACTCTAAACTTAAGAGTGTGAAGGCTTGTCAAGGCTCCATTTCTGGTTTGCTTTCTGATCTCATGCAAGTCACTTCACCTCTCTGCTTTTTGTTTTTCCATCTGTGAGACATTGCTCACTTTGCCAGGATATCTTCAATATGAAGAAGATAATGTGTGGAACGCTGTCAGCTGCTGCATCATTAAAAAGCATTTATTCAGCACTTATGTAGCATTGCACAAAGAGAATTATAAAGACTAGATCCCTGCCTTGTCTGCTAGGTTATATTCTAATATCTTCTTAAAAAGGCAGAAACTAGGCAACTAAAGAGAGCAATAATTCAAATGTTATCTTTTAAGCTACACAAATAACAGTAGCATAAATAATTAACAAGCACCAATACGCAAAGAAATCAGTTATCAAGAATACACAGAAATAGTTATCAAAAATACATAGATAAAATTATCAGAAATTTCTCAACTTTCTGGAGCCAAGTCATGCAAGAACCTGGTTTTATGTAAATGAAATTGCGATACTGCCCCCTGGAACCTGAGCAAGAAGAAGATCCTAGTGGGCGGAGTGGGGAGGGAAAGTGTTCTGGAGAGTTTTACTTGGGATTCTGGTATTTGGGTTTCTGTCACTGTCTCTTCTCCCTCCAAAGTCAACTAATACTCAGACATTAAGGCTTAAGACCCTGTTAAGGGGAAAGGTCTATGCTTTAGAGAGGATGCTGTAGAGTGGTAGGCAACCATCATTCCTCTTGTGAATATTGTGGTCATTGCATTATGGGCCTTCATTGAATTATGAACCATCATGAGGATGAGATCCAAACCAAGCTGGATGGAAACCACATGGATGAGGCCCCAGAGAGTGAGGACGCCATACAAATGTAATCACTGAGCTGTCTGAATCATCTTGAGAAAATTCTACAAGTCTGTATACATCTGACTTCCCCATCAGTTACACACTTTGAAAGGAAAGCTCTAGGGAGAAGAGTACCATTTGCTTCCCCAATGCTAGGAGAGGAAGGTGATGAGACCGAGATTACTAACTAAATTATTTCCTGTGACTTCTTAGAAAAGCTGAACTCCCAAGGTATGCCGCTTGGATATGGGGACGCGCACACACACACACACACACACACACACACACACACACACACACACACAGTTTTCTTCATACAGGGGTAGTAAAACCTGTCAGGAAATTAATTAAATTAGCTATTATTTGTGTTTCTCTTATAGTTTACAGCATCCTTTCACTGATTTGATCTCATTTGACATAAAAAGACTAGCTGTCAAGGTAGGTGAGACTAAGATTAATCATCCCCATTGTACATAAAAGGAAACCAAGACTCAGAGGTTAAATAACTTGGCCAAGGTCACACAACCAGTGTGAATCTGGCAGAGACCAGATTTAGATATTCACTGTAATACCCTGACTTTCTCTCTGGAAGATGGTCAGCAGTCTAAAGCCAATGTATTTAAATACCACCTATCACAAATTTTGCATACAAAGATTTCAAGCCCCATCTAGATACCTAGTTTTCCTCTCCATATCTCATGTTTTTAAATTACTATTTTGTGTCACCATAGTGCACAGCATGCTTAAGACCTGGCTTGCTGCTCTTAATAATTACATAGTGTCATTGTTTCCTCCACGGAGACTCACAGTGGAAGCTAGCAAGCCAGGAACTTGTCCTTCACTGCACTTGGGTCTTAAACAGCTACAAAATACACCGAGTTTGACTCCCATCTCCCTCCAGTTCTCGAGCTCTCTGCCTGTTGGTTTTCAGCACGAGTTTCAAGTATTCTTTCGGCAGGAGAAGGGCTCTTGAAAAATAGCCCATCACAGTGCAAATTCTTTTCTAATGAATGCGCTGGGCAGGCAATAAATCTGAAAGGGATGCATCTGAATCCCGGTCCAGGTGGAAGATGCTAAACTGGCCTAAGGTTTTCAAATATGCCTGTCCTTAGCCCACTTGCAGATATTGCTGCCGTTACTGCTGATGCCATGGCCTGTGTGGGGAGGCAGTCCTCACCAAGAACTCCCTCCACAACTGCTGGGTGATGGGGGGATTGCTGCATGCTTTCTCTGTTCCCTGCCCTCCCCTTTTTAGCTATTCCCCTCCTCTCTGAAATCATCCCCTCCTGACTTTAGTCCAGGATCTCCTTCCAGCTCCTCGCCTTCCTCTAACCAGGACCAACTTTCTGGAAAAATGGTTCTTGCACTTCAGTGTCAATTTTCCCCAAGAACATGAGCATTTCAAGCTTTGAGTGCTGATTCGGGAATTTATCCAGTCACAGGAGTTTCCCAGACAGACACTTCATTCTGTTGATTCAGAGTCATAGTGACTCTGTGATCAGAGGGACTTGAGTTTGAATCTCTATACCACCTTTGACTGACTTTTGGCAAGTTACCTAACCTTTCAGAGTCTGCCAAATGAAGACAATGCTATTGTCCTGTTAGAAGGATTAAATGATATCACATAAAGTACCTGGATGTGCTCAGCCTGTGGTGAATCATTATATGTCAGTTCCGTTTTTCTGTTTCTCTCCTGAAGAACTCACAAAGCCTCTTTATCTGTTCAAGGTCATTGGATGACTTGCTAAGAACTAGGCAGAAGCCAAAGGTCATTCTCCCATCAGTTATCACTCCTACTTGACAATACACCCCAGGTGTCAATTAGTTTTTGGTTTGACCTACTATATTTTACTGATTCTACTGATCCTAAGACATGTTTTCCCCTACATTTTCATTTCTCTAAAACTAAAGTGCAATCTAAACTAATAGGTTACACTTTAGTTGGCACCATTTTTTCTTTCTCATTGATACATAAAATAATGGGCACATCTTACAACTTACAACTTTGACTTGATGGACATATGGTAATTATTTTTAAACACCTGACTTTAAATTCCCTGAACTCAAATGGCAAACAACTGCCCTGACCTGGTGATTCTTGATGCAGTCTCTTCCCAGGTGCCTTGTGCTGGAGCGTCTGCAAGATGTCCTTAGGTGGTGGGCTGCCATCTGGATAAAGGGGCAGCAGGAAGAAGAGTTTCTGGGCTTCTGGGACACATGTGAATAGAGTGCAAATGACACTTAGGGTTGCATTCTTGTGTCAGAGTTCAGTTGGCTTGTGCAACCCCGCCCCTGTGTTTGGCCCCGAGATGTTTTCCCACACCTTACACAGGGAACTCCCTATCATGTAATATTCAAAGTGGGCTTTTCAACCAACATTTATTGAGTGCATACTGTGTATTAGGCCCTGTTAAGCACTTGACACGTGTATACTCTTTTAATTAATATGATTACTCCATAAAGTAGGTACTTCTTTATCTTACACAAACCCAGGCTTAGGAATTAACTTACTTGCCCAGGTCTTAAACTCAGATCTGTCTGGCTCCAAATGTCCTGATCTGAATCTCTCTGTCCTTCTGCTTCTCTCCAAGCCTGAGTTGGCAACTCTGCCTTACCTAGTGGCAATGACAAAACAGCATAGGAGTTAAGCCTGAGTTTTCGTTCTCCTAAGAATCTGGTTGACAAGGTATGTGCTAAAGAGGTAGGGGTAGCTTATAGAGTTTGTAGAAAAGGGGGGATGGAGAGGAGGAAAACCCAGTACAGATTTTGAGCCTTTCTGAGTGAATATTCAGCTCCTTTTCTCCAGGTACACTCATTCCATCATTTCATCTCTGGCACTGTGCCAGCATGGTTCCAGGGCCAGGGGTGACTCTGGCTACCTGGCATGAACAGTGCCCCACTTTTCCCATCTGTGACTTTTTCTGTCTTCTGCCTTGAATCAGATATGCCCCAGGTGCCAGGGAAAGAGGAGTATGTGCTTGATGGTCTGTCAAGTCAGGTAGAAAGAAAATTAACATCTCTAACAGTGAGTGATTGAGATGGAGTATTTTCCAGGAGCTAGAATATTATGTGTGTGTGTGTGCATATCTCCTGGAAAAACAGAGAGGAGGAGACGCTCCTGTAGCCTCAAGAGAGCTCAGTTTGGTAGTGAAGACAGCAGATGTATGGGCCCATTACTATTAGCGGGGCAAGTTCTTAGGGGTGTGAGAACCAAGAGAACGGTTGATTGGTGGAAAGAGCACAGGATTTGGAGTTCTGAAGAGCACGTTGAGCTTTGTCTTTTCCTTGCTGGCTCACTTGGGCAAGTTCCTTAAACTCCAAGCTTTAGTTTCAGTTTTATAATGTGGGTAGTCCATTTTTACCTCGGCCTCATTGAAAGAATTAATTAGACACTCAGAGTGCAGGCTTGATACAGGCCTCTTCCAGGGCCTGGGATGTATTAATTGCTGGTGCTCCCTCAGTGGCAGCCTTGATATGCACACCTAGGAATATATACATATGCGTTTGTATATGTGTGTATGGGTTTTAAAAGTCCGTCCTTCATTCATCAAATATTTATCGTGTATCTGTTCTAGGTGTCAGGGAGTTAGCAATAAATAAAACAGGCCTGAATCCCTGCCCACGGGGAGCTTACAATCTAGTAGAGAGACAATGAATAAAATAAGTTAAACACACTTTGTTGGGTGGCAGTAGGGGCTGTGGAGAAAGGTAAAGCAGGGGAATGGGGTGTGAGTGGAGGTTTACTTTTAAATAAGACGATGAGGGAAGGCCTCCGCAGGGGATGCCTGAGCACCATCTATGGGAATGAGGGGGTCAGCAGGGTAGACTGACATTCGAGAGGAACGCATTCCAGGCAGAGGGAATTGCAGTTACAGACACTGACAGACGAACGGCCTGGCAGGCTCAAGGGCGAGGGAGCGGCATGAGCAGGGTGGGCGCTGGTTGCAGGTGAGGGGTCCCGAGGCGGGCGGAGCAGGGCGTTGCAGGCCACGGTGAGCACGGCAGCTTTTGCCCGGAAGGAGGCCAGAGCCATTGCAGATTTTGAGCGGGTGTGGCGTGGTCTGACGCGGGCTATCCCAGGTGAGCATGGCTGCTGTATGGGAGGTGACGAGGGGTCTGTCCTGTGTGCGCGCCCGCCTGGCTCCGCAGTAGCTCTGAGAACTGCCTTAAGCTCCGGCAGCGATTCCCTCAGGTTAGAGGCGGAAGGGGAAGAAGGGGCCTGGAGAGGTGTGGTTCTCGTGGTGGCGCGGCCCTCGCTGACTGTGCTCAGGATGTCCCCTCCCGGGGCTGCGACCTGGAGCCGCGGGCAGGCAGTGAGGGGCTGCTGCCGAGCTCCGCAGCCCGGGGGGCGGGCCTGGCGCGTCTAGCTCGCGGTCAGAGGTCGGGAAGGGCGCCATGGGTGTACGTGGGGACGGCGCCGGGCTGCGGCTGAGCCGCCAGGGCCTGCTGAGGGCAAGCGGGGCCTCTCGCCTTGGTGGCGCGCAAGGTGCCTTGTGAGGAGCAATGGCGGTCCCGGAAGGGGAGGCGGGGCCGAGCCTGGAAGCACAGTCAGCCCTCTGCCGGCGAGGAACTCTCAGTGCGACCCCTCAGGAAGAGACTGAGAACTTAAAAGCTGAGGGTAGAACCTGAGTGTCCAAAAGGCTAAGAGGAGAACAGAAGGGAATGCTGGCTGAGGTTACACAGCACCCATCGTGACCCTCGACGGCCTCAGTAGCTGGCCGTCCCCGCCCTGCTGACCGGGCTCTTCCCGCGCCTGATCACTAACGGTGGGAGGCCTGGGCCTTCTGGAGAAAAGAGGCTAGAATCTTCCATCTTGGGTTGTGCGGGACTTTATTCCACTGTCAGTCACAAAGCCATAAATACATTTCTCCAAGACAAGAAAAGAGTAACAGCAGCTAACCCTTCTCCGGTGCTTATTTTGCACAAGGTCCTGTTCTGAGTGCTTGGTTTGTACTAACTCCTTTAATCTTAAAGAATGATCTGGTGAGGTGGGTCGTATTATTATCCCGATTTTGCAGAGGAGGAAACCAAAGAAGGACTTGGCCCAAAGACCCTTGCTAACAGGTGTTGGGACATTATCCAAACGCATGCTTCTGACTTTGTCAATCTCTTAATTTCTTATTTGCCACGCGGACTATTGGGAGGGAGTTTTTGGAAATAACATATACAGATACGCACAAAGGTCAGAAAGGGAAAATAAAAACCGGCTTAAGCCCCTTTCTTCCCATATCCATGTGAGCACCTGCCAGGCAGCTGGTGACTGGCAATTTTCACTTCTTATTTTATGTTATAATTTATTGATGTATATGTCATCCCTCTTCCTAAGGCTGGAGACTCATGAGGCCAGAGTCCATGTGCAATCCATTTTTATATTCACCATAGTATCTAAGCCAGTGCTTTTAACATAATAGGTGCTCAGTAAATACTAAATCATTTCTAACGTTAAATGGATGCATGTGGTAACCAGCTCTCACTTAAGCCATTCCGTTCTGAAAACAATGAGAATGAGAACCTTTAAATATGTGAATCATAACACAGTTACAGCTGCATAATGTTTTTATGGTTTTCAAAATGCTTCCGCACAGTTTATCTTGTTTCGTCTTCCTGCTAACCCTTTTGAGAGTGGGAGGCACGCATTACTTAATTATAAGAAAATGAGAAAACTGAAGGCAGAGACAACAAATGAGCTATCCAAGATCACAAATGGGTTTTGTTTCTGTTTCTGATTTTGTTTTTAAAATCAGAGCGGAGATCAGAACCATCATCTCCTGGTCTTCCTATTTTGCAAGCAGCGCCCGGTACACACCTGTTGGATACACAGCTTGAACACAGGACCTAATTGTTCGCTAGGCATGAACAACAGGGTGTTTTGACTCCTGCAAGCTGCTAACAGTCTTGCACAGTGCTAGACTGTGCACTAGCACTATCTAGAATGTGATCCTTTGACCGGTAGGCAGGTTATCACTTACCAGTTTTTGGCAAGATCAGGAGCTTGTGACAGAATGTAAATCAGCTGTGTCTATAAACACACTGCTTAGTTTGTCTTTTTATTTTTTTTTACATTTTATTTTGAAATAATTTTAGGCTTAAAGTAGAAGAATAGTGTAGAGTTCCCATAAACCCTTTGGGAACTTCCTCTAATGTTAATATCTTGCATGACCATAATATAGTGATTAAAACTGAGAAACTGACATGGGTATAATACTTTTAACAAACTTCAGACTTCATTTTGATCTTACGAGTTTCTCCACTTCAGTCCTTTTTTTCTGGTGCAGATCCAATCCAAGATCCCACATGACATTTAGTCATCGTGTCTCCTTTGTCTCATCCAAGTGGTGGTAGTTCTCAGTCTTTCCTTGTTTTTTTTTTTTTTTTTTTTTTTTTGTTTGTTTGTTTGTTTGTTTTTAATGACTTTGACACTTTTGAAGAATCCGGGTCAGTTATCATGTAGAATGTCTCTTAATCTGGGTTTGTCTGATGTTTACTCATGATTAGATGGAGGGTATGCATTTGTTGCATACTAAATGCATACTTCTGAATATCACAGAAGTGATGTTCCCTTCACAATGTGTCCTATCAAAGGGTAAAGGATGTTGATGTCTTTCTACTGGTGCTGTTAACCTTCATCACTTGGTGAAGGTGGTGTCTTTTGAGTTTCTTCACTATAAAGCTGCTATTTCCCCACTTCTAATAAGTATCCTGGGGGAGATATTTTGAGACTATGCAAATATCATGCTTTTTGTCAAGCTTTTGCCCATAGTTTTAGCATTCCCTGGTACATCTTGTTTACAACAGTTATTATGTTTGGCTAATTATGATTTTTCTATTGTCCTTTTTGCCTCCATATTTATTAACTAGACTTCTCCCATTAAGGAAAAACTGTCCCTTCTTCCCCAGTTATTTATTTATTTAGTCATTAATTTATACCAGTATCATGTTTATTTATTTTATTCTATGAGTAATAATCCACTACTACTGTTAATTTATTTTCTTGCTCAAATTGTTTTAGCTTTGGCCATTGGGAGCGCTTTCTGGTTGGCTTCTGTGCCTCTTGACATACCCCCAACCTTTCTCAAGTGTTTTCTTGCTTTGGGACCACAAGATATTCCAGGCACATCTTTTATTTCCCCCTCAGCCCTAGAATCAACTGTTACTCCAAGGAGTACTGATTCGTTTTATTGGAGAGTGGTAGTATGTGAAAACCAAGACCTGGGCACTAGGTGTGCTCATTCCTATCAGCTTGTGTTTATATGGAGACTCTCCTGATGAAGGAAGTAGTGTGTTGATTCACATTTTGGTGCTAGCTTCCTATCTCATCATATCAGGACCAGTTCGTGACTCTCCCACTTTGAGTCTCAGTGATCTTTAAGTTCTGTTGTGTCACCGTGTCCATGTGACTCATCTGGGGGTAATTTCAAATTCTATTGAATTAAAGTTATGAATCAGTGTTATCCTTTCACTCATTCATTAAGTCAATATGTCTTGCATGTACACTGTGTGTTGGGCCTTGTGATAGGCACTGGGTTTACATTAGTGAGTAAAATTCTGCCTTTAACAAGTTTATACTATAGTTTCTTTGATGGCGTCTAGGAGACATTACTCCTTTTCTTGGTTCTGTATATTATCAGAACTCATCTCAGATTGTTCAGCATTCTAAAATCATGTAAGTTCAGCCTAGGGAATTTTAAATTTTGATTTTAGATTCAGAGGTTGTTGGAATATGAAGATACCATTCCCTGTCCCAGTAGCTCCTGGGGCCATTAAAAACCTTTGCCCATGCCTTGTTTCTGATACATAGATGGTTGACTTCTTCAGATGCAAGGAGGCTGAAGATATATACTTTGACTTGATAAGACCTCTGAAGTCTTAGCTGCTCCCTCTAACCAATACTCTCTGGTCAGTGCTTCCCTCTCCTATGGGGTTGGGGTATAGGGGAGGCATCCTCCTCTTCAAACCACTCTCAGACCCCAAAAGGATCCCTTCAGCAAAGATTCTCTTGCTTGACTTTCCTCCACCTACAAGTCAAGTTGGATCTGGGTTCAGCTTCAAGGGGGTCGAAAGTGAGGTCAGTTAAGGTCATTTGGATGGGCATGATCCTTACTCCCAGGTCCACCCTTCCCACTTGATTTAATACAATCTGGCATTATTCCAACACTTCTCCCTTTGGCTGTTTATTAGCATTTCCTTTAACTTTTTGAGCATAAATGGAATAAGAATCACTTTCACGGCCCAGAAAGGTGTCTCCAGCAAGGAGTGTTCTGCTGGACGATGCAGCCTTTTCAAACGAGTCAGTTAGCTGGAAGTGTCCCGTGTCTCCTTTTCTTTTGGAAAAGATGGGAGTGCTGAAAACTCATGCTGAGGCTGGTTCTCTGTTTCTATTGGTTCCTTTCTGGCATGTGTTAAATTATGTCTTTTGTGTTCTGAACAAATATGTGTTCTCAGCATGCAAAATATGCACACAATGGCTGACCGATTGCCTGTTCTTGAGAGGAAGGGAACACTCAAGCTGTGGTGAGTTGATTGCCAGGCACTCTGTGGTCAAAAATGTGAGGGCACCATGGGTCACCTGCATGTGCCTTGAAAAGTAATGTAGGGTCTAGGCACCTGAGCATCTGTTCGTCAGGTGTGCCGAAGATACTGCCAGAGATGGGCTCCTGTATGCAGGCTCCTCAACAGCCTGGAGCGTTCGCCCCAGCTTTGAGCCTGGTGTAGGGCCAGGGGCCAGATTGTGGAAATGAGTCTTTAGTGCCTCCCTCCATTTTTATGTTGGTGTTTTTCACAAAAATTTTCTGTGTGTGTGTGTGTATTTTAATATATGAAATCCGGTTTAGAGAACAGCCTCGTATGTCCCATCCTGCTTGTAATGCAGTGATCTGCCCTTGAGAATTTTAAATTAGCTGACCTACATAGCTTAACTATTTCAATTAAAAGTAACAGGCAGTATAGATTGGCAAGAGGTGGAGGAGAGGGAGGGGAAGATCCCTCCCAGGAGCTTTGGTTCAGACAAAACAATAGAAGTGACGAGCGATTCTGGGAAGAAGGCATGACTGATAGTTGTCATGGAAGCTCTGACACCCTTTCCATGGGTGAGGTTCTCACAAAGGTGGCTTCTGGATATCCGCCTGCTATGAACACATAGCCTTTGTGGGATGGTGCCAAGCAAACTCTCTTCAAGGGAAGGATTCAGGCAGCATTATTCCTTGCTCTTCTGCACATCCGCTCTTCCATTTCCAGTGTCTCTATACGTGGCTCTCTGAGGGCCAGTGTTCTCCCAGCCCCTTCGGCCTGCTCCCGGGGGAATACCTGGAGAGTAAACACTGTCTGTGGTACAGGGGGGCCATTCTTCCTCCCTTTCCATTTCTTCTCTACTGTTCAGAATTCTGATTCCACAGAAATGCCTAATTAACTCAGTTGCTCTGCAATGACAAGCTAACATCTGGAGCTACCAAGTCAGGAAAGCCATTCAGCCGGGGTCCAACACAGATTTTCTCCCCTCTGCACCCAGCTCAGCTGCTGGGCACTGCACCAACCCTGATGTGGCAGGACGAGGATGCCAAGGGCTGGAGCAACCCAAGGCTAATTTTTTTTCACCCAGAAAATCATGGGTTAGATATTTTTAAATTGCTGGCTTATTTTGCAGCATTTTTATTATTTCTGGTAGATGAGGAGATCTTGCCATCACTAGGGGTCCATCTCTCCCACATGCTGCCTTGCAGTGCTTCTCTACGTAGACCATCTCTGGGTGATGCCGGTTTACCCAGGGATGGGATGGGGTGCAGTGTATTACGCTTCAGGTTGTATTTGTGGCCCCCTTGGGAATCAGTTGCAAAGCAGGGCCGTGTCTGATGTGATGGCCAGGACAAAGGTCTGAATGACTAACAAAGAAGCTGTCTCTGGCAGGCAGGTAGGAGCAGTCCGGTGCACCAGAGCTGTGGAATGACTCCCAGGTTCCATTTTTCACTTCCACTTTGCATCCATCCTCCCATCTGCCTGCCCACTGTGTACAGTGCTTACTACATGCCTTACCTAGTCTAAGTGCTTTACATAAATGAATTCATTTGACGTTCACAGGACATCACAGATAGGCATTACCATTGTCCCTGTTTTATAAATGAGAATACTGAATCATTGAAAGGTTAATAATTTTGCTTATGGACATTTGCTTCTGGAGCTGGACCAGGCAGTTTGGCTTCAGAGTCCACTTGGCTCTATCAAAGTCTTGCTATCAATTACATAAGTTCCATTCCATCTCAGCCCGAAGTGTTTTCAGAGCCGGAGACCTCACAGTGTCTCTCAGGACAGTACCTTTCAGGTTTGAATGTGCCCAAGAGCCATCTGGGGATCCTGGTAAAATGCACATCCTGATTCAGCAGGTTCGGGTTGGGGCCTGAGAATCTCAGGTCCAGCAAGCTCCCAGGTAATGTCAGTGTGACTGATTGCTGGTCCACACATTGAGCAGCAGTGCTGTAGTAGACTACTATCATGCCTGTGTACTAATTTCACTGTCAGATTGGAGTTAACTGCATTTGGATAGGGAGCTCTTTCAGCAATAGAATAATACCAGTAAGAATTTTTAATGAGTGATCAACTATAGTAGCAGTTAGTAATCAATTTTTTGTTTAAAAACTAAGTTTCCTAGGACTCTAATGGAAAATGGAAAGGTTATGTCCCCCTTTTTCGTATCTTTGCCAAGGGTCTTTCCTTTGTTGCTGGGTTTAACTTGGCACTTCTAGGCTACTTTAGTCCTAACTTTTCTCAGTTACCATTATATGCAGTTCTCCCAGCCACACCCCAGCAGTGTGCAAGGGATCAGACACAAGGTTGAATCCATCACAAAAGCAGAATCACCATGGCAACTGCATCCTTTGATTCTTGAGTGTGCCCAGCAACCTGAGCAGAGGCGATAGTTGAAGTGAACCAAGTTCTCCTGAGAAATGGAGGGGAGTGGTGCCGGGCCCACACTAGGCTGTGGTATCTTCCTCCCTACAGTGAGGGGCTTCTGTTTACTCTGAAGACTCCAGACACTCAAAATCTCCTCCCCTCCCTCCAGTCCTGCAGTTAGCCTCCAGGGGTTTCTGGTCCTAAACTTCCACCACCATGAGATTACTACAATGCCTTGTGATACTCTTGTTCTTCTGGTTTGAGTTTTGGTAGATAAGCACATCTGAGTCTTGCTGTGTTAATGTGTCTGTATTTTGGTGTATCTGCTTGCTTGTCGTGTGGGGCATATGCCAAGTCCAGTAGTGGATGGGCTGGGGAAGACCAGACCTTATCACATGGTGCCCTTGGGGGGAAATCTTAATTCCAATGTGTGAAACCAGTGAAAGTATGATTTTCTGGGTCAATTTTAAAAATATACGTTCAAGCAAAAAGCAACCTGTTATCTCTTCTCTTTCTGCCTCTGCACACAGCAGCCTCCATTGCCTAGGGTATGATAGTGTGGGTTCACTTTGTCCATCTCATTTGGATGACATCAGCGAAGATGCATTCTGTATCTCTCCACTGAGGCCTGTGACAGGACCTAATGTTTTGTGGAGCTGAGAGAAAATAAACCAAAATGACCCAATGGAATATAAATGCTGATTTCTGTTCCTGTTGTTTGACAGAAAGGAAGTAATGAACTAAGATGCAGTAGCCTGGCCACGTGATGTCTTGACAGGCAGCTTTCAGATTTGGAGATGCTTCAGAGTGTTGTATTGAGTCTCTGGGAAGACCCTAAGCACTCAATTCCTAGTGGTCAATGGTTGGCCTGTTTTGAGACATAACCAGTTGGAAGGAAGGATGGGCCTTTCTGCTCCCTATGATGTTGCCTTAAAAAGACATTTCCTGGGAAGAACTGGGCAGATGGTGGCTTTAATCTCACTAGCCTTGTTCTTCATTTTTATATCCAAGCTTCAAAAAACCAGCATTAGCCAACAGCACTGTTTTTACTGCTAAGCAAAACTTCAGGAAAGAGCATCCTTCGATAGAACATTAATTAACAAATGTGCCGTCAGTCCAAATGAAGACCTGTGCTGCTCCCTCTGCCCTCCCTAGCTCCACCTTTATTTACGTACCCAAAACATTTCCAGTGGTATCAAGGCGACAATGATAGGTTTTAGTATTGAAGACCTAACATTAATAAATGCAGTTTTGATTGCTGTTCCTATCTGTATGTTCTTTAAGGAGGTTTGTTTAAAAGCCAAACAATCCCACGGGTGGCAGAGACTCTTTGTTCTAGCCTTCGTCGTCAAAACAGACAGAATCAGGTTTGGGAGCAAGGCTTCTACACAGGAGCCTGGAAAACTATTATGCAGAAGAAGCATTTTTTGTTCCCCTGAGTAACCAATATAGTTAGTAGGCATGATATGTGTATAAACTGGGATGTATCTCCTGTGATGGAGTGACGAGGTAACTAGGTGACTTTGGCATGACCTTCCCACGGAAATAACGGTGCTGGACCATATATAGACAAAGATAAGCTTTCACTTAATATAGAAAGAACTGAAGTGTGGCCAAAAACTGTCTCCTCACCCTTGCCTTCAATGTGATTTCTGAGCTGCAGACTCGGAAGTTTCTCACATTCCTTGAGATAGTGGTGAACAGTAAAAGGTTTGGGAATTGGGGAACTGCTATAGGAACTCCACCAAAATCATGTTGAATCTTACAGAGAAATGGGATGAGTCTGTCAGTCTGACTTTCTTGTGAATGAGAATGGTCAGGTAGCTCTGACAGGCCTCAAAGAAATAGGCTTTGGAACTGACCTACCAAGTGCCCTCTGAGAAGAGGACTAGCCATTCTCTGGGAGCAGAGGGAACCTGGATGATGTGGTTCTTTGTCCAAGGAGAGTGTCCTGGAAAGGTGTTCCCCATCTAGGTATTTTCTCTGAGAAGCAGAGGATGAGGGCTGAACTTGCAGGAAGCCGAGAGGAGGAAGTAAAGTCAGGAGAAAATCTGCCTGGTTAAGGCTGAAATTTGGGGACTCATGATCCAGAGAGGTTCTGTAATGCCTAACCCTGGTTTTGGAGGCCAGGGATTTTCATTTTGACTGGCTTCACTCCTTGGCTTATTAAATGTCTTTGACTGAGTGGCTAAACCACCCTAAGCCTTAGTTTCCTTACCTGTAAAGTGGGAATAACACTTGTTTCAGAAGGTGGTTAAGAGGATTACATGACATAACACATATGAACCATTTAGCTAGCGTCATGCCTGTCACATGGTAGCTCGTGAAATTTTAGCAGCTATTTTTACTCCTAGTTTTACTACAATAACCTGACTGGGAAAGCGTCCGTGGGCAGGGCAAAAGGGAGGAGCCGTGAAGATAATCAGGAGGTCAGCGTTAGAGTGGGTACCAAAACAGCCAGAGAACTGTTTGGGAGAAGTTGCCTCCAGAGCACTCCGGTTTGGTCCCCTCCATCAGGGCCCACTGGTCATCGGGTACCGTGTCAGTCACCTGAATGACGGTGAGGGCTGGGCCAATACCAGCTCTCCCAGGCGGTGAGGCTTTCCTTCCACACACACAGGCTTCATCTCGTAAGGCTCTTGGTGGGAGACACAGCTGGGGCACTGCTGGAGGAAGGGTCAGCTGCACAGACCTCGCGGCCCTCTGCCCAGTCCCTGACGTCAAAAGGGCCGTTCATTCCCAGGGCTGCTCTCTCCACCCAGCTGCTGGGTCTCAGCTCTTTTCCTGGGAAGCCCGGCGCTTCCCGGGTAGGAGATTCTATCCCGACAGTCTGTTCTAGCTCCCTTCCCTGTTTGTGACTGTCCCTCTTCCCTCCCACTCGCCTCCCACGCTGTCCCCCACCCCTGCCTGGTTTCCAATTTTAGCGGTGTTACCAGGGCAGGTTTTCAGGAAGCCTGCTCCAGTGGCTCTCTCCTGGGCCATTTCCACAGAGGCTGTGTGCCCGGCTACCATTCCCTAAGGCTCAGCCATTGCGCCCATCTGTTCCCCGGGCTGCAGCCAGCGAGCATCTGCGGGGGGCGGTGAAGGCTGAGGATGCCCAGACAAGGGGCAGGGAGGGCTGGCCCACGTGATGGCCAGGGGAGTGGGATGCCCAAGGGAAATGTCATAAAGGGTCCACTGGTTGGGAAAAAATGGAAAATGGAAATAAGGTTAAAATTGAAATGTTTTTAAAAAGTGATTTGTGAAGACTTAAACAAATTTCTTTCAAACTGCTTTATTACTCATAGAAATTGTATCAATCAACAGTGATCGCTAAATTGCTGGATCAGTCAGAAAATATTGTTGCTGCTGAAGAATCAATGCTAATTGGATCATTAGGGCATTATTACATGAAACACAAATAGCTCAGGATGGTCGCTCTTTGCTTGGCTTGATCTGTAGTCTTCAGAGAAGCAGAGAAACCTCGATTGTTTCCTGCTCAGCTGACATGCAGTTTCCCCTCCCTTGCTCCCCTTCTTGCTGGAGTTAAAGGTGGATGCTGGTTGCAGACATTTCCCCCTATTTAGAAAAACAAAGACGTACCATGGTCCTTGAAATCAGTGATATTGAACAGTCCTAAAAAGTAGAGAGGTTAAAAAGGGATTTGGATTGCATTTTAGCAATCTTCTGTTGGGGTCTGTGATGTGTGAAGACACATCTGCACCTTTACTGAGGCAGGTAGAATCCAACAAAAGCCACTGATAGGGCTCCAGGCATGGGGCAGGGCCTGCACTGAGGGTTATGGTGACAGCGGCCTGAGCCACAAGCTGGCTGGAAGGACTCCTGGAGGGGTGAGACATTTCATAAGATCTGGGAGGCCAGCGTCAGCGTTGGGCACACCATCCCCCAGAGTGCCTGATATTGGTGACCTTGCTGCATGGCGGATGCTAATGGGTATTGACTGAAGGGACAAGGTGCCTTCTCCACCCATGCTTGGTCATTAGCACATGGTTAGGTGGGCACGCGTGGCCTCCTCTTCCACCTCTCTTTTGGCCATTTTCCTTGCCCTCTCCCCCACCCCCTGACCTCTGGCAGCCCAGAGCTCCCCTCAGCAGTGCTCACCCAACTCCCTCAGGGCCTGAATTTCCAGGGTGAGAGTCCCCTCTCTACACCGTCTCAGTGGGTGCTTCTGCCAGGGTGGGATCTCGCCAGGGATTATGCTTGCATCTTAACAGGAATTTACTGGGGATGGAAGTATTAACCCAAATGGAGTTACCACAGAGGGGATTTCACATGTTTCTCAAATAATGCCAGAGTGAGCCAAGGTTTACATAACCAGTACGAGGTGAGGGGGGTGGGAAGAGGGCAAGCATTTCCTTGCGAGGCTCCTGGCAGCTTTATTTCTGACTTGCGAGTGGTTCAAGAAGCCTCCATCCTCCCACGCATGGAGAAGACCAGCATTGACTGCAGCCCCGCTATGTCCCCGCGCTGGCCTGGCTGTGTATTGTCACATAGATGATGTCATGGCAGCCTTAGAGAAATTCTCTGAGGCAAATCATATTGTCCCCATTTTTAAAGATGAGAAACCAGAAGCCAAGGATCCTGTAATTTGCCCAAGGTCACGTGAAAGAGCTGGAGTTCAAGTCATCCCAATTCCAGATCTTTTTATCATGCCATGTTTTTTATGCCTCCCCCCTTGTCCCAGAGTGTGGCAAGCAGAGGAGAGCACGCGTGTGGGATGGGATCAATTGCAAAACGTGTGCAGCCTGGCCAAGCAGGTGGGGGAGTGGCAGGACCAGCTATGTGTATTCTCATGCTCAAGTTCCTCTGGGTCTTCCGAAGACAGATGGGGCAGGTAGTTCCAGCTGCTTTGTGCCTTCACCAGCTGAGCACTGGCAGGTGGGGCATTTTTAACCTCACGCCTTGACTATCCCCTCTCCCTGTCACAGTCAGCTCTGCCTATTGTCCTCCGTGGCTCAGAAGCAGCTATCCTTAATCATTCATGGGGGAATTTTGTGGAAAGATCCCTCCCAATGTGGCTGCATCTGCCATAAAGTGGAGATTTTTTGTTATGTTTGATCCCCTGCTGTATTCCCAGAGAACTCAGTGTGCCTGGCACGCAGTGGGTCCGCAGTAAATTTTTGAATGAATGAGTTCGCAAGGCGTTTCTCCTGGTTCTTGCCCATCAGAATTTCCATTTCTCCTGCTCCCTGGGCTGGCACTACCATGCATGGTGCCCTTGTCCCTGCCATCGCCATCATCATTCAAGCTCCCTGCTCCATCTTGCAGCCTCATTTCTTAGCTGTAAAGTCTTCCCAGTCCTCCATTGTCCTTGTGCCCTCTGCATAGCCCCTCCTCCCAGTCAGGCCGCATCCTCCGACCTGGCCTCCCACCTCCACGCTCAGTTTTCCCAGCCATACTTTGCTCTTGCTACATTCCTGCCACCCTATCTCCTGGGAGTCTCTTTGTCCTTCAGGTCAGACAATGCAAACTTAAATCTTGCTGAAATAAGCAAGAAAGGTACACAGGTGCAGGAGGAGTCTTCACTTTCCCGCAGAAACATACTCACTTCCATTGCTACACAGAGACAGCAATGCAAGGATAATGAAAACTAGCTACTGACACTTGGCCTCCGTGCTGGAGGAACAATGGGGGACCAGGGTAACTGTGATGAACTGAAATGACAGGTGTTTCCTAAAGGTGGCGGCCACAGCAGACGGTCATCACTGAGGAAGTCTGTGCCCGCTGTTATGAGCTCTTCTGACTTTTCAAGGCAAAAATTTGGATTTTGTATGAAACCTACTGTTTCTTAAATGATGACTCAAAAAAATTTATTCTTAATCAACTATGTCAGTGGCCTGTTGGCCTCTACTTCAGGGAGTCTTCCTAGATTATTGAGGCCCAACCGGATTCTTTACTTCCTACCTGCTCCTAGTTAGTGAAGCATCGTCATGGAGAGGACAGACCTCTGGCCAAAGAACCTAAAGACTTGGGCCCTGGTCCCGGGTCTGCTTCCAGCCTCAGTTTCCTTGTTTGTAAATGAGAGCAATAATATTTGGCTTGTCCAATAATCTACCATGGTACAGCTGTGTGGCTTGTAGTTTCAAAGTGCTTTCATATGCGTGATTTCATTTGATCCTCAAAAGAACCCTGTGTGGTTAGCAGGGGCAAGTGTGGTTATTCTTAATTTAAGAGGAAAGAACTGAGGGTCTGAGAGGTGAAGTGACTTACCCACGATCATAGGGTTTATAATTGGTAGAGCTGGCTGTGTCATTTGGGTCTTTTATCTGCTGTGTGGTTTGGTGTTTTGTTTGAACTTTTGGATAGAATGAGATCTGTCTTTGTAAGCTGTTAAGTGCTATGTGGGTGCATAAGAAGGAGTAAGGAGCTTACTTATATGGGTTATTACTAATAAGTGTATGCCCTCCATTTCCTCATAGTGTGGCACTCATCCATACACCATGGTAATTGAGCTCTGACGATTTGATATGTCATGATCTTACCTCTCTAACCAGGTTGTGTGTGAGTACCTGGAAGCAGGGATGAAGTCTAGTGCAGAGAGGCCCATAGAATCATTTGGTAAGTAATTGCTGATGAATTGAATCATAGGAAAGTGGAGATGCCACCTGAGAGAGAACCATAACTTGAAACCAAAGCTGGGCTGTGCCTGAGGTTAGTCAGGGGCCTGGTGGCTCATAGTCCTAAACCCTCAGCTCATGGTCTGCTGGTAGCCACTGATCAAACATGCATGATAGCACGTGTGACTGCTGCCATCAGTGCGATCACCATCCAAGAAGACCACATGGGGGGATGATGAGAAGGTATGAAATGACATAGTGGAAATGGCATTTTGGAGTCAGATCTGGGTTTGACTAATCCCTGGCTGTGGGGCAACTTAACTCTGTTGAGCCTTAGTTTCTTTACCTATATAATGGGATAATAGTAGCTACCTCATGAGTCTGTCCCTGGAACAGGCCAGGTGCTCAAGTGCAATGTGTAGTCCAGTTATAAATTGCTTTGTTAGAGCAGTACTCACAAGGGCACTGTTTATCTGGTTTTGCCAATGCTGGGCACTGAATTCCTCGCTGCAATTGTCAGATGAGGTTCAGTCAATACAAATATTCCTTTATAACAGTACTGGTAGGAGCCTTTTAACTTGAGGTTTTATTAAGATAATAAAGACAACTGGAGAATGACTAGGTGCACATAAGGGAAATGGTGCTGTTTTCAATTAAACTTCAGGCCAACTATGTACAACTATGGATATAGAACTGAGTTATGATGTGGAATTCCAGTTTCTCTCCACTGAGGACCTGGGTGAACTGTTACCAGAGAGAAGCATCTCTGGAGAGCTCCCTTAAGCATCCTGCCCACTCTGTGGGGCCATCCCCTGCTGCTCTTGGCTCAGATTCATCTATCTGTTTCAGGGCCTTTGCCCTCCTGAGTCTGTAGTTAGCCACTTGCTCCAAGAGTCTTTCAGCTACAGCCTTCATTAATTTCATTGTGAAGGGGCCTTCGGCTCCCCTAGCATGCGTTGTGGGACGTCAGCTGCCTGCTGTGCTCATTACCACTAGCCCAGGAATGCGGTGTTGACTCATGGCTGCAGCTCCGCTTTTGAACAGAAGCACTCAGGGCCTGAGCCTGTATTTATCACTAGGCAGGGAAGGTCCTAAGGGAAGGTGCCAGGTGAACACAGACCTCATCCTTCCATCATTACCTATGCAAAACACTAAATACAGTCATCTCCTCCGGAAACTGCCCCCCAGGTCCCAGCAGTAGTTCAGGATTCCCCTGTTAACCATGTTGTGCCCACTACCTTTCAGGCTGCACACACTTCCCTCTGTGTTTAGAGAGAAGGGAATGCAGAAGTCTGCCGTGTAGGGCATGAGGGGTGAAGCCACAGGTCAGTCCTATAAGCACCTCCTCCTTCCTAGAGCAGAGCCATCACCTGCTTTGGGCTGTGCCAAGGCTCTTGTTGAGCAGTTCAGTGCCTCACGTGGACTCCCCCTGCAAGAATTCACTGAGGATTATTGGTTAATGCTGATAAAGCACTTGGGCTGTAAATATCAAGTTTAATGTTAATAAACAGGGGGATTAGGTTCATTTATGTAAAAGGGAATGCTTCACAATGGATACTGGGCAGGGGAAGACTTTACTTTTATCAACAAAAAACAAACAGAGTAAACTGTAAACCCAGACCCATCGAAGCCAAGGCCTTCTTGTCTGCTCACCCTGACATTCCCACAGGGTTTTTCTCTGGGGCTGTAAATGCAATTCTGCTGCTGAACTGATTGCCTGAACGTACTTGTGTGCTTGATGTCTTTCAAAAAGAAAGTGTCTAGGAAAGTGCAAAAGAGGAGCAGGCAAGACAGAAACAGCATGGCCATGTGGAGGGGCCGCGCTGATCGTGAGAGCAAAGGGAATTGTATTATTCTTTGGGATTTGCATACTTTAAGAAGGTGGTTCAATTAATGGCATTCTGTTCCTCCTAGTTGAAGACAGCAAAATGGAAGCATAAGGATTTGCTGAGTCCTCCCTCCAGGAAGCTTCTTAGCTGAGCCATTCTCAGCTCCATTCTCCATTGAGAACCCTTCAGCACATGCATGCTTGCTTAGCCACCCGGGTTTAAATTTTCATTGACTGAACAGTAAAGGGGAGAAGCAAACACACATGAGATCTCTGAGCAGTGTGTTTCAGGTGCTTTATAATAAACCTCTCCTTGCCGGGAGAGTGTCATCCCATTTCACAGACCAGGCAACTGAGGCTCAGAGCGGGTGGTCTAGAATGTGCCCATGCTTGGGCTCCTTTCCTTGTTCCTCCCAAAGGCAGCAGTTATACTATTTCCTTTGTGTAAAAATATTTATCTTTATGACCCCAGAACACCTAGTACAGATCCATAGCCATTTCTCTGTAATTCTGAAATCCCCAAGTCTCTGAAAAGTGAAAGTTCATTTATTATCCCTTTGACAGCAAAATCTGGCCTTTCCTGAATTCATCTGGGGCAGAGTTGTCCTAAACTGACACAAGGGTAGTTGCAGTCTTATTTAACCTGCTTAGAGTGAATATTCATATGATTTACTGCAGAAATACGTTGGCTTCTGGGGCCCTTCACCCTGCTGTGCTATTACATACAGTAGATATGCAAATGACTTTACCTGACACATTCTGAATTCTGAAATGCATTTGGCCCCAAGGGTTTCCAATAAGGGACCGTGGAGCTCTAGAAGGCCCTGCACACAGTGAGCACTACCTGCATGTTGTTGCTTAGTTGGAGTGAAACCTCAGTACCCTAACTTTGTGCGTGGTACACCCATGGTGGGATGGACATAGAACCAGGCCCCCTGTTCAGAGTCACCACAAAGCACCTGCCGTTAGGGTGGCAGGAGGAAGGGCAAGCAAACAGAGCAAGAGAAGATGGTGCCGGCAGCAAACAGCACAGGGCATGGCGTGGGGACAGTTAAGGTGAACAGTGCCCACAGTCAGTGCTGTGGCAGGACAACTGCAGTGGGGCAGGCTCGGCAGAGCTGGGCAGGGGATGCAGATGCTGGAGACCTTGCTGCCCAGCAGATGAGAGTGGACCCAATTCTGTAGATCGGGGGCCGAGGCTGAATTCTGAGCAGGAAAGTAATCTGCTGAATAGGAGGCTGTAGTAAGGCCTTTTAGATGGTGGCTCCCGGAGTGAACAGGATCCTGAATCTCAGGCTTTCCTTATCCCACTGAGCCATGCCTCCCTGCCTGAAACGTGTTTCTGAGTAATAGCAGCTAACACTTACACAGTGCTTCCTGTGTAATAGGCACTCCTGTAACTGCTGGACCCATGACGACTCTGTGCAATTCATACCGTTGTTGTCCCCTTTGTATAGATGAGAAAACTGAGGCACACCGAGGGTAGGTCGTCAGGTCCCGTGAGTCGCGAGTGTGGGGGCTGTGGTGAGAACCCAGCCAGCATGGTGTGTGTGTGCTCTTAACTGCTACGCTCTGTCCTAACCTGTTCTTTTATAGGTCCCAGCAAGGAAGCTTTTCTCCTGGTCCACACCGCTGCCTGGGCATGGAGAAACCTGCTGGCACATTGGCCAAGGTTGGGGGTGAGGGGTGATGTCATGACCCATCCAAGAACTGTAATCTCCTGTCTTCAAGGAGGCCAGTTCCCTGGGCTGACGCTTCATGCATAGCGGCTGCATCCCTGTCTCCCCACTTCTCCATCCCCTTCCAGGCCGTTCTTCCCCCATGCACACACATGCCTACACATGCCTGCAATAACTCCCCGATAGGTAGAATTAAAATTTTGAAAAACTTAAGCTAAGACTATAAAGTAAGAAAGGCTAAATCAGCTTCCTTCCTTCTTCCCTTTGACTCCTGCAAATCTGTAGCTTCCTTCAATTCATTCTGGAATTTTTTTCCAGTTTTCACCCTGATTATCCTTTATTCTTGTCTTAAAAATAGGCAGGACATTTTCTTTGGGCAGCGGGGATGGCCTGTTATAACCTTGCTCTCTCTATATGGTCACAGTGCATTGCATGGAAGTTGGGAGCACCCTCGCCTTTTCCTGTGAGGTCACTCTTTGATTTCCTGCACCCTCTCTGCCCTGTCAATGCCGCAGGGTCTGTTTTTCCTATAAGTCTGATGCTCTCTTGTCCTTGAACTCCTTTTCCGGGTGGGTTTTAATTAGCTAAATTTGCATGTGACAAAATGAGATATAACCTTCGTGGGGAAATTCCTCACAGCTTTCTAGGCTGGGAGAAATCGACCATGCCATTTTGTGATGGAGTGTCCCAGTTTAACACGGCAATGTGACTGCAGACTTCATCCGCCTGGTGGGCACTTTGTCCCCATGGCTGAGTTTCAGGCTTCCTGACCTTCCTGGTGGGCAGCCACGGCGAAATCTAGACTTCCTGGTCCCTCCTCAGTTCCCTATGGACGATGGCAAGATTTTGCAAAGGGACAAAAGGAAACTTTTGCTGAAACCTTCTAGGTCTTTAATCACTTGTTCTTTTTCCTTCTAAAATTCTGGATTCTTGCCGAGCCTCTTTGTGCTTCCTCTTTTCATTCTCTGTCACCTCCACTTAGTCTCGTTCTCACCTGCTCCTTTCTCTTTATTCTCCAAGGGAGGGGAAGACAACTTGAATTTTAGGAACAAAGCAAGAAACAGTACATGGAAAGGAGAAAAGGTGCTGTGGCCACTGCAGAGGGGGGACAGGTGGCTGAGAACCTTTGTAAGCCAGAAAGAACTCTTCTCTCCCATTCTCAAATATAATTAGTTATTTCTAAAATTGAGCTGAATCGTGGGCATCTTTTTCCACTCAAACTTTTTTTAACTTAAAATTAAGTTCTATGTATATATGTGTGTGTGTGTTCATTGGAGAAACAGTAACACCACACACAACTTAGCTAACCTAGGAAGGTTTGGCTCAAATGTCCATTGCAAAGTAATTAAGAATCTCCTCTCCTATGCTGTGTTTACACTGTACATTCCCATAATGTCCACTTCCTGGCTGCTGGACTCTGCTCTATAAATATAACCAGTGAGCAGTGTCTCTTTCATGCTCAGCTCCTGACCAGTTAAGGGGAGGAGGAGATGAGTCCAGGAACCAGAGTTGGATGCTGGGAATCTCCGTGCTGTCCTTCCAGGGAACATTTCTCTGCACCGGGCCAAGGACCCACGGGATCATCCCTTTCCATTGTGAAGGAACCGAGGCCGCCTCACTGGGCTCCATTTTCCAGTATTTTTAGTTAGCAGCCTGCAAGTGAGTGTTCTGCCTGCAGTGCTGTAGAAACTGGCAGATGCTCTGTGTTGAGTGGTGTGCAGGACAGACAGGAGTCGGTGCTGGAGAGGCGATGGCTGCAACTGGGGCAGAGAAGTGAGCCTTCCTGTCTTCCTGGGGGTGATCATCCCCAAGGCAGTGCATCACGCTCCCGTGTTCAAAGCCGCAGTGGTATAAACTCTCGAAGAGAACAGTGTCTACCTTTACTCTGGAAAGAAGTAACCGAAAGACAGGAGCGGATGTTGCCTCCTGGCAAGAGGGCCTCACGGTGTGGAGGGGCAATGCCAACCTTGGCGGTGACGGACTTAGGTTCTATTATGGCTCTAATACTTGCTGACTCTGGGACCTTGAGCAAGTTATGGTAACCCTCAGCCTCTGTTTCTCCCTCTGTACAATGAGCATCACGATAGTCCTGTTCTCACAGAGCTGCTATGAAGGTTGCATCTGGGAAGCACCTGGCACCGTGCCTGGCGTAAAATAGGCCCTCAGGAAATGTTGGCTATTATTATGGCCATGCTTGACTGGCACCTCAGTTTGATGTAGTGGTTGTCACGTTTCATTTCTAGCGTTCTGAATAGGCTGTCAGTAGAGAGGTAAGGAGGTAAGGACTCTGGGGCCAGACTGCCTTTCTTCAAATCCCAAGCCTGCCACTTAACAGCTCTCTGACATTGAGCAAGTTAATTCATGTGACTGGGCCTCACTTTTCTCATCTGTAAAGTGAGTATGAAGTGACGTATACTTCACTGGGTCATGGTGAGGGGAAGTATGCAAAGCAGGAGTTGGTGAACTGGCGAACAGGCCACATCCGGCCTGCCATCTGCTTTTGTAAATAAAATGGTATCAGAACATAGCCACACGTATCCATTTATGTCTTGTCTGTGACTGTTTCTCTGCAGCAGCAGCAGAGATGAGTAATTGTGACAGAGACTGTCTGTCCTACAAATCCTAAAATAAAATCCTAAAATATTTACTACCTGACCCTTTACAGAAAAAGTTTGTTGCCCTCTGATTGTAAAAGGTTTAAACAGTGTGTGGCACAGAGCAGATGCCAGGTAAATGTTTGCTGTTATTCCTGCTGGTACTCCTCTGCAGTTCGTCACCCCCAACCCTCACATTAGCTCTGTGAAGTGGGCACACAGAGGTGATGATTGTTCCCTGTTTATTGCACCTGGGATTCAGGGGACTCACGTGACCTGTCCAAGGTGAGGCCAGGCCTAAAATCTAGTCTAGGGCTCACTCGGCCGGTGGCTCCGAATCAGTGACATCTGCCTTGCCTTCTCTCTTTTTTTTTTTTTTTTGAGATGGAGTCTCACTCTGTTGCCCAGGCTGGAGTGCAGTGGCGCGATCCTGGCTCATTGCAAGCGCCGCCTCCCAGGTTCACGCGATTCTCCTGCCTCAAGCTCCGCCTCCCGGGTTCACACCATTCTCCTGCCTCAGTCTCTCGAGTAGCTGAGACTACAGGCGCCCGCCACCACGCCTGGCTAATTTTTTGTATTTTCAGTGGAGACGGGGTTTCACCGTGTTAGCCAGGATGGTCTCGATCTCCTGACCTCGTGATCCACCTGCCTCGGCCTCCCAGAGTGCTGGGATTACAGGCGTGAGCCACTGCACCCGGCCTGCCTTGCCTTCTCTTTAGATTCCTCAAGGACAAGGATGCATCAGTCCATCTCCCTGAGGCATGGACAGTGCCTCACAGAGCCCACCCAGTCAGTATCTGCGGAGTTCATTTGTCTTCTGTGCTCCACCTGGCCAGCATCAGCACTGAGCACTCCAGGAAGAGACATTTCCAACCCTGGGCCGTTCACCTCCCAGCACCTGGAGTTGGGAGCACTCAGCTTATTAACAGGGCAGAAACTCCCAGGTTGCACGCACAGCACCGAATCCTGAAGGGCACAGGCCAAGACCCTCTCTCCATCCCGAGACCTTTAGTCAGGATTGTGGGTGTGGTTGATGACAGCTGATATCTGGGTAGCAATTTATGGTTCACTGAACACTTTTACATCCATGATCTCATTTGATCTTCATAGCAACTACTCAGGGGGACAAACTGGGTGATGGCCTACGCTGTAGCTGAAGTGGAGAGAGACTGGCACCTCCTCCAAGGCCATGCGTTAAATACCCACTGAGCCAATGGAGCCCTGGTCATCCATCTCTAATCCAGTGACCTCCCAACCCCAGCCGGCCCTCCTGACTTGATCATTGTGGTGATGCCAGTGCTGTAGCCTTGGGCACTCATTCCATTGTCTAATGACCCTCACTGTCCAATAATTCTTTTTTGTCTGTAATGGAAATTCCACATGCTTTAGGGGTTTGTTCTGCTCTCAGTGGAGATGACGACAAGCCACCCAGAATAATAGCTCTACTTTTTAGTCTTCAGCCTTGAAGCTGTCCTCTCCCTAACCAGCCCAGGCTGGCTCTTCTGTCCTTGTGGGTTTGCTGGAACACAGACCATCCCATCCACCCTGGTGACTTCTACCACATCCTGCACTTAGAGCAACTTCCAGCATGACGCAGAAGGAGGGACAGTGTGTTCTGCGTTGGCTCAGCCCGTCTGCAGAACAGTCATGTCACTTTGGAAGAGCCTGAGTTTGAGAGGGATGTGTGTCTGCTCATATGAATACTTCTTGATCATTTAGTTTCTGTCATCAGTATCTGGGGAGTGGAGAATCGTTGCTGAGGGCTTCTGAAGAGCAGGGGAGAAAATAGATCACGTTGACAGTCAGCATAAGGTCATGGGGGTGAAGGGCAAAGGGAAGCTGAGTTGCTGCTGGACAGTGTGGTCTACTGACATGTCTCCTGGGATCGTGACCATCATGAGGGCAGGCGGTCAATGGCTGGTCAGAGCTATACCCAGCTTTCTAGTACAGTGATCCTAAAGGACATGGCTGAAGCGTGTTGAAATCCTCCTTTGTAATGAAAATTCTCCCCTGCAAGGGGAGAAGTAGCTTCTATGAAATTTCCAGCAGAGGTTTCCAAGCCAGGGAGGTTGAGGTAGGTCAGGGAGGCCGCAGGTGCTTATCTAAGTGGCACTGCCACAGTCTTTGAGTTTCCATTACTGGCCTCCTGGATTCAGTGGAGTCCTGCTAGACGTTGTCATTGCAGGGCAACCAAACCCAGCCCCGGGCCCATGGGAATGAACATACATATCTTCTAATGGTTAGAGAAATAAATTGCTTTATAACCAAAATACCCTTTTGGTTATGTGTCTCTCTTGGAAAAATAATCAGAAACAGCTGCCCTGCAGTTCTCCAGAGAATGGAGTCTTCCTAGTTTCCATGAAGCGAAAATGTTTCGGAAATCAGAACTGAATGAGGCTGGGGCGAGAGGTGGGGCTGAGGATGGACTCCTGGCACCTCCTCTGATTGATCCTAAATCACTTTCTCACTCTGGCCTTCGGTTTCTGCATCTGTTAAGAGGGCTAATGAAACCTGTTTCTTACTGCAACTTGACACCATGAAAATTTAGTCTCTCATCTGCAGCAGGCTTAGGCAAAGTGGCTGGCCACATAAAACAGCTTGAATCCTTGAGCATGGTGGATGGAGTTTGTTTAATGAGTGAAGCTGTGTAGCCCACTCCATGTCTGTCCTACCATTAAAATTTTTATTGTTATTTGTGAAGTATCCACTGGAGTTCAGAAAAAGACTGCACACCACTAAATCAAGTTGGCTCAGCTCCTGCTGCGGTTAAAATGAGTGCTGTAACCCCAATTAATAACGATTTTTTTCCACCAGAGATGGCTGCTTGGATGAATGTATTATTTGCTGGGGGCTCTTGTGGGGCTTGCTTGAAGTGTGTAAATAGTCCGCCTGAAAAAGAAAGTCCAAAAAAGGGCTGGTTTAGACAGAGTGGCCTCTGCAATCTGGCCACAGTCAAAGGCTTCTTCACATCAGCAGCTCTGATACGATACACAAACGTTTGGGTTGTAGGACAGTGTAGAAAGAGGACCCTCTGGGAGGCCAACGTGCTGAGTGGAAGGTGGAAGGACATGGAAAGCAGCAACCGTGCAGCTGAGGCTAAGAAGCCCCGGAGCAGGCTTGGGGGCTTCTTGTGTGAGTCATCATTTGTCCTCCACTGTCTATCAAGAAGCAGGGACAAGAGTTATGCACTTTAAATGTCAAGGTTGCCTTTGTAGGTGGTAGAGGCCTGGTGGGTTCCAGGAGATTATTCAGGTTCTATGTAGAGCAAATTCCAGATCAGATGAAGGTGTTTGTGCGGGGACAGCTGTATGTTTTCTGTTACAGACCTGTTAGGTCAAACCCCTTCTTTCTTTTTTCTAAGCTCTTACTCTTCCCCAGTTTTTACTTCCCAAGACTTTCTTGGGTCCTTCCAAGTCCTCCTTAGAGGATGGCACTTTGCTGGGTCCATGGGTTTAACTTTTTTTTTTTTTTTCAGTCTTTCCCATACATTCGAGTTAGCTTGAAAGTGTTGATGGCCCTCTCCCGCAAAAGGAATATCATTTACTCCCTACCCCTTGTGTTACATGGGCAGGGGAAGGAGGGAGTTTCTAGCTCATGTTCCCGGAAGGGAAGGTATGGCAGGAACACATCCCACTTTTCCCTGTCTCTTTATGCCCTTGTCCCCAGGGGAGAAGTGACCTATCTGACTGGTGAGTTTGGTGTAGCCCCTTCTGGGACTCTCTTTTGAATCCACTTATCCCCAAAGAAGGGTTCACCAAGTTATTGGGACTGATCTGGCCCTGTGGGGAAAACCTGTGATGGTCTCACCTTCTGGCAGGGTAAGTACATTTAATAGTGGTTGAAATATTAGGAAGTCCTTCGAAGCCCGTCTAAGCCACTTCCTCCATTTTATAATTTGTTTCTAATCAAGCTTTTGGTTTGATTTAATCTGTGTGTCCTATATCTTACTTCTTAATTGGTTCTGAGTTTATAAGGGGCAGAAAGGATGATTATTTATTGGCTGCCACCCAAAGGCTTAGAACTCCTCCTTGGTCATTGACTGATCCATGTGGAAGGCTCTCCAAGCAGCTCTGGGTACAGTGGAGGCCAAACATATGTGCATACTTTTCCCCACCAGGGTACTATTTGCAAGTCATTGGAACCTAAGTCCGTGGCTTCTGTTTTCTAAGAACATCTGCTGTGGAAATGCTATTCTTTTCCTCTTTCTTCATCCCTGAAATAATGATACCTTCCTCGCAGGAGGGTGTTGAGGATTAAATAAAATCAAGCACATTCACACACGTAGGTAGTCAGTAAATGTCAGTTTCTGCCTCTCCGTCCATCCACTGGTAACCTACATTGTTTAAGTAGCGCTTACCACTATTCATTCTGATGTCCAAAGTATGCCTCTCATGTTGCAATGGAAGATTTCTTCTATCTCATTGGGAGCACTTAATAACCTTTAATACATGATGTGAAAACCTTCTGTCTCACATGCCTGATTTATGGGATCACTGGAGAGAGAAAACTTTGAAACCAACAGGGAAGTAAGGGATGCGTACTGAGTGGGAGAAGCAACAGTACTGGGATCCAGGGGAGGGCTGGATGGGAAGGGCTCAGTCATGGATAGGACTGAGGGTGTGCTGGTGAGCCTGGAAGCCATCACTGGGTGACCAACCTCACCTGGGCACTTCTTAGTTTGGATGTGCCTTATTTAAAGTAAAACTTGACACAGTCCAGAAAAACTCGCAATGCAAAAACAACTCACTTTTCTGGAGCTTTACTGTGTGTGCCCAGCACTGTGCTCACCACTCGAGAGCCCCTAGGCAGGCACCCTCCCTCCAGTTGTTCTCAGGGAGTGGGGTGGAGAGTATCAGTACAGAGGAGAGCCTCAAACGACCCCAGACTCTGTCTGTCAGTATGCTTCTGGAGGATGTAGGCTGAGTCTTATCTTCTCAACCGCCAGTTGTCTGTAGTGGCCCTTCCATTTCATGTCTTCCTTAGACACATACTCCAGTCTGTTGTTTTGAGTGTTGGCTGTGAACTCTGTAACCCTGTATTTTCTGTTTTCCTCTTAGTATGAGAACGAAGGTGTGGGCCCGGATTGCCCCATTACTCTTGTGTCCTGTGCACCTTTTGTATCGTGCTGCGGCAAACTGGCACAGGGGATGTCAGCTCCGCACCCTCTGCTGTGGATTGTCCAGGGTCCAGGCTTCCCCTTCCTACTGCTCACCCCTGTCCCCTTTGCTGTTAACACCTGCCCGTGGGATAAGGGAAAAGAAAAAAGCCACTCAAACTACTCCATTGTGAGATTTGCTATGGAGTCAGGGCTGAAGTGGGGTTGGTTGACTTGCAGAATCTGTGAATGGGGGACGATATATGTTGAGAAAGTGCCTGGGTGATTCTGATACGTCCCATCTACACTTTGAGAACTACAGGTTCATTACCACTGCCAAGAAAAAGATCTTTTCATATCCCCCCGTCCTCTCTTCACTTGGATGGCAGTTGAGTCTCTGAAAGAGATTCATCCCGAAGGTCTTTTAAGTGAAGAGAGGCAAAGCTTAGCTTAGTATTTCCTTTCTGAAGAGCACATACCCCTGTGTAAAATTGAGGAGCAACAGCCTTAAATGGAAGCAGCTGTGATTCCCCGCCCCTGTGAAGGGGCTGTGGCCCTGCAGATGCCACGGCTGTGGATGCGTAGAGCTTGGGTACCCTCCCTGGCTTCATGGCTGACCTGCTGTGTGACCTTGGGCAAGTCAGATTTCCTCTCTGTTTGCCATCTGCAAAATATGGATACAGACCCGTGCTCCCTCCTGGTTTTACTGAGGTACTGTGAGAGCCAGTGAAATCACGGTTATGGGATGCTCAGCATTCTGCTGCAGAAAAAAAAAAAAAAAAAACCTAGTTACTAGGAAAGCACCATTCCCCAGGTGTGGGAGTTCTCAGTACCTGTGTGGAGTTTGCTAACAGACCTGGGGTCATTCGGGGTGTGACAGGCAGGCCCTCTCTCCTAGATCCAGGTCCATTTACTAATGTCCTTGCCCATCCATGCCTGCAAGAAGGAAGAGATGTCTGAACTGCCAGGAGGTGGTGGCTACAGATGGTCCCTGGCACAGCAAGAAGGCAGTGCCAATCAAAGGAGGTCGGCCTCTTCAATTAGAACTCTGAGCAGATGGGGCTGAGGCAGCCAGAAGGGGCACTTCCCAGTTTACTAAGTGTGTGACAGTAAGCTGGTGGCCTTCAGAAGACCAGGAGGGTCACCTGGTTCATTTCCTTTCTGGAAGGAAGGGCAGTGTTTAGGATAAGTCAGATGAGATTCCTCCTCATTGGACAGATAATAAGCTTTATTGTGAGTTAAGCAATATGCTTGGCCCTACGGATATCACATTAAACAAAATAGACCTGACCCTGACCTTACTAGTTTACAATCACACGATCCTGACCTTACTAGTTTACAATCACAGGATCCTGACCTGACTAGTTTACAATCACACGACCCTGACCTGACTAGTTTACAATCACACGACCCTGACCTTACTAGTTTACAACCACACGACCCTGACCTGACTAGTTTACAATCACACGACCCTGACCTGACTAGTTTACAATCACACGACCCTGACCTGACTAGTTTACAATCACACGATCCTGACCTGACTACTTTACAATCACACGATCCTGACCTTACTAGTTTACAATCACACCTCCTGTTTCTTGCCACTTGCACACAACTCAGGGATGGGGTAGGAGGAGGAATATCATAAATGCAAATTCCTGTGCCTTACACTGGAGCTACTAGATCAGACTACCTGGAGGCTAAGCCCAGGAATCTACATTTTTAACAAGCTTCATAGTTCAGCCTTGCACATATTAAATTTTGAGAACTGGTTACTTCTCCATCAATGCATGGGGTAATCAGTCACCTTGGGCACATTGGTGTCTTAAAAATGACTTAAACACATAATTGGAACTGTTTTGCTAAGTCTAGCCTGTGTCTACGTTGCTAGAAAAGCCCTTTTTCCCCTTATTCTGATGGTATAGAAGAAAACAACTGCTTAAATCAAATGAATTAATGTGTTGATTGAGCTTTCATTACCTGTCTAGCTTCATGCTGTTTGGAAAATAAATATAAAAGCTATAATCCTGGCCCCTGATGAGCGTACAGGGTTCTTGAGTTGATAAAACACACCAGTTAACCAGTTAGAGATGACGAGAAGATGGTGCAAGATTAAGAGCCAGGACGTAAAGCAGATGGCGCGTTTCCAGGGGTAGAGAAATGAGGACATCGGCAGGTCAGCATTGCAGCCACATCCTTTCTAGCCATCCTCAGATTCCAGCCTAATGATCAGTTGTAAACTCCTAAAGAACTTAAAAAAAATCCTGGAAAAATTCAGGAGATTCAGGGTGTAGTATAGGAATCTGTTTGATTAAAACACTCCACAGGTGATTCTGATGGGTGTTTCCAGGTTTGGAAACCAGCATGCTACCTTTTAAAATAGTAAATGGATTAGTTATCTCTTTTTTAGAGGGGGCATGAGAACAACAGTTCCTTTATCCATTCTTCTATTACACCAGATATGTTACAGTTGCACTCAAAAATCGTGGTGACTCAACACAACAGAATGTAAACCCAATCAGGACGGGGGTGGCTCTGCTCCATATTGTAGGGGACCAGGGCTTTGCTGTCTTCGTTGGTGGCTTTCCAGGCCTCCCTGGGTGTTAACATCCAGCACTCAGACAGTCACAGAGGAATGAACACAGTTGTTTGTAATGGCGGCCAAGATCGTCCAGGCCCGGAAGTTGTGACTATCACTTTCACTGACATTTCACTGGCCAGAAGTCAGCCATGGGCCACACCTGTCTCCAAAGGAGGTTGAGAAATGTAGTCCAGCTGAGTACCCTGGAGGACGGGACCAGGCTGTGGTGGGACAGTTCAGTCTTCTCTAGCACAGCGGTCTCCAACCTTTTTGGCACCAGGAATCAGTTTCGTGGAAGACAATTTTTCCATGGAGGACCGAGAGGGGATGGTTTTGGGATGAAATTGTTCCACTTCAGATCATCAGGCATTAGATTCTCATCAGGAGCATGCAACCTAGATCCCCAGCATGCACAGTTCACAATAGGGTTTGCTCCCATGAGAATCTAATGCTGCTGCTGATCTGACAGGAGCTGGAGCTCAGGCTGTAATGCTGGCTTGCCCACCGCTCATCTCCTGCTGTGCAGCCTGGTTCCTAACAGGCCATGGACCGGTACCTGGGGGCTGGGGACCCCCGCTCTAGCGTGTTCCCTTCCTCTCCAAGTCTTTAAGCATTTTCATTGATCTCTTCTCCTCCAGATTCTCCCAGGTTCTCAAGCAGTGAGGTTCCAAACTAAGGTTTAACTCTCTAGTCTTCAGAATGTTCTTTTCTAACTGTTAGAACTGCAAAGACAGCCTTGAAATGGTATATTCTTTATACCTGTTGCCTCCACTTCACTTGGTCTTACTGTTAGGTTTAACCTTAGGAAATCACTGATATTTTTTGACCTACAGAAGCGGCATTTTCATACAAGTGAATGCTACACTCTCAACTTGATTGAAGAGCACCCTCAATCTGCCTTCAGCACGTGCACTCCCACTCTGCAGTAGGCAGAGGTTTGAGAACCAAGCCAAAGGAAAGAGAAGAGGGAGGCAGAGTTTCTTTGTACTACATCTCATCACCTGCTGTGTTTGGGGTCTGCCCTGTCCCACCATAGTAAAGCTCATATCCCACCTCTTCCTGAAACCTTAATAATGACATCTTATTTCTGGTTATTTGCCAGAAGCTTTCACACACATGATCTCATTCATTGCTTTGAGGAATTCGCTTGTTTCCGCCTCTCAATTTATGAGATAATGAGAGTTATGTAATAATTCCCTTCTTCAGTTTAACTGCCAGGAAACTTAGGCCAGCATTTGTGATTAGTCAGAATAATTTTACTGTGTGTTTTTGGTTGGTATATATTGTTTTAAAATATGTATTTTACTCATTAATTTTTGAAAACTCATTTTTTCCTCAAGTTTTTTTTTTAAATGTGAAATTTTAAAAATCTCAAGTTCTTAAAAAATGATGTGGGATAAAACAACTAAATTTAATTATATCATCGTCTTTGGAGGACGGTGTTATCTTCATCTTGCATATGTAGAACCTGAGGTCCATAAAAACCAATTTTCCGAGCCCATAAGGCTCCTCAGTGGGGTAACTGGGACTGGGTTTCCCAACCAGATTTAATCCAGGGCCCCTTCTGCTGTATCAATGCTGCCCTTCCAGACTGTCCCTTTCATCATCACTTTAATCTCTTCCCTCTCGATTTCAGATAACTCGTATTTTAAGACGCCTGAATATTTTCTATCTTATTATTGTAGATATGTGAGCATCAGCTCCTTAAAGTTACCGAATATTTCTGATCAAATTCTGGTTATTTTTGTCTCATTAAAATGAATATTTAAGTTTTCAGGAGAGAAGAAGGCACAAATCTCCCTTAAAAAGTAATCCATTTGAGAGATGGATTAATAAAGTAATATTATGAATTCAATATAAATTAACATATGTGTTTTCAAATTCCAAAAATAGATGAGGGAGATGGAATTACACTAGTGAGTTCAGCATGATTCCTAACCAAGGCCTTTTCATAAGTGGAAGTCTTTCACCTGGCCCTGGGGAAATCACGGAACTCAATATTTCCTTCACTTAATTGTTTTTCTTTTCCATTTAAGGAAAGGTAGCTTAAAGCAGTGGTTCTCAGAATATGGCCCTGAACCAGCTGCATCAAAATCACCTGGGAACCTACTAGAAGTGCCGATTCTACAAAAAGGAAGCTCCCCACACCCCGCCCTGCCCCACACGGGACCCAGCAGTTTGTGTTCTAACAAGCCCACCAGGTTTTTGTGATGTATGCTGAAGTTTGAGACTGGTTAGCTTAAAACAGCCTCTGAGAGGGGCTGCAAGCCACTCTTTATTTGGATCATAACTAAGTAGTTAAAACATCCCTGAGTGAATTCAAAATGCTAATGAGGAAAATTAATGTCTTTATCAAAAAAAGAAAAAAAGAACAAAACAAACCTCAGGAGACCAGAAGTAAGTTGCCTCTTTAAGAAGCAGAGCCGCTTTGAGATGTTGCAAGGGGGAGCTAAGAGCAGGGCAGAATTTTCCAGTGTCTTTTGACAGGAGGAAGTGGTTGGGGACGACTTATTTTTTTGGCCCGGAGACAGCCTGTCATTATTAGACTAAGCATTGTATCAGATCTAAGTGTGTAGCTTTCTTAATGTAATGCAGAGCAGGAGCTATACGTTTTGTTTTGTTTTTCATTTTATCAGTAAGAATGAGTGCATTACAGCCTGGGCAATGTAGCAAGACCTGGTCTCTACTAAAAAAGTAAAATAATTAGCCAGGCATGGTGGCACGTGCCTTTGGTCCTAGCTACTTGGGAGGCTGAGGTGGGAGAATTGCTTGAGCCCAGGAGGTGGAGGCTGCAGTGAGCTAGAACTGTACTTCTGCACTCCAGCCTGGGTGACAGAAAGCACTAGTAATAGCTTTGTGAGCTAAGTCCCGCTTTCTTGGGTGTTCTCATGGTCATGCTCAGAGAATCCCCCTCTCCCCACCAGCATCCACCAGACTGCACACTGGTGTGCAGGAGAAACCAGCTTGCCTGGCAGCCTGGGTCCAGCAGTCCCAAACCATCAGAAGGAAGACCGACATCCTGCACCTCCACATGGTCACTAATTCCCTGCTGTGGGGGGCACATTTTGGCCTGACTTGGCTGACACAATCTGGGGAAAAAAGAGAAGTATGGGCTGAGTACTGTGGCTCTCACTGGTTAATCCCAGCACTTTAGGAGGCAGCAGCAGGAAGATTGCTTGAGCCTAGGAATTAGATCAGCCTGGGCAAGATGGTGGGACCTTGTCTCTACAAAAATAAAAATAATTAGCTGGCCATAATGCCACGTGCCTGTAGTCCCAGCTACCTGGGAGGTTGAGGTGGGAGGATTGCTTGAGCCCAGGAGTTTGAGGTTGTAGTGAGCCATGATCATATCACTGTGCTACAGCCTTGGTGACAGAGACCCTGTCTCTATTAAAAAAAAAAAAAAAAAAAAGAACAAGAAGAAGAAAGAGACAGAAAGAAAAGAAAGAAGAGAGAAAAGGAGAGGAGCACAGATTGCTCAACCCCATGGAGGCAAGGCTCTCACTTCTGCTGGTGGGGCCCTCGGCCCGTCCTGGAGTCGGGGTAGCATCATGGTTGAGATCACATGGACTCCTTGGCTAAAGTCCTGTTTTGAACACTTGTTGGCTGTGTGATCTTAGATTAGGCACTGTTTCTCTCTGCCTCAACATTCTTGCTCCTAAAGTGGGGTTAATTATATATACCTTGCAGGGCTATTCTGAGAATTAAATGAGTTAATGCAGAAGTTCTGAGCCTTTTTGGTCTCAGGACTCCTTTATATTCTCAATAACTACTGAGAATCCCAGAGAGTTTTTATTTGTGTAAATTATAGCTACTCATGTTTATTGTATTAGAAATCAACTTAATTCATTAAAAAACCGATTGTGGCCAGGTGGTGTGGCTCACACCTGTAATCCCAGCACTTTGAGAGGCCGAGGCTGGCAGATCACAAGGTCAGGAGATCGAGACCATCCTGGCTAACATGGTAAAACCCTGTCTCTACTAAAAATACAAAAAAATTTAGCCAGGTGTGGTGGCAAGCACCTGTAGTCCCAGCTACTCGGAAGGCTGAGGCAGGAGAATGGCGTGAACCTGGGAGGTGGAGCTTGCAGTGAGCCGAGATAGTGCCACTGCACTCCAGCCTGGGTGACAGAGCGAGACTCCGTCTCAAAAAAAAAAACAAAAACAAAAACAAAAAAAACTGATTGCATGTTAACATAAGCAATATTGTTTCTGAAAAATAATTTTTTTGTAAAACAAAAAAACAGAAGAGTGACATTGCTTTACATTTGTATAGATTAGTGTCTGACTTACTAGAAAACAGCTGGGTTCTCATATCTGCTCTGTCATTCAGTGTGTTATGGTATCACATCATGTAGGCTCTGGGAAACTCTGCTGTGTATTTGTGAGAGCATTACAGTGAAAATGTTAGAGTTGTTATAAAAATAGTTCTCTCCTCACAGATACACGAAAAAGGTCTCAGAGATCCTGCTGGGGTTCCTTGGGACACACTTTGAGAAACACTGGATTAATAAGTCATGACAAGTGTTTAGTATAACACCTTGCATATGGTAATCACTGAGTAAAACATTATTACAAACAGCACTATTTACTAGGAGATATAGCATCAGAGGTGGTTTTCTATACATATATGGGCCAAGCTCTAGAAGGGTCCTTGTGCAACACACACACACACACAACAGGTGCTTCTGCTGTTGCCACCAGCAGTTCCATGCCATCCCATCTGGCTGGGGGGAGCCCTGAAAGTGTCTGGATGTATCTGAAGCTGCTGTGCTGGGATGTGTGCAGTACTAATATGGGAATGACAGTGAGTGGACATTGCATCACATAGTAGCCTTTCCTCCTAGGAGGCAAAGCACTCACCTCCCCATCACCCTGCAGTTATCCTCATGGGGGAGGGAGCCAGTCCAGTCCCTTGGGAAGGCAGTGCCAGGGCCAGGACCTGAACCTGCCTTTCTGATCTACAGCAGAGTCAGGCTAAAGAGGGCAGGCAGAGGCTCGCCAAGGGGCACAGTGGAGTGCTTCAGGACTCACAGTTGCTGGGGCTGAATGCTGGAAACAGCTTGTCAGTTCAACCCAGGAGATGCTAAGATGCAGGCTAGAGTCGATGACTTGGTCCTCCCATCAGGGGCTTGCAGACCATGTGACAGTCAGCTGGCACTCCCTTGACCTTTCTGTTGAGTCCAGAAACCATAGTGCAAGCAGTGGGCTGAAAGCTGTGGCAAGCTGCTGTGTTGGCATGTAATTTGGAAAGCCTATTCACTTAGCCACCTATTAAACACCTGGTGTGTTTTGAGTCCCCAGTCTGTTTTCTTGTTCATCTCCCACCAAGGGAAAAGCAACATTGACCAATCAAAAGGCAGGCTCAGTCTTGTAGTCTCAGTAGTACAGTCTTCCCTGTGGCCAAGACGGTGTCTTCAGCATCTGCAGTGGTGTGTGCAGCCATAGGTTGACAATGAAATGCAGGGAGCCAGGATCAGGAATCTGACCTGCACCAAGAGCTGTGGGCAGAACAGACCAGCATCTGTGTGATGCTGTGGCTGGTGGTGCAGGAGGCCAGGAGGCATCCAGGAGCCAGAGGGATGCCTTGCAGGACTGGGGTGGGGTGGAGGCTGTGTCTAAAATATGGGATGAATGCTAAGAATCAGAAAGTTAGTGACCGCAGGCAGAAGCTCAGAAACACACAGCAGATGTGAAAAGTGCTCCTTGCCCCTGCTTTTTAAATGTTATCTGAATGCCCACAGTGGGCAGAAGCTACTATTCAGTCAACAAATAATGGTCAAGGGCTGGGCATTGTTGTAGGTGCATCACTAGTTACCTCAGTGAATAAAACAGACAATTCCTACCTGCAAGGAGGTTGCACTTTTGTGGGAAGAAGAAAATAAAGGAAAGGAGAACATAAAGGAAAAAATATAAATACGATACATAATATTAGACACAGTGGAGGGATGAATGCAGGGATGGAGATAGGGTGCTTCAGGGTGGGGTTATAGCTTTTAATAGAGGGGTCAGGGAAGGTGTTACTGTGAAGATAACGTTTGAGCAGACCAGTGGGAAATGGCGAGGTAAGTGCTGTGGATCTGGGGAGAGGGCATTCAAGGGAGCAGGAGGGCCAGGTGCAGAGGCCCTCAGGTGGGAGTATGCCCAGCGTGTCTGGGAGCAGGAGGGCCAGGTGCGGAGGCCCTCAGGTGGGAGTATGCCCAGCGTGTCTGGGAGCAGGAGGGCCAGGTGCGGAGGCCCTCAGGTAGGAGCAGGGAGGAGGCAGGTATGGCTGGAACACAGCAAGTGCTCAGAGGTGAGGTCAGTGAGGAACAGAGGGCACTTAGGGTCTTGTAAGTCATTGTGATGACTGTGGTGCTAACTTGGGGTGAAGTGTGAAGCTAGTGGAGGCTTTTTAGCAAAGGAGTGACTGATCTGTTTTGAAAGAGAATCATTGCTGGGAGCTTCTCGGTGTTGGTAGAAGTGTGACGGTCAGTCAGGAGGCTGGATCAGTAATCCAAGAGGCAGATGTTAGCAGCTTGGACCAGAGTGATAAAGGTGGAGGTGGAGAGAAGTTGCTAGATCCTTGATACATTCTAGAAGTACACCAGAAATGATCTGCTAACAGACCGGACATGAGGTATGAACAAAGGAAGAGGGAAGATGGACTCTATATCTTGGCTTGAGTGAATGGAAGGCTGGAGAGTCACCATGATCCGAGATGGGCAGGAGCTGGTTGGGGTGGGGGAGGCTCAAGAATTGGGGTTTGGACATGCCAAGTTTGAGATGCCCAAGTAGAGACTGACTGTAGAGGTCTAGGCTGGAGCAGGCAGAAAGACCCAGGATGTGCAAAGGAAAGAGGGAAACAGCAGCAGTAGCACTTGTTCAGCCAAGTCCTGCCTCGGAGATCAAATGCATAAAGGAAAGGAAATCTCAGAGCCAGCCTCTAACCCTGAGCTTAATCCCAAAGAGCAGCAGAGTAGCCTGGGGTATCCACCCCTCCACCCCGGTGGTGCTGCAGAGCCCCTGTTGCACTCACGGGTGGCAAGAGGCAGGGCTCAAAGCTTACCTCACAGGTGTGACTCCCAGGGAGTAGGGGTAGGGTGAGGACCCCGCTGGAACTGGAATGGACTCTCCTGTATAGTGATGCCTCCTAAGCCTGGGGATGCCTCTGCAAGGGCTCCAGGGGGCTCTCAAAGAGGAGCAGGCTCTGCCTTTCTCAGATCAGCCCTCTGGCTCTGTTGTTCCCTTGGGCCTGTCTTCAGATAACCACAGTAATCCAGGGAGATGAAATTGGCAGATCAGAAGCCCTTGATTAGACCTGCAGAATGTCTGCACTGACAAGAACTGCAGAAAGCATCCCGTTCAACTCCCTCCTCTTACAGATGGGGGAACTGAGGTCCAGGGAGATGATGGGACTTGTCCAAGTTAGAAGCTTCATGACCTAGGGCAAATCACTTAACCCTTGCAATCATGCCAAGTTGAGAGCATTTTCCTAAATGCTGTGGCTCAGAGATGGCTGTGTGCTCGTGGTTCCTCCTGTTTCTCCCTAACCCTCTTCCACATGGGTTTTTTACTGCCCGATCAGGGTTTGGGGAATGATTGGCAGCCCGGAGGCCAGCCAGCCCTTTTGGCAATCCAGTCAAATCTGCCCACTGGCTGATGAAACATGGACTCCCTTGGCAGCGAGTACTTCCTCAAGAGATATCTTGCTTAAAATTGATGGCCCCCCTTTGGCTTTGCTATTCCCCATGCCCTTGGTGGGGCAGAGAGTTAGTTCCATCCCAAGTTCTTCTCCATTTGCCAGAGTCCACCTCCACCCCAGCCCAGAGCTGTTTGCTCTGGCTTGCCCTATCCTGCGTTGGCTCCTTTCACTCTCTGCAAACCCTTCTGTCCTTCCCGTTGTCTGAGCTGCCTTTTTCTTGACTACTTCTTAAGCCTCTGGATTTCTCCTTAAATATCAGCTCTAGGACGCCTGCCTGATGAGCTGAGGTCATTCCTACCCTCAAGTGACCTGGTGAATTAAGCAACAATACCAGGGATTCCAGGACAGTGAGTTTGAAGATCAGCATCTTTGCTGGCCTGAGGGAGGCCCTTGGCCTGCTGGGGGTGGATAGAGTGATGCTGACCTTCTGCACAGGCTTTGGGAGGGAACAGTTAGTTACCGCAAATGTCTGGCTATCTAGGTGAAGCACTCCCGACCCTCTGCTCCTCAACTGTAGTTGTGAATTACAGAGCTGGAAACAGCACACGGGAGCATTTGTTCCACTCCTGTTTCAGGGACAAAACTTAGGCCTGGGTCTCTAAAACCAGAGGTGCTTGATGCTTCATCCCAAGGCTAAAGGGGCAGATGCCCTCTCTATCTGGCGTTGTGGTTTCCTCTACTTCCACCTTACTGCAGAGTGGGGGGCTGGAACGTTGGCAAGGATCCAGGACTCCTGTACCCTATCTCATTCTCCTCCCACACCCCTGTCCCTTCATTACAGATAGTCCAACCTCTTTGTTCTGTGGTTGCTGAATAGCATCCCCCAGGGGACCATCTTCCCTGCAAATGCAGGGTGACGCTGTGCAGTGGTTTCTCTGCCATCATCTTTTCTCTGCTGGGGATGCCAGAGCATAAACCCATGGTGCAATGGAATGTGCCTGGTAGCAAGGATGAAGACGCGGGGGCTCCAGTGTGCTCCACCCCTTCCTTTCTGTCAGCCTGAGTGCTCCCGCCCCCTTTGGGCCTCAGTCTCCCACAGAGAGGGAGAGCTGGGTGGCCCAGCAATCTCTGGAGCCCCTTTTGGCTCAGACCTCCTGCAGTTCTCTGTAGCCTCCTGGTTCCCAGTGTATTTTTAAAGGATCCTGTGTTATTTATCTCAGCATCTCTGCCCCCCTGCGCTCCACGCTCCTATCCATGCAGTAATGACATCCAAACACCCACACTGTATCTTAACAATCTGATGAGATAAATGCCTCATCGTTGGGCTCCGTGGACACAGAGTAGCAATTCTATTCTGCTATCAAAGAGCTCAGAAACTCAGGCAACCAAGGCAGGATGAGCAGGCATGTGGCTTGCCATGTGCCCATCATTGGGCAAAAACACATTCTCCCTGCCCCAAAGCCCCTGTTTTTCCCCAAAGCAGCCTCACTTTTTCCCTTCCTCCACCTCCAGAACAATGCCTTCGAGCCTGCTGGCATTTGAGAATGGGCCGGGCGGGCAGTACTGGGGGCATATGGCCTTGTTATTTTGATGGAGCTCCTAGTGGGATGCACCAGCCACTGGCCAGGTCCTGGAAATAATTAAGCTGAGCATATTGACCTGGGGGTTGCAGGGCCTTGGGCATGCTGCAACCTCCAACACCTGTTCTCATGCTCCTTCTGCAGTGACCCTCTCGTGCTCTAGGCACACCTGTTAGATGGAACCTGGGACTTTCAAGGTTGTCACTGCCAGGGCTGGCATGATGTGCTTGCACTCCTGCTCCCTTTATGGACCTGGGAGTTGGGAAGGTGCATTGGGTTCCAAGAGAAGCAGGAACTGATTTGGTCTTGTAGTGAAAATAGACCTGGCTCTGGTTTGGTAAGTGAGTGACCTTGGACTTAGTTTCCCTAGAAGCAGAAATAGGATAACAGTAAGTCTTCCCACTTCAAGGAATGTTATAAGGATCAAGTGAGATCATGTGAAATTCTTAGGAAAGCTGCAAGGGAGTCTACCTATGAAACACAGAGGCCATGGGACACAGAGGGAGGAGTAAGGGCTCGAGCTGGGCAGGCCTGGGTGTGAATTCCAGTGTTTCTCTTCAGGCTGTGCTGCCTAGGGAAATGTACTTACCTCTTCTGAGCTTTTCTTTGCTCTTCTGTCAACCAAGGGATAATGAAGCTACACTGACTGGTTACTCACAGTGATAACAGGAGTATCTGTTATTTATTAAACGCTTATGTTGAGCCAGGACCTTTCTTCCTTTCCTTTTTAAAACCTCCATAAAATGTAGCCGGATTTGTAATCACACATTACTTCACGTGGACTTTGGCTGGTTTGTGTAGTGTCTCTGTGAGAGCAGGGGTTCTACGGGTATTGCCCGGCGCTGTGTTTCCAAAGCCCAGCATGTGCCTGGCCCACGGTGGGCGCTTAAGAAATGTTCATGCAGTCAAGGGGGTGCAGCTGCCTGGCAAGGAGAACCCGGGAAATTCATTTACCCTTCTTATTATTCAGTTCCTTCACCTGAACTCTCTCAGGCTGGAGCTGAGCTTTGGGTTCATAATATATAATTATTCTCCCCAGTTAAAAATGACTAAACTGAGGTCAGGAGAGGTTAAGTGCTGTGCCCTAGATCACTCAACTAGGAACTAGGGAACAAAGCCTTCTTGTACAGTACTTGTCAGAGCCTCCTTGGAAGCTTGGGAAAAGGGTGTGGGCAGGACTGGGCAGGGAGGAAACAGCTGAGCACCTGCCGGATTCACCATCTGCCCCCATGAAGATACATGGAATCCTATCTCTCATAACGGCCTCCAGCCATGCCCATTTTACAGATGAGAAACTGAGGCTGAGAGGGAGAAAGAACCCGAAGCTCAGCTCCAGCCAGAGAGAGTTCAGGTAAAAGAACAGAATAATAAGAAGGGCAAATGAATTTCCAGAGTTCCTTCATCCCAGAGTAGGATGCTCAGCCTTGCCAGGCAGCTGCACTCAGCTTCCCGCCCTCTCTGAGCAGGGGGGTTGGAATGTGTCTGCGGAGGGCAGCGAGGAAGGAGCCTGCTGGAATTCCTTCCCTGTGGCACATCTGGGAGGGGTATTCCCCCTGGTGATACTTGGGAAATCATGCTGGCCTCGCCAGTCCTTTTTTCCACTGTTCTTTTGGTCTCGGAGCACCCGCCAAACATCTGACACTGTTCAGGATCGATTGCACATAAAATGAAGAATGGGTATTTAAAAAACAGGTTTTTTTGTGTGTTTTTCCCCCTGTTGTCATCTAAGAAGCAGGTTTTTAGGTTCTTTGATTCTCTCCCAGAATAACAACCATATGGGGCCTCCACTTACACTGAGCAGCCTGTGCCTTGTGCCAGGGACTGGTTTGTTTCCATTGTCAGCAAACCTTGACTGGCTCCAAACATTTTCACTTCAGGTGGTTTCTGAAAGAGGGAAAGACTGAGGGGAAAGTGATGATGTGGTCCCTCTGAAGAGGGTTTAGCTTTCAAGGGTATGGCAGGGGTGGGGTCGACAGCCAGAGGGGTGTGACTTTGAGAAGCCAACTCACCGGCAGGATCCAGCGAGATCCAGGCTCGGTGGCTGGAACAAAGAATGTTTTGAACCACACGGGGCTCTGGCATGTTTGTTGATCGACTTATCCAAGGCCTGGGCCAGCTGCTCTTGTTCCAGAAGATTTCATGGATTAACTCCCTGGGCTTTGGAAAATTGTGTCTTTTTTAAGAAAGGGAAGTTTTGAAAAGCAAATGCTCCTGGGCAGGCTGGGGGTGTGGGGAGTGTTGGCTGGAGTGGGAGGTCACATTCGCCCCATGGTGGGATGGCCAAGGGCTCCCAGCGAGGGAACAGTTGGACCTGTGGTGTCCTGGGGGGAGGGTTCCTCTGAGGGACCCTAATGGACAGAGGAGTGTGGACCCCTGAGCCTGGGAGCATCGTGGGCATTTAGACCAAACCACGGGAAGGGCTCCCCAATGCTGAAGGTTGCTAGGCGCTGGGGGAGGTTCCCCGGGAGACTGTGGCTAGAAACACCATCTGCCAAAGATGATTTAGTTCCGGAAGAGGCAAGGGATAGAACGAGATGGTCCTTTCTGTCCCAGTTAATCTTGGTGCTGTTCATTCCGGGCTGAGCATTCCCTTCCTGAAGTGGAATGGAAGACAGACTCGGCCTTGGGCAGACTCTGAGCATCTTGTGAAAGGGAGAGTCTTACCTCCTTGGCTTTGTCCCCACCCCCTGCCCAGGGTCGGATGTCTTGGGTGCTTGCCGGCTCTCTGCCCACTGTCCTGCCCTGGCAGCAGGTACCAGCAAGCCTGTGTGCCGTGTGGGTTACAGGGAGTAGCGGGCACATGATTAAATACTCATGCTTTGTCAAAACACTGACAGTTACAAAATGCCTCCGCGTCTACTCAGGGAAGGGTGAGCAATGAGGAAAATGACTTCAATATGCAAAAGACATTCCAAGGAGTCCGGGAGGGAATGCTCATTCTAGAGCCAGGAGGGAGTCATGGGAATTAGTTCTTGATTTATAGACCGGCTGAAAGAAATCACCTAGGTTAAACCTGCCTAAATTCTGCTATCTGTGTATGTGCTTAAGGGGATGGGCTCAATGAACTTTGAGACTGTCTCTTCTCTACTGATGGGAGTGACAGTGAAGTTCCTGATGAAGGAAGGTTTAGGGTGGAGGAATTCTGAGCCCCTGGGTTCTGGATTCAAAATCATACACAGCCCTCTAGATAACATAGATGTACAGTCGTACAGTCTTTGTGGAGAATTTGAAAAACGAGAATGGTGATTATCTACTTAGGACAGGTTTGGGTACAGCCACTCATGGAAGCCAGGAACCAGCTTCTAACCATGGAAGCTTTGTGTTTTCTGTATAAGCTGTCCTTGACTACGGACAAAGAATGGGTACCGAGTGTTCAGTTGGCATCATAATAGGAAACAGAATTCTACACAGATGGTTCAACGGAACAGAGTTTCTTGAGGGGCATATTTATGGAGGGGTAAGGAGACCAGCAAGGGATATTGAGGCACCCAGGGCTAAACTTAGAGGGAAGCTGTCATCACCCTAGGGCCTGAGGAGGAAGGGGAGAAAATACTGTTTGGGGGGCCTGGTGGGAGCTGTAGCTGGGAGGAGGACCATGAGGGAGAAACCATAGTCATGGAAGGATGTTGTCACTGCCAGGACCAAGACACCAAGGTAGGGGGACATGGAAAGAAAACACCCTGCCTTCTCTGTCCTCCCATCTCCACTCTCTTATTGACACTGCTCATTGGCCAAACCAACCTGAAGCTGGAGGGCCAGGGAGCCGGGCACCTCAAGCAGTCCCCATGCACCAAGCTTCCAGGGCACGGGGTCAGGGAACAGAGGGTGGAAGGGGTCTAGGGGAGCCAGCAGGGAGCTGGAGCTCATTTGTAATATTTGTCTTGTTTAGCCAACTCTAGAAGGCTCGTCCTGAGAAGGCGAGCTTCGAAAGCTATTACTGACTCTTAAAGTATTCCATCGTCAAGACTAGTGTGTTTACCTTGCAAACTACCTTGAGCCAGCTGTAATGAAATTCTGAAATGTCTCCCATACACCCTCCTTCTCTGTGAAATGTCAGCTTTTTGAGGGCAGGGCCTGATTCTTTTATGAGCAGTTGTCTTGAATCACTTCAACCCTCCACACCTGGAGTGCCTTACACTTTCCAGAATGCCGTACTCAGTGACCCCTCATGTCAATGTTTTGAGGCTTTTGAATTGGTCAAGGCAACCGTCTTGCTGAGTGGCCTGAGTTCTCCAGTGAGAGAACACGAGTAGTCTCTTTGAGTGGGGGCCACAGCACTCCAGACGTGGTGATGGAACCCTCTACGGTATAGAGAGCCCACGGCCATGCCACCCAGCCAGACAGGAACTCAGGAGGCCAGGATGGAGGAAGCAGGAGTGGAAGGTCATTGGACTCCCTTTCTGGTTTAAGCTTGGCCATGGGATGTCTTAAGTAGGGCTCGTGGTCCTCAAATGTCACCTCCATCCTGATGCCACAATGTCTGTATTGCCACTATTCCAATTCTTCTTTTGGGTGAAGTCTTACTCCACCTGCGGGGAGAGCACATGAAATCATTAGCAAGTGCTGGCACAGACAGCCATTCCCCTCTCTGGCCAGGCTGGAGGGGCTGGATGGTGGTGGGGGGTGTGGGTGAAGTAAGCATGAAAGGGGAGATGAAGGGTGTCTAGACACTCCCTTTGCCGAGGGCTGGTGGCCTGTTGCTTGCTCTCTAGGACAACGTGGATCTGTTTGGGGTAATGGCAGACACTTTTCTTTCGCATCCAGCTGTCTCTTCCTCTTCTGAGTCCCACAGGGTCCTGGGCCCGATAGGCTCTGTCACCTCCAGCCAGTATTGGGTAGCCACCTGCCACTACTCAGGCCGGGTTGGAAGGGCCTGTGAGGGGTGGGGTGTGGGATCCAGTTCATGGCTTCCAGGGCCAATTTGGGTGAAATTCAGTTGTTCTTCGACTCCTGTGTTTCTACTTCCCAGTTTCATTCTAAATGGAAAACATTTCTGTAGGTTTAAGTCCAAGGTGCAGCCCCAGAGCGGGTATTTTCCCTTTTGAGAAGTGGAGGCTACCCTGAGCCTTGGGAAAAGTACTCAGAGAGAATCTCCCCCATGAGGCAGTGTAGCTTAAGGAGTTAGGTATTCTGAGTACCTCCAAAGGCTGTTCGCTCTTTCCATTCCAGCTCAGACTGCCTGAGTTCAAGTCCTGGTGTTGCCACTTACTAGCTGGGTATAAGTTGTTTAACATTTTAGTTCCTCGATACCCTAATCTATAAAATGGGGATGAAAATAGTGTCTATGGTAGGGAATTAGTATGAAGATTAAACAGTTTAAATTGTGTCAAGGCCAGGCATGGTGGCTCACTCTTGTAATGCCAGCATTTAGGGAGGCCGAGGCAGGAGAATTGCTTGAGCCCAGGAGTTTGACACCAGCCTGGGAAACATAGTGAACCCCATCTCTACAAAAAAAAAAATTAGCAGAGCATGGTGGTGCATGCCTGTAGTCCCAGCTACTTGGGAGGCTAAGGCAGGAGGATTGCCTGGGCCCAGGAGTTTGAGGCTGCAGTGAGCTGTGATCACACCACTGTACTCCAGCCTGGGTGAGAGAGTGAGACTGTCTAAAAAAAAATGTTTAAGTGTGTCAAGTGCAGAAAACAGTGCTTAATGCATGCCATGTGCCATGCAAATGTTTGCTCTTATTTATTTCAAGAAGCATACTCTTCTGGGCAGAGCATCCTCCTAGGACTCTGGAGAGATGGAGCATCCGCAAGGCCACCAACGGGACTAGTATCCCCCAGTGTTCCCCAAGCATCTCTTCCATCGAGCTATTGCCTTGCTCACAACCCCTCAGTGAGTTGCTTGTCTGGAGATGCAGGCCAAATCAATCCTGTCTACAATCTGCTGTCTGGCTGTGCCCATTCCTGGCCACAAACCCTCTGCTTCACCAGGAAAATCTGTTTATGGGCCCCATTCTCCTACTTGTTTTCACCTCTGCCTTACCCTGCCTGAAAAGCTCTCCTTCCTCACCTTTCCCTCCAAAGCCTATCCATTCTTCGATTCCAGCTCCAGTTCTGCCCTGAAGGCTTGTCCATGCCTGTGGATCACCATCCTCTGCCTCCTGCCTCCTCCTGCTTCCCCGGCTGGTGTCTGCCTCGTATCATCAGTCACCTCCTCCCAAGCAGCCTATTGCTTTCTCTACTGATGCCTTGAGCCGGAAGCCAGACAGCAGATATTCCAAAACTGAAAACCTGTGGATTTGCCTGTAAATTTGCTATAATTTCTTAAGAACACAAGAAAGGCTGAACTTCCTGGAAGTTATTCCTAGGGCCAGCATCATGGGAGTTTGACGGTTGGCTGTGTAGAGCAGTCACTCCAAGGCAGTTGATTTGCTTTGTTGTTCTTCTCACCCCATCAGTATTATAATGTGGAGCTTCCTCTGCATTGTGCCGTGAGATGACAGCAAAAGGGCTGTGGCCACTGCCTGGGACTTGATCCTTCGCTGAAACAGGGACACTTTCTATGACTAGTGCTACGTTACATTTATCCGTTCTATTGGACACATGTTCGTAGGCCCAGGATCAGAATAAAATAGCTCCACAGCTAGAAGAAATCAGTTTATAGGCAAACAAGACTCTGATGTTGGCCCTTAAAAAGAAACTGCTCATATTACATATTACAGTTTAATTTTGTCCGCGTTAGAAGGTCCCAGTGATATCTTTGCTTCTTGACTGTAGTCTAGTGTTTAAAGGTTATTTGCCCAGGTGACTTTTTTATCTTTTCCAATCTAAATACAGTTGTCCCTTGGTATCCACAGGTGATTGGTTCCAGGACTCCCCAACCCCTTGGATACCAAAATCCTTAGGTACTCAAGTCCCTTGCATAAAATGCATAGTGTTTTCATATAACCTATGCACATCCTCTTGTGTACCTTAAATCATCTCCAGGTTACTTATACTACCTAATACGGTGTAAGTGCTATATAAATAGTTCTTATGATGTACTGTTTTCATTTACTGGTATGATTTTTATTGTCATATTATTTTTATTAAAAATTTTCTTTTCAAATATTTTCTATCTGTGGCTGGTTGAATCACCAAGAATGCAAAGGGCCAACTGTATCAACAGCTCAAAGTGGAGAGCCCAGGGCCCAGGCACGGATCATTAGGGGAAGTACAGGGCTGGCAGAGAAGAAACTGGACTCCCAGAGCCGGCTCTTTCTGTGGGCTGGGAGCTCCTCCAGGCTGCTGGGTTAGGACCAGCAGGACGGCCAGAACCATGGAGACATGCTGCTGGTTTTGGAGATGGGGAGAGGCATGTGACCTTTTCTGGGAATCAAATCAGAGTGAAACCAGAAGAAGAATCTAGACTTCTTGGGGTAACTTGGCAAACAAAGCTCAGATAGACGGAGGGGTGTTCAAGGAACTTTGCACGATTTCCTATGGGCTAAGAGAAGACGCTTGCAAATCTGAAAGGGCAACATAGGGAAAGTTCCTACAGGGAAGGGAGACGGTCAACCCCCTCTCCCTGACCCCGGGCTTGGTTAGGGGGCAGAGAACGGGAGGGGGTCAAGGAGGCTGTCTGTTTCCCTCAGTGCAAATGCCTGGACAGCACGTGTGTGCAGGCTGTGCCCCTGACCTGATGAGCACCTGATGGGTGGCTGTTGACCGACTGTCCATGCAAGGGGTGTGGGCTGTGCTTGGCAGCCTCCAGCAGGCAGGGCTTGTTCACCTGCGTCCTGTCCAGCACGCGGCAGGAGCTATCCTGGCCTCAGTGTTAAAAGGTGGCCCTGGGTCGAAGGAGTGGCATAAGGTCCCACTTGGGTGCTTGATAATGATCTAGAGCCTCGTGCCCTTATCTTCACGGCCTCCTCGTTTATGGCAGCAAGTCCTCGTCCTGTGGGCCCCATTTCTAAGCTGGACGTCCAGCAGTTCCCTCAGAAAGTGCTGTGGGGCCCAGGCGTCCTCTCAGAGGATATGAGCACTCCCGAGTCGTTCTCACTGCGTGTGTTCATTTCACTCACTGCCTGCTTCCTTCGTTCAGCTCCAAGTACCTGCTGATGTTTCTGAGCTAGGAGGGCTTCCTTCAGGTAATAGGGGAAGCATGATCTGGAAAAGGGAAGGTTTCCTTTTGCCCCATGGAGAGACGTCCTGAGACACTTCATCAACCAGGAAGGCTCCCAGGCAGCCACTGGGTTGCAGTGAAAGTTTTCAGCCGCTGGTGACTGCTCTGGTGAGACTTGTGAGAGAGAACAGTGACGGTGAGCACAGCAGCCCCTCAGAAAGCAAACCAGGGAGTGGCTTCCCGACGTGCACGGTTTCTAATTCACACGGTCCCTGCATAAGCTAGGCATTCCTGTATCCTGTTTTCACATGAGGAAACTGAGGCCCCTGGAACTCACGTAGTTTGCCCAAGGCCATCTAACTAGGAGGCCGTAATTAGTGAAGCTGGGATTTACACCTAGGGCTGTCTGATTCCGAAGCTGGGCTCTTTCCACGGTATGGTCTGAGGGTGCAGTCTAGAGCGGGGACTGATGGGGTTTGTCTGAAGGAACATGAGATGGTGGAGTTCCAGGCTGGCTGGTGTGGGGCCCCGGCTGGGATGAGACAGTGTCTTCAAGTGTCAGGGATGGACGAATGTCCCTGTCAGGAGATGTTGGTCCCTGGCAGCCAGGCATGGTGGCAGCACTCCCAGCCTGGCCTGCCCTGCACAAACCTTCAGGCACACAGGCCTCTTGACAGAGTGATGATTGGGATTCCATGCCTGCACCAGTGGTGGGAGAGATGCAGGTGAAACAAGGCGGAAAGGACCGTAATTACCTCCTAACAGGTTTCCACATTTCTCTGCTGTCAGAATGGTTTTGTTTTCTGATTTATTTTGATCTGCTTGAAAATTAGTTGTGGCAGTGTGTTTGGTGTGTAATCATTGTCCTGCTAGCTAGCAGTCATCATCAGCAATGTTAGCCCGGCAAACGTGATCTTTCTTTCCTTTGCCCAATACATGTCAGGCTCTGTGTGGCAAGGGCGAGGGAGAGGCATGACTATGTGTCTCTGCCTGTCTGTGGACCCCGACTCCTCACCATCACCCAACAGGGGACAGTCCTGCTGGCTGTGTCTTCCCGGAAGGCTCGTGCCCGCACAGATTGTCTGGTGAGCCCGCCAGCTGTACCGCATCGCTCTGTGCATGTGACCTAGCTCTCTCCTGGCCCCCTGTTCCATCCCACATGCAGCCTCCGTCCACTGTCCCCCAGCTCGCAACCCCCACGCAGCCCCACCCTTGACCTGCCACCTCCATCTGCACCTGCTTGTGGAGCCTGTGTCATGGAAGAGAGGTGGCCTGACCACTCTAAGCCCACAGCACCACTGGATCTTTCCCCTCTCTCTGTGAGAAGACGGCCAGTCTCAGATTGGATTTGACCTTTTCGCTTGTGGTCGGGCCAGGTTGAGCAGGAAACCATCGTTAGGGCACGGAAGCATAGGTGGGAGAAGACAGCCAGCACTGTAGAGTGGGGAGGGCTCAGTGCTTCCACGGGTGGATGTTCAGCAGCAGGCCCCCTCTGTTCTTTGGTGAAGCTTGTCTGCAGCGAGCCCTCAAAAAACATGGGTTTTGAGCCAGACGGAAAGTCATCAAGCCCAGTTACAGTCATCCCTTGGTGTCTGTGGGGAGACTGATTCCTGGACCCCTCTCAGATACAAAACCCAAGGATGCCCATGTCCTTTTATGTATGTAGATTATATGCACATACTACACCATTTTATGTATTTTACATATGGTATATTTTATTTTTTAATTTGTATAATTTTTTAATGATTTTTTTTTCCTAATATTTTTTACCCAAAGCTGGTTGGATCCGCGGGTACAGAGGGCCAACTGTATTTCATTATTCAGAGCAGAAAACTGAGACCTAACACATAGGCAAGGATATGCTTAAGAACTACTGTTGGTTGGCTCCAGGTCTGGGATATGAACCCGAATCTCTGTTGCAGTCTGTCCAAAAGTGGGCTGAGCTGGTTTCAGGATTGGAGCAGACAGCTGTCCATGTGCTGGAATTTGAGGGATCTGCCATTTCCTCCCTAGAATTTCTACCTTTAGCATTACCTTTGAAGTAAGTCAGGGATTACCAAACATCTTATTACCAAAGAACTCTTTCTTCCCACATGACCCAACACAGAACAGAAAAGAGCAGAGATGCTTTTGTTCAAGTGCATGGGAAAGAATGGATGATTCAGAGCTGACCTGTTCAGCTTCTCCTGATTCTCCAGCGAGGTCCCTTATGCTTCTTGCTAGAACCTTTAGAGCTCCATGGAGTATAGTGAGAAATGTTTATGGCCTCTATTACCAGGGCAGATGAATAGGTGCAGACGTTAACAGCTTCTACACCTTAATTAGCATGGGTGTGTTTAGCAGAGTAATTGAGATCAGAGACTAGGTTGATAAAAGAATAGGGTTCCCAACAGGATAGTTTTTGATTAAGGAAATATTTGGAGCACTATGGAAATGCTTGAAACATAGGAAGGGCAAGTTCAGCTGGAGTGCATTGGGATGACGGAGGGTGGGGTAGCGGGGTAGGGTGAGAATCAGGGCAGCCTGGAAGCTGGGGCCTGAATCACTGGGGCAGGGACCAGGGAGACCAGAGAGACCAGAGAAGGTCTCAGACATAAACTCTAGCTACTCCATAAAACTACCTGGAGCATGAAAATCCCAGCGCCTCTGCCACGGCCTAGACTGCTCATCACAGGGGTTGCAAAGTCACAAAAAAGATGATGGCATTGAGCTTTCCTATCAGGAACTATGTCCTCAACTAATATTAATAGCTGACATTTGCATAGCACTTCACAGTTAATATAACACTCTCATATGTTAGGTGCTTCTCTTAATACCCCTTGAGGTAGCTATTGTTATTGTTATTATTATCCTTCTTTTAAAGGTGTGGAAACACAGGGTCAGGGGCCCCGTGAGCCATTACTTGGAAACACTGTCATTAACAATTACTTCTTATAGTTGTTTCTAGCAACTCATGTCCTGGAAATGTCTGGTTTAATTCATCTCTCTCTCCTTCTAGTAGACAGACAGACAGACAGACAGACAGACAGACACACACACACACACACACACACACACACACACACACACACACACACACACACACACACACACACTGAGGGCTGATAGGGAAGAGGACTTCTCTTCTTGATTCTCCATAGCTGTTTCCCAACTGTTGCTCTCTAACAAAAAAACCCCTTCAGAACCCTCAGCCCTGCTCAGAAATCTAAGGAGGCTTCAGGCAGCAACAGTGGGGTCCACCCCACCCTGAAGGGCTGCTGCAAAGATCTCCAGGAGGAGGCCCCCAACACCATTCCTCTTGAAGGTCCCAGTTCAGTGCGGCTTGAGTCCTTCACCTCTGAGTCTCAGCCAGGCAACATCCGAAGGAGCTGAGGAAGCCTTCTCTCTCCTGCCTTCTCTACCTCACAGGAGATGGCTCCTGTCCTCCCCATCTCCCTCCCACCATAACCGCTCACCAAAAATTGACTTGTTTTCTCTGATGCTGCTTTATTGCATGTTAATACTTCATTACTGGACCTGATTCTGTTACACTCGCACAGAGCAAGCAGAGCAGAGGGTCCTGAGCATGCGGCATTAGATGGAGAAACTGCCTCCAGTCTCACTCATCGTGCTGAGATGGGTTGCATGGCACACCACTCTTAGCACAGACTGAGGCTGGCCAGGCCACCCATGCTGGGTGCTGACAGGCCTCAAGCCTGCAGTGAGGGCCAATCTCAGTCCTCATGATCTGCACTGGGGACAGAAGCCATCTGATTTTAAATTCCATAGGAATAAACCAATGGGTGGAGTCACCAAATATCCAGATGTTTTCTCCCAGCTTTCATATCTGCCATTTATTTTTAAAGATGTTTTAATGGACTAGGTACAATTTTCATACATAAGATTCACCCACTCAGTCTATTGTTCTATGAATTTTTAAAAACAGCTTATCTGAGGTATAATTGGCATATAACAAACTGCACATATTTCAACTGTATACTTTGGAAAGTTTCAACATTGACCATCAGTGCAATCAAGAGGGTGAGCATATCCATCACTCCCAAAAGTTTCCTTTTGCCCCTTTGTAATCCCAGTAGCTCAGCCCTCCTCCCCACCCCTGCTATCTCTTTTCTGTCATCATAGATTAGTTTATATTTTCTATTGTTTTATATCAATGAAGTCATACAGCATGGACTCTCTTGACTGCCTTCCTTCATTCAGCATAATTATTTTGAGGTTTACACATGTCTCTGGATGTACTGATAGCTTATTCCTTTTTATTGCTTAGTTGTGTTCCATTGTATGGATATAGCACAGTTTATCCATCCATGTTGAGCTGTTTCCAGTTTTGAGCTATTTAAATAAAGCAGCTATGAACATTTGTGTATAAGGCTTCGTACGGATGTATGCTTTCCTTTTCTCTTGGGTAGATACCTGGGAGTGGAATGGTTACATCATGTGGTAGTGTACGTTTAGTGTTTTAAGAAGTTGCCAAACTCTTTTCCAAAGTGGTTGTGCCATTTTGTGCTGCCATCAGCAGTGTATGAGAGTTTTGGTTCTTCTACATCCTCACCAACACCTGGTGTGGTCAGTATTTTTAATTTTAATTTTAGTCATTATAATGTGTATGCAGTGGTATCTCATTGTGTTTTAAATTTGCATTTTCCTGAAGACTAACAATATTGAACATCTTTCCTGTGGTTATTGGCCACTCGTATATTTTTTGGTGAAGTATCTGTTCATATATTTTGCATACATTATATTTGGGTCATTTTCATATTATTGCATTATGAGGTTTCTTTATATATTCTGGCTGGCTATAAGTTTTTTTTAAAATCAGATATGTGCTTTGCAAATATTTTATCTCAGTCTGTGTCATCTTTTCTCTCTCATCTTTGTTGGAAGTCATTTTCCATATATGTGTTGGTCTATTTCTAGACCATCTGTTCAGTTCCATTGATCCATTTGTCTATTTTTACACCAATACCACACTGCTTTGATTACTATAGCTTTATAATAATAAGGCTTAAAATCAGATAGTGCTAGTTACCCCTTCATCTTTGTGATTTTTCATAGTTGTTTGGTTATTCTAGACCTTCTGCATTTCCATATGAATTTTAAAATCAGTTTGCCTATTTCTACAAAGAAAAGTGTTTGCTTCATGTATTTATTTGAAAGCTCTGTTAATAGGTGCATGAACATTTAGGATTGTTATGCACCCTTGAAGACTTGACCTCTTTGCTGTTTTGAAAAGCCCTTTCTAATCCCTAGTGATAGCCTTTGCGCTGAAATTTATTTTGCCTGATATTAATATAGACAGTCCAGTGTCCTTTTGACTGTGTTAGTATCGTATAGTTGGTCCTTTGTATTCTCAGGTTCTGCACATGCAAATTGAAAATATTGGAAAATAAAAATAAAAAATATAACAAAAATAATGCAAATGAAAAATACAGTATCAACTATTTACATAGCATTTATATTGTATTGGTTTTTATAAGTAATCTAGAGATGATTTAAAGCATATGGAGGGATGTGGATAGGTTATATGCAAATATCATACCATTTTATATAAGGGACATGAGCATCTGAGGATTTGGGTATCTGTGGGGCAGGAGGAGGTGTGTCCTAGAATCAATCCCCTACAGTTACTGAGGGACAGCTGCATATCTTTTTCTGTTCCTTTACTCTTAACCTATTTGTGTCTTTATATTTACAGTGGATTTCTCATAAGCAGCAGATAGATGGGTCTTGCTCTTTTATTCAGCCTGACTTAATTGGCATATTCAACCAATTTGCTGTTGATGCCTTGCTGTGCTTCGGTTTAACCTCTTGATACTTTGCTGTGCTTCGGTTTAACCTCTTGATACTTTGCTGTGCTTCGGTTTAACCTCTTGAGACCTTGCTGTGCTTCGGTTTAACCTCTTGAGACCTTGCTGTGCTTCGGTTTAACCTCTTGATACCTTGCTGTGCTTCGGTTTAACCTCTTGATACCTTGCTGTGCTTCGGTTTGACCTCTTGATACCTTGCTGTGCTTCGGTTTGACCTCTTGATACCTTGCTGTGCTTCGGTTTGACCTCTTGATACCTTGCTGTGCTTCGGTTTGACCTCTTGATACCTTGCTGTGCTTCGGTTTAACCTCTTGATACCTTGCTGTGCTTCGGTTTAACCTCTTGATACCTTGCTGTGCTTCGGTTTAACCTCTTGATACTTTGCTGTGCTTCGGTTTAACCTCTTGAGACCTTGCTGTGCTTCGGTTTAACCTCTTGATACCTTGCTGTGCTTCGGTTTAACCTCTTGATACCTTGCTGTGCTTCGGTTTAACCTCTTGATACCTTGCTGTGCTTCGGTTTAACCTCTTGATACCTTGCTGTGCTTCGGTTTAACCTCTTGATACCTTGCTGTGCTTCGGTTTAACCTCTTGATACCTTGCTGTGCTTCGGTTTAACCTCTTGATACCTTGCTGTGCTTCGGTTTAACCTCTTGTTGTTTTCTGTTAGTCCCATGTAGCTTTGTTCCCTTTTCCCTCTTTTTCTGCCTCCTTTTGGATTAACTGAGTATTTTTAAGGATTCAGTTTCATCTCTTCTGTTGACTTATTAGCTAAAATCCATTGTTTTGTTATTTTAACAGTTGCTGTAGGGCTCATAGTATACATCCTTTTTTTATTATACTTTAAGTTTTAGGGTACATGTGCACAACGTGCAGGTTAGTTACATATGTATACATGTGCCATGTTGGTGTGCTGCACCCAGTAACTCGTCATTTAACATGAGGTATATCTCCAAATGCTCTCCCTCCCCCCGCCCCCACCCCACAACAGGCCTTAATCATCGCAGTTTGTCTTCAGTTGTTACTAAACCCCTTCACATATAGTACGGGAACTTCACAATAGCACACTTAGATCACTCCCTTCCTGGCCTTTATGCCGTTGCTGCCATACATGCTAATTGTGCATTTGTTCTAAACCTCACAATACATTGTTACTATTTTTGTTTAGGCAGTCAATGATCTTTTCAATGAAAATCATATATACTTAACCATGTCAGTACCATTTCTGGTACCCTTGATTCCTTTATGTAGATCCACACTTCTATCTCATATTATTTTCCTTCTGCCTAAAGGACTTCCTTTAACATGTCTTGCAGTGCAAGTCTGCTAGGATTAAAATCTTTTAGCTTTTCTATGTCTGAAGAGAAGTCTTTATTTTTCACTTTTATTTCCGAAGGATATTTTTACTTAGTATAGAATTCTCAGGTGATAGTTTTTCCTTCCATGACTGTAAAGCTATGATTCCACTGTCTTCTTGCTTGTGTTGTTTCTAATAAGAAACCTGCTGTCCCTCTTGTCTGTTCCACTGTACCTAAATGTGTCTTTATGCCCTGGCTACTTCTAACATTTTCTCTTGATCACTGCTTTGAGGAATTTGATTATGATGTGCCTTGGTATAATTCTTTTTTCATGTTTCTAGTGCTTGGCATTCCTTGAGCTTCTGGAACCTGTGGGTTTATATTTTTAAAATTAAAATTGATAAATTTCTGGCTATTATTTATAATTTTTTTTTTGCTTCTCCCCCCATTCCTGTGAGAACTCTAATTACACATGTATTAGGCTGCTTGACATTGTCGAACAGATCACTGGCACTTTCATTTTATTTAATTCTTTTTTTTCTATGTCCTTCATTTTGGATAGTTCCTATACTATGTGTTTATGAATCTTCTCTTTTTTTGCCATACATAATTTGCCTGCCTTCTTCCCTCCCTCATTCCTTATCTTCCTTCCTTTAGAAGAACCTAGGGGGATTTACCTAATTTTATAATGATTATTATTTCAGAACCAATCCAGAGCTTCTGTTCCCAAAGCCAAACTACCGATTGGAGATTCTGGAGGGAGGGAACACAGGGGGTGACATTCCTGGAATTTGGGGGACTTCGCAGGACTTGACATTTTAGAGGCTGGATTAGGGTACATCCAATTTCTCCTGCTTCCTCCCTCTTCTTCTTTCCTATCCCCAAAGTAAGGAGAGTCCTGTGAGCCCAAAGGCACTAGACAGCCCTAGCACACTCTTGGCAGACAGGGCTGAACGCCCGGATTTCCCTCTCAATAGGGAAGACTTAGGGAGCCTCTCACAGGAGTGAGACAGGAACAGCAGCTTTATGGAAACTGAGTTCCAAGTCAACACCCGGAAGAAAACTCAGGCTCCCCTGTAGGCCTGGAAAGCTTTGTCTGAGACAATGACCTTAGGAGGAGGTCACCAAAACCACTCCTTCCCTCACAGCTCATGGGATCAGAGTCAGCTGTGCCTGCTGAATGAGTGGTCAGGTACAGCGCACCCGCCTCCTGCCAGAGAAAAGGAGACCTGCAGTCTGGCTGCGGCAGGTCTCAGCAGAATCTTTAGCTTTCTTCAGGCTTGATCAGCCACCTCAAGACCTGTGCTCATTTAAAGAACAGAGAGTACATGTAAGTTAGGAATGTTCTCGACTTCAAGTAACAGGATACTTAAGGACTCTGAATTGGTTCAGCAGCTCAAGATGCCACTGAGAACCAAGGCTCTTTCTCTCTTTCCACTTCCTTATACTAAGTCTGTTGGCTTTTCATATTCAAGCTGATTTCCTTATGGTTGCAAGATGGTTGTCAATGGGGCTCCAGGCATCACACCCCCATTCAAGGCAGGTGGAACCAGGAAGGAGTGGAGCCAATAACACTCTGGCCCTTTTTTTTTTTTTTACATAAAACAGAGGCTTTCCCAGAAGTCCCTAGCATAGTACTTCTTGAATTTAATCTACACAAGGATCCCCTGGGAATCTTGTTAAAATATAGGTTTGGATGTAGTAGATCTTGGGTAGAGCCTGAAATTCCACATTTTGATCAAGCTGCCAGAGTGTGTCAGTGTGGCTGGAAACTGCATTTTGAGTAGCAAGGTGCAAGGCTACTTCTCCTTACTCTTAGTGACACAATCCAATTAACTAGCTACAACTGGCTGCAAGGGAGGCTGACAAAGTATCTTACCTTTTTCAGGGGAGACTTTGGGTAGCAAACCAATATCAGTCACAGAATTCTACTGAAAATGCAGGGTATGGAAGCATCTGAAGTCACAAGGTTGGGCTGGACAAATTAGAGCCTTCACCTCCATGAGGGAAGACCATGGACCCCTTACTCTATATCCACACTCAGCCTGCAGGGACAGGGCATTATTGCCACGAGCCAGTCTGTCCTGTATACTCACTGGATTAGGGATTCCACTTTCAGAATTTTATCACCTTAGCACCCAGCACAGTGCCCGGTACACAGCAGGTACCCAATACGTGTCTATTACACTGAAATGTTTATTGGCACATGGTCTAAAGACAGTGCCAGGGAATCCTGTGAAAATGCAGTGCTGATTCGGGAGATCCAGGATGGGGATCCAAGATGATGCATTTGGAACAAGCTCCCAGAGGATGCTGCCGTCTGGTCCGAATCCTGGGCCCCACTTTCAATAGAAAGGGCCTAGGACATGCAGAGTAAAGTCCTTCCTCCTGAGTTAGCAGCAGCTACTTGTGCTTCATTCATGCAGGCATGAAGCTGCTTGCAAGGATGTTAGCAGATATTAGATATGGCTGGTGGGGAGGAGTAAGGAGGGCCTTGGCTATGCCTTTTTCCAAGATCCGGGAGCTGGATGCTCAGAGATCTCATCCCTGGCTTCCTTGTCCACTGAAAACAAAACAGCAGTATACCCGGGTGAGGAGAGAGACCAGCCAAGCACGTCTTTCAACAACTCTTAACTTGCTTGGCTCCAGCCACGAAACAGGAACCCGCCATCCCCCTAGCTCGTCCCTGGCCCTCAGGAAGTGCTGAGGCTCTGCCGGGCTGCATGAGTGAGGGGCCGATGTCTTTCAGATGTTGGGGCTTCAGCGGGGGAGTGGGGTAAGCTGGGGAGAGGGAGCATTTTTTTGTGAATATTTTACCCACGGAAAAAGCTGAATTCTCTAGAACAGACCTCTAGATTTTTTTTTTTTTTTTTGGTAGTGGGAAGTGAGTTACTGGAATTTCTTCTGAATTCGAAGCCAAACAAAGTTTCTTGCGGTTTTAGTTACACAAGCGGCTGCTGCCAAGATGGAATGAATGAGAAGAGCCACTGAAAGGAAGAGACAGTGAGGGGCTGGGGGAGGAGGGTGCAGAACAGGACCCAGGCGCAGCACAGAACAGCCCTCCAGGCGGGCATACTGCCCGCTTCTATGCTGTCAACTCTTTAGGGAGAGAGCTCACTGTTCTGTCTGCCTCCCAGGATCAGAATTAAAAAGAAAAAAGGTCTGTGAAAGTGAGGCATACACTGGCAGACACGCACACATGTAAATGATTATCATTGCTTTGTAATTTACCATAATTCCGGCCTGTGCACTCTATGGGGTCCTGCTTTGTTCAGTTTCCTGACTGAGTGGCAGTTGGACGAGACACTTCTGCCCCTAAGCTGCAGGCAGGCGGCTCTCATTTCAGCCTTGTTCCAGTGTGAGTCTGCAGGGAAGGGATGCCCGCTGCTCCAAGGGGAAGCAAGGATAATTAACTTCTACCAGTGATCCCCAAACTTCATTTTCCTTAGAGCCTGAAGCCTCCTCCTTGTTACCTTCCTGGTAGCCACAGAATGGGCCAGGGCCATGTGTCTCCTTTCATTTCTCCAGCCTGCCCTCTGGTGGGCGATGCCCTTCAGTGAGCGGGGCCTGGGGTAGGGCCGTTCTGCAGATCCTGGGTTGGCTTCCAGTGGTGCCTGGCATCTCTCCTGCTCTCTGGGAGGAGGGACGGGCCGCTAAGTGCTGACGGCAGCCTGTCACTCACACCTTGCTCCCTCTGTAGAAACACTCTGTTTCTCTCCATTCCATCCCTGCGTGTTACCTAGCAGGAATTTCCTCTTCCTTGGGTCAAGCGGGTGGGAAGGGCTCATGATTGCTGACTGAACTCAACCCTTTACACTGGGCATTCAATGTCATCACATTGATAACTTGAAATGGGCAGTAGTGGGAACATTTACACCACAAAAACTGGCATATGCTACACCCAGAGCTTTCCTTCCCCCTCTCCTAAAAGCCAGTTGCTAAAACATTTAACAACATACCACTGGCTGGAACCACTTGTGAAGGTGACGTAGGGCTGCAGGGAGAGCCCAGGTAGTGGAGGAAATGGCAGCCTTCCTTCCTTGCCCATAGCCTGTGCCGGCTACAACTCAGGAGCTTTTGGAACTTAGGAGCTCTGTTCTTAAACTCTCCTTAAACACCTCCTCATCCCAGACGGGTTGACTTTCAATGAGAGGACTCTGCTGTGCCGCAGAGCTGGAATCACTCAAAGCAGAGTGATGGACGAGACTTACTTTCGACGTTCCTAGGCTCCCTTCCACCGTTCCCTGGTCTCCAAACCCCATGTTCTTATCTGACGGTATTTCTACTCTTTTTCTCAACCTGTTGCTAACGTGCTCATTCGAGAGAGGCTGGTGCGCACCTACCCAGCGGCTTTTTGGGCGGCAGTGGAAGGGAGTGTTTTATTAGGAATTTACGTTATATGTGCAAGGAATACCACATGGATGGTAAAGTTCAGCCGTTTTCCACTGAAGATAGGGATTCTTCAAACTGCACAGCTTTTCAGGCCATTTCGTTTAGGCGAGCCCTCATGTTATAGTCAGGGAGTTTGAGGCCCAGGGACATTTCCCAGGGGATGAACTCTAACTAAAAATGAAGGTCTCCTAGTCCTGTCGCCTGTTTTCTTCACTCAGCTGTTTAAAGGGATGTTGCCTCGTGTGAATTATGGATGACTGCCAGAGTTATTAGAATGAACAGAGTTACCAAGAGCTAAATACTCGTCATTTATACCTGGCCGGTTCTGTTTTCAGTTGTCCTTTTTCTTTGCAAAGAGCTTTGAAACAAGACTGGCCTGCTTGACCTTCCATTTAGAGTTAATGTCAAAGCTTGCTGAGGCCTGGGAAACAGGTTTGGTTGTTTGCATTAAAAGGGAGTAGGAAGCAAGAACCTTAATTATCCTAGGCTCTGGCCTATTTAATAAGGAATTTGAGAAGATGTCTTAGTGGCTAGTATTCCTAGAACATAATACTTGAAAGTGGAGCGAGCGGGTGAAAATATGCCTTAGGCAGGAAGCCAGATAGGAAGGGCCAGTGTCTACAGGCTCTGCACAGTAAGGACCCTGTGGGAAGATGTCACAGGTAACAGGGCCTGATGGCCCAGCACCCAGCTGCTTTGCAGTAGTTCTGGCTTCGGGGCTTCTCTGGGTGGCTGAAGAACAGGTCTGTGAGGTTCATTCGGGGGCTCTTGTTGATCAAGTGTGGATGGTGTGCCGGACACAGGGCTGGGGCTGCAGAGTGGAGGAGGCGCAGTCCCTCCCCCGAGAGCACTGTGGCCAGTGGAAGGAGACAAACAAGAAACAATGACAGGACCCAGGCTCAGGCTGTCATGAGCAGCCCTCCTCTGGAGAGTGGGAAATGTGCGTTGGGAACTCATGCTTACAACTTTTATGTTTTTTCTTACTGAGCAATGCTCATAACAGGAGAAAGGATTTCTTCACTGTCCCAAAAGAATGTGCCTCAGGACTGAAATTGGTAGTGGCCCTCCCTTACTCATGTGCCCCAAGCACATTGGAACGCCAGAGGAATTTTAAGCAGATTTTTATTCTTGTTTTCTGGAGGCAAAATCTAAAGTGAAGGGTGTGTGTGGAGAGGTCATGCAAGAAATTTGGAAGCTGTGTGCCTTGTCTGGCTGACTGTCCCAATTACCCCGGGCCCAGAGGTGGGAGGTCCCACAGGGGCCTGCCCCCAGTTGACAGAGGGCTCTTTACCGTTAGGACCCCTTCTGGGTTTCTCAAATTATGGCTTTTCCTCCTTCATGGTCTCCTGGTACTTTTAACCCCTTCTCTCCATTTTTCCCAAGGAATATTCTAGAGGAAGGGTTTCTGGGAATGACCTTCCCAAGGGGAGGGATCGGGCAAGTATTGAGTCATTCCTGCTCGTCTGGATTGTGATTGCGACCCGTGCCTCATGGAGTGTCGCTGGATACGCGATCAGTGTCCCTTGAGGCAGTGCTGCACATGGTGCAGTTCCAGAGAAATGAGGGAATGAGAATGAACGTGGCTGCTCGTGTGTTCCGTGGCTGTTTAGGAAGGTTGGGTCAGTGGAGATCAGGGCCCGAAGAGCAGTTTCAGCCTGCGTGGTCTTGATGTGGTCTTGGCTGATGAGAAGCTCCCTCCAATTCTGTGATTCTGGGTAAAGCAGACCATGTGCCATCGGGAGTGCTCCTGTGATTCTTTAAGTTAGTAATTCTCATCCCTGGCCACACATAAGAATCATCTGGGATCATTTAACAAAAAACAATGCCAGGATCCTACAGTCTACTCCACGCCCTTCATTTTCAAACTTGAGTGGGCACCAGAATCACCTGGAGGATTTGTGTAAACACAGATTCCTGGGCTCCAGCTTCCGAGTTTCAGTGGCTCCAGGATGGAGCTTGAGAATTTGCATTTCTAACAAGCTCCCAGGTGACTCGCTGCTGCTGGCCTGGGACCACACTTTGGAAATCACGATTATGAACAGGAATCAGAATTTCTGAAGATGTGGCCTGGGCATCTGAATTTTTTCACATTCTCCAGGTGATTTTAACATATAGCTCTGGCTGAAAACGATTTCTGATCATTGATTTTTTTTTTTTTTTGCATCATCCAATAACTATTCATTGGTCAGACTGTGTGCTAGGCACTGAGTTAGAGTTGAAGACCCTCAAGAATTCCACTGACAACTGAATCATCAAAGGGAACCGAGCCCTGCCCAAGGACATACAGTTGTTTTCCTCTTCCTTGTCCTTTGGAGAAGCACAGCTGAAGCTTCCTGCCCACACCCCAGCCCCTCCTCCTTGAGCATGAATGTGCAGTAAGTATGAGAGCCTGTCATTTACCCTCCCTGGCCTCCCTCTCCAGCCAGCTTCTCTCTGAGGAGTGAGGATTTCTTGCTAAGTACATGATGATGGCCTGTTTACTTTGCTCTGGAGTTTGAGGCTCTTGCGCAGATTCTGCCTTCCTGGACAGTTCAGGAACCAATCAACCAGCTGGCCTTGGCAACCTAGAAAGCATGGTCAGTTGCCCTGAAATAGGTTGATTGCACCCCAGAAGTGCTTTTCCGCCTCTCCCCATCAAAGGTGTTTGCAACCCCATTTTCCCTCTGAGTCAGCTTGTCCATTAATGGGTTTGTGTTCCTTGATGGGGTCTGTTTTTCCAGGGTCTTGAGGAGTGGCCCTTTCCACCCAGTTTGGCTGCGGGGCTGAGAAGGTGCCCTTGCATTTTGTATTGTGTGTCCGTGGTGGGTCTGTGCCTCCCTTCTGTCTGTTTTCCCTCAGGACCACCCACCGCCCCATGCTTGTATCTACAACAGCTATGAGGAAGAACATACAGATTAATCACCCTGCTGCGGGATGCCAGCTACCCAGTGGCTCTGGCAGCCCCAGTCAATGGATCCTGCAGTGTAGCCTTCATCAGTAGAGCTGCCACTGCCAGCACCCAAAAGGTAGCACTAATATGCATGTGTGACCTGAAAATTACAATGTAAATGGTGGGGCAACACATGTATAGGAAGGTAAATTTTAATTAAAAGTCTGTTCTCCAACTCAGCCTGCCTTTAAAGATACAGAAATGCCAAGCTGTCAGGCTGCCGGTCGGGTTAAGAGGGTTCTCTCGTGCACTGTGGACCAAGCTGGGAGAACTAGGGCTTCATTGAAATCGGATGCCTTTGACTAATTATGCACCAAATGCATCCCATATGGGGAAGATATGCCCTCAGGTGGTTAGCAGAGCCAGCAGGAGCCAAGCTTCCTGAAAAATGCTGGGTCTTCTCTCCTGCAGTGTCAGGGGGTGCAGACAGTACAGAGGGAGGGTATGAGAGTCGAGGCACATGCCAAAAAGGAGCAGGTGGGAAAAAAGAGCCCATGGCCCAGCAGCAAATTGTGTGTCTTTGAGTGGATGTGGCTTTTGAGGCACTATGCCCAATAGTCATCCTGAATTTCCTTCACTGCCTGGGGAGGGGGTGGATGGAGGAGGGAAACTAGCCACCTCCAGAGGCAACCCTGCTGGACAAAACTCACTTTTAGAACCATCAGAAGCCCATTTTCCTGTGGAAATCTACGGGGAAGAGATAGAGAAGAGCTGCAGAGTCTATTAAATGTGTGCTTGCTGCCTGGTCTCCGGTATAGTCAGGAAATCAGATTTGTACAGTGGAAATTCATTCATGCCACAAATATTTATTGAGTGCCTACACTGTGCTGGTGGTACTAGGGACTGGGGATACAGCGGTGGGTGAGATAAAGGCACGACGCCCTCACCGAGACTTGTGTGCCACTGGAGAACATGGATTAAACCAGGCGTTACGTGATCAGTGTATCAGTGCCATATGGGCAATGATCCAAGCTGCCGATGGGTACACACCGGGGACACCTAGTTCTTAAGTGACTTTTTAGGATCCCAAGTGGTCAGAACAGCTTCCCTATTTTGCCATTTACATGTTCACATTCACTTAGCTCAAGTTACCCTTCTGATAAGAGGAAATTCGCGTCAAGTCACATAGAATCACTGAATATTTGCACTTGGAGGATCACCTGGCCTAATTCTTCTGCTTTACACATGCAGATGCTGAAGGAGAGAAGTTAAAGAACCTGTCCAAAATCGCACAGCTAGTTAGTAATAAAGCTTGGGTGGAATTCTGCTTTTCTGACTCCCAGATTAGTATTTCTTTGACTTTACCTCCCCTTTGGAAAAATGAAGCGATTCAGGGGAAGTTCCTGGGCATTTATGGCCAAACTGCCCTCGCTCTGAAGATTCAATGTTTTAATTGGCCCGGCAGAGCTGGAGTCCACAGGTGGTAAGCATGGACAGGTGGAGAGCCAGCATCAGAGAGAGCCTCCTGGCCAGCGCCTGCCTTGCTTCACAGATGTCAAGGCAATTGGGGATTGGGGGCAGGGTATGATAAAGGGCATCAGGAAAGTGGCAGTGCTGGGGCACTGTCCTCTGGGCCTCCCTGGGCTCAGCTGGGCAGGGGCGTGTTTTCAGAGACAATGGTGTTGACTCCCTCTGGGCAGCCCTGCAGGGTGGCAGTCCCACAACAGAAATCTTGGAGCAGATATGTTGGAGGATATGTATAAGAATGAGGGATTAGTGCTGGTTGGGGGCAGAAAAAATGCCCTCTTGGGGAGAAAGAAATGATCTGTGACAAAGGACTTCCTTTCCTAACCAGGCAGACTCTGGAAGATGACCACGAGGCTGGGTGGGAAGGTGGCAGTGGAAACGTGATTAATTGTACTGTCCATGGACAGTGAGCCGAGGAGCTTGTACCTGGCTTTATTAGAGACATACACTCGGGGCTGCTCTACCCAGAATCCCTCCTGCTGCCTCCAGGGCTGCTCCACTCTGTGTCTTAGAGATGAGAAAAGGAGTCAAGGACTCCTACCAGCGTGGAATGGTAACCTCTGGAGGGGAGGTAGGTCTCCCAGGGATCTGAGACGTGTTCCAGGAATGGAATTCCCAGTATCCTTGGCAGTCATTTCAGGATCTTGGGGACCTAGGGATGCTGTCTGGACTGCTCTAAAATAGCCCTTCTGTGGCTTCCTCAAATGTATTGTCTGAATCAGCAGCTTCAAAGTGATATCAGGGGGTTTACAGCATGGATGTTGGAGCTATGTAGACTGGATTCAAATCCCCAGTTCTACCAATTCCAGCTCTGTGTGCAGGGCACTAGAACTTGCTGAGTCCTAGCTCCTTTGTAATATGAGGTGATGGTGAATATGTCGTAGGGTTGTTGCCTGGATTGAAAGTAGGTAAAGCACCTACTAGCGTGTCTGGCACCTGGGAGGTACTTAAATGGTAACCCTTATTACAACAAAACAATAAAAGGTCCTTCCTTTTAAGCCAGAAAAGTTATTTGGAAATGGAACAGTCTTTTAATGACGGGGACTTAAAATCCCAAACCACCAGCCAAAACAATCAAAATGGAACCCAGACGGATATTTGCTCAAGGGCCCCTGGCTTCTCAAGGGCCTACTCCGCCGCAGAATTTGCCTGCACCACCTACTGGTGGTTTCTTAGAACTACACACTCTCTTTCTCGACTGCTCTTTGGTGAGCAGGACACCAGGAGAGGCAGGGAGGAAAGGAAGGTAACTAGTAGTTTTGCAACTGTTTTAATTACTTCAAATTGAGATGTTTGTAAATAAGATGTTAGAGTCTGGAGCTTTTGTTCGGTCTTGTGTTTAGCGTAAATATAGTTTTATTGAAACTCGTCACAGAAGTACCCTGCAGTGGAGGGCGCAGGATTTGGCTGTGACGGAGCAGAGCTAGAGGCCACTTGCAAATGGCAGCGTTTGGAAGTGCCTGTTCTGGGTAGAGCATCCAGGCTGCTTTTGATTGGCTGTTTGTCCCTCCCACGAAGCAAGAAAGGTGAATGTAACCAGCCCACTGGAATCGGTCCTTTTGCCATTAACGTCACCTCTGTTTACTACGTGGGAAGAGTGATTCACATGCAGGAAGAAGACCTTTTCCAGAAATCCTCCATCAGCTAGAAGAAGAGAGAGATCCTAATTAGGGAGCCATGCCACATTTCATTCTGAGATTTTGTTTGGAAGCATTTTTCCAACTGAGAAGGTAGGAAAGGGTCGTTTAAGTTTCCCACTGTTCTGTTGGGCTTAATGACCTGCCCAGGTCTCAGGCTGCTCTGAGCTGAGCTGTCAGTGAGACCAGCAGGAGGACATCACTAGGACTGGAAATAGCGTGGAGTCAATTGACAGACAGCCATGAAGCACTACTAAGTGCCAGGCCTTGTGCTGGCTCCCGGGGAGGCAAAGAAACATAGAACATGACCTTGGTCCTTAAGAGGTTGAGAGTTTAGTAGACAAGAGAAGCCTGTGCTAAATCTGTGTACAATAGTGAGTGAAGCAAGTGCTGAGTCCTAGTGGACAGGTCCATCCTCTTGTGGAATATTGGAGAAGGAAGCATGCATGTGTTCAGTTAGACACAGTTTCTGACCTCCAAGGTGAAGGTTCAATTCCATGCACGTTTATTGTGTCCCATTTTGTATAAACAGAGCACGTTTGTTGATATTCTGAGGTATTTGGAGAAGGACACAGTTGAGTACCATTTTTCAGCCCTTTCACATTGTGCAGTACAGAGGTCAGGAGCACTGTTTCAGGAATCAGACAGCCCACGTTTGAAACCTCCAGGACTTACCACCTGTATGTCCTTGGTCAAGTTATCAAACCTCTCTACAGCTTCATGTATCCAATCAACAGACGTTTACTAAATACTGTACCGGCACTGGCAGGCAGGCTAGAGGGACTGAAGGGATGTGCAGAGGTTGGTGGAGAGGGTGAGCAGGGCAGAGACTGAGTGTGTCTAAGGAAAGCTGCCAGCTTTAGGCGGCCTGGGGAGCTTCTAGTTCTCAGCCAATCTCTTCCCTGAATGGGCAGCCTATGGGTGAAGGTCCAAGTGGGGATGTGGCTGTAGTGTCTCTTCCTGCCTTTCTCCCATGCCCTGCGGCACCAGGCCCACACTGGAGTGCTGGTGGGAGCCTGCATGCCTGGTTAAAGGGGCATGCCAGAGAGCTTTCCGTAATTGCGTCCTTTCTTTTTTTTTTTTTCTGGTGTATTTATGAGTTTTAAAAGCCCCTTGGCAACCCAGGAAATTCCATTTCCCTCTGCAGCTCATTTATACCTTCCTTGATATATGCCCAGGCACAAACACTTGTGTGTATTATTTGGTTGTTCACGGGGAATCTTGTAAAATCTGAGGCCTTAGTGGGTGCACTTCAGGCTTGAGGGCAGGAGAGGGAAAGGAGCAGAAGGTGAGAAGGTAACCTCTGGCAAGGAAACGGTAACACTTTTAAATCTCCTCTGAAGACCAAAAGCAAAAGAAATGGGCTCAACCTGTAGCATAAGTGTGCTAGAATAGACACAAGCAAGTTTTTCCTGATAGATGTCAAATGCCTTTTTGCCTGTTCACAATAAGCTTTTATACATATGGCCAATTCTCATCTGACTGGGACAAGATGCAGGGAGTGGAATAAACTAAATGTCCAGTGTGCGTAATTGGTGTTGCTATAATTAATATTTTTCAGCCCTGTGACTCCATGAATGCCTCTAACACCTAGAGCAGGCTTGTCCATCCCATGGGCCACTGGCCACACGTGGTCCAGGATGGCTTTGAATGTGGCCCAACACAAATGCATAAACTTTCATAAAACAGTATGAGATTTTTCTTGCATTTATTTTTAGCTCACCAGCTATCACTAGTGTTAGTGTATTTTATGTATGGCCCAAGACAATTCTTCTCCTTCCAATGTGGCCCAGGGAAGCCAAAAGATTGGGCATCCCTGGTCTAGAGCCTTCCACAGTTTGACCTTTAGAGTATCTTGCTTTGGCTTATTCTTTTTCATATGTATGTACTTCATTTTCCAAACCATATTATACTCTTATCATTTTTATTTGTATCCCTACCACGGCCTAAAATAGTGCCTGAATATAGTAGACAATAAGTGTTTGATGAGTGACTAATAGATAACAGCAGCTTCCAGTGTCTGCCAGTGCTTACACTATAATTTATCATTTTTTTCTTAAGGTGACAGAGAACTCTTGTAATAACTCTAATAGCAAGTCTTCTTTTGTGCTAATATATTAATTGAATCATTTATTAACTTTCTAATAATATGCACCAGCCACTGTCAGGCACTAGTTATTCAAAGGAAGACGAGACACAACCCTGACCAGACATGAGGGGTGTTTACCATCCACCTGGGAGATGGGCATATAATTTAAAATGAAATATCGATTGGTAATATATTAATGAAGAGTATATATTCATAATTTAGGACAGAGGAAGTGCTTTTTGCCTGGCCTTAAAGGGGAGAGTTTCGGGGAGGATGTATTTGAGCTTCATCTTAAAGACGAGCAGGAGTCAGCGAGAAGACATGGCAGCGGTGGTGGGTCCTGGCAGAAGGAAGAGCGTGGCCCATAGCATGAGGCACGGGTACGGTTGTGCTTGGGGAGCCCTGAAGAGGCGGCTGCTGAGGAAGGTGGAGCTGGAAACGTAGATTGGAGTCAAAGCACGAAGGCCTTGAATACCCTGGGCAGAAGCTGAGCAGGCAGTCAGAAAGGCCCTGAGGAGACTCGGAAGGGTCACCTGGGGCAGTGGAGAGTGAGGGGCGGGGGAGGCTGGCCAGGAACCATCGCGGTAGGCCTGATGTGGTGGGGGAAAGATTCCTCTTGTGCGTGCTGTCGGGATACATCATGGAGCCTGAAGCATGCCAAGAAACCAAGCAAGGGAGCGTGGCCTCAGGCTTGCCATCCGAGCCATCCAAGCCAGAGGAACCCAAGTACAGCTGCGGGTGAAATGGCTTTGTTAGTTAATATGTAACATGTCGCCTCAATATTGAGCATCTCTGGCAGCCGCTGGGACTGCGGGCGCGTTGTTGGTCACACTGACCCAGACAAGTAGTCAAGGCAGCTTTCACCACAGATCAAGCAAGAGAGTTGGCAGTAGGTGGGGCAGGGTGGTCTCCGTCTGTGTGCACATGGTGCTCAGTGAGTCACATCTGCTCCAGTTGTGTAATCTCCGTGGTCAGTGAAGCAATGCTGTGCGCACAGTTCTGTGTTGTGCCTCTCCCGGGGAAGGGGTGTATTTGGCCTGTGCCCCACCCTAGCCCTCCTTCGTCTTCCCTCTTTCACCACGTCTTCCGGGGCTGGCTTGAGTGTGGGAGTCTTTCTGCCAGCTCCCTGCCTACAGCCGCCCACTCACCAGCCCTTCATGTGTGCCTCTGAGAGTCTTCTTCCTAAACCACCCCGTGCCCTTCAGTCCCCTTGTGAAGCCTGGGCAGTGAACATCCTTAAGCCCTTAGCAGCTTCCCTGAATCCACTCCTCGTTATCCTTCAGGAGTCCTCCCATATGGTCAAGCAGATGAATTCCTTGTTTCTTATTCATGTCATGCCGCTTCTCACCTCTGGCAACCCCAACTAACATGCCCCTCCCTCTTTTGTCTTTCAAGGTTTCATTCAAACCAAACTTCCTTCTTGAAGCCTTCTGCAACCCCATGCCTCTCAGTGAAACGTCCTTCCTTACTGTGCACATGAGCCCTGTGGCACGTGACAACTGTGCCTGGATACCCCAATTTCTCTTTCTAAGGCAGGGAATTTTCTTGTACTTCCTTTAGTCCCAGTACCTAGCAGAATTCTAAAAAACAGCCATTCAGTGAATGTGTATTGATATCAATGATTCTGGCACAGCTGACGGGGCCAAATAAATGCTAAGTAGTATTAAGAGTGATAATGGTTTTTAAGTAATAACAATACCTACCATTTATTCATTGCAATGGGTTGGTCACAGTGCTAGACCCGTTACAACCATCATATGATTGAATACAGCGTAACCAACCTGTGTCTTGGCATTACTTCCATTTTGCAGGTAAGAAGTGACATACCTTGACCAAGGTCATGTGGCTAGTAAGTGGCAAATGTGGAAGTGGGCCAGTGTTCTGCTTCTTGGCCCACACTCCCAACCTCTCAACATGTGTCCTCTGCCATAGCTGCATCTCCCAGATCGCATGGGATTTTTTCATTGTTTTGTTTTTGTGACCACGTTGCTTCCTTATCCCTGTGATTGGGTTTTGCCCATGTCTCTCCTATGAGAGCAGCCTTGGTAAGAAGCAGGGAGAATGGAAGGGATATCACATGCCAGAATGGTCAGAAAAATGAGGTTGCTCAGCAGGTGTCATAAGAACGGATGATTCATGCACTGTGCCTTAGAGTAAAGATGGAGAAATGCAAAGGGAGTGGGGAGCAGAGAGACGCTGACAGATGATGAGTGAGCACAAATGTTTATCCATGCTAATGGAGTGGGGACGTGATAGTCACTCTGTTCTAATGCTTATGAGGAGCAGTCTGTGGGCTGCAAATGCAGGAGCACAAGGAATCTTCACCCTAGTGGCAGGGGAACCTAAAACTCCAGGCTGCAAACAGTGGCTGGAGCATCTCTGTAACAGTCTGGCCTTGCAGATCCAAAAGACAGGTCATAGACAACAAAGACATCTGATATTTCCTGACACTGCCATCCTCTGGGCTCTGGGGGAGTCCAAGATCATTTGCAGCACTGCCCTGGGAGTGGTGACAGGCTGGAGGAAAATTACTGGGGTCTGAAGGAGTGCAGGCCCAGCTTTCCTCTTGCTTCTAAGGCCAACCCAAACAAATAATTGGTGCTGCTTTCAGAATATCCTCACATGGGACCACCACCACCTCCACTAGGCTCTCTGTCCCCAGCCTTCTGCCTTAGGCTTTTCCACCTCACACTACACTATCTAAATTCTCTACCGTAGAGCCAAGGAGTGAGGATAAGGGAAAGGGAAGCCAGGGGTTCTAAGGGAACCAAAGTAGTACCAAATTCCCCCGTTGGTCTGTGGTCTAACAGTACGGAAATGGATAGCCATCTGCATGGGGTGGAAATGTCTCTTCTTTGTAAATGTTCCACTGCCTGAGATTTCACCATTCTAGCTTTACTTTGCTTCCATTATTCCACAGTTTCCAGGGGAAGAGAAAACTTTACCTGGCTAACACCTTGATCAGAATCACTTCATCACAGATCATATACATCCACAGAGATGACTGAGGAAACAGAGAAGAGCTTAGAAAGCCAACTCTGTCTTCATCACCTTTTGGTCTTGGTCCTCCTGCCTTGGGGGTATAACCCTCTCTTAGTTTGTGGGAGAAAAATATCCATGGTAAGAAGAAAGATGTCAGGTCCAGGACAGCAAAGAAACCGCTCAGTAATAGAAGCAACTCCGATTGCATGAGCAGGCTTCTCGAGTGCTGTCCTGTCAGCCTACCGTCCACATTCCTGGTGTCATCAACTCTCTAGGGACAGGAGCACAGAACACGTGGGAGCCGTCACTGCAGGAGCTGTGTTAGTGACAGCAGCATTCACCAGAGGCATTTAAAGGCTGATTGTTTTATCCATAGCATTGTCTGGGCTTTGAGAGAGAAATCCTGCCTGCAACAGGAGAAGACTGAAAAATAGAAAACCATTGGCAGTATCAAAGGGTTGTCATTAGTGGACAAGTACACTGGCTTGATTCACTAGTGCTGTTATTATGGTTGTTATTTTAATTTGTCAAGAGACAATGGGTTGTTGGAGAACATGGGCAGTGGCCCTTGCTTCCAAGGAGGAAAGGCAAAGGGAAGAGAGATGCTAGGGGGTCGTTTCTGTAGAAAGCAGACGCCCAGGTGTGTATTTTCCCCACCACTGCTGAGCCCCACAGCATGGCTTGTGAATTTTACAAGTGATACTGTGACATCGAAAGCATTCCATTGCGTCTTTGTGAGAATCTAGGGTCCTCTTTTATGCTTAGTCTAAGTATCTACAGATAAACATGCATCTATATTATATATGTGTGTGTTTCTCCATACTCTGTGCATATACTTAAGTCTGTAATGTGCATATACGTGTATCTGTCTGAACAGTTGGATATATATAGATGTGTTGCAGCTCTCCAACCTTTACCAAAGAAACAAAAAAAAACCTAAAACCACACACACACACACGTGTGCACATGCAAATAAATAAATAGAGAAGGAGAAGGAAGAAAAGAAAACAGCCAGAGGAGGTTGCTTTTTCTGTTTCAGAGGACCTCAGCAGTTCTTCCCAAAATAGACTTCTGTCCTTGCTGGGTAACATCTAAAGGAGACGACATCACAGAGGGTCCAGGCAAGGGCTGTGGAGTCCGACAGTGGGGTTCAAATACTCACATGTGCTGTTGTGCTTGGTGCGGCAACTCAACTTCTCAAAGCCTCAGTTTCCCCATCTGAGGAAGAGGGACAGTCCTTCCTGGGAAGAGCACCCTGCCCTCCCCATGACAAGTGCTCAGCAATAGTCTCAGCCTTCTTTCACAAGGAACACAATTGCTCATCCTATAGTTACAGCTCAAGTTTACAACGCAAGCATCTCTCAGGTGACAGGGTCTTTTTTTTTAGACAGAGTCTCGCTCTGTTGCCAGGCTGGAGTGCAGTGGCACAATCTCGGCTCACCGCAACCTCTGCCTCCAGGATTCAAGCGATTCTTGTGCCTTAGCCTCCCAAGTAGCTGGGATTACAGGCACGCACCACCACACTCAGCTAATTTTTGTATTTTTAGTAGAGACAGGATTTTACCATGTTGGCCAAGATGGTCTCCATCTCCTGACCTTGTGATCTGCCCGCCTCGGCCTCCCAGAGTGCTGGGATTACAGGCATGAGCCACCGTGCCTGGCCAGGTGACAGGGTCTTAACATGGAGGCTTTCAGGACAGATTTGGTTTATGTCTGCCCTGGCATTCAGAAGGTGACAAGTGGAGCCCGGAAGGCTTTCGGACTAACTTCTGTAGGCCCGTGCCCTCTATGGCCGCAGAATTGGCTTCTTGTTCCATGTTGCTGCTAGTGCTTTTTGTGGCCCCAGCCAAGTCGGTTCCTATCTTTGGACCACAGTGGACCCATCGAGGGGCTCTCTGGAGTCCTCCCAGCCCACCCTTCTGTGCCTGGCCACTCCAATCTTGCAGGACACTGTGCTGGAAACTGACTTCAAGAGTAACACTGTTGTGGCTCCCACCTCCGGGGACTTCATAGGTTTGAGTATGTGTGTGGGAATGTGGTCTGTTTTATTTACTCTTGCTAATGAGGCTGAACGGAGCTAGTGAGGGCATTAAAACATTTTAGTGTTATTAGTTTTAAAATTAGCCCGAGCTGTTAAGGAGAGTCCCTGCTCACTTTGCTTATGTGAGAAAGGGGCTTCTGAATGCCAAGGTTGAATGCCCAGTGTCTTTCATCCTAAAAAAGACAACTTTATGCGCTATGCGTTAGAATGAACAGGGAAACTTTAAATATAATGATATGGGGTGCCTGGGCCCCACCTCCTCCTTTGCTTCACTGGCCCTCCCTGGACATCAGGGGGTGTGGTTTTTGCTTTTTTGTTTTTTAAGTTTTCCAAGTGGTTCTCGTGCAGCCAAGGTTGAGGCCCACCGGGCTAAACTAAAAACGTTTTCCGGTGTATGTGGGAGGCAGGTAGGAGGGAGGGCTGGCGTGCTGCCCAGCTGTGTACCATTTCCTGCTTGGTGGATGCTCAGGGAGTGTTTGCCAGAGAGCTCTCATCGGATGCTTGGCATGGCTAGTTCAGATGCTATGGACAGAGGGGTTCCTGTGGGACCAGTGCTTCTCAGTCCTGAAATCATGATCAGAATCCCCCCATGATCTTTGAGAAAATACAGATTCCTAGGCCTCATCCACATTGGCCGGAACAGAACCTCTGAGGGTAGGAATGAAGAATCTGTTATTCCTGTTATTCTTAGGAATAGTGAAGCTTCCCAGAAGATGCTTTTGATTCAGAAACCACCGAAAGGGGAAAACTTGATCCTCAATTCCTAGGAGTGAAGATTTTACATTTTCCTTTTGGTCATCTGATGGCCCTAGGGTTCACTAGATAGGCCACTTACTCACCATGTGACCCGGACAAGGCATTCAGCCTCTCTAAGCCTCAATGTCATCATTTGTAAAATGAGAGCCATAATGGTTTCTGCTTCCTAAGAGTGTTTCGAGGATTAAATGAGGTAATATGCGTGTTTGGCACATTGTAGATACTCAGTGTGTTCACTGCCATCATCATCATCAGCACTATCATTTTGTAACTCAGATAGAAGCTACACACTGTAAGAGCAATTTCTAAGATTTAAAGAGAATGAAGTAAAAAATTCTGGCTGTGAAGTCTGAGGCAAATCTAGAGGCTAGTGGGGGTAAATTGGTTTTAAACTTGTATCTGAACCAGAAGCTTCTCTGGAGAGAGTTGGAGTAAGATCACACAGGTAATCCTCAAGACCTGTTTGTTAAGAGTACAAAGCCATAATTGGGAAAACAGTGAGGTCCCGATTGTCATCCAGAATGAATTAATTTACATGCACTTATGGAGTGCCTCCTGTTTGCTCAGCTTTGTGCTTGGTGGCATCACATATAAAAAGGACCAGGCCGGGCACGGCGGGCGGCTCATGCCTGTAATCCCAGCACTTTGGAAGGCTGATTGCAGGTGGATCACTTGAATCTAGGAGTTTGAGACCAGCCTGGGCAACATGGTGAAATCCTGTCTCTACTAAAAATAAAAAAAAAAAATTAGCTGGGCGTGGTGGCATGCACCTGTTGTTCTAGCTACTTGGGAGGCTGAGGTGGGAGAATGACCTGAGCCTGGAAAGTGGAGGCTGCAATGAGCTGTGATCGCACCACTGCACTCCAGCCTGGTGACAGAGTGAGACCTTCTCTAAAAAAATAATAATAATACATGAAAAGGACTGGATTCCTTTCTTTCAGGGAATTGGCCGTCTGGTCTGGGAAGTACAATTAGCTCCCTTTGAAGAACAGGAGCAGGACGAGAGGATGTGTAATTAAGTGCTAAATTGTGTCACTAGGACTCTCCAGGGCTAGATGATTCAAGGATGGCAACACAATGAGCCATGGAGGTGGCTGGGGGAGCCTGTTGGGAGAGTAGGGAGGGATCTGGAGCAGGAAACTACAAGCAAATCCAAAGAGATATCCAAGGAGGGTCCTGGGACAAGAGTGACGGCTGAGATGGGGATGACGAGCAGCTGCCCTACCTGGATGGAAGGTGAGGGTCCCTGTTGTCCTGGAGCTGCACAGCCACTTATAACTGGGGTCATCTGGGTCTGTGGCCCCCTGACAGCTGGTGGTAGTCTGCAGGCATACACTCCGTGTCCTGTCGTGAGCCGGTCCTCAGGGCGGCATCTGCCCAGGAAGCCACAGGCACACTTAGCACGGCCCAAGAGCACTATCTGCAGGAGGCGCTTGGCCCCAGGGCTGAGCTGATGGTGGTTGGGTGGGGTGTAGGCGACAGGAGAGCAGGTGGCCTCCTTCCTCTGTGCCATCGCTTAGAGGGTATCGGTAGAACCCTCTGTCCCAGAAGTCAGCTCCGTATCTGTGGGTCTTAAAAACCTTCTGATCCTGTAAAATGACATTTACAAGAATGATTAGACCTTAAATTCTGTGATCAGGCAAGGTCTTAATTTGGGGCCAGCAGTTTAGCACAGAGGCAGGGCAGAATTTCGCACAGAAGGTACCTGATCCGTGATTTGCCCCGGAGGTGAAAATGAGCAAGGTTCTGTTAGTTAAATGAGCATAAGAAATGCAGCAGCCTCATCCGCCCCCCGCCACCCCACCAGAGAGTCACAAAGACGCTCATTGGCATTTTAAAGGCTCAGAGAAGTCCTGCAGAAGAAGTCCTCTTTAGAGCCCTATGTGGCCTGCAAACTGTCTTGACCACAGTACCCTTCTCACATAGTCCCTGTGAATGTTCTGGGCGACCTGTGACCCAGCCTGATCTCCTTTGGAAAAAACTGGAGTGATGAGGTCCTGCCAGACTGAGCCTGAAGGAGCCTTCCATCTGCCTGTTCATTTTCCAAGCCCCAGACTCTGAAAGGAGATTCCCAAGTTCCCCAGCCTGGCCCTGCAGTGGTGGGGAGCCTCAGATCCCAGGTCTGGTTTAATGTTCCTTAGTTGTTAACCAGCTGGAATTAAGGCTGAGAGGAGACTCGTGGGCAGGCTTTGCAATTGAATGAACTATCAGTGTGGTTGCGAGGCTATTTTGAAGACATTTTAGATTGTTTCTGGTTCAGTAATCTTACAAAAAGTATGATCCAACTGATTTATTAGGAAACAATTTGTAAACTTTGGTTCACTTACAAGAAAGAAGTGTTTGGGTTTTTGAAAAAGATACTGCTTTTGAGGCTGGCTGATTTTCGTGACTGACTAGTGTTTATGAACTGAAATCTGGCTGCCTCTGCCACTCAGTGAGCCTCGCACAGTGAATTCCTAGCCTGAGGCCTCATTCTTGCTATTAACCCATTCGCCATTCTCTCCCACTGCTGGGACTTTCGGATGGAGGATGCCTGGCCTGTGTGTTGGCAGGAGCAGAGGCTGACGTCAGGAACATAAGGTCATGCCATAATTGCTGTGCCCCCTGCCACCCCCGCCGCCTCTGCTTGCTAGTGCCAGGCTGCCCAAGTGCTGAGAATGCCAAGGTCACTCTTCCAAAGGAGGCAGGAGGCAGCCGTAGCGTCAGTCCCTTGCCTCGTCCATACTGCCCATCTTCTTCCAAAGGCACCAATTATTGGAAGTTCCTCCCCTTGTGGCTCTGGCCTCTGGGACGCCTGGGGACATTTCCACTTTGCTGGGAGGGGAGTGTCCTCCGGGCCCCTCGGATGCTCCACCAGTGAGCCAGGGCTTGGGATGGGTAGCGTGCCAACAGGGAGTGGCCACTTACCTTTGCTCCTGTATGTGCCCTGTCCTTAGAGGGGTTTAAATACATCAATAGCTTATTCGCCAAAATGTATCCAGAACTATTTTTAGTGCTTTGAACATGTTGACTCTTACATAACATTCATTCAGTATATATAAACTATTCAGTAAATATTCCCTCATGAGAAGAATGGTATTTTGGTCTATTTTGTCTCTCTGCCCTCTGTGTTCTAATTTGGGACCAGGGAGCCTCTCGGCTCCATCCTGGGGTTGGCCGCTCCCAGACCTCACTCCTGCTTTGGCTGGGCTTGCTGCCTTGGCCATGGTGAGGGGCTCTTGCGGCCCCGGGAGGGGGGCCTGGTAAATGCAGAGCCTGCATCACAGCAACAAGTGGGGAGCCCAAGAGCAGGGTGCAGAGCTCCTCCTTCTCCCAGGACGGAGGCGGGAAACCGGCCGTGGGAGCTTCCCTGGTCGGGACCATGTTCCCAGTCCAGAGGGATGTGGTTGCATGCTGGAGCCGCTAGTATGGACTCGTGAATGTGGCTTCCGGTCACAAAAGTGCCTTCCAGGTGGGAAAATGAGTGAGGAAACCTGGATTCATTTGCTGAGGTGCTGTGGCAGAGCACTGCAGACTGGGTGGCTTGCACAAGAGAAACAGGTTTCTTCTCAGGCGGGAGGCTGGAGGCTGGAGATCTGAGATCAAGGTGGTGCAGGGTTGCCTTCTCCCTGGCTTCTCCATGGGTCCTCACATGGTATCCCTCTGTGCGTCCGTGTTCACACTTCCCCTTTCTACAAAGACGCCATTCATGTTGGATAGGATCCGCCCTCATGCCCTCATTTTAACTTAACCTCTTTTAATACCCTACCCCTAGGCCAGTGCAGTGGCTCACACCCGTAACCCCAGCACTTTTGGAGGCTGAGATGGGAGGATCACTTGAGACCAGGAGTTCGCGACCAGCCCGGGTAACACAGGGAGACCCTGTCTGTACAAAAAAAAACAAACAAAATAGTATGCTACCTCTAAATACCATCACACATTCTGAGGTGCTAGGGGTGAGGGCTTTCGCACATGAGCTTTGGTGGGGACACATTCAGCCCATAGCTGAATGTCCATGCTTCTGTCTAACGGGCAAGGCTGCTCTGCAAGGCTGTGCGGAGTGGGCGCCGGGTGGAACTCCAGGGGAGGCACCTCAGTCTGATGTCCAAGGAGGCCCCCTGTGGACGGGCCTGGCCCAGAAAACCTGTGTGTTTCCCACAGGTTTGGGGAGATGAGTTGTTCTGGGGTAGAGACAGGTCTTGTTTGACTTTGCACCCCAGTTCGTATCTGCACATGGTGAGCGCTGGCTTGGCGTCTGGTGTGGAGTGGTGGAGAGAGATTGTGGAGGCACTTCTTGCAGATGGCCCCTGCCTCTTTCCTGGTGAGATGTGGGCTTTTCTTAAGAAAGCTGCAACATGTGCCCCAGGAGATACTTGGGCTCCCTTGCCCGGGGTGCACAGGACGGAGCAGGGACCATTTGCTGTGTCTTCTGTCAGATCTCTGAGGGATGTCCCTCAGGGGCTGTGAACTCTGGTGGAAAGTGAAAAAGTCCCAGGGTGGATTCCAGTGGGCTGCCAGCCGGGCGTGTGTGTGAGGCGAGGTGGAGGGCTTGAGGAGGTGCACGGCCCCAGAAGAAAGCTGGAGGGCGGTCCAGCCTAGGACACGCTTTGGGCTTGCAGTTCCTTTCCTTCCTTCAGGGTCAGGCTTCACCAAGCAAGCCAAGGGTCCCTCTCACAGCAGCGACAGCAGCAACATAAATAGCACTGATATCCAACCCGGCACCGAGGCAGATCCCCTACCACCAGCTTGTTCTGAGAGCGTGAAATCACCTCCATCCTGACACGTTTGTCCCCCTGTGCTTTTGCTGTGCCACCTCCCGAGCAGGGCTGGATTAACTGGATAAAGCTGGAAGAGTAAGTGCCAGCTCCATGACCTGGCCCCAGGGCAGGCAGCCCCTGCCTCCTCCTCTCTGTAAAGGCACAGAGAGCGGGTTGCTCCACCGGCCACAAAGCACATTCCCAGGAGGCTCTGGGCACATCCAGGCCTCCTTGAGGGCCAGCCCTCTGCACCACACAGGTAGATCCCTTCCTGCTAGGACAGCCAGTTGTTTCTAAATTTAAAAAATGCTCCTTGCATCCAAATGCAAGAGCTAAGGTGAGGTTTGCTGGGCATCAACACCTGGGCACAAAGAACAGGTCTCAGGCAGGGCAGGCAGGGTGAGCAGAGGGTTTGGGTGAGAAAAGCCGCCATGCCCGGGGGCTTTATGTTTTTACAGAGCTTTCATTTCTAATGTGACGTTAAATTCTTCCCTAGTTGAACACTTCTCTTGGTGGCTGGCTGGCAGCTGTGTGCGGGTGTTTGCAGGATGATAACTGCCTCAGCATCCATGCCATCCTGAGCTGCTGGGAGGACTGCTGGGCAGAGACTCCTTGGCAGGGGCTCTGGGAGGCATCTGAATATCCATCTTCCCTGATCTCCTGTCCTGCACACAGATGCACACACTGCAGGGCTATTTCTTTATTCAGTTTGGTTTTGCTTTTGCCCCCTAGCCCTCCCTGTGCCCAGTACCTGGGTCTAGGAACATAGAATTTAAAAGCTGGGGCAGATTCTGAGAGCTCTTATTTCAGTCTCATCACTTTACTTGGGAGGAAGCTGAGGACCAGAGATGTTGAGACATGTTCTTAGGACAAAGCAAAGTTTATGGTGCAGCCTCAGGTGGAGCCCAGGTCCCCTGGCTCCCAGCCTGGTGCTCCTTCCCCTGGATGACAGCATATCTGTCCTTCTGTTGATTTGTCCTACCTGGGGTGTTTTCCCCATCCTCATGTCCTTCTTCAGCTGGACATATTTGTGGAGGTCCAGACACAACTCAGTCTGGGTCATTTCTTCCCCACCCCTCAAAAAACAGGTTGCTCAAGGCAGATGCAGAGGGTATGCCTGTAGTCCCAGCTCTTTGGGAGGCTGAGGTGGGAGGATCACTTGAGAACAGGAATTAGAGACCAGCCTAGGCAACATAGTGAGACCCCATTGCTTAAAAAATTTAAAAATTAGCTGGCCATGGTGGTGCATGCCTATAATCCCAGCTACTCAGAAGGCTGAGGCCAGAGGATCACTTGAACCTAGAAAGTGGAGGCTGCAGTGAGCTGTGATTGCACCACTGCATGCCACCCTGGGTGACATAGCAAGACTTTGTCTCTTAAAAACAAAACCCAGATTACTAGTGAGGCCAAATTGTGATATAAGGTTTGTAATAGAGACACTTTTTTAAGGCTGACCATGTGCCAGGCCCTATTTAAATATATTACTCATATTAGCTCATGTAATCCTCATATCGACCTTCTCCACTTTACAGTTGAAGAAACGAAGGCACCAAGAGGTAAGGAACTTGCCAGAAGTTATGCAGCTGAGGGTAGTGGAGCCAGGATTTGAGCCCAGGCAGCCTCACTGCAGTCCTTGAGTTCCTAACCTCAGATGCCTCTCCTCTGAGGGGAGCCCTGCTGTGCTGCTCATCCTGTTGAGTGACAGCCTGCTAGGATGTGAAGGGGACATTGGATACTTCCGGAAGCTGTGGTTTGACTGTGCAGATGGTTGTTTCTCAGGCTCTGGTCCATGGTGGGAAGCAGTGAGTGAGCAGATCAGCCCACCTTCAGCCTGTGCGCTCTGCCGTCTGACACCTTCCACCCTCAGGGCCTGATCACAGGCCAGCAGGCAGCTGGGGGCCCTCTTGGGTCCTCTGTCTTCTCCTGAGATCTCTCAGAGACAGCAGAGAAACGAGAGACCCTGGAAATGCCTCATAGCTAGTTTGAATCCTAGCACTTACACAGTCATAAAGTTAAGTCCTTGTGGTCTTTTATCCTGTAGAATAGAAAATTAAAGGGAAAAGGTCCTAAAAAGAATTCCTCCTCTGCCTGTCCCGTCTTGCCCAAATCCTCAGAATGTCAATCTTTCCCCAAACTCTGCACACTCTTCAAGCACTTCAGAAACTAATACTTTGGTATATCCCAAATTGACTTTCAAAGAACGCTGGATAAAATTTTCTTGTAAAAAGGGTATGTTAGTCAAAAAAAGTTTGAGACACACTGGCTTAAAGTCACGCTAAACAAGTTGATGTGCCACAGGATTTCTCAGGATCTTTGATATGCAAATGTCCTTGGGAGGCAGAGCTAATCCGCAGTTTGGTAGAAGCTGAGCCCCTTCCCCTCCATCTCACATACAAATGAGGAAGTGTTTTCAAGGCCTGTTTGCACTGCCAGTGGCTGTCATAGCAAACTAGTAGCGTCCATTGGCTGTCAGGAATTATGCTGTTGGCACTTCCCCAGCCCCGTGACTAGCCTTAGAGGAAATCAGGACCCCCCTCACCAAAACCAGAGCCCACTCTTAGCCACCTGCCATGGTCTCAGCTGAAGCCATGAGGCACCCCTGCCAGCCAGTTCTTCACACCTCTTCTTGGGCCTGCTGTTGACTTCCCTCCTGTCAGCTCCTGGGTTGTACCCTTGGGATGTGCAAAGCTGCAAATCTGACCTGGACGTTAGGTCATTGGCCCAGAGGACTCAGAGTTGTGTTCTTTGGTCCTCTGGGATCCAGTAGGGCTTCCTGCTTCACTTTCATCTGCTTTCTCTACCCAGGGTCTGAGAAAAGTTTCTTTGGCAAAAGCATTTCATTGCCAAAAAGAAAATCTGAAAGCTGCTGATGTAGTTTAACCTCCTTTATTTAACAGTTGAGGCAAATTAAGGCTCCAAGATGCTGAGACCTGTACAGGATCACACAGCTCCTTGGAAGCAGCTGAGCCAGGACTAGCACCCAGCTCCCTGCTTCCCAGTACTCATGGTCTTTCGGCTGCATAGCTCTACTTCTCTGCAAAGGGTGCTGGGGCCGAGATTCATGGCCTTTAACTATGGTTCTTAAATGTTACTGTGCCGCAGACCCACCCAGGGCACTTTGTAAAAATTACAGAATCATCCATCTTGAAGGGCCAGGGTCTTGGGAAAGTTGCTTCATCTTTTGAGGCTCTAGATGGAGTGTTCTTTCTGCGCTGCTGAACCTGGAGCACTGAGAAGCTTTTCCTGCTCTCAGGTGCATTTGAATTTGCATGGTCTGTTTTACAGGGCAGGAGGTGCAAATTCCTATTGCTTAAGCCCACTTACATAACAAACTGGCCACACCTTCAATTCCAAAAGGCAATGCGGCTGCCCACTATTGCAGACTATGAAAAGTAAGGTAGAAACAAACTCTGGGAGCCACAGAGGCTACTCTTCATGGACTTATTTAAAAGGAAGACCTCTGGCTCTTTCCCCAGAGATTATGATTTAGGAGGTCTGGGGTGGAAGACAAGAATCTGCATTTTAACCAGCACACCCTCTTCCCACCTCCACCCATGTGGTTTTGATGCAGTTCATCCTTGGACTACACTTGGAGAAATACTGACTTACATAGTAAAGAACCAAAACTGTGTAATTATAGGAATCACTCAAACACCCACATGCTAGGATATGAGGCTAGAAATTCAGGTTTATGATTGTCCAAGTGGGTTAGAGAAAGAAGCAAGGCATCTTGATTTTTAATGTGGATAACATGTAGCACAATGATATCATCCTGATAATCTTTTTAAAATTTTTTTTGTTATTGAGATGTATGAATATATTATATATTTTGGATATTAACCCCTTATCAGATATATGGCTTGCAAATATTTTCTTACATTTAAATCTTTAATCCATTTTGAGTTGATTTTTGTTTATGGTGTGAGATAAGGGTTCAACAGCCAGTTTTCTCAGCACCATTTATTGATGAGACTATCCTTTCTCCATTGTGTATTCTTAGCACCCTTGTCAAAGATTAGTTAACCATATATGCATGGGTTTATTTCTATGGTCTCTATTCTGTCATTGGTCTATGTGTCTTGTTTTTGTGCCAGTACCATACCATTTTGATTACTATAGCTTTGTAGTACAGTCTGAAATCAGGAAGTGTGATGCCTCCAGCTTCGTTCTTCTTTCTCAAGAGTGCTTTGGCTATTCAGGCAAATAACCTGATGGAAAAATGGGCAAAGGACCTGAAAAGACATTTTTCTAAAGAAGACATGCAAATGCCCAACAGGCATATTGAAGGTACTCAACCTTACTGATCACCAGGGAAATGCAAATCAAAACCCCACACCTGTCAGAATGGCTATCAAAAAGACAAGCAATGACAAGTATTGATGAGGATATGAAAACAAGGGAATCCTGCAGGGTACACTGCCAGTGGGAATGAAAATTGGTACAGCCATTATGGAAAACAACATGGAGGCTCCTCAAAAAAATGAAAATAGAACTAACCATAGGATCCAGAAAGTCCACTTCTGGGTGTATATCTAAAGGAAATGAAATCTGTGTTTCTAAGAGATATTTGCACCCCCATGTTCATTGCAGCATTATTCACAATAGCCAAGATATTGAAACAACCTGAGTGTTAGCTGGCAGATGAATAAAGAAAATGTGATTTTCTATATATAATGGAATATTATTCAGTCTTAAAAAAGAAGGAAATCCTGCCCTTTGCAACAGTGTGGATGAACCCAGAGGACACTATGCTAAGTGAAATAAACCAGACACAGAGGGATAAACACTGTGTGATCTCAATTGTATGTGGAATCTAAAAGAGCCCAACTCATAGAAGCAGAGAGTAGAACATGTGTTGCCAGGGCTAAAGGGGCTTGGGGGAAGAGGTAATGGGAGATGGGGAAGGGTTATAAACTTGGCAATCTAATGTACAGCATGGTGACTGTAATTAAAAATACTATGCTGTATATTTGAAATTTGCTAAGAAAGTAGATCTTAAGGCCTATGACACCACACACACACACATACACACACACACACACACACACAGAGGGAACTGTGTTATTCAGCTCTATTGTGGTAATCATTTCACAGTGTACACATAAATCATCATGTTGTACACCTTAAATATATACAATTTTTTAATTTGTCAGTTATACCTCAATAAAGCTGGGTAAAACTGTAAACTATAGCTATATTTAAACTACAAAACTGTAAAAATATAAATAAAAGTAAATAAGAAGAAAGTATTAAGCATCGCCTTGCAGGGGGCATTGTGAGTACTGTACTGCATATGCCTGCAGCAATCTGCACAGATATGGCCCCTGCCTTCTGGCGACTTACAGTCCAGGAGGGAAGAAATGAGGAAGTGGAGCAGCGAAACACCAAGTAGCAAATGCTGTGGAGGAGACAGCTGGATCCTAGTCAGCCGGGGAACTGCATGAGTTTCCGAGGTTTCTTAAAGGTCTGTATGGTATCTCTCACCCTCTAGCATTTTCAGCAGGGAGCAGTCTGGTAACACCCTAGTACTACCTGTAGTCAGAGACCTGGTGGCCTGGAAGTCTATAAGATCTATGTTTAAATCTTTCTGTCTGGTCCGCAGAGCTGCTCAGCTCACTGGTTGGCTACGAAGCGGAACACTTGCCATACAAAGCCCTCTGCGATGATTAGCTCATTTAACCCTTTAACAACCCCATCAGATAAGTAGTATTATTACACACAAGGAAACTGAGGTGCTCGGAGAGGCTACATAACTGAACCCAAGTCAGGGACCCCAACTCAGGTTTGTTTGACTCCAGGGCCTACATTCTATTCCCTTCAGTTCCCTCAACAGGAAAGATGGGGCAACATCCTGTCCTGTCCTCTGCCTCCCAGTTAAAAAAAAAAATATATATATATATATATATGTATGGGAATAAAGACTTCTTGATGTGTATCACCAACATATCTAATTTGGTTTTGAATGTGGGGGAGGCAAAATGACATTGACAGATAATAGGACTTACATGAAATTCTGGTTTGTTTAGAGATGCTATAAAGAGCTTGGCATTGTCGACTCATTTGGAAATTCGACTTCCAAAGGAGCAAATGCAAAGTATTTCTCAAGCCCCAGCCCTCCATTTTTAGATCTGAAGAGGGAAACAACAAGGTAGGTAACTGAAAGTCTGGAGTTGTTTCTATTTAGTTGTTCCTAAAGGCAGGGGGATGGACTAGAGGAAACCTGCAAGGGCTTTCGACTCACAGGGTTCTTTCATTCTGTGGGCACCAGTTCTCTGGGCATGAGAGATGCCAAGGAGCTGGTGTGTTTTGGAGAGCTCATGCTCTGAAGCACATCAGAAGAACCAATGGTTGCCGCAAGACCCCCTTCCTAATGCAGATGGAGTTTTCTGTGAATCCCGGAAGGTGCACTTGGGTGGGAGGGAGTTGAGGGGTAGAAAAAGGAAGACAGCCCCTACGTTCAGCAGAACCCAGGGCTGATGTCTGCAACAGCATAAAGTGCCTTCTAGAGTCTAATCCTGGTCATCCGTGTAGCATCTCTTCTTCTCTAAACCCTCATCCTAGGCTTTCTTTCACGCTTATGGCCACACACAGTGAGGCTTTCCTCTCTGCCCGGAATCCACAGGGCATCACCCTTCCTCTGGAGCCAGCTTGGGGCTTTCCTGACGTCAGTAGTTTTGGGGGAAGCCAGTGTCACCTCATCTCTGTCTTGAAGCATATTTAACTTTCCCAAATAGCAAACTCTGGTTCTTTGAGCAAATGACTTCCAGATGCTGGAAGCAGCGGCTAGTGGAATTTTATTGCCCCCAAACTGTGGTTCTGGGCTGCATACTTCTGACATGAAGGTAATTTGGAATGTAAACATTGCAAGACGTGTGCTGGAATTAATTAAAGCAGCCCTGTATTCTCTAAGGCCTGCAAGCCTGCAATTAACTGTTTACATTAACACCAAGCCAAGCAGATCAACCAGAGGATGCAGGGACCCTTGATTTTCACTTTCTCCCTTTACCTTCAGAAAACAGTGAAACGGGAACCAAGCTGACCCATTTCCACAGTCCCAACCTGAGAAGAGGCTGCTTAAGCCATCCTCTCTCGCACAGCAAACAGGCGACAGCGTGAGAAGCCTAACTGGGCATCACGGGGAACCAAGGGCAGGCAGGAACCTCTTCCGCGATATGTCAGACGTCAGAGGCTTCTTTAGCCAGAAATACAAGTGTGCCCTTAAACACGAATGGCCACATTCATGGTGGGCCTGCAGAGAAAAACCGTGGCATCTCATACTTGCCTGATAAAACTAGAAACAGCTTTTGAGAATAATTTTGTAACTTCATCATGGCATTTAAAAGTAGCATGAAAGTTTTGGAGCAGGATGGTGATGATGATTGCATAATAACGTGAATATACTTAATGCCACCGAACTGTAAACTTAAAAATGGTTAACATAGTAAATTTTGTGTTATGTATATTTTATCCCCCAAATAAAAGAGCAGGGTGTTCAGACTATAAAGGCTCTTTGGGATTATGTAAACTAGGAGAACCCCTGGAATAGTCCTCATTTATTTCCCCCACGTAATACAAGAGGGTGAAGTTCTGGCTTCCTGGGAACAGGCCCACACAATGTCAGGATATTTCAGGGCATTTATGTAAAACACCAGAAACCCATGCCCCTGGAGCTGACCAATCCTTCACACCCGCTCCGAGTTTGTTAGAGGGGTGACTCTTTTGGCAGGGAGCACTGAGAAATGCTGATATGTGGTTGCCTTCACTATTGGCTGTAACTATGAAAAGAGTTGCTGGAGGCTACCTACTTACCCTCTCTCCCCCAAAGGAGAAAGACTTCAGTATCCTGCAGCGTGGCAGTGGGGCAGGCGTGCGGGTGTGCACATGCGAGCTGTTCTGTTGTTGAGACTCTAGTTGTTGCCGGTTCCTCCCTCTTTATATGAAGCAAGGCAACACCCACAACAAAGCACTGTAATCTCTCCATTGACCATCCTTCTGCCCTCAGATCAACACAAGGGCCAATTCCATTCCAACAGCATTATACGACTTTGAAAATACTCTTTGTGTCCCGCCAGAACCTCCTCCTCTTCTCTTCAGTTTCTTCCTCATATGACACAGCTTCCAGACCCTAACCACCCTGGGTGTCTGCTTTGGGTGTACAGTAGTTTTTCAGGATAATGCCCAGAACTAAACCCAATACTAATAGTGGTCTGCTCAGAGAGGGGTATGGGAATTTTATCATCTGTTCTGTTTTGACTTCCATATGTCCAACATTATCCCCCAATGTTGCATTTCAACCGTCATACCATCCTTTCCTTAAAAAAGCTTGTGATCATCTGAAGCCTCAGGGATTTTTTTTTTACATGAATGACTGTTGAGCAAGGGCTCCCCAGTCCTGAAATTAGGTAAATTTATTTAACTTAAACTCAGAAATTTACTAGAAATCTTATTCATTATGTTAAAATCAGGGCCTTTGATATCCAGATACTGAGTCCTGACTCCCTCACCCACTGTCCTTCCCTAGCTTTGGGTGTGTCTATGTCTTCATCTGAGTTAGAATTCTATATAGCAGAACTTGATTGAAATGCTGTACAGAATTGGCCTGGGAGTACAGAGACCACCTTTTCAGTTTATATCAATCAGAGTCATGTGGGTGTGGTAAGGCCGCCCTGAGTCCACCCAGCCACCACCATCCAGCTTGGGCTTCTCCACTTTGCTCCCAAGGATTGATGGAGAGTGTGCGAGGACTGGTTAAAGAGATGTATGCTGTGATAGACAGGGCAGGCTAGCAGGGGGATGTGGTGCCTGGCATGTGGCAGGCATCCACTACATTCTGCGGGCTGAGATGGTCAAGGTCATCCCTAGCCTCCTTGCAGGTGATCATTCAGACTTAACTTCCTCCCCACCCAAAAAGTTGCCTCAAAACTGCTCACAAAGTGGGGGCTTTGAGTTTAATTTCTCCTGGAGCCCTCTGGTAGGACACGAATCAGCAGGAAACTGGCTTGCAGGTCTTTGGAAAGAGAAGTAGCCTAAGATTAAGGGCCTAGAAAATCCCCCAGAAAAAAAGAGCATTCCTATAATCAGTGAGGATAAACTAAATGACAGTTTGGGACAACATTTGGTTTCCTTGGTTCATTTAAAACATTGATTCAGAGATTGGGGACTGGCTTTTCCTGACTTAAAAGCAGTGGAGCCCTTTCCCTCTAATGTGGACACATGCTGGTTCCCTCCCTGCCTTAGGGAAGGAGTCGGTCAGGTTGGAGCTAAGAGGGCCCGGGAGGGTCTTTCTTGGTGAAGCAGCATTAGCCATTGGTTGAGACTGAGGCAGACAGGGTTTTAGCTGAAAAGGCTTTTATCGCTTTTTATCTATTGACACTTTTTCAATTAAGGAGTCTCCCCTGAGATGATCTATCGCCTCCCTGTCTGAGCAGGAAATAATTACCAGCAAAGCAGCTCCATCACCTGCCGCATGTTTTCCCATGGCCAGGGAGGCTCAGGAAAATATCAACAGCCTGCCTGCTGCTGGCGGTGCCTATGTGGGCACAGGGCACACGGCCTTTCCAGATGGCCCAGCCCTTTCCTCTGTCTTATCCTCCCCCCCACTTCTTATTCCCTTTGACCAAGGTTTTTATATTATACCCTGTCACCATCAGGGAATCTAGCCACGTCACCTTCTCTCCTGGGCACCTGCTCTTCTGAGGAGCTTGCAGCCTTCTAGGCTGGGTCCATGCCTCCTCTTGTTCCAGGGCCCCCTATACTGCTCATATATTCAGATGCCCAGGGACATGTTCCAGCGGAGGCTACCCAGGATAACATTTCTATCTCACTGAGGTTTTTTTGGAGCCTTCAAAATTCCATGATCTGATATTTTAAAGTAAAAGCTTTAAATATAAATGTCATTGAGGTACAGCACACAGACGGCAAAATGCAAACATTGTGAGTGCACAGCATGAATTCTCACCTCGTGCACACGGCTGTGTCGCCAGCACCCGGGTCAAGACACAGAACGTTACTCACACCTCTCGTGCCCCAACTAGTCACTGCCTCCCTTCCCCAGGAACCACTGCCCTGACTCCTAAATGGCATAGATCCATTTCCCCTCTTGTTGTACTTGATATAAACTCATGAAGTCTATATTTTTGTCTAGATTTCTTGACTCAGAATCATGTTCATGAGATTCATCCATGCCTGTAGTTTTAAAGTTGTTCATGTTCATCGGTGTATAGTATTCCATTGTTCATGTTCATCAGTGTATAGTGTTCCATTGTACAAGTGTGCCACGGTGTTTCTACCCATTCTGTCATTGATGGATATTTTCTGTCTTTTTTTAATGGAGAACATATGCATGTACTTTAATTACCTGTAATGCCTAGGAGTAGAATTGCTGGGTTGTAGGGTGTGTGCCTATGTTTAGCTCAATTATTGCCAGTTTTACAAAGTGGTTTTGCAACTGAGAAGTTTTTTCAATGTAGAAAATGTGAGAACATTTATCTCCTCAGCCCCTGCCGACTTGCCTTTATGAAAGAAAACACAGAGGTGGGGACTTGTGCAAGGTGAGGACTGCTATTTCTTGATTCCTGGCCTAGTTGCCTTTCTATTAGCCTGCAAGGAACCTCTCTTTTGACGGACATGAGAGAAAAGGACACGTCCTCCTCTCTCCCGGGTCACACTTTCCCCCAACCCATTCTATAGCTCATATAATTTTCCACAAAGTGCCTTATTTGAACTTCAAATCTTCAAGGCCAGATGAGCACCACAGACGTGGCCTTTTCTTGTTTATCCAGAGGGTTTGGGGAAGCACAGCTCCCTGACATTCATTGATGGATATCATCTGCAACCGTCTGCTTTCCTTTTGTGCCAACAATCTGGGCACGAGAGAGAGATGAGTGTTTGCTTGAGATTGAATTTATGACAACACGGAACCAGCCTCCATCAGCTAGACTGATGAATGCCTGGGTGAACATGCCACAGTTTGTGTTTTTTCCCCTTCTAGTCGCCACCTTTCTTGATTAGGAAGCTGTGTTGTCAGTGTGCTGACTTATTAGGGAGAAGAATGGGCTCTAGCAGGCCTTTAACCATCACAGTTCTCATTCAGGAAAGAAACGAAGGCAGGTGTTGTACGCCCCGTGCCTCCCACAGAGTCCCGCAAGCTGTGAGTGTCCTCAAACCATCCATCCATCCTCCCTTGAAGGGCTTGGGGGAAGGGGTGTAAAAGGGAAGAAAAAACCCTATTAATTGTACGCACATTAAGTTCTAGGCACTATTTTAGGTGCGTGTGTACAATTTCCGGAGCAAATGAGTGAATGAATGATTAGTTTTAAAATACAATTAAGAGTTTTGCTGGCTTCCCCAGAACAGAAATTTTCTGAGACTTTTCCTAGATCACTTTTAGCAGTAAGAGTGCCCTAAGAATAATGGCTTTTTGGTCAAAGTCTCTTAATGTCACTGAAGCTTGGGAACATGTTCTCATCGGGCAAGAGAACAACAACAGAAAGGAACTGCATTCCAGTTCCTTGTGTATAAAGGTGCTCCTGACCTCTTTGGCCCCAACTCTAAGGGTAAGAATAACCATAAGTTATTGCCAGAGGGCAGCACCTTCATGGACAGAGAGCAGGTGTTTGAGGGTCCCATGCTCCACCCAGGAAGCTGCTGGCTCCACTAAGAGAATGGGCTTTGGGCCTGTTCAGTTTCTACCAATGTGGGGCAGGCCCCCAAAGCTGAACATAGATGGAGACACAGAAGGGCAGAACAGTTAAAAATTTAATTCCACCTTTGCCATCTCTTATCTGTATGGTCTTGAGAAAGTGCCTGTGTTTCTGTGAGACCTTGGTTTCCACATCTGTAAAATGGGGAGAATCATACCTCCCTTATTGGGTTGTTATGAGGATTAAATCAGTCAGTGTATGTAATGTGCAGGGCATGTGGTAAACGTTCAAGAGTGTAGGCTTTTTGTTATTGGAGAAAACATTTGTCAGGTATCTACTGTATGCAGACAGAGGCCAGACATGCCTTCAGGTACCTGCTTCATGCACAGCTGAAGCTGACACATAGTGCTCAGTTAGTTACTTGAGACTTTGCTTTAGCTGACAAGGAAAGCCCTTGGTCATCCTGTATACCGTGCCAGGCTTGGTCTCATGAATAGGTGGAATAGCATGTATATGGTCACTGAGTTTCAGTGGAGACCCCAATGGCCAAAAAGAGAAATCCCACCTTTCTTGTTGATGCCCAAACACCATGAACTCATTAGTTCACCAACAGAAAACTCCCAAGTATCTGCTGAAGTTAGGGCTTGTGCTGGCAGCCTGCGTGACTGTGCGGGTGTGTCCTATGAAGAGCTGATTTGCAGTGGAGACCCATGTGCACAGGCACAAAAAGATGGCCAGGGACCTCGGGGAGAATGCGGACACTACCGGCTGACTGCTGGTGAGACTTGGACTGAATGAGAATACTCATGCCAAGCACCCAGCATAGTGCCTGAAACATAAAAGGAAATTATCTCAGACCTACTAGGATTTTCTTATTAAACAAAACAAAACAGAAAGCAGAAAACAAGTGGTGGCATGGATGTGGACAGATTGGAACCGTTGGGCATTGCTAGTGGGAATATAAAATTGTATCATTTAGAAAAATGGTGTGGTGTTTCCTTAAAAAATTACAAATATAATTCTCATACCATCTAACAATTCCACTTTTGGGTATGCACCCTAAAGAATTGAAAGCAGGGCCTCAAAGAGATATTCGCACACCCATGTTCGTGGTAGCATCACTCACAAAAGCCAAAACGTGAGAGAAACCCAAGTGTCCTTGGACAGATGAATGGATAAGCAAAATGTGAAATGTGATTGCAAGCTTTAAAAAGGAATGAAATTCTGATCCATGCTGCAACATGGATGAACCTCGAGGACATGACGCGAAGAGAAATTAGCCAGTCACAAAAGACAAATTCTGCATGACTCTATTTGTATGAAGTGCCTAGAGTAATGGAATTTATAGAGATGGGAAGCAGGATGACGGTTTTCAGGGGCTGAAGGGAGTGGGGAATGGGGAGCTATTGAAGGAGTACAGAGTTTCAGTTTTGCAAGATGAAAAGCCTTCTGGAGATCAGTTGCAGAGCAATTTGAGTGTATATAACACTCCTGAACCACATACTTATACATGGTTAAGATGGCAAATTTTAATGTATTTTCCCACAATTTTTAAAAATAATTAAAAATTTAAAAACACAAAAGGAACTCAAATGAATACTTGCTGTATCTGAATCCAGATGAACAGAAGAAATCCCTCCAAGCACTGTGGCCCTGCGCAGGCCAGAGGCTCTGGTGGCGATTGGATGTGGGAACACAGTCTGGGTGGAGAGGAGATTTCAGGAGAGAAGAGGAAACGGCGCCATCTCCTTCATTTCATAATCACACTGAAAGCAGCCCTGGGAGAGGTGAGGATGCAGTGGCTTGATCTCATCCTAAGGAATAAATAACTGGCATCACATTTTAATTAGTGGAGAAGCTCCGGGAGCCAGGCCTGAGGAAGTGCGCCTTCTGCCGGTGCTCAGAGGCAGACGGGGAGAGCAGGGGGCGAGCCGAGGGTCCAGGACATTTGAAGGGTGGTGGGTAGGAGTGGTGCTGCGGATGGCTTGGTCTGACCGGCCCAGGGTTTGGAATAGACAGAGTTTTTCTCACTCAGTTGACCTAGTTGACCTTCCCCTCTGAGAAAAATTCGTGAGGCATTTAAAGAATGATCTTTGCGCCCCTTGGCCTGGGCGCTCTCCTTCTGGGGCGGGAACTCACAGGATGAGGGAGATTTTGTTGGAGCTGTGGAGTGTAATTACAGGCCTGACAGGTGGCAAGTCAGAGGGAACATCTTACTCTGCAGCCGCTGAAACAATGATTTTAAGCAAGGCGACAGCGGAGAATTCTCCCTATTGTGCAGGGCAACCCTGTTGAGCCATAAGCCAGCACCACATCCCCAGTAAAATCAATCCCAGTGGTGGAAGGAGGCCTCCATCCGTTGGACCTGGCACCCAGCCCACATTGCTCAAGAGCTGTCTCTGGGCCTGGTATATGCTACGCCCTGTGCTACGCTTCTGTAAGCATATGGCTCCTGCCCTCAAGGGGCGCAGAGTCTAGAGAAGGCTCTGCTAAGGGTCCCAGAAATCAGAGGAGTCAGGCTGAGTGCTGATTCCCAGCTTGGAGGAGTTTACAGATCACCAGACAGGCAGGCGCCACACGGCACCTAGAATAGTGTTGGGCACGGACTAGGTACCAAAGAAAGAGAATGGAGGGAGAGAGGGAAGGAGGGAGATGGCATGGGGATGGAGGATGGGAAATAGGGCAGGGAGACAGAAGGTGGGGGACAGGGAGTGCGGGGCTAGAGGAGCGGGCAGAGAGACAGGGAAGGAGGGAGGGAGGTGGATGGGGAGGGTTGGATAGAAGAGAATGGAGAGAGAGAAGGAGAGGGAGGAGAGCAGGGAAGGAAGGAAGGCAGGCAGGGAGGGAGGCCTACTCCTCTAAATCCTCAGGAAAAGGACTGGGAAGCTCAGAGTTGAGCTCCTTTTCTGACAATAGTGGTGTTTCCAAGGACCAATCTTTACTCTCCAGAGTGGGGCTTGTGAGTCTCTCACCCCAGCTGTTTCCTGGGGCTGTGAAGTTCATCGGCTCCTTTTCCTACCCCATCACCTACCTGTCACCTGTCCTGGGCAGGCAGGGGTCCCCACATATCACTGCACCCTCGTGGGCTCCCCTGCCCTGTCCTGGCAGTGTACATGATGAGCAGCTTACATGATGTGTAGTGTACATGGGGGCGGCGTGCATGGTGGGTGGCCTGTGGGGGCAGCGTGCATGAAGGCGGCATGCATGGGGGTGCCGTGCATGGTGGGCAACATACATGGGGGCAGTGTGCTTGGTAGGCAGCGTACCTGATGGGTGGCGTACATGGGCAGCGTACATGATGGCCAGTGTACACGATGAGCAGCCACCATGCATCAGGAGGAAGAGACCTCGCTCCCACGCCACAGCCCCAGGCCCCAGGCCCCTGACACCCTGGCTCCGAACCCCCAGCAGCCAGCGGGTGGGTTGGATTCCAGGGTCTCCACTCAGGGGCATTGCCGGGTGAGCCTGAGATAAGGGTGTAGCTCTGCTCATTTCTGGAGGTCTCCACACACCCTCCGGGCAGACCTCATCTTCTTCAGACATTTCTTTTACTCTTTGGCTTGCTCTTGCTGTGTATTAAATTTGATCTGGGGTGTCTGCAAATGTTGGTGCTCACGGGGGTGTGCTGGGCCGGGAGAGGATGAGCATTCCTCAAGAAGGGAGACAGCAGAGCACTAGATGGGAAGGGGCTGGACCCTGAAAGAGCCTGCCAGGTATCCCCTTCTAGCAGGAGGGGCCCCCAGACATTTCACTTCATTCCTTAGGTGTGAGTCATGTTCACATTTCAGGGAAAATGCACATCCTTCCCAGAGCTGAGGAAGCCCCATGAGCTATTCTGGTCCTGACACCGGCTCCCACCCTTTAAAGCTCCTGTCCCTGGGGGTTTTGCTGCAGGATGGTCTCTGAAGTCTGCAGCCAAGTATTTCCCTTCCCTTCTTAGAGGGCCACGTCCCTGGCCTCTTCTCCAGCCCCGGGGATTCAGGCCATTGGGTGTGTCCCCTGCCTGAGGATAAGCCACAGTGTTACTGACCTGGGCCCCTGACTCCAAATTGAGCATTAGATTGGGTTTCCAGTGGTTGGTCAGTGCCATGAAAATCTTGGACTTCAGGTCCTGTGGGATCCAGCTACCCTCATCCTAACTCCCTCCTTTGACTTTATTCCAGGCTGACAGAGCAGCCTGCAGTTCCACCCTCTATAGCTGCCTCTTGGCCTTGCTTTTGTTTAATTCCCATGTATTTGTTGAATATGTATGCATATTTTAGCAAAAATAAAAAGTAAGCAGAACCCAAATACCAACACGTCCTAGTCCATCAGGTGGCAGTGTATGTGCTCTCAGTCTGAGAAATATACACAAGTCATTAAATAGCAATTATTGTAATTAGCAGAATGTACACGTGATTAATCACCCTCTGCCCCCGCTCCTCCATTTACCTTGCCTGTGGCATTAGTGGATACCGTAAGGGGCTGGGAGCCAGCTTGTGGTATAGAGGAAGGAGAAGGGGAGGGCTGGTTTCTCTGGGGTTTCTTTTCTCTCTGGGGGTGGATGGTTCTTTCTGTGTTACTCTGGACCCCCTCCAAGGCCACCTCTTCTCTCCTCCCTTTCTCTGTGACCCATCCCAAAACACGGCTTCCCTCAAGAAAAGCTCTCTATTAAATCAGCAGCTTGGAGGTGTGCAGTCTCAGCCAGGCATTCAGGCCAAGGCAGCTAGGGGTAGGAGCAGGAGACAAAAAGGATGAGGTTCCTGGGTGCTTGGAAACCCTCATTCCCTGCACCTATGGCTCGGGGATAGTCACAGGTCCTGGGTGACCTGCCAGACAAGCTAGACCATCTACAACCCTGGGGGGCCCAGAGGAGGGGCTTCCATCACCACACGGATGCTGCAGCAGCAGCTGTGTAAGGCAATGGATGGCTGAGGCTGCAGCCTATAATCACGTATTTACAGTTGCTGCATTATGGAAAATTAAAGGTGTGTGAGGCACAGCCTCTTCAGCCAACAGAGGCTGTCTGCTTGGGCTCAGCTCAGGCAGCCAGTGTCACCTGCAGCTGGAACTGCTTCAAATCCTCCTACCTGTCCAGGGGAGGGGCTTTTTCTGGCTTCCAAGGTGGTCGTTGGGGGGGTGGGGGAAGAGCAGGTGCCTGTACTCACCTTGGCTCCTCCTTTGTTCCTGGGTGGGATGGATTTGTTCTGTTTTCTGTCCACCTGTTAGGGCAACATAGCTTTTGGAGTCCCATTTTGAGCAAGGTGCATTAGCCTGGCTCAGTTCCTTATCTGTAAAATGGGCACTTGTACCCATCTCGTAGGGCTGATGGGATGATTGAATGCAATACTGCTTAGCCTTGTGTTTACATTAATTAGTTTATTAATTCTGGTGGTTTGATAAATATTGAGCACCTACAGTGTGTCAGGATGAATGACTCTAGGCTCTGGGGATAAAGCAGTGGCTGAGATACAGCTTGCATTTAGTGGCATGTGTGAGCATGTGTGTGGGGAGAACAAACAACTAAGCAGGTAAACAAGTGAATAAACAAGGTAATTTCATATAGCACTAGGTGCCATGAAGAAGGTAAAGTCATATGGGCTGGGAGGTGCGGGCTCTGAGAAGGTGACATTTGAGCCGAGACTTGAATGAGGATGAAGTCCTAGCCATGTGAAGATCTGGAGGAGAAGTTGCCAGGCAGAGGGAACAGCTCGTGCAAAGTCCTTGGGGCAGGAATGAATGAAGTCTGTGATTATGTTGTGATGGCAACTGGTTCCTTCCTCGAAGGTAAAGTCTGGATCAAGTTTGCATTAAATCCCAAGGTGACCTGGTGGTATACATCAGAGAATCTTCCACCTGGGAGTGAAGGGCTGAGTTCTTGGGAGGTGTCCCAGATTAGCCTGATCTATCAGAACTAGACGCAGCTGCTGAGGCTCATTATTGTGTTCAATAGCCAAAACTAATTTATTTATAGGGCATTATTAAGAAATCGATTTAATTTGCACTTTGGGTCAATTGAGTTGCTTCACACTTGTGTGTGCACATTGTTTATCTTTACAAGTTATTTTCCGTGCACATGTGCCTGTGTGGGTGATGAACAAGGAGAAGTGCTTGAGAGCCCGGGAAAGGCACATCTGCCTACAAGGTGAATCGGGCTGAATCACAGGGGCACTGGAGCCACCCCCAGATGAAGACATCTATTTTCAATGAATGTAGTAAAGCTTTTCCTAACTTCAGAAGCCAGCAGGTGGACTAAGGGCTGGGAGGGCCCGAGGGCCTGCCCAGCACATTGACTCTGGAGACTACGCATTGTATATTCCTGCCACCGTGGGAGACTCCCAATGGCCACCAGTGGTCATGATGCCCGGGCATGTGTGGCGCTGTACAGTCATGAATCACTTCCATCTGCACGATCTGCAGGCTCAGAACAGCCCTATGAGAAGGCAAGAGAGAAATCATCTTCTCCATTTTACAGATGAAAAATGAGGCTCTGAAACCTTAGTGGACTGTCCAGGCTAGAAACGGGACCCTCCCAAAGTCAGGTGTTCCTCCCCCTTGCCTCCCTCTCTCCCTTCCTTCTGCTCACCCCAAATGCTTTGTTGAGCCCCTTCTTACCATGCCGCGTTGCACGGCAGTTATGCTGTGGCATTGCCACCTGCCAGCTTGCCTGGGCTCGAATTTCAGCTCTATCCCATAGCCTGTTGCATGAGCATCTGTCTCACGAGGTTACCTTGGAAGTTAAGTGGGTGAATACATGGCAGGTACTTAGAGCAGCGCTTGGTCCATAGCAAGCACTCCACAAACGTGAGTGGTTGGGTGATGAAGTGGCCCTCCGCCTGCCTGCTGCACCACGCTGTCCCGACGCTGTCTGTTCTGAAGGTCCTCACCACTCCCCATAGCTGTGGTCCAGCCCTGGTCTCTGAAGTTCTTCTTTCTTGTCCTCTCCATTTACCTGCCTGTTCTCTGTGACGATCCTCAAGCCCTATGCTCTTTCCCCATCTTCTCCCTCCCCGCCTTCCTCCTTCCTTCCCTGTTTCTCCTCTCTTCTTTGCACACACGGGAGACAGCCAGACACGGCTGTAGCTCTTTTTCAGCCGACCTTGCTTCCTCTATCTCAATCTGGTAATTCACAACCCTAAGGAAATTTGAAGTTCTGAAGATGTTCTTTAAGCTCACAATCCAGAAAATAATAATTTTTTAAAAAGTATTTCAGCAGCCTTCACTGGCCACAATGTTGAGGGGCTCTGCTCCCCCTGGAGAGGTCTCTCTAGCCTAGATATGCTGGGGTTCACTGCCTGCAGCTGCACCTTGGCAAAGACCAAGGGAGGAAGTTGGGCCTGTTTGTGGAATAGGAAAATAGTGGCAGAATCTGAGAGGACGGTGAGTGTCGCCATCAGAATAGGATTAGAGTAGACCCACATAGGAGGCGGGATCTTCAGCTGGCCCCACCACACCTACCCCTCACCACCCTGTCCTCCCCTGCAGTGCCCACACACTGAGCTTGCTGCCCTGGACCTGTCCCCTGCGACCCTCAAAAAACCAGACCTGAGGCAGCTTCCATCCCTGCCCAGTGACAGCTCATCCCACAGTTTATCTTCTGCGAGCTCATGCTTCCTGTTCCTGGGTTGTAGCCCAGCACATGACCAGGAGATTTGGGGAAATGGTGCATTAACTTCAGGGTGGGTCTAATGGAGGCTGCGTAGGGCATTGTGGGAGTCCGTGCAGGGAGGAGCTTTTGGTGGGGGAGGGGGTTGGGGCAGGGACCTCTGTCTCTGTCTGGAATCAGAACCTCCCCCTGGTTCCCAGCAGAGCCTAGACGGATGGGGGCGTACAGTGGGGTAGTGGTGGTGAGTGAAGGGCATGGAGAAGATGAAATCTGAGTCCTTCCATTCCAGTTCTCCATCGCAGGAGCCGGGTCTGTTTATCTGGTGAGTCTGGCTCATGTAGTCAGTCTGGACATTTCCATTTGAGAACAAGCCAGTTGGCTCTATATATAACCCAAATGTCCAGAGAATTGTCAATCCTTCCCTTCAAGTCTAAAAATAGGAGAGCAAGTCCCAGTTCTGATGCTTAAAGATGACTCACTCTAGCCACTCTAGCCTCAGTTTCCCTCAAAAGCCCGGGGGATGGGGCTGACACCTCAGGGCTTCCATGGGCCTGGCACAAAACGTGAAACCACCTCACAGGGCCACAGACACTTAGAGGGGCCTGACAAGTGTTCATTTCTCGATTCATTTTGCTTTGGGGAGATTTTGGATTTTTTGTCATCTCATTTCTCTGGACCAAGAAGGGACAAGCCGCGCCCTTGCTGCCCGAATCTCCACCTGGTGGCACCTGAGTTTGTGCCCAGATGACACGCTGGAGTTGTCCTGTTTTTGTCCAAGACCATTGCACACATGCCTGAGGAACACACAGCAGCCCTGGGTCCCGCGCTTGCACTCGGAGCTGCCCGGGCCCCGCCTCCCCAGGAGAAAAGGCTCCCTGAGCTGCACCTGCTGGAGCAGGCATGCTGCCAGGACCCTGATGTTTCAGCTGCTTCTCTGCTCTGTGATTCTGTCTGAAGTAGGAAATAGGGCAGGCTTGCTGGTAGACTCCAGAGGTCATTAAAAATATGCAAAGGAAATAAACAGGCCTCCATCAATCACTTCCTTGGCGGGCTTGCTTGGAAGGGTGGCTGGGGAAGGGCATGCTGGGTCTGGGGCACAGAGCTGGGCCTCTCGGGGGGTTTGCTGTCTGTCTTGCTCTCCATGTGATGAACTCTGTCAGGAAAATGCCATGGAGTACCTACTACGTGCCAGGGACTGCGCTGGATAGCTTTCTGTAAGCTATTTAGTCGTTACTGTTGCCTGGCGAGGAGTGAATTACTGTCCATTTCCACAGATGAGAACACTGAGGCTCAGAGAGGTTAAATGACTGACAAAAGAGGTTAAATCACACAGGTTTAGACCCAGCTCTGGTTTCAAAGCTCTGCCTGGACCTGGGCTCTCTTTCCCAAGGTCTGTGCCAGCCGAGAGCCCTCTGCAGTCCTGTAAAGCGGATGAGTGTGCCGCCCTACCCTGGCTCCCATCTCCTATGCTCTGTGTGTCACCTGCTGTCCGGAGGCACCCACCCTCACTACAGCCCCTCCTGGGCAACCTCTGCCCACCATCCATACTATCTGGTCTCGAGACCCATTTCCTCTGAGCTGCTCTCACATTGGAAAATTATCCAAGAAACTCTCTGATACAGTGAGAATACCTGGTCGGGAAATAGTAGATTAGTTTACTAGGGGAGCACCTTGTTTTCACAGAGGCAACGTGTTTTAACAGAGGACTCCTGGAACCAATCCTAAGAAGTAAATGTCTAATAGTTGAAATTTGTTCTTTTTGGGTACATGGTATATGGTTTATTGGAAGGAATATCGGCTGTAGAGTTACATATCAAATCCCAACCCTCACTTACTCGTTGTGTGAACTTGGACAAATTATGCAAACTCTCTGAGCTCCCACTGTACCATTTGTAATACGGGGATAAGTGAAGTTACGCACACAAAGTGCACAGCACAGAGCCTGGCATTCAGCAGGACCATCAATAAATATGAGTTTCCTTCCTTTCCCTTTGAGGGCAAACAGGTTTTGCTGCTTTCCTTCAAGTCATGTAATAGCCACCAACTTCACTTATGCATCAGCCCAGCCCTGGCCATGTAGACAAGGTGGTGGTGTTCTGTACCTTTCGTGAAGGGACACTCAGGCCACGAGCTCTGCGGACAGCAGGAAGTTTTCCCTAGGCCAGGGAGGAAGAGGGGGACTGAAATAGGACTTCCTTCAGACATCGCCACCAGCCGCTACTGTGTGTGCGAGCTCAACTGGCTTTTCCCAAGGGGCCCTTCATTCCACTCACGGCAAACATCAGCCTGGCCAGCCCCCTGAGGACGGCTGTGAGGAAGGGCACACAAGGGCCTGCAGAAACTCTGGGGGCAGCAGGGGGAGGCAGGACTCACCCACATTTCAGGGGGAGCGTTTTTGTTCTTCATCATCAATTTTTTTCAGAAGGGCTTTTGAGGGGTGGACTAAAGGAGGCAGGGAGAGAAAAAGGAGGATGACGAGGGAGGAGAGAGAGAGCAGAGAAATGGTGCATAAAGGGGGCAGATAGTTAGGAGGATAAAGGTGGACGGTATAAGCTGCCCTTCATTCAGAGGGAACGCGCTGATCTCATGTTCATTAACCATCAGCTGGGAATCTTGTTAAAACTGCACATTTTGAAAACTTAATGCAAATCTTTGAACTTTGATTCAATAAGTCTAAACTAGGGCCCTAGGAATATGCATTTTAACCAGCTCTTCTAGCAATTTGGATGTAGATATTTGGAGACCACACTTTGAGAAGTACAGAACCTTCAGCTGGGCCCTGGAATGGAGATTCTCGAAAGTCCCAGGCTCCTTTCCCTGGTAAAAGCAGATTCTTTATCTCATTAGAGGGGCTGCCACTGCCCTTGGACTACAGGAGCTATTTTCCAGGAATGTAATCAGGCTTGACCCCTGCCTCCTAGCTCTCGCCATGCTGTGTCTCCTAGTAAATACCTGCCTGCAACTCTTGGCATTGTTTTTGGCCTTGAGGGCCCAGCCTGTATTTCACCCTGTTCTCAAGGCCTGGCTGCATTGATCAGCCCACTGGATTTACTGCCTGAAACAAAGCTTAGCGTGATACTTGATCGATCTCTCCTCATTTCATGTCACTCAGAATGGCTCCTGCTGGAAGGTACCTGAGAGACGATCTGGTTCAATTGTCCTTAACCAGGGTAGGCATCAACAACTGCTTGTGAAGCTTTGTAAAAATAGGCAGGGCCAAACTCCAGGAGGCTCCTGATTTGGTGAACATTCTCTCTATAGTGCCATGGCAGATATATCAGTTACCCTCTAGTATTCATTCTTGCCTCCTTCTTCCTCTGCTGGGAATGTGGATGTGATGGCTGCAGCTTTAGTTGCCATCTTGGACCATGAGTAGGAGATGATCAGCTAGTGAGCTGGAAGCATCTGGTGTCCACAGACTGAGTGGAGTAGACTGTTCACCTCGGAGTTTTACATAAGAGAGAAGAAATGAACTTCTATGTTGTTTAATTAACAAAAAAAAAGGAAGCCCAGACCTGCTCCTTGAGATTGAGGTCCTGGATGCTGAATTCCTGTTCTTCTCAATTTTCCGCTAGCTTTGTAAGTTATTTGCAGGTAACTGCTGTACGTATACTTCCTTTGCAGATCTTACGAAATGAAACACACTGCCAGGCATCTACAGTCAAACAACAAACACTTAGCTGACTGAGCAAGTGGTTGATTAGGTTGCCTATCCTCCCCTTTCTACTCAAAGAAAATGGGGTTCATTGGTAGCGTCAGGAATTCTGGGCTTTCTTCCTGATTCTGATTCTGATTTCGTTCTGTGCCTTGGCATTCACTGTGGTCCACGGTAGAATGACAGTCTTTAACCAGACGACCTCCACACTCCATCCATTTCTAACATTCTGACCTAACGGTAGTTCTGAGAGGTGTTCGTGTGGTGTGAGCAGGAACTCGGAATACGTGAACCTGATTGGCTAAGCTTACCTTGTGGTTGGTTGACAAATGACTAGGAAATGGATGGAGTTGAGGGTTGATGCAACAGCGTAATTACAAGGAAGATGGTGAACTTGGAAGGTTGCCTTGCCAAAAGCAAAACGAAAATTCAGTTACCTCATTATAGGTACTCATGAAGGAAGATGGTGTCAGAGGAAAAATCGGCATGACTGGACCTGCTGAGGTGAAATCACTGGGAGGTGAGGTTGTACCTGAAAACTGGACCTCAGTGGAAAACCCTCAGATGGTTCCTCACCTTACTTCCTCCTTCACCTATGGCCTGTTCTCCTGAATATCCAGTTCAAAAGATGAGATCATTTAATTACTCTGTAGGAGAACATATCTTCCAGATGCCCTAGATAGGGGGGCAGTTCTTTGCAGAGGAAGATTTTGATAGAACTTCAGCCAAAAGAGTAGTTTCATTAGATCTGTCAAAGCGGCAAGGCTGCTGGCTCCTTTTCTCCCCGTGCACTGAGAGTAGAGAGGGTGCTGGCTGTAATATCTCTTGCCCCCCAAATGATCCTTGAGCTTTCAAGGTTCACAGAAATTTCCTGGATGCCCCAGTTCTTTCTTCTTAGTACCTGGGTAGCAGAACCTCCCTGGGGATACTCAGCTCCCTTTATTAGAGAGCTTCTGCCCAGTGAGGCTTTGTGCCCAGGTTTAACATAAGTTCCTGGGGTGCTGTGATAGCAGTGAAGTCACTAGGATTCTAGCATTTTTGCCCCCTTCTTTTATTTTAATTTGTCCAAAGGTGTGACTTAGTACTGACCCCAGAATGGGTGTTAGAATGAGCTGAAGCGATGGGTGGATTAGTCAAGTTTAGCTCCAAATGCAGCCCTGATTGTCTGCTTTTGTTCATTCTCCCTAGGAAAGGCATTAAGAACCCCAAAAGTGAACATTAGTGAATTATCACTCTTCAGACCAACTGGAGCAGCTTCAGTATGGAAAACATAGGTGGGCATGGGCTTGATAGATGAGTTTTATGGAAGCTGAGAACTGAATCAATGAATGCCACTTGGTCTGTTCTTGGGCCATTTATTCGCCATCTTGGTGCAATTAGACAAGGATGTCTAGATGGGGGCTTTTACTGTGTCAGCTTCAATTAGCAAGTCATTTTTAGTTGTTGCTAATGCATCTTCTTTATTGTGCCATTGATCAATTGCAACATTCACTTTGACAGTGTGGGTAGACAAGGCCACTCAAGGCAGCCTCCACAGAATGACTAAGGAGCAATGCGGTGTCTCATCTGGGACCAAGTGGAATTTGTCTGTGTAATAATCAGGTGAAATTGAGTACTGCTTGTTGTCACCCTTGTTCTATTTTTACCTCTCGGATTGATTTTTTCAGGATCAATGACAGTATGGGCATTAACAAAATTTGCTGTGGATGCCTCCTGGTTTTGTGATAGATAACTAAAGATAGCACCCTGAATAGCAATGTTGGTATACAATGGCTTCCTGGTCCTGTTGGCCACCTACTGAGTCTACAAACACCGCAGATCGATGCTGCTGGTCTAATGACTGCATTTCAGTCTCCACCCATTTTCTCTACCAGTATCATGTTCTTTTCCTGTATGTAACTTTGGAATGGTTTTGATTAGTGGAATAACAGCATCAACAGTTTCTACCGTTATTACAATTTTTCAAACACATGGAACTCTGTAATGCATTAGCCAGAATTAGGTGCTCTGTCTTGACATTACCTAGCTGTTTGCCCTACTCAAGCCCAAGTGTGGAAACTTGCTCATGAGGAAGAGTCCCTTCACCTGCAGTGTCAGTGCACCACCAGCCAATGCAGTGAGGGCCGATGCCTGTCCCCATCAATGAACATCATTCCTTTGTGCCTCTTGTCAAGCAAGTGCATCCTATTCTGCACATGCCACATGCTCTATCCCGACTTGTCACTTTAGGCTCTTCCAGTCTACCCCCCAAAAATAATAATAATTCTTGATTTTAGCATTTTGGCAAAAGGAACCGTTTTTGCTGCTATAGATGTTGTGTGGTTGTGTGATTATGGGGACATGGTGAAGAGTCCAGTGTGCACTTTATGAAGTTCACATTAGAGGAGAATAAAGTAGGAAAAGGGGAATGACCTAAGACAAAAAACAAGTGGCAGCTGGGCGGCTGTGACTTCACTCTCATAGTCCTTGTAGTGAATAAACTCCCCTAGGAAAGGGCCGTGCTGCAGAATGGCAGCCACTTCTTGTGAAGGCCATGACAGCTGGATTTTGCTCCAGGAGGATTAGAGGTCTGTTGCTGGAACAGTTGAGCCCCAGATGGAATAACGTTAGTTGGTTTACATTTAGGGGCCGTGTTGTTTGAAAATACATATCTTTAAACACTGGAAACCCACTCAGTGTGGTGAAGAAGGCCACAGGAACTAAGAAAGACAAGCTGAACAGCTGTCGGGGTCTCCCCACTCACATGGGGTGGACATATGCTGAGAGAAGGGTGGATGGTACCACACATCCTGTTTGAATTGCATCCTCCCGCCCTCTCACCTTCCCTCCCTCTCCTTATCTCATAGAGGAATTTGCCTACGTAGGTCAATGCCATGGGGCTTGACCTGAGCATGAGATGCCGGGGAAGACCTGCGTTCTCGTAGGAAATGTATCGGTGTGGGAGGCCTGGGGTACGTGAGCTTGGAGGATCACCTCATATTGCTAAGCCTCATTTTCCCATCTGAGAAATAAACAAGTTAACATTAAAAACAAGATAATTTGAAAAAGAATAATAACTAAGATTTATTGAGTTCCTCCATGTGCTAAGCACTATTTTAAGCATTTAAGTGTTTTGACTCCTTTAATACTCATGATATCCTGCAAGGTAGGTGCACTGATTAGCCCCATTTTACAGGTGGGAAAGCTGGCGACTTGATTTGAATCCAGGCAGCCTGGCTTCAGTCCAGAGGCCAAGTGCTTAGCCAGGATGCTATTTTTCCAATGTCCTAAATTATGTGGGACTAGGAGAGAAAAACAGTTTTACCCTGCAACCTTTATAAAGCCCACTTGGCCAGATGGAGATACAAAAAGCAATTTCTAAAAACAACAATGATAAATCAGTGATGAAGGGAAGGATTATATAATAAATGGTGCTAGGACAATTGGTTAGCTGCTTGGAAAAAATATCAAAGCGATTTGGATCCTCATCTCATACAGTTTGCCACAATATATTCCAAGTTGATTAAATAGATTAATGGAAAAAGAAGAAGAAAATAGAGTATCAAATGTCTGACTGGGGGAGGACTTTAATAGCTCAAAACAGTGAAAGAAATTACAAAAATTGGGGATAGTTACAACTTTAAAAAACTGGAAGTCTCTGCATCAGGAATAAAAGAGCAAACAATAAATTTGGGAAAGTACTTACCACGAATGTAGTATTTTTCCTTAATATCCATATTTAAATATGTATCTAAAGAAATGCGAAGACTCTGATAGACAGGTGTGCAAAGGAGCCGTATGATACCCTAATAACATTTGGAAGTGTTCAACCTCAGCAATAATTTAAAAAATTCTAATTTAAAAAGAAATACCATGTTAATATGATTATATTTATTCATCTATATCATATGTACATGTATGGATGTATATATAATATGGATTATGTACATACACACATATGTACATATCCCAACTCGAGAGCTGCTGAAAGGACTTAGAAATAATGACACCCCTAGAGCAATATGTGAGTCTAGCATCTAGATTTTGGTTTCTAATATTGTGCTTTACTGAAAGGAATCAAAGGCAAAGTCAGCACAAGAGAGCTTCTTGCTACATCTGGTGCCAGAAAGTCATGCTCTCAGAAGGACGAGGTCGTGTCAAAGGACACAGAAGTCCCATCCAAGAGCTTCCTACTGCCTAAATCCCGGATAATTAGAGCATCAAAAGAGAGGAGACATTAACAGCTTAAATAAGAATCCATGAGTCTATACCGACATACGGAAGTTAGTGAATAAACGGGGCAGAATGAGGAAAACTTTTCCTTAGGACATAATGCCAACTAACAAATGTGGACACGCCACCCAATGTGATATCCCAAGATGGACCCAACATCACTTCCGTGGTGCTCCTGCCCAAAATGCGTGATTCTGAGCTAATCAGGAGGAAATATTAGACAAACCCAAATTGAGGGACATGCTACAAATATCCTGGCTTGTTCTTTTTAAAAAGGTCATGGTCATGGAAGACAGAGGGATGGAGAGAACTGTTTTAGATTAAAGGAACTAAAGATTAAAGGAACTAAAGAAATATGACAATTAAGTGTAATGCATGACTTAGGTTGAATCCTGAACTCCCTTTTATTAAATTTTTTTTGGTATAAAGGGCATGGGGTGAAATTTAAGGCCTACAGATTAGTTACAGTACTGTGTCCATGTTAAATTTCTTATTTTGCTCATCACAGTATATGAAAATGTCTTTGTTTCTATAAAATACATGCTGAAGTATTTAGGCATAAAGGACATCCTGTTTGGAACTTAGTCTCAGATGATTCCAAAAAAATATATGTGTGTTTATGTATGTGTATGTATGTTACATATGTATATTTCTGCCTACATACCTATCTATTGAGGAATAATAAAGCAAATATGACAAAAATGTTAGCAATTGGACCATCTAGGGGAAGCATCTATGTGAGTGTCTTTCTCTGTTCTTGCAACTTTTCTCTAAGTTTGAAATTATTTCAAAATAAAAAGATAAAAAGAAAAAGGCAAGTGCCCTATTTTGCTTGTTGATGAATAAGGACAAGCCATTGAAGGAGAGGATGTGAGTGTGTAGCAGGAACTCCTAAACCCTAGCCACAGGAAAGACTTGGCCAGACTTTTCTGGAATGTAACTTGGCAATTTGTATTAAGAATCTTAAAAATATCCATAACTTTTAGCCCCATTTCTGCTCAAATAAAATAAACAAAAATGCAAAGACGTATGCACAAGTATCTTATGACAGTGTGACTTCCAACAGTAAAATATTGGAGACAATTTAAATATTTAACAATGGGGGCCTGGTGTAGCCCTACCATGGAATAGGATGTGCCCATTTAATGATGTCTCTGAAGAGTTTTTAACAGCATGACAGCATGCTTACCTTATCATGTCCTGTGAAATACCAGAATAAAATGTACATGCAGTAGAATCTCAATTACATCCAAAATACGCATTATAAATCTGGAAGAAAGTAAGCCAAAATGTGGAGTATACTTGGTAGCATTTCTCCCTACTTTTTAATATTTTTTTAGTAATATCACATTTTTTATCATAAGGAAGTATCCTAAAGGCAGAAAACAACAAATAAAGTAGCAATGAAGTTCTGAGTCTTTCTGTGACTGTGTGACGACAGTGTCTGAACAGTTATCCCTCCGGCAGTGACGAGCAGCCCCTTGGACATGTTCCAGTCCCAGTTCTTCAGACTTCAGAAAGTGGGGAAGACTCCGTGGGGGAAGAGGAGGGGTTGCTGATGTCATGGTGACAACGTGGAGTGTGGCACACCTACAGGTCTTGATGGGCTGTGTGCTGGGCACTCCGGAATCTCATTTAATCCCCCTAGTGGATAAGGAACACTAAGTATTGGAGAGACAGAATGATTTACCCAAGGCCAGTGTGTAGTAAGAGGTGCGGCTGGAATTCCAGGTGAGATTGGGAGACTCCAAAACCTGTGCTCTTAATTCCAGCCCTGCCTGGCCTCCTGGATCATGCCCATGGTGGGTGAACTGGGGGCGCTGGCCCCCACGCTGCCATCCTGACTTGTCAGCCTGTTTGCTTCCTCCTCTCTGTTGTGATTTCCTCAAGCTTGTTATTAAATAACAAGCATCCTTCCTGCGTTTTCTCCTGGAATTCTCATCCCACAGTGGCCTAAGGGGAAGGCAAACTGTATGCCTGTGCATAGGAAGCATGACCGCGCCATCCAGCCTCCTTCCAGTAGCAGTGGATGCAGCCTTGTTAGGGTGATTCTGACCCCTTGTTCTCCGTCACCTCACAAGGCGTAACGACAGGGGACAGCTGCAGAGAGAGATGGAGGTTGGCATTCAGAAGCCTTTCTGACAGCAAGAGTGAATCAACACAAAATGAATCACACAAAGACACCATTCACTGTCTCCCCAGAGAGCCTGGAGAAGAAATGCCTGCCATTTGTGTAGCTCTTTTTGATGTTCAAAGCTCTGTGGCACACAGCCCTCCTTAGGGTCTCACAAGAACTCCCTAAGAAAGACAAGACAGGAATTACTTCCCTTAGGAAAGGAAACTGAGGCTCAGGGAAATCAAGTTACTTGCCTCCCGTCATTGGTGACTAGGTCAGTCTTCTAACTTCCTCTTTATCCCTTCTTACTCCTTCTGCAAACAGTACGATGCTGGGCAGAGTGGAAGATCCCTTATTGTCTCACCCTGGGGCAAGGAGATGGGCTAGATCATTCCTAATGCTGCTTCCTGCCTCAGAAGATGAATTTGCCTACAAGAGGTGGGCCCTCCATGCTTATAAATCCTTCTCCTTCAGGTTACCCCCACCTAGTGAAAAAGATTTACACAAGGCAGAAAGTGGGTGGAAGCCATTTGGCCACTCATGATGTCTTATTCTAGAGGAGGCCCCCTGAAGTGAAGGTGCCACAGCATTACTGCAGTTCAGCAGACATTTACCAGCATATGCCAGTCACTCTACTGGAACTGAGGAGAGAGAAAGCCAGGGAAAAGGTTGCCATGGGTTGAGTCAAAAGAACTCATTCTAGGCTCAAAAGGACAGGAGCGCTGGTTCATTAGGATGCTCAACTTCCAACTAGCAGACTGGGCACATGTCCTAGAGAGGAATTGTGCTGTAGTGAGGCGAAGTGGGCTTGGATGTCTGGCAAGTCATGGTTCAGATACTGACTCCAGCCAGGCACGGTGGTTCACGCCCATAGTCCCAGTGACTCAGGATGCCAAGACAGTAGGATTTCTTGAGGCCAGGACTTTGAGACCGGCCTGGACTACATAGTGAGGCCCCGTTTCTACAAAATAATATTTTTTTCAATGTTGACTTTATTTCTTAGCTGTGTGACTTCCAGCAAATTCTTTAACTTCATTGAAACTCAGTTTTTTCAGCTATAAAATTAAGAGAATAAATAAACTGTCCCATTGTATGATGCAAGGATTAAATGAGATGACAGCAACTAAAGGCCTGCCACCATCAACTCTTGGCAATTTATTTCCCTCCTAAATTAGATAGAAATGTCATGGTTTGGGGTTTCCATTGTGTGTTCAAGAAAGATAAGACCGTAACGCCTTTCTTAAATGTCTAAGCTTCATTATCAGAGCTTCTTGCACGTTCTCTTTAAGCTTTTCCCCCATAGACCTATCCAATGGCCCCAGGCTGAGGCACCCATTCCAGGGACTCCCACGCCTGCTTCCAAGCTAGCAGTGGCCTCTCATGAGCCTCAACCCTATTCTGAGATGCTCTGGGTTTGGAGGTTCTAGTATCTCAGCCACACATAGTGCCATTTTACCTTGTCCCAGCTGGCCAAAGTGTGACTGTGATCCCCTGTCTTCCCCCTCACTCACCCGGCAGCCTCATCTTGGCTGCTGGCGATTTTAGGCTGGGTTCCACAAGTGGCCCCAGTGATTTATGATCCATAACTCAGTGGTCTCTTCCGCCATGCCTGCAGGCTCCCACCTTCCGGAAGTCACTGGAATTTAAAACACCATGAAAACAAACATCTGTGATTTACGATGTCAAGAGCCATTTCCTTCCTCTTGAGACAATCTCCAGGGTGATTTTCTTTAGGTCATCTGCTCTGTAGAGCATATTAGTTAAAAAAAAAAAACCTTAAACATAATGTAGAAAGATGTGCAGGTATGGAAGACAGAATGGCAGCACCTTTCCACGGGTGGCAGCCATCAGACAGAGCAGGACATGCACAGCGTGGCTCCCTCCTGTCCCTGGAAGGCAGGTCTGCTCTGTTCTCTTCTTTCACATGTGTCTACTCCCAGCCTTTCCAGGTGCAGGACAGGGCAAGCATCAGAAACACTGGGTGAGGGACCGGCCCTCCCTTTGAGTGCTTCCTCCCTGCACATCTGAGTCCCATCTGTAGACCCAGAGTGAGGACATCTGCCCAACCTCCCTGCAGGCTGTTGTGAGGTCAGCAGAGGCCCAGAAGCCATGGTAACTTCTATAGGAGAGACGCAGGATGAAGAAAGTTGTTGTGACTTTTGCCCAGAATTGTCAAGAATACTTCAAGTGGTATAGATGTTTTTCCCAAAAAAAAGTAAGGCTGAAAAAAATCAAGGCTGATCCTAAGGCTGTTCAAGTACAAACAGTTTGCAAGTAATGGAAAAAGCTATAAAATTTTAATATAGGGAGACCTCAAAGCCTTGAAAGGAAATATAAAACAACTCCAAAAAAAAAAAAAAAAAACAAACCCTAAGCATCCTCTTTGTTCCTCAGTGAAAATTTCCTTACTATTTTAAGCCACATTGATTCCCAAGAGAGAAACTGGCAAAGCATGGATGGAGAAGCTTCATTTCCCTACCACTGCTGTGAAAATACCCTATGCTAATTTAAGGATATAGAATTTTCTAATAAAAACAACCAGAGTGCACTAGGCACGATTATTCCAACCTATCTTTCTATTGTATTGGTCCATCTACTTTGCCGATTTCCAAAGGAATTAGAGACGGCTTTATTACATTTAAGATAATATGAAAGAAGACAAGTATAGCCCCTCTTTGATTTTTATGTTACACATTGGGCAGTAGGTTTTTAAAGAGCCGTGTTTGACTCTGTCCTATTTTGGGGCCCAGGTACATGATTCCTATTTTTAGCAACTCTCTGGTATTGTGAATCTGAGATTTCAACCACCAGTGAGTCAGAAGGTCTGGCTGCCCAGAGATATGTGACTCAGACAGGCAGGAATAGTCTGTTCACCATGAGATGAGGGCTTAAAGGGGAGCTTTTGTGCTTAGTGAAACACGCAAATGAAAACAACCGTTTAAATAGGAACCTATTGCCCTTCCGGAAGGCTCTTTGCCTGTCCCCGAAAATTCTCAGCTCACACCCAGGGAAGAGCTGGTGCTGCTAGCTGGGAAATGAGGCCAACCCCCTGGCTACTTCCTCCTCTTTAGGGGCCCTCTAAGGCATCTGGGCGGAGGTTTCTGGGTGGCTTCAGCCTTCAGAATTAACACAACAGCCTCCTGATGGGCAGCAGTGGTGGGAGAAAGGAGCGAGTGGAGTGCCATGTCGGGCAGGGTTGGGACACAGGATGAGATACTACTCTTTTAAGAGTAAGACACCGCAAGAAAAGGTGGCTTCCCCTGGAAAGGTGGGAAGCAACAGATTGGTGTTTTCTTGATTAGAAATGCTATGGAATTCATTCATCCATTCACCATCCATCCATCCATCCAAACAACCAATGCATATGGGAAGCTGGCTACGTCCTCGGTCCTTTGCTAGGTACTAGGGGACTGGTTTCCATCCTCGAGAAGCCCACAGGCTTGTGGGAGGAAGATAAGCAGGTAGAGAGGCAGCCTGGCTGCAATGCCCTTCCAAGACCAAGGTTTTGGGATTCCAAGTTTCTGAGGTGTTCTGCATGGTCAGTAGTCCCTGAGAGGCCCTTCCCCTGTAGAACTGAGTGAGCATTCAGGGTAAACCTGGCTAAACACAGACTAGCCAGGACCATTGTTTCTGGCCGTATGAACACCCTCCTTTTCCTTTCCTCCAGACTTAGACTCCTTTTGGAGCCAAGCACCCCAAGACTGTAGGCCTTCTCTGGGCGTGAGCCTGAGGGTCACAGTGCTCACCAGCCCTCCAGCCTCGCCACAGTGAAGATGCTTATCATGGAGGCTGGGATAGTTGTGTTTTTCGCTGGTGTTTAGATGTTCCAGTGTTCCATGAAAGCTCCTGAATCTCTTCCCTAAATAACAAAGTCCTGTTTGGTATTTGGTGAAATGTTTGGAGTGCCGTGTTCAACCAAGCTGAACTAAGCTGCTGACAAAATACTGTCTCAGCCCTTTAATAATAATAGCTAACATTTGTATAGCACTCTACAGTTTAACAAAGCACTTTAAATGCACCCAGCCCCTTTGAGATGCGAGGGCAGAGTTATCATGTGCGTTTCACTCAGGAAAAGTGGGCTGCCCAGAGGAACTGAGTAACACCCTCCAGGACCCACCACTGGGGAGGCCAGAAGCTGGCCCTCCTGAACCAGGCACTTTGCCCTTGGCCACCTTCTCTGAAGCCTGTGGTGACCACGCCTCCTCCTCTGACTTCAGGTTTGGTCTTTGCCTCTGGTCTCAGCCCCCTGTAGTATCCCACAGGCAGCCCCCAGGCAGATCTCCTTAATTGTCCCCTTTCTCTGCTTCAGCACCTGGAATGACTGTCCCAGGATTAAGTCCACACTTCCAGCCTGGAATCCCCTCTCTGCACAGCCTGGTCCTATCCCAGGACCCTACACTCCCCCTCACTACCCCCAGCATGCCTTTCCTACAGCCAGGCAGGACTTGGCAGGAGCATGCCACGCCAACTTTAGACCCCAGTGCTGGCTACATGGGGGGAGGAGAGGGCAACTCGTTTTTTAACTATTGACCCCTCCTTGATGTCTGGCAAGGGGCTAATTAGCAGCAAACGTCTTCTGAATCAGTAAGTCAGAGAATCGGTAAATGAAGAAAACGGACATCTGTATAGGCATAATAGCATCCCCATGCAGTCCATAGCAAGAAGAGACCCCAGGGTGGGCGCCTTGTGCACAAGGGTCTGTCTGAGATAGATGCCAAGGCCAATGGACACATGCCGTCCACAGGTCCTGGCTGTGTGGCTCAGGATGCACTGGAGCCAAAAGTGGCTGCATACCAGAAATGTCCCCCCACCCCCACCCCCATGAAGCTGATACAGCTGGAACCATGGTCCCCCTCCCTCCAGTCAGTGACACTGACCACCGGTGGCTCATCTCAGCTGTTCTTTTGGCAGATGCCATTCTTTTGCTCCCCAGAGACTGGGTGATGTCTGAGAGATAGGGTTAGGGTTGGCAAGGTTGGTGTGAAGTGGGTAACTTTGGAGCAGCGAGCGACCCGGTATGCCTGTGCATCCAGGACACAGGGCCCAGGAAGCATGAGAATAGCAGGAGCCTTGGAGGAGGTGCCCTTGGGGGTGGAATAGGGCTCTTGAGGGCTTATCCTAGGCCCAAGGAAATGAAGGGAACTTCTTTCCTTCTTGTCCCTTTCCCCCAACACACCCCCAAGTTGAGCTAGCATACCCATCATGCTAAACAGGTTTAACAGGTTTTATGATCCAATCTGATTATCTTATTATGAGTTACAGATTGTTTTATAGGAAAAATGCTTCCCCCCATATCAATAATAGCTTCTCTTTTAATTTAGAGAATAATTTCAAAATTATAATTACACAAGTACAGTCACGAATTGCTTAACAATGGGGATACATTCTAAGAAATGCGTTGTTAGGTGATTTCATCATATGTGAACATCATAGAGTGAATATACACAAACCTGGATGGTTGAGCCTGCTGCACACCTAGGCTATATGGCGTAGCCCATCGTTCCTTGGATTCCGTACAGCATGCCACTGTACTTCAGTACTGTAAGCAATTGTAATACAATGCTAAACATATCTAAACATAGAAAAGGTACAAAGTACAGTATAAAAGATTAAGAAAGTGGTTTGCCTGTGTAGGTCATTTACCATGAATGGAGCTTGCAGGACTGGAAGTTGCTCTGTGTGAGTCATGAGTGAGTGGACATGACTGCACACTACTGTGGACTTTATTAACAGTGGACTTAGGCTACACTAAATTTATAAAAAATATGTTTCTTCCTGCAATAATACGTTAACCTTAGCTTGCTATAACTTTTTTGCTTTATAAACTTTAATTTTTAACTTGATGACTCTTATAATAACATGTAGCTTAAAACACAAACACACAGCTGTACAAAAATACTCTCTTTATATCCTTTTTTCTATGTGATGTATTCTATTAAAAATTATTTTATTTTATTTTTTGCTTTGTAAATTTTTTGTTAAGAAGTAAGACACGCGCACATAGTAACCTAGACCTACGCAGGTCATCAAGATGTCATGAGGTGATAGGAATTTTTCAGCCTCATTATAACCTTATGAGACCACCATTGTGTATGTGGCCTGTTGTTGACTGCAGTGTTATGCAGCACGTGACTGTCGTACATAGTCATTATCAAAAAATTAAGGGCAGATTTTTAAAGAGCAAAGAAGTTCATTCAAAATCTCAGACCAAAGGGATACTACTCTCTTTTATGTGTATATCCTTCCAGTCTTTACCATGCAAATATGGAAATATATTTTTTTAAAAAAGAATCCTACTACACATATTACTATGTACTTTGGTTTTTAAAAACTATATGTAATGACTGTCCTTTTGTGGCATTAAATATGAATCTGCAGTATAATGTGGAATCCTGTGAAGGTGTCCTGGTGTTCATAATTCATCTGCTGTTTGGTGAGCACGAAGCTGTTTTCACAGTTTCAGCAGCACAGTGAAGAATAACTTTATTCTTCTATATACAACTTTATAATGTACATAATAACATATATATGTAAAATAAATAACTGTATTCTATATATACCCCTTTTTGCAGATGTATTCTAACAGAAGGATTTATAGGTGAAAAGTTATGTTTTTTGCTTTATTTTGCCAAAAGGCACTTAAGAAAGCCTGTCCAAATCTGGATTCTCAGCAGCAGAATATGAAAGTTTCTGACTCCTCACACCCATGCCAACAGGCTGAGCATTATCTTTATTAATCTGAAAGGAAGAAAACAAGTGAATGGGACATAGCATTGGGAAAATGCTTTCTGAACCCACAATTACTCTTCTAAAACACAACCCAAGTGCCACCTGTACAACCTCTAACAAAACATGGCTGAACCCAAGCTGGGGCATTCTTATTTCTACCTGTAGTTAAGATAAAATTCTGATCAACAGAGGGATCCGGAGGGTCCCTGGAAATGTATTGAGAGGAGATTGATTTGATCCATAGCTGAAGTTTCCTTGAAAAAAGACACTGGCTGGGTGTGGTGGCTCACGCCTGTAATCCCAGCACTTTGGGAGGCCGAGGCTGGCAGATCACGAGGTCAGGAGATCGAGACCATCCTGGTTAACACGGTGAAACCCCATCTCTCTAAAAATACAAAAAAATTAGCCGGGCGTGGTGGCGGGCGCCTGTAGTCCCAGCTACTCAGGAGACTGAGGCAGGAGAATGGCGTGAAGCTGGGAGGCAGAGCTTGCAGTGAGCCGAGATTGTGCCACTGCACCCCAGCCTGGGCGACAGAGTGAGACTCCGTCTCAAAAAAGAAAAAAAAAAGACTTGGCCTTTTAATGAAATACAGCGATACGGCAGTAGGCACCTTCAACACTCCCTAGGGGGAGTGGACATGAACGTTTTTGCATGTAAGACTTGGTCGAAAGCCCTGGTCCAGGCCTGGATGTGCCACTTGTTACCCTTGTCACCTGGACAGGCCTCTTCCTGTTTTCACCTGCGGTGGCTTGGGGCAGTGAGGGGAGTGCTGGGGCACTGGTCACACAGATCCTGGTTCCTCCCTGCATCCTGGCTGTGTGACTGGCAGGCGATCTGCAGAAAGATTGTGTCTCTGACCCCTGGGATAGCGTGAGGATTAGAGCACATGGTGCGAGCTTGGCACTTGGTCATTGTTTTCCTTTGGCTCTTTCCCTTTTTCATCTGTTCCAGCGAGGGATTAAACTATCTGATGTCTAAGAACCCCATGAGATCCAATTTCCTGAGGATTCCAAGGCAGCCCAGGTGAGGCCCTGCTCTTCTAAGTATGAAGTTCAGAGTCGCTGTGGAATCCCCACTCTGGGAGGCAGTGCTGTGCGGGCCCTGCGTTTCACACAGGTAGCCACAGGCCCCTGTGCACACCTGAGAGGCAGCCTCCCGCGGAGCCCTGCTGGACTGTGACGTTATCCACATGCCTTAGCAGATGTCTGTCATTGTCTTCTTGCCTTTGTGGGTTTGTCCTCTGTTTAGAAAAATGAATTTCCTGAGGGCAAGACCAGGTTCATCATCTCCTCTGACTTTTGCCTGCCCTCAAATAAGTCTGGAACTAGTACGAGCACGTGTGACGGACCCTCATTCAGGGGTAACTGACTGGTTGATAAGGAGTTTGACTGGCAAGGAAGTGATTTCAATGGGTCAGCCTCTCTGGCCCTGGCTGTGATGATCTGTTTACCGCAGCTTAACCTTAGTGGATTTCAGCCCATCGGCACAACCCACATAGCCCCATTCAGCTCATGGCTGCATTTAAGGCCCACTGATAGCCTCGGATTTGGGGAGTGTTAACCCCATGCTGCTTGGGTATGCTTCGACCCAACCTCACGGGTTAAAATCATGATGGTGAGGTATTACAGGGCCCAGTCATTTGTTAGGAAATAAAACCAGACTGTTTCCAAAGAGTAGAGAAATAGGATGACTCATGAAGTATTAACCACTTAAAAACCCTCCTTAGGCATGTCTTCCCTTGGCTCCCTTGAGCGGTGTCACCCGACAGATTGCAGTATGATTGTCATTGCTGTGTTGAAGTTACCCACCCTGAACTCATGCTGGGTATCCTCAGTCAGGGCATCGTTCTGTTTGTTTCTACTTTGTGCACATAACTGGTACCTTTTCTTTTCCCTGCCCTGTCTCGTCACTTATAATATAAAGGGAGTTAATCCAGCCACTTGTATATCCTGAGTCCTTTTTGTGTATCCAGCACTTTGTAAATTTACTATAGGCATTCATTCATCCTCTTCCTCATTCAATCCACAAATATTGAATATCCACAACTGGCAGGATAACAGCCAGTTGCTTTGAACAAAGAGTTTCTTTCTAAGCCCATGAATGTGACTATGCCTAGCACAGTGCCTGGCACACTGAGGTGCCCAGTGCATTTATAAAAAGCAACTCTCAGGGTTCTTGACGGAGCTGTGTCATACTGAAGCCCCCTGGCCTAGATAGATTCGCCTGGATGAAACACTTCCCTGCCTTCTTAAACAGAATGCATTGAATTTACTTTCATCTTTTCCTGATGCCTCCAAGCCATCATTTTGAACATCAGTGCTGCAGTAGGATGATGTGTTGCTTCTGTTTTATTGAGGTATACCAGTTCTTTGCCCTTAACGTTAAATCAGCCTGAGTGTTGTCTTTGTGAGCCCTTGTGTTTGATTTCTGTAGTTTGCCTCCTTCCCAGCAGTGAAACTGAGGATGCTTATTTTTTATTCCATCAGTGAATCTTTGTGATAACAAGCATCTTACATTTATTTAGCAGTTTTCATGTGCATTATTTTATTTAAGCCTTATATCAGCTCTGCAAGGCAGATAGGATCATTTCCAATTTGCTGATTAAAAGAGAAAAAACAAACAAGCAAGCAACAGACTGAAGCTTTCAAGAGCTCAGCAACCTGCCAAAGATACATGGCTAGAAGGAAGACACTGGGATTCAGGACTGGGTGTCCTGATTCTAGGCTGGGACTCTTTCTGTGCCAACATCCTTCTTCCCTTTAGCAACTCCCAACCTTCTTTCTAGTTTGGTACTGGTAATCTGCCACAAAGCTTGTTAAAATTGGGCGCAAAATGACCAGGTGAAGGTTTAAGAGTCTCTCCTTTGGAGACAGTGTTTGAGATTTAGTGCCTGGGTTTTGTGGCCTCTCTCTATTTGGCTGTTCACAACCTTTTTCTTCTCTCTGTCTGAAGTGTAAGCAAGGAGGAAGGGTAACAGATCGAATTGCCAGATTTAACAAAAAACAAAACAAAGAAACAACAGAACAAAACCAAACACAAGATGCCCAGCTGGATTTGAATTTCAGATAGACAACAAATAATTTTTTGTAAGTATATCCTAACTGTTACATGGAGCATACTTATACTGAAAAAAAAATTATTTGTTGTTTATCTGAAATTCAAATCTAGCTGGGTGTCCTGTATTTTATCTGTAGCCCTAATACCAGGACTGTGGCTGGGTGGGCAGTGTCTGATCTGTAATGACAGCAGAGTCTTCAGTAAGAGTGGGGGCTGGGAAAATAAATTAATGGGTTGCAGAATGTATAGTGTTAATTAGATAATGCTTCCTGGAAAAGACGGATCTTGAGCTATTATTTACAGGGCAGTAGGGAAATGATGTGGCCGCTAGCTGCAGAAAGAGCAACTCATATGAAAAAGAATGGCAGACCGGAGAGGCCAAGGCTCAGAGACACATGCACACACCAAATAAGGGTCTGTTTACTTTGACTGTAAAAGTGTATTACTTTTTGACTGCAACAATGTTTCATCTCCTGCCTAACATAATGACCAGTTTGGTTCCTGTCCTGGAAATAGAGAAAACGGTGCCACCTTCCCCACACACTTGAGTTGATCTGACATTGATAGTTTGAAAACTTTGGTTCCCCCAGGCAGTAAATTTAAGGAGCAACCCTGTCTTGAAAACGGAATTAGGTTACCAAAGACTTCCGGCAGTTGAGAATTTCTTGAAATCCAGAATATCATATTTTCCCAATAATGCCTTCTTGCGATCTCACACATCATGCTTTTAAGGCCGATTGCTACTACTGTTAGGAAATTTACCTGTGATGGTCTCAGGTAATAGAAGTTGTGGATAAGTTGAAAATTGCCAGCCTGTTAAATGGAATGATGTAGCAAAGAAAGGGCATTCTTTTTGAACACTTCCTCCAGGTGTGTGAGCGTTTCACACTCTGCATTTTCACAGTATCTTTGTGAAGGTAGCTCTGGGTTCTCTTGCACCCTGGAGAGGTAGGAACATGCCTAGTGCCCTCCTGTGAGTCTGTCCCCTCTCTTCTCTTATTAGGGGCATTTGCATTACAAATCCACAGACCAAGCAACTCTTTTTAAAACATTTATGTTCAACTGCTTTTTTGAGTGCTTATCATTCCAGAGAATGTGAAGATACATGGCCCAAAACCTCCTCCCTCAATAGTGTCTTGAGTGCGGAGTCTGTGGGCTGTCCTGGGATGGGCCCTCACCTTGCTTTATTCCCACAGCACACCTCACTCCCAGATGAGGATGTGCGCCTATGTGTGTCCCTGTGTGTGTGGAGGCTGAGACTGCAGGCACTTGCCCAATGCCCCATGTAGCACCACTGAGATTCAAGCTCATGTTTTTTTATTTGAATGTCATACTTTCTACTTGCCAGGTTACTCCATCAAAACAGTGATAACAAACCAGGACAGGGCAGATGGTGCATAGTGGTGGCAGAATTGGACAGATTTAACTGTTTCTTTAAGAAATATTTACTTTCTTGAGCATTTACTGCTGCCCTAAGAGACTAGCTTTGGGGTTTTCCTAGCTTCGCAGAAGTGTGGACGTTGATTCCAGCTTTTCCCAAACATTTTTGGCCTTGAAATGAAGCTGGGAACCATACTAGATCAAGCTCTCTGGCCGTGAGCCCCATGTCTGTGGGTTTGAATGATCTAGAGAGGAACTGCATGCTCAATCAGAACCAGCAGGAAGCTGAGCAGGGTTAGAAGGCTCAGTCCCTCTGAGAGTAGGAAGAGGGCATACCTCAGGAGCTTGCCAAGTGCGCAGAGGTGAAAGGGAATGTGAGAGAGTCTATGGGGCAGGGGTGACATTTGAACAGGGAAGGATGCTGTGGCATAGATATCAAGGCTCGAACAGGCAGCTCCCCCTGTACGCCAGGCATTAACTGGATTGGTAGCTGGATTGCGAAGAGGTCCAGGAGCCCTGGAAGGAGGGCCACAAGGTGGAAGATTCTCGGTGAGCATAGGGCAGTGGCCACTAACCAACTGGTTCCAAAGTGTTTTAATGATGTAAGTGCTTAGTTAAATATTAAATGCTTTATTACACATACTAACTCAGTAACTTTTACAAATAACCCGGAAGTTAGATTTTGTTAATATCTCCATTTCACAAATGTTGAAACTGAGGCACTGAGTGATTAAGAAACTTCTCTAAAATTGTAGCTAGAAAGTGGCACGGCTGGACTGGAACCATCTGTTTAACTTTGAAGGCTGTGCTCTTAATTACAAGGTGACTTTTGTCTCCTTATGCAAATCGCCTGTTACTGTCTCTGCAGGTTGATCTAGGCTGGCCACTAGAAATAGTTCACTTCAAAATGATGACATGGAGGTGACTGAATGGGGTGGGTCATATGGTACAGCCGTGATCATCTGTCCCTGAGGTCCTAAAATGGAGTATGGTGAGATGTTTATGCTTTTGAACCTTCATGAACTTTTCCGCTCTTCCTTGGGCCAAATTCCAAGGTCCAGGACTTGGAGGAAGGGAAGTAGAAACCCACTCGCCTCCTCAGGACCCTGCCTGGCTACATGAAACCCCCATTAATCACCTCTGACGCCCGGGCTTGGTCTGTGAAGGAACGTGGGCCGTATGGCAGTGATGGGAGGAGGCTGAGATAGTGCTGAAGATGCACAGCCTCTGTGTTCCATTTAGAACCGCTGAAGCTCCCCAGGTGCACCAGGAGCCTTCCCAAGACCTGGATCCGCTGCAAGGTGATAGCCGTGGCTTGGTTGTCTGTGGGTGGAGCCGAGGAAGGCAGAGGTGTGCGTGTGTGTCTCTGTGTGTGTCATCTCTGTGTGTGTCTGTGTGTGTCTCTGTCTGTGCATCTCTCGTATGTGCCTGTGTCTCTATGTAATGTGTTTGTGTGTACATTTCTGTGTGTCTGTGTGTCTTTGTAATGTGTGTGTGTGCCTATGTATGTCTCTGTGTTTGTGTGTTTGTGTGTCTATGTCTGTGTTTGGGCAAGACTGTGTTCCACCCCCTTCCCCAGGCTTGGGACAAGCTCACATTCCACAGGTCCTAGAGGAAATGTTTTTGCTGTCCAGGGCTTTGGGACAATGGGCTTGCTATGTTTTAAATTTTGGGCCCCAGGAAGAGAGTTGCCCCTGTGTTAGGATGGCTGTGGCTCAGTCACATACTCCCCCATTTCTCTTAGCCGGCCCCAGTGTGTGTCCTGGGGGCGTAGTCACTGCCCTTCCAAGCCTGGAGAATGACTGCATCGTCCACCGTGATGAAGTACAGGCTTTGCCAGGGCTTAGCAGGGGGAATTGGAAGGCCTTAAAAGGAACATTTAGAAATCAGGAGTCAAACGTGACTTGGACATTAAAACTTGATTTTGCATCCAGCTCATGATAAGCATATAGCAGCATATACACAAATACATACAAAGCAGTGTGTATGTGGCAATCATTTGGTGCCTCACTCACCTCCAAGGCTTGTTAGGGGTGCCATGATTTGAACCATCTCACCTCTGCATTTTTGCTGGTGTCTCCCTCTTCTCAGAATGCTAGTCCTTTGTATAACCCTTTCCACTGGCTGGGGCCACAGACCTTACAGGACTAAGAGGCCATCTGACCCCCTTTCAATGAGTAGGGTGCTCCTCTTTGTGTAGGATCACACCGCAGTTTTAGCCTGTCTGAACTCTTGTTATAATTCTTTGCTCCCCTATGTTCCTGGAGGGCAGAGACCAAGCCTTGCTCCTTGTACTACCTCCAAGGGTATGTGAGCCTGCCATGTGTATGCAGCTAGCATCTGAATGGATGAATGAATGAACAAATGCACCCTTTCTCACCTCCCCACGAACACTGCACTTTCCCCACATCTGTCAGTGAGGAATGAACTAAGTGAGATGTACCAGCACCCATGGTTGCCTGTCTTCCCGATCATACGGTTTACATTTGCAGTTCAGCATCCAGTGCTGTGTGCTAGGTACATCCACAGCATCACAGTTTCATTTCATGCTGCTGACAACTGTTTAAACTTATCCTTTCTGGAGGGAGATGGGGAAAGGAAATTAGGCTCCACATTTGTACCAGTAAAAAGCTTCAAGAGAGATCCTGAGTGCAGCGGGCTGAGGATCACAGAAGTTGGCAGGCTCTAGGCCTGATGCTCATAGGGTGGTATCCCAGGGCTTCCTCTGACCCAGTCAGTAGGAACACCGCTCCAGGACCAGAGAATCCTAGAGGACAGGAGCCCAGGACCCGTGGGGGCCAGTCTCATAGCTCCTGCCTTTGGGATTTGTGGGAGGGTTTGCCTTATGGGATTCCATTCTCTGAGCTCCATCCATGTGGCCAGGCCCTATGCCCTTTTTGCCTGACTCATGCCTGAGCTTGGACACTAAACCAGACCTGCCCAGTGATGTCCCTGGCCAGCTTCTACAGGAGGACACATCCCCACATTGGGAGCAGGTCCCAGACTCAGGTCTTGCCCTTTCTCTGTCCCCACCAGCTCCAAGGGGCTGTGCACTTGGTAGGCTGTTGGAGTATCACACCAGATTCCAGAAGAGGGGCCAGGAGCGGGAGGATTATGCCCTGGGGCCATTCTCACCGGACTGTTGGAAACAGTCTTTGGTACCTGCTGAGAGAGCCAGTGCCAGCTGGGAAATCTGTGAGGTCTCCCTGAGGAAGCTTGTCCTAGAAACTGCAGTGAGGTGACTGTGCGGCAGGCCCACTCTCAACTCGAGGGGAGCCCCTCCTGCCTGCTGCAGGAGTGGGAGCGTGGGGCTAGCTGCCAGTGGGATGGCCCCAGCCGGAGGAGCTGGGCAGTGCAGCGAGGCGCCAGCTGTGCCTGACTCCTGAGGCCTTCTGCTCACCGGAAGGGGGGCAGGTCTGCAGCCCCTCCCCCACTGCAGGGCCAGGACAGGCCGTCCTGAGTGCTGGCCCTGAGGATCTAGACCCTTTGGATCCTATGTGCGGGGGACTTCCCAAGAGCTCCCGGCCCACGACTGAGTCACGCGGCTTCTTAGCAACTTAGTCAATCCAAACGTGGAGGTGATTGGCATATGTAAGAACCCCCTTTCCCGTTGGCGTGTATGGTGTCTTCTCGCTGAGCCACAGCACCTGGTTTAGGGCTACAAATAGTCTCCCCGAGGGAATGGGCTCATACGCCGGGTGGGCAAGGATTTCAAGTCGTCGGCACAAGAAGAGACACTATATTAAGGCCTGGTTATGTTTAGAAGCCGTCCAGAGAATGTTTGGCATGCTGAATATAAACTCATGCTTCCGTCTGCTGCCACACTTTAAGATTTCTCCCAGAGGGACCCAGAGTGTGGGGCGCCCTGGAGAAGGAGCTGGGAATGTCTCGGGGGAAAGGTTCCTTCCTCGGGAACTGGGTGGCATGGGAGAGTAGCTTCAAGCTTGCTCATGGCTGGACTTCCCAGACACAGGGTGGGGCTGTTGGATGTTACCCGTCATGTCAGCATTCAGAGCCCGGCAGGAAAAAGCCTCCTTCAAAGTGAACCCAATTCCTAAAGTCCTCCTTAATGGAATTCCTCTTAGAGGCAGGCATCGACTGGCTAACTGGTATGATACTTTGGAGTTCAGTTAGCCCAGAATGGTGAAGAAAATGGCTGTCACCCAAAACACACTGAATTGAAGGACGGTGGTGCCAGAAAAGACTGTGGGTTATCTTATCCAGCCCCTTCATCTATAACATGGGGAAACTGAGGCCTAATAGAGGATGGTGACCTGCTCTACTGATGGCATTCAGCACTACACCAAGGTCACGGGAGGGGTCTGCTCTAATAGCATGTTCCCATGGACTGGAAAACGTCAGAAGGGTAGAATACAATACAAACACCGTTAGGACTGAGATGTGGCCAGCATGAAGTCCCATGGTCCTGTGTGAGTGGAACCTTGGTGTGGAAAGTGGCCCCTGGCAGCGTTGGGACATAGAGCAGTTTGGGTGGGGTTCTAACTGGGTATGGAATTTCAACAGACTCGCAGGGAGATTCTCTAGTACTGTCTCAATTGGAATCATCGTTTTTTTTAAAGTTAAGAAGAAAAATGGAAGGGCTCAGGTGAAATAAACATTTTACAAGCAGATGCTTGCCTCTGCCAGCCTGGGGGCATTTTGAGTAGGGGCGCAGCATGCAAAGCAGAGAAGAGCTCCCACGTCTGCCCCCTGCCCTCCTCCCCTCTGGAATTTTAGCCCCTGCTTGGCATTGCCATGGGTGTGAAAGGTGGTGTCTGGACTCAGGAGGAAGGTACTGCAGAGGGTAGGAAGAGCTCTGCAGTGGTCCCACGGATCTGGCTTTAAACCAGGAGCTCTTGCGAGTCTGGAGCTACGTGAGTTCTCTGAGCCTCTGTTTCTTCATCTGCAGAATGGGGATAGGATGGTTGTATGGGAGGAACGCACCTTGCACAGTGTCTGGCACACAGCACCCTCCGAAAGGGGCTCTCCATGTACTAGGTGCTCAGGAAAGATTGCAATCTGACTAGGAGTTTTGAAATTTGTGATTTACTTAGTCTTGGGGAGGAAAGAAGAGTCGTTTTCCATGGATCAGTATGTGTAGATGTGGTTGCAGAGACAGTCAGAGAAAGAAATGGAGCCAGGACAAAGGGGTGGCCCCAGCATTCACGAAAGGTTTCAGAATTCCTTTTTGGGTTTTTGGCTATGACACCCCTCTTAGGAGTCATGTTTGTTCACTGTCTAGTGAGAAGGTGATCTTCTAGTAACCTCCTTTTGGGGGGCCTATAAGGAATTCCTTCTTGCTGTTCGTGCCTTCTCTCACAACACTAGTGTGAGACCAGAGACCCCACCTCACCTCCATCAGGTGAAGATCCAAAGCAGAGAGGAGTCCCTGACTGGACCTTCCCCAGGGGTGGGTTGTGATGAGATGAGTGATTATCAACACTGAGTGAGGGGTGGTCATGGGCCAGATGCTGCTGAAGCCTTTACTTCCTAGCAGCCTTGTTAGGTAGGAGACTGTGACTCTCCCATTTTACAGATGAGGAAGTTGAGGTAGTAAACAGTCATATAACTTGCCCAAGCACACACAAATAGTGATGTTGCTTTGATTTCAGCCAGACAGTCTGGCTCCAGAATCTGTCTCTTTCATCTCTAAGCCTTTTAAGTAGCAGAAAGAGAAAGATCAAGGGGGCAATGGGGCCTGAATGTGTCCACAATGATGGCAAACAGAAGAGGAAGTGTGCTGGGCTGCGGGGCCATTGATGCCCATGAACTGAAGAGCCCGAATGCCTGGATGATGAATGGCTGGTCACCCCCTCATATGGGCAGCAGAGGCTGTCTTCAGGCTCGGCGGCTCAGCTGCCATTGGCCTGAATGGAGTCCTCTTTTTTCCAAGCCCTTTCCCCTGGACAATTGCTGAGCTCTGCCCCCTTTCGCAGGCACCTCCCCATGTCGCAGGACACCAGAGTCTTCAGGTTGGAAGGACCCTGGAGGTCACCCTGTTTATTCTTCCACCTGACTCAGGAGTCCTTTGTAGCCTTCTTGGCAGGACCTGTCGAATCAAGCAAGGATGATGGAGAAGCCCTTGGATGTCCATCTAGTTGATAGAAAGTTCTTGTTCATAAACTCAAGCCGAAGGCTGCCCTGGAGCAGCTCCAGCCACTGGCCCTAGCCAGGCCCTCTGGTCTGTTCCCTCGGGCCCCTTCTGAAGGCAATTTCTGAGTGAACTGTTTCAGATACTCTAATGGAAGTTTCTTGGCCTTGGCCCTATTGACATTTGGGGATGGATAATTCTTTCTTGTCTGGGGCTGGCCTGTGCATGGTAGGATGTTTAGCAGTATCCCTGGCCTCTACCCACTGGGTACCAGTAGCAGTCACGCCGTACCCCCAGCTGTGATGACCAAAAATGTCTCCAGATACTGCCAAATGTCCCCTGGGGCGAAGGTGGCCGAAATCGCCTGGGTTGATCTGCTGTTCTAATTCTGCCTTGCCCAGTGCTCAGAGAGCAGCCCCCACCCCAGCCTCCGATGGCCATTGGCTGAAGCAAAACCATCTCCCTTCACCTGGCCTCTGCTGAAGCGGCCTGGAATAAACAAGGCAGCGGTCCCCAAGGCCACTTCCTGGCCCTGGAGGTGGTCTGGTTTCCTCAGTTGCCCTGTCAGCAATGGGTGGCATAGGGCCTGCCCCACCCTTCTGTCCTTCCTCTCCTCAAGGGTGGCTGATGCAGGAGTTGAGGGACCTTAGGGTCCAGGGCGTGGCTGGCAGTGGAGGGATGGGTTATTTCTAAGGTCTTTCCCACTTGTCCTTCCCCAGGGTGTGTCTGCAGTGATCTTCTCATTTGGTTGGTGTCTGCCATGCTGCAGAAGGGAAAACAGCATTGCACGCCTGTGTCCTGGCTTAGGGTCATGAGAGCGTGTTTCCTCCCATGTGGGTTCTGCAGGTGCTTCCTTGGGCTGCCCCTTTCCCTACCCCTACCCCTAAATACATGCCCACCACCTCTTCTGCACACCGTGGGTCTGGAAATTACCCAACAAGGAGACGGGAGCAAGGAAGAGACATCCCCAGGCTCTGGAAAGTCCTGAGGACAAAGCCAGGATTCCGGTCTTGTCAGGTTTTCTGTCTGCCCAGTGCAGAAGACCTTAGTAACCTGCCCTGTTATCTGTGTCCTGACTCAGAAATGTGTTGGTTGAAACGTCAGGCTTTCACCCAAAATGCAGCACAATCACCCTGTCCCTAGAGCCACAAAAATTCCCTTTCTCTGTTTCCAGTTTGTTCTGTAGCAGCTTGGTGTGAAGACAGACAGTCTAGAGCATCATCAGGTGAGATGCTCACCTAATGTCCCAGACCTGCACTGTGGGCCTTGGCAGAGGCACCGACTTGAAGACATTACTTTCTTCTCCCACTCTCCTGCTCATTTGACGAGGTCTCCTAGGCTGCCTAAGGTTGTCAGAAGGTCTGTATGGTGAGACCTCAATTGACAGGCCCTCTGAAAATACAGTTACCCTGTAATTAAATTCTTATGCTAAAAAAAGTCTTCATCAATCATACAAAATAAGCTGCCTGCATTTGATGTGTGTGGGTTGCAGGAAGATTTGGGGAAACGTGGTCGGGTTTGAAGACCTTCACAAGACATGCCAGGTGAATTCTGTGTCGCTGCTGTCATCCCGCCTTTTCCAGTAATGGCCTCCTTTCTTTATCTTGGTGGGGAGATGCTGGTTACCCCCAAGGATGCTGAAATTAGCACTGCATTATTTGTTGGGGGAAATAGACTCTGTGGACCGTTGAGTGTCTGGCAAAGAAAAATGAGTTCAGGACTAACCCTGACATACCTCTTGGTGGGGAGATGCTGGTTACCCCCAAGGATGCTGAATTAGCACTGCATTACTTGTTGGGGGAAATAGACTCTGTGGACCGTTGAGTGTCTGGCAAAGAAAAATGAGTTCAGGACTAACCCTGACCTACCTCTTTGTTGTGATATAGGATCTGAAAAGGCCCCTTTGACCTCCAGTGTTGCCAATCTGTAAGACTGGATAATGATGTCACACTGACTTTCTCAGAGCAGTGGCGAGGACCAAATCAGACTCTGCAAGACAAATGCAGTTTCAACTTATGAAGCATACACACAAGGGACTGATGGATTGTTATTGTGGAAGAAAAGGGGGGATTGTTATTTTAAGGAATCTTGTCCTTAAAGTAATCTTGGTTGAGCGCTCCACGTGCAAGGCAGTGTTCTGGGTGCTGGGGCGAGGTCACCTGTGGAATTGGCACCGAAGCAGGTCAGGTGGGAGGGAGTTTAGAGGAAGGCCACGTCACTCTGGTTGGGATGCTGGGGGCTGTTGTCCTGGAGAAAGTGGCCTCAGGCTGAGTCTGGCAGGTGGGTAGAATTTCCACAGGGAGAGATGCTGGCCTATGCAGAAGTTCTCACCCACCCTGCAAGTCTCCAAGGCCTGACTCACACAGCAGAGTGAGCCCCCCCTGGTGCTGGGAAATTCTGAAGCCCATGGGGACAACCTTGTCCCCCTGGCCGTGCTCTTATCCTCCCTACCTGTCCCATGCCAGGAGCGCTTCTATGCTGCTGCCTTGGAAGACTGTCCTAACAGGCGGCGCTGCCGCGCTCAGCACCTGGGCTGGGAAGAAGAGCACTTAGTTTGCCTCTTGGAGCCCTGGGGCTCCCTGCAGCAGGAGGTGGAGAGGGAGACGTGGAGGGTCTGCTTCCATCAAGTCAAGGTCCGAAGGGCCCCATGGAGGAGACGGGTCAGCAGCCTCTGCCCTTGGATTTGCCAAGTGCCCCCCATTGTGTTGGGGCTCAGGGAGAATACTCCAGTTTGGAGGGCTTCCTGGAGGAAGTGGAGCATGACCCGTGCCTCAATCTAGAGGAGATTTGAAGGGGAGGCTGTCTGGGGGTGGGAGAGACAGTGCAGGCCCAGGGCTGAGATGGCCAGAGCCTGTTTGTGGGATTCTGATGAGATGGCTTGGCTGAGGCAGAGCTGTGTGGGGAGAGGCAGGGGAAGGAGATCAGGGCGGCTGGGAGCACACCTTCTGGTCCCGAATGCTGGGCTGTGGTGCTGCACTGTCCTGCCATCAGCAGTGGGCCTTCTGTGTGTGGCAGGATGAGACGCTAGTCATGTTTGGGTGTGATTAATCTGGCCACTGTGTTCACACAGGTTAGAGGAAGGAGAATCTGGAGACAAATGCCTGCCCAGCGACCACTGCAGGGTCCCGGGAGCTGGGTGAAAGTGGCAGAGCTGGGAGGTTGCTCTGAAATGCTGATGGGGATGGAGTGGGGGCTGTCGGGAAGGACTGGATGGAGTCTGTTTTTCCAGAACCCCTTAACCCAGTGGAAGCCCCGCCTTTCATGTGGGCCCCGCACAGTTAGGCTGCCCGAGTCCCTCTGTCCTCGCACCCTCACCTGGCTCTCTTGCCTAAGCCTGTCACAGAAGCCCTGCAGAGCAGGAAACACAGAGCAGAAAGCCACGCACACAGCTTGTGTTTCCTCTGGCGCCTCTAGGTCGCTCTGCAGCCACCTGCTTGGAGTGGTGATAAGCCAAATCTTTCTTTAGAGGAGCGAAAACACAGCTAGCCAGGGCTGCAGCTATGACTGCAGCCTGTAGGGAAACGCCGGGAGGAACAGGAGACTGTTGAGAAGGGGACGGAGAACCTCACCAGCAGCTGAATTGAATTCCATCTTTGAGACCCAAGAGAGGGAAAATGCCTTTCCGCATGCATGCTCTCCTAGCTATGCTTGTAAGAAGTGCGTGCTTCTGGTTGGGAGAGCCCAGGAACGGAGTCCATCCTTTCTCCTGGCCTCCAGGGAGAGCCCAGACACTCCTGACCACAGACTGGCTTGTAATTTGGCTTTTCTGAGCATGGCAAGAGAATCCTGCATGTCACTTGGGCCTGACACCTGCTTTTGCCTTCTCCAGACACGGCAAGACTGGCCTTGACTTCTGGTTCCATTCTCGTTTCCCTGGGCTGCTCTCCACCTTCCAGGCTTAGCTGGAGTAACCATTTCAGAGCTGGTCGTTTCCCCGCAGCTTTAGATTCCATTTTGGTGAGGAAATTTACATTACCCAGGTGTGCACTTGGGCAGGCTGAGCGACCTGAGTGAAATGAAGCCAAATCCTGGAGGTGCAGGTGTGAGGATGGGTCTGGGTGTGGGGTGGGGTGGAGGGCTGAAGAAGGAGGCGTAACATTGTGTAAGGTTGGATATTAAACCTACTGCAGCAAAACCAACTCTGCCCGCTTCCCCGGGTATTTATCATGCTTACCTTCTACCGCACACACCGTCAGTGTGAACTATTGCATAGAAAAGGGTTTTCCAACATTGCCAGGTCAGAGCTGATTAAGCTTTCACTTAAGACCAAGAGTGGATTAAACTTTGGGATCTGCCCTCCTCCGGAGGGGGAGAAGCTGGCTGATGTTCACTGACATGTGGCTGCATGGCCACATCAGTTGTTAAATATTGAGAAACTTCAGCTGTCCTGTGTCCCTGAGTGCCCATCCCCCATCCAGGACCTCCCACCCCCCCACATTTCCTCAGTGGAAGGCTGCTCCCTGGACTCATTTCGGTTGGTGGGTGCCACCGTGGTTCAGTATTTTCAGAAGTTCACTGTAGCCTGCAGGTTATGCCAAGTCCCTTGACACTGGGTCCTCATATTTCCTGCTGCTGTATTTTTTCCTTATGAGATAGAAATGAGACTTGTCAAAACCCTACTGACTCTGTTAGGCCCAGCCCAAATGTCACTTTGTCTACTAAGACTGCCCTGGTCACCTGTTTCTTGGCCCACCTGACACTTGGTTTATACCTCTTTTATGGAAAATTATATTTAACTTCCTATTACAGCTATGGCTTGCAATGGGGGCGATTTTACCACCTGGGGACATTTGGCAGTGTGTGGAGACAGATTTGGTTTTCACAACTGAAAGGGGAGCTACTGGCATCTAGCGGGTAGAGGCCGGGGATGCTGCTGAAGAGCCTACAGTAGATGGGACAGCCCCACCCCAGAGAATGATCCAGCCCAATAAGTCAGCAGTGCTGAGCTGAGAGATCTACAAGCCTCCGTGTCTGTTCAGCTCCTTCCTGGGAGCTCCCAGAGGGCAGGACACAGCTGCTTGCATCTTGCCCCAACCCTCTCCTCCAGGCCCGCAACCCCCAGGAACCAGGGTGAGACATTGCATTTAGTTGGACACTCAATAAATGGGGCTGAATTGAATTCATTTAGTTAAATGGAATCAAATCGAATTGAACCTAAGCTGCCCTGCAGATCGTTAGGCAAATGCACCAATTACCTGGTGCAGTAGCTTAGTCTTTCCTTTGCTTCACAATCAAGAAGTGGCCTCCGTGACCTAGACTGGGGACTTAGGGATGAGAGTGAAAATTGAAAATGCTTGCAAGCTGTGGCCTTGAGTGGTTTCAGACACTTCTCATTTATTGTGCATCTTAATGACACAAGTAACTCTCTGACCTTCTTGTCTCAAAAGTGATGGGGCCAAAAACAGCCACTGCCCCAACTGTCTGTTGAGGAAGGTTGGAAAAGTGCAGGACTGTCCAGAGTCTATACTGAGAGGCAGTGTGGTATGGAGCTGAGCTCCTCAGTGTTCTCACATTGGAACCCACAGAGAAGATGCTCCCATCTGAACTGTATGCCCAGGAAAGGGGGCAGGCAGGCGGCTGGCTCAGGCGCTGCCCTTGGCCCCAAGGCTGTGGGAGCAGAGCCTGTCACACCAGCAGTGCATTAGGGGCACACTGTTTGTGTGAGCACTCTGGTGAGGCAGAAAAAACATGACCTGAAGAGGCAGATGACCTCTGTGTGGCCAGCCCCTTCACCAGCGCTAGCTGTCTGACCCTGACCTGTGGGCTTGCCCTCCTCTGTAAAGGGGAATAGAAATTCTTCCCTGCGTCCAGGCAGGGGCTGGACTTGGTCAGCTTACGTGCCTCTCCCCAAATATACTAAGTGCTCTATATGCATTGCTCCCCTCCCCTCCACCTGCATTCCCATTCCACAGATGAGGCCGCTGGGGCACAGAGAGATTGTGTTGCTTGCCCAGGGTCACACAGCTAGTATGCAATAATGACCGGTTTCAAACTCAGAGTCCATGCCTTGGCCGTTCTAGAGTGCTGCAGCATCCTTTCTGTCCACTTCTCAAAAATGCAGCCTCTGCCCATCCTTCCATCCTCCATGGGGTCTTGAAACTCAAGCCTGCTTTGCCTGGGTGTTTTTAAGCTATGCTTGCAATATGCGCAGTCATCTCTGGGCTTTTTATGTGTCACTCATTGATGAGAACCAAAACTGGACAAGATTAGAAGTGAGGCTTTCCTTCTTTCCAAGATTGGATTTTCTGTTCCACCCAGAACAACCTGCTGTTCCCCAGCTGCACGCCCTGGTTTCAAGTAGGTCTAAAATTACAAGAGAATCACCTTGCTCCAAGGAAGCTGGCATCTCTGTTTCCTGATGAAAGTAGGTACTAGAGAGTGGAGCTACCCAGAAACCAGGGGGTGGCATGTTGGCCATGTGGAGGCAAACAGAGCTGTGTTTTCTTTTCTTGGCCTTCTTAAAGATGTATCTAATTTGGGGCATGTTTTGTTTGGTTCATCTTGTATCTGGAGAGGTTCTTCTTTTCTCCCTAAGTGACATCCCTCTTGAGCCCACAATTCCCTCTTCTCAAGGTGAGTAATCCTCTCTCTAGCTGTTCATAATTGCTAATTAGTGAACAAAGAGGCTAACCAACAAAATTAGCTATTGGGCCAGGGTTTAGGATTGAACCAAAGGGTGGAGAAGGGCTTTAGTCTGCTTGTTTTTTATTTGTTTGGGTTTTTTTTCCTTAAAAAAAAAAAAAAAAAAGGAATCGGCCAGGCACAGTGGTTCACACCTGTAATCCCAGCACTTTGGGAGGCTGAGGCGGGTGGATCATCTCAGGTCAGCAGTTCGAGACCAGCCTGGCCAACATGCGGAAACCCCGTCTCTACTAAAAATACAAAAATTAGCCAGGCATGGTGGAGGGTGCCTGTAATCCCAGCTACTCAGGAGCCTGAGGCAGGAGAATAGCTTGAACCCAGGAGGTGGAGGTTACAGTGAGCTGAGATCATGCCATTGCTCTCCAGCTGGGCAACAAGAGTGAAACTCAGTCTCAAAAAAAAAAAAAAAAAAAAATCGCAACAAAACATACAGCCCTTCCCCACTGGTAATTTATCATAATCGTATCTAAAGTGTTCTTACCCAACATGTTCACCATTTGAGGAAAAGTTACTGATGATTCCTTATCTCATCAGCTATGGAGGCCTCAGAGGGGTTTTCCAAAGGAAATGCCTGACCTCAGCATAGGATGGAAGAAGGAGGTGCCGTTCTCCGGGAGGGTGTGTCCACCCCAGCCCATCTGCCACCAGGCTGGCCTAAAAGAAGCGGCGTCCTCCTGTGTGTGTGTGTGTGTGTGTGTGTGTGTGTGTGTGTGTGTGTGTGTGTGTGTGTGTCTCTTTGTCATCTTCAGCATATCCAGTGCAGAAAGAGATAGAGGCATTCATATTCAGCAAATGTTTCTTGGCATGTAATTACATCATCTCTTTAAAATCTCATTACAACCCTTTCCATTTATTGGACCAAGAGATTGAGGCTAAGATTTACAGACTTCCTCTGGGCCACACCTAGTAAGTGGCAGTAACAGGAATTAACTATACTCTCTAAAGTCAGTGGCCGTAGTGTTAGGAATTTACGACTAATAAATGCCAATTCTGTTGGGAAGACAAAAATTATCATATAAGAAAGGACTTGAAAGAAAGGAGAAGTGCTAAATGACGAGTTTCTAAGTGCACTAGGCTTTCTGGAAACTGCACAATCCAGGTTAACCGCAAGCGGTGGGCAGTTTGTGGGTGAGAGAACAGTGCGCACGCCCACATGGCTGTTCTGTGAGATCACCTCTTGGGAAATATTTAGAAACTGGTGCCCACTTTCCCAAGTTTCCAGCAAAGCCTACAGTCACTGTCCTCACTGGAGGTGCAGTCAGTGTTCTTCTGGGCCCCCGAGACTGGGAAGGCAGATTCTTACTCCATTTCTGTGCCTCTTCCACTGCCCTCTCTTCCCTCTGCTGCCTTCTCCCTTTCCTTCTGCTCTTTGTAGAAAATAGGTCTGCAGCAGCCACTGAACTTTGTCTCTCTTTGTTCTGCTCTTGGTCTTACTTCCCTTCTTTCTCCTTCCACCTCTCCTGGCTGATTTTTCATATCATCCCCATGAGAAAGCTTTTTGCCTTCCTTAAAAATCTTCTCAAAAGTGAATTTCTGCTTATGGTTTAAACAGATACCATTGTCAGCAGGGGTCAGTGATGACCCACCCATCTCCTACACTCCTTCCCTTTGCTCTCTGGTTCCCACATTCGATTCTGTTTCCTCCCACTTGCTCGGTCCTTCGGGTAGTCTCAGCTTGCCCTGATCTCTACCACGTGAATGGAGGGAAAGCTAAGCCGTCCTTCCTGGCTTTCCAGTGAGCCAGTGGGTGGACCTTCAGCCCATAGACTCACCTTCCTGCCTATGTGAGCATCCAGAAAACTTTTGGGGTGTGTTACCAAGGAGACAATGGAGTATTTATTGTACTACCTTCCTTAGACTTTCTTATGCAACCTGCCCTCTTTCCCGGATTGCTGTGATGCTGCAGGGAGGTTTCTTAAATTAATCTTGTCAAAATAGCCTTCGAATCCTTTTGGAGCAGGATTTTTTTTTTTTTTTTTAAATCTCACAAGACACAAACTGTTCAAGGGAAGAATTAGGAACAAAGACAACTTGGGGACTGGAGAGAACTTGGAGAGCATTTAGAGAAAAGCGGGGAAATGATTGATGGGTTGGAAAATAGGAGCATGGATGAATGGTGAGGGGAATGGAGATGATTTAACTGGGACAGAGAGGCTGACAGGTGACCTAGTAATAGGCTTCCAGTTTGTGGAGGGTTAGGACATGGAGACTGGCTTCCCACTACCAGGGAAGAAAAGACACTTAAAGTGGGAGGTAGGGGAGCCTGAGGCTACAGGAAGAACTCCTTATCACAGGGTCTGTTAATTATAGCAAGGCAGGATGGATCACAAGCTCTTCCACCAAGCAGTCTTCCCAGACGAGAGCAGCACTGGGACGGTGGTAGGGATTTCTGTAAGTCATCCAGTGCACAGCTTCCCGATCGCTTGTCCTCAGATAGTAGCGAGATGGCTGCCTCAGCATCTCCAGGGACACGTAGTAAAAAATACAATTTCGTGGGCCCTATCCAGACCTCCTGGTTTAGAGTTTCTGGGAGGAAAGTCCAGGTGTCTGTATTCTTAAAACACACACAAACACACCCCACCCCCCCCCACCCCCCCACCCCACACACACACACACACACCCCACCCCACCAGGACAAATGCAGAACTAACTCATTGAGAACCAAGAGGCTGGTGATGTGAGGAAAGAGGAAATGCCTCCCCCGGATTCCTCAGGTTGCTGCCTGCAGCATCCCGCTAGATCTTCCACTGCCCGGGAGCTGCTCAGGAGCCCAGGCCACACCTGCCCTGGTGGCTCCGTCCAGCATCCCTGCTGGGTCACTTGGAATGGACGCTGGGGCATCAAAGCTGCCCTACAGCTCTGAAGAACCCCTGCGTCTCTCCCTAATGACAAGGGTGCTGGGAAAAATGCTCATTCCATGTTTTTATCTGGACTTCACCAGCAGTCACTGAAGTCTTAGGTCACAGTTCTGTGGAGTTTTCCAACGGGTCCCTCAGACACCACCGCTGCCCCACAGGGGCTAGAATGGAATGAGCTTGGGAGTCAAGAGATGTATCTGCCTTGAGCTTGAGCAGGTCATTTTACCTCTCCCCGTTGCAGTTTCTTTCTCTGGAAAAGGAGACACCCGGACTGGACAGTCTCTGAGGTCCATCCAGCTCTACCTTTCTGTCTCTACTGGCTGTTTGAAGAATTGCAATGCTCGAAGAGTATAAAGTAGATTCAGTGTAATATTTCGTAGTGAAGTATTTTAAATTCAATGTTTTTTTTTTCTTTGCATAACTTATCCTAGGGAAGTTGGGAAGGATGAGGAAAAATATACGAATCCACTCGTCTCCAGCTAGCTCAGCTTGTGTGTAGGCCTGCCGTTCACCACACACGACCATGCGCAAGCTCTCTGGTCCCTTGGTGGCAGCATACCAAACTACAGATTCTGTTCTTTGGCCTCAGAACAGTCTTGTGTATGTTTTAAATGTGTAGCTTGGAATCAACGAGTATTTTTCATGGGGAGACTAGGAAGGTTGGGGGGCTGGGATCATTATTTCACACACTTATTTGCTTGTTTCTTGCTGAATTCCAGATTGCGGTGGTACTTTAAAAAAAAAAAAAGCTCCAATATCAATTTTAATTTTGCTTCTAACCTTTTGGACCAGCCACACCCTGACACTTAAAAAATAATAATGAAATGTTAGTATAAGAAAAATTGCTAGCTGACTATCCCAGCCTTCCTCCTTAGTAACTAAACCTGATTTGGGGCACATTGCTACCTAGACTGTAATAGACTTTCCAGTGTCCTGCATGGCCAGGTGAGCTCTGGACGATGATAGAGATAAACTAAATTACTGTAGGCTATAATTTAAGGAAGCCTCCTTTAAAAAAGTAAGGAAAGGATCCTTTTTTCCTTTCTCCCTTCCTCCCTTCATTTCTCCTTCCCTCCCTTCTGCCTCCCTCCCTCCTTCCCAGGGTGCAGTTGTAATGGCTGGAGTTCTAGCAGCCACTTTGGACCATAAGATGGAAGCCAAGCATTGAGGATGGCAAAGCAGAAAGCTGAAAGCCTGGGACAGGATGACCATGGGGCTGCCATCCCATCCCAGGACTGTCTCCCTTCAGACATCTTTTATGTGAGAGAAAAATAAAGCCACTATTATCTTTTGTTTTATTTATGCAGCTGCACCAAATTCTAATGAATCCATATAAGTTCCAGGTGAGCTGGCTTAGATGGTGAGAACCAAGGTCAAAGGCAAAGGGTAGCCCTGATAAGCAAATGCCACTGCTGAGTTGCTCAGAGCAGTAGACTTTTGCTATAACATAGCACAGGAAAGGAGAGATTTTGGAGACAGATGGAGTGTGACGTCGAGCTCTGCCTGAGACCGACTGTGATCTTGATCAACTGATTGTCTTGAGTCTGGATTTCCTAATTTGTAAATTAGAGTAATAATCTCCACCCCGCAGGCCATTCATTGGCATTAGACATCGTATGTATTAGGTGTCTTGTTTAGTACCTAGCACACAGCTGGTGCTTAAAAATAGTGGCTCTGTGTGTACATAGGCACATGGTATGTCCCCCTGGCCACAGACACTGTGCTATGCGCTGGGGACATACAGAGGCATACGGTGTAGCCCCAGCTCTGAGGGGGCGTGAAGGCCACTGGGACATCTCCAGTGTTGTAGCATGGGGCCCAGGTATGCAGCCTGTGTGTGCCTTCATGCTGTGATGCAGGCTTGGGAATGCATCCCAAGCCTGTGTACAGTGCCAGAGATTGAAGGATCCCATCTTAGACTGGCACTTCTTGGCCTTCACTCACGTGGGCCTGTGGCTCGGGATACTTCCCTTCTCCTTTACTCCTTCTGAATCCTACATGTTTTTGTGGCACGCGGAAGTCCTTCCTCCCCCATAGACCCACCCAACCTAGTCTAGCTAATCCTCAACATTGCACTGAGCTTATTTCAAGACCACACAGTTCAAGACAACACTTGTTCTCCTGCTGGGGTGCATGTGTGTCCTCTCCAGCTGGACCATAATCCTCCTGAAAGCAGAGCCCCGTTCTGATCGTTCCTTTAGTGTGGAAGGCACAGTAGGCACTCAGTGTTTTGATGGAGAAAGCTGAGTTTTACAGTTAAGAATATTTTTTTCTGCGAGGGCTCAGATCAGGCCTACAGCCCTCTCTCTCCTGTGGCTGCAGACTGTAATGAGGGAGAATGGAAAGAGAGCAGGGAGGGATGGCTCAGCCCCAGGTGCACACATGGCCCAGCCCAGATTCTAGGCCCAGCGGGCATCAGGACAGCTGTGCCAGGCAGACACAGGAGAGCCTTCCTCTGACCCAGGTGTGAACTGGATGATAAAAGATGGTTTCTCACCCTAAGGAAATCTCTACATAAAAGAAGTTCCCTCATCAAAATCCTCCCAGTGGCCGTAACAGGCTGTTAGTCACATGCAATAATGGCCTGGGGTGAGTAGGTATCAGGCAGCTGGGCTGAACTGCCTCCTTCCATCAGGAGTGAGCTCTTGCACTCCCACATGGTCACAGTATGGCCCTCCAGAGGAACACTCCCCTCACCCAAGAGCCAGTCCTGCATCCTCTTGTCCCAGTTGTGCCCTTTCCCTGGCTGACCATAGCATTGTCTGCTCTTGGAGGTTCCCCGTAAGGAGACAAGCTACCTTGGATGGCTTCCTGATCAGGGGCCTGCTTCTCCCTGGAAACCCACCTTGTCTCATCTCATAATATACTGAGGAGGATCTTGGAAACCACTAAAATGATCATTCTTCCCCTCTCCATATCATTTCTATATTCCTGCTTTTGGAAACTCCACATCATTTTGACCTGGCTCAACCAATTAGGTAGTCCACTCCAAATAAGTTACCAACCCGTACTCACAAAACCACTTTCAGCTGTCGGAGGAGAGGTGGCTATCTGGCGCTGTTTGCAGATGTCTTTCTCTTCTGTTCTTGTTGAATCCTTCCCCAGTTTGCTGGGGTTCCCAGTGGGGGAGTGCTTCCACAGTGCCCACCCCACCCCAGCCTCTGCCTCTCCCCACCCTTCCTGCTTCCTGTTTTCTAGAGCTTTTTTCTTTCTTTCCCCTGAAGGTGATCTCTGTATAAGAATAGCCACAATATGTGTGTGGGAGGTTTAGCAACATAACCTGGAAGATCTCTTACAGCCTCTGGAGTCTTGATTTCCTTGAGTGTCTTGGACTGGATAATGGTGTGTATTAAGGTTTGGGGTAGGGGGACGGTAAAGAATACCTCTGCTTCTTCTTGGACCTGTCAGTGAAGCACAGTTTGGAAGGGAGAAGGCTGGGGATGTTCAAATAGTAGGCAGACCCCCTGAACAACAGTAGCAGGTGTGGTCCAAACTTACTGGCCGGCCTGCAGGCCAGGAGGCCAGTGCCATCATCCCCTCGTGCCTGGTGACGATCAGCCCTTAGAGCTTTGAGTGCCAGTTTAGCAGAGAGGGTGGACTGATCCCTGGTCTTCTCCAAGGACAGCCTAACTCATCAGTCAGCATCCCAGCCCCAGACCAGCCCCAAGGTCCACTGCATCTGATGTGAGTCTTCAGACCTAAACGAGAGGTGAGGCCGGAGTGAAGGCCCACACTCTCCTTTTAGTTCTCTTTTTTTTCTCCATTATTGGCATGATTTTGACAGTCTCTAGGTGAATGCCTATAAGGACAAAGGAAATAAATTTAAAATGTGAATGCAATAGGGAAAATGCAATTTTTACAGGCGTCTCTGAGAGTTGGTTTTCACTTTAAGACCTGGCAGTGGCAGTAAAAGTGCACACCTTGTTTGAAAGGTGCAGTGCCAGTGGGAGAGGCTGGGAGTGGACCAGACATCTATGAAATCCACACTGTTGTAGAAACCTGTAAACCCGGTGTGGCGGCCCAGTGCAGAGACTTAGGATACAAAGAGAGAGGAACTTAAGTTATGTTGTGGAAATGTGACTTCTTAATACCGTTCAGAAAATAGGTACAGAGGCAACAGTCCCAATCTTCTGCTAGAAATTTCACTCGGCTAAAAGCAGAACGTTTAAATACACTCTTGCCATGGGCTGCTGAGAGGTCCAGCTCTCAAGAAGTGGGAGCAGCTCTAGGGATGGCCACGCTGGGCTCACTTCCGAGAAAGAGGAAGAGTTAGTTGGGGTGAGGAAATCATGGAGGAGAAAGACCAGTCATTTCGGGGCTCCTCGTCCTGAAAGCAGAGACTGCCGTACAGAACTCAGCCCACGGAGGTCAGCCACAGACACCTCAGGAAGCACAAAGAAGAGAACGATCTTGTGATTCCAGGAGAGTCTCTGAAAAGAAGGTAGTTCAAGAAGAGTAGAACAAGCAGGGGCTTGCAGAGAATGAGAATACCACATGGGCCTCTGCGGTGAATTTAAGGCAAGAAGGAGAATGAGGAAGCAACAGCCCCTGCCTGTGAGTGGCCTACAGGCTAGAAACAGAACAGCAGACGCTGCCACAAAGGAATTGACCCAATGCATTTACAAAGCATTCCAGTCTTTCTTGTCCAGCTTTATCCCAAGTAGTGGAAGAACCTCCTGATACTTTCTTAAAGCTTCTGACAGTGATCTCTGTGAAATTATGGAGCGTGTGTAGGGGCCAGAGAAGCGAAACATTTTGATTTTCTACAGCTAGGAGGCTGTAGGAGAGTAAGCTCGATGTTAATTCCTGGAAGACTCTTAGGGTATATTCTTTAAACAATAGTGTGTGTGCTTTCAAAAGAAATCGGTAATTTTAGGAACATGGCAAATTAACTGAACTTTCTTTTATTGTAGGTCTACTAGGTTTAGATCAAAAGAATACCGAAGATAGTGTTGATTTTATTAAGGCACTGAGGGGCATCTATCATGATTTCTTTTGAAAAATATGGAGAAATATGTTAATAATTGTTAGGCCAACACTGGCCCAAAAATGCAGATTAACAGATTGATGTCAGTTTGGAGGGAGGACTTCAGTTCATTGTCATGGGGCTCAGGCCTAGTCAGCATGTCTACCACTGGCCTTCATGAAATTGCAAAATAGAAACTTAACGAATTTGTTGAAGACACAAAGTTGGGAGAGATGACTAATGCCATATAAATAATGCATAGAAAACAATATTTTTAAAATCCATGCTGGTTTTTAATTTAACATGACAGGAGACCAAATATGCTTGATATACTTCCTAAGAACATATAAATAAAGTACCATAAATATGCCAACAAGTTTGAAACTTCCAATCACATTGTAAATCAAGGGGCGCTAAAGAGCAAGTGGAATTCCTACCAGTGGGAATGGGTGAATTGAGAGGCATTTTTCTGGCCTGCACTCCACGTGTCTATCCACTGACAGACCCAAAGAGCTGGATTGTTGAATAAGATGTGATTCAGGCAGAAAAATATGAAGACATATGAAAATATGCAAGGTCTCAGAAAATAAAGCATACATGTCCTCCTCCAGAGACAATGAATCAATTAATTTTTAATGTTCCAAGTGATTGAGATGAATGAAAATCCAGGACCCCAGCATAGTATAAAATGGACCAATGGTGAATTGAAACCAATTAAATAGAGCTGAGGCATCCTGAGCAAGAGCACAAGCTCTGGGAGCTGCAAATGAGCCTCACCCCTGCCACTTACTAATTGTGGGACTGTGCGAGAGTTATTTAACCTTTCTGAACTTCACTGAACAGGTGTGATTTCTGTGAGGATTAAATAGAAAATGTAGGTAAAGTGCCCAAAATTACAACTCTTATCAACTTTATTAGTATTATTTATAAAAATAACTATGTTAACTATAGTTACAAAATAAAAATTAGAATTTAGTTTTAAAAATAATATTTTGAGAAATAACAATATAAGAAATTGCCTATATAATACAAGACTAAATTGGTAATGACAAGGAAATATTGGGTGCTGGAGGGAAGCAGGTGTTACATGTATTTTAAAACTTACTTGTGTTAATGAAGGGAACCATGAGTTAAAGTTTTGTTTTGAACTTTGTAAATTATAGAAGTTTAATTTGCAAATGCTTTTAATACGTATAAAGGTTAAAAATCCGGGTTTCAACTTTCAAAAACTCAAGATAAAACAAAAGTATACTCTATGACAGCAGTCCCCAACCTTTTTGGCAGCAGGGACCATTTATTAGTCTGTTCTCACACTGTTATAAAGAACTACCTGAGACTTAGTAATTTATGAAGAAAAGAGGTTTAATTGACTCACAGTTCCACAGGCTGTACAGGAAGCATGGCCTGGAAGCCTCAGGAAATTTACAATCATGGCAGAAGGCAAAGGGGAAGCAGGCATGTTTTATCACAGCAAAGCAGGGGAGACAGAGAGAGAGCGCATGCACAAAGGGGAAAGTGCTACACACTTTCAAACAACTAGATCTTGTGAGAACTCACTTACTGTCATGAGAACAGTAAGGGGAAGTCCGCCCCATGATTCAGTAATGTCCCACCAGGCCCCTCCACCGACATGTGGGGATTCCAATTTGAGATGAGATTTGGGTGGGTACACAGAGCCAAACCATATCACACCAGTCTCATGGAAGATAATTTTTCCACTGACTGAAGGGATGGGGGCAGGGTTTTGGGATGAAGCTGTTCCACCTCAGATCATCAGGCATTAGATTCTCATAAAGAGCATGCAACCTAGATCTCTCACATGCGCAGTTCACAATAGTGCTCGAGCTCTTATGAGAATCTAATGCTGAGAGGAGGCAGAACTCAGGGAGTCATGCTTGCTCACCTGTAGCTCACCTGCTGCACAGCCGGTTCCTAACAGGTCATGGACCGGTACCGGTCCGCCATTGTGGGGACTGGGGACTCCTGCTCTATGAAACAAAAAATGAGAAAGTAAACACACAGATATCCAGAAGCATAAAACAAAATGACAGAAGTAGGGTTGAACGTTTAACTATGCTAAAATATGTAAGTGGGTTAAACACTCTTATTATTAAAAGTATAAGACTTACAGATGTTGGTTAAAACAGAAAATGTATCCATATTCTGTACAGGAGACACTAAAACAAAGTGTTGCAAAAAGGCTAAAAGTTTAATTAATTAATTAGGAAACAGTATCAGAATAGATTTACAATATAAAGCAGCTGGTGCTATAAAATACAAAATTTAATTAATTTACCTCTGGAAATTTAGAAATAAAAAAGAGCAAAAATTAATAAGGAAACATAATAGCATAAGAGAATGAATGCTATTCATAGTGGTATGCTAAGAAATTTGAAAATCTTAATTGTAACTTTCTAGAAAAATATAAATTTCAACTTTAGATAATTTTTTTCAAAATACAGAAGAACATTAAAGTTAAAAATTTATTTAATAAAATTAGCATTATCTTGACAAAGATGTCACCAAAAAAGTCTTAGAATAATCTTATATATGTACACAGATGAAAAAAGAAAAATGAAATAAAATTGAATCCATTGGATTCACAGTTAGGTAAGACACAGCCAATGAATTCAAGGACTATTCAATGCTGGGAAATTTAATACTATAATATATCACATTGGTAAGTCAACTAAAAAATGCAGCATGCAATAAAACTCAATATCCATTTTAAATACAACTCTTAAAATACTAGGAATAGAATGACAGCTAATATGATAAAGAATGTATCTCAAACTAACAGCAAACATTTAGTGATGATGTCCTGGAAGCATTTCCTTTAAAATCAAGAACAAGAAAGGAACGTGCACTAGAACCATTGCCAGTCAGCGTTGTGAAAGGTCGAGGGGCTACAACAAAGCAGGACGTGGAAAGGAAGAGAGAAAATTATCAATATTTGCAAATGGTGTGATTATAGTCCTAGAAAATCTAACTGAAAATAGTTAGCATTAATAAAAGGGCCCCAGAAACGTGACTGGATATGACATAAATAGTTTAATAATCAGTAGTTTTTATGTACCAAAAATGACCATCTGGAAAATAAAATGGAAAAGAATTCCTATTTACAACAATTACAAAACTTTTAAAATGTGCTTAGGGAAAATATTCTAAACACATGGGACTGTATGACAAAATTAAATTTAACTAAAAGATATAGAAGAACAGTTAGAATAAATGAAAGCATGTCGTATTTCTATAGGAAAGATTGAATATCTGAAGATGCCAAATCTTTCCAAATTAATTCATGAGTTTAAGAAGAACCCTAATCAACAGCCCAGGGTGTATTTTCTTTGTTTATATTTTGGTTTGGGCATTGTTTGTTGTTTTGGTGGGGAGTGGAAAGGAGAGTGCTTAGAAAAATAATTCTAGAATTTATCTGGAAAAATAACCAGACCAAATTTACCAAGAAAGATATGTCATGAGCACAGTGAGGAAAGGATAAGAGACGGCATTCCTACAGATGAACAGAATGGTGCGGGTAAAGGAATCCACGGACAGAGCTGTGTGAAACAAACAACCAGGAAACAGCCTCTAGTAATGATATTTGTTGGGGCATAAAATAAAATTTTTAAAAATAAATGTGTCCAAAATAACCTTGTATTCAACAGCACCATTTTAAAAGTAGAAGGCCAGAGCCATAAAATAATGCATCAGTCAAAGGCAGAAGAAAATTTGCATCCTCCTATGTGTCTCCAAAGTAGCATATACTGTGTACTAGAAAACAAAATCTGTTTTCCCTTACAAAACCAGTTTAAAATTCCCCTCAATTTATGTATGGTAAAAATAACTTTAAGGTGCTTCTCTAAAAAATGAAACTAATATGCAGTGCATCTGTGGCTCATGAGAACCTACTATATGGTAAAGGAAGCAAAGAAGTTTTAAGGAAGGTGGGCGAGGGCAGGGACTGGATTGGTAAGTATTTGGAAATAAAATAACTTTACATACCTTTTTTTTTTTTTGAGACAAAGTCTCGCTCTGTTGCCCAGGCTGGAGTGCAGTGGCGCAATCTTGGCTCACTGCATCCCCCACCTCCCGGGTTCAAGCGATTCTCCTACCTCAGCCTTCCGAGTTGCTGGGATTACAGGCACATGCCACTGCAACCAGCTAATTTTTTTTTTGTATTTTTAGTAGAGTCAGGGTTTCACCATGTTGGCCAGGCTGGTCTTGAACTCCTGACCTCAGGTGATCCTCCCGCCTTGGCCTCCCAAAGTGCTGGGATTACAGGTGTGAGCCACCACGCCCAGCCTACATACCTATCTTATACATTTAGACAAAGCAAATTACAGGTGGATTCAAATAGTTAAATGAAAGAAAATAAACCATAAGACTTGGGGGAAAAAGACTATTTAACTGCCTCCAGAATTATGGAAGACTTTATAAACATGAAAGTAATGGAGGAAGGCACAAAAGAAAAGACTGAGATTCAACTCATAAAAATAGAAAACTTTTACCCACAGAAAAATTACAGAAAATTTTGGAAGGCAAACACACACTGGGAAAATGTTTATTAAAGTGGTAGACACGGGGTCAATATTGCTGCTGTATAAGGAGATCTTAGAAATCAATTAAAGAAACACATCCCCATTAGAAAATTTGGCAAAGGACGTGAACAGATTTATTCACAAAATATAAACTACAAACTGGTAAATACATTTTGATTTTTAAAATCAGCCTCACTAGTAAAATAGAAACATAAATTAAAAGAAGATGCTATTTTTCACTTAATAAAGTAACACAGATTAAAAAAATACATTAGCAATAGGTGTGGTAAAATGGGCTCTCATATACTATGATAGAAATAGAAAAAAGTTATAACCTTTCTGGAAACAATTTAGCAATGCATATCAAGGTCTTTGAAATGTTCATACCCTATTACCACTAATTTTCCATCTAGGAATTTGGGCTGAAAAATAATTAGACAAAGTTTTATATTTACGTATAATGATGTTCATTTCAGCTCATGTATAACAGCAAGAAAAGAGGAGAGAACCTAACATCAAAGGGGAATGTTTAAATGTGTTATAACTCATATGATGAGCTAATAAAACTTATGTTTTTGAAGCCAACAAGTTGAAATGCTCATTTCACATTAATAGCAGGATATAAAATATATGGACAGCATATGAATTTGAATAAAGTTTAAAAGGAAAATAAATATGCATAGTATCACATTTTTGTACAGTATAAAAATAAATTCAATAGTATCTTAATAAAAATTCTGGGCCAAAACTAATGAGATAAATTTAGTATTAGAAATGCTAAGTTATGGGCTCAGCCTCAAAAAATAGGAATGAAAGAGGACTAACTTAACTATTGCATTTATGAAAAGGATCGGGGGGATTTCACTGCCCCAGGCTTGGTGTTGTGATTGTAGTCGAAGCTGACCTGGGTTGCCTTGGTGGCAGTCTGCGGTGTCCAGGTGGGGAGGGGGCAGTCCCTATGCTCTGTACAGTCAGGCTCGTCTGCTCTCCAAGTTTAAAGAGAAGCAAGGTGTGTCCTCCTCTCATGTTGGTCACATTCAGTGAGGGACCCCAGGGGAACCATCTGGAAACTGTTACATAAGGAACTGCAGAAGGATCTAGGGATGTTTTACCTGGAAACAAGGATATTTAGGGGCAATGGAATAGCTGATTTCACATACATAAAGGGCTACATGAGGCTGAAAAATCAGACTAATTCTGAGTAGCTTCAGGAAGCAGAACTAGATTTTGGGTAGGAGTGAAAGGGAGAGGCAGGTTTTAGAGCCATGTAAGGTGTAGTCAGGTGTTCATCTTGCAAAATGGTGAGCTCACCAGGACACAAAGCATCCTTGAGGAGTGAAGATGAGAGGCTTCATCGGGCAGAAGTTGGAATAGAAGGCATCAAAAGACCCAGCCGTAGGATTTCTGCAGTCCCATCATTGACTGACTGGAGGCCCAGGTGGGCAGAAAGAAGGCGTTGAAGGGGCATAGACTCCTTTGGCCATTGGTTTTCAACCTTTGCTTTACAACACAAGCACCTGAGGAGCTTGTTAAAACAGTGCTGGACCCCACCTCCATAGTTTCTGATTCCGCAGGTCTCAGGTGAGGACCTGAGAATTTGCATTTCTGACAAGCTCTCAAGTGATGTTGCTGCTGCTACCACTGGTGCTCCAGGAATCACACTTTGAGAACCATCTCCTTAGGTCAAGAGCAAGAAATAAGGAGATATTCTTAAGCCCGATGGTACAGAGACCTAGAAAAAAAATATGGCACACAGGAAGCAAGCACATACTAAATGACATATGGCTTTTTTTTTTTTTTTTTTTTTTAATCTCGGACTCTTGGACAATAGTGTTGAAACTTGTGGAATTAAATCACAGACTGGAGGCCGTTCTTTCCAGATCCACATTTCTACCTGGATGATGGGCTCTGTCACCAGGCCAAAGAAATTGATGTTGAGTATTAAAAGCCTCTAAGGGGAGCGGATGCTGCAATTTTCTTCCTTCCCCTCTTAGATGTTCCTAGATGGTGGGGAAGTTCATTGTCACTTAGAAATTCATGAAGGAAATAGAATATTGCTCATGGACTTCAGAATGGCCCATAATTAGCTCTTTTGGGTTTTGTTTTGTTGGTTGGTTGTTTATCATTTGTTGTTTTACTGGACCTTGGAAGGAGTCTTCCTCAGTGAAACCCCTCGTTATAAGAACAGATAGTATATGATGTAGACAACCACAGATGGGACCCCCAAGTTTGATGATGTCCTCAGTGTCCTGCAGTTATTCCAACAAAGATGCACAATTCCCGTCGTCATCTCCATTCAAAGTAAGGCTCATTTATTTGAGCTTTCAGCTGATTGGTTTAGGAAGAGAACTGTGTACAGCCTCCCCCACATCTCCCCACCCCTTGCTGCTCTCTTCCTGAGCTCACTATGTCAGTGTGAGCAGACTGTGCGCCTAACACACCGGAGTCTGTTGCCATGACGCTGGGGAGAAATCTGGTTCCTATAGCAACATCAGGTTGACTCGTTGCACCTTATGACACAGGCAGATCTCCAGCAGGGGCTTCTTTGATCTCCAGTTAATCCAGGAGAGATGGACACATGTAGTACTGGAAAATATTACATTTTCCCACAACCCACCTAATCCTGCCTGCCTGCCTTTCATCCTCCACATTACCAAAATAATAATAATAAATAAATCCGCATTCCCTTTTTTTTTTTGGCAACCTGAAAAAATAAAGCAATGGATCACTTTAATGTTCTCAGCAGATTAAAACATAGTTTGAGGGTCAATCCCTATCGCCTCCCTTTCCAAGGCCCATCCATCCGTTAGCCTGCCCCCTGGCATGTTCCTTGAGGCCTGTCCATCTGGCCTGGCTGGCTGGTGAGAAGTCCTGTCAGCCTCAGGGGTCCGGGGACATGCCAGTAGTGCAATGGCAGCTCCCTGGGCAGGCCTAAGAGGCCAGGGGCTCGTTAGCAATGGTAGCAGATGGATGCGGGGGCAGCCCCAGGAGAGGCCAGCAAGTCCGGTGCCGAGAAGCTCCTTGACTCACCATCCAAAGGAATGCACGGTGTTGGCTTCTGTATGTCACAAAGTGGGCAGCCAGCCTGGGGCACTCGGCACATTCCTGGTCTGGTCTGTGGCGGGAGAAGTGACAAGGAACTGGATCGTTACTGACAGGAAAGCATCTCGTTGTTCTTTAAAGAGACTTTCAGCGAAGGAGGATCCATGATTTTCCCCAACCCTTCATTTGAGTGCCTTTCAGCCTTCCTTGGGGAAAACATCCATATGTTTTCTACTTATATTACTTACTTGTCACCCCTCATTCATTCAGCAAATGCTCACTGAGCTTCTCCATGTGGCAGGCTCCGTTCTAGACCCTGAGCACTGAATAACACGAACGGGGTTTCTCCTCTCCTGGCACCTACATTCTCATGGGGGAGACAGATAATAAGTAAAGAAAATGTCAGGAACATGAATATACAATGGGGAGTTTTGGGGGAGGCTGCAAAGTGAGTGGTCGGCAGAGGTCTCCTGAGGTGACACTGAGGCCCGACTGCCCTGAGGAGCCTGCCCTGGGACAAGCTAGAGAGAGGGTGTCCCAGGCAGCATGCAGAGGCCAGCATGGAGCGCTCTGAACTGGGCAGAGCAATGGGGCAGGAGTTTGGCGTGGATTCAGGGGCCGCAGCTGTAGGGCTTGTGAGCCAGGGGAGAGATTGGATTTTAAGTGATAGATATGGGAACCATTGAAAGTATTTCAGAAGGGAAACAACAGAATTATATTCGTATTTATGAGTTTGCTCCAGCTGCCTTAACAAACCCTCTTCAAGCCCATTTTCCTTTTGCCTTTCCATTAGTGGCGATTAAAAAAAGATATTTGCCACCCTTCTTAGGCTTGAAGGTGATCTGCAAGTCAAACCTCATGCTTTTCTCCAGTATCAGTAAGCTCAGTCCCATTTTTCCTCTCTTGTGCATGACGAACTTTGTTATGCCAGCCTTCAAGGGATATTCCGAATTCCTTTTTCTTAGAATTCTAGAGCCAGCGGGGGCCTTACAGATCACTGGGTCCAGTCCTTATTTTACAGATGAGGAAACTTGGTTGCCACAGTGGTCAAGGGACCTGGCCCACATCACAACTCCGCTAGCCAGGGCTGGGCCTCTGGTGCTAGAACCCAGCACCCTCTTCCGCCCCACAACTAGTAGACAGTAGACTAGTAGTCTTCCCACGTGCACGTTTACTTACCAGTGCTCATTATTTCTTCTCTTCCTTTTCTGATTCATCTCTCTGCCTTCCTCTGGTCCTGTCATTCTTCCCTGGTATGCTGGAATTTTTTAGTAATGGACTGTTGATTGCAGTATGTGGGAAATTTGGCCATAAGTTTTGGTTCTATGTGGTTTTTTATTGTGGTGGCAATTGTTTTTGCCATTTTCTGCTTTGGTGTTATTTGTGGCTCCCATTGGGGCCTCCCTAAGCCCTGCTTATTTTCCCATGACTGGGGACTGGGTGTTATTGTTCGTAACTCAATATTCCAGCCATGGCATTCAAGGCCACCAACCCTCTGCCTGTCTCAATAGCATATCACAGCCCACGCCACATTGGCCTTCCGTGGGCCAGGCCTCAGGGTGGGAACTCAGCCAGGGTGGTTTTCCTACTCTGAGGCATTGGTAGAGCGGTCAGGGCTCCCTGCTGGCTTACACCCACATAGCAGCTCCTAACTCCACAGTTTGTCTTCCCCTCTTCTGTCCACTCCAGCTCAGGGCCCCTTAGCCATTCACTCAGCAGACAAAGAATACTAATAGTAGGTGATAACCACTGCTGCAGGGATGACACATTAGCATTAGGTGACAAATAAACCATCTCCAGTCAACATTATCCCTGCTGCATCCAACCAGCACAGCCGGGAAAGCAAACAATGAGGCAGAAGCGCGTTTCCTCACTCTGAAAGGCATGCATGCACTGGAAGTTGGGTTCATTGGAGAGCAGGGTGGCTTCACATCGGGATCTGTGGCAGGACAGCCTCAGAGCTTGGCAGTGTTGTCTGGGAACTGGGCAATATCAATAATAAGGTGCTTCCAGTGACAGTCTACGTCTTCATCTTTACAAAAGCTTTCAGAGATAAGATTATTGCTCCAGTTTTCAGATGGGGAACAAAATGAGACAGGATTAGTGATTCTTTCAAGGTCAGCAGGCTGGGGAAAGTCAGGGTTGGAACATGAACCCAGTGCAGGGCGCACTTCTCACACACTGCCCTTCTCTCTGGGCAGCAGATGTGCATGTGCTGAGCGGCTGCCAAGGAGACAGGATGGTTGAGACTCTGCAGAAGAAGGGCTGGCATCTTCCCTGTGCTGCCTCAGTGGGACAGGTTGGGCTGAGATCTGCAAGGTACAAGCAGGGCTTGCTTGGGGTTCTGATGAGAATGATGCCCAGTGAATGATGCCCGGTGTCGTGGCTCAGCAGAACAGGCCTGGCATGAGGCTCAGGAGATGCGTTTCCTGGGTCTGGCCCACCTTCGGCTCCTGTGGCACTGGGAGTACTCTTAAGTCTTAGCTCTCTGAACACCAAGTGAAGGAGTTAGCCTGGAGGTCCCCAACGTTACACTCACTGATACCATTCTATGATTTACAAAGCTCTTCCTTGATGATCAGATGTTTCTTTTCCGAGGTATTTCAACTTCCCATTTATAGTTAGTATTGAAGTGCCACCTGTGGGTTTTCCAGGCCGCTGTCTCTTTTCTTTATACATCATACCCTAAGGATGCTTATTATTGCTGCTGTTGTTAAATCAAGTCCTTGTCTTAGTATATGTATCTTAACATATTGAGTTAGAGACAGTGCCTAACTTGACAATTCTGACAGTGTTGATATAATCCATGGAGAGTCTTTAGCCCACTGGTTCTGCCCAGAGCTCACTGGTAACTCAGGCTCTCTGCATGGCAAAGTGGAAGACGTTGACCACACCACTTGATTGGGAGCTGTCTTCCTTCCCTGGGATGAAACCAGTCAGGACCTTCTCACATGGGAGGAGTATCAAAGACTAAACCAACCTAGAAACAGTCCAAGAAGAACCAAACAACGAAGCAAGCAAATCAAAACAGGGGAAGAGGACAAGCAGGGCCCCAGGCAGTTTGGCTGGTGCCCAGCACAGGGCCTGGCACTAACAAGTGTTTGAGAAACATTGAGTGAAATGACATGGTTGCTCAGTAGAAGGAGCAGCCATGCTCAAGGCCAGAGTCGCCCCTTCAGTCTCAGCCATTGCTTGGGGAAGTGGTCTGTTTTTGCCATTAGAGAACACACTGCCATGGAGGACACTCTAGATCAGAAGTCCAGGTCGGAGTCATGGCTTTGTGACCTCCTGTGTGGCTTTGGGCAAGCCACTAAACTCTGAGCCTCTGTATGTGAGGACAAGCGCCCATTCTTCTTCTTATTGCAGAGTCCTCATAAACTACAACTGGATGATGCCCCCTGAGTACCTGTGCTTGAGGAGGGGGGCAAATAGCACCGAGATGGTGTCTTACCCACCTTTGTATCCCCAGCATGTGGCACAGAGCCCTCACTCATTAGGTTCTCAGCAAAGATGAGTGGGTGTTCGGATGGATGCACAGCTTAGGCGGACAGGTGGACGAATAAATGTGCAAGGAAGGTTCTGGGAGCTGCTGGCGGCAAACTTTGCTTGCTTCCCAAGGATTGTCCTACCTTTCTGTAATAGGCTAGGGGGCTGTGAGCTGCAGTATATTTCTGCTCACAGGAGCCCTTTCCCTTGGGGAGCTATGTGGAGGGCAAGACCACCCCAAGAACCCCAACATGAAACCTTAACTGGGATTCTGCTGCTCTAGGCTAAGCAATCCTACATTCTTGACTAGAAGAGTGTGTCTTAGGCATACATTGCTGCACAGAAAACCCCCCACCTCCTCCCTGCTTCACAGAGATGGGGTGAAAGATGGTGGTGCCCTAAGAATGCAGAACCCCTGCGCCACACAAAGCATGCTCGCTACGCCCACTAGCTGGCCAGGAATGGTAGGAATCGCAGGGACCATGATCAGGCCTTTTCTGCTGGGGCCACCTGCTGCTGCTGTTGTCACGTTCTGTGCTCTGCCGCCATCCTCTGCGGGGGTGGAGCCAGCATCTTGGCAGCCCCAGGGTAATAATTAGGGGAGGGGCAGCTCCCCAGCTGGCGTGGTATTTGAGGAGGGGCCTGGAGGAGAAGGAAGGGCTGGGACACGGCCAACAAAAGGAGAAATTAAATGGGCTGTCCTGGGAGCCCATAGTTAGCATTTAAACACCAGCATGAGCTGTGGGTTTCACTGAGCAGGGCTGTGTGTGGCCTCAATGCCCTCCTCTCCCGGCCCCCGTTCTGTTTGTGAGCACAAGCTGGGAGGACTCTCAGCAGAGCCCTAAGAGGTGATGTTGTCATGCCGAAGCCCAGGATTCAGGGGCTTTCATGCAGTGCAAGGACAAACATGGCGAACACCACATGCACCCAGCTGCAACAGCGCTGCACCCCTGACCTACTCACAGCCCTCAAGGAACTCACCGACCAGCCTAGCCTTACAGCGGCTATCACAGGTGTGCTGGGCCCCTGACGTCGAGGGATTTAGGGTTTTGTTTTATTTGCTGTCAGCATGGTTCGCGTTGCAATTTCGATTGTGGGAAGACAGCCAGGAAATACTAAAGAAACACCCCATACCTCCTTCACCACAGCCACAGGTACTGAGCATTGAGCACACGTTATATGTTCTTTATCTCCTCCAGTCTGCACTGCTCACTTAAAAGGTGGGGCGTATTATCCCCGTTTCACAGCTGAGTAAAGTGAGGTTCACAAGAATGTTGTGGCTGGCCCAAGTTCACACAGCTAATGAGGAGGGGAAAGGATGCCAAGTGAGTCCGCCTGGCTCCTGGAGCTCCTTCTGCTTCTCCATGATTTCTGAAGAACACACGAGGCCTCCCTGTGTCCTGTGGGAGAATTCACTGTCTCTACTACGTGGGAAAATGTGAAAGAAGGTAGGCCTGAGTGCTCCCGTAAGCTTTGGGGAATGAGAGCTGAGTGAATTGGCCTTACTAAGTGATCTGGCAGTAATCTGGTGGTCTTGAGCCTAGAAGAGGGTTGGGGTGAGTGTGAAGAGTATGATCCCCCGCAGAGCCGAGTCATGACTTCTCTTCTGCCAGGAGCTCACTGGACTCCCATACCCTTCTTTGGACTTTAGTTTCTTCCAGTAATAATGATTATAAAGTCTAGAAATAATACGATTAACAACCACAACTGAGTAAATACTTGGGAATTAGTGAAGTGCTAGGTCTTGTGAGCAGATTCTAGAGGTAGAAACAGCCCCAGAAACACAAGCTAGAAAAAGAGGAACAGCTTCCAGGAGAGTTCCAGGCATCCTAAGGGAAGCACGGGCCTCTGCATGTGGATGGGTTCGAATGCCAGATTCCAGCACCCCTCTATGGCCTCTGCAATCTGCAGTCTTTTAAAACTGTTTTTACATTAGAACATCACAGGGTTGGACTGTGCCGCCACAAAAGCGCCTGTCTTCATTACCCATGATTCCTCAAATCATCAAACGTAAGCACATAGATGCCAACCAGTGTCTACGGGGTGTACCAAGCACAGGCCCATGGGAGCCATCTACCCTGTGCGGGCAAGAGGGGAGCAGTTGTCTATGGGAAATTTAAAAACAATCATAAAATTCACAGAAAGATGGTCTACTTTGTATTGTCATCATGGCCTGGCCATTCTAAATAAGGTCGGGGATAAAATACTCCCCGTGGGGGAAGAGTGTTCCCTCACCACTTCACAGGCTACTAAATCTTCATTGCTCTCGGCCATTGCTTGGTTGTCCTTGTTCTTTTTGTTTGTTTATTTGGGTCCTTCCTTCCTTCCTTCCTTCCTTCCTTCCTTCCTTCCTCTCTCTCTTTCCTTCTTTTTTTCTTTCCTTTTCTTTTCTTTCCTTTCTTTGCCAATAGGCCACCGTAGTCAGTTTCATGTGTCTTCCTGGTCAATCCCATGTTTACTGCACAAATTTAGGTTTCTTTTTTGTGGTCGCATTTAGGAAACTACCTAGAGAATAGTGAGAAACCACAGGAGGGAAGGAGAACAGCGAGAAAAATACTGTTTTCTTTTTGTTGTTTACTCATAAATGTCACAGAAATATTTCAGTTCCTTTTTGGTTTTGATAAGTGCTTTTTTAAACCAAGTCCTAAATCAAGGGCCTCTCTTGGCAATGTCCCTTTGACAGAACCGAGGGAGGGTGGCAGGGCAGGGAGGCACAAGCTGCAGAGGCACTTGTACTGTACAATTTTCTGGGTCCTGACTGATAAATTATTGTGCATCTTGTGCGTGCTCTGACATGCAGTACAATTTGTCCATGTAACGGTGATGATAGGCTGTCCCGGGCTAATAATCATGAACCCTTTATTTAGCTCCTTCAGCCTTTTAGAGAAATCTTAAGTAACCGTTCATATCCCTTTATCGGTTTTCTCTTCCACATTTTAGCATAAGTGGAAAAAGCTTTTAACCCTGAGAATTTTACTCACCCTGGGGCTGGGGACAAGGAAGAAGGCACGTTGTTAAAAGTGTACAGGAATTGGAGGATCTTGACGCTCCCGATAGAACAGCTTTTTCTTGGTCTGCCTCCTAGGAGTGTGAGGCTGTCTGGGTGGTAGAGATTGTCCAGTCCATCTCTCATTTTACTGGTGAGGAAGGGATGCAAGCCCTGAGACGTAAGTAACTGGCCCATGGTCACATGGCACAGTCATCTGGAAGTGACATTGAGCTTCCTTCACCCATTACAGAGAGCCTGCCATGATGCGGGACATAATAATATAAATAAAGACATGGCCGGGCGCGGTGGCTCACGCCTGTAATCCCAGCACTTTGGGAGGCCGAGGCGGGCGGATCACGAGGTCAGGAGATCGAGACCATCCCGGCTAAAACGGTGAAACCCCGTCTCTACTAAAAATACAAAAAATTAGCCGGGCGTAGTGGCGGGCGCCTGTAGTCCCAGCTACTTGGGAGGCTGAGGCAGGAGAATGGCGTGAACCCGGGAGGCGGAGCTTGCAGTGAGCCGAGATCCCGCCACTGCACTCCAGCCTGGGCGACAGAGCGAGACTCCGTCTCAAAAAAAAAAAAAAGACATAATATTACCAGCTCTCCTTTGGCACAGGTCCCCTGGTTCCCATCCCCACCCACGTGATGGTCAAGTCAGCTTAAGCACGTGTTCAACACTCTGCCCAAGTGGCTGGGTGTCCCTTGTATCCTTTTCTGTGTCCAAGTTATTGATGGTAGATTGTGTTCTCTGGAAGACAGATGTCGTCCTGGTGTGAATTGTTTCCTGTAGCATCTGTGTAGTCTAACCCTAACTTGCATGGTGCTTGCATGGCTATTTTTGGACTTGGCTTTGCAAGCTTTAACACGTGACGCTGCCTGTTTCTTTACAGGCACAATCTTGCAATTGAGGTGACTAAAAAGCAGTACCTGGACAATGGTATTAGGATTCAAATATAGCTTCTAAAAGATTGGAACGATAGCAAGAGGGCATGCAGGCATTCCATCTGTGTGTTTAGGTGGTAGCAAGGAGCATTCAGTTGCTCTCTGTCTGCAGCTGATGTTTTTCACCCCTCTGGGAGCCCGGTACTGACCTCTTCTGATAAACTGGGCTCTTAATAGGTTGGTTAGATTCCCAGTGTTCCCCCATCCCTCTTTCATCACATACACAAGGGGTTTGTCCAAGTGAGTATCACAAAGGTTGTTCTTGGCTTAAGGCTGGCACGAAAGGGCTCTGCCAGTGAGCAATGTTAGAATTAAAGACACAATAATACTAATTAACTTCCCCATGCCTGTGATCTCTGCATTTATTATTTGTGTAGAGATAAAGCCTTAAATAACATGACTGGCCTCTTTGGGGGCCCTGCTTGGGAGTGGGTGGGGGGCAATGTCCTCATTACAGCACGTAAGATGGATGGTGTCCTAAGGCAGAGGCACATCACCAAGGATCACCTACGGAAGGTGCAACCTCCTTCCCAGCTGGCCCGTGTGCTTTTTCCCAGCAGCACGTGGGATGGGGAGGGGGACTGAGGTGTGTGAAAGAAGAGAAGCAATTTCCAGGGATGTGGCCCTTTGCAAGGTCTCCACGTCCATGGCCATCTGCCTTCCAGGACCTGCTGTGAACTGTGCAGCAGACACACTCAAGCTGGCTGCCTGTGGTTGTGGGAAGTCCCTCACTCCTCTGTCCTCAGTTTTGTCATCTCTGAATGGAGGAAGGGAGGTTAGATCAGGCTTCCAAGAGTCCTTGAAGTTCCTGAAATTATATATAAAATGTGAATGTGTGTCAGGCATTTGTCAGGAGCTAAAAGGCCATTGCCTGTGATTCTCAGAGGTCCCTGAACCAAAGGCTAAGGGCCACCAAGTGAGATGCTCCCCAAGGATCCATCTTCCTCTTCCCGATTATGATTTTAGAACTTCCAAACCTAACGTGTGTTGTCAGCTCAGACAAACTCAGCATTCAGGTTGTAGAGACAGATGATGGATACTCGGTCAGAAATGCCCTATAAATTAGCTGCTTTAAAAGTATTGACCAAGTAGCCTTCCAGGAAAGTTCCCCAGATATGGTGGTTCTGGTGTTCCCACCTCATCTGCAACAGCCCTGGGAAGCCTGGCTCCTTGCCTCCAGGTTTTCCTCGATGTAAGGCCCTCCACCCCAGGACACTGTAGCAATCCTGGGGCTAACCCTGAAGACCATTTCCACTATTGGGCAGCCTTGGTGGTTTCCTTGTCGTAGAGAACTAACCCAGTTTCCCCAGACTGGCTACCTTCTCATCATCTCACCATCTCTAGCTTTCACTCAGATAGAATGATCTCAGAGCAATCGGCAGCATTTCTCATTTGGAATTTTACTAACAAATTAATAATAATGACTTTGACTATGGGGATGCTTAAGAAAATCTCCCAGTCCTTGGAGGTATCCTGGGAGAAGATAGAAACAACTCTGAGAATCAGAACATCTGGGAGGATTCTGCAGATGGATCCCAGGGACAGCCCAACAATCAGAGGGCCCTCCTTCAAAGCAAGTGCTGCCTCCAGCCTGGGGCAGACCCATCCCTCTCTGTGTCATTTGTTTTCCCAAACATTCCCTTCTTAAACTGGGGTTCATGAAGTCTATAGATGGAATTCCAGAGGGTTTATGAACTTGGAGAATAACTGGATCTTTATTATCACAGGCTTCTAGCCGAAATTTCTCACGGTATTCCTTCGCAAGTATAGACAACACACCACAATAGCATTAGCAGTTTCTGTTACTTTGTCCACCATTAGAAACCATGGATATTTTCTTATCACGTTAAGATGGTTGCAAATATCTCAAAAATATTGTTTGCTTTCAATACTACTTCAAAATTCTGGTAATCCACTAGATTTTGTTATTTAACATATTATCAAAGAAGCATGCATATTTGTGTATTACAAAATTGTCTTTAAATATTTTTGATATCTATATTTCAACATAACTGGCTTTATTTGCAATCCTTTATTTCCATTTAAGAACATTATTCTGAGAAGGACCTACAGCCATCATGAGAACCACCAAAGGCAGCCACAGCACAAGAAGCTTACAGACTTCTCTAAATTGGCAATTCACATTTCAATCCTGTGCTGCTTGTGTCTGAATCATATCATAGGGGGAGCTCTGAGCTTATGTGAACATCGAGGCTGTGAGAGACAGAAAGGAGAGATGTAGGAGCCAACCTTGTGTGTGCTGAGATTCGAAACCAGTCATATATCCCATAAGCAAATGTTCCTGAACTGGCAAATCCCAGAATGTATTTTGCCCTGGGCACCCTTTACCTCCTCATTAAATAAGAAAATAACCCATGAGTATTTGAAAGGAACTTGCATCGATGTGGAACTGACTGACTTAGAATAGAGCTCATCCGAGATCTTGAGATGGGCTTATTGACACAACCGCCTTTCAGCTGTTCTTGAGAGTCCCACAGGATGGGGAAAGCCTTGGTATTAGTCACTGGGATCAGAGCTGGGAAGCTGCTTAGCTCTGGGCTCAGCAGGCTGGACCAAGGCCACTTGTAGGTAAGAGAGGCAGTGTTCCCTAATGCACTCTAGATCAGCTGGAACTAGTTTGTAATCCTGGATTCAAGTCCCAGCACTATCATTAATGAACTGTGTGATCCAGGCAAGTGGTTTATCAGCCTTCTCTTCCATAAAATGGGGTGCTGTGCTGTGTAGGTGTGCCTGGCTTGTAAGCACTAAACGAGTGTAGCTATTACTATGATCATATGCAAGCAGCACCTGTAGCATTTGGAAGGCTCAGGAAAAGAAGGGTGGGTGGGAGCAAAGGCAAACAAGAGCAGTGGAGACTAAAGCGGGTTGTCTCGTGGCGATGCTTAACCTAGGGGCCTGGAATTTCCCCCTTTGCCTGGTCTTACTGTCATTGGAATAATCGTAACCACTCCTGGGTGGTAAGAGATCAGCAACATAGCTGTAGTTCGTTGGGTGGCAGGAATGTGCCCTTTGTCCTTGGTTTCTAAGTAATGATGTCTTCATGTCCGGTTGAGCGAGGGGTCAGCTTCAACCCTACGATAAACCAGTGGAGTTATAAATGGAAAGCCTGAATTCCCAGACAGAGGAGGCGATCCAATGAGACAGCAGAGTAAGTAGGGAATTTTCACTGCCTCGTCTGCAATGATAATGTGAATAGCAATAATAATCATCCTAAGAAAGGATTTTGTCTCAGAGCCAAGGCAAGGAAAAGAGCCTTTTCCCATGCCTTGCTGGGGAGAGCTGAACACTCAAACCACGTCAAAATAGAAGGAACCAAAAATACAGTGAAGTACCCTTTGCCCCAGTGAGAAGCCAGTGCAAGACAACGCCCTGCAGAATGGGCCAGAGGGCAGAAGAAGAGGCCAGGGCCCAGTCCTGAATTTGTCTGTTGGTTCTCACTTCCTCCTTTAATCATTTCAGAAGAGCTGTTAATGAGCAGGAAATCTAATTGATTAGCATTTCATCCTGGCTTCCCTTTCTGCCAAAGGTGCTAATGAGCAGGGAAATCACAGATCCTCCGGGTGCAAGGTACTTGAGAGGTTGTGAATGCATTTGCCACCCCTACATGGAGAACCTCATCTGAACCTCAGCAAACTGATAAGGACCACTCTGATTTTTAAAACCCTCCAGACAAGCTGCCTTCCTTCTGTGGATCACACACCACCCAGGTTAGCAGCAGTGCCACCAGAAACACTGTTGCACTCAAGTTTTCTCGCAGGTGACTCATCTGCATGCTCCTTGGCGGAGAATCGCGGGTTACTGTACTGTCTTTGTGTAAGAGTTCTTCATATTCTCGAAGATGTTTGTTACATCTTGTTTCTACTGTCTTTCCTCCAGGTTACACATTGTGCGTCTTTCACCCTTTCTGTGCAAGTTGTTCTTTCTGACCCTAATCACCTTATGTTGTTGGATCTTACTCCAAGTTCATCTACTTTGGTCGTGGATTCGGAACTGAGCCTAGAGTCCATGAAGGACTCTAGCAAGAATGAGCACAATTAGAGGTCTCCTGGCACCCTGTTGTTGTCTCCTTTTTTTCTTTCTAACAAAAGCCCATGGTCAGTCTCTCCAGTTCATGACTCTTTTTCAACCCCAGCCTCCCTTTCTCCGTTTGTGTACATGCCCTATTTTTCTTTTCCTGGTAGACAACCCTGCACTTTTCCTTCTCTGAGCAGCAACAGTGAAAGGGAAGGGAGGTGGAGGGAGAGTAAGCCACATGGGCAACCTGCAACCTGGGTCTCCAGCCTCTTGCAGTCTTGGTCCTCACCGTGGCATAGTATAGTACCAGTAGAGGCACTGCAGGGACAGATGAACTCCATAGCAAGGCATTGCAAGAGGCCTTTGGAGAAATTCCTTTGCAATTTGAGCAAAGCCCACTCCTTGGCTTAGCAAATCTTTTTACTTTTTGGTCTGCTAGAATTTACTGCATGCGTAGTTATCCAGAAGGTACGTCTCTGTCCCATTCGGCTTTATTAGACGCCATCTGGAAAGGGGCTGGGAGTGGTCAGCCTCAGGGAGGGGAGCCAACTGACCGTGAAAGGAGGGAGATGAGAGCGAAGTAAGCATAGTGCTCGCTCCCCAAGGATTGAAACTGCCTGCCCCGAGCTGAAGACTTACAAAGACGTAGTCCAGATTCCCAGAGAAAATGAGGCTTTATACCCATAACAAGTTGTAATTTGAGTCACCGGGGAAGTTAAGAAAGTGAAAACATGAGCAAATGCCAGTGTGATGGAATCAGAGTCTCCATGCTGGAAGAGACTTCAGAGGGATCTGCTTGAGCTCCCTGGCTTTATAGACAGGAAGACCGGCCCCCTCAGATGCACACAGCCAGGTACTGCACGGCCGGGCCAGAGGCTTTTCTGATGCCTGCCTCCCTCTCCCGGCAACGGAACCTCATCACCTAGTTCTGATAGGAAAAAAAAAAAATGAGGTGATCAGAAAACAACTTCCTCAACTTTCTCAGTCTCCACCAGCAACTAAAATTGTTCCTGTATCCCCCTCACCTTATCCACTTAGCACCCCTACACCCAAGGGCAGCTAGGACCCGCTGCTGTCTCTCCATGACCTCCCTCCCTCTGTAGCCTTAGGTAGGCCCCTGGCAGCTTTTGCCTGGAAATTTGCAACAGTCTCTTGACGGGTCCCCCTGCCTCCCTCCATTCTTAGTTCACCTGTCACTCTGTGGCTGCCTCACCCATCTAAGAAGCAAACCTGGTAAAATTGCTTCTGTTTAAAAGTCTTGAAATCCTGCAATGGCCTCAGTGGCCCCTAGGATAACTATAAACTCCTTAACATGGGCTACAAATAGGTGGTTTTCACCCCTGGGTGTATATTAGAATCACCTGGGATCTTTTTAAAATTACCCGTGCCTGGGTCTCACCCGTAGTGACTCCATAGAGTGGGCCTGGGTGGGGCCAGTGGTGTCCTACAGCTGGAACCAGCCCCAGCGACTCAGGAGAGGCCATCGCTTCCAGGAATCTTATGAGTGGGTTGTTAAATGACCATTATTAAAAATTATACAAACTTGTAAGTAAGTACATTATGTTAAAAACAAAGGTAATACATACTCAAAAGTCAGGTTTGCCTGATGCCTTTACTACCTTTCGAGGTAATTTCTATTGATTGTATCTGCTGGGTGGAAATACTATATAATGGTGTGCTACTACACATCTCCTCCCAACTCTGCAGTCAGTGACATCCCATTGGTAGCTTGAAATTGACCATGGCATGAGTATTTACATCATAGAAATTGGCAAATGCTACAAATCAGCCCCTGCCCCCCAACAAGTCATTAAACACTGATATCACTGGCTGCGGCTCAGGTATTTACATGATTTTTTTAAAGCTCCTCCGGTTGATTCTGATGAGCAGCAGAGTTGAGAAGCACCAGCCAGGATCTGACTCTTTCTGCCTCTTGAGCAAGCCTCATCTCTTAGAAAAACTCTCCTCTTCCCCCCAACTTTCTTCAGTCCTGCCACACACAACCAACTGCAGTGGCCCAAACACGAGTGCCATGTTATTTCTCATTCTGTGTTTTTACTCCTAGACACACTGATTCTTCTGCCTGGAATGCCTGTCACTTCCTTGTCTGCCTGGCAAGCACCTGTTCATCTTCCAAAACTCAGCTCAGTACTTTGTCCTGTGTGAGCTCTTCCTATACCTCCTCCCCACACAGGTTCACCACTCTGCCTCTGTGACCTGTATGTCTTCTCATTAAAGGGCTTTTAGAATTTTATGGTGCTTTCTGATTATGTGTCTCTATCTCCACCCCCATTAGACACTAAGCACCCGAGGGCAAGGGCGTGCCCTGTTTCTCTGCATCCCAGCAGGGAGTGCAGCACCAGCATAGTAGATGCTCAGTCCGTGTTTACTGGATGGATAAATGAGCTAAACCAGGTTTCCTGACTCCTGGGGCAGCCTTCTTGCCACCCCAGTCCTCCACCTGACCCAGCCTTTCTAAAGGCAGGAAGAGTAAATTACTGCCATTCCTGTGATGGACCACATTCTGAGCTTGCTGCTGCTAGACGTGGTGTGAAGATGGTTCTCACAGCTCTTTTAACAATAAGACTTTTTAAACTGACTTTAGTTATTCCAGGTTTAGAATTCTGTCCATTCATTATTCATTCAATAACATGCCAACATTATTCCAGGCCTAGAGATGCAGTGGTGTGCAAGGCAGGGGAGGGCACTTTCTTCAGAGCACTTTCAGTTAGGAGGTGACTCAGATGATTAAAGAAGCAATGACTGGCCGGGTGCAGTGGCTCATGCCTGTAATCTCAGCACTTTAGGAGGCCAAGGTGGGTGCATCATTTGAGGTCAGGAGTTCGAGACCAGCCTGGCCAACTTGCTGAAATCTCGGCTCTACTGAAAATACAAAAATTAGTCAGGCGTGGTGGCAGGCGCCTGTAATCCCAGCCATCCAGGAGGCTGACACAGGAGAATCGCTTGAAACCGGGAGGCAGGGGTTGCAGTGAGCCGAGATTGCACCACGGCACTCCAGCCTGGGCGACAGATCAAGACTCCATCTCAAAAAGAAAGAAAGAAAGAAAGAAAGCAATGACTAATAAGTGAACTAAGAGCGAAAGAAAGAAAGAAAGAAAGAAAGCAATGACTAATAATGAACTAAGAGCTATAGCATAGAAAATGCTAGGTTCCATCCAGGGTTAGCTCCTAGTCTGTGGGGTTTCATGAAGGCTCCCCAGAGTAGGTGGAGCCAAGGGCTGACACCTGAGGCAAAGAGGAAGGTGGAAAGCTGTTCCCTGCAACTGGAAGATCCTGTGAAAGGGCTCCAGGGCCAGAGAGAGCTCAGCAGCTGCAAGGAACAGAAAGAAGTTGCCACAAAGCCTGTGAGGAGTGACAGCAGAGGGGCGAGGGCAGGAGGGGCTTTGGAAGCCATTTTCAGGAGTCTGGATTCTATCCTAGGAGCAGTGAAACCCCACTGAGGCATAAAACCAGGGAGCCCCCTTACCAGATCTGTACTAAGAGAACTTGCCCAGATCAGTGGCCCAGGAGAGATGAAACTAGAGAGCAGGAGACCAAGCCTTGAGTAGGGAAGAGGCTGCTGCAATGGATAGAAGGGAGGGGTTTCAGAAGCAGAATCATGTCTCACTTATATGTGGAATCTAAAGAAATGAAACTCATAGAAGCAGAGAGTAGAAAGGTAGTTGCCAGGGGCTGGGGGGCTGGGGAAAATGGATTTGGGTCAAAGTATACAGAGTTTCTGTTGTAAAATGAGTAAGTTCTAGAAAACAAATGTGCAGCATGGTAACTATAATTAATAAAAATATACACTTGAAATTTGCTCAGGAAGTAGGTCTTATGTGTTCCCACCACATACACACACAATTTGCTATGTGTGGTGGGCACATGTAAGACTATGGTGACTATGAGGTGATGGATTAGTTGATCACCTTGGTTGTGGTAAGCACTTCATAGTGTATACCAATGTCAATCTTACATCTCAATAATATGCAGTTGTTATTTGTCAATTATACCTTAATAAAGCTGGGGAAAAATAAGAGCAGAATCATGGAACATCATGACTGGATTTGATGATGGAGGTGAGGGAAGTATGAAGAATCTGAGAGAGGTAGGGAGAGCTGATCAGTTCATGGTTCATGTTGGGTTTGTGGAGTTTGCAGTGCCTATGACGTATCCAAGTGTAGTTGATCAGTTCATGGTCCATGTTGGGTTTGTGGAGTTGGCAGTGTCTGTGACATGTCTAAGTGCAGTTGATCAGTTCGTGGTTCATCTTTGGGTTTGTGGAGTTGACAGTGCCTATGACATATCCAAGTGCAGTTGACCAGTTCATGGTTCATCTTTGGGCTTGTGGAGTTGGCAGTGTCTGTGGCACATCCAAGTGCAGTTGATCAGTTCATGGTCCATGTTGGGTTTGTGGAGTTGGCAGTGTCTATGACATATCCGAGTGCAGTTGTCTAGGAGTCACTTAGAAATTCAGTTCTGGAAATTTGAGGAGAGATGTGGGAGAGAAATGTAGATTGGGGTCATCAGTGTATGATAACTGAAACTATAGGAGCAAGGGTCATTCATTGTCTAGGAAGAATGACTAGGGTAGGAGGAGAATAGGACATCACATTTAATCAATGACCAGCGTAGACAGAGCTAGTAGCAGCAATGAGATGAGTGACTAGAGAGGTAGAGAGAAAACCAGGAAAGTGTGGAGTCATGGAAGCTAAGGAAGATGGTGTTGGGAATAGAGGTGGTGAACAGAGTCCCCTGTTCTTGCTGATAGGAGAGGTCAAATGAGATAAGGACAGAGGCGTGGCCTTTGGATTCCGAGATGTGTTGATCACCGGTGCACTTGGCAAGCATGCCAGAGGAGTGCTGAGGCAGAGGTCAGAGCACACTGTGCCAAGCAGTGGGAGGCAAGTGATGGAGACAAGCGTCTGAACTCTAGGACACTGTGCTGGGAAGGAGAGGGGTGAAAGAGGACAGTTTTGGGATCAAGGGATATCTTCTATTTTTGTTGTCATTTGTTTTGAAGTAGGAGAGGCAAGCTGGCTAAACTTTAAGTAAAAGGGAAGATTGTGATCCTGTCCTCTGTGAGTGAAAGAGAGCATCCTTTTAATGTGATCAGTGCCAGATGTCATCTTACAAGCCCTGTGTCTAACCTGATAGGCATTTAGAGTGGCCAAGGCTTCCTGGACTGGCCTCATTTCATTGATGACTGCTTTTGCAGAGACTCCATTGCCTCCTAATTGTCTACACTTGGGGCCTCCATTTTTCTCTTCCTTGGCAGAATTTTAGAAGAAGCCTCCTGTCACCAGCCTTTCGGAGTCCCCACTGATACTGGTGTGTGTGCTCCTGCTGTGGTGCTGCCCACCCACCCTCGTTCTTCCAACCCTCCGGCACCGAATCCCTCCTTTCACTCCCTCTGTCCCCTGGGCAAGTTCCAGCTGGTTACAGTGAATTCCCGTATTTCCCTCCTCTCTTACTTCTCATTTGTCAGAGTGCACAGGAGGCTGCCTGGAATGCCCTCTACTCCCAGGCTGAGGAAATTAAAGTAGCTAAATTTTTATTATAGCATCTCTCAAGAATATTTCTAGAAATCATAGAGTCGTTGCACCTTACTACTGAATAGAAGTTGAGGGGTTATTTGACCCATTCCCTTTAATTCTAGGCAGCTTGATTTCCAAACTCTTTGTAGGTACGTCTTCTTTAAGATTTCTATATAAAAGGTCCCCCAAGCCCAGCCCTTATGACTAGGGCGACCATGTAATTTTGCATTCAAACAGAGATGCCAAAGGGGGCCCTGACCAAACAGGACTTGGGAACCCAGGTATGATCTTTGGGAACACCAGAACAACAACCAGTGTAAATGAGGACTGTCCTGGGCTAGCCAGGACATGCAGTCATCCTGCCTGTGATGAGTAATGGGGGACAGAACCCGAGAGACTCTTTTTTGGCTAGTGCTTAACATTACGGGACAGTCACTGAGCATTTACTATGGATTAGGCATTGTTCCAGACACTAGAACCGACAACAAGATATAATCCTTGCCTTAAAAAACTGTTGGGGAAGAAAGACACAAATAAAATTTGCCATAATTCTGTGTGATAAGTTTTGATTTCAGTTTTGGTAAGTAATAGCTTTATGGACGAAGTGCTTTGGGAAAAAAGCAGAAGAGGGATGAGTTTGGAGGGGTTCGAGAATCAGAGGAGGTGACAGGAGAGCTGGGCTTTGAAGATGATCAGGATTTCTTGGGGAATAGGGCTGCAGGAGAGGGAATGTGTGCCAAGAGTGTGGAACGAAGGCACGGTGGGTAAAAGAGAGAGCAAGAGCTAAAGCTGAGAACTGGACAGGGCCCTGACAGGACCCATTCACCTTCTGGAGGCATCATTCATTCTGTGCATTTGTGATCTCTTTTTGCGTGAGTGCAAGGTCTGAAGTGGCCTGTGGCATGCTGGAGCTTAGTAGACACATCTGGTGAAGGTGTGGAGAAGGCCAGAGTAGGAAACCACTAGAAGTGGAGAGGTCACCTCAGAGACTCTCCACACAGCAGTGGTGGTGTGTTGCTTCTGAACCAAGGCAGGGTCAGAGAGGACAGAGGAAGAGGCAACCCTAAGAGAGCATTTGGCAGCTGAGACGATAGGACGCAGTGACTGACGTGGAAGGTGAGGAACGCAAAAATGCCAAGATCACACAAGCCTGCTTCAGAAGACCAAGAAGATGGGGTTTCCCTTCATTGAGACAGGGAGCAGGAGAGCAGCTAAGTCTGACGTCACCAAAGGCCATTTGGGGCATGTTTGGGTGTTTGTGGTGCATCCACACGGACACGTCCATTAGGAGTTTGTATCTATGGGTCTGGGGCTCGAGGGACAGATTCATGTCAGAAATACTGACTCCTCGGTGCACTGATAGAAGATGTGATTGTAGATGAGATGACTCAGAGAGCAAGTGTGGAGCGAGAGGACTTGGGAACCCAGGGTTGATTTTTGGGCAACGTCTAACCCCAAAGAAAGGGCAACCACGAAAGGCTGTTCAGAAGCAGCAGTCAGCAGGGTGGGAGGGAACCAAGAACAGGACTGTCAGGGAAGCCCGGAAGGAAGCAGGGTCAAGCTGGGAATGCTGGATGAGCAGTTTTCTTGAAGTTACGGGCAGGAGCCATGACAGTGGGCGGGAGGCAGAGAGGAGGAAACAAGGTGTAGCCTACTCCTTCTGAGTGCTTGAAGTGGGGCAAAGACAAGGTGTGAAGATGGAGGGTGAGCTGGGGTTTAATTGAAAGTATTTCTTTTCAGGTTAATGGAGTTTTAAGGAAGTCCCTTTTTACAGTGACTTCTGAAAGAACACCCACTCTGTTTGCCCTCTAGACCTGGGCTATCGAATCCACTAGCCACTAACCAAGTGTGGCTATTTAAATTTAAATTAATTAAAATAAATAAAATGTAAAGTTCAGTTCCTCAGTGGCACTGGCTGTGTATCAGGTGCTCAGCTGCCACGTGGCTGGTGGCCACCATGCTGCACAGCACCGGCACAGAGCGTTCCCGTGTTTGCCAGGAGTTCCGCTGGACAGCCTTGTTTTAAACTCTGCGTTTCACCATCTTCCTAATTCTGCCTTTTGGAACTTAGTAGAGTATATAAGCCCAATCTGCTTATCTAGTTTCCAAACCTAGTTCTGAGGTGAAGAAAACCAGATGGTATTTTTATCATATAAGCTGAAGAATTCTTACAATTTTCAAGTCAGCATTTTTTCCAGGCATTGACCGATAATAAATTGCTCCATGTTGTTAAACATAAGAGAGAGAAATGTAAACGTGAGAATTATTTCTACTGAGCCATCTATTTAGTCTTTCCACTGCTACCATCATAACCACTTCCATCTGATCATTAGCTTTTGTGCATCTACAGTAACTTCATTTTTCTATTTTTTTGAAAGTTATGAGCTCGTTAGGGAAATTTAGCACCATAGCCCCTTCCTTCCAGGAAGCTGCAGAGGCCCTGCTATAGCTTTCACCTGTCTGGGCACCTAAGCAGACCTTGTCAGCTGCTGGGAAGAAAAAGCATCTGATTTGCCAGCCCCTCGCATGCATCCATCAGCCGGGGGTGGGTTTCTGAGAAACCGTTGTGTCTGGGCCCAAGCTCAAAGCACACTTTTCATTCCTCCCTGAGCTATTTTCCTTATTATTCTTTAGAGGGGATTTGTCATGGGGTGATTTGGTGTCTCCAAGATACCTGGGTTTAAAAAGGTCCTTTGCATTATTCTGCATACAGCGGGACCTGAACTTGGGCTGGAGGAATGTTGCTGATGCCCAGGTGGGAGGCAGAGGATTGTACCTGAGAACTTTTCCTGTGGCCTTTACCTGGGGGAGGAGAGCATGTTGGCAGAATGTTCTCAGGGCTGGCCCCATCGCACATGGATGTGTTCATGGATGAGTTCAGCAGAAGTATGGCAGCTAGGGAGCTTTTCTTTATGTCCATCTGGGCTTTGCTATTTGGCTGAAATTCCTGGACCAATCCTTGTGTCCGTAAGAACCCTGTGTCCTTACCTTGTGTAGACTGTTGACTACTGTTAACCCTCTAGTATTAGCACAGCAAAGTACTGTCGTGCACTTCAAGCCCCTGTACAAACACATGCCCCTCAGCCAGACCTCACCCTGGGAGCTGCTCCGGAGTCAACAGCCCTTGAAAGTGCACTGTCCTGCCTCGTAGCTGGAAGCTAAGGCTGCAGCTTCATCTCCCATGGAAACCTGGGCTCACTAGGAGGGGCAAGGCCTCCAGACCACTGTCTTACCATAGAAGCCGCCTAGCAAACTGCAAACCAAGCAGAAAATGCAGGCTGGGCTGAGGAGGCCTCTAACTGATCACCAGCCAAGCAGAGAAGGGGTGAGTGGCATGTGAATGACTGCTAGCTCTAGGCCTGGACCATGGATTCAAACCCTGCTGGCTGGCCCTCCACCATCTCCTGCTCCAGTGAAGACTGTGGCATCCATTAGTGAGGCTAGAGTACACGCTTCTGACTGTGGAATCCTTCTCATTTTCTGGCTCTGCCATCCACTAGCTGTGTAACTTTGGGCAAGTGTGGCCTGACAGCCGAAAGCTTACCCCCACTCCTTGCTAGCTATATAGCTGAGGGCAAGCCATAGAACTTCTCCGAGCCTCTGTTTCTAGTCTGCAAAAGAGGATAAAAATACTTACTGTGCAGGTTGTTGCAGAGATGAAATGATGTTTATCAAATGCCTAACACAAAGGTTCTGTAGATGCTGCTTCTCTATTCTCTCTGGTTTAAATCCTTGGCAGGTACTCGTTTTCTTACTAAGAAGGTTATAAGATCAAAATTTCTTATTTTAGGGAAGTAAAACTCAGGAAAGGGTTTACATCTCTGAATTAGGCTGAAAAGGGACACTGGGGATTGGTCGTGGAGGCTCACTCCTGTAATTCCAGCACTTTGGGAGGCTAAGGTGGGAGGATCATGGGAGGCTAGGAGTTCAAGACCAGCCCGGGCAACATAGCCAGATCCCATCTCTACATGTCTACAAAAATTAATATAAAAATTACCTGTGTCATGGGCCTGTAGTCCCAGCTACAGGCTAAAGCAGGAGGATCTCTTGAGCCTAGGAGGTCGAGGCTGCAGTGAGCTATGATTGTGCCACTGCACTGCAGCCTGGGCAACAGAGCAAGACCCTGTCTCTAAACAAAAAAAAAAAAAAAAGGAAAAGGAGGGACACTGGAGAAGAAGCTCCACAATTTTCCAAGGTGCCAGGGTGAACCAGCACGGGCCAGGCGGAGGCCTGTCGTCTGCACTCCCACATGGCCCTCCTCCTACTCCTGATGTGGCTTCTCTCTGGTATGGACGCAGGAGCTGGTCCCTGGCCCACAGGAGAAACTTGGACACAGCCATGATAAACGCAGGCTTTATAATCCAAGAGCTTGAAAAGATAAGAGTGACTAATAAATAAAAATTTCTCCATTTCTTCATGCTTGATTTTCAAGGGAAGATGTAGAATAAATTTGAGCCACCTTCCCCTGCAAGTATACCTTTAAATATTAAATATTTTACTTAATTATAAAATCCCCTGCTGTCTGGAGAGAATGGCCACCTTCTCTCCTTAGTGGAAACGATGTCATCGCATTTACTGAGTTTGTGAATGTAAAGTGTTTTCAGACTGTAAAACCCTGGATGGGGTTCTGGAAGGCCTCCTCTCTGGGCCCATCCAAAGGGGTCTTCAGAAGTGCATTGGTGACAAGAATGGCATCAAGTAGGAAGGGCCCCAGGTGTAGAGGGATGGGCAGTGGACACCTCTGTCAGGAAGAGTCTTCCTTATCCAGGGCTATCAGGATCAGGAGCTAGAGCCCACGTTTGGAGAAAACACAAGAAGTAGTACCAACCCAGTGAGTCTCGGGTAAGAAATTGGAGTGGTTTGGTTTCCCATCTCTAACTTGGCCAGATGTACCATAAGCTGTATCTGCAAAGCCAGTGTAAGGCTAGACTTAAGTTCAATTAGGATCCAAATTCTTCACTGTCAACTTGTCTAAGTTTTTGTTTATTTCACTTAGTTTCCTAGTGAAATTTTCATTTGAAAATTCCCAGCCTTATTTATTTATTTATTTACTTATTTTAATAGAGACAGGATCTCACTCTGTTGCCCAGGCTGGAGTGTAGTAGCACAGTCATAGCTCACTGCAGCCTCGACCTCCCAGGCTCAAATGATTTCCTGCCTCAGCCTCCAGAGTAGCTGGGACTACAGGCAGGAAGCACTGTGCCTGCACTCCAGCCTTCTTTTCTTTTCTCTAGCTTTTTTTTTTTTTTTTTTTAAATATTTGAGACAGAGTCTTGCTTTGTTGCCCAGGCTGAAGTGCAATGACATGATCTCAGCTCATTGCAACCTCCGCCTTCTTGGTTGAAGAGATTCCCCTGCCTCAGCCTCCCAAGTAGCTGGAAACACAGGTGTGCACCACCATGCTCAGCTAATTCTTGTATTTTTAGTAAAGATGGGGTTTTGCCATGTTGACCAGGCTGGTCTCGAACTCCTGGCCTCATGTGATCCATCCACCTTGGCCTCTCAAAGTGACCAGCCTTATTTTAACTGAATAAAGGGAAAGGGGCTTTTTTTTTCATGACCCTGAAGACAGAGGGACTCAGTGCGCCCCCAGTGGCCAGAGGCTGTAGTTACAGGGAAAGCAAGTCGGGTCCCTCTGAGCCTCTGGAAGAGCCAAGTGGCTGGCTGCTGGAACCATCCAGGAGAAACCAGATTTTCCAGGCTAGAGCTGTTTCCTTTTTCCAGTCTGAGGCTTCCCATGTATTCCTTTCAACGCAGCACCTCTATGTGCATCCCTGAACCCTATGATCTGAGAAAAGGTAGCCGAACCCCCGACTTTCTCTTTTGCATTGACATTAGCACAGATCTGAGCCACATGAGTAGTTGCTCATACCATTATCTGCCTTTGGTTGAGAAATTAGAAGGTGCTAGGCACAAACACACGTCATCTTATTTAATCTTTACAAGCCAGGATCCGGTACTAGGGTCCCCAGTGTTCAGAGGGATTAATTTGTCAAGATCTCACAGTGAGTAGATTCCAGTCTACCTCACTGGAGCCTGGTGCCCGTCCCCATGGTCTGCACTCCTGGTGTTGAACCTCAGCAGGGGCTGTCCCTGGCCTGCTGAAACAGTTCAGCTGACCAGGAAGTGTGTGTGCGTGGTGTCTTTTGTACAGTCTCAGCCCCTGGGTCTGACACTCTGATGGTCTTTTAGGGTGCTGGGTTATTTCCTGGGGTTCTATCTGTGCCAAGTTGTGTATCTTTCAGTGACACACATCTGTTCAAGCCTTCTGAGTTGGGGAGCAACAGAAAGAGGTGAAGAGAGAAAGCACTCTGGGAAACATGGAAATATTTTTGCAGCCTGATTGTCTCTGCATGCAACACTAGCAAAGCTGTTTCTGCTCCCTTTCGGTGTCCGAGTCAAGGGGACGAAGAGGCCTGCCCAAGAAGAAGAGGGATGATTTTTCTCTTTCTGTGGTTGGGGGCAGAAAGGCGATCCGGCTGCCCAAGTGGTTCAGGTCAGGCTTAACTCGGTCTGTGGCCTCTGGCCTGGGGAATGTGCTGAGCTTTGATTCAGCTAAGCAGTGGCTTGTTGCCCAGGCCTGTGGTCCTCCAAAACACCAGCTGAGGATCCCAAAACTTAGGGCCCTTGTGAACAGGGTGAGTTGTTGTCACCAGGACTTGCCTTGTCACCACCTATTACATTTTCTGGGGACCCAGCAGCCCCTGGCCTATGGCCACACAGCAGGCGCCTCTTGGCCAAGAGCTCTGGCATGAAGCTAGGCCTCTCCAACTATTTAATGTTTCATTAGCGGTTTTCTAAAGGCATGGGGCCAAGCCTGGCCGAGCCACACCATTCAGAAGTACGTGAACACTTCATAAAACCAAACTGTTGAAGGATCCCAAACCCAGGAATCTGGTCACTTGGAGTCCAGGCTGGAGGCCCAGGGCAGGCTGCTGCACTGTCTCAGCTCTTTCTTGGTCTGGATACTTCTGGGCCACACATCTGTCTCTCAAACTGTTTAGCCTGTTAGTAGTTCTAAACTAACTTCTAAATAGTTTATATTTGGGGTTCACCAACCTGTTTTCATATCTGATGAAAGCTTTGGACTTGCCCCAGAAAGAGACATCCATGCACATATGTACAACATTGTGCTTAGAATTGCAAGGTATTCACAAGCCACACTCTAAAGATCATCAGTGGATCCAAGTGGAGAACCCCTGTGCTAAACCACACTTGCTTCCACACTTAAACTCTGGGGACTGTGGAGTGTTATCCATCAAGAAGAGTAAACAGGTATTGGGTTTTGTTTTGTTTGGCTTTTTGCTTGTGTCTTGGATTTTGAATCGAAGTCCTTGAGTGGTAGAATGGGGGCTAGATCATTAGAATCACTCCAGACTTCACAGGTAAGAGTGGGAGCTCAGTTGAGTGACAGGCCCATCCCAGACACAAAGTCACTCCAGGGCAATTATTCAGAGCCCCCAGGAGCTTTCACGCTCTAGGAGCAAGTCAGGTAAGCAGCAGCAACACACGTGCCGCGGAGGCGGCACCTACATTCAGACTCTCATTGCTCTTGATTGACTGGGTGGCCCTGGACCAGTCCAGAGTCCACGGCTCTGGAAATGGTAATCAGGCTTGTGGTTGCAGGGGAATTTATGTGTACCAAGTGACTGGCACAAAACAGAGGCCCAATACACTCAATGCTGGCAGATGATAGACACAGTGGAGCAGCAAAGCTGGTGAGGATGGAAACACCCCATCACCTGTGAGTGGGATTAGAGCGTCTGCAGAGGGCATCCTGCTGGCTTCCCAAGCCATGAGCCTTCTGATAAATCTTACTGCTCTGTCAGAGCCTCTGATTTAGGGGTAGGGAGGGGCAGTCAGGAGAAAGCATAGTTAGCTCTCGGGCAGCTAGCTGTGGCAGACAGCGTGCTTTGTCCCTCAGATGAGTCACAACAAGCGCCCTTGGCAGGCAGGAAGGACTTTGAAGTGTGGTGCCCCAAAGGGCTGGTCCAGGAGGCCCCTGCCTAGCCCCTGGGCCTGTCACTCCTGAATCTCCATCACTGGCCCGAGGGCAGGCCCAGGCTTGAAATAAACTCAGGCCAAGCTGGAGGCGCAATTAGAAGGAAGAGAGCCATTTGGCTTTTTCCAAAAGGTAAGAAGGAGGACTTCTCATTTTTGTGCTTTAAATATCAATGCACTCTTTTGATGCCATTATTTGCATTTTCTGAGTTCCACTGTTCTTGGGCAAAATCCAATAGCCCAGCTCTGAAGGCCTCTTCCACATACGTGCCCCTCCCCTGGAGAATCCCTCACACCTTCTTTGAGCTACCAGGCCAAGAAAATTGTATTGAGCTTTACCTCGTGAAGTTTGCATTTTAAAAGCAAGATGTGTTTTTTCATCTCTAAATATAAAGTTTTCACATTGAATAAGCTTTTCCAAACTATATGCCCTTCATCTGGATACTCTGTGGAAGCAAAGGGCAGCATGGCTGGGTGGTGCTGAGTCGGGCAGAGCTCTGGTCTGTGCATCGGGAGACTGGCCACTCACCAGATGACTTCTGGGAGCCACCATTCCTTATCTGAAAGCTGGACAGCTGGGGGCCTCCATACCTTACATCCTGCCCACCTTCCACAGAGTTGTCATCATTGACTGAGTTATGTCTAGAGAAGCACTTTGAAATGCTTCTCCAGCATTCCAGGTCAGAACAGGGTGGCCTACCCCACCCAAAGCTGCAGAAAGAGAGGGGAGCGTGGGTCCAGGGGAGAGGATGTGTGGGGTCTAAAGATGCCCAAGACAGTTCCTGGTGAGACAGCCCAAAGGAGGCAGCAGGCTAGAAACTTGCAGAGGAACAAGGAAGCTGTGACACCTTCTTACCTGGGGACCTCAGGACAGGAAGAAATCATGAAACATTCTTACTGGGAAAGCCAGAGGAGCTTTCCTAGTATTTTTGTTATTGGTAACAGCTGTGAGGTGCCCCCTCAGTGCCCTGGCAACTGTCATTGTCACAGACCCCAGGAACATGGGGCTTTGGGTACAGTTTGACCCTCTCCCTGAGATGGAAGATCTCCCTTAACACCTCCCCCCGGGGACTTGAGACAGGGGTGGCTCCTTTGCTCGGCTGCTGCACTCTAACCCTTTGTGGGAAGGGGAGCATGCAGGTGAGTGGGTGCAGGAGGCAGGGCAAGTGCTCTTGGGCTTTGGCAGGAATGAACCCCATACCTGCCCACAACAATGTCTAGTGGTTGCCTGTGACCTCTAGAGCCTCAGAGGGTGTGAGTTACAAACAGTGCTCCTTTAGTATTTTCCATCCGTGGATGACTAAATGTTAAACCAGGTCAGTGGAGGATCAGGGCGACAGCCTTTTACCCCCTGTCCTCTTGGTGCCTGGGTTCTTGTCCGGGATCTAGGAAGAATCAGGTCACACAGATGTGAAGGATGGTGAATGCAAAGATTTTATTGAGTGGTGGAAATAGCTCTCAGTAGGATGGGGAGCTTGAAAGGGGATGGAGTGGGAAGATAATCTTCCTCTGGAGTTCAGCCATCCTCAGCCAAATTCCTGTCCAACCATCCCCGGCTGAACTCCTCTCTGACCATAGTCTCTGATGTCCAGCTGCCTCTTCTCCTCTCAATGTTCAGACACCTCTTCTCTTCTCTCCTTCTCTGCCACGCTGCTCTGCTCCTCTGCCAGCGGAGCTTGGGGTTTTCATGGGAGCATGGTGAGCCAAAAGGCAACATTTGGGCAGGAAAACAGGGATGTGAAGTTTTCATTTAGGGCCATGGGTCCAGGCTTGGGGGTGGAACCCTTGCCAGGGACCCCACTCTTTTCTTCCCTGCCTCCTGGCCATATCATCCCCATGGGTTTACTGCATCTTATTAAAGAACTACTCACAATGACCTCAGATCATTAATAACTCAGCATCTGAACTCTGACTTCCTGTCTCCTGCTTTTTGGATATATTAATGCCAATGTGTCTGCCTGTATGCACCAGGGGTTTGATTCCCCCTTGCAAGGTTTTTAGGAGATTTAGACAGTGAGTCTTACAACAGCTGTGCCCAGTTTTTAAAGATCTCGCCTCCTGGAGGTGAAAGCAAGGGGGGTGTATTCCTAAAACTATATCACCAACAGTGTGAAGGGCCTGGTACTTTGCATTATCTCATTTATTCCTCACTACACCACCATGGTGTGGATAATATTAAATCCATTTTACACAGCTAAGAACTGAGGCTCGGGAAAGTTAAATAACATGGATCACTGGTGGACCAGGACTCAACTCCAGCCTGTGGAGCTCTAGAAACCAGGTCATTCCTTCGTGCCCTATTGCCTCTCTCTGAATGCAAAGGCTAAAGCAGAGTGAGGAACTCAGCAATGAGTAATGGCTCATTGTGAAGTGGACTCCAGGTGGTGCCTACGGGGCAGGGGCTTATGTGCCCATAACTGACTCCATCTACCTACCAAGTTCTCATTAGGGTCAAAGCATGCGATCAGAGTCAGAGGCTGGGTTTGAGAACCTGCTCCTTTTACCGAATAATTTCATCCCCATGCTGTACGAGCAAACTTGACTTTGCTGACCTTATCTGTAGCATGAAAACCCACACAGGGCTGCTACGAATACAGAACGAGATAATGCAAATAACGTGCTTAGCATGGCATCTTCTCTGAACACCTCAGGTTGGCTTAGGGTCTCCCATTCTGTGCCCCCACAGCACTCTCTGCCTCCCTTGAAGCATTCTTCCCTCTTATTTATCCATCTGCTTCCAAGCTACCTAATCTCAGGGGCCCCATCTGGCCTGCTCACCACTGAGTGCACGGCCCTGACAGTGCCTGACACCTGGGCAGAGATGTACACCTCTAATGCTGATCTGCTGACTGGTGACCACGGAAGGAGGCACAGCAGCTACAGCTATTGTTACTGCTTCCTTCCTCCCCCAAATATACTTGATGCTTCAGTGGCATCTCCCTCCTGCCCTCCCCATGCCAGGCACCTCCATCCTCATCCTCTGAGCCTTTTCTCCCAAGTCCCCTTCTCCCAAGTCCCCTTCTCCCCACTGCCCTCAGACCCCCTCCCCATCTCGGCCTAGAAGCCCCCCAAGGCTTGGTCCTCCCTTCAGTCTCTCCCAGCTCCTGCCCACAGCCTTCTCAGAATAACTGGATGGCTCTTAGTGACACCTCAGGGTCTGGAAGAGGCCAGAATTATTCTGATACTACTGCATGTATGTTTTTGAGTCTCCAGTCCTTGTTGGTGTGCTGGGCCTCTGTGGCAGGGGTGGGAACCTGTGTCCCCTGCCCCCTGCCCAGGCCCAGTGCCAGGCTGCGCACAGAGGAGGCTTCAGGATGAGTCTGTTGGGCAGCAGCCAGGGTGCCCACAGTTAAGTTTCAAGGGAGGACTTCAGCTGCACCTTTAAAGAAAAAAATTATTATGCTCACATTCATTTCACACCCTTGTGACAAAGGACACATTTCCACGACCTCATCTGATCATCATCAACCAACCTATGAGGTCAGCAGGTAGGACAGGTCTCCCCTTTGAACAGATGGGGAAACTTAGTCACAGAGTATAACATTATAGAGCTAGCAGACAGGAGAGCAACCACAGATCTGGGTGGGGCATCCATGATGGTCAAGAACAAACCCGAGAGCCAGACTGGCTGGTGTGATTCCCAGCTCTTCCACTTATAGCTTTGTTTCCTTGGCAAATTACTTAACCTCCCTATGCCTCAGTTTTCCCTTCTTTAAAATGGACATAATACTTAGTTCATAGGCTCATTATGAGGAATAAGTGAGTTATGATCTTCAAAGCAAGTATTAACTGATTACGTGCCTGGCAGCTAGTAAGCACTGAATGTTGTAAAATAATGCAACCTAGACATGCATATGGAGTTCTTTACACTATGTCCTCTCCTTTTGTACACTTCTGAACACATCCACAATGAGAAGGAAGGGAGTAAAGTGTCACCTATTTTTCTGTTACTTAAGGAAGGCTCTAGATATGGCATGAGCCTCTGACAATGGGATGAGGACCTCATTCTTTAAAACTTTCGTTAAACATGGTGAATTTCCTTTATACATGAACATTGTAGGTTCATGCCTCTTGGCAGAGAAGATGAATACAAGCTGAATTACAGTATCTCAATAAGATGGCAGTGTTTATTGCAAATGCTGCAACATCCTGCTTGAGAAAACTTTGATTTGTAGTCTGGTTCTATGACTCCACCAAAGCTAGACAATTATCCAAGCAGCACCTGACCTTTTTGACTGTTTATCTTATTGGCTGGCAGTGGTCCAGGCCTTTAATATTATGCTTCTCCTCTTGTTCCTGGAGCTTTGAGAAAGATAATGAAATGAGTTGAGCGCCACGTGCAACGTGGCTGGCTAGGAGACTCTGCTGGATAGTGCAATTGGAAGGGACACCTCCGTGTGCTTCCAGGGGCCTGGGCCAGACCTGACTGGGAGCTCTAGAGAACAGAAGCCCACCAGCTGGAAGAGGCAGGCAGGAGGTGGCACTGCAGGCGGTGTGAATGTGAACAGCAAAGGGTTTGCTGTCCCAGGCCTCACTCTGCCACTTGCTGCTGTGTGACCCTAAGCAAAGCCTTTAACCTCTCTGAGTCTCAGTAGTCCTATCTGTGAAATGAGAATTTTAATGCTGGCTCTGACGACTTCACATGTGAAACTGACCTATAAATCTTCAAGTGCACACTGATGTTGTTGTAATCTGGAGATAAGCAGCAATCTACTAGCAATAGCCTTGCATCGCCATTCAGCTTTCATCCTCCGAACCAGACTTGTAGGCCCCCAGTGCCAGTGGGAGCCCTGGTGGTCTGGTCTCACGGTCAACAGGAAGGTCTGCTGTGCCACCGCCACCACCACTAGAACATCGCTCCCTTCAAGGATTTATTCCTTAGGTTATGATTTAAGCCATATCAATTATAATACCTTAGGAATAATAGGTCCATTAATTTTTTTCCTACCTATTTGACCCTCTGCTATGAGCAAGGTTATTTGCTTTGTTTTGCTTTTGTTTTTGGGTAGGGATGCGAGCTGAAAGAGATAGACAGATCATGAGGATCTTCAAGTTAGGGGCATTAGAATAGCACTGTGGGGCAGGGCAGAGGGACTTGTGTGTGTAGGCAGCAGCACACAGATACGGGGCTAGGACGTAGGCCTGGAGTGATGAGGGTCAACCACAGTCTTCCCAACATTTCCTGGAGGTCAACCTGCTTTTAACAGCCTTCATTCTTTTCCAACTAGTGTCTCGCTGCCCTGCCCCAAAATCAAGGTGAAGCAGATACTACTCCAGGCCAAAGACACATCTCCTATGACTGACCTTCTGGTCTTGGCCACACAGCTGACTAGCTGCTTGTGTCATTGGACGAGTGACTTCCCCTCTTGTGTCAAGGTGCGCTGCAGAGGGATGGCGTTGGAGGCAGGAGTGAGCGCGGAGCTGTGAGGACCCAGGGAGGAGGGTTTAGAAGTCAAGGAGGAAGCTGCAGGCACGTGACTCCTGCACTGGCCTCACCTCTCACCAGCTCTGCAAGGCCCGGAGCTGCCATCCCAAGGCTGCTTTTCCTTTCCTTTCTTTTTTTAAAATTCTTTAATTAAACTTTTTTGATTAAGTGACAGCTTTTACCACTCCTGGCAGCTGCTGCGAGACAAGATAATTTATAGATGCATTGACACTATATGATTAGGAAAGTACAGTAAATAACAGATGAGAAGATGACTCGTGCAACCTGCAGGGCCCCTCCTCCATCTCTCCAGTCCAGCCCCCACCATCTCCCAGTGAGCCCCAGGTAGACGTCTGCCACATCACTCAGGGGCTGCGTGGAGCACTCGGTGCCTTTCCCACCACAAGATGACGAAGATGTGGTGTTGACAGACTGCTGGTGTCCGTGGACCACAGCTCTGCTCTGGGGCCCCAGGGACTTTCTCAGAGATGCCTGTTTCCACCTAGAGGAAAGACTTAATGATTCTCACCCTTGAAAGTGTGTACAGAAATCCTCTAGTCAGAATGTCCTTGCTGTGTACCAGGGCACACTGTGGGCTCCGTCCAGCCAGGCAGGGCCTGGACTCAGGATCCCCTAGGCTGGTCACCTCTGGTTGTGGGCGCTTCATCCATTTCCCTGTGGATGCCATAAAAGCACTGTCCCTTTCTCTGTGTGCCACACTATGGAAAAGGTTGAGAATCACCGCTAGTCCACTCCGGGGCCTGTAGCAAGGAGAGTAATTGAAGTGCCCCGGGAAACTCGAGCCGTGTCCTTAGCTCTTCAGCACTGCCGGAGCCCCATGCTCCTCAGGAATGAGCCCCTGGCCTTTTCCTCACAGTAACTAAGAGCGCTCATGGGGGCAGCCTAGCCTGTCTTTCTGGGTGAAGCACATCTCCTCCTGTCCTCTTGTCTACCCTAACATTCCACGTGTTCCTTTCTCAGGGTAAAGGCCACCCTCTTCTTAGGAGCCCCGCACCCAAGCCAGGCATTTTGCATGGGAAGCAGTGCCCTGTGTACTTACAATCAGTATTGTCTAGGCAAGATTAAATCAGTGACATTCAACCGTATACAATCCTGCATGATCAGACGATTTGTTGGAAGGCAGGATTCGAGTTCCTCTCAGAAGCTGGCTTGCTGTGCACGCCTCTCCTAACATGGACTCTCCTCAAGTGCCCAGGCAGAAAGCGGCCAGCTCCCAGCCAGATGCATGGGGGGCCCTGGGTTCCAGAAGATCAAGTGGCCAAGCACATGAAGACAAATAGTTTGTCTCGTCAGCTTCTGGGGGTCACTTGTTCACATGGGAAGAAACCAAGCAGTGGAGGTTACCATAGAAAGATTACACAGCCAAAGTTTGTGGCTGGATTTTTTTTGTGGCTTTTCTTTGTGAAGAGTTAAGCATGAAGGACCGAGGGTATCCAGGAAGAAGAGTAGCTTTGGGATTATCAGGAAGGATCCACGTACATGTTTCTGACTTCTTCTCAAATTGCCTGGAGCAGTGCACAGGACATAGTAGATCTTTCCATAAACACTGCTAAACTGCACAAGGAACTTATTCTGTTAAGGGAGCTCCCTACCTCTGTTTCCCCACCTGACAGGCATGCTAGTTTAGACTCCTTCGAGGATAACTCGGCTACTCCCTGTGGGATATCTGGAAAGAATACGGACGGGATATAGATACATTCTACTGATCCAAGTCACTTTAAATTTTTTAAAAATTTTAAATAATTATAGGTTCATAGGAAGTTTCAAAGGTAGCACAGAGGCAGTGCCCTTCACCCAGTTTCCCCCAATAGTCACACCATATGTACATAACGATGGCACAGTATCAAAACCAGGAAACTGACTTTGGAACAACGTGCATGTATAGTTCTGTGTTGTTTTATCATATGTAGGTTCATGTGACCACTGCCGCAGATGCAGAACAGTTCCTTCGCTATGGAGATCTTCCCCGTGTGCACATTTAGACACACCCACCCTTCCTCCTCATCATCCCTAACCCCTGGCAACTACTTATTTGTTCTCCATCTCTATAATTTTGTCATTTCAAGAATGTTATATAAATGGCTTTTCTTGCGTTTCTGTGGATTCGTTGAACATTTTTTAGAACTCCATTTTTATCTACCTCTAGTGTTTTTGAGTATATCTCTTCGTGTAGCTGTTTTGTGGTTGCTCTAAGTATTACATTATATATACATAATTTATCAGTCTACTGGTACTACTTTTTTCCAGCCCAAATGAAGTGTGTCTGTCTCACTTTTATCCTCACCCATTTATGATAGAATTGCCTTAGGTATTTCCTCCACACACATGAGAAATGCATGTGTTACGATTTTTGCTTCAACTGTCAAAATTTAGAAAACTCTAGAGGAGACAGAAAGTGTATTCATTTGCCCATATTCTTGCTCTTTCTGTTCTTCCTTACTTCCTGATAACCCAAGATTCCTTAAAAAAATCATTTCCTTTCTGCTTAGAGAACTTCCTTTTGCCATTCTTTTAGTGTAGGTCTGTTGGTGACCAAGTCTATTAGTTTTCTTTCATCTGTGAAAATACCTTTATTTCCCCTTCATTTGTGAAGAATATTTGCACTGGATATATAATTTGGTTGACACTTTCCTTCATTAGGCACTTGCAAAATGGTATGCTACCTCTTTCTAATACTCCTGGTTTCTGATGAGAAATATGCTGTCATTTGAATTATTTTCCCCCCTGGGCAAGGTGACATTTCCCTTGCACTACTCTCAAGATATTTTCTTTGACTTTGGTTTTCAAGGGTTTGACTGTGATATATCTTGGTGTGGATTTCTTTGGGCTTATCCTATTTTGGCTTCACTGAGCTTCTTGAATCTGTAGGTTTATGTCTTTTGCTAAGAAATTTTCAGCCATTATTTCTTTGAGTACTTTTTCAGCCCCATCCTCCTCTTTCTCTCCTTCTGGAACTCTGATGACATGGATGTTAGAGCATTTGTTATAATCCCACAGGCCACCCAACTCTGCTCACTTTTTAAAGATTATTTTCTCTCCATTCCTTATATTAGGTAATTTCTATTATTCTACCTTCAAGTTCATTGATTCCTTCCTTCGTTGTCTATAATCTACTATTGAGCCCATTCATTGAGTTTTGAAATTTCATTTATTGTTCTTTTTACTTTTAAAATGTTCATTTAGCCTTCTTTATGTCTTCCATTTTTTTACTGAGGCTCTGTTTCTTTGCTGAGACTTTCTGCATTTCCACGGTTTCAAGCCTGCTTGTAATTGCTTGTTGCAGCATTTTACAGTAGCCACCTAAACATTTTTGTCAGATAATTCTAACATCTGGGTTATCTCAGTGCTAGTGTCATCCAAGTGCCTTTTCTCATTCAAGTTGGTGCTTTCCTGTTCTTGGTATGAGGAATGATTTCCAATTGGAACCTGGATGTTCTGGGTATTATGCAGCTCCGGATGTTATCTGAAGCCTTCCCTTACAGCTGCTTTCCTTTGCCACTGACCCAGCAGGGAGGAGGGATGCCACCATCTTGCTATTCCAGTAAGGGTGGAAGTCAGGTTCCCACTCGGCCCCCATCAGCACTCAGTGAGGCAGGGCCTCCTCATTACTGCTGGCGTGGCTCAGGCTCACTGCCAGACCTCTGCTGATACCACCCTGGCTGGAGGCAGAGGGGAGCCTCGTTACTGCCTCACCGACACCGCAGCGAGGGAGAGGCCTCATTACCACATGGTGAATGTCCTGGCGCTCCCTTAGACCTCCTCTGACACCACTTCGGCAGGGAAAGGGGGGCACACCTCATTACTGCCTAGTTGGGGTGGAAGTTCAGTTTTCTCACATCGTCTCCACCGACACCATGTGGGTACTGGGGAGCCTCATCATGACCCAGTGGGAAGGAACGTCCTTTTGATAATAGCCGTCCTGATAAGTGTGCAGTGGACATCGTCTCCACCGACACCATGTGGGTACTGGGGAGCTTCATCATGACCCAGTGGGAAGGAACGTCCTTTTGATAATAGCCGTCCTGATAAGTGTGCAGTGGACATCGTCTCCACCGACACCATGTGGGTACTGGGGAGCCTCATCATGACCCAGTGGGAAGGAACGTCCTTTTGATAATAGCCGTCCTGATAAGTGTGCAGTGGACATCGTCTCCACCGACACCATGTGGGTACTGGGGAGCCTCATCATGACCCAGTGGGAAGGAACGTCCTTTTGATAATAGCCGTCCTGATAAGTGTGCGGTGGACATCGTCTCCACTGACACCATGTGGGTACTGGGGAGCCTCATCATGACCCAGTGGGAAGGAATGTCCTTTTGATAATAGCCGTCCTGATAAGTGTGCAGTGGTATTGATTTGCATTTCCCTAATGACTAGTGATGTCGAGCATCTTTTCATGTGCATATTGGCCATTTGTAGATCTTTAGAGAAATGTCTATTCAAATCCTTTGCTTATTTTTATATTAAGACAGAAAATGTTAGACAATAACTATTCTCCTCCAGCCAAACACCACAAGAAACACTGCGGCTTCACCCACTCTTCCCCCAGCAAAGGCCAAGTGGGGAACCTCAACGTCCATCCTCATCAGGCTGTAACAAGGCACCCCAACTCTTTTGCCGGGGTGGCATCAAGACAGGTGGGGAACCAGGAATTTCCAACACACGCTACAACATGGGTGAACCTTGAAAACATTATGCTAAGTAAAATAAGCCAGACACAAAAGAACAAATATTACATGGTTCCACTTACGTGAGGTACCCAGACTAGGCAAATTCACAGAGACAAAGAGTAGAATTGTAGTTTCCAGGGATTGGAGGGAAGGGATCATGGGGATTTATTATTTATTAAATACAGAGTTTCAGTTTGGGAGGATGAAAAAGCTCAGGAGATGGGTGGTGATAATTGCACAACAATGTAAATGTGCTTAATGCCACTGAATGCTACACTTAAAAATGGCTAACGCAGTAAATTTTATGTTATGTATATTTTACCACAGTTTTACAAAGTCTGGGTCTTGCTAGACTTCCCCTTTCCTGGGCTTTTGGCTAACGAGAGGAGGCTCTAATTGGGGCTTTTTTTTTTTTTTGGTCTGTACCTTTTGATGTTTCTGGGTTCCCCAGGAATCCAGAGAACTCTGCTATGTTATTCCTCAGGTCCTGGGGTTCCCTTCTGGTCTACTGCTTCTCTCCTCTTTTAGAGTCTTTTTATGTTTCTTTTACATATAACGTACAGGGATTTTGGTTGCACTTAGTAGGGAAAGATGTGTCTACTCCATCTTTCTGGAAGCAGAAGTCTCCAGGCCACTTTATGTGAAGAGTTTTGTCCACATTTCATTTCTTTTTGCTCACTAGTGAAGTCTTATTCATTTCAATTTAGTATATAAAACTTATAGCTGAAAAATATATTTCATTTTCATGGAAAAGGACTCCTACTTCTGAAACCTTGCATTGATATTTCTAGACATTTCCAGGGCACCAGTCATAACATCAAGTAAGAAGCCTATTGCCATCCTCCGTGACATCCCCTTCCTCAATATCTCTTTTGCCCAATGTTGCAATAATACTAATCCCAGGTGTGTTGACTAGTGCCACTCATAATCACATTAGTTTATCCTACTTATGCTGATCCTTGTCTTCTTGTCCTGTTAGTGTCTTCAGCTCGTGGCTCTGTTCCTTTTACACTCTTGTTAGCACATGTGATCATACACACTTACATTGGACTTGTCCTTTTGTCCTCATGATAACTGCTGACTGTTAAAACACTTCTTGGATGAAGCACCCTGATGTAGCACCCTGGTAAAAGCAATGGGCTTTGAATTGGGATGTTTGGGTTCCGACCTAGTTTTGCCACTAATCAGCTGATCGTCTCCTTCCCCTAGATGTTTAGCCTCAGACCCCTCACCACTAAAGTGACAGGTGTAGAACTAGATCATCCCTAGGGACCCATCCTCTGGGAAGTATCTTCAGGTTCAGGCTAGTCAGCTCTGATAAAGTCAAGAGCACCGTCAGACCAGGAGGTTGAGAATGGAGGTATCACCGTAGGTGTGCCCTCCTTGATGAGTTTTTGCTGATGGATATATTAACCAGCAGTGGACGGTCACTACAGGTAGAATCTTCAACGAGACTCCTATTTTAGGTTTCTCACCATAATTTCTTAATTTTTGTTGGCAATTGTGCTTGAAGCAAAAACCAAATTAGAAATGATGTTTGTCTGTTGTTCCCCTTGAAGTTAGGTGCCTTGATTGCGGGTCCTCTTTCTGTCTGCCACTTCCTCGCAGTCCCCCCCAAACCCCTTATAGTCCTCCCTGAAGCTGCAGTGTTCACCCTAGCAAGGCAAGTACCTGTGCTCCCTTGGTGCCTCCCATGGCACTTGTGCCAAATGCAAGAAAGAGGAGCCAACGCAGGGCCCGCTGCCCAGCAGGGGAGGTGGAGGCAACGCAGGTGTGATGTACACAGTCCCTCTCAGGTCAGGGAGGAGAGGGAAGTAGGGCTAGGAGGAAAATGGGGCAGGAGAGGAAGGGAGAGCACAAGGGAGAACTAGTGGAAGGGAGAGGTGGATGAGCAGGACAGCTCGGAGAGACAGGAACGCAAACAGAGGAGAATTTTCGCTCGGGGTGGGAATGAATCATCCTCACCTGCCAGCCGCGGGCCTCAGCAAGCTGGCAGCTTCGTCCTCTCAGACTGTGGGTTGCTTTTAGCTGTCAGCCTTGGATGGTGGGCTCATGCATTCTGTTCCCACTCCAATCTGCCAGAGGGACAGGGTCCTTCCCCGCAGCACTGAGGCTTGGCCAGTCGTGATGCCTATGGCGACCGCAGAATCGACCTCAACGAGCTCGTCGCCGGGCACCGTTTTAGCAGCCCCACCACCCATTTTTGGAAACACAACCCTGGCCTCCCATTCACAGCAGAAAAGGGCACAAGGCCCTTCGTGTCCCACCACCTCCCTTCTCTCTGGAATCACTGTGGCTCTGGTTGTGGAAGTTTGTCATGAGTGGACCCCAGCAAGGAATTGGTGCATGATATAGTTTTCGTTTTCAAAGGACCATGATTTCCATGGATTACTTTGTGCAAAGGATGCCAAAACCAAATATTTAAAGTAAATGAGGAAAAAATATGCTTGGAGTAAAAAGCATCTGGACCCTGTGCATGTGCGTGTGCATGCGTGTGTGTGTTCCAGGAGCTGACTCTAGCTGTGAGGATGGCTCGCCTGTGTGTGTGTGTGTGTGCATGCGTGTGTGTGTTCCAGGAGCTGACTCTAGCTGTGAGGATGGCTCGCCTGTGTGTGTGTGTGTGCGTGCACGCATGTGTGTGTGTGCATGCGTGTGTGTATTCCAGGAGCTGACTCTAGTTGTCAGGATGGCTCCCCTGTGTGTGTATATGTGTGTGTGTGCGTGTGCATGTGCGTGTGTGTGTTTCAGGAGCTGACCCTGGCTGTGAGGATGGCCTTCCTATCCTTCCCTTCTCCTGGCTGCCCTATCCTTCCCTTCTCCTGGCTGCCTCCCATTGTGACATGGATTTTTCTCTCATCTTTCTCTCCCTACTCCCCTTGCAGCATGAGAGGCCCAGTACCTGTAAGACTACCAGGCTCCATCACTCTCCAGAGAGGCCAGTTCTGCCTCTTAGGAAGGGCCTAGATCAGCGCAAATCTCACCATCATGATGTCCCCAACTGCTCCGCCCGTGTATGTGTTGGGTATTTCCAACTGTCCCCAGCAAAGCCTGCCTCCTCCCCACCTCCTGAGCCCTGTGGGGTATCAGGAGCCTCACCACTCGAGCGGGGAAGAAGGACAGAGCAGCAGCCTCAGCCCACAGCAGCCCTGCGGTGGAGAGCTGCAATGAAGGCAGGCCTTATATAGACAGGAAAAGCAGGGTGACTGGAAGTACTCAGTCACGGGCAGAGTCAGAGCCCTAGGACCTTTAGGGACAAGGCAGGTGAAAGACCTGTTAGAATTAGGGAGTGAGGGGCTGGAGGTGGGGGGTACACTGGAATGTTACGGTTCTATTTTTCGCTGAGTGAAAACCACTAACAACAACTACAGAAGCCCTGCTCCTTCTGTGGGCTAAAATGGCACTGCTGGCTGTGTGTTCAGAGCAGCTAAGAACCAGGAGGAACAGAGCCCTTGCCTCTGTTCCTAGTCCCCGGGCCCTGGCCTTGCCGGAGTCACCGGAGGCAACCAAGAGCCCCTCGTTCAGAAAGCAGCCATGAGGTAGCCTGGCCACCCTTTCACCTTTTACACCAGGGAGCCCAGAGGTTTCCAGGGCTTGCTGAAGGGAATCCAATAAGAAGAAGATTTCAGATCCTCAGGTGTGTGCAGGGGATTAGCCCAGCGCTGCTGTCTGTCCACCCTGAGGCTCCTCCCCCATCCTCAGGATTGCTGGGCTGGAGGCAGAAAGCTGCACCATCCTTCTGAAGCTCTGCCCCAAAGGAATTGCAGATGTCTGCTTCCTTTCATTTGGGGAGAGAAGTCGGAGGCACAGGGGCCATGAAAGGGGAAGGCGTTTGACTTAGATAGCCTCTCCCTCCTGGCTGTCCCTCTGAGCTGTCCTGTGGAGCCAGGAAGAGGCTTTCTGGGCCCCAGAGCTGTCTTCTTGCTCGAGCTAGGCCCTGGCTCCCCACGCCCAAGACCCCGGCTCCCCACGCCCAAGCCCCCCCCATGCCCACCTGCCACTCCACTGCCCTTAGCTCGTTACCCCTGTGGCTGTGGAGGTCCCTCAGGAAAAGCAGCTCCCCAGGCAGGGGTCCCTTCCTTCCCTCACCACAGCCCCAGCCCCACTGCAGGACGCCCAGGATACCACAAAGGCCCCCCACAATCCCTGCTGGCAAGGCCGTCCTTCCACAGCACACACCGGAGAGGCCTTCTCTATGTGCCTCGATAACCTCAGACCTGGCTTCTTAGAGAAACGGGTCAGGCAGTGACGTTTGTGGCTTTGTACTCCATTAAGTGCTCTTCAGGCCCTCCCTGGATCTTTTGAGATCATGGGGATAAGGGGCGGTGCCCAGCAGACCTGGCTGCTTAAACCATGGTCTCCAGGAGATAAGAGATGCATAAGCTCCAGGAGCCCAGCAGTGAGACAGGCGCCCCCGCGGCCAGAGGCTCACACTGTATGCTTTGCTTTAGGGCTCGGGAGAAAGCACATTGAGCTGCGAGTGAGTAAGTTTGCCCTATCTCTGTCATTAATTCAATTTAATTCAGTCACCTCCGCTTCATAGTAAGTGCTCAGTAAATCATCTCACTTTTTTTTGAACCAGAGAATAAATATATTGATCAATATGTAAATAAATAGATATTTAAGAGATGCCTATACAATGGATTTGCTGAGTTTTCAAACTATTGAAATCAGGAGGAAGGGGCTATGCTGGAGGAATAAACGTGTCTGAATGTAGGTTTGTCTCATGTTGAGTACGTAGCAGAGAACCTATTCTACGGGATAGAATTGTGGAATAAATGACATGAGGGCACACTGAGAAAAGACTCTGAAAAGCATGCAACTCTGTCCAAGCCTAACAATTCAAAATGTAAGTAAAATTTATGATATAAGTGAATTGGCTGCTAGAAAGATACTCTCATAAAATAAGCTGGTTCTTGGGCCGACCCAATGCTTTTTTGTTTTCTTGAGAAGGAGTCTCGCTCTGTCGCCCAGGCTGGAGTGCAGTGGCGTGATCTCGGCTCACTGCAACCTCCGCCTCCTGGGTTCAAGTGATTCTCCTGCCTAAACTTCCCACGTACCTGGGACTACAGGTGTGTACCACCACGCCCAGCTAATTTTTGTATTTTTACTAAAGACGTGTTTCACCATGTTGACCAGGCTGGTCTTGAACTCCTGACCTCAGGTGATCCACCCGCCTCAGCCTCCCAAAATGGTGGGATTACAGGCGTGAGCCACCACACCCAGCCTACCCAATGCTTTTTGAATGACTGCATGAACAAATGAAAGCAATTTGATAAAGCGTGAATGACTCTACCATCTATCCTATCCCCATAGGCCCCCTCCCCCAACACTCTTCCCCTCCTCAGTTTGAATTGCCATGTGAATTTATTGCTCCTGCCAAATGAAGTCAGCTGAGATGGAAATGTTAATTTATTGGACCAGACATGTGTCAACAGAGCTCTGATAAAATGCAGCGACATGCTGTTCCAAAGCCCGCTATCCCGAAACCTCCTACCATCCTGCTGCAAAACTGCTGTGTTTGAGGTTTCACAGCCCCTCTGGCTGGGTCTGGCCGCCGTCCTACCATCTCACTCAAGTCCCGCCGTCCCTCCATAACCTCATGTGAGACACACGGGTCCCCAAAGCCAACCTGACCTTTCCCACCTGCATCTTTGCTCACCATGGTCCTTCCACGGAGAAGGCCCTCCACTGCCATTTAGGCCATTGGAACTCTTCTGTCCTTTAAGGCCCAGCTCAAATGCCTCCCGTTCCTGAGCTAGAGGTGAGCTTCCCTTCCTCTTCCCCAGGCACTTCTTTGTTAGGGAACAGGAGTTTTCCTCTCCTGCTAGACTATAAGCTCCTTAAAAGCTGAGACCATCTGATGAGTTTTTAAATAACCCCCCACCCAAGGCTGCCCCCAAAACTCAAATCAGTGCCTTGCATAGCAGGGATGCAACATTAGGCAGTGCAGAGAGAGTGGGATTCAGAGTAAGACTGGCCCAAGTCCTATCCCGTCTCCGTTATTTGCTGGCCGTGGGACCCGGGATAAGTGGCGTAATCTCTGAGTTTTAGTTGCCTTATCTGTAAGATGGGGATGACACTAGTCACCCGTGTTCCAAGTGTCACTTGATTTACTGTCTGCACATGGCACTCACTCAGGACATAGCTGCCTGTCTCTGTATTCTCCTCACTCCACTAGAGCCCATCATTTTCAATATTTCTTTTAAAAGGACTAGCACTTAAGCAACACAAACTTCCCATTCCTTTTGTGGCTCAGAATTTGGGAATGGGAATTTTACTGAGATCATCAAAGGTGAAGTCGTACATAAGCCATGAGGCAGACACCAGCTTCCCGTGGATGGCCGGATTTTGATTGCCTGTGCTTAGTGGGAACAGAAGGGAAGGGAAGGACCTGGGAGGCCTGGATAGGAACTAAGTTCAGCTGGTGTCTTTATGCCTGCGTCAGGCTTCCCACCTACCAGTGTCAAAGGAAGGGCAGCGTCCTTTGAGATGTCAACAGCTATTCTGAGATTTTTAAAAAATGAAAGGGTTCTGTGTTCCGGGTGTCAGCTGACTGCAGCCTCTACCTCTGATTGAGTGTCACAGGGCATACGAGCTCATTAAAGGCTCTGAGAAGTCCTGTAGCAAAGAAACCTTTGGACTTTGCTTAACCCAGTGTTTCCCAAGTTTTTTGTACCCCTTACTGAATGTGGGCAGCCCTGAGCTGGAGATGTCACTTCTAGCCAGAGGGCAGTCAGGTGTCTGCCGGGGAGACCCTGGCTTCAGTTGGACAGGGGTGCTGGGATCACGGGCTTTCTTTCTCCCAAGAACTGGCCCAAAGGCCAGTTCTTTTCCCAGGGGACCCAAAACAGGGCTTACCGCCTCCTGGAGTCAGGTATGAGTCATGCCCACCGGGCTCTCTTCCCCAAGGCACCCGACACGGTCTGTGTGTGCCATGGGCTCCTGTTCCATAGGCACGCACACCCTCTTCTGCTGGGCAGATACCTCTGTGGCATGCGAGTGTGGGACCTGAACCCAGGTTCTGTCAGGGTGGCGAGGGGGCTCACGCAGAGGATCCACTTTTCTGTCTTGCTCTTGTATGTTTTCTCTTCCTATTTGCCTTTTTATTCTCCTTTGTATTTTTAAATGTTCCTCTCTAGTAATTTTTGCTAGTCTTTTTTATCTCTCACCTTGTTTCTTCCACTGTGAGTAGGCTCAACCATTCGCCTGTTGTCCTATGAGCCACATCCACGCTTTTCTACCTACGTTTCCAAACTTGAGCCTGGCCGGTACACTGACTTCCAAGCCTCCCGTGGAGGCCGCGCAGCGCCCCTGTAGTGCCCCATGGCAGCAAGCTGGTGACCTGAGCTGTGATCATGAAAAGGAAATATTCAGCTTTTCTTCCAAGTGGAAATACTTTATGTATTTTCTCCAAGGCCACAGAAAATGAAAATAAAAAACAGTACTGGCAGCAGGAATAACACCACCGTCCCAAGAAGAAGAAATGAAAACAGTGACACACTCTGTGGCTGCCGCTCTCCTCTGAGTTGGTCAAGCAGAGGCCCTGGGGAGGCAGAGGTCGGACAGTGGTGACCGTCAGTGGCAGTTACAGCCCTGTGTGTTCGGGGCCTTCCTGCTTGATGTGACCAGAGCTGAGCTTGGCGGCTCTCATTGAGCAGCTAATGCAGGAGTCCCCGCCATGGTGGCCTCGTCCCCCAGCCCCTCTCTGTCTTTGCTTCTCTCTTTGCCTACCTTTCTCTCCTCCAAGTGTGGTCAACCTGCCCTTTCCCTGGCCAGCTCTTATCAGGCACCCCTTCCCCGCATTTCCCGGCCACCCTTCTCTTATGCGCTGGGTGACTCTCAGTGCTGACTGCAGGCTTCTCTTCCTGCTCCTTCCTCTCCCCTTCCCTTTCTGTCCTCTCAGAGGAGCCCAGGTTTCAGGCTTTGCTGAGGTGAGGGTGTGGGGGCGGGACCTCTTCACGTGTATCCTCAAGCTGGTCCCTTCTTGTCCTGCGGGTCCCAGCTCCAGTGCCTCCTTCTCAGAGAGGCCTCTCTCAGCCCTGGTTGTTTTCCTTTGACAGCTCATCGCTATTTTAGAAAGGTCTTATTTGTTCACTCATTTACCGTCCTTCCCACCTGCGTGCACCTCCGTGACAGCACCCTTCCTTTATGGCTCGCTTTCTCTTTCTTCTCTTGTTCCCCACTCTATTTCGTGGGCCTGGAAAGTATCAGGCACATTGGAGATGCTCTATCGGAAAGGAAAAGGAATGAAAGAATGGAAGGAGTGGTGGAAGAAAAGGAAGGAGGGAAGGAAGGAGGGAGGAAAAGAGAGGGGAAGGGAGGAAGAAAAAAGAGAAGGAAGGAAGGAGTGGGGGACGATTGTAATATTTATAAGTTTTAACCCAATAGGGTAGCTGCTACCGTCTCCATTTTATAGAGGGGAAACTAAGGCACAGTGCTTAAGGAATTTGTCCCAGGTCAAACCACTAGTAAGTGGCAGCACCTGGCTCCAGAACCAGTCTGTCTCCAGACTCTGGGCTCAACCACCACGCTCTGAGCCTGCAGTAAGATGTACAAGGCAGAAGTCCTGTGGGTGACAATTGGGACTCCACCCACCATGCCAGGGAACGTCTCCATCAGAAGTGGGAGAAGAGGAGTTAATTTTTACTTGACACTGACTGTGGAAGTCATTATCTCAGACACAATTTCACTTCGTTTTCATCACAACCCTCTGAAAAGGACCCTTTACAAACGAGGACTCTAAGAATCAGAGAGGCTAAGGGACTGGCCAGAGTTCACACAACTAGCAAGAAGCAGAGGCCGGATTCGAACCCAGCTCTTCTAGCTCCACATCCGGAGTGTTCACATTCCTCATGCTACTTGGCTTTTCATCACAGACAGTCCTTTAGATGTTAGTGACTGCCTCTCCCTGTTGTGGAAAGTCTTGTTCCGTACACACCTCTCTTAAACATGCTTGCAGTGGATCAAGTGTGCTGTTGCAGTCACTTCTATACAATGTGGAGCAGCCAGTCCTCTGGCAAGGATGTCGCTTTGGTCCAATGGTGAAATCAGACCTAGCTCATGTCATGCTGATGTAGAAGGCCTTCTCCTAAAAGTGGCCGTTTCCATGCGTGGGGAGACTCCTTGTAGCTAGCCCATACTCTGCGATGCGGGTTGTATCTGTGGCTCCCGCCCGGTGATGTCCTGTCATGATCAGCTTCCAGCAGTTGTGACCCACTTGCAGTCATTCACCTTCACCTCATGGGCCTGCACGGTAGTGGCTACAGACACCCACAACAGGTTCAGTGGATCTCAACTCTGGCTGACAGTGCTTGTGGGTGCTTTTAAAAACGCTAATGCCTGGGGCCCTTCCCTGGCCGCTGTTTACCTTGTCTCTGGGGATAGGGCCCAGGCAGTTTGTTAAAAATTCCCAGGAGGTACGCGCCAAGGACCTCTTTCTGGCCTGTCGGATCAAGGGGCCCTGTGCGTGTGCTGCAGTCTGTTTGGTGGCATGTGACTGGCTGCAAGGTGGTCCAGGCGGATGACAAGGGAGAGGTAATGATGCTGTTAATCAGAAACATTAATCTGTGCTAATGTATCATCCCTCCCAGGTAGCAGAACGTTCTCATTCAGTTAAAAATCTCATCTCCTTGAAAAGGCCCTTGAGAAGTGAGTGATGTGAATGCTGACAGTTTTGGAAACCAGAGAGAGATTTTGGGCAGGAGACTTTTCACTGTGCTCCAATTCCCCCCTGCAGGTGGCTACCCCTCCCGCCTGTAGCAATAAAGATTGACACAGGAATGGCAAGGGGGGCCTCCCAGAGCAGACATTCTTCTAGCTGCATATTCAGCAAATACCTGTGCGGGGCCTCCCAGGTACAGGTGCTGGGCTCAGCAGGGACTTCAGTGGAGACCAAAACCAGGTGCAGTTCCTGCTGTTACTGGGCTTACATCAAGCAGAGGAAGTTGACCTTACTTAAGTGATTCTTTCCCACAGGATGAGGGAGCCGCTCCCTCTCTGCTTTTGGGTCCCTGTCTAACCTTCTGCCTCAGCTCGCTCAGCTGCATAGACAGATAGGCAGAACCCTAGCATTACGGCAGGCATCTCCCAGGCTGGCTTCTCCTGGGCTGCGGGTGGCCTTTGATTTTGGAGCCTCTGCTGCCCCACAGTGCTCCCCACCTCCCACCTCTTTTGCCTTTGGATGGGGTCTTCCACATTTCAGATGGCTATAAATACAACAGGTGCAAGTTCAGACGCTCCAAGGAGAGCAACCACTGCCATTGGGTTGTGCAGTAAGGTGTGAATGACTAACATCGAATCTGTCCTGAGAGTAGGTTTTAGTAGAGAGAGAGAACCTGGCAGAGTTGCGGGCCTGACGAGGGCAGGGGAAGAGCCTGTAAAACAAGCCCTGCCCACAGCAGACTGTTGCTCAGTTAGGCCAGAGCCCTGTGGAGGAGATGAGTGTTTGAGTGAGGAGAGAGAGGAGGAGGAGGGCAGGAAGAGGAGGAAAAGGCTCTTGTGTTATGTTCCAGTTATGCACCACAAGGACTGCATCATCCCGGGAAGGGCCCAGGATCCCTCCTCCAGCAAGTAAAATGAGTTTCAAAGAGCACTTGGGCAATCCTGATCAGTGGGACTCACCTTTGCCTGCAGGGAGCTGACACCCCTGGACAACTGGCCAGTGGAGCCTCTAGGGAGGTGGGGTCCTACAACCTGACACGAGCCAGGTTTAGCCTCAGATGCAGCCCATGCTGACCCCCAGTGGGAGCATGCTGACCCCCAGCTCCACTGCTTGTAGAGGGGATTGGGAGCTGAGGGGTTCTTTACCTCCTGGAGTCACAGAGCCCCTTATGGTCTGTTGGAAGTTACAGACCCCTATGGAAACATACAAACAAATGTGTACATGCAGCACTATATGTGATTTTACATTATAAAATAAGCACTAGGAGGGAGCAAAAGGATGGGGTGTTCATTTTACAGATTAGAAAACTGAGGCCCTCCGGGGCATAACGCCTTCCTGCAACCCTAGGCCTCTCTGCCTGTATTAGGCCATTGTTGCGTTGCTGTAGAGAAATACCTGAGGCTGGGTAATTTATAAGAAAAGAGGTTTCGTTGGCTCACAGTTCTGCAGGTTGTAAAGGAAACTCAGCACCAGCGTCAGCTTCTGATGAGGCCTCAGGAAGCTTCCAATCATGGCAGAAGGTGAAGGGGGAGCAGGAAATGTCACATGGCAAGATTGGGAGCAAGAGAGAGGGAGGGAGGAGGTGTCACACACTTTTAAACAACCAGATCTCATGAGAACTCCCTATCCCAAGGACAGCACCAAGACATGAGGGATCCACCGCCACGGCCTGAACACCCCCACCAGGCCCACCTCCAGTCCTCCAGTGTTGGGGATGACATTTCAACATGAGATTTGAGGGACAGATATCTGAACTATAGCACCACCATGCCAGTTCCCTTTCTTTCTGTCATCCCAGATCTACCATGAATCATGTGTCACATCAAATTAGACTCGTTAGGGCATAAGCAGGGGCCCCGCAGTCCAGAATGTTCCAAATAAATTGAGACTTGTCCATCTGTGTGTCCTGATTTGGGGGTTCAAAGAATAGTCCCTCTAGACAGGGGCACAAACCCTTCCTTCACACACAGTAGGCCCTTGAGGAATAGTGGTTGCAGCAATAAAGAAGAGAAGAGAATTCTCAAGGGTGTATGTGGCCTCTCCCCCTAAGAGATTTTGACTCTGCAATCCAACCTCAACCACACGGGAGAGAGGGCAGCCAGTGCTGAGGCTGGATGGGGGCTTCATACCTGTGTCATCATGGGTGCCGGGGCCCAGCCTGCCCTGTGCTAGGGTCACTTCCACACCATCTCTGTACCCGCCACCAGTCTCCAATTTGGCCCACATTGCACTTTCAGCCTTGCTCTGGCCCTGCCAAGCTTTTCGTAATGGGGTCACTTTGGCCATGGCCTCACCCCTCTGGATGTCAGGACAACGCAGCCAGACAGGGTAATCAGACTTAGGCAAAATGGTGTGTGTGTGTGTGTGTGTGTGTGTGTGTGTGTGTGTGTGTGTGTAGGGGGAGGGAGCATTCAACAGGGAGAGAATACCAGATAATAAAGAGCTACAGAGCCAACAGGGACATGGAGCCACTCCCACTAACTGAACCTCCCTCCTCTTTCCCTCCATCCTTGGAAGTTGCGTTCCAGCCAGCTGCCACTGTTAATTCATATGAGAGATTGGACCAGGGAGATGCCACCAGGCTTTCACCCCCGCTGTGATGCTGAGGCTGTGGGAGGGATGGTGTGGTTGACTGGGGCCACCTTCATTAGACAGAGCTGCCATCCTGATAAAGGAAAGGCTTCTTGTCTCAGAGCTGTGTCCTCCCACTGGCTTTTCTCCCTGCATGCTGTAACTGGTCATCTCAGTCCTGAAGCAGGTATGTGTGTTGGGCCAAGGTGGAAGGAGAGTGACACTGTTATTAAATTAACCCAGTCCCTTTCATTGCATCCTCCAAGTGAAGAACAAAAGGGATTTTGCATTTGCCCACAGTGTCTCTCTAAGCAAGGTCTCTGGAACATCTGTAGGAACTCAGAGACGTTTGGAATGGGCCAATAAAACATGGTGAGCATCCAGCAGCAGCCTGGGGTGCTGGGCAGAGCCGGGACCTGGGTAGGAATCACAGCAGGATTCCAGCCCTGGCTCTGCGCCTTGCATTGCTCTCACCTGGCTTCCATATCTGGAGGAACATACCTATTTCTCACGATCACTGTGAAGATGGAATGGGGTTTTGTATTTGAAGCTCTGTGTGCAGTTCTGGAGCCCCGAATGTCCTTGGGGGTGCTCTGAAACCTTAGTGCCTTTATCTCTTCTAATGGTAGGAAATGCACCCTTATTTTAGTCAGATCCTGTGAATTAAATTTTAAAATGGCCATAATAGCTAAGAAGGTAAACTATTAGTGACTAACTAAGTTGAAGTCTCCATCAGTGTCAAGAAGACAGTTTCATTTGCTGTTACATAAAGTTTTCAGATTGTTTTTCTCATACTTCCAACCCAAACGTGCAGAATATTTAAAGCTTAGCAAAAAAAATTATAGGGAACTTAGAAATATATAAAACATGTGATGATTGTAATTTTCTTGTGTTAACTGGGTTTGCAACTATTTTGCTAGGATAATCTGCCCAATTAACCTCTCATATAACTTCTGAAACTTGTTTCATAGAACACGTAAGGGCAAAGGAAAAGCAAGACTCAGTCAATGTCTGAAGCAAACTGGAGTCAATGAGGCAATGCCTGCTTAGAACTTTGCACGCTTGAAGTTTCATACTGTTAATTAAATCTGCCTCAATTCTTTTTTGAGGGACAAATGGGATTCACCATGGGAAAGAGAGTTATCTGAGAGGAACATCCCAGATTGGAGAAGGAAGAGGTCAACTCAGCCCAACTAGAGTAGTCCAACAGTTTAATTCTATCTCACTACAACATAAGCGTTCTGTCAGGTGAGCCTGCTAAGTTCCTTTCCTCTCTTCTCTTGGGTCTGTAAGAGTATCGCAATTCTGGCCGGACACAGTGGCTCACACCTGTAATCCCAGCGTTTTGGGAGGCCGAGGTGGGTAGATCATGAGGTTAGGAGATCCAGACCATCCTGTCCAATATGGTGAAACCCTGTCTCTACCAAAATACAAAAAATTAGCTGGGTGTGGTGGTGTGCACCTGTAGTCCCAGCTACTTGGGAGTCTGTGGCAGGGGAATCGCTTGAACCTGGGAGGCAGAGGTTGCAGTGAGCCAAGATCATGCCACTGCACTCCAGCATGGTGACAGAGCAAGACTCTGTCTCAACAAAAAAAAAAAAGCATCGCAATTCTCTGTCTCTTGTCATGGCCATGCTAGGACATGGGCAACCTGGTAGTGAACAAAATACCTTTCTCTGTTCCTCCACTCAGGGAAATCTACTAATACTTGGTTAGACTTTAATTTTTCAATTTTGCAATCTAGAAACAGAAAATACCCATAAATATCCCAAAATAGAAACAAAATGCGGCCCATTCAGTTTCCAAAAAGTAAACAAAGTGATTCTTCCTCCATGAGATGCCTGAATACATTCATAGTTGGCTAATTAAACTACCATAGAAACAATTATTCAATATAGGAGGAGAAAGAGAGGAGGAGGAAGGAGCGGGAGCATTAGCAGACATACATGGCTTTTGGCTAGGAAGATAGCTGTTACAGGCCAGTGGAATGGAGGGAAAATAACCCACGGAGGGCAGAATCATTTCTGCAGACAAGTCTATGAACCAAGCTGAGCCTTCGTCCTTTTTTACCAATAGAGTTTCCCTTCTTTCCCCTTGGTGCCTCCCCAGCCATCTGTAGGAAGAGGATCCCAACAAGCCTTCCTTCAAGTCAGTTTCAGAGCATTTCTGCCCTACAAGGACCTGGGTATATCTTGGATGCCTTGGGAGGCTCATTGAAGTACCATAGGATGGCCATGTTTTCCAGGTCATCTGAGATAACCCCAGCATAATCACCTGTGTCCCCCACAAAATTATTAATAGTTGCCCTCTTTAGCTCTCTAAAGTGCCCTTGTTTGAGTGCTAACTCGTGTGGCCAGTCCACATACCCTGCAGGGAGGGTAAAGGGCACCACCTTATGTGTCAGCGCTGACTGGCAGCAGCTGCTGGAGTGCTGTGTTGAGGAGGGTTCTGCAGTCGTGTTGTGGCTCAGCAAGCAAAGCCCTGGCAATGGGTTAACTGCAGCGGCCCGTGGGGCAAGTGAGGGAGAGGCAGCACTCCCTGCCGGCACAGAACAAACGCTGGCCAGGTCAGGGTGTGGGTTTCAGGCCAGCTCTGCTCCTAGCTTCCTGTCATCTGAGTGGGATCGTTTCCCTTCTCTGATGTTGGACCAAGATACCTGAAGTTTTCTTTCAATTCCATAATTCGAATCTCGTCCTCCATCGAGGATTAGCTTGGAAGGGAGCTCCGATGTCATCTAGCATGATTTCCCACTCCCTCCATCTAGTGGGGGATTGTGCAAGATAACATCCGAGCTCCCTTCCAACCCTAGAATCGTGTGATCCTATGGTAACTTTGTGAGAGGGCCCTCTCTGCTCCAGAGTGAAGCTGCACTTTGGGACGGATGTCAGCTAGTATCTAGTATTCTCATGGTGCGTTTTATAGTTGACAGAGCACTTGCATGTATCTGACCACAGTCACATGACTCTGGCTTTATTTTCATCATCTTCATTTTATAGGTGAAGAAATTAAAGCTAAGTAAAGGCCAAGTAAAGGGGACTCTGGGCTCAAACTGCCTGGGTTCAAGCACTTGCCGTAGCTCTCACAATATGTGTGGTTTGGGCAAGTTAATCTCTCAGTGTCTCAGTACCTTCATCGGTAGGATGGGGTAATATACTTACATCATAATGATGTTTCGAGGATTAAATGAAACGATTCATGCAAGCTGCTTGGGACACTGGTTGGAATATAGAACACATGTAATAAAATGAGTTGATAGAGTGAGTGGTAGAGGTGGTGGAGGTAGCAATTAACAGCAGTGGTAGTAGTATAGTAGTTACACCCAGCAAGTAAATGGCATAACTGGGACTCTTCTCAGAAACTGACCCCACAGTCTGTATGTGACCCCAGTGACCCCAGAATTTACTGCGCTGTGTCTACCTTAGGATTTATATCCACAGGTCAGAAGCAGCAGGCAAGGTAATGAGAAAAATAAAGATGATGTTTAAAGAGATGTTTTCCCCATCTAGCCCTGAGAGAGTATTGGCTGGGGAGCTGAAATTCTCCCCTCCTCAACCTCCGATAATCTGGTAAGGTCAGTGGCAGGTGCAGGGTGCTTGTTATGCCATTGCTGTACTATGGGCTCATGGCAGGTGGCTGAATGGACAAGCTCGTGCTCCCTCCCGCTCCCCCTCCCCTCCTCTTGGGAGAGACTGCCTGCGATGTCAGTGTTTCTTCAGTAACCCGCGCACATTATGTGGTTCCATATGGATCAGTAAATTTCCCCCAATCTCTGTATTACAAGGTCTGGTGCCTCATTAATGGCGTCTTCAGCGCCACAAGCTGAGGCTAACAGCTCTGTGTTTTTCCATCTTCAGTGGGTCTGCACACATTTTCAGCAATTTGCAGGAAAGACCTCAATTAGCCAAATTCCTACGTGACTCAGTGAAGGCATTCAGAATGCACTCAGCTGTCCATCCTCAGGTGGAGAGGGGTGATCTGAGAGGTCCAGAGAAGAGGCAGAAAGAAAAAGCAAGCGGGGAGAGGAAAAGTCAAGGGGGAGGGAGGGAAAACGGGGAGAAGGTGAGAGAAACCACAGCAGATGTGGAGGAGCGTGTGTGAGGACATGGTTATTTTCACCCAGCATGAGACAGATTCACTTCTTTCTTGGATGTTTGGTGTCTTGGCTAAAAATATGTCAACTGAATGTTGTCTCAGGGACAGGGAGATGGAGAGCATTAGGACACTTTGCAGAAAGCTCAGGCCTGGAACGGGGCTTTCTTTCACATGTGGGTAGGGGGTGAGTGCTTGGGCTATGCTGAGAGTGGGGCCCAGAGCATCGACAGTGCAGAAACTCACTTCTCCAAGAGCTTCAGCAGCTCCAGGACCCTTCTGCCTGCCTCCCTCTCCCAATTCCATTGTGAAGTGGCAAAGTCTGTTCCAGGTACTGTGTCCTGTGGGAGGGTGAGGAGGAAGTTGAGGAAACCTCTCTCCCAGAGACTGAGCTGGCAGAGGCCATGGGCATGGGCGCTGATAAGGGCCAGGAAGCGGGGAGGGTCCTAACACCATGACAAGGCCAGGTCCTTGTCTGCAGTGTCACAGGGCTGTGGTCCTCTATTGGCCAACAGTAGCTCCTCTGCACCTGGAGGAGGACGTGGGGCCCACTGGACTCACCTGGGCGACTGTCTGCACTGTGGGAGGGAAGGAGAGTCCAGAGGTCTGGTCAGGGACTGAAGCATGGCATGAGGCAGCCCTGGGGCTAATGCAGGCCCTGGCTGTCACATTCCCCAGGGAGGGATAGGCCCGGAATCATTGCTAGGTAGCATAGAAACCTAACACACCAAAAGCAGAGAATTGGGTAAATAAATTATAGTACAGCTATTCCTGCTACTAGAATGCTATAAGGTTATTGGAAATGATATTGTAGACAAAATTTGACAGTGTATTAAATGTTTAAAAGCTGTTGTTAAGCAAAAATAGGGAATATAAAATGATACGAACAGTATAATCGCAATTTTGGAAAAATACACACAAAGGAAGTAGATTAATCATATAAGCGAAAATGTCAGCAACAGTAGCTTCAAGGAAGTGGAATACTGCTCCTTTTCCTTTTCCTGTTTTTTGGGTGGGTGTCTCAGAGTTTTCTTAAATTTATAACATAGAATTTGTTATTTGGCTATTAGAAAATAAAATTATCGAGATTATAAGAAATAATTGGGACAACAGCAAGTCACATTTTGCTGACTTCTTATTGGCCATTTGAGAAAACTGAACCAAAGGATTAAACCATGAGAGCAGGGAACCCTGGTCCTTACCTTTACAATATAACCTTTTGCAGCCAGTCTTTAGAGGTGTGGCTTTAAATGCACTTACCTCATTTCCAGCCTGGGCTTCATGCTCTCCTCATTTGCAATGCTAAGCTTTTTATCTATTTTCCCCTCAAAGCTTTGTAGTTCACTTTAAAGACTTTACTGAAGGTGGAAAAGCATGGGAAGCCTGGATTATCCAATCCCAATGCCTGGGACAAATGAAAGGTCACAAGAATGAGAAGAAAAAGTTTCCAGAGGGTTTTTAGAAAGCCCCAAGAGACTTGGGAAGTCAAGTAATAATTTGGCAGGAGGGGTCTTCCTTGCTTTGGTTTGGGTGTGCCTCTTTGGATTTCGTGGTATTCTTGTTGGGGGAACAGATGACTATGTTCCTCATATTCTCGAAGGCATTTGTGGTGGGACTGAGAAATTAGCCCAGTCCTCATGGAAGAGAATGAGAGAGTAGGATACAGCTCAGAGCTGGGGGCAGGGAACACTGGTGAGAACTAACCCAGCACAGTTATTTTCATATACCCACTGAATTTCCAAATCTTATCAATCAATGAGCAGTACATACGCCCACCCTGTGCAAAATACTGGGTTAAAAACTGGGGGGTCTAAATATGATACATGCCTTTGCCGTGAAGGACTGGCAATCTAATTGAGAAGGTAATAAACCCATCTGAAGTTAATATTATCAGAAATAATTGACAACAGTGTGTGAGAGATGCCACAAGGTGAGTAGTACATGATTAAGTGCCAAGAGAGTGGCATAGACAGTGAGTGCTGGGTCTGTAAGAATGGGTAAAATCTGAGGATACATGCAGTAGATACTTCAGGTCTGGGGGAAATAATACAGGTAAATTCTTACAGATAGGAAAGCCCAAGCTGTATTTGAAAGGCAGTAGAAGGGTTTAGGATGCCCATGAAAATTGTGGTCAGAAAGGTGATATATCAGTTAGCTTGTGCTGCGTAACAAACTACCCGGATACTTAGTGGCTTTAAACAACCACCATTTATTAACTTACATTTCTGCAGGTTGGTAATCTGGATTGGCTCAGTTGAGCAGTTCTTCTGGACCTAGCAGGGCTCCACTGATCTTGGTTTGGTGTTCAAGTGTCTGCTGTCAGCTGGTGGTTTGCTAGAGATAGGCAGTTCATAGTGGCATTGGCTGATATGGCTGGGATGGCTGGGATGTCCTCTTTCCACATGGCCTCTCATTCTTTAGCAGGCTTTCTTGGCTTGTTTGTGTGATGGAAGAAAAGTTCTCAGTGTGAGAGGAGAAGCTGCAAGGCTTCACGTGGCCTACGCTTAGCTGTTGCACATTATTCCACCATATTCTTTTGGTCAAAGCAAGTGACAAAGTCAGCTCAGATTGAAGAGATGAGGAAATAGACTCTGATTCTGGAAAAGAAGAGCTGCAAAATATCGTGGCCATTTTTGCCATCTTCCACAGATGGGTTGGTTGGATTGGGTGCCAGACCAAAGAACCCTTTAGTAGGAAGGACATAGAAAGGATGTAATGAGCTAGAGAGTGGGAAGGACCTGTGCTTCCCAGTGCCAGTCTGCCGACCTGTGCCAATCTGCAATGAAGGTTTATCAGCCTGCAGTTAGAGGAGAAAAACAGGAAGGGTGCATTGTGTACATGCCAGGGACGGGGATGGGGATGGTAGTGGGGTTTTCAGCTGTTCTTTATTCTAGTATTGCTTCTCCTTCCTTTCATGAAATGAAAAGGATAACAAATGATCATTGTTATTTTTAATATATTATTGGCAGAATAAAAAGTTGGCAACCCTGTGTCCATTCCTAACATTTCTTTTGCTTTTGTACTGATCAATAAAATCTTGACTAGAGCCTGGGTGTCACTGGATAGCCTATGAAGATCAAGAATTCCCAGAAGGAAGAAATGGCTCGCTACCGACCCACACATCAAGGAGGCCTTCCCAGCAGAGGTGGGATCTCAGCTGGGCCGAGAATGGCTAGCAATTGTCAGGCATATTTTATTTTACTTTATTTTTATTTTTTTATTTTTTGAGATGGAGTTTCACGCTTGTCACCCAGGCTGCAGTGTAATGGTGTGATCTCAGCTCACTGCAACCTCCGCCTCCCGGGTTGAAGTGATTCTCCTGCCTCAGCCTCCCAAGTAGCTGGAATTACACACATGTACACCATGCCCACCTAATTTTGTATTTTTAGTAGAGACGGAGTTTTACCATGATGGCCAGGCTGGTCTTGAACTCCTTACCTCAAGTGATCTGCCCATCTCGGCCTCCCAAAGTGCTGGGATTACAGGCGTGAGCCACCGCGCCTGGCCATGAGGCATATTTTAAAAAGTAAAATACCATTGATTTTGGAATGTTTATACTGTATTAGTGGCTCCTTATCAGATCAAACACTCGGCCTGTCGCTTTAGAGCTTTCAAACTGAGAAACACTTTCAAAGGAAAGACTGTCTCTTATTACTTGCTTGTAAATGGAAAACCTGTTTTAATTACACCTGAAAACTACTTTCATAAGATTGACTTATGTACTGTCTGTTCAAAACTTACAGAAGCAAGCCCCAATTTTTTTCACTGACATTTGAAGCCTTCCCTGAAGGGACCCCCAGCACATCCCCACCCTCTGTGCCATCCCTACCCTGCAAACCCCTGCTTTAACCAGGTCTAATGGGCACTGTGCTTGAATGGGCTTGTCTCCTGCTGGCCTTGGGTCCTCCCCTGCCTTTCAGCTTTCTCTTCTGCCCTCTCTTTGGTGGGAAGTTCCTACACTGCCTTCTCCAGGAAGCCCTCACTCCTGGATCCAGCCAGCTGTGGTGTTGGCTTTGCATGTCACTCACCTGGTATTTAGTTCTATTTGGGGGGCTATTAATCCTGCCTGCCTAGACTGCCACCTTCCTGAGGCACAGATCTTGTCTTCCCAGTCCCTGAGTGCCCCGTGTGTGTGGCATCTCAAAGGCGGGGAGCTTTGCTCACTCTGAAAGGAGCCAACACAGTAGGAGCCCCAGACTGTGGGGCCAGGCATGTATCTCCCTGCTACCTACTTATCTGTGCTGTGACACTCATGGTCCCACTGAACTTGCAACCCAATGAGATGTCCTCCTGGTTGGCTGGACATTTCCTTAAAGACATGAGAGAAGAAAGAGAGCTCATTAAAGTCAGAGGTGCTCTCTGCTTGCCCTGGGCAGTGACTTTGCAGCGGGAAACCAAGAGGCTGATGCTGATGTTTAGCCTGTGTCCAAGCCTTGTCACGCTGATTCTGTGCAAAGAGGAGAAGCTGGGAGCATCTTAGGTGATGTCCTTGTGTTAGTTACTTAAGGTTGCTGTCACAAAGTACCATGAACAGAGTGGCTTAAGACAACAAAAATGTATACTTTTGTATCCTGGAGGCCAGAAGTCTGAAATCAAGGAGTTGGCGGGGCCATTCTCTAGGGAGAATCTGTTCCATGCCTTTCTTTTCGCTTTTGGTGTTGCCAACAGCCTTGGCATTCCTTGGTTTGTAGATGCATTAATCACTCAGCTTTGCCTCGGTGGTCACATGGCTTCCCTCTTTGTGTGTGTCTGTTTTCCCTTCTTATAAGGACATCAACATATTGGATTAGGGGCCCACAAACTCCAGGATGACCTCATCTTAACTAATTAAATTGGCAGTGACCCTATTTCCAAATAAGGTCACATCCTGAGGTCTGGAAAAGACATGTATTTGGGGAAGGGAGGATGCTGTTCAACCCAGTGCCAGCCTGGATTCTGTAACAAACTGACTGGGAAGGAGTCTGCGCTCTCCTCGGCTAACAGAGAGAATTCTGGGACCTAACATCTATTCAGCAGGCACACACCAAGTTGATGTGGGGGAAAAGCACTGGGGTTGGAGTCAGAAAACTTAGGTATAAGCCCAGTCTCCACCGTAGTCCAGTGGGGTAAACCTTGCTTTCCTTGTCTTTCCCATGGGGATGATAATACCCTTTCCTCCCTCCCAGGGTTCAGGTTAAGAAAATCCACTCACACAAAAGCTCTTCGTAGCCTGCAGGCAGTATGCACATGGTGGATGGTACCATGCTTCTTTTTGTCCAGGAGATGGCTTTGTAAGTTAAGTTCAGAAATTTGCAAGGGGTGCTTGGAGCTATTTGATAGATACCAGTCCCTCTGCTCACTCCCAAGTACTTCGTGATATTCTATGGGCCAAAACACCAGCCGTGCCCAGCTCCACCCATCTTAGGTGATGAGGAAGAGTAGTTTCCACAAGCTCATGAGTTCAGGCCAATTGTGGTGAGGAGTAGGAGAGGAGGCTGTGCATACAAAGACCAGAGATTTGAGCAGCGCCTTAGTCAGTTCAGGCTGCTGTAACAAAATACTGTAAACTGGGGTATTTCCTGGGGACTTATAAACCACAGAAATGTATTTCTTATGGTTCTGGAGGTTGGGAAGTCCAAGATCAAGGTGCTGGCAGACTTGGTGTCTGGTGAGGGCTCATTCGTGGATGGCTGTATTTTTGGTGTGTCCTCACATGGTGGAAGGGGTGAGCTAGCTCTCCTGGGTCTCTGGTATAACAGTCCTAATTTCATACATGAGGCCTTCTGCCCTCATGACCTAATCACCTCCCAAAGGCCCCACCTCCTAATACCTTGGGGGTTAGGATTTCAACATAGGAATTTGGGGGAGGGAATCACAAACATTCGGACCATAACAAGCAGTGATCTTAACTTTCCACAGATCTGCTGTGCTATGTTTCATTCCATGAACTGGCAGGACAGGTGTTCTTATTTCTAACTAGAATCCAGAGACACTCAATGTGTTGCCTGAGGATCTGCAATTAGTTCATGGCAAAGTGACCCAGATACCTTGATTCATGGTCCAGTATATTCTTTTAACTAGTTCCCAGGACTGTTTACAGAAAACTGTAGACCCATCCACCCTCACACTTGCCTTGAGTTTGCTCTCCCCACCTGCCCACCCCTGACTCAGTCTGGGAGGTGGTGGGGGGGTCCGAGCATGTATGAGACCCAATGCTGGCACAGAGTATGTGCTCCGTAAACACTTCCTTTCCCCTTTCCCCTGTAAACCCAAGCACCCTGGTCTCTGTTCTTCAGATGCCGCTTACTGGTATACTCCTTCCTGGCATTGTAGGATCTGGATGTGGAGGTCTCCTTCCCCCAGGTGTATAGGAGGCCCTTCCTTTGTGTTCCCTGCAGTCCTCAACATGAAGCTGGGCCCATGGAGCCCAATCCCCACAGGCTGATGGCATTGAGCACCCTGGCCTCACTCTGTTTCTCCTCTGTTCCTGAGCCTCCCACCCAGGAAACACACCCACTGCTGACTCCATGTCCCAGTACCCCAGCCACACATGGCTTCTCTGTGGGCGGCTTCAGGCAAAGCTTCTGTCTCTCCTCACCCGCTCTGCACTTCCTGCCCTGCAGGCAGAGGGAGCTCCCTTCATTGACGGGTGGCCATGGGCAGGGTGATATGTTTGAGAAGCAGTGAATCCTGTAGCTGAAAGGAACCATGGGGCCACTTAGGTCAGTAGTTCCCAGGCCCTGGTGCTTTTCAGAAGTGGGGACCTTGTTAGAAGTCAAGATCCCCAGGTCCTCCCCAGGATCTTCTGACCTAGCAGGTCTGGAGTGGGGGCCAGGAGGCTGCATTTTTAACCAGTACCCCAAAATATCTGTAGGTAGTTGTAGGAGAACCGAAGTTTGGGATCCACTCATATACTCCAACGTCTTCATTATGTGGATGAGAAAAATCAGACTCACAGAGGCTGTGTCACCTACCCAAGGTCACCCAGCTTGATAATGATGAAACTAAAATTAGAACCCAAGATTCCTGGCTTCCAAGATGATGCTCTTACTGCCACAGCTTGCTCCTTGCCCTTGCTATGTTTCCAGAGGGAGAAAAAACATAAGAGGCAATATGGAATCCAGTAATCCAAATGTGCTCTGTGCTGAGAGGTCGGTAGAACATGATAGTTAAGACGCCAGCCTGGTACCAGGCAGACCTTGGTTCCAACCCTGTAAAATGAGAATAATGATGATACCCACCTCCCAGGGTTGTTGTGAGATCATCTACATAAAACATTAAACACAGGACCTGGCATGCAGCAAGAACTAGGGGTCAAGGGTTTGGCCTGTATGAGAGGGATTCAGGCCCAGTTACTTCATTCCCCTGATGTTATGGCAATGGAGGAGTCCCCCAAGCAGGTGGAGGTACAGCTGCCATTGCATTGCTCTGCAGTAAAGAGTCTTCAATGTAGGGACCTCCTGGGCACTGTGAGCCCTGGTGTTCCAAACCCCAAGATTCCCATTCCCTCACCTACCACAAAATTCATATTCATCTGGGAGAACCAACTCAAGGCTCAGCCCAACCCTGCCAAGGTCACCAGAGGATAAGGCCGTGAATCACTTTTCCCACAACTTCCCTTTTAAGGGCAGGTCCCCAGCTTTTATTGTACTCTGTTTTATATCATTATAATTGTGCTGATCAGCAAGGAGAACAGACCCATTTTTACAAGGGAAAGGAGACACCCACAAAAAAAAGCCAAAATTATGACAGTTTAAAGCTTGCAGCAAACACTTTTTAAATTAGATCTGCCTTCAGTATGGGTGTCAGACAGTTTCAGAGCAGAGCCTGATTTGGAGGAGAGGCGAGTTAGCCCTTTTAGGGGGCATGTGGTCGGCAAAGAGGCCAGGAGCAGTTATTGGGAATGAAAGTCACTTACTTACAAGAAAGGAAGTGGATGGAGGGTGACGTTCTTCGCATTGCTGGTGCCCTGGTGCTCACCATGATGCCAGGTGGGCTTTCAATGCCTGGAGAGGGGAGATGACCATCCTGATCATCAGCCTCAAAGACCTACCTCTGACTGACCTGGGGAAAGGGACTTGATTTTCTGGGGTTCAGCTTCTTTTTCTCTGGGAGTCTGACCCTCTCCTCCCACCTGCCCCACTCTCTTGCTACCTTGGGGATTAGTGGCCGGGGCTAAGGGAGTTGGAGCAAGGCCAGGCCTGGGAGACACAGGTGCAAGTCCAGATAATGGTGCAATCATCTGTTCTGGATGATGGATCAGAAAAGGCATAAGTGCAATCTTCTTTTTAAAAAATGGAGTGTGTAAATAAGCATCATTACCACATTACTGATAGTATTTGGTTCTGTGGCCTTGAGCAGGTCCTTCCCCCTCTTTGTGCTATACTGTCTTCATCTGAACAACTAAAGCCCTGGACCAGATGAACTTCCATATCCCTTCCAGCTAGAATGCTTGCTGTGCACCACAAAGCCTGTTAGTCTTCTGCTGCCTTCCAGGTGAACCACCAGGAAGGAATTGGAGACTGAAGAGGGCAAACAAAGCAGACACTGAGGCTGTGATGAGGGGAAGTCTTCCTTTAGAGACTAACCCTGTGCCACTTAGGCAGCGACAGTCCCCTTCCACAGCAACCCATGCCAGAGGAGCCTCGCTGCTGGAATGAGGTTCCTGTTCCACGCGTTTGACGTGTGTGCTGATGACTCTGCACCATATGGTAAGGGTGTCCAGGCTGCTGCTGGTGGGTATTTTATTTCCTTGCCTGTTGGTTTTAAGGAGGCTGTATAGATGCTGCCCTGTGCCCATCTCAGCACAGGAAGCAGAGCTGAGCAGCAGAGATGAAAGGCATACAGAGGCCAAGGAGGCATCCATCCTGGTGTAGCTGATGTGCTTGGGGCCACAGGTGGTCCTACTCAGGGGCAGTCCCTCTTGTGGGGCCGCAGACCTGGAGCAGTCTTAGCCTGGGTAAGCCCAGGTGCAGGAGAGAGGAGGGAGGTTTGGCTAAGACAATAGAAGCCCTGCAGTGCCCTGGACCCATGCCTGCTTTGATAAATAGCCCTTCTCTGCCTCCATTCATCTATCCACCCATCCATTCATCCACCCATTCACTCACGCATTCATTCATTCATCCATTCACCCACCCATTTATCCATGTACTTCTTTGCTTTCTTCTCACTCATGAATGTGAGGATACCTCATGGCATCAAGTGCTGTTGGTCATCAAAAGGACCTTGGAGGAGATGTGCTCTAACTCTCTGAGGCTCAGTCCCTCCATTGCCTACAGACAGCCCTTCCTTCTTGGGAAACTCCAAGTCTGGAAGTTCTTTCTTGAGACAAGATCGGCCTCCGTCTCGTTCCCACTGCTTAGTCCTGCCGACTTCCTTCTCCTTTCCAGAGCCACATGGACCAAGCCTGATCATTTCAAGGGACAGCCGTTGAGCCCAGTGTTTCTCCAAGTGTGGAATGGGCCCTTCGCATGGCTGGGGAGACAATTTGGGGCAGTACATGGACATTTTAAATAGTTATTTTTACTGTTACCCTTATCATAGCAAGCAATAATAGTGGTGATTTTTAAAAAAAGTTCCCTTTCCAGATTTTTATGTAAGAAAAAAGTGAGTTGATTTAATGAAAAAATGAGGAAAAACGCTATGCATACATGGACATGGCAAGGGCTCCAATGGTCCCGGGGGATGCTGCACTGGGGAGTCTCACCTGCGCTCCCTTCCTGCACCCGCTCCCTCTGTTCCCCTCACTTCACACTGTTCTTTGATTGTGGATATCACATAACTATCTGTATAGGTTGTTTGTCAAGCCCACCTGTCAGGCCTGACCCCCCGTCTGTAATCCCCACATACATCTCCACGGGGAGGCCATCACATCTCTTCATCATGTCATATCTGAAGTGAGCTTCTCAGACACCCTGGAATTCTAGAACCACTAGGGGTTGGGGAAAGGGACATTTCTTAAGTATTTCCTATTTAATGTGTTCAGTTCACATCTTCCCTTTAGTCCTAAAAGAGTCTCTGCAACAAGATATTCTCTCCATTTTACAACCAAAGAAATGGAGACACAGGAAGGTTAAACCATCTGTCCAAGCTGCAATAGTTGTGGAAGAGCTAAAATTCTAAACTTGATTTGTCTCCTTCCAGCGCCGTGGACGTCCCACTACACTGGGATGCCTTCTAGCTGCATGCACGAAGGGGAGTGGGGATTATCCAGCCAAATTCACTTTTGTGGATAAAGAAACTGCGGTCTGGCAAGTTTGCATGGCATGTCCAAGTCCCCTGGGGTCACTGGCCAGCCCACACTTTGGACTCTGTTTTCTGTGAGCCTTTCATTCTTCCAGCCGTTCTGAATGAAGTCTGAAGGCCACGTTTGATAGTCCCCGTCAGGCCGTAACATTTTCTCACTCTGTCTTTTCTCTTCCTCTTCTCCCTCTCTTTGATTCAGACTGTCATTACCTCCTTCCTGGACCACGGCAGAGGTCTCCCCACTTCAGTCTAGTTCATCTAAAGATTGCTTTTCATATTTATTTCCTAAAACATAGCTTGGCACATATCACCCTTTGATCGTGAACCGTCGTCAGCCCAAGTCAACGTGGATGTTAGGTCCCAGATACAACATCCTGGGTAGGGAGTGTAGACTCTTCCTGCGATCCTGGAGGCTGGCTGGAGTTTAGACCTCACCTGCCTGGGCAGAGGCTTTCCCCCACCGTGCAGACACTCCAGCAAACAGGGGCTGCTGCTTGTTTCCCCTGAGGATCTTGTGTTTCTCATGTGGAGGTCACCGACCTTGACCAGGACCCCATTGTGCAGCTCCTCCCCTGCCACCTTCAGGCCTCGCTGCCACCACACATCCTGACCACCAGCCCCAGCAATCGCCTTTTCTCCAAATCCTTAAACTGCCGATTACCAGCAGGGCTCATGTGGCAGGTTGCACACACAATCTGTGTTGTAATTTGTCCATGGCATGTGTCCTTCCTGCCCACTTGCCTGGACTGTGCACCCCAAAGGCAGGGGAAGCATCTCCTGCCCTTTGTAACTGCAGTCCTTTGTCCCAGTGCTCTCAGGGTGGGCCCTCGGCACAGGCCGTCCGTGTTGAGGATACTAAGGTGTCCTGGTGGGTGCTGCTCATTTGAATTCACATGGTCCGGGCAGGGGGAAGGGTTGCCCGGGAAGAAGGGTGGCCTCTGCAGCACCCCTGGAGTTGCACCCCGAGTGCTGGGAGACAGGCAGCCTGAGAGGTGAAAGCATGTTGTCAACCATGACATGCTGCAGGCACTGGAGGGAGGCCGTGGCTGGGACATCGACCTTGATGGCATTCAGTGCCCTTCAACTTCTACTCTGGAGGACTCTGTGAGCCTCTAGTGCCCGGCACTATACAATGCACTGTGGATAGCACAGGAAAATCTGCCCTCAGAGTGCTCCTGCTCCTGAAGCAGGAGCGAGGTCTTGCACGCTTGCTGAATGGGACAGCCTGGAAAGCAGGCCGTCGTGCCATGTACCAACATCCCAAACGAGCAGTGGACAGACTGGCCAGGAGGCTGCAGAACCACAGGAAAAGGAGACCGAGAGGCTGGGCAAGCCAAAGCACCCTCCCAGGGGAGGAGAAGTCCAGCTGGCCTGGCTGTGAGAGCTTCCCAGGCAAGGGGCTGCAGGGGCAGTGATGGAGATGGGTGGTCAGGGAGGCAACTTCTCCACCGGAGCAGTGAGAGTTGGGAGAAGACAAGATATGGAGGTGGGGAAGGAAGGATTTAAGCAGAGAAGCTGGGTCCTGATGAACTACTAATTGGGAATCCTTATAAGTTCTTGAGTTAGGGAAGTGGCATGTTCAAAGTGAGACTCTGGAAAGTTCCTTGTCAGAAATTCACTGCTCAGAAATTCCTTCATCCCTTGAAGGTAGGAAGAAGCCACCACTAGGCGGGGAAATATTGGGTCTGCATCCCTGTGTCCTCCAGCTGTAGATCTGAGGCTGTTGAAGGGGCCTCTTCTCCGCCTCCTCACCCCGGCCTCTCTAAGAGCTGTAACGTTACTGCCTCCCTCCCACAGCCTCATCCTCTGCTCCATAGCTCTGTGCTGTAACAAGAGGCTAAGCACAGAATTACATGGGCTACCCTTGGCTGGGGGTTTGGGCTGATGGCTGTAGATCTAGTCTGAGACCATAATTTGAACTAAGCATCTCCCACACAGGCTGGGAGCTAACAGGGAGGCAGAGCAGCATTTGTCTTCCAGTGTCTGCACGCTACTGCCTTTTCCACCCAGGCAGGACTAAGTTGAGCTTTAATATGCCCAAATGGCTGATAAGGGGTGGAAGCACTGGGCACCGTTGCAGAGACATCAGATGAGCCCATCAATAGAGCTGCTTTCAGAAGCAAGTACTAGAAAACTCAACTCGGAATGACTTTCACAATAAGGAAATTTTATCTCACATACAGGAAGCCCCAAATTAAGGTGGCACTGAAGTTGGTTCAACTGCTTCCCCCAGGACCTCAGTTTTTCCCACCTTTTCTCTTTGCCCACCCTCAGCATGTTGCTCTTGTCATCAATTAGCTGTCCTCATGGTCCCCAGATGGCTGCCACAGTTCCAGACTTCACATATAGACATGGATGTTTCCCATTCAACGAGAGATCATAGTGCTTTTGTGCTGGTATGCCTCTCTGTCTTTCTGAATCAATGAGAAAATTTCCCTTCATGCCACACTGGCAGGGTTGGGTCTCAGGCCACTTCTGAAGCTAATGGATGGAGAAGAGAAAAGGAATAAAGTCAGCTTTAGCTGGGTTACACCAGTGGTGGGTTCATAGCCAGTGGTGCTCCTCATAAGGTGGTGACCAGGTCTGACAGGCAGTGGGAAGAAAGTGTGTGGTAGGGGAAGAGTGGGGAGGCCTGTGCAGCAGCCAGCACATGACTCAAAAATCAGGCATTCAGTGTAGCCCCAACAAAGCCCCAACACACTTCCCATTCTGACAATTGTGCCAGGTAAAGGGGGTTCTGAGGTGGCTGGGAGGTGAGCTGATGGAGTCCAGCTTTCCCTCTAATCACAAACAATGGGAAAAAAACATTAAACTCAACATTCTGGCTCTACCACCTACTAGCAGTAAGGCTTTGTGGAAGATTATCTAAGCCCTCTGATCTGTTTGCTCATCTCTATATTGGAGATAGTTTTTACCCATCATGCAGAGTTACTGTTAGGATTAGAACAGAAATGTCCAGGCTCCGACTGTTGCTAATGGCAGCTATGGTGGAGGTGATGATGGTGGAGATAGGGGAGGTGGAAATGGTGGTAATGGTGATGATGGGGGAGGTGGTGTTGGTGGTGGCAATGATGGTAATGGTAGAGGTAGTTTGGATGGTGGTAATGGGGATGGTGGTAATGGTGATAGTGGAGATGGTAGAGGTGGTGATGGTGGTGGTGGGGATGGTGATGATGGTGGTGGTGGTAATGGTGGTGGTAATGATGGTGGTGATGATGGTGGTGATGGTGGTGGTAATGGTGGTGGCGGTGGTGATGATGGTGATAGTAGAGGTAGTAGAGATGGTAGTGGTGGTGGCAGTGGAGTGGTGGTGGTGGTGATGGTTGGGATGGTGGTGATAATGATGGTGATGATGGTGGTGGTGGTGGTAATGGTAGCGGTATGATGGTAGTGGTGGTGAGGGTGGTGGTGGTAATGATGGTGGTGATGATGGTAGTGATGGTGGTAATGGTGGTGGCAGTGGTGATGATAGTGATAGTAGAGGTAGTAGTAGGGATGGTGGTAATGGTGATAGTGGGGATGGTAGTGGTGGTGGTGGTGGGGATGGTGGGATAATGACGGCGATGGTGATGGTGGTGGTGGTGGTGGTTGTGATGGTGGGGATGGTGATGATAATGATGGTGATGGTGGTGGTGGTAATGATAGTGGTAATGATGGTGGTGGTGGTGGTGGTGGTTGTGGTGATGGTGGGGATGGTGATGATAATGATGATGGTGGTGGTAATGATGGTGGTGGTGGTGATGGTGGTCATGGTAGTCATGGTGGTGGTGGTGATGGCGGAAGGAGGTGATGTTGGAGGTGGACATGGCAGGCAGATGGGGATTGAGAAGTCCAGAGCAGGGTGGCCACTGAGCTGCATCGTGGAGGAGTAGGAGTTCTTGGAAGTGGAGAAAGTGGCAGGGATGGGAAGGGCATGAAGAAGAAAGCTGCCGGAAACAGCCTGCCTGGTTTGGGTGTGGTGAGCCTTTGGTGTGGCTGGAGCACAGAATGTGGCTGGGGAACGGGGAGGGTCAGACTGTGACAGACCTTGAACCATGCTAAGGAGGCTAGATCCCATTTAAGGGCAGAAGGGAGCCATTGAAGGCTTTCGAGCAGTAAAACTCCCTAGGTGTCAATGAGCCTGGTTAGGAAGCTCTTTTAATATCCAAACAACCCATGATGGGGGCCTGAGTGGGGAGAGGCCATGGGGTGAGGCAGAAAGACAGGATCCTGTTCCCTGGGCCAGGTGTTGGTCTAACTCCTGAAAGAAGGTGGGCAGTTAGTAGAGAGTTTTAAGGCCACTGCTGCACTTTTTCCCCATTTGGGAAATTACATGCTAGCCCACAGGTCACTAAGCAAATGCCCATTGTCCCCAGGAGTAATTCAGCCCTGATTGGTAATATCTGTCACCCTCTCCACTCCATTGCCCCCAAAGAAGAGGTAATCACCATGAGCACAGTGAGCTCCTTGGAGAGTTTGGGGCTGTGGCCACGCTCTGACACACAGCTGCCCAATGACAGAACAAGTAGCCTTATGAGGACCTGACAGCCCTGGGATAGAGGAGGTCAGTGGAGAAGGGGCTTCTGCCCTGGGCAGGTGGCTGGCCTGGGTGGCATTTGGGCTTCCTCTCAACTCCAAGAGGGTGACACAGGCAGCATTGTGGCAAAGGTTGATCATGCCCTCTGTACTGTTCAAACGCTGGACACCAGGCAAATCAAATGCCCCATGCCTGCCCTGTAGGTTGCAGTTGGAAAAACGTGGGCCATAAGGAGGCCACTGGGGTGTGCAAATCTACCGCATTGGCTTCTCATCCCCAGACCTGCCTGTGAGAGGTCAGCACAGGCACATGTCTTGGCTGGGGCAGTGGAAGTGAAGAGCCCAAGAGGCGTGCACAGGGCTAGTGTCAGACAACGAGGCAGCTTTCAGCACCCTGGATCTGAGCACCCACACCCACGTGCTGGGGCAGGGAGGCAAGTCAGGCCCACACCCATGTGCTGGGGCAGGGAGGAAAGCATACTCGCAAGAAACTGATAGGCAACTAAGCCATTTCAACTTAACATCCTGGGCAACTACAGAGAAAGAGATAAGTTTGAGAAGGGTTTTTTTTTTTTTAATTGAGCTACTGTAAAAGCAATGAAACTAGCATACTTTTTAATTCACCCAGCCTCAATTGCTGCTTGCCCTCAATAAATAGGTGCATTGTTCTCTTCAAGGCTGCTTTGCTGTTAGGCTATTAGTGGTTTTCCCTGTCCTTCTGCTTTACAAGAATGTCCTGAGTGTAAGCCCAGACCGTTCGGAGCAGCAGGCACCTTCTAGCAGAGGCTGCTGCAGAAGACCCCCGGCAGGACCTGCCCTCAGGATTGTGAAATCACAGCATTGCCCCACCTCCCTGCCCAGCCCTTCTTCCCAGTCTAGGCTCACCCTGCGCATCTGTCCGCTGGCCCACTACAAAAGGCTGTGCTGTCAAACATTTAAGATCCAAAAGAATGCTTCTTTTTTTATTGTGGTAAAATATATATAACACAATTTACCATTCTAACCATTTTTAAGTGTGAAATTCAGTGGCATTAATCACACCCACAATGTTGTGCAACCATCACCACCATTTCCGAAGTTTTTCATCTCCACAAACAGGAACTCTGTACCTGTTAAGCAGTAATTCCCATTGCTCCTTCCCCCAGCCCCTCGTAACCCGTAATCTACTGTGTGTCTCTGTGAATTTGCCTACTCTAGATCTTTCATGTAAGTGGGATCATACGGTATTTGTCCTACTGTGTCTGGCTTCTTTTGCTTAGCACAGTGTTTTCACGGCTCGTCCATGCTGTAGCATGTGTGGGAATGTGTAGGCACCACATTTTGTTTATCCATTTCTGTCAGTGGAAGGAAGGCTTCTTCATGGCTGAATCTCAGGCATAGGTGGAGATCCCAGGAGGAGGAGGCCTTCAGTGTGGGAGGCCTGCTGCCCACCCCTCCAGCCATACCTGGCAAGCAGGCTTTTACCTGCCCAGCAGCTCCTGTTGGGCACAGTAACCCAGGGGTTTCAGACAGTCCATGGATAGAGACGGCCGTGCTTCAGCAGAAGGAATGTCAGACCAGCCATGGAGAAACTCTCATGCCCCTCACATAGGCAAGACATGTGTCCTTGAATCAGCCCCCTCACCTCCATATCCCAAGGAGTTTGGGATGGGTGTCCTGGTTTTTCTCCCAGCCTCTTACATTCTCCAACTCATCGATGCGCTGAGAGGGCAATGCGGCAAGTGGAGCAAAGTGCTGCAACTCTCAGGAAGTATTTGTGGCGTGCTGGATGAATACATGGGAGAAGAATGAGGTAGTGAGAGCTAAGAGGTTGTGCATCCTTCATCTCTCAGACAGAGAATAGGCAGGAAATGCATGTAGAGGTCGGGCTGATGAGTATTCAAGTTCTGAAACAACCTGAGATACAGCGTGCTGCTTGAGGTGTTATTATTGTGTTGATTGTCTTTTGCACCTTGTACTGAGATGGAATTGCATAACTGGGCTTCTCATCAATTCTGTTTGGTGGAGAATTCTTGCTGGCTTCCATAAGTACATTTACATAAATCTAGGTGGGCACACACAAGCTGTCTTGGTATGAGTTCTCACACCCTGGGTCTGTCACCTAGTGGATGTAGCCACACAGTGTTCAGCACAGGTGGGTGAGCATCCCCCAGCTCTACTGTGCACATGGGAGTAGACACTTCAGTCAGTCTCTCCAGACTGTCCTGGTCCCAAGAGATCTACCCTGGCATGGCTTCTGCTCACAAGGAGTCTGTGTTCCTCTAAAGCACAAATATTAATAATCTCATTAATGGAGGGTGTTTTGTTATAAAGTCTCTTTGTATTCATGGTGATCCTCAGAACAACAAGGAGAGGAAGTGAAGAAGAGGAGCTCTTTATTCCGTCCCATGTCCTAAAATCTCACTGTGCCTTTGGCAGAAATGCACACAAACCAGGGCCTGGCGGTCTCCCTCGCCATAGCATCTTGGAGGGACTTTGGAAGTTAGCTACCGCTTTGGAAGTGGTATTCAAAGTTCCAAGAAAAACGAAAAAAACACTGATCCCTCTTTTCAAATCTTATGCAGAACCTGGCACATAAAGCCAGTAAAATTCTTCCGGACTGGTCAGTAATAGGTAGCTGCTGCTGCTTTTTGTGTGTATTCTCTGTCCACACTCTGTCATATTGGCTCCCTGGACCCTCTTCAACTGTGTTAGGACCCTTCGACACTCAGCATGTGGGATTATGGCATTGCTCTGGTTCAAGAGGGGATGGGGAGTCAAAGCCTCCTTACTTAGCCTTCCTCTTGCCTGCACCTGTCCCGAAGCCCTCTGTGGAGGCCTAGAGCTCTTTGCAGCACTGTAATTTTCTTACGTCCTTTTGCACATGAGAAAATAGACCCAGAGAAGTAGAGTGACTTGTCCAAGGATGTGCAGCCAGTTGGTGCCAGAATCAAAATTATTACCATCATTCAAAGACTTCTCATCAGTAAAGACTCATCATTATTATTCTCATTCTTGAGTCTTTGTCCTCAAGAAGCTTATAATGTAGTTGAAAAGAGTGGTAATATATACGTGAGAAGATAAATTGGAAAACTAGGATAGCCTGTACACATCAGTGTCTAATTAGCTCCACAAGTGTTTAGAAGCCATCATGATTCCTGGAACTGGGGCTCTCTCTCCACTGACCTCTTCTAAATATTTCAGACATGAGTGTGGCCATGGACCCCCCAGTTGCCAGTAGGAGATCTAAGAAATGAACAGGGAGAGAAGGAAGAAAGGGAGAAGAAGATGGAAATAGGAAGCAATAAAGGAAAAATGGAATTGAAGAGAAAGTGGTAGAAAGGAAGAAGACAGGAGCTATCTGTGGGCAAGGTCATCAGCCTGCCTCAAGGCTGGCAGGGATCCACCCACTGTCAGAGGAGCAGGGTCCTCCAGGAGCACCGGGGAATCCCTTCCAGCCTGTATTGGGCCGTTGTTGCAGTGCTATAAAGAACTGCCTGAGACTGGGTAATGTATAAGAAAAGAGGTTTAATTGGCTCATGGTTCTGTGGGCTGTACAGGAAGCATAGTGCCATCTGCTTCTGGGGAGGCCTCAGGAGGCTTCCAATCATGGCAGAAGGCAAAGGGGGAGCAGGCACATCACATGATGAGAACAGAGCAAGAGAGAGAATGGAGCAGGGAGGTGCCACACATTTTTAAATGATCAGATCTTACAGGAATGCAGAGAGCTCACTTATCTCCAAGGGGATGGGCTAAGCCTTTCATGAGGGATCCATCCTCATCACCCAAACACCTCCAACCCTAGGGATTACAATTGAACATGAGATCTAGGTGAAGTTATGCTCAAACGATATTCTGCTCTTGCCTTCTCCCAAATCTCATGTCCTCATGTTGCAAAATACAATCATCCCTTCTCCATGGTCCCCCCAAAGTCTTAAGTCATTCAGCATTAACTCAAAAGTCCAAAGACTCATCTGAAGTAGCAGGGCTGGAGGGCCCGGTAGGAGCAAGATGGAAGGCAAATCCCTTCCACCTATGGGCCTGTAAAATCAAAAGCAAGTTAGTTACTTACAAGATACAATGGGAATATAGGCATTGGGTAAACTTTCCTGTTCCAAAAGGGAGAAATTGGTCAAAAGAAAGGGGTCACAGTCCCCAGGCAAGTTCAAAACCCAGTAGGGCAGTCATTAAAGAGCCAGAATGATCTGCTATGATTCCGTGTCCCACATCCAGGGCACACTGGTGTGAGGGGTGGGCTCCCAAGGCCTTGGGTATGGCCCATTTGCAGCTTTGAAAGTCTGGGTGTTTCCATGCTATTGGTCTGGGGTTCATTCTCTCTTCTGCAGTTGTTCGTACCTCCTCTACACTATCCAACCTTAACACTGAACAGTAGGAATGGGAGTCTTCATCTGTTCCACTTGGCTTCCAAAGCTTCCCGTTTCCCAAGATCACCAAAAGGGCCAGTTTGCATGCTGAATATTTGGTGCCTTCTCAATGAGCTCTGTGACCACCCAGGATTTAGGAGGGCACACAGGCCTCTGGCTTCAGAGTTCAGGCATGAAGAGGGCCACGGAACTGTATATTCAAGGAACCAGAGGCACGTGGGGCATCTATGAGAACAGTCTTTGACCAACTTTTTCTTTTCTTCACTCCATTCATACTCGCCCTTAGATGTTTCTATGACAGCACAACGTATGTTTTGAAGGAATTAACCAAGCTGTCTTGCTTGTTTTTGTTTTTTGTTGTTTTTTTTAAAGTAATTCTAGAAGGGCAGTCATGCCTCTAAGGTCAGAGTGAATAACACTGCTTCTTGCAACATTTAGTCAGCACACGCACACACACAGTGCACACAAATGCTACACAGTGACCGTGTCCCAGACGTTTCAACAATAGGCAGCTGTCTTTCTCTGGATTCCTGTTCAGACCCGCTCTTACTGGCTCTCTGGGCCCTTCCAGTTCTATCTCAGACCCTTAAACAATCAGGCATGAGGATTGTGAAACCAGCCATGTCTCTGGGGATAAGTGGTACCAGTGAACTGCGTTTCTCCAGTACCCCGGCAGGTGAGATGTGATGAACAGACCTTTGGCTTGAAGGTCAGAAAGTCTGGTTTCCTGTCCTCTGTGCATTTCTCCCTGGCTTGAGTATCTTGTCAGAATCCTAATTTTTCAGGTGAGGAGGTTAATTAGATAACCTTTAAGTTTCTTTCTCTCCCAGACTTCATGATTTTAAGAGAGGTCCTGTAACTTCTGCTGGAGATAAATTCGCATAATGTGAAGGGACTTTCTTGGGGATGAGGTTTCTGATGGGATGCACATGCTAATGGGGGTTTGTAGTGGCTGTTCCGTACTGATTTGGAGCCCAGCCTCTGCCCTTTTCTCTTTAGTCTGCACACTCTCCTCGTTCAGCCGTCTCCTGCAAGATGAACTCTGCTCTGGGCCCCACCTCTGTAGGTCTGATCCCCAATATCTCCACTTCAGCAAGTTCATAACTGATGTCTCTACCTTCCTCCAAAACCCCTCTTCCTCTTCTTGAAGTCCCCTGCTGCAGTGAGAGGCATCACCATCCACACAGTCACCCAAATTAGAAACCTCAGGGAGGGGGCATTGCACATCTCTGCACTGCCTCTTCCCTCAACCCCTACGTACAACCAGAAAACAAAGCACATGCTTTCTCCTCTCAAATCCACCTACATCTCACCAATCCCACTATCTCTACTTTGGCTCCCGCCTCCATGATCTCTGCATGGGTCACTCCCCTGCCCTTAACCCTATCACTCATTCTCCAGCCAGTGCCAGATTGCAGGGCGTATCTCACCAGGTCATTCCCATTCTCCTCAGAATGGAATCCAAGCATCCAGGCATAGCCACAAAGTTCCTGGTCATCTTGCTCCTGCCGGGCCCTCCAGCCCTGCTACTTCAACACCCTCACTCCAGCCAAATCAAATGTTTGCATAGCAGAGCTGTCCATACTTCCCATCTTCTTAGTTCACTCTCCACCTGCAATGCCTGACCCCCTCCACATTCCCTACTCCCTACCCCCAGCACCTAACCTTCTTCACCTGGACAACTCTTCATCCTTCGAGATTCAGCTTGAAGATTCTTACTTTGGGAAGTCCATCCATAGCCAGCTGTGCTTGCCTCCGGAATGCCATGCCATGTCCTAATTGTATTGGAATCATCTGTCCATTTGCCCTGCATTGTACCAGTACATCCTTGAGGTCTGTTTCTGAGACTTTTTCCTCAAGTCTCCAGCACCCAACACTTACATAAACATGTTTGTGAATGCTTGAGTTAATGTTGGATTGAATGATCACTGTCAGGTGGGACAGGTCCCTCTGGGTCTCCACATGTTCTATGCCAGGATGCAGGACAAATGTTACATGGCATGGATCGCAGGATAGGCTTTTTTTGGGAAAATTTGCCAAGGCCAAAGGTCAACAAGAGAAGTCACATCCCCCAACCCTTCCATCTCAAAAAGAGATATGCCAGGTCCAGGATGCTGCTGGCCCTGCAGTAAACCTGTACCCAAGTGGAGGGCCCTCACCACACCCCGCGACCCATGGCTCTCTCTTTTTATAGGGCAATTAAGCAAGAGAAAGCAGCCTGTCAATGAGGAAATAAGCAGACTGCTTGGTACCAGGCAGTCTGGACTAGGGGTGCCAGCTGCTTATAGGAGTTGTCTGGGAATGCCAGTTTCCCAGCATATAGGGCCCTCAGAGCCTTCAGGATATTGCTGCTCTCTCTGCCAGAGGGAGGAGTGGTTCTGTGCTTGAGTGCTACCTCTTCTGGAGGGCTCATTATCTAGACAACCCAGAGGGAGATACAGGGTCACTTTTTGACAATGCAACTAGTTGTGCCACACTGATCATGAATGACTAAGGGGACAGATGGGTGGATGGATGGGTGGGTAAGTGGGTGGATGGTGGGTGAGTGGATGAGTAGATGGATGATCAGATAGAAGAATGAGTGAGTGGGTGAACGAATGAATGGGTAGATGGATAGATGGATGGATAAATGTATAGGTAGGTAGGTGGATGGATGGATGGATGGATATATGTAGGTGGGTGGGTGGATGGATGGATGGATGGATGGATGGATGGATGGGTAGGTGGGTGGATAGATGGATAGCTGAATAAATGGATAGGTGGGTGGATGGATGGATGGGTGAGTGGGTGGATGTATAGATGGGTGGTTGGATGGTGGGTGGGTATATATATGTATGTATGTGTGTGGGTGGGTGGATGGATGGATGGATGGATGGGTGGATGGATAGGTGGGTGGGTGGATGGATGAGTGGGTGGTTGGATGGATAGAAGAATGGGTGAGTGGGTGGGTGGGTGGGTGGACTGACGGATGGGTGCGTCAGTGGGTGGATGGATGGATGGATGGACAGGTAGGTGAATGGGTAGATGAATGGATGAGTGGGTGGTGCATAGGTGGGTGAATGGATGGATGGATGAATGGGTGGGTGGCTGGCTGGATAGGTGGTGAGTGGGTGGGTAGGTGGATAGATGAATGGATGGGTGATGGGTAGAAAGATAGATGAATGGATGGGTGAATGGGTGGATAGATGGATTGATGGGTGGATGGACAGGTGGGTGAATGGATGGATGAATGGATGAGTAGTGAGTGGGTGGGTGGGTGAATGGATGAATGGATGGGTGAGTGCATGAAAAGATGGATGAATAGATGGGTGAATGGGTACATGGATGGATGAATGGATGAATTGGTGGGTGGGTGGATGGATGGATGGGTGGGCAGGTGATGGTGAATGGAAGTGTGAAAGCAACTAGCACATATGAAAGCACCTGACACCTAATGGATACCCAACTTGTGTGTTTCCCTTTCCTGTGCTTTCTTTCCCATCTCAGCTTCACCTTTCTGGGAATATAGAAAGAGGTGACCCTGTCATCTAGTGGCAGACATGAAAGCTCTGAACCATCATGGGTTGGGGATAAGGAGATGGGCTAAGGGGCTGTGTGACAGCTCCACTATTCCCACTCCCACAAACATCCTCAGGTTCCCCTGTGCTGTGTTGTCTCATGTTTTCTTCTTCAACATTGCCCTGATGTACATTTTAACCCAACATCACCTGACTTTAAAAGATTGGAGCTTCCCACGTCCTGTGATTTGTTTGTGGTTCACAACCCCAAGGCAGCTGCCTCCCTAAACCAATTTTATGGCACAAAAATGGGCAGGAAGGGAAGGACGAATCTGCCTCTGAGATGCTGATGAAATCTGACCCCTGCACTCCTTTCCCACGCCGCGGCGTGATCTGGGCCTTCATCCACACGTGAGCTGGTGGTTCTTCCGGGTACCTCAGAAACACCTGGAAATTGTCTACGATGCACATTTCCAAGCTTCATAGCCAGATGATCTGTTTCAGTAGGTCTGGGTAGGGCCCAGAATTCTACAGTTTTTAATTTTGCATCCTCAAACTGCTTCACAGTGAGGCTGGCACTCCCTACATGCCCAGGGGATTGTGATGGAATGAATGGGAGCCCAGGGTACTGATATGGCCTGATGGCTCCCTGCAGAGCTTCCCATCTGGCCCTGCTCCCGATGGCCCTGCCTTGGAGGAACCTTCCAGCTGGCTAGGCAGGAGGAGGTGGGCCTTTGTGGGCAACATCCCTCCTCCAGAATGTGGGTGAGCCTGGAACACCCCCTCACCACTGCTCCCACATGCACACACCAGAGCTCCCTCTGACTCGCAGAGGAGGGGAAAATGGGTCTAGGGGTTCTGAGCCGAGTGCCCACTTGGGGCTGTGGACAGGCCCGCCGCACTCTGGAGGGCCTATGCCCGAATGCAATGTGGATGGGTGTTTCGTGGCTCCAGTGAGGGATGGCTGAGGCTTCTGCAGAGGCGAGCAGTGGAGCATGAAGGCATCCAGGCAGCCTTTGCCTGGTGGGGGCCATTAAGGCTCTGCACTTGGGATGGGGGTGTGGGAGAAAGCAATTAGTGGCGAGGGACGTGCATGAATCAGCACAGAGTCGGCTGGCTCTAATTGAGCCAACAAGTTTGTCCTGTTCGCTCTGGGCTCCCAGGGATGGGAGCTGCATCCTTAAATGCAAAGCCCTTCTTCAAGGTGGCAGGGGAGGAAGAAGATTGTCTTCTGCCCCTTGAGGAAAGAGAGGGGCTCTTTCCATTCTCCACTCCCACCCAGTGCCTGCCTCCATCCGCAAAGTGCTGATTTTCTCTGCTGAAATGTTCGACGTCTTTGGACAGAAGGTTTTATTTTCTCAAGAAAGAGATTTCACATTTCTGGATCGGTGTATGTGAGCAGGTTGCCTCTGTCTGGGCTGCTCTTAAGGGATCTTCACCGTCTCCATTTCTTTGTGGCTGCATTTTTGCTCTGTCTTTTGGAGGAACTCGGCTAGTACCCTCCCCAAGACCAAGTCTGCTGTCTTCAGGGCTTGTTCCTGCAGAATCGGAGCGCGGTTTTCCAGGAGCTGTGCTTTATCCCCTTCTCTTTTGGCCCTGACATTGTTTCCCTTTAGATGGAGACACTATGAATTCTCTTCTGGGAGAGCACAATAAAATGTCAACTGATTAACTAAATAAAATGTTTCAAAAAATATGAAATTTTTCCACTAGTCTAATATTTACATGTTCATGGGGGAACTTTGATGCAGAAAAAAAAAAATCCTGTAATCCCCAGTAGCTTGGTGCTGTCGCGGTAGAGCAGGTCGTGGAGTTGCTAATTTGGCCTGGGTGTCCCCACTTGGTTCCACCACAGAGGGGGCAGCATTATCTTCCACCTACTTGTGAGATCTACTGGTTCCAAACTTTCCAAATCCCCAAACCAATGACTTATTTTTCTCTCTTTTCTATTTCTGTTTCCTAGGAACGAGTGGAATATCTCTTTCTCATAATTTTTACGGTGGAAGCGTTTTTAAAAGTAATCGCCTATGGACTCCTCTTTCACCCCAATGCCTACCTCCGCAACGGCTGGAACCTACTAGATTTTATAATTGTGGTTGTGGGGTAAGTATCACTGTCTGTTTCTTTCCCTTTATCTTACCAGTGTTGCGGGACTTTTCCTTAAGTCAGCTGAAGACAGGGTCGTTGTCAGACGGCCACAAAGATTTAGGCTCGCAGATGATCTAGAGTGAGAAAAATGAGATTTATTTTGCTAAAAGGAACAGAAAGGGAAAGAGAGACTCAGCAAAGTGAGAGAGTGCGCTTCCTGCCCATGGGCTTCCCGCCTCGCAGGTTGAATCCAAGGTTCTACCCAGGAAAAGGAGGGGTCAGGCTTCTCCCTGCTGCAGTTGGTGGCGTGAACTTCCGTGGTTCCACCCTAGTGTGCACTCCTCCCAGTGCGCAGGCTGGCTGGAGTTTCTCTGGGGACCCCTCCCCACCTGGCTGTCTCACCAGTACATCCCTCTTCTTCCTTCTGTGTTATCTCTTTTCAATTTGGTCCTAACTATGCTGGGCTTCAGGCAAGAAGAAAGGATCTGTGAAAATCACTTTGAATTCAGACTTCCCCAGAGGGACAGGGGCTATGACCCAAGAGCACCCCTCTCCACCACTCCCACACAGCATGCACACACGGTTGGACCTGAGTGCTCCTGATGGAACCCAGGCTGCTCTGTGCTGCTGTAGGATATCCCCCTGCTTAAGGACTTTCGTTTCATCTCAGACCACATCTGGCCCCGCAGTTCCTCTGATAGTTTCCCTGCTGTATCACTGAGCACATTTGGGGCAGCTCGTCCGTGAGCATGCAGTCTGCAGGTGTGGGGTGAGGGTGGGGCGCACACAGGCTGTGCCTGTGCTCTGGACTTGTACAGAGGCCTCTTCCCCATTCTCACTCTACAGGGGGCCTGGTTCTGTGGCCCCAGAAAACCAGACTGCTCAAGACAGGTGGATGAGAAGGAAACAGGGAACTATGAAAGGCGAAGATGACAGGTAACCAAACCCCAATCAAATGCAGCTTCCCCCAGACACCCTGCTCCACTGTAGCATAAGATAAGGTAGAGTCAGTCTAGGCTTTCAAAACAGCAATGCAAAGAATCTTAAATAAAATGTAGAAGAGATCTCCTTATAAATAAGTTATTAACCTCACAAAAAGAATCTCCATAAAATATTTGTACCTAACAGGCCTACCTACACTGGTGAAGTGTAAGTTATTAAAATGCAGGTGAGGTCAGGCGCGGTGGCTCACACCTGTAATCCCAGCACTTTGGGAGGCCAAGGCGGGCGGATCACGAGGTCAGGAGATCGAGACCATCCTGGCTAACACGGTGAAACCCCGTCTCTACTAAAAATACAAAAACTTAGCCGGGCGAGGTGGCGGGCGCCTGTAGTCCCAGCTACTCGGGAGGCTGAGGCAGGAGAATGGCGTGAACCCGGGAGGCGGAGCTTACAGTGAGCCGAGATCATGCCACTGCACTCCAGCCTGGGCAACAGAGCGAGACTCCATCTCAAAAAAAAAAAAAAAAAAAAAAAAACGCAGGTGATGAAGTTCCATCAACACATCTGTCTTGTAATAGGAGGGAGCCCATTGCAGCAGATTTTACCTTGAGAAGAAGCCGGTTCCTTTGGGCTAATCCCTTGTTACTCTGAGCCCAGTGAGTGCTCAAGTGGCTGCCACCTTGGACTCTCCCTCTCTTGAAGTCCTGGCAGTCTGCAGAGTCAAGGTCAGAATGTCAGGAGCTCTTTATCCCAGAGGCCTATTTTTGGAGGATCCTTTTGTGCCATCCCGGAGGAGACACAGCCATTGTGGACGTCTCCAGAGCACCCGCCGTTCACCATCTTGTGAGAGTGCCTGGTCTTTACTGCAGGAAATGACGCAGGAGGACGTCGAGATCATTTGCAAGTTATTTCCTTGTCTCTGGCCATCTGGATGGCTCATAAGGTTGCTTGGAACCACGTTAGGGTTTTTGTTGTTGTTGTTGTTGCCTTATTTTGCCTGGCCAATGAATGACGCACTTTGGCCACATGAACCTCAGGAATATTTGGGTGATACGAGGTGCACTAAGGTTATTAGCATCATTAGCCAGGTCTAGCTCTGGCTCATAGCACTCGGGGTGTGCATGCAGCTATAGGAGAGATTTTGCTGCTTCTGCTCATGCCAGAATAAACAAAGAGTGGCTAAACGCATGCCTTGAATGACTCAGTAAACCATAGCAAAAGTCCTTAAGGTGGGTTGTTCCAAATGCCCCTAAATCCTTTTTAGAATTTGGCATCTTTCTCAAGGCCTCAGTCTCCTGGGAGTCTTTTGCACATGCATAGAAAAGAGCCTTGGGAATGATGAGAGCAGATGCTTCTGGGACCAGTGGAGGGATGAGGGTGACTTGCAGGGACGAATTTTGTTTAGGCAAAATTTTGGAATTTTGAAGTGAGTTGGAGTTGATTATATGTGCTTTGCCCCATATGTGGTCTTAATGAAATCATGAGTCGGGGGAGCAGAGACAAGAAATACAGGGTGAGTAGGCACCGAACAGGAGCCCTGGGAGGGAGGGGCCCTGCCTGGGTTGACAGGGAGGCAGTGCAGTGGTGCATCTCTGGCCCACACCTGGTGCCTCACCTGCGGTCTGTCTGGACCCGCTTCATCCCTTAGACTCCTCCACACAACCACAAGGGGCCAGGCTTTTTCTGGGGTCAGCCCAGATTCCAGTCACATCTCCCTAGGGCCTAGGCCATGAGGCTGGTGAAGAGAGGGAGGCATCCAGTTGTGTGCTCCTGTTTCTAAGCCACAGAGGTTAAGATGCCAGCAGTTGCCCAGCTCGTGGTTGGTCTTGCACTGGGACATATTTGGCACCTAGTCTCTCTTCTCCTAAGGGCTCTTCATCCTGTCTAAATCAGCCCATTCTTGTAACAATCCCCCATCGCTGCAGGGTGCAGCTTACCACCTCTCTTCAGCTCATCTCCTTTTTCTGCTTCCTTTGCAATATTAAATGGGTAGCCCTTTGCTTCCCTGTGTCTCTTGGAAAATATCTGCTATCCTTGGCCCCTCTTCTGTAGCTGTAGGGGAAGGTTTCTCCTGGCCTCCCACAAAGCTGGGGGAGCCTAACTCACCCTAGAGAAAGGTGGACCTGCCTGCCTACTGCCTGAGTGCCAGGCTGAGAGCCTCATCTCTGCATTGCTATTCTGGTGGCACAAGACACGTGGCATTTCTTTCCTTCCTAAAGCAGAGGCCTCTTGGTGGTGGGATTGCTGAATAAACACAGAGGGACTGTGGCGGCCTCAGATCCACGTGCCCCTACCGAGGGACCGTGGAATCCTCAGTGGATCCTCAGGAGGTTCCACGCCAGCCAGTGAGGCTTTGTTGCATCCCTACCTCCCTAGCAGGGTGGAGGCCCTGCCTTTCCCATTCTCTGGGCCTCACGATCATTCCACAGCCTCACGGTCCTTTTCTTCTAAAAGCTCCACTGCCGGACTACAGATCTGCCAGACACAGCTCCCAGAGCAGTCCTTCGGCCAGGCGTCCACACCAGAGCCCAACCCTCAGGGACCAGTGGGCACCAAGCAGTGGTTTTGCCTTTAGAATGTCTCATTGAGGAGAAATACACCAGCCACTCCTACACCCATGTTTGAATTTTCTACCCTTTCAGAATTAAAAGCGGATACTTAATAAAGAGTCTCAACTTGAGGCAGGAGTTAAAGGCAAGTTGTCTAATCTCCACTCCCTTCACCGAATAGTATTTTGTGAACCTCTTTTACTCCGATCAGCATATTACTTTCCTGCAGGAAATACTGGGAACAAAATCTGGTTTGCATTTGGAATGTTGTTTGACAAATTTGCAAACTGGTCTCCATTTCCTCAGGTTTCAGTGATCTAGGCTTCAGTGGAAAGAACATTTCCCTTGTGGAGAAAGAAGCCCACTCCCCCATCCTGGCAACTTCTGCCTGGGATTCAAGGCCTCACCAGCTAACATAGGAAGCCATCAAGTTGCCAGGCTGAGAGACACTGCAGATACGGCCTGGACAGGGTTCTCAAACTTCGTTCGGCTGCAGAACCCACTGTTGAGAGTCTCGCTCAGAGGTCCAAGACACAGACCAGATAGAAGGGAAGCTCCTCTGGACTAGAGGAGCCAGAACGCCAGTCACGCAGCCAGTCTGTGCCTGGGGGCCTCCATGGAGCGTTTCTAGACCAATCCCCTCATCGCTCAGCCCTGCCTGGCCCTGAACTTCTGCTAATGCATCTGGCTAATCCCCCAGCTGCAGCTTCCCATTTCTAGATCCAGATACCTGGGGCATAAGTCACTTAAGAGCTCAAGCCTATTGCTCCTGAATGAAAGCTGTCCTGGTTCATAGTTTAGATCTGATATGGAGACCCACTCCTAATACCTGGGCTCCCTCCTTGATCCCACGCCCCTCTGTTGAAGAAACACGACCCAGCGTGTAGTGCACTCTGTGGCAATGAATCTGTAGCATCCTCTCTGGGTATAAAGGACAGAAATCACCCTGCACGCCCTTTTCCCTATTTTTCTTGGTTGCCACGAAAAGCCCAAAATTATTGAGTCATCCCTCATCACCCGGACTCCTGTTCCCATGGGGCTTTGTGCATCCTCTGATCTAATCCCTCCTTTCTCACCACCCCGCTGCAGAAACCTTCCCACTGTGCCCTCCCATCCCCATAGTCCCTCGCCTGTTCAGGGTCAGCCAACTTTTCTGTAAGGGCCGGATGCTGGTTTTCATCTTTGCAAGCCATGCAGTCTCTGTTCCAGCTACTCCACCCTGCCCAGCAGCAGGACAAGAGTGGCATCTCCATGAGTGGGTGTAACTGAATTCCAACAAAACTTTGCAAAACAGGTGGCCCAGTTCTCAGCTTCCTTTCTGGTCACTTCCTGATTCTCCCTGAGGGTGCAGCTTTCTCTGCTGTCTCTCAGCAGGCAGCCACTTCCTCTCCCAGAAGCCTCCTTCCACTGCACCAGGTTGCCAGGTCTAAGGGGGCCCTGCCAGCTCCTGATTTCTGCTCCACTGCACCCCCACCTCCCTGGAGCCCTCCAGTTTTGACATTTGTGTCATCAGATCCTCTATGCCTTACTTCTCTTTACTGCAGCCTTCTGCAGACCTTTGAGTCACCCCTCCTTGTGCCTTGAGGACAAGGGCTCTTGGTTCGCTCTACTTCACTCCGACACTCACTTCTCCACCTTCCTGCAGTAGCTTCTTGGTTCTTGGATATCTGGCTTCTGGGGAACCTATCTCAGTAGTCCCAATCCCATGGCTATAGCCAATATCCCTGTCACCACTGATTAACACCTCCCCCATAATCCCAAATCTAACATCCTACCCTCTAACCAGCACCACCGTCTTTCCGGTCCCCTCCCTCTCTCACCCTGACTCCCACGATCCCTTCGTCCCACCGCACTCTTCATCCCTGCCACCATGTCCACCCTCCTTCCAGCCAGCTCAGACGCCATGTGCCACTGCTGCCCTCACTCACTTGCATTTATGCTCAGCATTCTTAGTCTTCTGTCTGTTTATCTTGCACACCTGGAAAAACACCAACCCTAATCAAGTCCAACCAGAGATCTGCTTGGTACCTGGAAAGGGTCAAGAAATCTGCAAAGTTGAGCAGACTCTCACTTTACACTCATGACCTCCAACCTCAAGGAGGCCCTCGGTGACACCTGAGGGCCCTCCTGCTTTGTCCGCACTCCATTCACCCTTCTGCTTTCTGAGCTAATTCTTTCAGCACCCGTGCCTCTCTCGTCACACTTCCCGTCTCCTTCCCCTTTCACGTTTTCAGCTGATGGCCTCGTTCCCCAGTTCCCTTAGAAAGATGCAATCAGAAGAAACTTTCATGTATTCCCACAACCACGCGTCTATGCTGACAATGCGCCTTCTCACTGAACCACGACCCACGGCGCTGCCCCTGCACAGGTGGACGCCCTTCGCATGCACCCATCCCCTTCTTGCCAGTGAAGGAGCTCCGTCCCACACGGCCCTGCCCCTGCACGGGTGGCACCCTTTCTGTGCACCCATCCCCTTCTTGCCAGTGAAGGAGCTCCGTCCTTCCAGCAATGGTTCCCTCTCGCTTCTATGTCATCACATTTTCTGCCTCTGTTAGATGATTCCCATCACATAGAAAACTGCTGTCATATCTCCCATTCAGAAACAAAACCCTCTTGACTCCACGCCCACTTCTAGTAACCCCCTTTTTTTCTCTGCTCATTTAGAGCAAAATTTCCCAAAAGACTTGTCTATACGGTAGCCACACGTGGCCATTCAGCACTTGAAATGTGGCTAATCTGCATTGCAATAATAATAATTATAAGTATAAAACATACAGCATATTTCAAAGATTTAGTACAAAACAAGGAATGACAAATGTCTCATGAATGATTTTTTATATTTATTACATGTTGAGATGATAATATTTTGGCTATGTCGGGTGAAATAAAATCTATGATCACTGTTAATTTCACCTGTTTTTACTTTTTAATGTGGCTCCTAGCAAAGGTAAATTACACATGCAGCCCACACTTGTGGCTTGCATCAGATTTCTGTTGGCCAGGGCTGTCTATCCTCACGGCCTCCCACTCCTCCCATGCTCTCTTGAACCTATGTCTGCTGGGTGTTTGTCCACATCACTCCACCAACACAGATGCCTTCAAGGTCTGGATGGTCTTGGTGTTGCTAAACCCAGCGGTCGGTGTCCAGCCATGTCTCTGCAGCACGTGACACCACCGCCTGTTCACTGACCGCTCTCTTCATGGGGCGCCGTTCTCTCCATGTCCCTGCTCTGCAAGCCATCCCTCATCAGTCTGTTTTGTTGCTTTCTCCTCTCTTGACCCCTCAATGTGGGAGCACTGCAGGGTTGAGTGCTTTCACATCCTCACCTTCTGCACTGGCCTCCTAGGTAGTCACATACAATTTGACTTTAAATATGAACTATACAACTGCTGCGCTTTTGTCTCCAGCTTGGACCTCCCCACTGACCTCCAGACACAGTAGAACCAACTCAAGACATGCATTCGATGTCCAAGCAACAACTCAAACTTCAAGAAGTTCTCAGCAGAACGCTTAATGTCCATTCCGCCATATCTCATCATTCCTGTTGCTCATGCCCAAACTGTTGGAATCTTCTCTGATTCCCCTCTCTTTCTCACACCTCACATCTAGTCCATCAGCCAGTCCCACTAACTTTATCTTAAGGTAAATCTGGTATCTAACTTTTCCTCACTACCTCTAACACCACCACTTGTTCTGAGCCACCCAGTGTCTCGCGCCTGGATGACTGCCGCAGCTGGTCTCTGGCCTCGCCCCCGACAGGGGAGTCTCCCACAACAGCAGAATGATTCTTTTAGACCTGTAGTTAGATCATGTCACTCTCCTGCTCAAAGTCCCCCAATGGCTTCTGTCTCAGAGAGGATACCAGCACCCGGTGGGGTTCCCTATTTCCTCTCCGACTTCCTCTCCCACAGTTCTCCCCTTTCCCTGCCCTGCTCCAGCCACACTGGTCGCTGCTGTTCCTCTAACGCACACCCTGCCCCTCCCTTGGGCCCCTGGCTTACCTGCTTCCTCTGCCTGGAACAGTCTCCAGATAGTGAAGTGGGTCCCGCCCTCACTTCCCATAGGCCTCTGCTCAAGTGTCACCTGCAGGGAGTTCTTTGTGCAGATTTCTCAGGTGGGAAGGAAGGCGGCCCTCACCCTGTCTCTGCAGAGCCCCTCCCCGCTCCTCCTCCTCAGCACTCATCACTCTAAGCTGCAGTGTCTGTTTACTGATTGCTCAGTTTATTGTCTGTCTCCCTGCTAGAATGCAAGTTCCATGAGGGGAAGGGCTTTGTCCATTTTGCTATAGCCCCAGTGTCTGGAACAGTGCCCGGCACACCGCAGGTGTTCTTGTTTGTTGGAGGAGTGAATATGCCAGCTCAGACCTAAAGTGGCAGGGCTGAAAGCCCTGTGTCTCAGTTACGTGCACGTGTGGTTCTACCCCACTTGAGACCTTCTTGTTTAACCACTCAACCATTCATTCATTTGCGCAGCACGCACCTCCTGAGCAGCCACCAAGGCCAGCACAAAGGAGATTTCCATGGGCCAGGAACAAGTCAAAGAGGGGGGGTATCTAGAAGGAAGGAGGTGGGGAAACAGAGCACATGGTTGCTGGCACACCTGGGAGGGGCGCTAGGATACCATGGAGAAGCCGGAGGGCTCCTCAAGGAGATAAGGACTGGCAACAGACTTCACCTGCTTCCCACGTTTGTCCAGCGCTTGTCCAGCTCCTGCCTTTATGACGGCAGAGGGCCTGCCCCTCAGCTCGCTCAGGCCTCCCTGGGCCATGGTGGCACCCTGGGCATGGCCACCACCCACACTGAGGGGATGTCAGCTTACAACCACCCACAGACTCCACGCACACCCACAACGCCCGCCCCTGGGCTGGAGACGCCTGCGCAATCTGCTTTTCCGGGCTGTATCCAGAGGTCAGAGCCCCAGCTGGGCAAAAGAAAACCCAGTCCTGACAGTCCTTCTCTCTTTCCTCTCTTCTAGGCTTTTTAGTGCAATTTTAGAACAAGCAACCAAAGCAGATGGGGCAAACGCTCTCGGAGGGAAAGGGGCCGGATTTGATGTGAAGGCGCTGAGGGCCTTCCGCGTGCTGCGCCCCCTGCGGCTGGTGTCCGGAGTCCCAAGTAAGTGAAGCCCGTTCTTGTGTACAGTGTTATCTCCTCACCACCTTCTGCTGTCCTTTGCTGAATTGCCAAGAACACTCTGCAAAGGGACCTGATTCCATATAAATGGAGGGGTTTTTGTTTTTGTTTTAAAATGAGTTCCTTTGATCTGAAGAGCCCAACTCGGATGTAAGTGCCTTAAAACACACTGTGGTCCCAGCGCCTGGAAACTCCTGGAGAAAGTTCACAGCAGTCACTCAGCCACATGAATCCTACATAAAGGAAGTGGCCATCTGAGCCACCCTGGAGGCCCTGGGATGGGGATTTAAATACATTTTGTAGCAGAAGAGCCAGGTGGCTAATCTCCGAGGCTCCAGAGCACTTTAGCCAATGAGATTATCTCTACTTTCTGTGTTTTTCCAAAGAACAATCAGGAAAGCATCAGTGGATGTTCTAAAAGTTCTGTTTTGACCTTTCTCCCAGCCCTCTCCTCCCTTCCTGTCAAATGGGGCAGCCCAGGCCTCAGGAGCCCTACTGGAAATACCACGCCTGTCATTGTGAGAACTTATTTTTCCCAAAGAGAGGAGGATATTCCGCTCTCTGAATCAGGGGAAGGGTTTGGAGAGGTATTGCCTATCCGGATGTCAGTCACATGGACAATGCCTCTTCTGCCACTTCTCCAGAAGCCTGGCCCATTATGGGTGCACCCCAGGTACTGAACACAGTGGCTTCAGGCCCCCTGGGAAGGCGCAAGCAAACCCCAGCCCAAGGTGCTCCTGGGAGCTCAGTCCACTTTAGAACTCCTTTCTACTCTTCCCTCTTCAGTTTGTGGTATCTGAGAACAATTCTGGACTCATTTGCTTAAATTTTGCTTTCAGTTCAGCTCCAGTAGATTTGGCCCATGACTCAAGACATAGGAGACCCCTCAGACTAGGCTAGGACCAGATGAGTTTGGAGATGGTGTAAGGGACAGGAAGACAGAGGACCTCCGAATGCACAGCCTCTCCTACCCATGGCATGCACTGAGCACTTGGTTACCGGTGTGCTGCTGGGTGGTATCATCTGGAGTCATGAAACCGTGGAAATGTGAGGGACTTTATATTAACCAGTTTACTTTTTGTTCATGCACGGAATAGTGAAAAGATCTTCCTGTGACTTTAATTAACTAGCAATAGAGCCAAGACTAGAATCATGTCTCCTGATTTCTAGACCAGCTCTTTCCTGCCATACAGCACTGCCTCTTTTAAAGAATTAAGTGGTATATCTCTCTTGATTGTCTTGGATTCTTTTTCTTTCTTTTTTTTTTTTTTTTTTTTGAGACAGAGTCACACTCTGTCCCCAGGCTGGAGTACAGTGGCACAATCTCAGCTCACTGCAACCTCCGCCTCCCAGGTTCAAGCGATTCTCCTGCCTCAGCCTCCTGAGTACCTGGGACTACAGGTGCTTGCCACCATGCCCAGCTAATTTTTGTTTTTTTGTGTGTGTTTTTTTTTTTTTTTTTTTGTATTTTTAGTAGAGACGGTGTTTCACCATGTTAGCTAGGATGGTTTCAATCTCCTGACCTCATGATCTGCCTGCCTTGGCCTCCCAAAGTGCTGAGATTACCGGCATGAGCCACTGCGCCCGGCCAATTGTCTTGGATTTTTACACATATATCCTGTCTCTTAAACTACACTATAAGCCCCTTGAAACCCAGAACTGTGCCTTCTATTGCCTCTGATTCCCACACAACATAAGCAAAGGGAACTTACTGAATAAGCAAAAGAAAGAGTTTGTTTTCTTTGCAGTGGGACTCCCTGGGCAAAGCTTGTGGCCTGTCTTAGGCTCAAAAGGCACGCAGAGCTGAGCACACAAGCACAATTAAAGCAGACTTTCTCTACTCGGCCTTAACTGTCTGGGGGTACTTAGGTATAGAAACTGCATATATCGTGGCCAGGACCCACTTCTTTTTGAAGCCTAAATTATTTGGGTTTTCCTGGTCAATCAGCCAGAACTCAATAGCCAAAATCAGGAAGTAGGAAGGGAGGATGACAGTGACTTTGAACATGACTTTAAGGAGCTTGTAATGGTACCGCCAGTGTGTCAGTGATAGCAACTGGGAGTTAATTCCAGATGCCAGCCAACCAAGCGAAATGGACACAATGACCCCGACCTGTTATCTATGTATTTATTAGGGGCCTGCAATTTTTATTAGGGGTATTAGGACGTATCATAAAGAACAAGCATGGTCCTTTCACTAGAGAAATTTGACAGTCTAAGAAAAGAGTATAACAGTCAGCTTTTGCTGTGGAAATAAACCATCTCAAACTCTGCATGGCTTACAACCAGCAACATTTACACCTGGCTCATGGCACCTGAGGGTGGTGGTCAGCTGCAGCTCTTCTGCACTCAGCTGGACTCTGGGCTTGACCACATTCTGCGTGCCATCCAATTCTGGAGCCCAGGTCGAAGGAGCCCTCACCTTCGGTGGTAGGCCTTGTGGTTGTCATGGCTGGGGGAGGTGCTCACAAAATGGGGCTTAGAGCCAAACCGCACTAGCAACTTAAGGCTTATGCTTAGATGTGGCTTCTGTCTTAGCTGTTCACATTCCACTGGCCAAAGCGAGTCACATGGCCACCCTCAAAGATAATGGGGCCAAGAAGTGTGCTGTACCTGCAGAGAAGCATGGGTGAACGATTGAGAACACATAGCAGCCTACCACAAAGAGACTGAGGAGATGATTGTTATCAACAGCTGTAGCTACAGTAATTGCTCTAGTACAGAGATTCTTAATTAGAGATGAATATGGTTGAGAGCCACTCATGCTACAGTGCATTAAAAGGAAGAATTAGATTAGATCGGGTCACTTGGTTTCCACTACAGAGGAAATTTCCCGAGGACGGAGCCCTGTCTCCATCTGCACTTAAGTAAGGTAGACGTGTCTTGTAGTGGTCAGGAAGCAGTAACACTCCTAGGAATTCTCTCAAGAGGATGCAGGCCTCAAATGCAAGGCCCTCATGTTACCTGCCGTGCAGTCCAGGAAAATATTTTCGCCATTAGAGATGATGACACTGAGATGGATTTGCTGTTGTGGGTGCCTTGTAGGTAGCTCCATGCTTATGCATAGGAGCAGCAACGGTGTCTGGTTTCCTTTGGGTCACCAGTAAAATGGTGGCTCTTCCTCAGCTCATCCAGCCTTCTGCCCTTTCTTGCTGGAATAGTGTCTGTGCAGCTTTTGAAACAGGGAACCATGCAGACCATGGTGGATCAGTGCACTGTACCAGTGTGGTTGGTGTCATCTACAAAGATGTCAGCAGTATCTCCCCTGACTACAAACCTAGACAAATGCCTCCGTCTTCTACTTCTCATAGCCATAGGTTATCTCTTTCTGTATTTCAGCAAAACTCCTCAAGAGTTGCCTCTACCTGTTGTCTGTGATTCTTGTCCTCCCATTCTCTCTTGAATCCACTCTGATGGGGCTTTCTTCCCCACTGCTGCACCAAAACATCTCCTGTCCAGACCATCAGTGATCACCGTTACCGCACCCAGTGCTCTGTCCTCCAGGGCCATGTTACATGATCTGTTGGCAGCTTTGGATACAGCTGATCGCTCCTTGTCTTTGAACCACCGTTGCCCTTGGCCCTTGGCACACTGCTCTTTCTTAGCTCTGCCCTTCATTCACTTGTTTCTTCTTCTTGGAATCCTTTGCTGACTTCTGTCTCATCTTCTCACCCTCTTAACATTGGGAAGCTCCAGGGGTAGATCCTGAGACCTCTCCTCTGTCTGTACTCACTCCCTAGTTATCACGTCCAGCCTCCTGGTGTTAAATATAATCTATGTATCTTCCAGTAACCAGCAGCTGTGTGTCACCAGCCCAGACCTTTTTTCCAAACCTCAGACTTGTATCCCTACCTGCCGACTCCGTTCCTCTCCTGTCTGAATAGATAATAAGTATCTTGCACTTAGCAAGACTCATGGCAGAACTCACAGTCTTCCCAGAGTCTTTCTCAGCTTGGTAAATGCTAGCCTCATCCTTCTAGCTTCTCAGGCCTTATTGGACTTATTTCTTTTTCTCACTCTTTGATTACAATCCATCAGAAAATCCTATGAGCTTTACCTTCCAAACATGTCAAGAATTTGTCTCTTACCACCTGCACACTCAGCTCAGCGCTGGCCGCCCTCGCCTCCGTCCTGGATGATGGCGACAGCCTCCTGCAGGAGTCTCTGCCTCAACCCCTATCATGGCCCGGACCTAACACGGCATTCAAACGGCCCTCTGAACAGCCAAGTCGGATCATGTTCCTGCCCTGCTCAGGACCCTCCACGGCTTCCCTGACTTGCCCAGAGTGAGCGCCAAAGTCCCATAGGCCCTGCGATCTCACGCCTCCTTCCTCCCTAAGCTCACCCCCTTCACCCTCCCCTCCTCTCCCTCCTCACCAGCCCTCCACAGTGACTCCCTTGCTATTCCTCCAACATTCCAAGCTCACCCCACTGTGGGGTGGTGGCCGGCACTTGCTCCTTCTGTCTGAACGCCCTCGGCTCAGCTCTCTGCACAGGCCTGCGCACCTCCTTGGCCCCCACCTCGGCTCAGCTCTCCATACAGGCCTGCACACTTCCTCGGCACCCCCTCGGCTCAGCTCTCATACAGGCCTGCGCACCTCCTCGGCCCGCCCCTTGGCTCAGCTCTCTGCACAGGCCTGCGTACCTCCTCGGCCCCCGCTGATGCCATCCCCTCACTCCCCGTTCATCCACCCTTCCCTGCTCCATTTCCCCACATCACCTCTCACCATCTGCCATTCTGTATGTGTATGTGTTCATTTGCTTATCACCCCTTACCTCATGAGAATGTAACCTACGTGAGGCTAACAATTTTTGTTAGTTGTGTTCACAGCTGTGTCCTCAGCACCGACAATAAAGGTGATAAATATCTGTAGAATGAGCAAACATGGTTACACGGACGCCCATGGCGGCTGGCATAGCTTCACATCACAGGCCCTAAGAGCCACCCCACCCACTAAAATGATGTGAGTGGTGCCAGCTTCCTGGACATGTGCCTTTGCTGGCTTTTCCAAAGGGTCTTTACTTCTTCTGTCTCATTTGATCTTCATGACAATTGGGTGATATTAAGAAATGTACATAGGCAATATATAGATATGTAGGGTTTTTCTTACAACAAATAGGTTCATTGGGCCATTTTTGACATCTGCAATTCTAGACCAATAGTGTTAGAGGCCCCAAAAGTTGCATTTTTTTTTTTTTTTTTTTTGAGACGGAGTCTTGCTCTGTCGCCCAGGCTGGAGTGCAGTGGTGTGATCTCGGCTCACTGTAAGCTCCGCCTCCTGGGTTCACGCCATTCTCCTGCTTCAGCCTCCCGAGTAGCTGGGACTATAGGCACCCGCCACCACGCCCGGCTAATTTTTGTATTTTTAGTAGAGACGGGTTTCACCGGTTAGCCAGGATGGTCTCGATCTCCTGACCTCGTGATCTGCCCGCCTCAGCCTCCCAAAGTGCTGGGATTACAGGCGTGAGCCACCGCACCCGGCCTAAAAGTTGCATTTTTTAAATGCACATATATGTACTAAATGTCATTGAAATCTTATGATCACAGGTTATGGAAATAGATGATTGCGAGGGTACAAGTCCATGAGTCATTTATCAATTTGTTCAACAAAATCGACTGAGTACTTACTTTATGTAAGATTTTGTTAGCCATTATAGCAGATACAGAAGTGAGTCAGATGCTAAGTGTGTTCTAGAGAGCTTGAAGTGTAGTAGAAGAAAAAATATTCATAAAAATGATTATATAAATAAAAATTGGAGCTGTCAAAAAGGAAAGTTTAGGTAAGATGTGCAATGTGATGAATTCTGTGACAAGCCATGCATTGGGGACACCATACTTTGGGGAGTGGTGATAGAGAATCAGGAGAGCCTTCTTGGAGAAGGTAGCATTTGGGATGGAACTTGAAGGATGAGTGAGGAGAGGCATTCCAGGAAATCACACAAAGGAAGGAGAGTGGCCGTGGCCCTGGAGATGCACACTGTGAGGCTGCAAGGCTAACGGCTTGATTACACTGCAGAGGTGAAAATCAGATTGGCTCTTCCAATGGGGTTCTGTGTAGTTGAAAGATTTGGCCATTTGGCTTCATAGAGACTCTTCTACAGTAACAGAATCAGTTCTCTCTGCTGTGAGCATCCACTCTCCCACTGCAGCCGTGCTGTGGAGCATGCGTATTACACCAAAGACTAAGCCATATGGAGGAATCAACGTTATACAGCCAGATGAACCATAGGGAGAGTTGTGGTTAAATATTTGCAATGTATATGCAAGGAGTACATTTGCTTGTGAAGCAGTAAGCAAGGGGTCGTTTCCTGCTTTCCATTTCATCTCATATGCCTTCTGGAGAAGAACTTTCAGGAGGGACTTGATAAAGGGAGAAGTCAAATGGAGATGAGAAAGATGTGTAGGGTCTTTGACGAAAACTCAGAGCAACCTAGACTTGATCTGATGATGAAAGGAACTGAAAAATCACCTTTCTGTAAGACCAGCACTAGCCTTGGAAGACACTCATCATGAATGTTTATTGAGCACTCTCTGTGAGCCAAGCACAAAGCTAGGTGCGGGGACAGAGGTAGATAGTGCACTCCCATCAGTCAAATCAGAACACCTGTCCAGTTTTCATAAGGACCATCCGGTTTTAGATCTGGACCTCCCAGTCCAGACTTGATAAGAGAACATCTTTCTAGAGCAGATAGTCAAAATCATGTAACTTAGTCCCTGAAACTGACATATTTTGGAGTTCAGAGAATATCTCCGAATCAGAGCAGAGGCTCAAGCCCACACTGCTTCACTCTTTATCCTTTGCTTTTTCCACTGCCTGTGTCCTCATCGTCCCAGACTTCCCTTTAATCCTGGTTAATGTGATTTTGATTTAGTCCTAATGGAATGCTTTAAGGACTTTTCGTGGGATACGTTTTTCCTAGTATGTGAGTCTTTACAAGATTAGATCTTTCAGGATGTCCCTTTTGTCAGTAAAATGTTATATCTGGAAGCACACAGAATAGAAAACAGCTCGCTATTAAACGGAAGTTTACTTTCATCCTGAGAGGTGAGAAGGAGCACTGAGGACCATGTGTGGATAGAGGTCAGAAGCTTCAATTTTTCCTTGCTCAGGTGAGGACTGTTTCCTGAAAGCAAATCAGCACCAGTTAGTAGACAAATATCTGTGGAGTGGATACCATATAGAAGGCAAGGAAAGCCTTACAACATGCTGGTTTTGAACATGAGTTCTTGAATCAGACTACTTACTGGCTTCTGCCACTTACTGACTCTGTACCCTTAGGGAAGTTGCTAAGCCTCTCTGTGCCTTAGTTTCCTCCTATGTAAAATGGGAATTGTAATCGAACGTATTACATATGCTGTTGGAAAGACTAAATGAGTTAAGGCACGCAAAGCACTTTAATGGTGTCCTGCTTATAGTAAGTGCTCAGTTAAGTGGTAGCTGTTACATTATATTATATTACATATGTAGACTGAAATAGAGGACAAGATCATTCTCAAGAGACAACAAATATACTTTAAAAGATAAGGAATATTCAAGAGTTAAATAGCAGTTTGAGACCAAAAATCACCAGAGAGGCATGTGTATGATTATTTGACTTGCATAGTGTAGATGATGAAATGGATTCAAGGGGAGAGTTTACCAGGGACTGTGGCAGTCTGAAAAGTTTTATGAAGGAGGACATACCGGAGATAAGCCCTGAGGTTTATGTGGAACAGGCAGGGATGGGGATGGAAGGACATCTGAGGGTGAAAACCTTGTTTGTTTAGGTCACCAATGTGGGCCAGTCTCGGCCAGCACATAGGTGTGGGGTGCCCAAACCCATTACCGAAAAGGAAGTATGGGTCGTGAGAGCCAGGAGACAAAAGTCCGCAGTGAGCAGACTGAGCTGGGTCTTGGATGGCACACCAAGAGGCAGTTTTCTAAACAGCCACTGCTGTTCACTCTCCATACAAAACGTTCAAAAAAACCGCACTGCAGAGACAGCTAAGTGTCTTGGAAATCTACAAAAGAAGGTCAGAACTGACCATGAATCTTGAATTCCAGGGAGGTTCACGAACCCACCCGGGCTGGTGGCAGAGCTGAGGTCAGAGCCATACCGAAGCTGTCACCGCTCTCTCCCACCCTGCATGACCTCCATCCCAGAGGCCAGGTCTGGGCCATCCTGCTCTGTCCTGAGCGCCCTGCCAGAAGATCCTATGCTGCTTGACACCAAACACTCTTTTTTAAAACATTCTTACTGATACGATGAATATTGACTTAAAAATTGCTGCTGCAGAAGTTGAAAACTCACCTGAGTGCCAAGTCCCCAGGTGAACCACACGCATCCCGAGATGTAGTTTTCCTCCCAGGATGGGTTCTCCCCTCCTGGGGATTAGTCACCGTGAAACTGGCCACACTGATTAGCAAGCGGTGCCAGTTAATCAGACCCACTGAGGGCACATTAGGGCTGCTAAAAGCGGCTTTTCTGAGTGTTTTCACACTTTGATGGTTTAAAGCCACTCATGCTGTCCTGTCTGAAATTTGCTGTTGGTAAATTGAGCCACAGCAGATTTGCAATCCCATCGTGGCTCCCAGGAAAGTGTTTTCTGGCCCAGTTGGTGCCGCATTGTGCAAGAGAGGAGGCTAGGCAGCAGGCATGGTCCCTGCAAACAGCTCCTGAACCTCGCTTGCAGTTAAGGACACCTCCCAGTCTGGACTGATAAGAGAACATCTTTCTGGAGCAGATATTCAAAATCCTGTAACTCAGCCCCTGAAACTGACATATCTTGGAGTCCCAGAGAAGATCCCAGAGTCAGGGAAGAGGCTCAAACCACAGTGCTTCACTCCCCATCCCTTGCTTTTTCCACTGCCTGTGTCCTCATGTTCCCAGACTTCCTTTAATTCTGGTTGATGTGATTTAACACTGAAGTACCCACAGGATGCTGCTGGTGCAGCTGAGCACAAGCCTGGGTAGGCAGAGGACCCAGCCTCCAGCCCTGCATTCACCCGGACAAGCCTGGAGACCTTGGGCAGGTCTGCCCTCCCTCTGGACTTTGTCCTGCATCTGGGGCTTGAAGGGCCTGGACTGGCTGGCCTCTGCATCCCCTTCCCTCTCCCACATGCTCATCCCCACCGCACCAGGCTGTACCCTCACTGCTTGCAGACCTTCAGCCTCTCCACCCCTGTTCTCACCCCCTCTCATGTCCTTGGACTTGGCCCTCATTCTCCCCTCACTTTCTATTTTGCTTCCTCTTGCTTTTTATCCCCTTTGTCTTATAGGGGTCTTACAGGCCACATACCCTTAAACAACATGAGGGGACACTTACAAAGCTACTTATGAGGACAGGGGCATGTGCAGGGGGCCACCCCTGAGGCCGTCCCTCATTCTCCTTCACACAGCGCTGGAGGCTGCCTGGTCCCCCTGCCCGCCCATCGGAGATGGTCCCTACAACATCTTCTAAGCCCTTTCCCTCCCACTTCTTTCACTGCCACAGGAAGTACTCAAACCTTGTCCGCTGTATGTGTCTCATGGCACTGTTCCTGAATCCGAATGTCTGGGTGGGAGGGGACTAGGCTAGTACAACTGAGCTTCCATTCTGCAGAGAGGAGCCCTGAGGCCAGAGGGCCACATGGCTTCCTTAAGGTCACAGAGTGACCTGGTGGCAGGTGGGCAGGACCCTTGCTTCCTGCACGGTCTGCAAGGGGACTCTGATGGCAATGGTGAGGGAACCCTCAGGGCTGCTGATCTTTGCTGCCCCCAGGTCTCCCAGCCTCCCCAGAAGGGAGGAAGCCCCAGGACCCGCTCCCCGCCTTCCCACCCAGGCAGCCTGGGGTTGTGCTCTGCAGATGGGGCAGAGCACCCTGGAGGGCAGCCAGAGACAGCAGGGGGTGGCGGGGGGCCCTTCACACTGCAGGAGGCTTGCCTCTAAGAAACAGAATTTAGAACAGGGTGGGTCCCACGCCCAGCCCCGCCCTGCCCCTTAGCACCTGCCAGGCCCACCCTCTCCCCCGGTGTCTCCTGATCTCCCAGTGTGGACGGTCTTTCCCCTTGACTGCTGCATCCCCAGTTAAGCAACTCTCTTCCCGGCATCCTCCCAGGTGCCCCTGAAAGACGCCTGGGCCAGCAGCTCAAGGCCCACTCAGAGTCCCGACCCTGCTGCGACTTCTCTGTTGCCCTGCCAGGTGCTTTGCCTCGGTTTCTCAATCTACAAAGAGTGAGTGATGGGGGTGCCATGGATAAGGAGGAGATTCTACCTGTGCAGCCCTGTGAGCTCCCAGCATCCGAGACCTCTTGGAGAGGGACCCTGTGGGTTGGCAGGAGCCACCGCACCAGATAGGAAGGGAAGAGGCCCGCCATGCGGCAAAGTGAGCTGATGGACACAGTAAGCACACTCACAGGTTCCCGCCTCTGCTATAGTGGAGTTTCACTGAGAGGTTACTGAGTATCAACAACAGTATGTGGCTGAACTGGGAACATCTCTATTATTTAGTGTTCTAGATACAGCAGGTAAAAAGTCCTCATGGCAAAGAATGCCTGCAGTCACACAGGAACGTCACATGTGTGCTAAGGCACACACACATTCCTCCAGTCACGAACTGGTCTCTTTTTGATTTGAGAACAAAATGTAGGAGGCAGTGATAAATGTTAGGGTTACCTCCAACTACAAGCAATATTCAGCATCCGTTCAAGGCCTTCAGACTCAAAGAGCTTGATTAGCTGATGAATCGGCCCAGTGGTCTAGAAACACAGGGACGTTATCCCTAATTTAGAGATAGGCAAATCCAGGCTATCTAGTTCAGACTGTTTTCCAGTCGGGATAACTCCCTCCAGGACTTGGTTTCTGTTGTTTGGAAGAGAACACAGCTTCCTGAGCCGAGGGGAATCACATTGCTTCTGGGCTGTAGGGCGCCCTGCCTGGCTCTAGAGATTGAGAGTAGTTCATAGTTTGCCTGTTGCCTTATTTATGTTTCAAGAGTTGTGAGCCCCTTGGGTGGCAGGACCTGATGGCAAATAGTATTGTTGTCACCTCAGGAATTGTGATGGGGTGGGAGGCACTCCGGCCTGCCGGTGAGGAGACCAGGGATCTAAGTCTGGCCAGCTGTGTGACCTTGTCATTTAACCTCTGACCCTCAGCCTCCTCACCTGCAAAATGGGAGGGTACAACTGTATTCGCCCTAGAGTATTAGCCTTTAGATGCCTGCCGTGCTCACCTTTCACCATGGCAGTTGCCCTCTGAATCATGCGTAATTTTCAGTCAGCTGACTTCTTGAGCACCCTCTTGCATGTTAGTTAGTTTAGTTTTGTTTTGTTTTGTTTTTTAATATTTGGCTTGGGAACGTTTCAGAGCCACCAAGGTTGTTGCCATTTCTGTTGGGGGTACCCCAGTAGACTATGTGGTGTATGACCCCAAGGATATACAGAATCACATCGGGAGGGGAAAAACTTGTTGGTATATATATACATATATACAAACATTAGCCAGGAGAAATGGTTCTGTGCCTCTCACAAAAAGCTCACAAAACACTGTGGTCTGTGGCAGCAGCAGATGATATTGATGATGATAGAAAAGTTCTGTCTTCACTCAGACATGCCATTGATCAAGAGCATTTATTCAGAGACTACTATCTGCCAGGCATCGAGCCACGCGACACGAGCCACCAGTCCGTTTCTTCATCTATGCCGCATTGTGTTGATACTGGCAAAGGACTGAAATAGGAAATACACTCATGTCATAGGAGGTGTCAAGCTGTTTGTCAGGGCAGAGAAGAGGAGAGTAACGTGGCACAAGTTGTAGACATCTTCCTTCTGAAGACATGGGTGATTGGAACAGCATGTCATCAGGTGAGTTTTCAGTGTTGCTTCCAGTTCTAAGCTGGGATAATTCTGAGTATTCTTAAAATGTACTGCTGTTGGAGGATAATGGAAAAGCGCTGAACTCAGAAAAAGCCTTGGGACTGTGAGCACCATCAACTGCATTGAGGAGACATCCAAAAGTATAATGCCTTCTTCAGGCTGTTTTTACTAGACCATATAGTCCTACTAATAAATACTTGTGCAAAACAGAAATACTTTTAAAAAAATAATATATTTATTCACTTAATTTTCCCAGAAATAATGCCTTGATCATATGTTTTCCCCAGAAATTGTTAGACTTACCTTCTATGGTCAACAAGAGCTTTCCTGAATTTCTTGAGATTTAGTGAAAGCAGGTAGATGTAAACTATATTAATTACATTGCATTTTCCAGAAATAAAAAAAAGCTTGAATACCCCTGAAATTCCTCTGAGTATTATCATCCTGTGCTTTGTTGATAGAGAATAGCAGTGACCTAATAATTTCTTTTTTAACCACTAATTCTAGACCTGAGGTGTCATGACAGAGTATGACCCTGGGCAAATGCCACTCTTTCAGCTCCCAATATAGTAAGCAATCACACAGCCCAGAGGTGGGAGAGTAGGTCCTAAAATAAGAGCAGGTATTTATTAAGCACTCATCTTGAGCCCAGGACTGTGGCAGGTGGTATAATCATCACAAGAGACAAGAGGGCTTCTTAAACTCAGGAAGCTCCATAATGGATTCCTTTTTGTGTCTGGAGACCTCCAAACATGAAATCACAGACAAGGTGATGACTGATTAAAAATAATGGCAATAATAAAGGCCACTTAGGCTTATAAGTGACCCAGGCTTTCTAAATGTTGGAAAGAAAAATGAGGGGGGAATGAAATGAAGATCCAGTGAGGCCAGCGTCCTGTGAAGTGATCAATACGCAGAACGTGAGCCCCATGTGCCTGTTATTATTGGTTGATTCTCTCGTGCTGATTCATGACACTTAGTGGTTAAAGACTCAGATGGTGGAATCCCACTACCTAGGTTCAAATTCCCAGAGCCACCATTTATTAGCTGTGTGCCTCGATTTCCTGATCTATAAAATGGGGGCTAAAATTACACCTGCCTGCTTCCTGGAGTTGTTGTGAGGATTAAATAAGTAAATGCTTTTAAAGCAATAGAATTGTGTGAAACACACAGGAAGCACTCAGCAAATACTAGCTACTAGTACTCTGTGGGTCCAACTCCCTATCTGTCTACCTCAGGCTCCAAGTTGGACTGATCAGAGAAGGGGACCTTCTATACTTGATCTTTTTTTTTTTTGAGACCGAGTCTCGATCTGTCTCCCAGGCTGCATTGTCAAGATCTCGGCTCACTGCAACCACCCCCTCCCGGGTTCAAATGATTCTCGTGCCTCATCTTCCAAGTAGCTGGGATTATAGGCATGTGCCACCACGCCTGGCTAATTTTTGTATTTTTTGGAAAGACAGGATTTCACCATGTTGGCCAGGCAGGTCTTGAATTCCTGACCTCAGGTTATCTGCTCTCCTCGGCCTTCCAAAATGCTAGGATTACAGTTGTGAGCCACTGTGCCTGACGTACACATCATTTTAAAAATAACTTTATTGAAGCGTAATTTATATTCAATAAAATTCACATATTTTAAGTGTACACTTAAGTGTAATAACCTTAAAATCATAGAATTTCACTTACCCAACCCCTTGTCCTGTGTGATTACTATATGTCTTCTATTTACACATACTTTATAAGTTCCACTCAACAATGTTTTTATTTTTACTTTAGTCAATTGTCTTTTAAGTAAATTATGGGAAAAAATAAAACATAGTATTTTATATTTACCTACTTATTTACTGTTTCTGATGCTTCTACTACACATTCTATAGATCCAAGTTCCCTTCTGGTATCATTTCCCCTTATCTTGAAGCAACCCAATGGCATTTCTATAATGTAGGTCTGCTGCTGGAGAATTAGCTAAGCTTTTGTTTATCTGAACATGTCTTTTGCCATCCTCTTTTGACGAATATTTTTGCTGGTATAGAGTTCTTGATTGACAGGTTTTTTTTTCTTTCAGAACTTTAAAGATGTTCCATTTTCTCCTGGTTTCCACTGTCTCTGATGAGAAGTCATTGATTTTTTTTTTTCTTTCTGAGACGGAGTCTCGCTCTGTCGCCCAGACTGGAGTGCAGTGGCACAATCTTGGCTCACTGTAACCTCCGCCTCCTGGGTTCAAGCAATTCTCTGCCTCAGCTCCCGAGTAGCTGGGATTACAGGCACCTGCTACCACACCTGGCTAATTTTTGTATTTTTAATAGAGACGGGGTTTCACCATCTTGGCCAGGCTGGCCTTGAACTCCTGACCTCGTGATCCACCTGCCTAGGCCTCCCAGAGTGCTGGGATTACAGGCGTGAGCCACCATGCCTGGCCTGATATTATTGTTATTATTTCCCTGCACATAATGTTTCTTCCTTTGCTGACTGCTTTTAAAATTTTCTCTCTCAGTTTTCAGCAGTTTGACTATGATGTGCATCATTATTATATTCATTATATTTGTTCTGCTTGGAGTTTTCTGAGCTTCTCAGATACACTCATAAATGAGAAGTTTTCAAGTTCGGGACTTTTGGGGCCATCATTTCTTCAAATATTTTTTTGTACTCCATTCTCACTCTTCTCTTGCTGGGACTCCTGTTATACATGGTGTTTGGCCATGTTATAGTATCTCATTGGTCCCCGGGGCTTTGTTCAGTTTTCTTCAGTCTTTTATTCTCTGTGTTCCACAGATCAGTTCATTTCTGTTGATTATTCTTTCAGTTGACTCATGTTTCCTCTAATGTCTCCATCTTCATTAAGCCTATTCATAATTTTTCATTTCAGTTACTTTTCAATTATGGAATTTCCATTCTGTTCCTTTTTATAGTTCCCATTTATTTGTGGAATTCTCTATATTTCTCCCTTTAAGATCATATACTCATTTATTTCCTTTAATCAGTTTTTCTTCCATCCTTTAAATATATGTATCTATATATGGATACATATGTAGCACTCTCTCTATATATATATATCTCTCTACACACCCACATATATATAGCTGTTTTCAAATCGTTGTCTGCCAAGTCCAACATCTGAACAATCTCATTTTTTGTTTCCTATTGACTGCTTTTTTCCTTGACTATCACATTTTATATTTCTTTATATGTCTAGTGATTTCTTTTTACCGAATATTAGAATCATGGATAATATGTTGTTGTGACTCTGGATCTTTTCATATTCCTAAGAGTATTGGTTCATCAGCAGACAGTTTACCATGAACGTGTGTAGGCTTGGTTTTATGCTTGTTGGTGCTGAGACATTGAAAGCCCAAACCCCTCAACCTCCACATTTAATTTTCCCCTCCTGATGTTGTCAGGGCAATGATTTTGGCTTTGCCAGGATGGATCTAGAGTGGGTCTCACTGTAGACAAAGGGCCTTACTCCCAGGAGGTGCCCTTGCAGTGTCAGAGTCATCTGTCCAGGGTGGTAATGAGATGTTAACTAGGTCTCTCCACAATTTCAGGGCCGTAAGTCCAACCTCCTGACACTGCTTTTTCCCCAGCACTGATTAACCTGTACCATCTCTTTTCTGCTGTCAACCCTAAACCAGCTGCTATCTGATATGCCTCATTGGTTTCACCTTGTACCTGTACAACCCAGCCCTAAGCCACAGACACACAGGCAACCCCTACACAAACTTCTAGGGCCCTGTATCTACCTCGCTGTCTCTTCTGGATGTCCCACCACAGCCACTTCAGCTTCCCACATTCCAACCTGATTTCTGCCTTCTCAATTCCATGGGGCTGCAGTGTTGTGCTTGAACTGTAGCTCTTTGTGCTGTCCTCGGGAAACTGTTCTTAATTATAGTATATTAGATAATATAATGTTATATGTTATATTTTACTTTATATGTCACACATTTACTGAGGACTTATTGTGTATAAGGCACAGTAGTAATTGGAAGAAGGAAAGGTACTAGAATCTTGCTTTATTTGGAAAATAACAACTTAGAAAATTTTAGAGCCAGATTGCATTTTCTCATCCAATGTCCACCTTTTAAAGATGTTGAAACCTGGACCCAAAAGGTGACATGACTTGTCAAGGTCACACAGTTATTGATAGCAGAAGAGGAAATAGCCTGGCATTTTCCCCCACTAAATCCCTCCAAAAATATATTTTAAAAGAAAATCTAAGCATGATGTTTAGAAATTTTTACCACTATAGAAAATTTGGTTAGTGCCAAAGTCCCTATTGATGCAATAGTGATTTGAGCCAGAATTAGAAAATAAGTAAGTATGTGACCCTAAGAGCATTTTGTTCGAGTTACATAGAAAGATTAGCTTATGGCGTAGAGTTACCGTAAGTTGGCAGCAATGAACAAATTTGGTTCTTTGTTACACTCCATCTCAAGAACATCCAGGGAAGAGAAAGCTGTTGCCTGGGTATAATGGTATTTGCCAGAAAAAAAATCATTAGAGAGGTATAATTAAGACTAGTTTAGTAACTCATTCAACTAGATAACTCTATAATGAGTACATCTCATTTACCACCAAAACCATAGAGATATTTTGAAGTTTTCCCCAAAAGTATACCTTTTTTACATTTCTAAAGGAAGGAGTGAGGATTTGCAGTGAGTGCAACCAAGCCACCTTTTCCTCCTGTTTGGCCTTATTATCAAGTATGTTGCTCAGCAAACAGCCAGTCCTCAGAAACTTCACTCCAAGAGGCTCTGTCAAGGGTTTGGCACAAAGAGAATGTCGCAAAGATTTTCCAGTGCTCTAGAATATATCCTTGTATTCAAAACCCAGTTGTCTGGTTCTGGGAGTGAGTGTGGCAGGAAAAGCTACAGGTGGATCCCGTAGGTAGTTTCTCCCATAAGAAGTACAGGCCAGGCCAGGCGCAGTAGCTCACGCCTATAATCCCAGCACTTTGGGAGGCCGAGGCAGGCAGATCACTTGAGGCCAGGAGTTTGAGACCAGCCTGGCCAACATGGCGAAACCCCGTCTCTACTAAAAATACAAAAACTTAGCCAGACATGGTGGCACACGCCGGTAATCCCAGTTGCTCGGGAGGCTGAGGCAAGAGAATCACTTGAACCTGGGAGGCGCAGGTTGCAGTGAGCTGAGATCACGCCATTGCGCTCCAGCCTGGGCAACAACAGCGAAACTCCATCTCAAAAAAAAAAAAAAAAGAAAGAAAGAAAAAGAAAAAAAGAAATGCAGGCCACTTTTTCTTTCAGAATTGGCAGTTGAGATGATTCAGATCAACTGTCCTGCCGAGGACAATTAGAAATGCTGGACAAAATATTCTAAATCTTCTTTCTGGAGCTTGGAAAAGATGCCTGATAGAAACAAATGTGAATCCTCTGTGGAGAAAGATAACATCATCAACATTTTCAAATTACTTTGAAAACCAATTGTGTGAAAATAAGGTTTTGGCTGGGCGCGGTGGCTCACGCTTGTAATCCCAGCACTTTGGTGGGCCGAGGCAGGCGGATCACGAGGTCAGGAGATCGAGACCATCCTGGCTAACACAGTGAAACCCCGTCTCTACTAAAAATACAAAAAATTAGCCGGGCGCAGTAGTGGGCGCCTGTAGTCCCAGCTACTCGGGAGGCTGAGGCAGGAGAATGGCGTGAACCCGGTAGGTGGAGCTTGCAGTGAGCCGAGATCACGCCACTGCACTCCAGCCTGGGCAACAGAGTGAGACTCCATCTCAAAAAAAAAAAGAAAAGAAAAGAAAAGAAGGTTTCATTCATGATACCAAATAACTATATACACAAGGAGACAAAGTAACCTGAGTGAAAACGGGGAGAAACTATAGACCATAGAAATAGACCCACAGGGAATTGAGATATTGGAATTGTCAGATATAGACTTGAAAATAACTGTATTTACCACATTCAGAGATATCAAAGACAGGACTGGTAATTTTCCAAAGAACCAGATATGGAAAAGAACCAAATGTAAATTTTAGAAATGAAGAATACAATCACTGAAATGAAAAAGGCAGTGAATGGATTTAAAAGAAGACTTGGCACAGCTGAAAACAGTTATTGAACTAGAGAGAGGGCAGGGAAAAATACTGATAATCAAACACAGAAACTGAAAAGAATTGGGAATGCAGAGAAGAGTACAGAATATCAGGGAATAAGTGGATGCTCACATTTATGAAATGTTTTTTTCCTACATCTGACAGAATCGTTATTTTTAAGTTAATGTGAATTACATATTAACTTGTTATGGAAGTATAATATAGTGGTTATCTTGGTGTAGGAGGGGTGAGTGGGGCTGCTGTATAGCTGGTGGGGTTTTATTTCTTGGTCTGAGTAATAGTTGCATGGCTGTTTGTTTTGTGATAAATCATACATTGTAACATCCCCCTTTCTTGCATCTTTTGTATGTATATTTCACAGTTTTTTCCAAAAAAAGATGTAAGAAGAAGCAAAAGTACAGGTCCAGGTAGCTATATCATTGGCAGATGCCGAAGGAGATCTGCTCCTTACTCTGCCTGGAGCACAAAACTACAGTTTGCCACCAATAGGGAGGCAGCACAGAGGGACGGCCATCGTGATGCAATCACTTCCAATGGATTAGAGCTGTCATGAGAGATGCACTGTTGAGAAGGATTGTGAGGCCCCATCTGGACCAGAGGGAAGGAGCAGCATCTGCCATGACGCGGGCCAACAAGTGGCACATGTGTGCAGTGTAGTTGTCATTTTGCCTGGATAATGGCTAAGGAATGGAAGTGGTAGCTTCAAGTTGGCTTGGCTTCTAACTCCAACTCTGCCATTTACCAAGTGTGTAATCTGGGACAATTTATCTGTCTTACCTAAGCCTCATTTCTTTTATCTGTATTAAGACGGCTGGGGAATTAAATGAAACAATGTATGTAAAGCACTTATGTGGTACCCAGCAGGTGCCGAGTCCTCGGGAAATGGTAGTTAATACTATTATTGTTGTTGTTTGCTTTAGATCATCTTGTCTGCCTTTCACCATATGCAGTTTTCTTCTAACACAGGGTTTCTTTTATATCTTTTTCTCTGAATTTCTCTTTTCAATCCACATTGGTAATATAAAAAATTAATTCAACTTGAAGGCTGATATTTTAATTACTCCTAAAGTTTTAATTTATTGGGGAACCAGTTACCCACCATCCCTTTGCTAAGACAAGAACCCTCCTTTAGTGTTCCTCATACCATGTGTGGGATGCAGAATTTATTAATCTGGAAAGGCTAAATTAAAAATAAATGAAAATCTCTAATGAATAAGGACACTCTAATGAGAACATGCAAAAATCATAAAACTTGAGGCTGTAGGAAAGCTATCCAGGCAATAGTTCTTTCCCCGTTTATAGGAAGCTTCTTTTCCCAGTAAGAAAATGCATTAGTCACTTTTGAAGCTCAGCTTGATAAACTTACTCCTTTCCCCAAGAGAGAACTATCTGCCTTCCTAGTTCTAGACCTATTTTCTTTTGAAAGCCATTAAGCCTGTGAGACCATTAAAAGTGTCTGTTACTTCATCAGCCAAATGAAGGCAGAAAACATGATCTGTGAGATTCATCACGTCTCCAGCTTCTAGCCAGTGCAACATGATTCATGGAGATCAGAAGTAAGCGTGGGCTAGTAGTCACAACCTGATGATGACAGTGGTGATTGTCACCACCACAAATGCTGAAAGGAGCACTCATTTTTAGAAGCAGTCAGGTATGACTTTGGAAGATGAGGACCCAGAGTTGGCTAGTGAGTTATAGTAAGAGGATATTTATCTGATCACTATCCCTGGGAGGGAACTTGTTGGCTCACAAAACTTAGAAGCCCTCCAGGTGGAATACCTCCTCCTGGCTTAATGGAAAGGTGATGGTGGCACATAGAAAGCCACTCTGTCTTATCTGCGAGTCATCCTACAGTTGCGCTACCACATCTGCTCTCCACCCTTCCCCACTCTGCTCTCTGGCTGGGGAGTCGACCAGATGGCCTCCATCAACAGGCTGCCTCATCTCCAGTCTGTAGTTGGGTTCAGTCGATGGGGAGCCGAGCAAGAGATCAGCAGGTGGGAGTAGGGTGAGGTCAGGTTCTTCTGTCCCCAGATCCTTCCCTGCAGGTCTGGGCTGGCATTGTCACAGCCTCTCCGAGTGGTCCTTTATACAGAATGCTGTCCTTCCCACTTTCTGTAACCACTCTTTCCACTTGCTTCTTCAGCCTAGTGGTGCTAATAGATCACTGTTGTTGCCACTTCCAGGCCACCCTTGTGGTTCTCTTTACCCCATCATAAAAAGCACCAGTCATCTCAAATTATCTTAATTTGAGTGTGAGGAGATGGTGGGACAACCTCGTAGAAATATCTAGTAGGCTTATGAAGCATGTCTTGAACTCAGAAGAGAGGACAAAGAAAATAAATGTAAGTACAGGTGTGGATGCATGTACTTAGTGGTGACTATTGGACTCTTAGGAAGGAGTGAAGTGCATGAATTTTCTGAGAGAGAGTTTAGAGAGAGCCACACAAAGGGCAGAAGACTAACAGAATAAAAGGGCAGAGAGAAGCTCCACCCATGGACACAGCTCACAGGTCTAGTCTTCTGGGAACTGTTTTCATATTTTCCTAGGTGAAGATAGTCTCTCCCTCTCCTCTATGCTTCCACCGTCCTTTGGGCATAATTCTTAGGAATATTATCACTGAGGATAACCCCCATGCAGGCAAAACTCCAGTCACTGCTTGAGAGCATCTGATAACACCAAAAAGACTGGATGAGGTTGCTGCAGCCTCCCAGGATGGCCAGCGTGCCCTAGGGCCTGGCTGCTGGTTGGTGGGGCAGCAGCTGCAGTGTCACTTGAGACCCGGTTAGAAATGCAAACTCATTCCCCACCCATGATGGAGAATTACAATCCACATTTTGACAAGATCCTAGGGGACCTATGTGCTCATTTACCCTAAAGGGTCCCACTGAGACCTGTGTCACGCTTCTAAGACCACACTTCAAATAACAATGGCTGTCACTGATATGGCCTTTACTATGGGCCTGATGTTGTTCTGGGCACTTTGCTTAAATTAACTTGTTTAATCCTCACAGCAACTTTATGGGATAGGTAAACGATCATCCTCTCTTTAAGATGAGGTCAATAGTTGGTACAAGGACACATGGATGAGATGTGGTGGGATTGGGATTCATTGGAGTCATTTGGCTCCAAGGGTCCCTCTTCTTCAACCACTGCACTCTCCTCCTTCTCCCACCTCCCATGGCAATCAGCAGGGTGCTTCATAGGTTCTCCGTAGGTGCTTGGAAGATGCACAAGTGAATGATGGCATAGCTGTCTGTGGTAGCCTCAAGAAAGGGAACCTTGATCATCTGGGGAAAACTTTCTACAGCCTGGGTACGCCTGTCTCTCTCATTACAGAAGGGAGAGACTCTCCGATAGTATTTTCTCAGATAGAGGATGTAGCTGAGGATGGAAAACTTCATTCTAGATTCCCCTGTGGGAGAAGCTGGTGTTTGATCTACATTTTCTTAGAATCTGCATCGCAAATCCAAGGATAGTGAGGTTCAAGGGCAGTTATGGGGCTCGGTGGGCACAGTAAGGACAGTGCCCTTCACTTGAACACCTGTTTTTTTTAAGTTTTTAAAAATTGTTTTAAATTTTCTTTTTGTTTTTTAGAGACAGGGTCTTGTTCTGTCACCCAGGCTGGAGTGCAGTAGTATGATCATAGTTCACTGTAAACTTGAACTCCTGGGCTCAAGTGATCTGCCCACTTCTGCCTCCTGAAGTGCTGGGATTACAAGCCTAAAGCCACTGTGCCTGGCCTTGAACACCTGTCTTAAGAGAAATCTATTTCTTTCAGATGACATCCAATTCTAAGAGGAAGGACTTGTAGCGAAGCTTAGAATTTGCCCACCATCTAGTGACTCTTTTTGTTTGGATTTGGCTAAAGTTTATTTGGAAATACAGAAGGCATAACTTGCTTTGGTAGGGCCAGCCTCTCAGTCAGCCATCATTCAGCTAATCAGACATCTGGATTAAGCAGTATGGCTTTCTCTTCCATTCTGCAAGGACAGCCAGTTCAAGTTAAGGAGCAGCTTTCTAAAACTCCATGTCCTGACTCCTGCCCCAGTCTTGAAAGTGGGCTGTCGCCTTAATGCTGGCTTGAAGCACAGCAGAATCCAGAGTCAGCCCCACTCCTGGGAAGCCCTGACTACATCGGGATTGGGGATATCACATGTAGAAGGGGTTTTCCCAGGCTTGAGGTTGACTCGCCATTTCTTTTCATCCAGGCTTTCCGTATTGGCAGAATCTCACATGGTGCCGCAGCCCTCTCTTCTGTTGGATTGGGTCGCTGAGAAGTTGTGGTTAAGATTGCCCCAGTAAAGCCAGCAGAGTAGAGGACCCCTGGCCTAATGCTGTCCTTCCCCTGCCCCTCTGTGGCACCAGATGGGGATTATTTCCTCCACTTTACCAGCGAGGACGTTATCAGGAGGGCCTTCCTCGTGTGCTTCCTGAATTTGTTTTCCTGAAAGTAAAAGTGATATCTGCTTCCTCTGATTTCACACACAAGCAACAAACTGGTTCCTCAAACCTCTTTCCAGGGATTTCTTTGAGAGACAGAACAAAGCCAGGAGGAGCATGGGGCTGACAGACGGAGAGCCCTGGGTGTCCTATAGCTATCCAGGCTACGTCGCAGTCTGGACCCCACAGCCCTGGCGCCGGGACCCTCTACCTGCACATACCTGACCAGGTCCTCTCCCCATTCAGCCTTCAGCTTAAGCACCACTTCCTGGAAAGCCTTTCTGCAGCCTCCATGCCAAAGGAGGACCCTCGTGGTACCCTATTCTGCTTCTTTAAGGCTCTTCACAGAGTTTATTATACATCAGTTGCATGATTATTTGACTAATGTTTGGCTGCCTACAAGCTCTGTGAGGGCAAGGCCTGCAGGGCTTGTAGTCACCACCGTATTCCCATCTCTAGCACGCAAGCATGGCTCATGGCCTGTAGAGCTTAGCTCAGTAAATAGTCTTTGAGTGAAATGAAGGTATTGGGTTAGGTGATCCCAAAGTCCTCTTCCTGTCATGGCAAACTCTGAGTCCACCTATGAGAAACTTGTACCCACCAACCCCCTAAACCCAAACTTCTCTTTTCCTAGTTCAGTGATTCTCAGCACTGTCTTCTGATGAATTCTGTCATCAAGCCTCCTTGATCGTTTTCATACTTTCCTAAGGCTTGGCTGGAATCTTTGAGTTTGAATAATTGGGAATGTGAAATGTTCATGCCTAAACACCAACAGAAAAGCAGAGCGTCAATGTGGAATCCAAACAATGGAATCTAACGTTGGCAATGATCTCCAATTCTAGGGTCTTCAACAGTTTCTCCCTGTGCCCTCCCATCTCATGTGAAATGACTCAAAATATGAATTCAAAAGAGGGAAGTATGGGTTGAAGATTACATGAAAAGAATAGAGTCCTTAAGAGGAGCCTTGAATCAGGCACATTACCTTCCAGCCCCAGGAAGTTCTCATTTTCCTCTGCTCATAAAGGCATTTTCATACTCTTTTGTGATAGTATCTCTGGGGCCCTGAGCAGAACACTTCATCCCAAAAGTAGGGCTTGGTGAGATGCTGTTTTATAAAGCAAAAGAGGATGTGATCTGTTGTCAGCCCTCGTCAGTCATGGTGGACAATATGGACCAGGTAATGGAAGCACCAACTTTGGCCAATCTGGGCATCTCCAGGCTAACCTCAAAACCACCGTAGAGAAAGGTGCCAGACATTGCTTTCTGCAATGGACGGCTTCTCTTGACTTTTTAAGGAGAAACAGTGTGATTTATAGATGCAGGTCCTCTAAGCCTTTCCTAACCGGAATTGTCAAGTTGCACCCCAGAGGGAATGCGGGCAGCACTGTAAGAGGAAGAAAGGAAATCCATGTCTGCCGGCTAAACTCCATCCTCCCCTTTTCCCGAGCCCAGCACTGAATGATGCCACTGCCCAAGGCCCCATCTCCCTGGAAGGTCTTCCTGGTACCTTGAGAGTCTTTCCACCCGCCAAGAGGCAGTCACTTGACATGAACTCCAAACTAGCGAGACTGAATTTCTAGGTTATGTGCTGTTTGATCTTTGCATGGAACCGTATGTTCCAAATTTTCCAGTAGAGCTCTCCTGTCACATACTCAGTCCTATTGGTCCCATAAGTACACATGTGTTTGTCAGATCTTACCCTGATGTAGGGCTAGAAAAACAGGCTCATCACATGCGTGGGCCAATAGTGATCTTGTGTTCACAGAACGTTTGTCAGCAGTTGCTTCACCAGGCTTGTCTAGGGCCCATTTTCTTTCACCAACATGAGCAGCCAGCCCTGAAGAAGGCCCGACACTCGCTTATCAGCGGTGAGCATGGCCTATCTGAGAACACTTGGGTGGAGAAATGTCGTGTATTTTCCAAATTAGAACTTGAGTTGGAGGAGCTGTTTCTGGGGCAGCTGTGAGCCAATCCCAAGAAGCTGTTAAACATCCAGGCCCTGAGAGCCAAACTCTACATGGCAGGGTAGAGAGGAGGATGTCTGGCCGCACGCCTTCACAAGCCAGCCTGGCTCTGCCACCCCAGGCAGGCCGCGAGGAAAGCAGATGGAAGCGAGAGCCTTTCCTGGACCAGCCTTGGAAACATCTGGGCTCTCCTGGAAGCAGGGACTCCACTAGACTCCCCCGCCTTCCCAGCAGATGCTGCAAGCACGTGTCACTGCTTTATAGACTCAGGTCGTGGAGGCTGAGAGCTGCTGTCTAAGCGTGTGGGGGGCATTTGCACAGTCGTGAAGCCATGGGCTAGGAGCCAGACCACCTGGCACTGAGCCCTGTGCCACCACTTCCCAGCTGTGCGACCCTGGGTAGATCACTCCACTGCTCTGGACCCACTCTTCTCATCAGAAACATATGGTTACAAATAGTGCCTACTTCCTAGGTTGTTGCCGGGAGGAGATGGAATGATCCAATAGAGTGCTGAGGGCTGCTGTCGCCCATGGCAAGTCTTCAGAACGCGCTCATCAAGTTGGAGGGCCTTTGGTGTTCCAGGGCAGTCCTTCACCCAGTGACAGAATCCCCAGTCAGGCACTTCCTCAAGTCACTGCTTGGATACCTCTGAGGATGGGGAATCACTACCTCTTAAAGCACCCTATTCCACCTTCAGATAAGCCTGTTTCTCGGACAGATAAGTGTTTATCTGTGCTGAACCTAAGTCTTTCCCGGACACTTCGCAGTTGGTCGTAGTTCCATCCTGTGGTCAGACAGAACTCATCTAACCCCTCTTCCTCAAATAGCAGTTGAGATCCTCTGAAAATCACTGACGTTACCCTCCTGCCTGTGCCTTTTCACCATTCCTGACAAAACACCTTCAATTTCTTCTAATGATTATTGAATGATGTTATTTCCAATTCTTTCATTCTTGTGGTTTCTGTCTTCTGAAGGCACCCCGTGCTCACGCACGTGACTTGGCTCCATGTGCATGGAGTCCCTCCCCACGTGCCTGAGACACAAAGATAAGAAGATGTGATGAGACTCAAGGAGCTCTCAGCGAGGCAGGGAATGGCTTTCCAGGCAGGGGAGCCGCGTGCGCTGGGATTGGAGGCACGAAGCCAGAGAACTGCGGGGTGTATTGCTCAAGCCTAGGGTAAAAACTGGGAGTCATTTGAGACCAAACTGGGGAAGGAGGCAGGTTAGTTTACCTGCAGGTGACAGGGAGTCACTGGGTGACTTTCAGCTACAAAGTGACATGTTCCAGTGTGTACTTTAGGAAGAGCATTTTAAGTGTAGCTTGAAGACTGGGCAACACTGGAACCCGGGAGACCAGTTGACAAAATGACGAGCACCAAGGGGACAGAGAGGAGGAAAACGAGTCATGGATGGAAAAGCTAACAGTGGCTCTTCTCCTGGGGGCAGGACAATGAGTCATTGCTTTTTTCTTCTTCCCTGTGTTCTGCAATTTCTCTATAATAAGTATTTTCTGTTTTCTCTATAATTAGCATGTATTATTTATACAGTAAGAAAAATGTATTCATGTCTAAAGATACTTTTAAACCAAACCAGCAGGACTTGGTTACTGAGTGGAAGAAGGAGCCTAGGAGATCAGTTTTCTGGTCTGGGTGCTCAGGTGAGTGGCGTGACCCCCAGCCTGGACGGGGATGTGAGGAACAGGGCATTTGGCAGGAATTCTTATGGCATCTCTGACAGCTGAAATGACGCCCACAAGCTGCTTTCACTCCACTTGGCCTCTCTCCAGCCTGTTCAGTGGCCTCTGTCCCCTGCAGGCCCTGAAACTCACCTGTCCCTTAGACACCTATCTGGAAAGCAGGTGTCTGTGCAGCAATACTCACCAGCGCTCCAGGACAGCAGTAGCATTTATTTAGATGATAAGTTTTGTCACTCCTTCAGTAAATATTTACTGAGTGCCCACATATGCTCAGCACCAAGCCAGGCCTTAGCAACAAAATGGAAAAGAACAGGCACAGTCCCTCTCACAAAACTCAGCCTAATGTGAGAGACAGATATAAATGTTTTAAAATCCCGTTAAGGAACATAACATTTCAAACTGAGGTGCACTCTCCAGAGGATAGAAAATAGTTCCAAGAAGACATAAAGGAAACGTTTCTGGTCTGGGAGTTGCGTGATGATCCCTGGGGAAACAGATGCTTGGGCTGAGAGTGAAGGATAAGTGGGAGGGAAGTGGGGAAAAGCATTCCAGGTTGAGGGAACAGCATATGTGGTGGCCCTGTGGTGGGAGGAACAGTAGCATATTCAACTCTCTAAAAGAAGAGCTGTTTTACTGGAGTGGGTTGGGGAGAGGCAGTGGGTGGAGAGGTGGGTGTAGCCAGACCCGACAGGGCCCTGTAGGGCACAGGAAGGATCTTGTCTTCATCCTAAGAGCAGAGGAAGGCATTCAAAGTTCCAGCAGGCCTGAGGCAGCCTGCTGAGCAGCCCTCCAGCTGTGGCCTGGAGGGGAGCCTCCCGATGGGTGTCCCTTTATGTCCCACACCCACCGTTCTCTTGCCATTGGAGGCGGTGGCACTGAGGCCCGTCGAGACACCCCTTCATGCCTGGGTAGCCCAGATTTGGGGTTCCCACCACCTCGAGTAGCACTTGGAAGACGTCCCCCACCCCCCACCCCCAGCAGATGCCCTGAAAGCCGCTTTGCAGTTCAGTTTTCAACTTTCTTCGCGGCTCTGCATACTCCAACACTAATGTGTATACAACTTGCTAATTAATGGAATCATTTCAATCTGAAAACATCTTGTTCTAATGGGAGGCTGCAAGCACTCTTATTAATTCACAGGTAAAATCATTCCAGCTTTTCTCTTCTTTCTTTTTTTTTTTTTATCTTCCCAGCTTGGCTTAATAGCTGGGAAGAATCATTCTAATCAGCCTTGCGAGAATCACATCACCAGAATGAAAAGCACCAACAACGGCCTTGGGGTTTGGGAAAGGGGTGACCAGCCTTAGTTTACCCAGGGGCAAGCGCGGTGGATGAATGTGAGGGTGAGATGCCCCACACAGAAGGTAAAGACACAAAAAGTGACCTGTGTAGTGCGACTTGGAGGGGGGTTTCCTGTCCTGTGTGTCAGAGGTGGCACTCAGGGTGACTTTCTGCACCACTGGCTCTGCTGGAGGGAAGGAGGAGCTGCCTCCACATTCTCACCTGGCATGTGAGACTCACTGCACTCACCTGGGCAGGAATCTCACACGTGACTTTCTCGGGGCTGGGTGTCATCTGGGGGTGACTTGCTGATAACCACCTTCCTGTCATTTGCAAATGATTTGCAGTGTCCCTTTAAATGAATGCCATCCCCAGTGTGTTATTTCTGGTATAACCGAGCTTAGTAAGGGGGGCCTTCTCCCCATAGACCGCGGTGCAAGCCCCAGACCTCACCGACAACACCCATGTCCCCAGGCGGGCTTTTCCTTTACTCTTTTTTACCAGAGGGATCTGGGTGCTTTTTAGAGTTTCTTTTCTTGTGGTAATAAGAACATAACAAAATTGATCATTTCAATGATTTTCAAGTGTACATTCAGTGGCACTAAGTATCTTCACACTGTTGTACAACTGTCATCACCATCCAGCTCTGGGACTTTTTCCAATCCCACCATGGGAAAAACCTCGAGGATAAATGAGTCCCTGCAGGGCCGTCTTGAGTCCACATGAGCTCTCACTGTCCTGAGATGCTGCTCTAGGAGAAAAAGATGCTCAGTTGTCTGTAAGATGGGGTATTACACAATTTGACAGTTATGGATGGAAACAACATGTTCTTCCCCTTGGAAGTACAGCAGCTGCCAGTCCTTTGCTTTGGATGAGTCTCCAAGACAGATTTGGAGTGAGGCCAACCTGGATTTAGACCCCTGCACCATCAGTCCTTGGCGTGTGGCTCTGAGCCTCAGTCTTCTCATCTAAACAACAGGGCTGGCAGTTCCTTCCTTGCAGAGTTGCTGGAAGATTGCATGAGATGGCGTCAGCACGGTACCGCGGTGATGCTTGGTTCAGTGAGTGGCTCTGTCCCCGCAGGTCTCCAGGTGGTCCTGAATTCCATCATCAAGGCCATGGTCCCCCTGCTGCACATCGCCCTGCTTGTGCTGTTTGTCATCATCATCTACGCCATCATCGGCTTGGAGCTCTTCATGGGGAAGATGCACAAGACCTGCTACAACCAGGAGGGCATAGCAGGTAAGAGGGGCAGGCGGCTGCGCTCCCAAGGCCCTGCCCTCTATCGCTCCCAGCACCTTTCCCGCTGCTGGCTACACCAACATGACCAGCAGAGCCCAGGGAAGGCCCCATTCATTCAGACACACACTGGGCATGGTTAAGTGAGAGGCAGAGACCCGTATCCTTTTTTTCTCAGTTCCAATTTTTGTTTTAATCTCTGTTAAACCGGCCTAACGCAAACTTCGTTCAGCACTTTTCAATAAGCTACACAATTTGAGAAACATTTGAATAACTTAGAACCTATCTTTTGTCAATCTACGACTTTTCAAGCCAACCCTGAGTATTTTAAGAATCAGAGCTGACCTGGGGTCGTCAGTCTCTGCTCCTTCCATGCTTCAGTGTGGTTGGCCATTGGGAGCCCTTTCACGGGGCCGCTTAGCCCTGAGCAACAGGTTCTCCCAGCACCACTCTAAGATTTTTCTACCTTCATGGTGCTGATTCCAGATCCTCTGTAATTATTGTTTCTGCTTCTCCATTCACAGGCAGATGCCCCAGAGCCCCTATTCCAGGTGGGGGAGGAGGGCAGGTGGGAATCACCCCCTTGCCGGCAGCCAAACTTCCTCCCTTCAAGGAGAAGGCTTAGTTCTACCCCATGACTCCCAGTCCCTTCCTTTTTGAGCCTTCCCACTTCACGTTCCTTCCATAAATCAATATATTTAACAGCAATGCTGGCTCATTAGGCGCTTCCCTGCGTGGCACTGGAGTTTTGGCTTGCAGGATATGCTGCAAGCTGCTGCTAAAGCTACTAACATCGCAGCTTGGCCTTTTAAAGAAACATTTAAACAGAAATTGACAAGGCTTTTAAACAGACATATACAGTGGCTTAACACAAAGAACTTGTTGAAAAAATAACACCCACCCCAAAGGGGCTAGCTGTGTTAAATATATATGATTTTTTTCACACAGCAAGATCCATCATCTTAGTTTTTAGCATCTTGGTGGAAAAAGGGGAGCATCATCTGCCGGAAACAGTGAAGGATACCTAATTTTCTCCATCGACACTGCACCTCATTCCCACTCAGTCCCAGCACTCAGTTAAATGGGACCTCTCGCTTCATTGGGGTGAGGAGGGATAGCTTCCAAACAACAGGGAGTGAAATTCGTAGCAGAAACCAAAACAGAATACTTTCTATGTATGATCTAGTATGACCGGATGGATTAACTGCATATTTGAGGGCATTTCTAGTTTATTTCTACATAGCCACAGTCCTAAAAACAAAACAAAACAAAAAACCACACACACAAAACGTATACTCCTATAGACACAGAATCACACAAATGTTTTCACTTTTTGGATGGAAGTCTGTTTAACAGGAGACTGTTTTTTCACTCTAGAGAGAATTTCCAAATTACTTGGGTCATAATTGTATAAAATAAACTATCCTGTTTTCAAAAATGGAATCCTTGTTAAGTTGGAAGAAGCAGGTCTTGCCTGTAGCTAAAATTCTGAGACTTTTTAGCCTTGCTTAAAGAAATGCGAAACCATATATGAATAATATTTTCCCCTTTAATTAAAATCCTTCCTTTTATTCAGGTTGATTTATAGCTAGCTCAGAACCAATAAATTTATATGAATTGTGTGGCCCTGTGAGAGCTCATTTTAAGACTCCTTAAAAACTGACTGTGGTATGTCTGAAGTTCATGCAGTTGTATTGAAATTATCAATGACCCATTTGACCCAAACTCCTCAGGAAGTCTCAGACATGTGGAGTCTCAAAGATTCCCCATCAGTTCAGCAGTGAATGATGGTGAGGCCCTCACTAACAAAATGGGGGAGAGCGAAATGGTAGAATTCAGCCATCGAGCCAAAGATGGCGGCCCTGCTGTGCAATCAGAGGTCTGTGCACCACAGAGTAAGGAGAGGGGCTCCAAAGCTGCAGGCAATTTCCATCATCCTAACGAGAAAGCAGTCCAAGAGTGTTTTCTGCCGGTGGTGGGCTCCTGCAAGGGCGGGTGAGGATAAGCGGCCCTGAATACTGGTTGGAAGCCCAAGGCTTTGTTACCAGGCCTCAGAGGCCCTGGATAGTCAGAAAATGGTGAGCATGGTAGACAAAGAAAGCATGGCACGGGGAGGGAGCCGTCCTGAAGGCCATAGCCGTAGGGCCCAGTGAAGAGGTCGCCCCAACGCCCCAAGTACCGAACCTGTCATGGCCTCCTCTTCTCTTAGGACAAAGATAAGACTTGGCCTCCCCAATTGGAATGGCCAATTTAGGATCACATTGTCCACCCTTGATAGTAAACAGGACCAGGAAAAGTGCCTGAGAAGTTGCCTCCTACCAAGAGACTCATCAGATTGTTTATGTGATGGGTTTATCTTTGCCTGCAAGTTCAGAAGAGAAGTAGGCTCCCATCACAGAAATGGCCATGAGCCAAGGGGGCCAGGACAACAGCAGAAGTGCTCCAGAGAGAAGGGCCCTGCCAGGCTCCATGAGAAGGTGGCCTCACTCATTCGCTGGAGTCAGAGTCCCTGCTGGGAAGAGGGGCCCAGGACACAGCTGCAGAAGCCTGTCCTCTCAAATACTCTGCAATCAGGAGCTTGCTGTCCCTTCGTTCCCAAACCTGCCGTCTGATCACAAGCCAGGACCCACTCTGTCACTCTTAGCACAACACGATGCCGCTGCTATCAAGCCCTTGTCCACCCACAGAGTGGGCAGTGCAGACAAGGAGGGAAAATACGCGAGAACCCAGACATGTCTGTGCAGCCGTGGAGTAGAAGACCAAATACTTGCAGGCTTTGAAACCAACCCCTGAGTGTTTTGGAGAGTTTTATATAAACTTTGGAATGGGTGGTTTAATTTTTTTCTTTCTTTCTTTCTTTCTTTTTTTAAAATTTCAGACTTTGGATTGAATTACCCTATTTTCCGCAAATTTAGATTACACAAAAGTGCTTTGTGAGCCTTTGTTGTAATTTTTGATGAGATTTACATCAAATTCTTTTTATAGTCCAATATTATTTCACAGACTGTGAATTTTATGTATCTCTAGATTTCAAAATACGTTTGATTTTGAGCCATGTTTCCAATAAAATCCATAAAGAAAGTTATGGAATTGTCCAGGTGAGCCATGTTCTACCTCTAGACTGCCCTTCCAGGGAGCAGCCCCGGTGAAGGCGGTCTCAGAAGAGGCGGCGTTTCCCTAATCCCGGAGGCATCTGCAAGGCGCCTTCTCAGCTCCTCAACAGACACATCACCATATGCCGATACCTTTTGTTTCCGGTTGTCCCATCTGTTTGATGGTGCACTGAGCCAGGTCACTCTGAATAGCTTCCCAATCACAGTAATTACCCCTGAGACTGGCACAGAGCTGGTTGGCTAAAACCTAGAAATGAAATCATCTTCATTCTATTTACTCCTTAAAGTTGAGTTTTAAAAAAGTAATTGATTTTTGTCTTCAGTGATTTCTCCTTGGAATCACTAACTGGAGCTCTCCCAGGATTGCATGTTTGTGTTGGTATTAACTGCGTTTCTAACTCTCTCCTAATCGTCACCTCCATTATTTTACCGAAAACTTAATTTGGACTTTCCAGAATGACTCTACCTCTCTTCATTTCTGTCTTAAAATGTAGAACCTGCATTGCTTTGTTTCTGTCTCCCACTTCATGTTCCCACTTTCCTCCCCAGGACTTCATGACTCTGCAAAAGAAAACTAACACATTTTTACATTTAAGCAAATTTCTCCTCACCCTAGAGTGTGTGTTGCTAGGACCTGCTGATTTGTGTGTGTTCACATTTTTTCAAGTGTTCGCTTTAGCGCTTTTTATAGATACCTATTTTTACCAGATCATCACTGCTTCTTAATTGTTCTCAAATCTTTTTCATTATTGTTCAAATCGGATTTTAAATAGCAGAGTGGCACTAAACCTTTAGATAATGTTTCTGAATCTCATCCCTTTCTCTCTTATTAGTGAGATCACTTCCCCTTGATGCCATTTTCTTTTTCGCAGATATTCGTAAAATCCCCAGAGATGTTTTCCTTTCTCGAGGACACTCAGAATTCCCTTTGGCAGCCTTCTCCTCTTCCCTGTTTGTGATGTTTCAGGAACTGAGAGTGCAGGGAATGCTGTCAGATGAGTGGTCCCAATGTAAAGATTAACTTCATCTTTATTCTGCGAAAAAGCAAAACATGAGAAAAAGATGCAAGAAAAAGATGCAAGCTTCCCCTTCACTTTTTCACCCTTTCTCTTTGTCCCGTCTCTGCTGTCATTCCAGTACTTTTATCACAGTGACTGAACACATCTCCCTAGAAAGCTATGACTAGAATGGGTGACAACCCAACATAATTAATGATCTAATTGGCTCTTGGTTTTCCAGTCTCTCAGCTCCCAAATTTTTCGGTGCTTATTATCCACTTTTTCATGTATTATTTAGGCTTAGGATTTACATTTTAGCCTCCCCCTTTTTTGTAGCATCACATCCAAATCTCTAAAGATTTCACATTTTTAAAAGTCATAAAAAGTTGTAGTTAGAGGACTGCTTGTTTCAGCTGCGTTAATGGAGCCCTCCTGGGAGCTGGACCCTGAAATAAGGAAATGGTGTGGATACTGTCTCTCTAGCAGTTCAGGGACCAGCAGTGCAGACCTTTGCACCTTGATCAACGAACACAGGACTCACACACAACTTTAAGCACTGGCCCAAGAATAAGCCAGGAAGCAGCATTATTCATAATAGCCCAAACCTGGAAATAATCCAGACGTCCATCAGCTGGTGAATGGATAAACATACAATGAAATACACTGCTCAGCAATAAAGAGGAACAGAGCCTACTGATATATGCAGCAGCACGGATGAAACTCAAAACATTATGCTAAGTGAAAGAAGATGGACATAAAAAGCCTCATAGTGTGTGATTCCATTTATATGAAATTTCTAGAGGAGGCAAAGCAATGGAGACACAAAGCAGATCAGGTTGCCAGGGACTGGGGATGGGAGGAAGGATTGACTGCAAGCAGGCGAGGGGGGTTTCAGGGAGTGATGGCCGTGCTTTAAAATGGATTGTGGTTATGGCTGCATGACTATATAAACTTACTAAAAATAATTAAGATGTACATTTACATTGATAAATTCTGAGGCATGTAAATTATAAGTCAATAAAGCTGATGGGGTCAGTGGGAGAGAAAGAGAGGAGAGGAGAAGAAGGAGGAGGAGGAAAAGGAGGAGGAGGAGGAAATGACAGAGGAGGAAGAGGAAATGAAATTGACAGAGAACAAGGAGGAGGAGGAGGCCACAAAGATGACCACGAAGGTGATGATGACAATGAAGAGGAGGAGGCATGTAAATTATAAGTCAATAAAGCTGATGGGGTCAGTGGGAGAGAAAGAGAGGAGAGGAGAAGAAGGAGGAGGAGGAGGAGGAAGAGGAGGAGGAGGAGGAGCTGCCACTGCTGCTGGGAAGACACAATCGGGCATATATTTTCAAGTAGACTCTATTCTCCTAAGAATTATCTCTTACTTAAGGATTAATATTTCTCTTCTGGTCTTCCTCTTGGGAGTGAACAGTTTCAGATTTAAAGCCACCGACTGAGAATCAGCCCACCGGCCAGTCCTGTTCAATGCACAGCCTAACGTAGGCAAAGTAATCACACTTACGATTGTTTTGATATATATGAAACCAGAAAATAATCCTGGGTTATCTGTTGTCTCTAAATGAAGAACTATAAGCAAATTCTCTCTCTCTCTCTCTCTCTCTCTCTCTCTCTCTTTGGAAGTGTATTTTCATTGTTATAGGCAATCATTTATTTGTTGGAACTGGGGTCTCTTCTGTCTGTTATTGTCATTACTTTGTCTAAGGACAGGACAATGTCCTTGATTTCACAAACTTTTGTGAATTCCACACCGTTACCTTCCATAGCCAGAGCCAAGACTTTCTCAGTGTTTTCCCATAATGGAAATTCTTAGATCAGTCAGGTCTTGTTTAAATTTACCATCAATCTCCACACTCAAAATATAAGTCACATCTTCATTCATTAATTTGCTGGGAGCTATTCCCAGCACGTGAAATTAGTCCAACTGCTGCATTTAGCCACAGACACTGTGTTCTACTGTTTCCTGACAAAGCCCCGTCCGTACTGAGGAAGCACACTCCCTATTATTCACTGCCGCTCTATCTTGATAGAGGTCAGAAAATGATTCTTCTCTTCTGAAAAGTATTCATGCTGCAGAGCAAAGGGCAGAGCTGTGAAGTCCCACATGACATGCATGAAATACAGTCAGTAGCGTGTACTCACAGGCTGTAAGGAAAACGGCTGCAGGTGATCCCTCTCCCCGGCAGTCAGAGTCCGTTTTCCGTCTTTCGCCTATGTAAGGCTTCACTGTAAAGTGACTTGCGTCCCTGGCAATGTATCCTCTAATACATAGTGGACCCATATAGTTAGAAAGCTTTATTGGATGGGATCGGTTGGCTAACTATGTGAAGGAGTCTTTGCATTGGTATTGTCCTTACCCTAAATTCTGGTATTCCAATACAAGTGTCTATAGAACTCTACCACCAGAAAAAGAAAATATGGACTTCTAATCGCTTTCTGGGTCAGTTTCCACTTGCAGTGGTGGCATCATCATTATTTTTTGATTGGCCATTTGATTTTGAGGCTGACATGTTGCAGCAGAATGGGCAATAGAAATCAATTACTAAGATTAAAATACAGCTTTTACAACAGTGAGTGGAAAGGACTGACCTTCTAAATTAACAGCAGCCTAAATGGAAAGCCTACTTTCTTGTGTTGCTTAATTCACATCTGGGGACCTGATTTAAACATGTCTTGCGCTGTTGTTGCCATGGTTGCTTTGCCCATCCCATCAACCTCATCCTGTCACTTTTCTCTCTGACTTCTTTCTCTGCCCACATCTCTCCCTCCCTGCTGCTCCCGTCTCCTGTCTTCTTCTGGCCATTTGAGATGTTCCAGCAGAAGATGACCCTTCCCCTTGTGCGCTGGAAACGGGCCACGGGCGGCAGTGCCAGAACGGCACGGTGTGCAAGCCCGGCTGGGATGGTCCCAAGCACGGCATCACCAACTTTGACAACTTTGCCTTCGCCATGCTCACGGTGTTCCAGTGCATCACCATGGAGGGCTGGACGGACGTGCTGTACTGGGTACGTAGCATGAGTGGGCAGTCAGAGGGTGGGGGAACAGCGGCCGTGAACCCTTCCCTGACACCTCCCTTTCTCCTCCTCCCCATGGTCTTGGGGTCACATACGCATCTTGATGGAATGGTTGATGAAGAGCGTCTTTGATTTCTTCCAGGTCTTGCCTGAGAAACAAGGCATGAGCTTTTCACCCTAACGAGTCCCCTCCCCCACCCGCCAGCCTTAGGGGAAGGTCATTTTTCCAGTGCGTCCCACAGTGCAAAACCCTGGTGTGCAGGCATGGATGAGCTGGCCAGGCTGGCACAAGGGTTCCGTTCAACTCCTCCTCCCATGCAGAGTTCCTTCTGCCCTCATCCTTTTCTTGCCTCTTTCCTCAAAAGGGAGCTAGAAGGCAGAATTATGTATTCTTAGGGCAGAAGAGAAGAAGTCCTGATCTTCTAAAAAGAAGTTATATAAAGAAACCATTTTTATTGAATTGTGTAGCATTGTGACATGCTATTCAATTTTTACTTTTTATTTTACTCTTACCTTAACATATTAGAATAGTCCATCAGACAAATGCATTGGCAGCATTTTTACTATTCCCCAAACATGCTGCTGGTCATGTGATGCCTATTTAGAAATACACTTTTTTTTTTTAATTTTTATTTTACTTTAGGTTCTGGGATACATGTGTAGAACGTGCAGGTTTGCTGCATAGGTATACATGAGACATGGTGGTTTGTTGCACCCATCCACCCGTCATCTATTAAGCCCCACATACATTAGGTAGAGAAATACCACTTCTCGAGAGCCACCCAATCAATAGCAAATCTTCGTTTACCTTAAAGTTGCCCCTTTTATTACCCAGTAGCCAACACTACTTTGCTGCGCTTTGAGCCTCTGAAGTGCCAGATTTTTGTACAGCCTACCCCACAGGCAAATCCACACTCCATATTTGAGCTGTCTCGATTCTGGCAAAGTCCATTATTAGGAAAAACTCCAGAAAATTTATTCTTCATAGTGTCTCCAACTTCAGCCTGAGAAATGACTTGCCAGAATCCAGTGTTGTTCTCCAGAATTTGGGCGAATAAAGCATGCTGCCAGTCTTAAAAATACCATCTCCTTCAGAGTTTTGCAAATAGGCAAATTTATTTGGCCATCGTGAAAACAATCTAAGAGCCTGCTCAGGGAACATGTCTACAAACCAAAGCAGGGAAGAGTGAGAGGGGAGCAAATGCTTCCCGTTGAGCAGAGCTGCCAGATCAAAAGGAAATCATGCCAAGAGAGGCGTTGACTTCTTCCTGAATCGGAAGGAAGAGTTTTGTAACTGTACGGAGATTTGGTGCACAGTATTCTGTCATATGATTTCTTTAAAAGCACCATGTCCTGTTGATTCAGAATCCCTCTTTCTCAGTTTTTACATGATAGTCAATATGCCAAACCCCAGTGTTGCTATGACATGTGTCCCTCCCTCTGTAAGTGACAACTTGAAACTTGCCCGAGGACCTTGTACCCAGCAAACATTTCCTGAGTGTCCTTGCCTGCCAGGGGTGCTCCTAGGCTCTGAGGATTCAGTCATAAATAAGATCCAGTCCAGTCCAATTATCTCAGTCTAGGAAGCCAACTAAACTCTAAACTGAGTAATGGCAGTATGGCTGGACCCATGCCGCGGCAAAGCTGCTGTGTTGTGATACTTTCAAAAAGAAGACAAAGGTCAGAACCCCTCTGCCTCAAACTAAAATGAAACACTGGAAAACATTTCTGAGATTCATGCTCAATAAGACCTTGGTTTTGAATAATTTGTAAGACAGAAGGAATTGAACTTATTACACTTAGGGAAACTTATTTTGTTTAGCAAAGCAGACAAAATTCCCAAGTGGACCTAGCTGGTCCTTCTTCCTGGGGTGGGTCCCTCTGACCAGCCAAGGACAGAAACATCCTTCTGCCAACAGGCAGTTTCTGCCTACAGGCCACATAGGATAAATGATTGTGTGGGACTGTGCTTTGGGGCCTCATCCCATAAGCTTCAGGCCCATGCATTCCATGGCATCAAACTGAGGGCAGGTGGCAGTGGAGGGTGGGTGGAGGGTAGGAATAGATATGACTGCCTTTGCTGATGTATTTTTGTGTTCTTCCTTCACCACTCCCTTCTTCTCCCACCACCACAAGTCATTGATGCCCCACCAGCCAGATGTGATCCAAAGAAATACTGTCATAATGACAGCCGGGGCGGGGAGCAGAAGCAGCAACAACTGCAACCACCAATTTTCAGCAGCTGTGTTGTGCCTTCTCCCCTGGGGAGCGTGTGATAGTGCTCAGGCTGGGAATGGAAACAGTGTCAGAGGTGAAGAAACAATCCCAGGCTCATGGGACATGCCTCTCTCTGATTTTCCCAGCACCTTCCCAAAATGGCCATGTTGTGTGTGTGTGCATTTGTATGTGTGTGCACGCCTGCAAGTGTGTATACACACACGTGCACATACACACACCTAAAACTGAAACTTGGGTATTCATGATAGAAGCCCTGCCTAGCCCAGTGCTCCTGCTTTCAATTTCTCTAATTGCTTTGACCTTTCTACGGCTGTTTCTTCCTTCTTCCTCCCTCTCCCTCTTCCTTTCTCTCCAGTGTCCCTCCTCCTTAGCTTCTAGGCCAGTATCTCTAAAGCACAGACTCTCAAATCTCAAAATGTTCTAGCATCAAACATAGAGCTTTGTAAATATAAAAATACCCAAACCTCCCTCAGAGCCATTGAATTAGAAGCTCTAAAGTCGGGGCCCCAGTATCTGCATTTTGAAAAAGCTCTCCAGGTGATTCTGATTTCCAGGCTGGAGTTTGAAAACGCTGGAAATCTAACCTGTTGAACCTCATGGTGCTGGTATGATGCTGCTGGCTTTGAACCCTTCTAAGGAGATAGTTTCCACAGGGAGGAGGGGGAAATAAGGCCTTTCACTCAGAAGAATGAATTGTCCTTCAGGCACAAGGGCAAGTCTAAAGGACTTGAGAAGGAGCAGCCAAGATTTTCAAATATAGTAATGCATGGAAACCCCAGAGCTCCATTCATTCTAAATCACCAAACAGCTGGAAAAGAGTAAGTCACTAAAGCATCAAAGAAGCGATTGGTCAGCCGCTGGTTATGGCCTGAGATAGAAGGGATCAGGGAAGGCACCTAGCAGATGGCAGCACTTGCTTCCAGTTGTGGATGATACAGTATCTTTCTCTTTTCCTCTAACATCCGTTATTGCATTCCATTGTTAGATTTTAAAGAGTGGACTAAAAATAAAATCAGACTTGGTCGAGTAATACTTGAACATTGCTTCAGCTATGAAAGCCATTGGCCATGCATTGCATTGAGGCTCCAACAAGCCGAGCAATTTGCTGAAAACATTTCTTCTACCTAATATCCTGTTTGAGGAGTGTGCAGATGACAGAATAAGGAAGGGTGGATACCGGGGATTTGGAAATGAAACAAAACTCGGGTTTGGTGTATAGTTTCCTTAGGAAATTACTTCTTAAGCCAAAGGCTCATCCTTTACTCTCAGAATGTCCAAGACTCTTAAAAACAGATGGGTAGGTGTGGGGAGTGTGATCAGATAAAAAGCGCTGGCCTTCTTCAGAGGCAGTGAAGCACCAAGGAGGGAAGAACCTAATGTGTAACGTTACCATTGTTTTCCATTCTTAGTTTCACGTTTTGTTTTTTTCAAAAATCTAAACATCCCTAGCCTTTTGCACATCATTCAAGGCTGCTTGTCTCCCATGGTCTACGCATGAGCCATCTCAAAGATGTAAAGTCTGCTGGGTCAGCCTCCTTTGCAGGACCTTGTCGATAGGATTCATAGGCATGCTCTGAGAATTCCAGTTGGTTTGAAACTCTGAGCATGACCTCTTACACACTGTGGGCAGTCACAATCAGGTAACAGAAATATCCATCAATTAAACATCTTTTCAGTGCTGACTTTGTGTTCAGCACTTGAGATGAGGCCCCTGCTCATGGGAAACAGAATGACATGGCCACTGATAGGGGTTGGGGACACACGCAGAACGTTGCAGGTGAGAATTGTGGAAGGGGGGCAGCAGCTAGACTAGGCATCACACTAGAGGATGTGTTTCTAGCTCTTTAGGAATCTCAATGCCTGGATAATTCATCAGGAGCATTCTGTTGACTTCTGTCCACCCCATGCCCTTCTGGGATCCCCAAGAATGTTGCACACTGTGAACCACAGTAAAGAGCCTCTGGCCCGCGTTATCCTGGGTTCATGCCCCTTCCCATCCTATTGGGACCACCCTCTTCCTGACACCACCCATTGCCCCTGCATTAGTTTCTCCGTGATCAGTTCTTCGACTGATTTTTTTTTACAAGTTAAAAATTAAACTTAAAAATTAGGTTATAAAAAATACTTAATGAGAAATCATCTAAAAGAAAGATTTTTTTAGAGTCACAAATAGTGTGTTCTCTAGAACCTGGAATTTGTTTTGGTTCAGCCAACAGGAGACTCTTGGAACAAAAATCTAATGAGTTAACTTTTCATAAGTCACTTGTCAGCTCCACCCTTCATCTTGCCATCCCACTATGTGTCTGGATGTGCGGAGAAGGTATTTCTATTAAATTCACACACACACACACACACACACACACACACACAACAGCTATTAATCTCTTGGTATTGGTGCTGCTGAAATATCCCTCGTTTATGACAAAGACCTTTTGCATCCAAGCAGGTTGAATTGGGTGTTTTACCCTATTTTTGTCTACTCCATCTTCACAAAGCCACCTCCTTTCACTGCAGAATATAGAGTTGCTGAAGGCTTCATAAAAGTTAGAGCTGAATTCTGCTGATGACCTAGGAGTCATTCTAAGTGAGGAGCTGAGAAACCCTCAAGTAACCCAGAAACAGTGTCCAGGGCCCTTTCTCAGGTATCGGAGTAGAGACCGTGTTAGGACCTCTGTGGTCCCTGACTTTTCACCTGCCTCCGTGCTACCCCCAGGGTGCACCTGTTGCCTAAAATGGAGAATCCCTGATCTAAACAGTAAACTGGCTGTTCAGAAGCATATCAAGGAAGAGAGTCAGCATCTCTCAAAGCCATTCTTTATTTATTTATTGGGTTTCATTTTATTTATTTTGCTGGTATTAGATGAGTCCTTATGATTCTGTAATTTAATTTAGCAAACATTTATTGAGCATTTGCTGTTTCCTGGGACGAGGGATGTGGGAGCACAGAGAAGAATAAGGCCTGCCCAGGCAGTTCAGGTCTAACTAAAGAGTTGCAGGACATGCGGAGGAACACAGCTGAGCCATGGGGGTCAGTGCCCTCTGTGGGAGCAGGACAGCCCTGAGGGGCACAGAGCACTCCAGGACCAAGTGGGGCTTTACTGGACCAGGAGAGAAGGCTCTTCTGCCTGGGGAAAGCAAGCTTTGTCTCAGTTTGGGAGGCCGCAGAGACCTGGGTTTTAGGTTCTCTCAACATTGCTATGGCTGTCAGCCAGTTGTCTCCTGCACAGGTCTTCACACACTGGGGCCCACTACTCTCTATGACAGCTCCCAACCTCCCACATGATGTCAGCACATGAGTCCATCTGATTCCAGGGAGTTTGAAATGCATGGAGGAGCTTATTTTGTTGGCTTGCCTTGGTGTTAGGAGCTTGTTGTTTTCTTCCCCCATGTAAACTAAGCTTTTACCTGGGCTCTGAGGCACTCCCGGGTTTTCAGCACTCAATAAGCAGGTGCAGGGGTGGGGAGCAGCCAGGTGGAGCCTGTTCCACAACTTCCTGCTCACTTGGTGCTCCGTGAGGTAGCTGCCCGTGTCCCAGCAAGCAAGGTGACATAGATTCTGAAAGCCGCAGGTTGATGGAGCTATTGCCCTGAGCTGACTGGTGTTCACTGGCAGCAGCAGATCCTGTCCCCCAGTGACAGTGTAAAGCACCGTGGCTTTCACAGATTTACACCTCCTGCCTTTCGATGGCAGGTGTCAGCCTCTCTCTCGACATTTGCTGAAACGATTCAGCCTTTTTGGATCCACAGTGCCTGTGCCAAGAACCTTACAGGAAAGGTACACACAGCTTGAGAACCCGTGGAAGTCTGCTGGGCTGGGGAGTTGGCCTCGAGGAGAGGGGCTAGGGAAGCTTATTCCCCTGTTTATCTTTTTGGGGAAAGATAAAAAGTGGACTTGAGGGTTTAAATCTGGGGTTCCCTTCAAGGAATTAGATGCTGGTTGCCGAAAGGTCTTTGATAGTGTTCATTCAATGCTCCCTCCCTTTGTAGTGAGGCTGTTTCAGCCAAGGCAGGGGCCGTCCTGCCAGTACTTGGGCCTGGAGGCCCTCAAGGCTACAGACAATGAGCTGACTTTCCTTAGGAAAGTCAGGAGACCTGAGGAACACGGCTTAATGGCTCTAGAAGACCTATCCCTTATTTCACCTCTAAATAAGGGTGTCAGCAATCTGGGTCATTTTTTTTTTTAAATCTGACTTTATTCTTTGTCTTCTTAATAGCTCCATTTCAGCTGCTTTAGGACATCAATCTCATGACTCCAGGCATCGCCCTACTTCAGAGCCACCCAGCTTTGTGTGCTCTCTACTCAGCTGTCCCCCCAAAGTAGGTGGACCAGAATAAAGAGGAGAAAGTAAGAGGGAAGTGAAAGGAGAACTTTCCTTTCAGACCAGAGCCAGGCAGGCCAGAGAATCACCTTCTGTGGCAGCCGAGCATTGCTCACCCAGGCAGTGGGGTTCTGAGGACCACCCTGGCCTCGTCCGTCTCCATCTCTCATCTGTCCTCCTGCTTCCTGCCCTCGCCTGCTGTTCCCCATCTCGAACCTCTAAAAAACCAGCCCACAGCCCAGGGGGGACCAAAGCAGCAGTGTGGGACGGCGAGGGGGACCCATGAGTTTCCTCTTATGGTCCTGGCTGTCTGTGGGGCCATGACCTTGAGGTCTGTAGCTCCCCCTTTGAAGTCCTTCATATGCTGGAAGCCTCTCACCTTGTGTGTGGCGCAGAAGAAAGGATTCCCAGACTAAGCTCGGGCCTTAGGAAATCTCCAAGGCGCGTGGGTTTGTGTGGCCTCCAAGGCTGCATTTTCTGTGAGGTTAAATGTTCACAAAATTTAAGGGGTGTGAGGAACTAGTGAGGAAAGATTTCATTTTGAGGAAGTTGCCTGGGCGCCATCGAGCCCAACTCCCACTCGCCATCTGCCCAGGCTCCAGAGGCAGCTTTGGGAGGGGAACTGTGGTGAGCACGTCGTGGCCTCCTGGAACTGGCTGCTCCCACGTGTCCTGAAGAAGGTGGGGTCTGTGACCCAGAGAGGAGCAAGGGGAGTTTGCCAAGAACAGACATCCTCTGCCACTCTTGATCCCCTGACGCACACGGGGCAAGCTCCTTTGGGGTCGAACAGAACAGACCAGTTGTTTGGAGTAGGTCAGTACCATGGGGTTCTGCACGCGCTTCAGGGTGCCGGCGTGCCCTCGAGGCTGTCTGCAGGATGCTGTGTGTGTGCAGTGCACATTACTGCTGGTGGGAGTCCATAGTTCTCAAAAGCTTTTCCTGACTGCCCCACCCTCTCAAAAAAGTAAAGCAGGCCGGGGGCAGTGGCTCATGCCTGTAATCCCAGCACTTTGGGAGGCCGAGGTGGGCGGATCACGAGGTCAGGAGATCGAGACCATCCTGGCTAACACGGTGAAACCCCGTCTCTACTTTAAAAAAAAAAAAAAATTAGCCAGGTGTGGTGGCGGGTGCCTGTAGTCCCTGCTACTCGGGAGGCTGAGGCAGGAGAATGGCATGAACCCAGGAGGTGGAGCTTGCTGTGAGCCAAGATCACGCCACTGCACCTCCAGCCTGGGCGACAGAGTGAGACTCCACCTCAAAAAAAAAAAAAAAAAAAAAAAAAGTAAAGCAATACTCATTTAGAGGAAAAGAAAGGGACTGCTTCTGACCCTCCTTAGCAGGACTTACTCTGAGAGAGGAAAAGCTACAAGGACACCCACAGGCTCCCCCTGACCTTGGATCCAGGTTTCCCTCTTCCTCAGCAGGTGCCTGGGACTCCCATTCCAGGGCTGTCTCAACCCCATTGCCTTCCCTGTATCAGAGAGTCCGATACACAACAGAACCCTTACACAAGTAGGCGCTCGGTAAATACTTGTTGAACAAACGTGGACTCTGATGTGACCACTGCTAAGAATAGTCAAAGAATGACCTCACGGTTCCCATCGTCAAATGGGACCTGCAGACCACAGCCCATCGTGGCCAGCACGGCTGTCAGTGTGGCCTGTGGTCAGGCAGCTCATGTGGCTCTCATGCCTTTCTCTCCCTAATCTCATGTCACCAATCCCACCCATCCTGTATTGGCTCGGGTTTGTTTTTCTTCTCCTGGTGCTGAAGTCTGGTGTGGTTTCCTTTGCACTGTTGGTTCAGACAGTTACCTTATCGCTAAAGGAAAGCTCCCAGGCTCCCTGGGATGGGGACAGTGTCTGACACACAAGGACCTTTCACCCCGCCTCTCCTAACAGATGCTCTTTTGCTGGATATTTTAGTAGTTCAGCCACTGGGAGAATCTTTGCAGCCAGGATGGCCTCACAGCCATAGGCTCTATTTTTAACAATTGCCGACTTCTGCAAACCTCCATTGCTATCATAGGACCACATGGACTCTGGGGCTTCCTTCCTGCTCTTTATCTCCGTTGCCTTCAGTGGCTGTGCAGTGCAAGGTTGACACAGGCCTGCTGAGCCTGGCCCTTGCCCCCCTCAGCCTCACGCAGACACTCTTCCACTGGTGGAAGCCTTCTGGGACCCTGCGTGCTTCCTTCTGCAGTTGCAGCTGCCAGCCTGCACTGTAGCTGCCTGGTCATTTCCTGTCTCCCCTCCAGCAAGGATTTCGTGTTTACAGCACAGTACCTAGCACATATCAGGTTCACTCATTCACTCAAAGAGCGTTAGCTGAGGACCTACTATGTGCGAGGCATCGTTGTAGGCACCTGGGGTACACCCGTGAACAAAGCAGGCCAGAACCAACTGTCCTCGGGGAGCTCACATTCTAGCATGGAAGACAAACAGCAAATAATACACGTAATAAATAGGTAATGATACAGTTACCAAGTGAGAAGTGCTCTGGGAAAGCAAACCAGATGTGAGAAAATGGGCATGCTCAGTAAACCCACGTTCAATTGAATTTCACGATGGCATGGCCAAGTGGGCACACACTGGGAATCTTCTTGCCCCAGACACGATATTTGCACTATGCACAATGATTATGTTGGGTGAATTTTCCTAACCAAAATTTAGTAATATCAGATACATCTCAATGGATCTGTAAAGAACATATTGGGATGTAACACTTCATACCAGTCAGACTAGCTAGGTGTCTCGGTACTTCTCAGTCTTTTATTCCCGGCATGCAGAGAACATGTTTATCCAGCGTACTTAGACAAATGCATGTGGCTGCTGAAGCTGCAAAGCCCAAGGGCTGAGGGTATTACTATCCCACCTGCCTGAACTCCTTTGAGGCCCCTGGGTGGAAATCGTGGGGTGGTTATCAAACTTGAGCATAGCCTAGAATCACCTGGGATGGTTAATATGCAGACTGTGGGCCACCCTGAGATCTTGGGGGCATGGGGCAGGAATCTGCTTTGTTCATAACTCTCCCAGATGTTTCTGATGCTGGTGGTCCTTGGACCACACTTTGAGGAACACTGCTATGCAACCTTGTGGAGGTACATGGAGAGCCACACACTTGTGTTGTTACATTTGAAATTGGGAGCTATGGAGAGAACAATGTGATCAGTGGTGCTCAAGCATGCATCAGAATCACCTGTAGGGCCGTCAAAACGTGGGTTGCTGGGCCTTCCCCACAGTGTCAGGGTGAGGTCTAGGTATGTGCATTTCTGAACAGGTCCCCAGGTGACGCTGAAGCTGTTCGTCCGTGGGCCACACTTTGAGAGCCATTGATGTGAATCATTCAGGACACTTGTGTGCCTTGGAAGTTTGGGTTTCTATGAGCTAGTTTCACAAGGACAAAGTTGGGTGCATTTTTAGGAAGCCAGAACTTAACCCTGTTTAGTCAGAAGGCATCAGAAGAGATAGCTTTGAGAAACTAAATCAGAATAAATTTCCTCTGATGGAAGCACAGCTCTGCAATTTATCTTCACGTCCACCCTCCAGCCAGTGGTGAGCTAATAAATGTTTAAGCATCTCTTCTTAGGGTCAGCGGGTACAGGGGGCTGATTTATTGCTTGCCTATCTCTGTGGTGTAAATACTTCCACCATGGTCAGTTTCAAGCTGCCAGTGTGGTCAACGAACACGGAGCTGGGAAGAGATGTGCACGGTGAGCTCCCCTCAGCCCCCAGGAGCCAGCTCCGGCGCACCACTCCCTCTGGCTGCCGTAGGGGTTTGTGACCTTTCAGGGCGTTCTCCACCATTCAGTAGTTACAGTCAGTTTCCACATTAAGGACCATTTACCCCTAAGCTGTGGTTGCAGTCACAGGACCCTTCTCTGAATACATAAACCAAAATGATTGCCTCTCCCAGCCGGTGGCCCGCAGTACGTGTGAAGCACTGGGGTTTAGCCTCTAACTTCCGGGCTTGGCCCACGGTCCAGGTGGCCAAGGTTATCTTCTGAGGAAGGTTATCTTTCCTCACACCTCCTCTGTGGTTTCAGTTCTCCAGGCCTGTCAGCAGGAGCTGACGCACTTCATACACCAAGGTCAGGGGCCTCCGGGTGCAACAGAAGGCTTAATGTCCAGGCAAACCCAAGTGAGTTAAACCATCCCATGCTGAAGAAATTATTTTTTGAGGTGACCCATTTTCTCAGACAAGTGAATAGAAAACATTGGAGAAATGTTTCTTTTTCAGAAAATAAAACCACAGAGAGACAGAGTGATTCCTCTTGAGGCAGAGCGGGCCGAGGTCCCCTTCGGTCACAGGAGTTCCTTTGAACATGGGCGATGCCCTGGGTAACACGGGTAACCTGGTGCACATGAACAAAGCCCACGTTCAGCCCCGTCTGTCCCCTCCCAATCTGCTCACACCTGCTGCCTGCCTCTTTGCTGTAACCCAATTCTGCTTCTTCTTTCCTAACTTTCCTTCGTCTTTCCAGATGCAGGACGCTATGGGCTATGAGTTACCCTGGGTGTATTTTGTCAGTCTGGTCATCTTTGGATCCTTTTTCGTTCTAAATCTGGTTCTCGGTGTGTTGAGCGGGTAAGCTGACCGTTTCTATGTCCTCTCCACAACGCAGCCGAGCAAGGTCTCAGGTTCCACTCCGTACATGCCCGGGGTCCTCAGGGATGGGACCCTGACAGGCCCAGGAAAACCACAACAAAGCCTCTGTTCAACCACAGATTCTGACCCATTGGCCAGGCAGGCTGTTTGGCCTCTGATTTGCACCTAGAGGGTCCCCGGATCCTGGCGCTGCGTGGGTCAGTGTCTCGGGAGCCGGGGACCGGCACTGGCCGTGCTCGGTTGCTGAGTGTGCCTCACTAACTATCATTCCGTTCTTCCAGGTCAATGATGCCGTAGGAAGGGACTGGCCCTGGATCTATTTTGTTACACTAATCATCATAGGGTCATTTTTTGTACTTAACTTGGTTCTCGGTGTGCTTAGCGGGTAAGCAGGACCAAGGAAAAAGGTCTTGATTTTTCCATTTATTTTTATTTATTCTTTCTGCTATTCCTGGCTGTATTCTTTTTCTGGCTCTGATGAACCTGGGATAAGGGGTCACCACAGGAGCCTTGAAGTGGATGTCCTTGTCCTGGCTGGGTAAAGGGTCAGATGTGCCACTGGTCTTGGTGGTGGACAATGGAGGAGAGCTGGCTTCACCACAAAAAGTGGGTCCAGCTGGCCCCTCCCAGCCTCAAGTAGCTGTCCAGGCAGGCAGGGCACTTCTCCTTGTGCCTTCGTGGCCTCTGGTGAACAGGCCTGGGTAAGAAAAGACTGGTTTAAAACATAAACAAAGACAGACTCAAAATCTAATTCTCATTTTACTTCATAGACTGAGCAGTCTATCTCTGAGTTTCCTTTTCTGAATGGAAAGGACCCTTAACTGTTTAAAGCCATATATTATTTAAGAATAGAGGAGATGGGATGCAATTTCCTCTAACTTTATATCTAGTTGGCTGCAAGTATCACATCTACCTAATTTCAGCCCTTGCTCAGATGAAGTTAGAAGTGGTAGAAGTAACCGGGCATGGTGGTGCACACCTGTAGACCCAGCAACTCAGAAGGCTGAGACAGGAGGATCACTTGAGCCCAGGAGTTCAAGGCTGCAGTGAGCTATGATCGTGCCACTGCACTGCAGCCTGGGCAACATAGCGAGACCCCATGGTAGAAGTAGCACGTGGTTGGAAGGAAGCACCTGAGGATGGCCACCTTTTCACCATGGAAACGCATAGGATATTTCCTCAACCCACTTTCTTCTTCAGAAGTCCACACCAGCCATGCCAAGGCCTAACACCTAAATGCTCCTGGTGACCTGCTCATGGGTAACCCACTCTGCTGCCTTTGCCACTTGGGGGAGGGGGGTAATCTACTTCTACTCTGCTTGAGACTGGTCAGCTGCTTTGCAGAGTCTTCCCTAAATGTCTAGAGAGGTTAATGCTGGGAGAAATTTAAGCATAAAGACAAAGATTGCTCTCCACTTTCCCCCAGTACCTAAACTGGGAATCGCTACTCCCAGCTCCTACAGCTGCCCTAATGCAGTTCAGAGCAGTGGGCTTGGCCTTCAGAGCTGCGTAGAGGAAAGAATCTCCTCCCAGCTCTTCCACCTCCCATGGAGAATGGCCCAGTAGAGACCTTGATGACAAAATGCCTTTTGCTAAGGTGAGGCCACACAGGAGACTAGTGCCTTCCATCAGGGATAACAGTGATGAGCAGAACAACGTAAGTCCCTGATTCATTGCCTGGAAGGTAGAGAGGTTTTCAGTTTTATGTTCAAACACAAGAAAATGCCCATGTGTTTATATGTGAATCTCTAAGGAAAAGATTGAAAAAATCAACCTCATCACCCTGAATCAAAGCAGAAATTGAGGCATCCCAGCTCTGCCCTTGCTGGGTACATAATGTTGGGTGGTTTCACCTTTTTAAATCTTAGTTTCCCCATCTGAAAAAGTGAAGCTGATAATTCCAGTGCATAGGTGGCTGTGATGATAGAATAAGATCATTTTCAGAATACTTAACACAGTGGTATATAATAAGTGCCCAATAATGGTGCTATCATTACAATGATTATTATTTACTTGGTGCCTGTTATAACTAGAAGTATAGAATCATCAAATATTAGACATGCTCCAGCCTTTCCTCTTAAAGATGAGGAGCGTGAGCCCAGAGATGTTAAGTGATTTGTACAACGTCACTTCCCTGGTAAGTAGCAGAACCAGAGCCAGCCCTCAAGGCACCGCCTCCCATGAGATCTATGATGAATGAGCTTGAACTGCAACACAAGCCACAGCTCAAGACTTTTAAAAGAATGTAACTCCACTTTCTTCCCCTGGAGACTGGGAACCAAATCTGAGCAAGTAACCCCCCACCAAGAGCCTGAAGTGGAGAATGAGGGCTGGGCCCTGAGGGTCCTCCCTGAGCAGAGCGTCTGCCCAGGAATCAAAGCAGTGAAGTCAAGTGACAGAAACTGCTGATGTTGGGGAAGAAGCCACTTTGAAGGCCATATCTTGGCTGACTCAGCCTAAAAGCGCTAGGGTGTATTTAGACCCCTCACCCCAAACCTGGAGCTTAGTAATATTCAAAAATGTTGGTTGACTCAGAACAAGAACATTAAGGCTATCTGACCTCTGAACTTAGGAGTCTTTGAGTCGATACGCTGGTCTTTCCTGGAGACCTTCGCCAGCCTCTGTTTCCTGACCTGTTCTGAGAGCTGCCGTCTGCTCCTTGCAGCTCCTGAATCACTGATAGAACATCTGCCAAGGCTTCCTTGGCCAAAGGTCTGCCCTAAAGAGCAAAGATGTGTGTATGGGCGAGCACCTCCCCTTTCTGGTTTAAGGAGGCCTCTCCTCATGTGTCAAGGGCTGGCCACTCTGAATTGGTTGCCCCCGCCCCATGCAGTGCCAAAGCTGGAATCAGCTTCTGTTGGCTGACCACTCAGAGGCAACGGTTTCCAGTCAGTGTCTTGATTAGCCAGGACCGTAGAATAGTCACACACTTACTGGGTGCAGATGTAGTTGACCATGCAGTCAAACACCCACTTATTCATCAGACTTCTGATTAAGCTACACTTCCAGAAGCATTCAAAAAGGTCTCACTGCTCCATGAAATTGACTGTCACATTAACAGTCACTAGCATTCTCTGTGTCAGGCTCCGTGCTCGGCGTGTTCGCTAGATTCGCTCAGTTAATGCTCATGGCAACTCAGTGAGCTGGTGCTATTCCTGTGTCCATTCTACAGAGAAGGCAAGTGAAGCTCACCAGGCAAAATGACCTCAATCCCAGCAGGTGAGAAATGCAGGATGCAGAGCTGAGCCCAAGCGATGTGAATCCATCACTTCTATCCCTGACCTCTGTGGTGTACTCTCCCCAAACCCATAGGACGGGTTCATCCCATGCTTTTAAATGACAGGCGAGAAATGGAGAGGGGAAGAGCAGAAGCTGCAGTAGGAAGGGTGAGAGGAGCGAGCAGGCAGGCACAGAAGCAATCAGCACAGACTGCGGGAAACAGCCAGCAGGCACACAGAATCCCAGCAGGAAGCTGCGAAGGCAACCGCCCAGAGGCCTGCAGCAGGGCTGGGCTGCTTAGCAGAGGGACCGGCAGCCCTGCAGATCTTCATGGCCCTTGAAAGAGAGCAAAGCCACTAACTGAATAGCACTGCAGTCTTGGAGCCTTCTGGGACTGGGAGAAGTGGGTGTGAAACCCTGCATTCCAACAATTAAGGATAATATGATTTTATAGCCCTGCACAGTAACTCATCCTCATAAATTATGTCCTTCAGTCACTAAGGAAAGATTGAACGGTGCTTGGTGTGTTGTGCTTGTGAAGGTAGAGAAGATGACTCCATAAAGCTTCCATTTAAAGTGTGGAAATTCAGGGCTGCGCATGGTGGCTCATGCCTATAATCCCAGTGTTGGGAGACTGAAGCAAGAGAATCATGCGAAGCTAGGAGTTTGAGATCAGCCTGGGCGACATAGTGAGACCCTTTCTCTACAAAGAAAATATTTTTTAATTAGCTGGGCTTGGTGGCAGCACCTATAGTCCCAGGTATTCGGGAAGCCGAGGTGGGAGGATCACTTGAGTCCAGGAGTTTGAGGCTGCAGTGAGCCATAGTCATGCCACTGCACTCCAGCCTGGGTGACAGAGCGAGACTCTGTCTCTAAAAGTAAAAAAGAAAAAATTTTTAATGGAAATTCAAAGACTTTTGGCCCTGAGAGGGTTAGACCTCTTCTATCTGGATCATGCACACATCCAGAACACCTATTTCTGATGAGGCCAGATAAAGTCAATATAAAGAATAGATATTAAAGGATTTTTTCAAAATACTTTATTATCTGATGGTCCTCACATTAACCCTATGCAAGACATAGGACTGGTGCTCTTATGGATAATAATCAGATTATGATTACTTCCCCTCAGAAAGCTCAATCTCCAGTCGACTAGAATAAAGACAACGGTGATGATGACATTCTTGAAATTGCACTTGAAGCTGTAATGAGGTGGAAGCCTCTGGACTCTGGTTGCTTTTTGTTTTAAGCGACTGCAAACAGAGGGCTTGGGAAGTGCGCCTCCAGTTGGCAAGAGGCCCACGATTTCTTACATAGGTAGTCATCCCATCCCTTTTCCCACTGGGAGATGGGCATGTCTTGTCCCCAAAAAGCAGAGGACCCGGGAGGTAGGCATTTTACAGCCAGGAAGTATCGCTGGACCATGGCCCACAGTTAAGACACAGTATCTGGGACCAGAAGAAAGCAATAAAAGGTCAGGACACACGTGCCTTGTGGGTGGGAGCAGAAGAGATGGCCCAACATACACAGTCATGTTATGGAATGTAACCCTTACATGTTATGGAATGTAACCCTTATTCATGACGGTTACATTCCATAAAGTCACCACAAACATGAAGTAGTGGACACTGAGACGTTGGTCCTGAGGAACTACAGAGTTGTTTCCTGTGAGCCTCTGCCCACATTTTGTCAACCAATCAATACATAACCTTGTTTTAAGTGTGTTTCTATTTAAAGACACCTTATTTAATATATATGATTGATTCATGAACATTAAACTCCTGGCCACTAGCACCGTAACTCGCACCTGCGTGAAGCTTATTTAATGCACGTGTTTTCTCTGTGCAGCACATCATAGCCCTCCTACGCATAGTGACACAGGACGGCACTTCAGCATTATGCTTGGGGCCATTTTAAACAGCAAAATCACCAACAAAAAGCACAAAAATGAGAAAACATGGCACTAAGTGGACGGTGAAAAGGACACCTCACAGTATGAGAGCTGAATTGGGAAGGCAGAACTCTACATGCCCCTTGTTTGGCCTCAGCGGGAACATGTAGAGTTTTTGTCATCTGCACATGTCCACAGATGACTGAAAGTGCCACGAGTATTGATTCTGGAGTTACAAACACATTTTAGTGAGTAGGCGCATTTGTAGATGTGGGATCCACAAATAAGGAGCCTGGGTGGTATCGATGATCAAAGGGCCTAGCACACCTCAGGCTATTGGTTGGATTCCACACACACCGCCCTGTGCATGCTTCACATCGCTGAGCCCTGGCCCCTGGCTCTCCACACCACCCCTCATTTTTCATGTTGGCCATTGCTGGCGAGAGATGCAGTCCTGTCTCGTGACAAATCCCACAGCTGTGACTGATTGTCTTGCCGGCTTCAGTCCCTGGGCCCAGTGCAGACTGTCAGGCTGGGGCTCCATGTCTTCATTAGCTCAGTCCCCAGAGCAGGAACATGGCTGGCATCCAGGCAAGGAGATAAAGAGAGCCAGGCACTGCCACCAGCAGATCCTTTACCGTGGGAAACCTTGGCTCATCTTCCATCCAGCCTCAAGCCTGTCTGTGCCTCATACTCCATGGGATCCAGCCATGCTCCAGATCTGACTAAAGCCCTTCTCCATCCCTCTCACACTCCCAAAACACATCCTTCCTCTATGAGGAAAATTATCTTCAAGCCAGGCAGAATCACCAGCATACCTCGTGTTCTGTTTCTCCCCCTGTAATGTTTATTTTAGATCCCCAGAGGCCTTGGGGTATAGATGGTGAGCTTCATTCCATGGGACTGTTGCTGTAAAACAGGATTGGGCCAATTGTCCCTATTCCAGTTGAGTCCCAGTCCTATTCTCCCAATTCCAAAAGAAGGATGGGAAGGTGTTTTGTAACCAGAACTTGAACCCTCTGCAAAGTCACTCAAAAGAGCTGAAGTGAGCCCTTACAAGGGACTGTGAAGTTCAGCCCCTTGCAACTCCAAACCCACCCCAGAGGGGTGCAAATGGAGGTAGACAGAAAGACAGTCAAGAGAGGAGGCCTTGAAACATAGTTTTTGGAGTTGATTTGCATAGGGAGAAAAATGCTATATGAGGTTACTGTCTCCAGGAGCAAGACTAAGGCCCCGAAGGCTTAACCAGGTACAGGGGATAAGAGGTTAGGAGGAGAGGGGATGGCATCTCTCTATGATCATCCCCAGAAGGGAAGGAGCAAAGTTTCCCTCGCCATTGTGAGCTGTCAATCTGTCCCTTTTCCCTAGCATAAAAGTCCTTGGGAAAAAAATGAAGGTACCCACTGGTTGGCAGGAAGCCCAAGAAACAGCAAGTACAATCCAATTAGAATTGGATTCAATCAAATTTAAGAAGAAAATTCAATCCAAACCAGAGCATCATTAAGGCAGCAGTTGAAGAGAACTGGTTAGCTTGACAGCCCCCACATTCTCCCAATTAAAAAGTTCCCTAGGCCCCACCCCAGCCCCAACTCCATCTCACCATAAAGACGGTGCATGCTGAAATTAGTGCTCTCCCAAGTGGCACAGGCCAAATGCAAGCACTAGGCAGTGCAGGTAGTGATGGAGCTGCCCCACATGACAGTAGACTCAGAAGCAGAGCCCTTTGCCCTCTTATGGTTTGTGGTGCTGTCCCTCCTTCCATGGTGCCTTTCCTAGAGTGTGGCTTCAGCAAAAAATTCTCCAAGGTGCTTCCAGCAGCCTCGTGCCCTGAACTGGGCCTTCATGGGTGAGAGAGGAAGACATCATGGCTCCAAGAATTAACCAAGATGTCCTATGCATGTACACACACACACACACACACAAATACACACATACATGCACCACCAAGGGCCTCATTCCCCAAAGACTGCATATCAAAACCAAAAATACTCCCCTATGCCTATTTTGCAAGAAAAGGCACAGACTTGCTTTGAGGGTTGAGAATTCACTTTGTTGATGATTGCCTTCTCCTGCCAGCCTCCTCCTTGCTCAGAAAGTGAATTCGAAGTCAGAGAGAAAATTAGGACAGAATCATAGAAAAGAAATAGTTATTGTGTCAGAAATTTTTCAATAGGCCATTCTTCCAGCAAATCCCACCCCAGTTTCAATTTCTACTCATTATTACTTTAAATCAAATGCATCATTTAACTTTTATATCATCTTGATTTTATGTATTTTTCTATTCTGATTGGATTTCTTTAAACCAAAAGGGCAGCCCCCAGGACATTTTCTTGTGTTTGGAATCTTCATTTGTCTTCATGTGGGAGAGAACCTTCTCTAGATTAGAAATCCTTCCAGGAATGCTGAGTGGCAGGTTGAGCTCGTCATAAGAATAGAGATTGAGGACATTAAATCTCCTGGGTCCCAAATCAGTGGTATACTGGTAAATATTTAACAATTGGCTCTCTATGGGGAAAGCCCTGGTTTTCAGCATTTGCCAGTTACCATGGTGTAAATATTCCCACTGTGGCCGATCTCAAGCTACCAGCGAGACATCCCTGAAGCCAGAGTTGGGAAGAGACATGAATGATTGGCTCTCAGGACCTGGGGCGAGTGAGTGGGCTTTGGTACACTGCCGGTCCTAAAACCTTGTGTCACCTGGAGACCCTTGGGAGAATTTTAAACTACCACTCAATACTGGGTGGGATGGAAATGCATGTTCTGGAATGGTGGTGGAGGTTTTTAGTTACTGCTTGGAACGAGTTCCCAGGTCTTCGGAGAACAGTTATTAAAAAGCAAAGCCTGTGATCATGATCCAGGAAAAGAGGGAGATGGACTTCATCCATCCCCTTAAGCCTCTCCTGGCCAGTGTCAGGAATGTCCCCTTACTGACGCTTCCCATCGAGGTGATAGTAGACCTAACCTAGGCTGACTAGCGGAGCTGTCTGTGGAAAGTAGGGGCGTGTGGGCAGGTTTCTCCCTGCAAAGCAATTAAGACTCTTGTTTCTCCTTATCTCCATCTCTCCTTCCATCCTCGACCCTTCTCGGTGCTCCCTCCTTCTCTGTGCTCTCCTGCCCTGCCCCTCCTCTCACTCTCACCAGAGAGTTTTCCAAAGAGAGGGAGAAGGCCAAGGCCCGGGGAGATTTCCAGAAGCTGCGGGAGAAGCAGCAGCTAGAAGAGGATCTCAAAGGCTACCTGGATTGGATCACTCAGGCCGAAGACATCGATCCTGAGAATGAGGACGAAGGCATGGATGAGGAGAAGCCCCGAAACAGTGAGCAGCCGTCTTCTTCTGTGTTTGGGCTGGGTTCTGGGGGAGAGGAGACAGCATCGGGGTCAGCACAGAACTTTGACCGCCACCCTTTCTTAGAAGCCCACGGGGTGCCTTCCTGGAGCAGCAGTTATCTCACTGATGGCAGTCACTTGCTGCACACAGACATCGGTCACATGTGGGAAATCATAGCTGTCGATCTAGAAAACCTCATGCTCCTTTTAGAATATTTCACCTTGAAAGACTGTTGAGATTTTGCTAAGGCAGAGGCTTTTTTAAAATCAGAGATCCTTCTCCTCCAGGTTCCACCTCTTTGGGCAGGGGCACAGGCTTCCCGTTTGAAAGCGCAGGCTTGTTTAAAAGGAACAATGTGTGCCAAGCAGCTGCCTGGAAAACTTTATACCTGCTCAGGATTCCTTCCCCCTTTGCAGATTTCCATGCACCACTGAGCTTTCTCATAGGAAAGGTAGTGAAAGGTTTTCCTTAAGGGGGTTAGATTCAAAGACCTGGGGAAGTGCTAAGTGGGAGTGTTGGGGGAAGCCCAGAGGAATTCGGCAGAATGCAATTAGGTGATGGAAGTTGAGCCAATTCCCTTCCTTGGGGGTTCACGTGGCCCCTTGTTGGATAGGCTGTGGCTGAGATAGAAATGAAAGTGATGGATGACATTGACTCACAAATACGTAAAAAATGACGGATCATGAAAATTCAGGCTCTTACCAGACTAGCTCCATGGTTCTCAAAGCATGGCCGCTGACCAGCAGCGTCAGCATTACCTGGAAACTTGTTAGAAATGCAAAGTCTTGGGCCCCACTCCAGATCTATTGACCCAGAAACTGTGGGAATGGGGCCCAGGAATCTCTGTTTTGACAACTCCCCCAGGTGATCAAGATGCATAGTAAATTTGAGAAGCTTTGGGTTAACTCTAACCACTCTCTATATCTCATTTGGCCTTGATCTCTGTGACTCGAATCATACTCTTTCTTTCTTTTTCTGTGTGTGATATCTTTCTCTTTCACTATACATGTTTGAATAGGTGCATTTTTGTCCTCTCAAGCAGCCTTACTTAAAAACAGTTTCCTAAACACTGAGCATCTAGAGTACTCCACGAAGCAAACAGGTTAAAGAGCCATCCAGGGCATTTGCTGCGTGGAGTCATGCTGGTAAAGACAGGGAACTGGAACTTCACCCTGAGCAGAGAGGATGATGAGAAGAGCTGCCAGGAGCAGAAACAGGTGCAGGAAGAAAGGACGAAGATAGCCAAAGATGTTCACGGGAGCAGAATCTCTGCTCCCTCATTTCAAAGATAGCTTTAATAAATCTATCAACTGCTCCCTTTCTGATAACGCTGCTCAAGGAGCAAATACAAAATTAAAGCACACAAACAACAAGGGACTGTTAACAACATAATGTAGTAACCTAAGGAGGCCTTTGTGCTCCATTAAGTGGTTTTGCAAGTTGGAATACAGGGCCTTTGATGGATTATAACAATGAGGGTCTTCCTGGAAAAATGCCTGACACCTTCTATTACACTGTTGATGGAACTGAGGAGTAGTTGATTAGTTTGTGGCACTGAGTGGTATGGTAAATAAATAAGTTGGCCTGTGAGCCACGGAGAAGCCTACCTCTAAAATGCAGGAATTTGTATGCTGGCTCCTGGCTCCACCCTAAGTCAGAGCACTGGTGCTACCTTGTGACTGACGGTGATGAGCATTTCTGTAGCGCGTGTTATTGAAAACCTGCAGTAGCCACTACACGCTTAGCAGCCAGTGGTTATCCACCGAGATAACAGAACGTTGCTATTCTGTTCTCCGCCTAAAACAGGAGCTTCCAAGGGAGAGTGTGCTGCTTCTCCATCTAACCCATTAAATGAATAAATTGTTAGGAGAGTTCCCAGCATGGAGTATTATTTGCTGCTGGAGCAGATCACACTGACAAGGCCCATCTACCCAAATTTCTTGACAAACTTTGAGAAGAGCATAATGAGCTGCCTAACCCAATAGACAGTCTCGCTAAGATTTTCCTAAGCCTAGATAAGGATGGCCTTAGACTCTGGAGACTGGTTTCTCTCACCTTGCACTGCTTCCTTACGGCTGGAGGAGCCCTGGGGGTCTGTTTCTTGTCCTAAGAGGACTGGAGTGGGAGCCTGGCTCCTTCATTAGTGGAAATGCTAATTAGTGGGACAGTTCCAGGGGATGAGGCAGGGGAATGAATATTTTAAAAAGCAAGATGTAGAGAGTAAGATAGACACATGCAATGAAGTGGAACGTGAGAGACAGGAGTGGAGCTGGGAAGAGACTGTGTCTGTTGGGGAAGTCCAATTAAAAGTAGAATTGATGTGATGAAATGATTAAGGAATCAGAGGCCTAATTCACTTGCAAAAAAGGTAAGACAGTGGCTCAGAAACTATCTTCCTGTCTTGAGAATTTCATAGATTGCTCTTTGAAACAAATACAAGGGGAGAAATCCTGCTACGTTTGAAGCATGTGTGTTTCAATTACCGTAATATCTTAGCCTTTGAAATTTCTAAAAGACTATAGTATGGTATGTTTGCCAATTCTCTTCAGCTCAAAAGCCAAGTCATCTTTTAAGAGAAAAGGCCGATCACTCTTCATCAGCAGCTGTGGTGACTCCGCTTCTCCCCTGGGCAGCATCTGGATGCCCGTGGTGTGAGGCTGGGGAGGTGGGGCTGAGTGCAGTGCAGGAGCTGCTTGGTGACACCCAGCATATCTTAGGGGAGCCCAGGGATTCTGTTTCCTTAGGGAAAGCTGCAAAAGCCACCAAGGAGTAGAAAAAATGGGCTGGAAGGACAACAGAAAGAAAGCGTGCAGTTGGGGACATTTCTCTAAATATTAGTGTAAGTGAAGTGGCCCGTAAGTTATATACAAAAATATGTTCCAGTTCATTCATTCATTAGTCCACCCATCCACACATGAAAGGTCTGCTCTCTGCCAGGCACTGCCATAGACACTGGTGATAGAGCAGTGAACAAGGGAGTCAAAAGTCCCTGCCCTCGTGGAACTTAGATTCTAGTAGAGAGACAGGTGGTAAATTAAATAGCATGCCAGAGAGGGGGGAAGCAGTGAAGGGGGAAGAGTGTTGAGAGGTTGTGATTTTAAGGGGTCAGCCAAGGAATGTCTCACGATCGAGGCAGCATTGGAATAAAGACGTGGAGGCTGGAAGGAAAAGCACCATGCAGATAGTTGGGAAAGGAGCCTTCTAGAGGCTAGCGAGAAGGGGCCAATGAGAAGGGGCCACGCTGATGAATCCGGAGCTGAGGAGGCTTGTGCAGCTGGAGAGGAGGGAGTAAGGGGGTGAATGGTGTAAGGTGAGGCTGTGGGACCCAAGGAGTAGGGTATATAAACTATTGTGAGAACTTGGCTCTTACTGGGAGTGAACCAAAGAGCCTCTGGGTATTTAATTGCTATTGAGCAGAGAAGCAACACGATCTGACAGACACTTATCAGGATCCGTCTGCCTGCCATGTGCAGAATGGAATGAAGGTGGGCCAGGGAGAGGCAGGGGTCCCGTCAGGTGCCTGCTGCCTCAGGAGATGCTGGGCCTGGTCTTGACACCCATGGAAGTGATAAGGTCAGACTTCAGGATGATGTCATTTGCAGACGCGTCAGATATGGGATGTGAGAGAGAGAGGTAGGGCATTTTCCAAGGCAATTGTCCTAAACGATGGCAAGAGGGGAATTGTCATTTATGGATATGGGGAAGTCTGTGAGAGGAACGGGTGTCAGGGCAGGAGGATCAGGAAAGCCATCTGAGACCTTTAAGTTTGAAGTGCCTATTAAACATCCAGGTGGAGATGTTGAGTATGTAATAAGGAATGAACCTCTCCAGGAGAGAGATCTGTGGCTGAACTGTAATTTGGGAAGTCAACAACATATAGAAGATACTTAACCCCTGGATCTCTGGATAAGATCACTGGGGTGTGAGTGTAGACAGAAGTGAGATGCTGTCCAAGAACTGAGTCCTAGCCCTACTGATGTTTGGAGATTGGGATACAGGGAAAGAACCAGCAAACAGGACTCCTAAAGGCATGGCCAGAGAGACAGGAGGGAATGCAAAGGAAGGGGTGTGAGCGTTGCTGCTGTGACTGGAAACTGACCATTGGGCTTAGCAATGTGGGGCTCACTTGCTGGTGCCTTAACACAGGCTGTTGGATGAAATGCTGGGGAGAAAGCTTCCTGGCAAATCAGCCTTACCCTGTGCATCTCTCGAGTCTGCATGCCTCCTGCAATGGCATGGAGCGTTGCTCTGCAGGCTTCTTGCTTCTTTGGCATGGCCCAGCTTCCAGCCATCTGAAGAGTCTGGCCATCAGGAAACCAGAAAGAGGAGAGGAGGAGACTCACACAGACTCTAGCATGCCCATGGCCTCAAGACAGTCAGTGTCTAAAGCTTAGCCCATCACGATGTTCCCTTCTACAGCAATGCCAATACTAGCCACTGCCTCTGCAATGGGTTACAGTCTTGGAAAAAAGAGGACGTGATACTCAAGAGCCATTTCAGAGCCAAAAAGGCAAAAAAGGGGCAAGAAAGGGGCATGTTTATGTACTGTTGCCCTGGATGTGGCTTCCTAAGTGGGGCAGCCAAGAGCCAAGCCCCTTTTCTCTCTGGGTAAAGACTAGGATAATGTTGAGGTCTCCCCACTCTAGTGACTGCTTCTCCCCTCCCTCTGAGCAGCAGTGAGAAGCCCCTGTGAAGGGACCCATTGCAGAACTGTCATTAGTGCAGGGTTATTGTCATCAGCAGAGATGCACTGCTCAAAGGGACAGGGCTCATCTTCCAGCTCCGACGTTAAATCTAATAGAAGGTCAGACACTACAGGGAGAAGCCATAAAGAAAAAGAGACAGATTCTCTTCTTTTTCCTCTTCAAGATGAAAAAACACATCTATTAAATATCCATCCTTACAGGAATCTCTCTTTCATGTCATTAAGACAACTTAAATGCACCCTGGCTCTCTAAAGCTTGCAGTTCAATACAGACATTGATGTGGATGAGCACGTAAACAGACAGACAGACAGTGGAACCAAAATATTGAATTTCCATGCAGATAAGCAGGATTAAATATTTACCCCATGGTATCGAGTTATGTGACTCGGGAGCCACTTTTGCAGTCATCACCAGCTAGCAGAGCCACGTGCCTGCTGCCTGCCCAACAGAGTCTAGGATCACATATTACTGAGACAGGAAATTGGAAGGCTTGTAAGAGCTGCAGGTTGCCCACGATAGGGCCCCATGTGGCTTGAGAGCAGTAACCTGAATATCGCTGATTTACATTATTTTATATGTGTCAAGGGCATGTACATAGTTATTTGATCTTTAAAAAAAAATCAGGGCCGGGCGTGGTGGCTCACGCCTGTAATCCCAACACTTTGGGAGGCCGAGGCGGGTGGATCATGAGGTCAGGAGATTGAGACCATCCTGGCTAACACAGTGAAACCCCGTCTCTACTAAAAATACAAAAAATTAGCCAGGAGCGGTGGCGGGCTCCTGTAGTCCCAGCTACTTGAGAGGCTGAGGCAGGAGAATGGCGTGAACCCAGGAGGCGGAGCTTGCAGTGAGCCGAGATCGCGCCACTGCACTCCAGCCTGGGCGACAGAGCCAGACGCTGTCTCAAAAAAAAAAAAAAAAATCAGTACGATCAGTATTTATCTAGATCTCTCGATACCTACAACACAATCCCATGTCATGGCACATACGAGTCACACAAACACATGTGAAGCATCTGGCTCAGATTACATGAGAAGACATGCCAATATTTGTTTTTGTCCTTGATTCTGTTCATACCTTGCACTGTTGAGTGATCATGCTGCCAGGCCATGAAGTGAGAGCAGATCCTTAAGGCAGAGCCTGGAAGTAGCTCCTGGGCCTTCACGTTAACTCTTAGCTGGTCCTAATCAGAGCCCTGGAAACTTTAGTGCTGGAAAGTTGCTGGAGAGATCAGGTGAGGAAACTGGAGCCCAAGGTGGGAAACAGCCACCTGCCTAAATGTTACTGAAGTCAGCACTCAAACCCAGGGCTCCAGATTCCCCATGCAGGACCCTGCCCAGCAGACCACAGTGCTCCTTACAGAAGGCTTCTTGGATACCCAGGCAGCAGCACTCCCTAACTGTCCCTCTGTCCCCCTAGCTCTTGGGGCACATCCCCATTTATCTTGTGGAATTACATCCACCTCTTTACACTTGCTTGCTGGGCTACACTGAGAGGTCCTTCTTGGGGCTGCCTTTAATTCACCGTTGTGTCCCCATGACCTGACACAGGCCAGAGCATGGGAATGTCATGGCACATATGAGTCACACGAACACACGCAAACGCGAGTGCATGCCATATGCCAGTTTTGGCAAAGCACCTTCTGCCATGCTCTAAGCTGTTGGAACAGGTGAGCTCACACTGCCCCTGGACTGAGTTGGCTCATTGTTCTGTCTGCTCAGAATTGACTTCCTTGTGGCATCACCGATGACATCCTTTCAAAGTCATTTCCTTTCATGAACACGGTTGCTTTCCAATAGCCCTCAGTCACTCTCAACTCTTGGAAGGCACCATTTGGAAACAGGCGAATAAGCACAGAGCCCCCCATACGTGTGGACAGTGGCGATGACAGGGAAATTGAAGTGCCGTGGGAAAGCATTGGGAGTTCTTAAGCAACGAGATTTTGCTGTTCCCTGAAGACCATGGTGGCTAGTGGGGCTGTGTACTGGGGCTCTGCAGTGAAACCACTGATGGATATTTCTGGTTCTGGTAGTCATGAATACCCATGGGCGAGGTCCTGTGGACTTGGTGTTGTGAGAGGCATCTCACCCAAAGCGGGGCGTGGGGGCCATGTTGTAGTAAGGATCCAGAAGGGGTCTGTTCATTGGTAGCACATTACCTTTGGAGCACAGCCTGGCTGCTGTGCTATCTGGCCCCGTAAGTGTACAAATGCCATTTTCCCAGCCAGGGGAGCAGTGGAAGAGCTATGGAAAGGCTGTATTGTGTATACAGTGCGAAGTAGGCACGTCAGCCTGTTTCAGTGAGCTGTCGGACACTTCCCAAAGCAAAACCACCAGCTCTGGGCAAGGCTTGCTAGGTTAAGCTGTTGGGAAGCCATGACAGTCTTCTCATTGCCCAATGGCCGTGTGCTTCAGAGGAGGGAAGCCGTGACAGTCTTCTCATTGACCAATGGCCGTGTGCTTCAGAGGAGGGAAGCCATGACAGTCTTCTCATTGACCAATGGCCGTGTGCTTCAGAGGAGGGAAGCCATGACAGTCTTCTCATTGCCCAATGGCCGTGTGCTTCAGAGGAGGGAAGCCATGACAGTCTTCTCATTGCCCAATGGCCGTGTGCTTCAGAGGAGGGAAGCCATGACAGTCTTCTCATTGCCCAATGGCCGTGTGCTTCAGAGGAGGGAAGCCATGACAGTCTTCTCATTGCCCAATGGCCGTGTGCTTCAGAGGAGGGAAGCCATGACAGTCTTCTCATTGCACAATGGCCGTGTGCTTCAGAGGAGGGAAGCCATGACAGTCTTCTCATTGCCCAATGGCCGTGTGCTTCAGAGGAGGGAAGCCATGACAGTCTTCTCATTGCCCAATGGCCGTGTGCTTCAGAGGAGGGAAGCCATGACAGTCTTCTCATTGCCCAATGGCCGTGTGCTTCAGAGGAGGGAAGCCATGACAGTCTTCTCATTGACCAATGGCCGTGTGCTTCAGAGGAGGGAAGCCATGACAGTCTTCTCATTGACCAATGGCCGTGTGCTTCATAGGAGGGAAGCCATGACAGTCTTCTCATTGACCAATGGCCGTGTGCTTCATAGGAGGGAAGCCATGACAGTCTTCTCATTGCCCAATGGCCGTGTGCTTCAGAGGAGGGAAGCCATGACAGTCTTCTCATTGACCAATGGCCGTGTGCTTCAGAGGAGTGGGAAGGTGACAGCCACATAACATTTTGACAGGAGACATTCATAGCTTCCTGGGCCTGGCATTAGATCAGCATAAAGGTGCCTGGCAGCTCTGCCAAGCCATCAGCTAATAAAGGCTCTGCTCCCCTTGGGGAGACGCCTACTTGACTTTAGGGGAGTGTCCAGGCCAAAACGATAACCTTGATAAGCCAACAAACTCCAGAATCCAGATGGCTAGGTTTATGGTGGAGAATATTGTCAATACCAGCTGAGAAAGACACCAGAAGAAGGATTCCCACACCCTTTTTAGATACCTGCCTTTGTATTGGTCTACCTTTCACTGTGTAACAGCTATGGTAGGAACAGAGGCTGTGTGGAGGGGCCTATGAGCAGCAGGGGCTGGGTCGGGTGTTGTGGAGGCCACACTGTGGTTTTGGAGGGACAAGAGTTACCAGGGAGCCACCGGGACCTCTCCTGCAGTTTAAAGTGGATGTGGATAGAGAGCAGCTGTGTTCCTGGGATCGCTGGCTAGCCAGCCACCCTGCAGGGGCAGAGCAAACAGGCTGTTAGCTCTTGAACTGCCAGGCACACTGGGGGTCCTTGGCAGGGTGTGGAGCATGAAGGCCCTCTTCCTCTCCAGGGCCTGGAGGACAGCATCCTCTGCCTGCCCGCCAGGGTCCCAGCCCAAACCAGCATCTTCCGAGCCCACTTCTCTCTCCAGAGGCTTCTTCATCTTCCCAGTTCCCCAGGATACAAAGCCGCCTTCCTCTTTCCTCTCCTGTGCCCTTCCACAGTTATCAGTGCCTGCGTTCAGTCAGTCAAGTCGTATGGGCTGTCCTCTTCGCTTCTTCGCTTGGACTTCTCACTCCTTCCCTCCTCTCCCCTCACCTCTCTCCGCCTGGACTCGCAGCCACCTTGCTGCCCTGCCTTCCAGCCCCGTTCCCACGCAACCTGTGTAATGCAGCCAAGTTCATATTTCTGCAGCCGACTGTGTCACTCCCTTGTTCAAAAGCTTTGAATGTGTCTCCATGGGTACAGAATAAAGCCTGAACATCTCTCAGTATTTCAGGCATCTCCAACCTGTCCCAGCCAATAGCTTGAACCTTATCACTCCCTACTGCCCTGCCGCAAAGCCAGACTGCATCTTGTTTTCCAGAAACGCCTGCTGCTGTCCTGTTTCTGCACCTTTACCCATCTCCCATCCCTCTGCCTACAGCACCTGTTTCCTCCCCTGCTCCTCCGTGGCCTCCTAGCCCAGGTCGAAGAGCACGTCTTGGCTCAGGCCTCCCAGAGCCCCCATCTCAGGACAGGCACTGTCAGCACTCAACCCTCACCTACCCACCAGTCGGTGGGGGTGGCCCAGCCGTCTTGTTATATAGAAAGCTCTTGGGAGGCAGCAGCGTGCATTGGTAACTTCTTATTCACTCTCCCACTCAGTATGTAGGGCAATGATTTCTATTTCACAGACTTCCCCCAAAAACACATAATGAATTGAATTGAATTCTCTTCGGATCAGAGAATTAAGGTCTGATAGCCCTATATTCATACCTAGTTGGCCAAATACCATTTTTCCAGTCTTAGCCATGCTCATGGTAGCCCCCAGAGAGTGTATTGTGGTTGACAGAATGGGCAGAAATGATTTGGCGTTGAGAAAGTGGGCCGAGAGGAAAGTTTGGAAGGAGTTAGAATTATATAGTCCCAGGAGAAGAGAAAGCCGGGAGTCGACAGAACAGGGACAAAGCTGCCTCATGCCCACATACTCCCCGTAGGAGGGGTCATTGTTTCACTGTATGGCGTCAACTTTTAGATTCTGAGTTTGGATCATGGATACATTTCAGCCCTCTGGGGCTCTCCTGGGCTGGGGGGCAGAGGAAGGACAGGGGCAGAGGCATGAGAGGGGATGTCTTTTTCTTGCATGGAAGGTGAAGAAGGCCTGGATGGTCTCCTTTCATCTTGCCCAAGATCATCTCACATGGGTATTGTTTGCCCCATTTTGCAGATGGGAAAAGTGAGGCTCGGAAAAGTTAACGTATTCACATTGTTCAGCTTGTAAGTTGCACAGTTATGTGGCCGTTGCTCCCTCCGTACCATGCTGGTCTCTACCACAAGCCCCCTCACGAATGCCCTTCTCTTCCAACCAGGGGAACCAGAAGTGGGCCCTCCAGTCCCCCAGCCGGAACAGCCTGTGAATTTTCCTTGGTTGTTGCATTTATCGCTTCAGCCTAATATGCAAAGCAGGTGGACGGAGAAAGGAGGAAAAGAGCGGAGATGGGGCGGGAGGGCGGGGGCGGTGGTGCTGGTAGTAGGGCATGGGTTTGATTTTTTTTTAAGTTGAACTTTATGATTCTGAGAACTCTGTTTGAAGCATGGAAAGAAGTTATGGCATTATCTTGCTCACGGAAAGAAAAAGCGAACTGAGGTCAAGCGCCATCCCTTTGGAATGGTTTAAGAGGCAGTTTTGTTTGGAAGGAGATGTGTCAATTCCGTGACCTATCCGATTTCCTTCAGTTCAGGGTTCCTTGGGACTGGCTTAGAGGAGGGTGTTGATCAGCCACAATGCTCTGGGGATGGGAGTTCTAGCTTACCACTTTCCTGCCTTGGCAAGTACGGTGTGAGGAATGTCATGGAACCGCCTCTGATGATTCTGGGCTGTGCAGTGCTACAGCGTCATCACTTCTGAGTCTCTGATCCCAGGAACCTCAGCACTATGGGGCCCCGGGGGGGATCACTGACACGTGGTGTCTTTGGAGAAGTCCTGTCACCTACCTAAAGCCACGGGTCGCTTTAAGAATGGATCTGCCTGTGTCCACTTGGCCTTGCCCAGAGTAGGCACTCAGTAAAGAGCTGATTTGACTTTAATTTGGTGCTTTGCAAATCGATCTATACACTTGGGCGTTAAAGTAGCTCAGCAGAGGGATGGAAGGGGAGATGAATCATCCTGAGTTTCCCTTTGATCCATTTTCTCCAATAACCAGTGCTCAGCCCCGAAACAGAGCTGCCTACACTACAGTTACCCTTGCCTCCCTCACCCACTCCACGCTTCCTTCTCTGTAAACAGTGGGGGTAAGAAGCTCATGCCGCATCAAGATATCTTAACTGTCAGAGGCTATCAGTGGAGGGGAGAGTGACAGCTCCAGCCTTTCTCACTACTTGCTGATGTGGAAAATTATCATCCAGTAATGGAGGGAGATTAGCCACGTATTGTATTTCCATCGTCGGGTGCATGGCATGGGAGGATGATTTATAGAACTGGAACCCTGAAGCTAGTGGAAAGGTCACAGAAAGTGGAATCATTGGCCTCAACACAGTGGCTAGTGTCTGAGGGAACCTCCTAGAGCCACATGCATGCCAGGCCATCCTGAGTGCTTGAGAGAGACATGGGCACATTAACACACATTTAAGTCCCAACAGGGCACCCAGAATACTAAGATAAATAGACACCGTCTCTGTCCTAAGGGGAATTACAGCCTAGTTCAGGAGACAGATGCACCAACAGACAGGTGACAGTGATGAATTGCAGTCATGAACCAGGGGCTGGAGAAACACAGAAGACAGAGAGCAGAGTTTGGAAGAGGGTGGGAGGGACTGCCTGCCCCAAGAAGGATTCATGAAGGTGCCATGTCAGTCAGGGTTGGTGGACCATTGTAATAAGCAGCCCCCAAATGAAATCTCAGTTGCTTAGTACAGTAAAGGTTACTTTTCACCCCACGGTGGAGTGTGAGCTGGGGATGGGAGGGAGGAGAGTTCCACCACACCGGTCTTCAGGCCCCAAGGCTGCACCCCTTTTGTGGCTTTGCCACCCCCGGGGCCTCACAGTCTCCCCTGTCTGCTCTGCATCGGGCCAGCAGAAGAGGGAGCAGAGGGCCTGCTGGAGGCTTCAGCAGCCAGGCCTGGGAGTGTGGGCATTGCTCGCGACACACCATCGGCCGGAACACAGCTCCCACTTCCGCCTGACTTCCAGGGGACTGGCGAAGAGCAGCTAACTAAGTGCTCGGGGGCAGAAGGACTGGGGCTGGGTGGGCACAGGACAGTGTTCCTGCTGCAGTTTGGCAGCAGGTCACACGGCCAAAAGATCGCAACCGGACCTTCTAAGCTGAGGGGGCTACATTTGCAAAGTTGTAGAAGCAAAATAATTTTTAAAAGAAGGAAAGGAAATGGAATTGCACATGTTTCATGGTGATTTGAGTTCAGGGTGCACAGGGGAGAAGCCAAAAAGAAAGATCAGGACAGAAAGACTGGGACCTGGTCCCAAAGGGCCTCGGAGTGGGACTCTATCCTGTGGTTAAGGAGGAGCCACCGAAGAGATTTAAGCAGAGGGATGACAAGGTACCAGTTTACCATCGAAAGGTCACTGTGCAGCCGAGTGTGGACAATGGGCTGGAAGGAGAGAGAAGCTGGAGGCGGAGTGGGGGTCAGTCAGAGGCTGATAAGGCCTGAGTGGGAGTGGACAGGCGGGGAAGGATTGGAAAGAGCCTGCATCCACTGGGATAGGGTCCTAAGGGCTGGCAGGCCCTGAACACCTATCCTGGAGGCTCCAGGATAAACACCTTGTGCTTTTCAGCCTCAGGAATGATGGAGGAGGTTGTGCAGTGCCATGCCCCTCTGAGGGGCTCTTCCTGGGAGTTGGTTTGTCCTGCCTGCTCCTTGGTGGGATCCCTGCCATGACCCTCTGCCCCTTGGCATTCCAAGGCCTGTTTAATACCCATGACCATAAACACACCCACAAGCAGTCCCCTTACCCTAAAAGGTGCCACATGGAGAATTCCAAGCAACTCAGCCTATTAAATCCTTGCCTGCATGATTAAATGCCTCCTGGGGAAAAAGTCGAGTAACAACCCCAAACATAGGCTTTGATGGCTCCATCCTTCAGGATTACTTCACCAAATGGAAATACTCATGCCTCTGGTGACAGCTGCAGTGTTTCCAGAAGAGATTTCTACCCTCATATAATAGGAGAGACTTTGTCCTCTTAAATAACTATGATACCTGCTGTAAGTACTGAACTGTTAATCACCGTGATCACTTTGTGTCGATGCCACACTGCTAGAGGGACAGAACTGAAGCCTTGCCAGAAACAACAGAGAATCTGCTCAAAGAGTTGCCTAATGAAAAGGGTGGTCTGTTGGGGAGATAGATGGAATTCTTCAAAATAGAAGGCAATTGGCAGCGTTAGGCTGGGGTGAGGGTCAGGAGAAGAGGGGCAGCTGGGGAGAGAAGGGCTGGCTCATTTATGTCTTACTTTCTTTCTATATCCTGGTACCAGGTGCTGGATTCCTTATTTAGCCATGTGGTTAGCTCCATCGCCATCCAAAAATTACGGAATTCTAAAACCCTGGGGCATAAAGGGGGCTCCAGGTCCCTGAGTCTGTCCTCATTCCCTGGGCTTAATCATGCATCCCCCGAACCACACCCTACCCCATGTGGGGGCTGTTGGCCCAAAGACAAGTGTCTGTGCTGCTATTCCAGGGCCTTGTCACATCACACTGGAGTGACCACCTCCCAGCTGACAGTGCTCCCGGATTCCGTTTCTTTTAGAGATATGAGCAGGTTTCAACACTGTCTCTGGAAAAATCACAGGACATGCTCAAAGGTAGCATCATGGGAACAGGGCAAGGGCCTTCCACAACAGAACAGGAAGTTGTATTCATTTCCAAACACCTGGCTTTGAGCCGAAACTTGCACTTTACTGATAAGGCCATAAACTCTCCTCCTCCTGCACCCAGTTTGATTCACCAGCAGGGCCCACACATGTGGTGCCATCCAGAGTCATCCCTCCTCAAAGGAAATGATGGGCAAGAAACGTGTTTGCACAAGAGTCTCTAAACACAGCCCATGAATGAATGGTCTCCGGTGAAGGTAGACTGGAGTGATAGAGTAGCATGTTCACTTCTACATGGCGCTGCAGAGAGCCTAAGAAGAGAATGAATAAAGAAAAGTGTAGCCATTTACTCAGTCATAAAAATACACGTCCATTGCAATTTAGAATTAATACAGATTAGTTCCTCCGACTGAAGAAAAGTAACCCCAGCAAAGATCTGCAGGGCCGAGCCACTGGACAGAAGAGCTTTGATAAGAGAAATTTAAAGGTTTATGCTTTCTAAATAGATACATTTGAATTTTGATAAAAGAGAAATTTAAAGGTTTATCCTTTCTGAATATATATATTTGAATTTTGATAAAGTTATTCAGTGTTTTGTTTTATTCTACAAGAAAGTAAGGATATTAAGACATTTTAAAAATGTCTGGGCAGAGGAGCCCTTGCTGTTCCCTAAATCATGTTCTAAAACCTTATTTGCTAAGCCTGAGTCTGGTTTTGACTAACATGGCCCAAGTCTTACTCTAAGAACTTCAATAGTGCCTTGTGTGCAGGATCACAGTGTATAAAGATTAGAGGTCAAGCGAAGACAAACCGCAGGCCAGCACTGTTAAAGAATGATTACAACTGTGCTGGGACTTGTTTGTGTCTTTTGCTTGAAGTAATAGACTAGATCTACTCTCAACAACTTACTGATGAAGTTGAAAAGCCTTAATTATTTGCTTGACAGGCTAGCTTTAAAGGAAAAAGCCTTTGTTTACCTTCTCAATTTCAAGCTTCAAATCAGCCTGTCCAACCATTGTATCTCATGTCCATGACTCATGAGATATGATAATGGTGTCCACTGTCAGTTATTATGTTAACAAAATTATCTGAAAATAACCAAATGCACACCTACTAACACATGCACACACACCAAACACAGGAGCAAGAAGAAATTAAGGACTCCTTTCTTGTCAGGAATATTCAGAATTAGAGTCTCAATGAATTTACTAATATTCGCTAAGGTCAGCTGGGTCCAGCTTTGAGTAAAAAGCTTGGCATGATGCTTGCTATGCCTGGCAGAGGCAGAGAAAAAGATCCCTGCTGTCCCCACAGGGGAGAGCATCTGCTTGACATGAAAAAGTAATGTCAGTGGTGGGTCCCAGCCCCTTGGACCACTTCTGCATTGACTAGGAAGCTAAGGGGTCAGTTGCTAACCATCAGGCCGAGCATCCTAGGTTTTCATCAAGAAGATCCCAAGCTTCAATAAAAACTGCAGAGTTTCTTCTTGTACCTCTTAGATGGTATACAATCATGTCCATGAATTATAATTTCCATAATCCCTTAGTAAACTAATTCTATTAATCTATTAAGTCCTACCCCTTGATTAGATGAGTTGAGAATACAGCAATCTGGGATGAATGACCCTCATGTTCCTCTCCCAACAGGATGCCAGAGTTTTTAGTCTGAACAATTGTCGTGTGCTATACAGGAACTAACAGGAGCCAGAGAAAAGCAGGCAGCCAGACTTCACGGCCCCACTTGATAGCCAGTCTGCAGTTGGCCTCTCCCAGTTTCCTTGCTTGTAAAATGACGGGGGTTAGGTCAGTAAAAGCCCCTTCCAGCTTTGGAATTTGTTTCTGTAGTTCTCAGTTGACACACGTTAGCTTTAGCTCCAGGAGCCTGGGCCAAACCTGATCATTTCAGTCCATCAGACCCCAGAGGAATTCAGTTGATTCTAGCTTCTTAAGTCCTCAGACTCCTGGAATTGCACTTTTCCTCCTGCAGGATTGCCTGCACCCTGAAAGCCAGCCCGTTCTTCCAACGATCCTCTGCACACTTGTGCACACCCTGATCTCTGCACGGAAAGCCCAGCCCCACCATCTGCCTTCCGAACTGCCATGTTACCAGGCCAGGCTTGCCCTACCCATCATGCCATGTGCCAATCACGGAGACACAAGTTTTGCAGCGGAGAAAGCGTTTGTTCACAAGGCAGCCAAGCAAGGAGATGGAAGAGCAGGTCTCAGATCCACTTCCCCAAAGATGGGGTTTTAGGGATATTTATGGGATAGAGGAGCAAGGTCCAAGGCATGGGGAAAGGTGATTGGGGGTAAGGAAAAGTGAGGCCGTCGGTTATCTGCGCAAGTATAGTCAAGCTTCACAGCTCTTCCTGGGATTCAAGTTCACAAAATGGCATCGTTAGCGTGATCTGAGGATGGATGTTTGGGCCCTCTGATGCCAAAAGGTCGCCCATTGGACACTCACGCAGGCCCAGTTGGAGGATTAGTGGTCTGAGCTAGCTTGAACTGGACAAGAGCTGACCCCAAGCTCTTGAAAAATGACTTAAGCAACCATTATCATGGTGACTTATACATCAGAGATGTTATCTGTAAGGAGGCTTGTAGAAGTTTAGTTACATATTCCTTAACTACATGACTTTTAGCTGCATATGTTTTAAAATCAACTAGAAACCAGTGAGGCAAGTTAGGTTTGGTGACCTCATTAGGTTAGCCCTTGGTTTCACCACCCCACCTTCAAAGCCCCATCAACCATCCCTTCCTTTTCTGCCTTTTCTATCCTCACCACCTCTTCTCCCCAGCAGGGTCTTACCCGCTCCTTCATGCTCCCAGAAACCCCATTCCACAGCTGCATCATAGTACTTATTGTATGTGATCTGTAGTGTCTCCCTGTCTGCTGTATTCATTGCATTTTATCTGTGGCATTCATCTATCTGATACCGTCTGCTGGGTAGTACATCTTGAATGTGGGGACTTTTGTATTACCAGAATCCCATACAGATCCTGGTGCATAGGCAATCAATGAATATTGGTTGGAAAAGGGTTTGGAAATTGGGGGATAAAAGTAGGGTCTTGGCTTGGAAGTCCTTGGAATTCTGCCTCTGGGAATGGATCACTTAGGCCTGCTTTGTCACTTTGTCAGATCTAAAACGAGGTTGGGCCAGATCTGATCCAGCAGAGGATATGTAATTAACCAGGCACATAAATTAATTTTTAATCTTCCATTCCTTGCCTGTCAACATTTCTTTTTCACTTCTCAAGGAGGACATGATTATCCCATGATGTTTTTCTTCATGTACTAATTTCTCCTCCTCTTTCTTCTTCAAACCTGTCCACGGAAGTGTCAGAAATACTTCTCATTTTATCCTTTCTCAGGAAGGCCAGCTAGCCAGCTAAGAATAGCAGTCAGGAAATGGTTAAGAGAATACCAAGAATAAATTCTGAGTTGCTTCTTTACAACTAGAAAGCTGAATACATTTAAGGCTTGAAAGGTCAACTCCCTTCAAAGGGGGCAGAGGTTTGATTTCGTCCATTATGTGGTCTTCAGCACAATGCTCATTTCATTCACTGGCTGCAATGGAGATTTATGGAGTAAATGTTATCACAAGCTGAGACTTAATGAGAACTCAGCTGTATCTCCTGGATGTAGTGGAAAGCAACCATTTTGGTAATAAATAGAGAACAGCATCTAATTTGTAAATTCCTTTTTCCGTTGCTAAGTTTAATCAGATCAGTGAAACTGAAGGGAATTGTTGATGACCAAAAATTATTTTCCATGCCTTAATCTGGCCAGGAAACATTACTCCTAATGGAAATGGCCTGTTGCTCTGGCGATGGAAGGGGATGACATTTGTCATTAGACTAACCCAATTGTTGCATATTGATAAATATGTTTAGGCCAAAATCTATTTAAAACCCAATAGAAGCTGAGGCCCCATGTTGCCCTGGTACTGGTGTTACTGGTTCCTAGAAGTAAAAACTCTTTCCAGTTAAACTACAGAGATCTGTAGCAGTGGCCATCCTAAAGATTTCTTCTTGCCCTCAGTGATCATCCAGAGCAAGGCCAGAAGGACCATGATGGAGCCCAAATTGTGGTCATAAGTGACCTTTTCTGAATGGCAGAGAGTGGGTTCAGAGAACAGAACACAATCTCTGGCAGGGCCTTGGCTTACTTTAGGGTTAAAACAAATTCAAGGGGGCACAAAAGGGAGTTGAATGCAGCTCTCTTTTTTCCAGCGGTGCTTCAGTTTTTTTCGTGATGAATCATAAAGATCATTTCCAGGATAGGGACCATGCCATGGGTAAGTGACCGTTAACACGCAGTAGGAACTTTATGAATACTGCATGACGAGAATGACAGCAATGAGGAACACATCTGAGAAGCTGATGGCCCCAGAGGGAACACGGCTAACTGTGACATCTTTAGGGGGTGGCCCTGAGAATGCTGTATCCCTTCCAGTAAGAGTACCGCCTCCAGGCGACCTTTAGACGCACAGCAAGGGGTCCCGAGGACATTCTTCTCTTGGCCTGCACTTGCTTTTATATTCATGTGCTTTTGTATACATGCCCAGTGTCCAGGCATCCTACACACTCAGAGCTCTAATACTGAATATTAGGAACGACAGCTACTGCTCATCAAGCACCTCCTTTTGCCCATATTATCTTTGCCCTCACTTCACATTTTCAGATGAGAAAAGTGAGGTTCAGATCATTGGCCTGAGGCCAGTTCGCTAACAGGAGGTTTACCCAGGCTTACACCCAGGCACGCCCCATCTGACTCGAAAGCCTTCCCTCTTTCTCTTTTGTCAGAGAGGCAAGCACATGGTAACCCCCCAGAATCATGAGCCTGGTGATAGGAGAAGTGGAGTGGAAAGAAGCCCTAGAAAGGGAGTATGGAGACCTGGTTCCTAGTCCCAGCTCTGATACTAACTGGCCCTGTAACCTAAACAACCCTTTCCTCTCTGGGCCTCAATTTCCTCATAGGTAAAAGTAATACCCAAAGGATCTCTAATTGTCTGTTAATCTTTCTGCATTCCAATCCCCTTGAAGCCCCATCCAGCCCTGTCTTTCTCTTGGAGTTTCACATTCCAGAACAAGTCTGTGGCTAAGCTGAGGAGAGGATGCCCTCATTTTGCAAAGAGACGCTTCTCCCATCTTGGCCAGGCAGCAGAGGTCACAAGAGAGGAAGTGTCCACTGCATAAGGACTCTGGACAGCTTCTCTGCCAGCACGCATCCAGCAGCTGACTCTTTCCTCGGGGCCCACGCTCTCCTGCCCTTTTCCCAGAGCCACTACCCTGACAATGTCTGTCTACCTTGAGAGCACTGAACAGTAGAACCTCAGTGCCGGGAGGTGTCCTGAGGTTCTCTCCTTCTCTCCCGTCATCCCCACCTATGTGTGAAACTCCTCTACAACACCTTCACTACGGAGTCTCTCCACCCTGCTTCTTACACACTCTCCGTGTAGGAACTTACCAGTCACAAAAAACCCTTCCATCTTTGTGCAAGCCTCAGCTGCTGGAAGGTCTTCCAGCTGACACCTGCAGCTATTGAGTGACAGTGGAAAGACAGTGTCCTGGGTGCAGTGGCATCCTCCCGATGGTGTGGTGAATTATCCTGGCATGGTTAATTACTCACACTAATTGCTTTTCTGTCACTGCGCTCCCTCCTGCCTCCTATGTTTCCATGAGGGGTTGTGCTTTTGAGATCTTTTCCCACCTCTTCTCCCTTTGTCCTCCCAGTGACTCTGAGGGAAGCGCTGAGCTGCTACACCATGTTCCTTCTCAACCAAGGAGCCAGCACTGAGCAGAGAGGAGCTCTTGCCTCTTGCCTCTGGCCCAGGCAGGCATCAGGGATCTCTCTGTCTCTCTCTGTCTGCCTCTCTCCCTCCCACCCCTCGACACAGTCCTTCCTTCCTCTCTGACATCTGTGCTTGGTCACTCCCATCTGCAAGAAGGCCCGCTCCCCCACAGTATTATTGAGATAGTAACAGGCCACTGTCTCCTCTCTGCTTTCCCCAAATCAGGCACATCCCAACTTCACCATCCAGGTAGTTGTTACTCTTGTAATGTAAGCAGCAAAAGCGATAGAGCAGCTTGAAGCTGCCCAGGGCCCATGTTCTGGCTGGACAGGCCCACCGATGCCTGTGTTCACACAGCCCACACTGCCCGACACTCCCACTCCTCACCCCAAGAGCCTTCCTGTGTTCCATCCACCAGGACCAGGACTCCATCCCCAAATCAGAACCTCTGTGTCCTTTCCTTCCTTCCAGGTTTCCTGGGCCACTGAGCCTGCAGCATGAATCCTCCTAGAATTTAAGACTCAGAAGGAGACAGGTCACGGAGAGGTAGCAGTGTACCCCAGGCAGTCGGGCCCAGGTGAGCCCAAGGTCAGGCCTCACATTTCAAGTCGATTTCAGGATCATTAACATTCCCACTTCCTGTCATGCCCCCAGGCCTTTTGCTTGTTGAAGACAGTGGTCCCTGTTCTCTGGATTTCAAAAACCATTTCTCTCTTCTGAAGGAAGAACAATCAGCGTCCCCAACAAGCCCAGCTCTCCTGAGAAATTACAGAATAGTTCTAAGATTCGGGCAAAGAGGGAGGAGGGATGAAGGGTGAAGAAGGCCTTTGATTCAGACTCAGCCTTGAGAGGAAGGATCTGGAGGGAGAGGCTGTTCAGTGGAATAATGAGAGTGACAGAGGCAGGCGTTCATCCCCGTCTGTTCTTTTTGCACTTTTGGTTTGGGGTCGGTTTCTCCTTCAATGTGCTTGGCTTAGAGCTGCCCCAGCTGCTGTGGGCATGAAAACCACTGCTCACCAGTCTCCACATCTTGGCCCTTACCCAAAATAACCCAGGAGGGAGGAAGGAGCTCATGGGTGGGTGGCTGGATAAATGGCTCCAGAATAATGGATCAAACATTGAATGAGTGAAGGAGTACACACCCCGTCCCTTGGCCCCAAGATGCTCATTCATACCCCTCTCTGAGCGTGAAGGAGAAACAGCAAAAGCTGAATTTGGGGTGTGTGCCCCAGTGCCAGCCAGTCTTTCCAGGGTGCTTCCGATGCCTCCAGTGGAAGTCCCCAGCCATGTTCCCTCCCTGGGGCATTCCCATCTGCCCTCCCAGGGAAGGCTGCTTGGTGCAGCAGAGGTGTGCTCTCTGGGAGCTTCGGTGGAGAGGAAAGGACAGGGGAGTCAGGATACGAGGGCTGGTGGAGTCTGCCAGGTGGGGCTAGGGCAGCCTCGCTCTTCCTTGTCCCAGGAGCACATGTCAAAAGCGCCAGGGCTGGGGAAGCAGCAGGGAGCAGAGGCTGGAGAAGGCCTGCGTCCCTGTCCCGGTTCTGCTCTCGGCAGCCTCAGTTTTCTCATCTCCACCTGTGGCTGGAGACGCCTTCCCCAGTAGTCTCCCCAGGTTGTTGGGAGCATGAAATGAGGTGCTGTCATGTGAGCGCTTGAACAGCCACACTGCTGGACTCTCCTAATGAACGAGCAAAGAACCATATGTGTCAGCACACCAAGCTACATGGCACAAATAGTAAATGCCTCAGGGAAAAGGACCATTCTGGGATGCCACGTAGGTCAAGGAGGCTTCATGGAGATGGTCGGAGTTGGAGGGTAGGTAGGAAGGCTTTTGTGCATGTGGGGGAGTGGTGGGGATGGAATTCCAAGAGTGGGGCAGCAGGGCAAAGACCCAGACACAGGCGCACAGCTCCCAGCAAGCGCCCTGGATGCATTAAGCCCTCCATCAGTGGTGTCAAAGCAAGAGGAACCGTGTGTGGCATATTCTGGAGGCAGAGAGTAGGACTGAGTGCATGGATCAGAGGGCGAATGCTGGAAAGGGAAGGTGTAGTTAGATGGGTAGAGTGAAAGCGGATTGCCAAGGGCCCTGGGAGCCAGGACAAGGGTCCCGTGTGCTGAGTGATAGTGATGTGACATGGTGAAGTCCCTGCTGAGAAAGACTCCTCCAGAAGATGAGAGAATTACGTGTGGGCTTCAAGCCCCTCTCTCTCTGTGCCGAGAGTCCCCTTACAACCAACAACTTAACTGTTTCATCCAATCAACCCACTCCTTTCTTGTAGAGCTTAATTTTTTTTTCCAAGGCAAAGAAATCTTAGAGATCTCCTCTCAACCTTCACCTCCCCCACCCCTGCAGCAAATGCTTATCCAGGCTTTGCCTGGAAACTTCTACTAATGAGCAAGTCCTCATCTCTCCAGATAGCCAGGCCATTTGGGAAATGTTTCATCCATTAGGGCACGATCTTCCCCTGCAGTTCTCCTTCTTTAGTGCAGTGCCCTCTAAAACTACTCTGGGCAGGTGCTGTCTTCCTCCTGTGGAAAAAAACTTCATATGTTGGAAGGTGGTGGCGAGGTCTCTTAGGTTCTCCTTATCTAAATTAAACCTTTCCATTTTTTCTTCTACTGTTCTCTATAAGTGACACAACATGACTTACTGGCCCTTCCCCATCAAAGAACTCTATTATTGCCCCCTTTAGACATGATCCTGAGCACTGAACCTCTATCCTAAGGGGGCCTGCCTGATACATGGGAGAGGGAAGCCCTGCCTCCCTGGGTCTTTGCCTGTAGCAGTGAGCCTAGAAATGCATGAAGCCGCAGGACCTCTCACAAAAGATGTGGGCAATTAAAGCAGCTAGAGCCGGGCACGGTGGCTCACGCCTATCATCCCAGCACTTTGGGAGGCCGAGGCGGGCAGATCACGAGGTCAGGAGATTGAGACCATCCTGGCTAACACAGTGAAACCCCATCCCTACTAAAAATACAAAAAATTAGCCAGGCATGGTGCTGGGCGCCTATAGTCCCAGCTACTTGGGAGGCTGAGGCAGGAGAATGACATGAACCTGGGGAGTGGAGCTTGCAGTGAGCTGAGATCGCACCACTGCACTCCAGCCTGGACAACAGAGTGAGGCCCTGTCTCAAAAAAAGAAAAAGAAAAAGCAGCCAGAGGCCCGGCATGGTGGCTCCCGCCTGCAATCCCAGCACTTTGGGAGGGCGAGGTGGGATGATCGCTTGATCCCAGGACTTCAAGACCAGTCTGGGCAATGTAGTGAAACCCCATCTCTATTAAAAAAAAAAAACAAAATAATTAGCTGGGTGTGGTTGTGTGGGCCTGTAATCCTAGCTACTTGGGAGGCTGAGGCAGGAGGGTCACTTGAACCCGGGAGTTTTAGGCTGCTGCAAGCTGTGATCACACCAGTGCACTCCAGCCTGGGTGACAGAGCAAGACCCTGTCTAAAAAAAAAAAAAAAAAAAAAAAAAAAAACCTAAAACTAAAACAACACATAAAGTAGCCAGATGGACCAAAGACTCTGTCTGCCCCAGGGCAAGAAAGAGGAAAACAAACTGCAAGCATCCAGCAGGCAGAGTTGGGAGAAGAATTAAAGCAAAGGACACGCTACATAGCAGGGCAAGCTGATCGATATTCTGACAGCTGCCCATAAACTCATTCATGAAATTATGGGGCTGAAGAGACACCATGGGGTTGGAGTTAAAATGACTCACTTCACATAAATGTCATCAATGGCGGCAGCCTAGAAATTTAAGGCAGCAATTTACTTGCCTGCTGGAAGGGAAGACACAAATGAGACCTGTCTGAGGAAGTCTTGCTCCATACTCAAGGCGGCTTTCCCTCTGTGGCTGTTCACGGCCTTCAAGGTAGTGCTGGGCCCCTGTAGATCCTCCTTGCAGGAAATCTGACCTGCTCTTCAGCAGCAGAAAGCAGTGAAGCAGGAAAGACGGGGCCCCAGAGAAGAGAGAAAATGAGAACAAATCGTGAGCTCTGCATAGCTTTGTGAACGGCAAAGAACAGGGTGCAAACGTCAAAACTCATCCATAGTAAAACTCTGACTTCCGTACAGGAGAGGGAGCCTGGGGCCTGTGTCCATCCTTGATACTTTTCTGACCAAGGGTGGGCTCCTGGCCTCTCCGTGATGTGCATCAATGGTGAGTGAGAAAGGGAGGCAGCACTGATGGTGGAAAGAGGTTCAAAACTCTACCACTATCTGCCTCTGCGACTCTGGACAAGCTGATGACCCTCTCTGGACCTTAACATTCTCACCTATACAATGAAGGGCTAGGTGGGGCACAGTAGCTCATGCCTGTAATCCCAACATTTTGGAAGGCTGAGGTGGGAAGATTGCTTGAGGCCAGGAGTTCGAGACCAACCTGGGCAACATAGTGAGACCTTGTCTCTACAAAAAATTTAAAAATTAGCCATGCATGGTGGTGCATGCCTGTGGTCCCAGCTACTCTCAAGGTTGTGGTGGGAGGATCACTTGAGACTGGGAGCTGGAGGCTGCGGTGAGCCAAGATCATGTCACTACACTCCAGCCTGGGCAACAGAGTGAAACTCTGTTTCAGAAAAAATAAAAATAAAAAATCAAATGAAGGGCTGGCCTACAATCCTACAGACCCCTTCTGACTGTGATGATGTCATGATTAAGATCTCCATTTCACACTGGGGAAACCGAGCCACAGAAGAGTGAGGTCACATAGCTCCAAGTGGCAGAGCCAGGATCCAAACTCAGGCCCCTGGCCCCCAAGCCCATGCTCCTAACCACGCTGCCTGCTGACTGCTTCCTTCTGCCCAGAGGAGCCGGCAGGGAGGCCCTGGGCAGGGTCATAAAATAAGTGGCTTCTCCCCAGGACCACCACCTGCACCCACTGCCCTCCTCCTCCACTTAGTGATGCCAGCACATCCTCAGGGCTCTCTTACCCTTGCTCTCCCATGACAGATAGGAAAAGGCTTTATAAATTCATCAATAGACATTCTAGCTAAGAGGATGGACTTGGCATCAGATCTACCCGGGTTCAAATCCTGAATCTTATTGGCGCTTGCTTGGAGTAAACGACTGAATTTTCTAAGCCTCAATTTTCTCATCCAAAAAATGGGGACATCTAATGCCTCCCTCATAGGGTTACCTCAGTTAATGTATGTAAAATTCATGGAAGAGTAGCTGGCATATAGTGAGTGATTGAGAGACTGAGCTTTGTTGTTAATATGAAGATAGAAATGGCTGATGTTGCTATTGCACACTCTGGGAGACAAGGCCTTAAAATCAAGGAATGGCCATTAGGTGTCATGGAACCGGGTTGGAGGAGGATTGGGGGTGCAAATCATACTCTATCCCTTTCCAATCATACCACGTGGGTGACCATCTGGCATGTGGCACTTAGCACTTAAAAGGACACCACTAATGTCCTTTTAGTAGTGAGAACTGGGTTTCCAAAGGAGTGCTCTAGAGAAAGACCACCACACTCCATGTCTAGAAGATCCCTGTCCCATCCCTAATGGTTGCAGGCAAGCTGTGTTTTCCCCTTGGAGTGTCTCGCCCTCCTGTGTGGTCAGATAGCCTGTTTTCCCCATAGTCCCCGAGGGTCTGAGCATGTCCCAGGCTGCCCTGCCATCTCTAGTGAAGGTGGGGTGGGGGTGGGAGAGGGAGTGTGCCAAAGTTCAAGAGTTTGTTGGGTGCAGCTAAACTTACTGCCCCTGCCCCCTCCCGGCCCCATCCACCTCCCCGCCAACCCGGCAGCAATAACCAAGGCAGCCTGATAGACTCCGTGGTGCCCTAATGGTGGAGAGAGATTTTCTGCTTGGGAGCACAGGATGTTTATGGCCTGCTGAGATCACAGTAACCCTGGCTTTCTTCTTTGGATTATGGCTGCAGATCAAGGGCAGGCATTTATGCCTCCTCCCAGTTTATAGCAGTGATCATAATTATGGTGATGGCAGAGCGCACTTCTATTGTGCCTTTTTAATAAGGCCACTTTGTTTGGCTTCTTAATATTTAATCCTGTTTTATATTTACTTTCTGATGGCTTAAAATCAACCAGGCTTTAATTGCTTATGCAGAGGAAGCCAAGCTGGGCCTGGGCTGGCAGGAAGTTGTTGAGAAGGTTCTGGAAGCTGATGGCACCTTTCTCTGTGACCTTTCCACCCAGGCAGGCTGCTGTGGCCTGGGAACTGTGTTTCTTTTTCTCTTCTCTTTTTCTCTCATCCACTCTTTCCTCTTATTCTACAACCTTCTTTTCTCTTTTGCCATTCCTTTCCTTTCTTTTCCTTAGAAGAGATCCTCAGTTCACCCTCCGGTTCAATTTATCCATGTAAGAGACCAGAGTTGTACTGTGACCTGCCAAAGCTTTGGAGCTACTTAGGGCAAGGCCAAGGCGAGGACTGTCTTTGTTGTTTTTCCTGGACTCACAGTATTAGAGACTCCTAAGACTCCAAACTGGGCAAACACATATGAAGAGTTCCTTCATCTATCCACTTGACAATACATATGGCCACGTGCTTGATCTATCCAACGGTAGAAAAGTCATAAGGAATAACTTTCCAAGTTATTGTTTTCTGAAAGAGAAAATTAAATCAGATGAAACATGCCGTGCCACAGTTCCTCAATTCCTGGGAAGTAACACAGCCCAGTTGCTCAGGTCTATTCTGCGGTGGGGCTGGAGCAACCCTGCTACAGGCCCCTGCACCACCAGCTCTCAGCAGCAGTCCAGCCTGCAAATGTGCATTTCAGCGACGTCGCCTGATGGGGCTGAAAAAGGCCTGGACTCAAGACCTGTCATTCTCTGCCATTTACTAGCTCTCCCCTTGGGCACCTAACTTCAGCCTTTGGGGACTACACTTTCTTTTGTCAGTGGGGATAATAATATCTACCTTGCCTGTGCCGTAGGGGTATGTCGGTCAGTGTCCCCATGGAAACAGTAGGTACTCTTAAACTAGGTGACTTGAGGAGGGCTTCATAAAGATGCAGGCAGGGTTTAAGGACTTAAGGAGGGCTTCATAAAGATGCAGGCAGGGTTTAAGGACTTAAGGAGGGCTTCATAAAGATGCAGGCAGGGTTTAAGGACTTAAGGAGGGCTTCATAAAGATGCAGGCAGGGTTTAAGGACTTAAGGAGGGCTTCATAAAGATGCAGGCAGGGTTTAAGGACTTAAGGAGGGCTTCATAAAGATGCAGGCAGGGTTTAAGGACTTAAGGAGGGCTTCATAAAGATGCAGGCAGGGTTTAAGGACTTAAGGAGGGCTTCATAAAGATGCAGGCAGGGTTTAAGGACTTAAGGAGGGTTTCATAAAGATGCAGGCAGGGTTTAAGGACTTAAGGAGGGCTTCATAAAGATGCAGGCAGGGTTTAAGGACTTAAGGAGGGCTTCATAAAGATGCAGGCAGGGTTTAAGGACTTAAGGAGGGTTTCATAAAGATGCAGGCAGGGTTTAAGGACTTAAGGAGGGTTTCATAAAGATGCAGGCAGGGTTTAAGGACTTAAGGAGGGCTTCATAAAGATGCAGGCAGGGTTTAAGGACTTAAGGAGGGTTTCATAAAGATGCAGGCAGGGTTTAAGGACTTAAGGAGGGCTTCATAAAGATGCAGGCAGGGTTTAAGGACTTAAGGAGGGTTTCATAAAGATGCAGGCAGGGTTTAAGGAAGCCAGCAAGTACAGTACCCCAGGGTAGCAGCTGTGTGGATCTGTTACCGGTAAAGGCTGGAGGAACAAAGTGAGGGGCAGCCTCAGAGTCAGAGAGCAGCTATGTGGAGAGGGCCATGGGGCAGACATGTGGCCTTGGGCAGCAAGAAGCAGCCAGTCTACACCAACCCTGTGTGCTGCAGTTGGGGAGCGAACGCCCCACCTCTCTCTCCTCGGGTCCACCCACGGACGTCCTGCTAGTGCTGCCCATGGGCCGGCCCAAGCAGGAAGCAAGGTCAGCTTCCTGGAGCACCAGGCCTGGGGAGAGGGAAGGAGAGTGGGTCTGAGGACAGACTCTCAACTGTCCGGCACCTAGGAGTCCCCTTAAAACCCCATGATGATATGAAGTGTTATTCTAGGGAGAGGGTGAAACCAAAACACAGATCCAGGTTTTTACTTAAAATTCTCACCGACTCCGGAGTCACAGGAGCTCAGAAGAGGAGACTCGGTGGGCAGGAGGGTGGTCCTGGGAGCTGCCACAGATGCGAACTGGGCCTCTGAGAAGGGATGAAATTTGGATAGATCAGGGGTCAGCTAACTTTTTCTAGAAAGGGCCAGAGAGTCAATATCAAAGGCTTTGCAGGCCACACAGAGCCTCTACCGAAACTCCTCCCCTCCACTGCTGTGGTGTGAGAGCGGTGATAGACAGCACACACAGGGCACGGCAGTCCCAGGAGGACTGTGCTGACAAAGACAGGGCAGGCTGCAGTTCGCTGACCCCTGGAATACGTGCAGGAGGTGGACAGGCACTCCAGGGACAGGGCATGACGTAGGGCCCCATGCACGGGAAAGACCAGAGGTTGGTACGGAGCCAGCACGTTGAAGGATGGTGAGGAGGGCAGCCCGGTGTGGTTGGAGTTTCTGCAGGAAGTCTCAGGACATGAGAGAGAACCGACAGTGTCTTAGTCGGCCAGGGCTGCCCAACAGCGTATCACAGACCCAGGAGCTGGAACAGCAGGAGCTGATTTTATCAGTCTAGAGGCTGGAAGTCTGAGATCAAGGTGCTGGCGGGCTTGGTTCCTCCTGAGGGTCATGAGGGAAAAGGGGTCAGTCCCCAGGCCTCTCTTTGGCTTGCAGGTGGCTGTCTTGTCTCTGAGTCTTCACATCGTCTTCCCTCTGTACCTGTCAGTGGCCACAGTTGTTCTGCTTATAAGGATCCGGTCACACTGGATTCAGCCCACCCTCATGACCTCATCTTAATCTAATGACCTCTTTCAAGACTCTGTCTCCAAACATGGCTACGCTCAGAGGTATGCGGGGGCTGGGACCTCAGCATCTGAATTTCCGAGGGGATATAACTCAACTCACAGCAGATAAGATGAAGCCAAATTACAGGGTGTTTTAGATACCAGATTGGAGTCAATGAGGTAGGAAATGAGGAATCCTTTTGCTTGTTAACCGTAAGTCTGATTAGTACTTTGAGAAAATAAATACAAATTATGCCGCTCATATGCAAAAAATGTAATAAGATGGGCACCTGGCCAAGTACATGGCAAAGTCAATTCCTTAGTTCCATCCTGGAGTGCCGGGAAGCCTGGACACTGGATCCCAGCAGACTGGTGACCTGGACTCAGCCATTGGCCTTGTATGACATCCCACCACACTGGAGAAGTTTGGGTGGGGCAAGCAGTGCTCCCGATACCCCCAGCCACTGCCTGGGATGTCTGGGCCTGAGGCATCAACCCTCTTCCTCCCGGAGGAGGCATAAGATTGACAGCAGCTGGTGAGCTCTCTGGCCTTGGATAACGAGCTACCAGCTAAGTTCCGGAATACACACTGGGCATTTTTCTTAGCAAATCTCATGAGAGGCCAGCCACTCCTGCTGACAGGCACATCAGGACATTACAAAGCTCCATCCCTGGGACAAAGTCGAAGCTATTTTGGGTGACCAAAGGTTTCGGAACTAGGCAGATTGTTTCATCTCGCCCCACATCCATCCCTCATTCTCTCATGTGGAGCTTTGCTCTGGTGCCACTCAGTCAGTCATGACGCATAAAAAGCTCCGAGACGGGGGCCTCAGGAACAGGCCGGATATTCTCTATGAGGATGGTTCTCCCCATCCTCCTGCCAGTCTCAGGATGGGAAGGAAGGGAGTCAGGATGTGGCAGGGAGGAAGGAAACGAGAGTACAGCAGCGGGCACCAAAGAGGATTTTGCTCATTGTTTCCTTCGTGGATTTATTGCTGTCACCTTAGTGCCATTTTTCTTTTTTATCAAAACTAAAGTGGTTCTGACTCTCAATCCTTTGCCAAAACCCCTTCTGGAGTCATTTTTTATTCATGAGGATGACTTTGGTCATCTTTGGACACATCATGCTGGCCTCATGGTGGCTAAATGAGACCCAATTTCTTTTTAAGGAGAACATGAGTGTTCACACGCTGACACAGCCTGCGGCAGATTCACTACTTGGAGACTTGCTTTCAGCAATACAGGGAACTGTCAAGAGAGCCATTCGTTTTACAGAGAGCTCACTTCCTATGGGGAAAGTGAGGCTTGTGTGCTCTGACATTGCCCATTTTTTGTTGACCACAGCTGTAAGAAGCCTGGCCCGCTGATCAGTGCAGCCATACTTTCAAAGCACCACCTGGTGTTTAATGGAGGATTCCCAAATTTCAGCGAGTAAACCCTCAGAGGGTTTGCTAACCCAAACACCAAGGAAGGGCAATCTACACAATGGCTTAGCTCTAGCACTCCTCCCCTAGCACAGCTGGTGTGCTTCCAGTTTCAAGAGATTATTCCAGGGAGAAAATGACTTTTTATAATCTCCCCAGTAGTCACACACCAAAGCAGGTCGGGGGAGACACTGGTGCTGTAAGACAATAACTGGGCACCTCTCTTGAGACATAGAAATAGTCCTACTAAGTGCTGTTCAAGCAAGAGTGGCCACCAAGAGTACATGTTTGTGGGGTTGAGGGGAGAAGACATTAATTAAAGGATGTAATCAGTTGTTGGCAATTCGACCATACAACTTGCTGTAGCCATTGATGATATTACTAAAAATGCAATGATGTTAGCCATCTTGAGCTACCAGCCAAGTTCCAGAATACAGACTGGTCATTTTCTTAGCAAATCTCTTGAGAGGCCAGCCACTCCTGCTGGCAGATGTTTCTTGCACTTTCAAAGAAACCTCATTTTCTTGTGGAGTCTTCTCACCAGAAGCAAGGGACTGGATAGCCCAGAGAAACACATTTGGTCCATAGCACCTGGTAAGAGGGAGGTTAGAAAATCGGAAAACAAGCTTCCTGTATAGCTTTCTTCCCCAGCATTCTCCTTCCCAGATCCATTCAATAAAGCATATTGTGCCTTATAAAGGATGTGCTATTATGACATTGCCTGCAGATGAGCAGACAATCAAACTTCACTTCTAAGGAAGTGAAGCAAGTTGGCTTTAGAGAAAAGGTGCCCCTTAGTTTCCAACCAACTCATCATTTGAATGGCCAAGGGAGGGGTCAGGCTTTCCATCTCATCCACTGAATAAGTATCCAGCATTCATGATTCTAAACTTTCAACAATTTGGACATTCAGCTTCCTAGAAGTTTTCCTTGAGGAATCAGCTTTGATACCACTATGTAATCCCTTGGTAATAGGAACACAAACACCATTTCACCATTTGATTCCTGCAGGTGCTTATGGGATAAACTATCGCAAATTAATAGGCACTAATGTGTTCATATATTGCTTCTTCCAGGTGAGACATTTTTATTTCAGAAAGGAACCTTTAGATATATGCAGTGCCCCAAAAGAAAGATCTGAGACTTATGTGAACCATCCAGGGAGATGATTTAGTTGCTCTTCAGATCATTTTCCATGCAGGTGACTGCCAACTTGGCCCCCATGAAAGACCAGCCCTGGTCAAATTCAGGTTCATAAAATGATCATACAGTTACTTCTGAAATTGGACAACATAGGACACTTAGGATGTCAGAGCCAAAAGCTGAATAATGCTTCTGCATGGAAGGCGTCAATGTTCTGGACTCTCCACCACTAAGCAGGGCTCTCATCCCCTCAGACAGCCACCACACAGATAGAAACTTGGTGACTGGCAGCCTACGTCCACCCCCTATATCTCCAGAAAGAAAGACCATTCATTATGAGAGTCCCATGTTAGTGACTGTTTGAGACACCTTTCCCTAGAAGGGAAACTTGAACCAAGTGGCTCATTTCAGCTCCTAACTCTCAGTGCTTTTTGCATGTAGGATTTCTGAGAAGTGAAAAAAAAAAAAAAACCTGCCGGTTATGAAGTTTCTGTTCCACACTTTGTACCTTAAAGATGAGTGTGTGAGACACAGATCTTCAGGTTAAAAATAGGCATGGCCCTTTTCTATCACTAGCCAGTCTCCAAAATTCTCCTTACCAGGCAACATCCAAGGAAGTCCATTGACTATAATCTGTGTTCTAGGATAAGAGGATGAAATATAGAAAAACCTAAGATTTGGGTTGCCCCTCCCCTCATGCCTTTCCTGGAAGTGATGGTGCAGCCCACAAGTTCAGCAGGGCACATGTTTCCTTCTGTGAGTGGTGACCAACTTCCCACCTGCATTTGCTGCCACTCATTAATATTAGGTTGGTGCAAAAGAAATTGTGGTTTCAGACTGTGAATTTTAAATCATTATAACTAGGCTCAAACACATCTTTATTAATCAAAAGAGGAACCATTACAATCAACACATTTTTGCCAACAAGAAATAAGATTTTTATTCCTATTATGTAAAACTCCGTGCTTCCAGATTCAGCAAACTCTCGGAAAGCATTTTCTGCATCCTGCTGGTTGTGAAAGCATTTTCCCTGCAAAAAGTCGAGATGCTTGAAGAAGTGGTAGTTGGTTGGCGAGAGGTCGGGTGAATATGGGCAGATGAGGCAAAACTTTGTAGCCCAATTCGTTCAACTTTTGAAGCATTGGTTGTGCGACATGCAGTCCTGCATTGTTGTGGAAAAGAATTGAGCCCTTTCTGTTGGCCAATGCCAGCTGCAGGCATTGCAGTTTTTGGTGCATCTCATTGATTTGCTGAGCATACTTCTTAGATGTAATGGTTTCGCTGGGATTCAGAAAGCTGTAGTGAATCATACTAACAGACCACTAAACAGTGATCATGACCTTTTTTGGTGTAAGTTTGGCTTTGGGAAGTGCTTTGGAGCTTCTTCTCCATCCAACCCCTGAGCTGGTCGTTGCTGGTTGTTACACAAAATCCACTTTTCCTCACACATCACAATTTGATTGAGAAATAGTTCATTGTTGTTGAGTACAATAAGAGAAGGTGACACTTCAAAACAATGATTTTTTTTTTTTTTTTTGCTCAGCTCATGAGGCACCCACTTATCAAGCTTTTTCACCTTTCCAATAAGCTTCAAATGCCTAACAACCATAGAATGGTTGACATTGAGTTATTCGGCAAATTCTCTTGTAGTTGTAAGAGGATCGGCTTTGATGGTGGCTCTCAATTGGTCATCGTCAACTTCCCATGGCCTGCCATTATGCTCCTCATCTTCTTCATTATGCTCCTCATCTTCTTTGCAAAACCTTTTGAACCACCACTGTGCCGTACGTTCGTTAGCAATTCCTGGGCCAAATGAGCTGTTGATGTTGCAAGTTGTCTCCACTGCTTTATGACCCAAATCGCTCGAATTTGCTCTTTAACATCCTTTCCATAGTCTAAAATAAACATAAAATAAATAGCAAGTAATACATCATTAACAAAAAAATAAAGTGAGAAATGCCCATTAAAATGATGTATAACATAACCAAATTTATTTAAGAATGTATTTCAATACCAAATGGCAAATTCCAACAATGCAAAAAACACAATTCCTTTTGCACCAACCTAACTTGTGATTGTGCCTTACTTGCCTCTCATTCCCAGCACCCTGCATAGTGACCTCGCAGAGGCACAGCTCATGCCAGTTCTTTCAGATGAAATGGGAAAACTCTATCTGAACAGTTAGCTAAAGCACTTGACATCCAGAACTCCAAGTCCATACATAACTTCCCGTTCCCCATGCAATGATTAGTGTCTTCATGCTCTCCAGTGCAGTGGCTGGTGTCTTCACATGCTTCCATGTAGTAGCTGGAATCTTCACATTCTCCCGTGCAGTGGCTGGTGTCTTCACACTCTTCCGTGCAGTAGCTGGTATCTTCACACTCTTCTGTGCAGTGGCTGGTGTCTTCCTGCTCTCCCATGCAGTGGCTTGTGTCTTCACACTCTTCCGTGCAGTGGCTGGTGTCTTCACACTCTTCCATGCAGTGGCTGGTGTCTTCACACACTCCTGTGCAGTTGCTGGTGTCTTCACACTATTCTGTGCAGTTGCTGGTGTCTTCATACTATTCTGTGCAGTAGCTGGTGTCTTCACACTATTCTGTGTAGTAGCTGGTGTCTTCACACTATTCCCTGCAGTAGCTGGTGTCTTCACACTATTCCGTGCAGTAGCTGGTGTCTTCACACTCTCCTGTGCAGTTGCTGGTGTCTTCACACTATTCCCTGCAGTAGCTGATGTCTTCACACTATTCTGTGCAGTTGCTGGTGTCTTCACACTATTCCCTGCAGTAGCTGATGTCTTCACACTTTTCTGTGCAGTGGCTGGTGTCTTCACACTCTTCCGTGCAGTAGCTGGGGTCTTCACATTCTTCCATGCAGTGGCAGGTGTCTTCGTGCTCTCCCGTGCAGTGGCTGGTGTCTTCACGCCCTCCCATGCAGTGGGTAGTGTCTTCACACTCTTCTGGAGCACTCTCCTCTTCAGCTGTAGCCGAGACCCAGCAGAGCTCACAGAATTCTTCTTCCTTATTTACAAACTTCCTCAAATGACCACCCATTGACAGGCAATTTAACAACTTATTGGCCCATTTAAACTGATTAAAAGCAGACACATATATGTTTTGGATGTGAGCCCTAGGCCTTTGATGGGTCTTTGCTGAATAGAATTGAATTATTGAACTGAACAAGGAGCAAGTAGGTCGACCAGTGGGTTGTTTTTCTACCTGCAGGTGACTCCATCCAGGTGCAAATAGCAAGGAAGCCCTTGAATCCACTACAGGTGAAAGTTTTGCATTGTGGTCCCATGTGAGGGAGGAGACAAGTCACCTGGCTATTGGGTAGGGATGAAGGGGATACCAGGGCTACAGTTAGACTTTAGCAGTGACCCCGCTTGAGCCTGCAAAGGGCGACAGCTCCCTATGGAAACAACAGGGATGAGTGGCAGCCCCCTCCTTGGAAGCCTTCTCAAAGTCACTCATTAGATATGCCAGATAGCCTCTCTCTCCTGGAGTAATTCCTTCTCTCCAGGGTCCATCATTTGTTTTGTGATGTTAATTCATGTGAGTTGGGAGTTTGGTTCTATTGTGTTATGTTTTCCTGTATGTTTTGATTTATTGAATTTTTTTTGTTTATTTTCTGTGATAAAAATGGATGTTCTATGTGAAAGCTGAGTTCCTTGTTTCTTTCTCTTGCCCGTGGCTGACTGCGTGTGCTCTATTGATGTCTTGTTCCTGGTTCTTGACACTGACCATCTTGTCTGTGAAAGGAGGCACTCCGGCGGGCATGCTTGATCAGAAGAAAGGGAAGTTTGCTTGGTTTAGTCACTCCACAGAAACCCATGGTAATGTTCCCCTGTGCTCTGTGTGTGTAAATGCGTGTGGGTGCATACCAGACTGAATGGGAAGGTGTCTCTCTTGATGGCTTGTGCCGCAGTAGTTCTGTGTGTGTGCATATATGTGTATGTATATATGTTGTGTGTGTGTGTGTGTTTGTGAAGGGATGGCAACCTGTCCCCCTCAAAGCCACTGCCTTATCATTGCTTCATATGTGTAAAGTCAGTGGGTGTGACAAACAGGCAGAGCTATTCCTCCAGGAGCTCTTCCTCTGGGCAGTGCTGGCCTAGAGTAAGCACACTGTGAATGCACGGTTGGAACCAGCACAGGCAGTGCCTTGATTTAGAAGGTGCTGTCGTTATTTCCAGTGCCCAGGCCTGCCCCTCCGATTTTGTCTGTCTTTCCAGGCCTAGCACCACCACCTCCACAGCACTGTACTCACACATAAGGCTCTGGGAACGAAGTGTCACAAAGTCACAGAACTTTTTCTACGTGGCCTAGCCCTTCAAACAAGGATGTCTGGAGGGTAGAGAGCTAAAAACTAAAAATAAAAAATAAAAAAAACCTTTGGGCTGAGATGGCTGGAGATAGATGGGTTGGAAGACTGAGAGTGCTTCCATTTTATGGCTTCCTTAGTGTGGTTTGAGCAAAGCCCCTGGCAAGCTCTGAAGGTCTGAGCTAAAACCATCCCTAAGGGCTGGTCTCACCAGCCCCTCCAGACTTCAGACTATAAAGTGAGTGTAATGCTGTGGAATTCAGTGCCCCTGTTTGGCTACTCACTGCCCTCCTGTGGTGCTCCCAGAGCCTAGTAGGCTTTAAGAAGCTTGTCTGCCTAGGGTGTAGAGTACAGAGGTGGTCGAGACTGGGGCGCTCAAGATGAACATGCTACAGGAGGTGTGACACTTGTGCCCTGGACCCAGCCCTACTTGAACACACCATATGACCATGGGCATCACATCCCTTCTCTGGCCTCACTTTCCTCTCCTGCGGAGTGAGGAGGACGAGTTAGAGCCAGATAATTTCTAAAGCCTCACCCAGCCCTAGAGTTCTATAAAATGACATCTGGATTTTTTTTAATTCAATTTTATTAAAAAGGTCAGAGAGGTCTCTCATACACAACAGTCAAACATACGGTAAGTCGTGGACTTTCTGTTTGTATCTTCCATGTTCTTGAAATGATTCTCTTCTCACCAACCTGGCTTGTCTTCATCTGAAGGAAAGGAAACCAGGAAAAATCCACATCTATCAACATTATCCATGCAACCAGTAAAAGTGTTTCTTGGGCTCTGGCAGCCTCGCAGGGACTTGTCACCAGAGGCCACTCCCTCAACTAACAGCAGATTCTGTGTCTGCTGAGGGCTGATGACTTTCTCAGCATATGAGGAGTTCTATTCTGGAGGAACAGCAGAACCAGGACCAAGGATATGATGGCCACTCTAAAGAATAAGGGTTACAAAACTAAGGAACGCATTGTATCATAGTAAGAGAGTGTTGGAAGGTGGAGAAAAATTCTTTGAGTTAAACTTTTATTTAGAAGAAAAAATAATAATAATAAAAGAAATGGCTTCTTTCAAGCCACCAAACTGGGTTCTAAGCCAGAAAACTCCCATTGTTCTGGAAATTCAGCCCACAGCTGCCTTGGGAGGAGGCTGGACAAGTTGAATTAAACGGCTTATATCCAAGTCAGCCTGTTGACATGGGAATGTCAGGGTGGCTGAAAGGGGAAATCGTATCCCTACAGGCTGTCTTCTGACCACAATTAAACATAATTGTGTGGACTGCACACTTCCACTCCTCACTCCTTATGTCTGCAGGGCTAGCTTGAATCTTAGTGCATGGCTCTGGGGATGGCCATTCCCCTCAAGCCCTCTGTCTCAGTTGTGCTCCTGGGTGTAACCAACTGCCGGAAAGGGAAGGCCTCTGTCCACCCAGCAGCTCATCAAGGTAGCAAGCACGCCCTTTCTACAAACAGGCTGGTCCCTGTTCTTGGAGATGGAGCCCCTTAGAGATGGTGGGTGGGATGAAGTAAGGAAAATGATATATTTTCATGAAAGCTCCTCTTTCTGTGGCAAGTGGTAGTTGCAAATGGAAAGCCTCTACAGCTTCTTCCAGTCCACAGAGTGGAGAGGAGAGATTCAATGGTCAGTTTTTTCAGGATGTGTCCTATGAGGTAAAATGCTCTTATTACCAGATGTCCTCCCATACTTCCATTAGTTTACAGTGTTCTTGGCGGCAAAACCTGCCTGGACAACCAGCAGATGTGTCCATCAAGGGGATCTGTGCAGATCAGCCAGCCAGCGTGCTCAGCCTCTCTTTCTGCCAACCCGCACTGGGTCTTGCGGTGGGCGTGTTGCAAACTACTGCTCTTCTGTTCCCTTGTCTCCCCACCCTCAATGCCTGGCTCTGCTTCCCTTTGACTCTTGCAGTGAGCATGCCCACCAGTGAGACCGAGTCCGTCAACACCGAAAACGTGGCTGGAGGTGACATCGAGGGAGAAAACTGCGGGGCCAGGCTGGCGTGAGTAGGCACGGCGAGCCCAGGGGCTGGGGCTTTTTCTGGAGCATGGGTGGAAAAGCTGCATCTGGAAATCACAGTGGGCTGGCTCATCACTAGGAAGGGCAGAGATTAGAGCCGGTGGCAAGAAACAAACCTCAGGTGGGAACCAAGATGGGGAGCAGAGGGCCCTGGGGTGAGGGTGGCCCTGGCCGGGGGTGAGTCTTAAAATCAAGGCTAGTCTTCAATTCATCACTTCTTCGGGGGTGCTGACTCTTAGGTTTTGAGCCTCTTTTCATCACATCTGAGAAATATAGAGGGTGTGTGTGTAGGGGGCGGCCCCAAAGTCTGTTTCTTTCACTCCAGTCCCTTTCGCCCCTCTTCAAAGAGACAGCGAGGTTAGGGCCCTGAGTCCTGCTGGCCACCCTTTCCATTCTGATAAATGTGACCTGGGAGAGAAGCAGCCAGGTGAGAAGATGTTCTGGGAGATGACTGGCATGTGGGTCCTTACCTGAAGCTCTCTCATCCTGCCAGTAAGGGAAGCAGAAGTGCAGTGGAGCCTGCTGTTCTGTTGCCTTGGGGTGTCACGACTGTAAACTCACCCTGGCCTCTGGAAGAACTGCAAACAGAGGCTCTGAGTCAGACCAGTCCCAGGTACAATGCATTTCTGAATTGCTCCACCTGGGGGGCGGGGCAGGGCGGCATCTCCCTTCCCTCCTCGTCTGTGGAATGATGGAGAGCCTGGGCAAGCGCAGCCCTTTCACAACGCTGAGCTGTGGAAGAGTCTAAACACAGCAATGCCGGCCTTGAGCGTGGCCTGGGAGCCCATGTTGGGGAGGGAGAATGAGGCTGACGGCAGAGCAGCTCTCACAGCCGCTGTTTCCAGGGAGCGTGGAGCTTCAGTATCACTCACTCTGACACTGGCACCAGGGAGTCTGCACTGCAGATTTCTCAGCATTGTCGGGAAGCAATTATTGTCAAAATGTTGTTAAAATACGATGCTAATTACATTTTTAAGCAGCAGTGCAAACCTCTTCTTTTGGAATCATACAAAACAAGCACTTGAGTTTCTGGAAGTAGGTCCCAAACAGCAACTCTAGGGAAAGGCCTATAGGAAGGCTTCAAAGTCTGTCAGTTCTAGGCCTTTCTGTTGTCTTGCCACCAAGACGAGGCTTAGAGAGATGATCAAAGGCCCTGCAACTCTGGCTGTTGGGCAGGCCCAAGTCGCATACCAGGAGGGACTAGGGAGCTGGCACCAGGAAGTCACTTGATAGTACATTTCAGGAGAGCATGAGGCTCTGTTAGGAAGGAAACATGATATTCCCCCACGGATGGAGCCTGGCAGTCTCCAGTGGATCTGTCGTTTGCTCAGAGCACATGCTCTGCAGCCTGGAGAGCTCTGCAGAAATGGTCCCCGTTATCCCCATGTTTAGCCACATTCGTACTCTGTGCATACAGAACGCTGAGTCACAGTGCCAGAATTATAATATGCCCCGAATAAAATGTGGTCTTTCCCCATCTCCCTACCTCCCACCCCGCCCCAGACAATGATGAGCCAAGACTGCCAGCATTCCTGGCGGGAGAAGCAGCATGGGAACTGAGATTGCGTGTGATGGTCTGAGGGGAAGTGAGTGACCGGGATCTTTAAAGCTAAGGGTTAAAAGTCTCATGTAATGAGATTAGGTCACGATGAGGACTGCTGTGTAGTAAGGAGGCCTGGATGAAGACGGTTCCTGTTGGGGGAAGGGAGGAAGGAACTACGGCATGTTACTTCATGGCAGCAGGGGCAGGCGGGTGCAGGTAATGAAGAGGAAGGAGCCGTCACAGTCAGGGAAGAGGATAATGAGGCAGAAGTGAAATCTGAAGCAGGAGCCCAGTTGGAGTGACCTGCGGGTGTCATGGAGACCACGAGATACGGAGGCCCGAAACTCAGCCCTGAACAAGGGTGGACACACATGTTTGAGGTTGTTGGGATGAAAACTACCAATGAGGTGATAGGACGGGTTGTTCAGAGTGAAGTGGAAAACAAGACCAAGGGCTGAATCTTGGGAAATGGACACACAGAAGAATAAGACCAAGCAAGCAAAATAGACAAAGGAATGTTAAGAGAACAGGCAGCAGCGCCAGCCTGGAAGCCGCGGGAGGAGGAATTTCAGGACAGAGCTGTTTATCCATGCATTCGTTCAACAGTCTGCCCAGCTTGGTGCTAAGGCTAGGTGGTGGTGACACACAACAGGGAGGAAATTGACACCATCGTGCTGGAGCTCACAGTCTAGTGTGGGAGAGACACTATGCAAATAAATAGGCAACTATAGGATTGGGGTAAGTGTTATGAAGGAAAAGTAAGTGTAAAGTCGGGCTAATAACAAAGGTTTCTAATTTGGACTGGCAGGTTAGGAAAGGCTTCTTTGCAGAATTAAAATTCCAGCTGAGAACAGAAGGATGAACATGAGTTATTGAGGGACTGGCAGACCCTTAACCGTTTGGGTCTGCATCAGAAGAGTGTGAGAAGTCACTGAAGGGCATTCAGAACAGAGCTGAGTGGGAGGTTGATTTGGTTAGTTCTGAGCTCCTGAAGGATCACTGCGACGTCAGGAAAAGAGCAGGGAGGAATGAGAAGCTGCAAGAGCCTGACACAGGTGAGAGGTAATGTGGCAGCAGCTCAGGCTGCAGAGGGAAAGAAGGGCTGTGTTGTGTGTGTGTTCTGGGGTGCTACCCCTCAGGGTTGCAGGGCACTGGTCTTGGGAGTCGGTCTCAGTGAGGGAGATGGGGTGGAAATGGGCCACGACAGAGTGCTCACTCAGGCAGTGAGGCCATGGACAGGGAGGAAGATGGGAGCATGTGAAGAGGAGTAGCATGAGTGTGGGAAGCGCTGGCCTTCATTGTAATAAAGGCAAGGGCAAACTTCAAGACAAGGAAGAAGTCACGGAGCAGGAAGAGGTGAAACAAGCTGTAGGGGAAGCAAGTGCTTATAGGAAGGCATTGCTTCTGAAGAGGAGAAGGGCGACAGCAAAGACAGTTTGAGGCCCTGAACTTGCTCAGGAAGGAGGAATTTCTGTGCACCTGAAACTAATTGGAAAATGAAAGAAGAGGAGTCCCAGAGTCTAGTGCCCACCAACCTCCAGCTAGCCCTGGGATCTTGGCCAAAGCACTCCGCTCTGGGCCTCAGCCTCGTCCTCTGGGAAAAAGAAGGGTCAGACTGACATCTCTGCAGAGGCTGGGGTGGGGGGCGGAAACCACCTGCAGCGGTGCAAGATTTCATGTGAAGAAAGCATTCTACACCTGGAGAAACTGCAAACCGTAGGTCCATGTGGTATCTAAGGGTCCCTTCCAGTTCTGTAAAGCCTACAGTTCTGTAAAGAATACAGAATCAGAAACAGGCTCTGATGAAGGGGTCAGTGACAGGAGTCACTCCGAATGAGCTCAGCCATCTCATCTCCCAAAGCAAGGGTCAGGGGTCACAGGAACTTGAAGGGCAGTATAGAGACTGAAACCAGTGAGTCGTCGAGAGGATGCTCAAAGGTTGCTGGGCAGCACTGATGCCACGGTGGAGACTGATATCATAAATGTGCAGTCAGCCGTATTTTTGGCAGACTCTGAAGCCTGAGAGCACTAAAAAGAGACAGCGGCGTGTCCCAGGGTGGGGCTTAGCCATGCAGGCATGGCAGAAGGCCCAGGCGGTGTGGAGTCTGTGTGGTATCGCGGGCAACATTGCCATGACTGTAGTCAAGCCTGGTGTTAAAGGGTGAGAGTGATGGGGAGGATCCAGTGAGGACAAATGTTGGGTCCTCTGAAAGAGCAGGAGGGATCATAGAAAGGGAGGCTCTGGCCAGAGTCATGGAGCATCTGAGCTCAGCACCCAGGAGTGGAAGCAATTCTATGCCGTGCAAGGGCAGGATGTGGCCCTCCCAATAATAAGAGCTGTGGGGGAGAGGACGTCCTGGAGTTAAGGATGCTGAGTCAGACGCATTGTCAATGTGGATGATGACTGCAGTGCCATCTGACTTATATTAAAGGCGAATTTGGGACAATTCAGGGAAATACTATTTTACACAGCAGGTAGTAAACATATGGCACTCTTTCCTCTAAGAAGAGGGGAGAGGCTGAAAATACAAATGGCTCTCAAGAAGTTCAAATATGTCTCAAATAATGACAAATGCAAACTGAGTAACTAGGGGAAAAAAGGAGTTTGGGGTTTGTCTCTAATTCTGAACCTGAAAAGCACGAAGGAAAATCATGGTCTCCCAGAAGGTTTGTCTTGGAGTCCTGGGTGGAGAAAGTATCTGGGGTTGCATGAACTTCAGTTCCTACCCAGTGGATCTGTTCTGATGGTCTCATGTTCCTTACCAGCCTTCTCTCCCTCCTCGCTCTTCTTCAAGAATCCGCTCAACCTGAGGTAGGAATTGTGCCTCATTGGAACAACAACAGTGGAGACAACCAGGAAGCCTTCCGAGTGTGCTGTGCATAGAGAAGCCAGAGCCCCCAGCTGTTCTCAGAGTTCTTTGGAGATTGTGAAGATCGGTAGCAGGGAGGCATTGGCCACAGTGAACCGGCCTAGGGTGTGGACCAGCACCATGGCACCAAGGCATCTGGGCTCCTGATGGCACCGAGGCACCCGGGCTCCTGGCTTGCGTCCTCTCACTGCAGGAGCACCTTTCCAGCCCAGAACCCTGGGCCACCTCCCAGGAGGCAAAGAGGTCCTATCATTAACGCCAAGGTGTGCAAAGGGAGCAGAAAGAACCAAGGCGTTCAGACGTCACAGAGTTCTCACCTCAGCTCCCCATGGGCATGGAGTTTTCCCTGGCCTCCAGACAAAAGCCGCTGAGCAGTGTCCTCCCCTTCGCAAGGAGTGGAGCCTGCCTGACATGGAACTTAGCCATTTGGCGGTTGCTTGTCAAAAGTGCCAGCCTTTAAAAGCGGATGAGGTTTTGATCCCCATGAACCTAAAATTCTGCTCACAATCCCGGAGGATAGCAACAATAGCAACAAAATCAGTCTTCAAGTGTGGTGCCCAGGCTTATCCATCCAGACCTGTAACAAAGCAGACAAGAAGGCTCTGTCCATTTCGTGCTCAGAATGTGCCCGGATGCCACAGAAGGACCTGTAGTCCACGACTGTGCTTGAAGCAGGACCTCCTTTCCCAGCACCCCCAGCGCCAATCCTGCTTCCCAGGGTCATTTCCCTTGGAGACGAACACTCAGGATTAGGTTTCCCCAGAGGGGAGCTTTTCAGAGCCCACTTGCACTTGTGACCCGCTTGCACTGTGAGCAAGACAACGCCTCATGGCAAAGGGCCGGTGGTCGTCATCAAGGGGCACCCCAGACAGGACTACTGAGGTGTTTCTGAAAGAAGGCCTGGGACCAGGCTAGGCTTGGAGTCAGAGTGACAAGGCTGAAGTCCATGGTCACCCACTTGAGCTTATGGTTAACAGCAAGGGGAGACAACCACCCAAAAGCAGCCTGGGAAGACACTGAAGGTCTGGGGCTCAGCATGGCCCCGCTGGAGAAGAGAGCACCTAGGCTCCCCAGCACCCAATTAGCAGCTGGGAAACATTTGTTTGCTGGTTAAACTGTGGCTGTAAATAACAATGCTGCCCTGGGCTCCCAGTCCCCCTCCCACACGCTGTTAACCTGTGATTAAGCCCTCCAGCCCTCACAGGCAGTCTTTGCGGGTGGGATGAGGTTATTAGCTAACCGTTCGGAGCAGTAAAGGCGCTTGGCTCAGACTCGCAGTGCCCCAGAGATGTAATTATCTCATGCACGATGGCTTTGCCACCTGTCACATCTTCTGGCTTAATTTTTTTAATAAGAAATAACGAGAGGGGCTGGCGTTTTCTTGCTCTGCGACACAGCTAGCTGTGTGCCGCGCTGGGACGTCGCAGGCCTGCGGCGGTTGCCTCCCAGACTCCCTTCTCCTGTTTCCTCCCCATGCCTCTCCTTGTTGCTCCACCACTGTCTCCATCCCTTTCTTCATCTCTAACTTGCGTTCTGTCCTTCTGCTTCTCCATCTGAACATTGTCACCACCTGCACTATCCCCAGCGTTCATGCCCTTCTCCTAGCACCAAAGCCAAGCTGACAGGTGCCTTCTAATGGTCTCAACTGCTTACATTCTCTCACTCTCCCTGTCTCTCTCTCTTTGGCTCAGCCTTCTCTCCTCCACACTTCTCTTTTACAGTCTGTCCCTCCTGCCCTCTTCTCCAGCCTCCTGCCTCCCCTGGACTCTTCCCTACATGACCTAGGGAGCCTCAGGACTTCCTTGAAGGTTCTGCCTTTCCATGGAACCTCCTCCCTGTTCCATGACCCTTCCAGGCAGCCACCCTCACACCCACCCTGAGCTTCTGCCCAGAGGTCCCCAGGTCTTCAGGGCTGCGTGTGACCGTCAGCATCCTGGGTTTCTCCTCGGAGTCTGGGGCTGGCGCCTTAGGCCTCCTCTGCAGCTCTTGGGTGGGGGCTGTTGTGGCCCCTCCATTTCTGGCTGGCTCCTTTTGCTGGTCTTCCCTTCATAACCCTACTCTAGCTGGGCTCTGGCAGACAGCTGTGAGGTCTGTGCCGACCTGTTCTTGCCTGTGATTTTTCTGCTGTTGGGGTCCTCTTGTCATCAGGAGAGGCCTTTTCTTTCTCTGCAGCTTGTCTCAAGATACAGCTCTTCCTAACCTGACCTCATAGAAGTTTCTAGGCAGACCCTGAGGACCTGCTACTCTCCCTCTGCAGCAAGGATTGTCTATACTTAGAAGATGCTAGCCAGGCCAGACCTCAGTCTCCACATTCAAATACATAAATAGGGTTCTTTCTCTCCCAAGATGTTCTAGTTCACACCATGCCTCCTTCCAGCACCCACACGAAATTACCTGGGGAACATCAAATTTCCCTGGGACTGTTGACCGTCTTTTAAATGCACGTGTGTGTCCATCCTTTGGTAACATTTCCTTTTTCTTTTTCAGCCACCGGATCTCCAAGTCAAAGTTCAGGTGAGTGAGACTCACGCTGCTCTTCCTTCCTTCTGCCACCAGCTCTGTCTTCAGCCACCCTGTTGGGTGGCCCAAGGTAATACCTACAAGTTGCCAGTAGTGTAAGGGCTGTTCTTCTAAGGGGGTAACTACTTTCTGTATGGCCATCAAGAAAAAGCTTATGGCTCAGATCAGACAAATAATCCAGCGGTTGATATTTGTTGAATGATCTTGGACTGTCCATCTTTTTGGCAGCACAGTCCCTAGGAAGTTGTCAGACCAAATGTGTTTTCCTCCCTTCTAAGATGAAGTCCAGTTAAAAGAAACATAAAGTGAGCCCTTGTGACTGTCATGACCTACTTCATGTTTATAGAACATGGTGAGATGTAACCTTTGATGATGATGGAAAGCACGTAGGATTATGACACCCGTCTGTGTCACTGCTCTTGACAATGACAGAACCTACAAAAGGATCCAGGGTCCTCAGCCCCCATCTGCCTCCCAGCCTCACTTCCTGCACTTCCATGAAAATAACCTTTGTTCCCCCTACAAGGAACTTCTTGCAGTTATCCAAATGTTCCCTGTCCTGGTGCACACTGAGGCCCCTGCATGGAGCCAATCCTTCACTTAAATCACTATGCCCCCATGCCTTCATCTGGAGAACTCACACTTCTGTTCAGACCCTCAGATGTGACTGCTTCCGTGTTACTGCTTTCTCTGCCATTTCACTGGGCCTGGAAAATACCTTCTGCAAACTCCAGGGAGAGTTACTCAGCTCCCCCTTCCCTGGTGCTTTGCTGATGCCTCTGTCACAGCACTCAGCACATGACACTCGGATTACTGGCTCACAGTCCCCTGCTTCCAAAGGCTCTGCCTGCATGCCTCCAGGGGTTATTTCCAGAGCACCCAGCTCAGTGCCTGTCCAGTGGTGAACGTCCATACATGTGTGTTGAATGAATGAGTGGACAGATGTGTGCAGGGAGAATGTGAATTCACTCCCACAAAGCTTGTATGTGCCAAAAAATATTGGTTATTTTTCATAATTGAGCTAATCTTGTTTCCCTAGCCCTATCTCCTACATGGCAGGAGCATAGAGAAATTTTTATCCAGCTGAGTAAATGTAGCCCAGTGCTGTATTTTAAACAGTCCCTTAAGGTAAAGTGATTTGTCTCTCAGATTGCCTCTCTCCCAGCTCCTCTCTTGGACGGAGCTGGACACATGGCGGAGAGGGACTTTGAGATCCCAGGAAGCAGGGAATGATGAGGGCTGGTCCTAGAAGCCACGCGAGCCCTCTGGATGCTTGCTCATCTCTGCTGCATGGGGCTAGGCTGAACTGCTGTCTGAACTGGTACCTGCTGAGGTCCATCTGGTTAGGGCATCCACTGCTGGAGTCCATGCCCTTAGGGCATCCACTGCTGGAGTCCATGCCCTCTACTTGCCTCCGGCCTTGAAATCTCCACCTCTGCTCTCTGACCCTTGAGTTCTGTTGGCCCACTGACTTTAGCACCTCTATACCTCAGCTGAGGACATGGACACTTCCAGGTCCCTCACACTCCGTGAAGGAGCTAGAGGAGACAGCAGCCCTATGACAGGCTCATTGGCCTACCGGTGTCCCATCACAACCTCTGTAACAGCCAGGATAAGCTTCAAGCCAAGGGCTGACCTTCTCCCAGGGTCTGCCGAGGCACTCCACCAGCCCCAGTGTTGCTGGGCTTCCCCGTGGCCATCTGGGTGTTTCTAAAGCAACTCCCCACCAACCTCTTGGGCTGTGGTGACCAAGGGCTAAAAATTAAGTGGGGACCCTGGTGTCTGACTTTTGCTCCACTTCTGATACCTTCTTTCTCTCCCGTTTCACTAGGACTGGAAAATACAGGCTTTTTTCCCAATCCTTGTTTCTCTCAAACCAAGACCTCATCTACATAAAACATCTAGGGTCAGGCCCATCCACTCTAGCTCTTATTACAGAGCAAGAGCTCCAGAAATATTAAAAAAAAAAAATTTCTCTCTCTCAGTAATGCTTGGCTGTTACTGCTTAATCTCCAGCATCTGGAGAAGTGGCTGGTACATAACAAGAACCTAATAAATATTTGCTGGGTGAGTGAGTAATTAATAAATGAATGATCTTGCCCCAGTAAGACAATAGACTTGACACAGATTCAAACAAAATATCTAATTTGACAGTCAAAGCTGAAAAAGCATGTTGTGCTTTAACAGTTCCAAAGCCCCCACACAATAAGAGTAAAGGGATTAAAAATACACTTGAAAATATTTCCAAAATATCATTCTCAGTTCATGCAAGTGAGTAAATCATAAATTAATAAATGAATGAATGAATGAATGAATATGATCTGGAGGATGGAAGGGAAAATTACATACTTGTGTCTCGAGTTAGAGATTGCCTGGAACACTCTGGGAACATTATTTTCATCCAGTGATCTATGGTGCAAACTGTGCTTTTCAACAAGAGGGAAAGAGCAGTGGTGCCTGTAAACCTCTGGAGTCTCCCTCGGCCCTGAGGCTTTGCTATGTGCTGGCCATTCAGCCCTGATCATCTGCCTCTGGGAAGGCCTTCTCCTTCTGCAGCCACCCCTCAATACACCGCAGTAATGCGGACGGCAGATTTTGTTCTCCTAAAGGCTTACAGCTAGTAGATTGGCACTATCATTGAAACTCATTTCCAGATGAGGATCCTGAGGCTTTGAGAGGCCCAGGTCACAGGGCTCTAGTATGGCTGAGTCAGAGCTCATACCCAGGGGCTCTGCTGCCAATCACTGTGCCATCCTTGTGATGAGGTTCTGCCCGGGAATAGTAAACCCTGTTCCTGTATAGCTAGTGTGTCCGCAGAGTGTGTAACTCTAGAGCCATGCTATTCAACAGAAATATAGTGCAAGCCACATATGTACTTTTAAAAATGTTCTAGTAGGCAGGTTAAAAAATAAAAAGAAACAGGAAATTTCTTTGATTTAAACCAGTATCTCTAAAACATTACTATTTCAATATGTAATTCACATAAAAATTATTAATGACATATTTTGCATTCATCCTTTTGTGCCAAGTCTTTGAAATTCAGTGTGTGTTTTTCCCTTACTGCCCATCTCAGTCTGGACTGACCATGTTTCCCATGCACGGTAGCTGCATGTTGCTAGCGGCTGCCACGCAAGGCCACGTGGCCCTGGAGGTTTCACACATGAGCAGGTATCACACAGCAGCCGTCTAATCTAGATTCAGCAGTTCACTGATGGTGTCTGCTTAGGGAATATCAAAGGTTACAAATAGATTGAAAATGCCACCAACGTTTTCAAAGTATTCCTGATCATTTTCTCAAGTTAGGTGAAACAGTTTAACAATTACAGATAATGGAATTTGAGTCTCAAACTGGCCTTTTCCTTTGCAAAACAGAATGATCCAAAGTCACGGTTTCTTTAAAGAACTGTAAGAATGGAGTCTCTAGGGAAAATGTGGCCGGTTAGTGGATTACAGCCATAGTGGAGGATTCCCTTGGTAATCCAGGTTTTCACTTAGAGGAATTAGTTAAAATAAGAGATTTGTGACATTTGGAGCTCACTGTTCAGAATAAATGTAAACAGTTATGAAACAAATGATTCAGGAAGTCTTTTGTAACCTGAAGGGATTGATTACACAAGTTGGAGTTTCTGGATCTCAACTTTACGGAGTTCTGAAGTGAACCTCACGGGGTTCTGAAATTGGGAGGACTAGCTTGCCCAGTCTTCAGTGAAATGTGCTTCCAATGTTCTCTTCACTTCTGCCATACCATCAGCAACAAGGCACAAATCCAAATTTGCCCCAATCTCTAATAGTCCTTTGTAAAGTTACTTATTTACAAGAGAATTAAACTTAATGATTTTCTGTGGTGTTTGTTGTTGGTTCTGGTAAAAAAAAAAAAAAAAAAAAAAAGTGGAAACTTACTCTAGCCACTAGAAGGAGCCTGCAGGGCCCATCATTTTGATGTTGTCGACGATTCCAGATGCCTGTGCACCATTGCATGTCAAGCAAACTATTTTAGGAGCACTGTCCGCTCCTCACCTCCACCCTCAGCCCTGGTTCACAAGAGCTCCGGGAATCTTCAAGCCTTGTCTTCCAGAGGGAGGTAGTACATTTGCGTAGAGTTCGTCTCTGCTGCTCAACCGTGCCATCAGCCAGGGGTTCCCGTGCAGGATGGACTGTGCTGAGTCCCATGGGTCTGTAACCAAGTGTAAGACACAACCCGATTCCTTCGTGGGTCTTGTGAGCTCCGCGGAGAGGCAGGAACCATACAAATGAAACGTAACTGACAGTACAAGGAAATGGGAACTCATTTCCTCTGGGGACCCTTCTCGCCTAAGGTGTCCTTTCGTGTGCTCCCTGGTGGACCCGCCCAGCACTCAGGCCCTGCTGTGACTGCTCACTTAGTGGTCTGTGTCTCCGTGTAGCTTTTACGCAGAGGAGGCCTGTGAGCGCTGTGCTAGCTACTGAGTATCTGGTGCCTAGCCCGTGGTCAGTGTTTAGTAACTATTTCTTGGATGTGTAACTAAAATGAGTAATGCAGACAGTAAGCGCTGAAGAGTGCCAAGGCTGAGAAGACTAGAAGCATGCATCGTGGAGAAGCTGGGACTCAGTGTGAGCCCCACAGGAGGGGCAGGACAGACAGGATGAAGCAACGGTGGAGTTTCCGGTAGCTGGGAGGACTTGCCTTGCAGCTGGACAGGCAAGAGGAAGGCCCAGTGTAGGGAGAAGGGCAGGTGGAGCTGGGGCTGCGAGAGCAGAAGTTTAGAAGCAGTGATCCCGAAGTTTAGAGACATAGATGAGACCCATTCGTATCCATCCCTCTCTCCTGTGTCTACATATGGAAGGTTCTATTTCTAGAGAAAATGACTTCCAGTTAGTGTGAAGGGAATATGAATAGCAGGCAAATTTCTCCTCCCTATTTTATCATTTAATTTCTGTATCCTCCATGCATATGTAAACATAAATAAATTTACACATTCTAATAAACCATTACATTTATTATACAGTAGGAAGTGTTGCCAGGAAACCAGTTGTCAAGCAAAGCTATATTTTGAAGAGTGGGAGGTGCATAATTATCTTTAAATACTTTCTCTGGATAGTAATTACCCCACCCCCACCCCAGCCCAAATCCATGTGACTCTCCCAAATGGGTCTGCTCAGGAGCACCCCAGTTGAAAGGGACACCGTCCTGTCCACTCCGGCCACTCCTCAGGGGTCTGTGCAGAGCAGCTCCAGACCCATGGGACCAGCCTGACCACACAGCACCCATATCCACTACTCCCAAGCATGAGGAAAAAGGGGCATAATCAAGCTCTCATATTAAACCCACTCCAAGACAGCTCTACATACCGCAAAGAAAGCAACCTTGATTGCCTTGGACTCTGAATAACAATTATCAGTGATTTCTGGAACTTGAGACTGTATCTATTTAAAACATGTTCTTTGCAAACTTCACTGTCAGCTCTTTAAGATCAGATATGAGTTTGTCCTGAAAATTCATTTTTTAGGGGAATAAACTACTTGCCAAATTTCTGTACAGTATTAATAATCACAATCACAGGAAAAAAGCAGAGGCATGCCCTGCAAGATAAGACTGTTTAGTATCAAGATCTGGCAAACTTCAGAGGTCGCCTCTCAAGAGGACCATCTGGGACTCATTGTCTCATTTCTTTGTCCCTCTGTCCACCCTCCACCATCCTCCCTCGGATCCAGGGCAGTATGTCTGGGGGTGCAAGAATCCCAAAGTGCATTTAGAAATCATAACGTTTTAAATTGTTAATGTTTATGGGCACTAATGGGTGTATATATTTATGAGGTGCATGTGATGTTTTGATCCAGGTGTACAATGTGCAAAAATCAAACCAGGGTTATCAGGGTGTTCCTCACATCAAGCACTTATCATTTCTTTGTATTACGAACATTCCAATTCCAGTCTTTTAGTTTATTTTAAAATATGCAATAAATTATCATGACTGTAGTCACCATCCTTCTCTCCTATGTTGTATGATCAAATATTACATCATATTTATTCTATTTAACTATATTTTTTCACCTATTTACCATCTCCACTACCCTTTCCAGCTTCTGGTAACCATCATTCTACTCTCTGTATCCATGAGTTCAATTGCTTTAATTTTTAGCTCCCACATATGAGTGAGAATATGTACAATTTGTCTTTCTGTGCCTGGCTTATTTCACTTAATATAATGGCCTCCAGTTCCATCCATGTTGTTGCAAATGACAGAATTTCATTCTTTTTTATAGCTGAACAATATTCCATTGTGTACATGTACCACATTTTCTTCATTCATTTGCTGATGGGCGCTTAGGTTGATTCTGTATCTTGGCTATTGTAAATAGTGCCGCAGTGAACATAGGAGAACATAGGAGTGCAGATATCTCTTCAGTATACAGATTGGAAACCATGTTTTCCACCTGGTGGCCTGCTTCCCTGTGTAGTGGATTTTCCCCCAAGTGGTAGGCCAGTGTCGCATGTTAAGGTGTGGCCCTCACTGGAGATGGCCTTCAAGCTAGAGCAGAACACTGCCTGGATTAATCCTTTTTCCCCTCCCTGCTCCTCAAGCCAAAAACTAAGTTCTCCCTGCAGTCCTGAAGAAAGAGTACCCTTCTTTGATTACTCTTCACTCTCCTAACCTCATCTTAGATTTAGCAAAGTCTTGGTAACAGGATTTTCTGCAGATCATAGATAGAAAAATGACAGAGTAGAAAGGTGGATGAAGTCAGGCTACTCCAAGAGGCAATTTTGGGGGTATGTGCAGGGATCCGTAACAGCCCAGGTTGGCATCTTGGAGTTTGCTGATGTTTGGAGGGGCTTCTGCCCTGGAAGTAGAGGACCAAGGCTGAGGGCAGTGCACACAGCACGGAGCTGTCCCTGCCCCCTGGGGCACACCCACATGTGGTGCTGCTACATGCCCGGGGGCTAGGAAGGAATAGGCCATTCACAGACCAGTGAGTTCACACAGATGGGGCTTGCTGTTCCACCACCAGCATAACTTGACCCAGGAGGTGACGCTGAGGCTTGATGGTCATCTCTGGCAGGAAGATTGGAGAAACGGACTCATGCCATGGACTGTGATTTAGAATGGAGGACCTCATTTCAGCTTCCTTGCGCTGAAGTGGAGGGCCGGTTTTCACATCCAGACTTAGTATGCCACACACAGACACACACACACCGGAAACAAAGTTTTATGTAAAAATATTTTTGCTTACTGCTTACTTTAAAAAGCAGTTTCCTTACGATATGATACGCACTGTGATATTTTCCACTCTATTCCTTTATTCAGTGCCAGGCATGACCTACTCAATAGATTTCATGACCCACTAATGGGCTGCAGTGTGAGGTTTGAAACCTCTGCCCAGAGGCAGATTCTGCATGCTTATTTAGAGGAATGTCTGTCTAGACGAGAGAGATTCATAGAAAGGAGATCATTTTATGGAAAAATACAGATATTCATGGACTTTATCACCAGGATTCTACTTTGTTTCTCCTCCTGCCTTCATTACCCAGGCAGGAGCTGTATCTTCAATGCCTCGTGGGTCTGCGTACAAGCCCTACAGGTGCCCCAAAGCCATGTGCAGAGCTAAGCACCCCATTTTTCTCATAACTGACCCCTCTGCCTGGAGCTCTACTCCCGCTCCTCTGGCCCTCCTCTGTGCTGCCCTCCCAAATCGCCCCAGCTAAAAATGTTGGCAGTCCCTTCCATACCTGTCTTTCTTATTCTGCACATCCGCTCATCTCAAGGGACTATTGATTCTGCCTCTAAAATTGCTGCCAGCTCTGTGTCATCTTTTCCATTAATATAGCTATTGCCTTCATCATCTCTAACCTGGAGAACAGGAAGAGAATTCCTCATACTCTCCCTGGTCTAGAAGGTGACAGAGGGGCTGTTTTTGTGGGGTGTTCCAATCCAACCTGATCATGTCCTTTCCCCCTCCCCAAGCCCTCAGCATGGCCCCTGCAGTCTCCTCCTCAGCACCTCTCCAGCTATGGTTCTTCTCTCCTTGCACAGTGCAGCCATTTATTAACCATGTCGTCTACTGAATTCAACCAAACAGAGCTGTATATTTTCTCTGTATCAGGAAAATGAAAACGCCTCCACCATAGAATCTTAAAATGTGTTTCTTTAGGATCATCTTAGCCACTGGTTCTCAACCATCATTACACATTAGAACCACCTGGGGAGCCTTAAAAATACCCAACCCCGGCCGGGCGCGGTGGCTCACGCCTGTAATCCCAGCACTTTGGGAGGCCGAGGCGGGTGGATCATGAGGTCAGGAGATCGAGACCATCCTGGCTAACAAGGTGAAACCCGTCTCTACTAAAAATACAAAAAATTAGCCGGGCGCGGTGGCGGGCGCCTGTAGTCCCAGCTACTCGGGAGGCTGAGGCAGGAGAATGGCGTGAACCCGGGAAGCGGAGCTTGCAGTGAGCCGAGATTGCGCCACTGCAGTCCGCAGTCCGGCCTGGGCGACAGAGCGAGACTCCGTCTCAGAAAAAAAAAAAAAAAAAAAAATACCCAACCCCTAGAGAATCAGACTTAATTGGTTTGGTGTTGGGGCTTGCGGACCAGTGGGGTTTTGGGGAGGGTTCCCTAGGTAATTCTGTGTGTAGCCAGGTTTGAGAATCACTGACAAAGGCTCCTAAACCAAGATACGGGGAAGAGTCCATGGAGCATGGATGAGCTTTGAGGGGTCTGTGTGCTGTGTGGGCTCTCAAGTAAAGGTGTGTGTGTGGGCATGTGCCCATTTTTCTGAAAGGCAGATCTAAACATTCATCAGATTCTGGAAAGATTCTATAACCCAGAAAAACAAAGAGCCTGTGCTCCAGATGAACCCCTTCTACCATATGGATGTGGCACACACAGTCAGGGCCAAGAGGCTGGGCAGAAAACTACGGATGGCTCTGCCTGCTGTGATATTGGTCGAGTACTCAACCTCCCCAGCCCTGAGTTTTCTCCTCCACAAAAATCAGGATAATGCGTGCTTTGCAGAGTTACTGAAAGAATTGGAGAGAAGGCATGAGAAGTGCCTGATGTGGTACTGGGCCCCTCCTCCACTGTTACTAATAATGCTCTTATTGCTTACAACACTATTTCTAAGAATGCTGTTTCACAAAAATTAAAAAAACTTCCATTTATTGAGCATCTTCAACTTCAAAGCAGCCAGATGCATTATAAGGTATTTGATCCATCCCCACAATAACCCCATGAGGTCGGCCCTCTTCCCGGGAGAACTGAAGCTTGGAGGAGTTCAGGGGCATCCCCAAGGCGGCAGGGCCTGGTTAGCTGGATGAGAAGCTGGGCTCCTTGCCACCAGATTGGGCTGCTCTAGCAAGGCCAGATCAGTGAGGGGCGAGAAGAGCCATGGTGCTGCATCTTGGGTTGGAGGAAACCTGAATTCACAGCCAACCCCACCCTTCTCTCCCTGTCCCCTTTCCAGCCGCTACTGGCGCCGGTGGAATCGGTTCTGCAGAAGGAAGTGCCGCGCCGCAGTCAAGTCTAATGTCTTCTACTGGCTGGTGATTTTCCTGGTGTTCCTCAACACGCTCACCATTGCCTCTGAGCACTACAACCAGCCCAACTGGCTCACAGAAGTCCAAGGTGAGCGGCGGCCCCAGCTCTGCTCTGGTTTCCTCCTGGTAACTCAGCCCCAAGGCCCAGGGGAGGGCATAACCACAGGCAGAAGGTGGAGGGGAAAGCAGCCAATGGTCGGGGCTCTTGGCAGGTGCTGTGCTGGAGACACCAAGGGCCTGGCAGTTCCAAAGCCCCACAATAAAATGCGCTACCTTGTTAAAAACAGACACGGCTCTCCTGACTGGGCCCACACCATCAGCCTGCCCCAAAGTCACTGTTGGACCCAGGTGATGAGGAAAGGGGCTGCAGCTTGTTTGCCTATCTCAGACTCCTGGCTGCCAACTCCCCAGCATGGATTTTAAATACCTGGGGGCCTTCCTACAGCCCTGAGGTGGCCTTAACCAGAACACATGAGGATGGAATGAGCAAAAAGGCAGAGAAGAGAATAGGGCCTGAGCACAAGGAACCGTCTTCAATGGGTCGTTCATTCTCATTATCCTTCCTTGGGCCCCTAGACGAGGGTCCCACTAGCCAGGCCTCAGCATCATTGCTGGGCAGTCAAGAAGACCTGGCCCCATCCTCCACAGCTGCTTTCCAGAGTCCTGGGAGGCAGGGGGTCTAGTGGCGGAGAAGTCAGACTCAGACAGTGCGGCTCCAACTGTTGGCTGTTTGGCCTGCACAGGCTACTCACCTCTTTGAACCTCCTTTCTCATCTCTGAAAATGGGCATGACGATGGTGGTACCATCCCCACAGGCCTGCTATGAGGAGGAGAGATTGTGTGTGCTGAGCCTATGGTGCATGGGAGATGCTCAGTAAATGTCTGTTATGATTGTGACGAGAGAGCCCTTTCCCATTGGCTTGGCCCCAACTTCTGTTCTGGCCGAGGTGGATGGGAGAGGTGTCATGGGGGATCTTTTTTCCAATGGAGATAATTACTGTATTTCCTTTCCCTGCCTCCCTCTCTGCCTCCTCTGGCCCTGCTCGGATCTCATCCCTCTCCTGGGCCTGCCAGACACGGCAAACAAGGCCCTGCTGGCCCTGTTCACGGCAGAGATGCTCCTGAAGATGTACAGCCTGGGCCTGCAGGCCTACTTCGTGTCCCTCTTCAACCGCTTTGACTGCTTCGTCGTGTGTGGCGGCATCCTGGAGACCATCCTGGTGGAGACCAAGATCATGTCCCCACTGGGCATCTCCGTGCTCAGATGCGTCCGGCTGCTGAGGATTTTCAAGATCACGAGGTACTGGGCTCCCCCTCTCACTTTGAAGAGGGGACTCAGGAAGAAGTTCTTCCAGAGGGCAAGGGAGGTGGCAAGGCCTGGGTGGGAGGGGGGCTGTTCTTCCTCAAAGGGTGTCTCTGAAGTTCACATGCAATGGGGGTAGTTTGTGTTCATTTAGATGGCACATCATTTGGAAATTCCTCTGGCTGCTAATACCAGAGACTCAACTCAGTAATGTAAGCAAGCTAGGGACTTATTCAGCCATGGAAAAAAAGTCCAGAGGCAGCTAGCTGAGGTGCCTTCAAGAAGAGGGTCAGGGACTCAATCTCTTCTCCTGTGCTTCACCAGCCTTGGTGCTGATTCTTCTCCAGGGTCATAAGATGACTTCTGGAGACTGAGCCATCACATTCAAATTGGAGGTGGGAAGAAGAGAAAGGAGCAAAAGGGCCGACCACCCCGGCCAAGTCAGCTTCTCCACTCCCAGAAGTCACTCCCAGACACACCCATTAGGACTGCTGCTGTCAAAAAAAACTGAAAATCATAAGGGTTGGCAATGACATGGAGAAATTGGAACCCTTGTGCACTATGGGTGGGAGTGTAAAATGGTGCAGCCACCGTGGGAAATGGTATGGCAGTTCCTAAAAACGTTAATGATAGGATTACCCTCTCATCCATCAATTCCACTTCTGGGTATATGCCCAAAATAATTGAAAGTAGGATCTCAAAGAGATATTTGCACACCCAAGTGCCTTAGACAGATGAATGTATTTTTAAAATGTGGTCTACACATACAGTTCAATATTATTCAGTCTTAAAAAGGAAGGAAATCCTGACACATGCTACAAAGTAGATGAAACTTAAGGACATTATGCTAAGTGAAATAAGCCAGTCACAGAAAGACAAATACTGTATGATTCCATTTATATGTGGCTCTTAGAGTAGTCAGATTCACAGAGACAGAAAGCAGAATGGTGGGCGCCCAGGGCTGGAGGGAGGGGGCAGTGGGGAGTTAGTGTTTAATGGGTTCTGGAGATGGAGGATGGTGGTGGTTTCACAACAGCGTGAATGTATTTAGCACCACTGAATTCTACAGTTTAAAAAAAAAGGTTAAGATGGTAAATTTTATGTTATGTGTATTTTAACACAGTGAAACAAATTGGAAGAAATCTTCCAGAAGTCTCAGCAAGGGCTTCTGTTCTTGAGCACCTGAGCTGTTAGGGAGGCTGAGAAATGCAGTATTCTAGCAGGACAAGTTCTGCTGAAAATGCGTTCAAGATCTAGCCACTGTAAAGGGCTGTGGACACTGCACTGCAGATGGTGTTCACCCTCTGTCCACATGGCCACCCCTCCATATGTCAGTCCGGCACCTACCCAAAGCAGGCCATCTCCCTCACTGTCTAGGCCAAGCAGTGACTCTCAAGACAAGGACAGGGCTGAGGGGCACCATGCTCTAGGACAATGATTTTCACCTGACTTATGACCACTGGGAGTGGTGGAATCCATTTATTGGATCACAACCATCATTTTAAAACATACTGAAATATAATTCATATCCCATATATTTACCCCTTACAATGTGTAACTTAATTGTTTTTTTATATTCATGGTTATGCAACCATCACCATGTTCTAGTTGTAGAACATTTTCATCACCCCAGAAAGAAACTCCATACCCATTCCACATTTCCCCCATCTTCCCTCCCAGCAACCAAATTCACTTTATGTCTCTATAGAGTTGCCTATTTTGGACCATTCATGTGAGTGAAATCTTATAATATGTGTTTTTGTGATGGCCTCTTTGACTTAGAATAATGTTTTCAAGGGCCATCCATGTTGTAGCATAGATCAGTACTTTGTTTCCTTTTATGGTGAATAATATTCCATTGTAGGGATATACTACATTTTGTGTATTCATGTATCAGTGATGGACATTTGGTTGTTACTATCTTTTGGCTCCTATGAATAATGCTGCTATGAACATTCATGTTCAAGTCTTCCTATAGATGTAGGCTTTTGTTTTTCTTGGATAGGTACCTCGGAGTGGAATTTCTAGATTATTTGGTAACAATATGTTTAAGATTTTGAGGAACTGTCAAACTGTTTTCCAAAGAGACTAAAGCATCTTACATTTCCACCAGCAATGTATAAGGGTTCCAATTTCTTCACATTCTCACAAGCATCGTTTTTAAAGAAAGAATGAAATAGAATAGGAAAACATCAGAGGGTCTCACATGAACGTAAACATTGTTTCATAAAAAGCTGAGATGCAGACCTGACTTGCAGTAGAATACATATTTCTTAATGTGCGTTATGATCAACCTTAGAAGACATATGGGAAACACCTGGAAGGAATTTTCAACCTGTGCCCCTCTAAGGTACAAGTCCCCTGTCCTTAAAAATCTGCTTTGGGGGCTCCCAAAATCTCTGCTTTGGGGAATCTTTGATAACAGGAGCACTAAAACCATCCGTTGGATTGTGATGGGTAAAAAGGGATGGAGGTTGGTGTCTTCAGTTCAGGATCTGGAGCTGATGGCATCTTGCTCAGAGCGTGTTTCTGAGTGTCCCTAGGTGTTGCTCTTCTCGTCACAATTCTCTTGGCAACCACCCAGAGCATGGTCACATGGTGTTGTGGATGGTCCGGGGAGGTAGACATTTAAAGTGTTTCATTTAGTGCACAGAAAGGACTCAATATGCAGAAGCTTTTATTATTCATCTAATATTATGACTGCTATTATTAGAAGGAAGAAAGAGAAGAGAGCTAATAGTGACCTACATATTCACATACTCTTGTTCTTACTTATTTACCCACTACGTATATACTGTGTATTGAGCTCAGAGAGATGGAAAAAATCGAAAAATAAGGCGTATGGCGTGAACTAAATCCAGGAGAAATGTATAGTCTGGTTGGGGAGATGGAGTTTGTGCACATGAAGAGATTAAAGGAAAATCTATGACAGAATATAATGAGCTGGCAAAGTGTGGTGGGCGTGGGAATTACCTGCTGTGAGAAATTGGGAGCAGGAGATAGCTCCTGGAGAAGGTTGAATCTCAGATGAGGGACTTAACAGACACCCACGATTAAAATCCAGAAGTTTAATGCTCCTAAGCAACAGCCTTCTTTCCCTCTCTGACCCCATCGAAAGAGAGCTCTTCCTAAGTGTCCTGAATATGTTGGCATTACAGAAAGTCCTTGGTTTACAGTGAAAGTGGTAGAAATCCTTATATCAGCAATGATTACCATGCACCAGTGCTTACTCTGTGCCAGATAGGGTGAGCAGAGGCCTACGAATGTTAGCTTGAGTGATCCTCCCAAGTACCTACATGAGGATGAGGATAGGCTACTACTATTATTATTCCCACTTTGCAGATGAGAGACTGAGGCTTAGAGAGTTGTCAGTTGCCCAAGGTCACAAAACTGCTCAGAGGTAACACTGGGATTAAAAGGCAAGGCAGGTCTGTGGTCTGACTTGAGGTGCTATACTCCTAACCACTGCCATGCACTGCAGAGCTGAGAGCTGACCTGTCTTCTTGTCTAGGTCCCTGAGACAGGACTTAAAAGATCTTTATGCCCTGGTTCTTGTTAGATAATTGCCGATTCTACTTGCTCCTCCTGGGGTCTGGTAAAACTATTTTTAACTTGCAGTTTTCAATGCCTCTTAAATAATTCTCAAAAGTCCCTGTTTTGGGCTTTTATGTATATATTTCTATAGAAAAGAAATCTTGCTGCTATATATTGTTATGACATCTTGAAAAGATTTAACATTCATTCTATTTTTAATCACCAATTTATTTCTAATCTGAAGATATTGCCAAGAAACCATTTTTAAAAATCTATCTTAATCAGAGAGCTTCCTGTAGTCCCTCCACAAGAAGGAGTAGTAGTATTTTCAGATCTCTATGAAGTCTATAAACAGAAAAAATCATTGTCTAATTGAAAGTGACTGTGGCAAAGGCCGTCATCTTCCTATTTTCAAGTCTCCAAAGCCTCTGGGGGCTTTCGGAAAGCAACAAAGAGACTAATTAGGTTGGGGGATCCCATAAGTCCGTCTCCAGCGCCAGCCTTGGGACTGGGTGACAGTGACCAAGAAAAATGCCTAAAATATGGGTTGGGAGTGGACATTGTGGTCCCTTCAGCTGAACCTTGAAATGGGTCATCTGTGCATGGTCCTGCCATCAGACAAGTGCATGCCTTCTTCTTTTAAAATATCTTGGAAAGTACTTTGCAATGTCTTGCTGCTACTCATATGTAGAAGAAATTTCTTCTCTTTTTTTTTTTTTTTTTTTTTACAATGTAGTCTGAACCAGTAATTGCAATTCTTAAACTTAGCTGAACCCATGAAGGAGTTCATTAAGGAGCTCATCTCTAGAGATTTTGGCCAGCAACTCCTGGAGAGTTCCATGCTAGTGGTCCAATGACCGACCTCACTTGAAGAACCACTGGCCTAATTTCCTACTGCTGCTCTTGGTCTGCTTTCTTCTCCTAAAATACTGCCCTTCATATGCAATCGGAAAACTTGATTATTATTCCTCCTCCTCCTCCTCCTCCTCTTCCTCCTCCTTCTCTTCTTCCTCCTCCTCCTCCTCTCCTCCTCCTTCTCCTCTTCCTCCTCTTCCTCCTCCTTCTTCTCTTCCTCCTCCTCCTGTTCCTCCTCCTCTTCCTCTTCCTGCTCCTTCTCCTCTTCCTCCTCCTCCTCTTCCTCCTTCTCCTCTTCCTCCTCCTCCTCCTCTCCTGCTCCTTCTCCTCTTCCTCCTTCTTCTTCTCTTCCTCCTTCTCCCCTCCTCCTTCTCCTCTCCTCCTCCTTCTCCTCTCCTCCTCCTTCTCCTCTCCTCCTCCTTCTCCTCTTCCTCCTCCTCCTCTCCTCCTCCTTCTCCTCTTCCTCCTCCTCTCTTCCTCCTCTTCCTCCTCCTTCTTCTCTTCCTCCTTCTCCTCTTCCTCCTCCTCTTCCTCCTCCTCTTCCTCTTCCTGCTCCTTCTCCTCTTCCTCCTCCTTCTTCTGTTCCTCCTTCTCCTCTCCTCCTCCTCCTCCTCTCCTCCTTCTCCTCTCCTCCTCCTCCCCTCCTCCTTCTCTTCCTCCTCCTCTTCCTCCTCCTCCTCCTTCTCTTCTTCTTCTCCTCTCCTCCTCTTCTTCCTCCTTCTCCTCCTCCTCTTCCTCCTCCTCCTCTCCTCCTCCTTCTCCTCTTCCTCTTCCTCCTCTCCTCCTCCTCCTCCTGTCCTCTTCCTTCTCCTCCTTCTTCTCCTCCTCCTCCTCCTTCTTCTTCCTTTTCTTCTTCTTCTTCTCTTCCCTCTTCTTTTTTCAAGACAGGATCTCACTCTGTCACCTAGGCTGGAGTGTGGTAGCATAATCATAGCTCACTGTAGCCTCAAACTCCTGGGCTCAAGTGATACTCCAGCCTCGTCTCAGCCTCCCAAGTAACTGGGACTATAAGTGCCATGTCTGGCTAATATTTTTATTTTTTGTAGAGATGGGGTCTCACTATATTGCCCAGGCAGGTCTGGAACTCCTGGACTTAAGAGATCCTCTCACTTGGCTGACCACCTTGCCCAGCCAAAAAACTTGATTCTTACATCTCCACTGTCTTCTCCATACTGTAGTCTCTAATTCTGTCAAGATGGTACTTTTGATAGTTTTTGACTGAGAAAACACATCAAGGTAAGAACTACTATGAATTCAGCAAAGCTTTTAAATTTAAATTCCTACACATCTGTGTATGTTTGAAAAGTGGTAATATGAATGCAAGACAAGGCTGTTTATTCAGAGTAGTATAATGCTTGGTGTACACATGGATTCATGGATCCCTTTCTAGAATTCTAGAATTCCAGGCTGCTCTTCCCTCACCCAGGACCCATGGTCCAAGGGTCGGGAACAGGGATCTAAATCAATGGTTCTTCACCCTGAGGTCATGACACAGTGGTACATCCAGAGCAGCTGGATAGTGATAGCAAATAATTTATTACTGAGAGCTGAAATTCCAAAGTTTGTGAATAGTTTCTTTAAAAAATAAAACAAATTAATATTGTCCTTGTAACATAATAGCATCACTCTGTCACTTGCATTACAAAATGCTTCTATGAATGGGTGAGATCCGGGTGGACTTACAACTCATCCATGATGCCTGAAGGGAGCAGATGTCTTTGATATATCATTATGAGGAAAATGAATTATTTACATACTGACATTTTTTGTGTTTTGTCAAAATCTGAGAACACCTTAGGGAGTATGCTACATGTATGAAGATCATTCATCCTCTTGTTGAGAACACCTTAGGGAATGTGCTACATGTATGAATATCATTCATCCTATTGTTTCAAGACAAAAAAAAGGCCAGGAAGCCTGTACTAGACTGTAAGAAAATTACTTTATAGAAAAGATTGAGGAAGACAAGATTCCTGCTCATTGAAAACAGTGGGGCACACGCATGGCCGGAATCTTTGTCATCTTTGAGTAAATGCCCCAGTACGGTGGGCCTTCCAGCCTCATGATGGATTGGGTTCTTCCACCTGTGGCTCTTGGTGCTGCCCAGATTCAATATCCAGTTTTTCTACTCTTTGTCAGCCCAGTCTGACATATTCTGTGGGGTGGGAGAAGGGCTCCAGACAGATTCAATCCGGACGTGATACCAGTTTACTGATTGCATCTCATTTTTGACACACTTGGTTTTCAAGTGCAGTGAGGCCCCTCTAGCACTTGCTGTTTCCCCTCTCACACCTTCAATCCCTCTTTATTTCTCCTGCTGCTCCTCCCCTGCAGCTCCCTTCCCAGGCCTTGAAATGGGAGCTGGGGCTGATTCAGCACAGACAGATTGGCTCATAAATCTTGGCCACATATGGGCCCCACAGAGCTCCAGGTGAGAGCCGTTAGCACATCTCCCAGGCTCGAAATGTCTCCATGTCCCTACCAGCATCTGGCCTTGAGCAGCAGATCCAGCCCCACACCTTCCCAGCTCTTCCATCACCTTCTAGCCCCCACTCTTCTCAGGCCCCCTGGAGCCTCTGAGCTCATTGAGGGCCATTATTAAGGAAGTCTGTTTGGCAGATGCCCAGTTCCCTGGCAGGGGTCTGTGGCAAAGGTAGCTCAGACTCCAGAGCCTGCAATGTGGCTGTCAACACAATGGGTGGTTCTCCTTTGGTATGGGAATGGACTGGTGTCACCTACTAGGAGAAAGATTAAAAAGATGCAGGTGAGGATGACTCCCTAGCCCTGACACAACTGTGGTTGGAGGGGCCAACTAGGTGACACTGAGTAGCCCCGTGGCCCAGAAGCTCAGAGAAGCATGCTGCTAAGGCCATCCCCAGGTCCAGGCCAGACCACCTTGCCCGCTTGACCAGGTTACACTCCCCATGCAGGTTCCGTTCTTAATGTGACCGAGACATCTGCTGCAAACAGAGAAGACAAGACCTTTGAACTTGTTAACTAAGTCAGCCCTTGCCTCAAAAGTGAAACCACAAAATGGTCTTCCCAGCCTGCTAGAATGGACGGGAGCAGGGGCAGGTACCAGTAGAAACTGAACCGGTAGTTGAGGCCTTGGGGCCCAGGTTGTCCCAGACCAAAATACTCTAGAATTCTGCTTGACTCCTCCTGGCCCAGCCCAGCATATACGGTTCTGCCTCTGGGCATCCTAATCCCTCCCAGCTCTATTGTGTCTTAAGGGGCTGGGGCTCAATTTGACGGAAGCTCTGCTCTGAGGACACCCCCTCCTGTGCTCACTTGCTGGATGGATTCTACCTGCTTCCCCAGGTGGCCTCAGCCAATTCTCACTCCTCTTCACTCCATTGCCTCCCATGAAGCCCCAGCCACACAGATTCACCACAGGGGACTGCTTTATAACTGCTCTTTTAACAATAGATCACTTGCCACCGAAACTAAGAATTTTTTTTTAGCCTTCAGGATGAGAACATTTTGGGCAGGTATCAAACTCAGTTATGACCTTCTCTGGAACACAGAGAGAATAGGGTGGAACATTTGCAGAGCATCCGAAAGTGGTGGGTACTGTTATTTTGAAGATCTCTTATTTATGGCAAGCTCAATGCTCTGCTCTATACCTAGAATAAAGGTAAAGGACCTGGCCCTGAGCTCTTTGAAGCAAAAGGTTCATGAGATGAAAGTTCCAGTTCAAGGAAGGCTCGGGTCACTTTATATTATAGAAGAGGAGGAAGAATTCCACAGAGCCCCAAACCCAGAGACAGACCTAGAGACGGGGAAACAAATGGAGATAAAAGGATTTCTGAACAGATGGTGGTAACTTAAATCAGGAGAGGCAGAGGGAAAAGGTAACAGAAGTGACATGGTGGTCGGCAAGTGAGAGAGCTTAAAGGGAGGCTGGGAGTAGGAAGGTAGAGGGAAGGAGAGAATTTAGGTGGCAGAGAACTTGATGTGATGAAAAGCCCTCAGATGTGCTGTACTTTTAAGGATAAAACAGGGAGCCGAGTGGGTCAGATGGGGGATGGGGTGAGCAGGGACGCACAGTTTGGAGAGAATGATTCCAGCAGCTGGAGAATGGGAAAGGAAAGTTGATGCCAATGATGGCGACGCAGGCAGAGTGTCTGGGGGGTGATCTAGAGCTGGACACCGGCACCCGGGTGCTGTAGAGCCCACAGTACTGAATGTGAGCTTGTGGGCATGTGTGTGCACTGCTCTGATGAGAGAGTGCTTCATTTTTATGCTTTTCCATGAGGCCTGTGACCAAAAGACATGAAGTGCTTTGCTCTGCTGCTGCTCGCTTCTCTCCAAAGCTCTTGCCTTTTTGGTGTGTGAGCGTGTGTATCTCATATTTTTGACCAATGAGGAAAAAAGCTTCAGCTGATTGTGAATGTGCCATTAACCCCTCTAGTTTACCAACAGTGAATCTTCCTAAAAAAGATGGTGATTCTAGGATAGGAGGCCATCATCCAATCTTCAGGCCATAGCTGTGCGAGCCATCAGACCACATTAAGAGGAGGGAGTGTGAGGACCTGCAGGACCGCCAGCTGTTTATTTAAGTGGTTTCACGTCACCCTACCCACCTCAAAGGCTGCCACCTGGACACCTCCAAATCCCATCCATATCAGTGATAGTGAGCCCCCACCCTCAACCTGCTACCAGCCAAGGCCTGCCAGTCTCCAGAATTCAGCCCATCTCCTCTGAACCCTATCAGCATTCTTTGCCACATCATCATTTCAGCAATTCCTTTGTCTCATCTTCTAGATGAGCATATAAAACATCCCTGATAATTTGCACGTTAGGAATGGAAGCCTTCTGCTCAGCAAGCTGAGCACCCCTCGTGATGCCAGGCCCTGGGCAGCAGCCTGCCCCCTTTATCCTGCTGCAAAGGAAAGGAAAGGACAGGTGGCAGGCCTGCCTCGGGCCCAACCCCATCTTTCTCTCTGTTGAATGGGAAGCAACAGTAGGCTGAAGACAAACAGCACAAACAACCATATCTCTGTCTGTCTGTCTGTCTGAGCCATGTTTTAACTGTGTTACTGGTCCCCAGGACAGTGTCTTTCCCCTCAGGTGTTTTTCATGTAGACAGTAGGCTGGTGCCAATTCATCTTTTAAACAGAGGCTGACCTGTGCCCTCAAAACTGGGACCAGTGAATTTGAGAATGTGAGTTCTTCCCCAAAGGTGACACATGTTCACAGTGATCTGGAAATCCTACTCCCAAGGTTTGCTCAAGCCACAGAAACCGTTTTCTGTAGGACATATTGATACATATTAGTTTGATGCATGGTCTGGCAATGGAACAGTCAGGAATCTCAGAAAATCCCTCCCCATGGATGTAGGGAAGCTATGGGAATAGGAAGGCTATGGGAGCAGGGGCAGGCAGCCACTTCTCACTGTTTGGCAAAGTGTGTTCAACTTAAGTGCACACGCACACAAACACACATGCACAGAAGCACCCATGCACCTCCATGGCCCCTTGCCTTTCCCTCCAGGAAGTACCAATGTGTCATATGAATAGTAAGGTTCATTCATTCACTGAACAAAATGTTTGCTCATCACCTGCTTTGGGCCAGGCACTGTTCTAAGCTCCAAGGATATAAATGTAACAGATGGGTTCCTTCTCCCATGGCCTCACATTCTGGCGAGGGCAAGCAGACAATAAGCAAAGAAGTAATTATTCTTTTTTTTTTTTTTTTGAGACGGAGTCTCGCTCTGTCGCCCAGGCTGGAGTGCAGTGGCGCGATCTCGGCTCACTGCAAGCTCCGCCTCCCGGGTTCACGCCATTCTCCTGCCTCAGCCTCCCGAGTAGCTGGGACTACAGGCGCCCGCTACCACACCCGGCTAATTTTTTGTATTTTTAGTAGAGACGGGGTTTCACCGTGTTAGCCAGGATGGTCTCGATCTCCTGACCTCGTGATCCGCCCGCCTCGGCCTCCCAAAGTGCTGGGATTACAGGCGTGAGCCACCGCGCCCGGCCAGAAGTAATTATTCTTTGAGAGTAATGAGGGATAGAGCGGTGGCCAGGGGAGATGTGAGGCCTGAAGGAGCTGAAGGGGTGAGCTCCACTGACGTCTGCCAAAGAACCTGCGGACGGACAGCAGCATGGCCTTGGTCAGGCAGGAGCATGTGTAGGAGTTGGAGAAAGTGAGGGGGCCCGAGGAAGGGGAGTGCAGCTGGCTGGTCCCTGAGGCTCTGGGCCCAGAATCTACAGCCTCTGCTAGGCCTTTGGGAGGACTCTGGCTTTGACCCAGAGGAGAAGGGGAGGTGACTGAAGCAAGACTGAGGCTTCGTGGGCCTCACCTCATAGCAACACCCGCTGCTGCTGCAGCTTGGACATCAGCTGCCCGGAGCGGGGGTCCAGGCAGTGAGGATGAGGAGGCGGTGGGAAGTGGCCAAAGTCAGGACTCATTTTGAAGATGGCGCAGAAGGATTTGCTGATGCAGAGTGTGAGAGAGCCAGGAAGATGACTCCGAGGACTTTGCCTTGAGCCAAAAGCTATGGTTCTCATTTCCTTGAGACGGGGAAGGTGATGGGTGGGAAGCAGGAGCTCCATCAGAGCACGAACCCGGTGTTGTGCAGCTTGGACTTTCCCAGACGCCCCAGGGGTTGAGGGAGGCAGGGGCGGCAGGGAGAGTGGGCAGAGGGTGCTCCTCCAGACACAGCTCTGTGTCCCTGCCCACGTCCTTGCCTTTGGCCTTCGCTCTAGGAGATCCCTGCTAGTTTCCATGCTCCATCTCTGCCTTCCCAGGAGTGTTCTCCCCTCTTAGAGACTGGATCTGTTCCTGGGCCACAGCCTCCTCCTCCCTGGAGCCCCAAGCATTCTGAGGGGCTCCCAGGTCAGGAGGGCCCCCCCACCTCACCATCCCTCTCTGCTCCTCATCTGGGGCCTCCCCCAGACTTTCTTGCTGACGGCACCTGGCCCTCTCCCTCTGCAGCCATGACCTGCTTGTCAGGCTCCCGTTGGTCCCCATGGCTGTCAGACATACCTGGGTCTCAGGTATAATCCCAGTTGCAGTTATTTCCCACATGCCTCTTTACTTCATGAAAACGAAGGCTCCAACCTTCCATGACCATTAAGGCTTTTCCAGAATCTTCCATGACAGTTGAGCGCACAGAGGATCTCTAGAGGATTTGTGACTTCAGTGCACATGCGGACACTCTTCCCTCGGATACAGCTGGAAATTCTTGTTATAAATATGCTTAAAGTTGCTGGTTCCCAACTCCCAGTGTATTGGCAGGTGTTGGACTGGTCGCCTGAGGATTACCCCAGCCCCAGAGTCAGCCCCAGAGTCAGAGATTAGGGTTTCATGGTGCAAGGGAGGGACCTGGGAATCAGGATTTAGGAAATGCTAACACACCCCTACTGGTATTGTTGTTGTTCTATTATTAATTAATTAATTAATATTTTAGGACAGGGTCTCACTCCGTCACCCAGGATGAAGGGCAATGGTGCAAACATAGCTCACTGCAGCCTCAAACTCCTGGGCTCAAGTGATCCTTCCATCTCAGTCTCCCCAGTAGGTGGGACTACAGGCATGCACCACCACACCCAGCTAATTTTTTAATTTTTTAAAGATGAGGTCTCACACTGCTGCCCAAGCTGGTCTCAAACTCCTGGCCTCAAGCAGTCCTCCTGCCTTGACCTCCTAAAGTGACAATCCTCCCAAAGGGGGTTATAGGCATGAGCCACCACCATGCCCAGCCACCTCTACTGATGTTGATCACCGGGCAGGCTTGGGAAAACTGCTTTAGCTGTAAGAGGGGAGGGTGTTCTACCCCCAGAGAGGTTCTCTTACTTTTTCCTTTAAGCAGATCACTACAGCCTCTAGCCTGCAGGGGCTCCAGGCAGTCCATCACACATACTGGGTTGTACAGAATTTATATAAGGACAGAGTTGGGAAGCTGGAGGGGGACAAAACCCTGCAATCTTCTGCCGTCTAAAATTTAGAGCCTATTTTGGTGAGACAAGACTGTATAGAACAGATACAAATAGATGTATATTAATATTCTGCAACAGAGGGGGTATGGCTGGCAGGCAAAATAGAAGTAAGGAAAAGCTGGATTTGTGGAGGCCAAAGGTGCCCTCGAGGCTGCAGGTTGGTAAAGAGTTCATGTTGCCATCCAAACTATGACCCCTCTGCTTCTGTCCCTTGGTGTGGAACCATTCTCTGCAGAGATGAGCCCAGGCTGTGGCTGCAATGGGAGTGGCTTGCATGTCACTCACTGAAGCAGCAAAAGCAATCCACTGTCTGGATTGGTGATGAGCTGGGAATCTCTCAAGGGAGTGACCTAGGAGGCAGGTGGGCCAGAGGGGGCCAGAGGGAAATGAGATTGTTCTGTTCTTGCTCTTGCTCCCTCAGGGCCATGTCCTTTTGCCATGGTGCACTTCCTGGTCCTGAGCTGACCCTCACACAGGTGCCCACCCTGCATCCAGCAGTCATTAGTAGGTTCCCCCTCCCACTTTGTCATGAGAAAGGGATTTTCCCAGGATCGCTGTATTTATAGTGGAGAGAGGCCCCAGGACTGTAAGGAGTGGGGACCTCCTCCCCAGGAATCCCACTGAAAGCCCATGTCCCCTCAGGACCGAGCTCCTGCCCACTCAGAGGACTCGTGCTTTGAGCTGCCCCAGTGGGTGTGACAGGTTTGCTATAATCTAGGATTTCCCAGACTCACCTGCTGATCAGAATCCTGTAGGATGCTTGTTAGAAACAAAGATATCTGGGCCCCAAACTACAGCTAATGAATCACAATCTCAAGAGGAAAGGCCCTTAAAGAAACAATTCTTAGGACAGCGTAAACTTGGGAAACCACCAAGCCATGAACTCTCTCTTACCCGTGGGTGACCTAATTCCTGCCTCTGCTAGAAGGCTGCTGCCTATAGGCTGAGCTCAGACTGGCATTCATGGTGGGGGAAAAAAAGCTTTCTTTCTGTTTAGAGACCAACAGTGACAACAATGATTACCAACCTTTATCAACTATGTGCCAGGCACTCTACAGGGGGCTCTTTGGGGAAAGGTGGATCATGTCACGCAATCCTGCCATAGCCTAATGAAGCAAGGGCTACAACAATCTCCATTTTTTTGATGGGGATGCAGAAGGCAGGGAAGTGAAATGTCTTGCCCAGAGGCACATGCAGCAGGTAGCCGGCAGAGCTAGGTCGCGGGCTTCTGACCACTGTCCCCCTCTCTTCCCCAACAGATTAATCATCTTGAGACCTTGAATTAACTCCCTCCAGGGTGGCAACTCACACCACCACCAACACGCATCCCCCACGGGCAGGGAAAAAGAGCATAGAGTGGCAGCTCCTCTGAGAACCTGCAGTGGGCAGTTGTGAGAATGAGGCACGATGGGGAGGACAGCAAGGGGCAGAGTGCTGACCTCCCTCCTGTTGGCTCTCAGGTACTGGAACTCCTTGAGCAACCTGGTGGCATCCTTGCTGAACTCTGTGCGCTCCATCGCCTCCCTGCTCCTTCTCCTCTTCCTCTTCATCATCATCTTCTCCCTCCTGGGGATGCAGCTCTTTGGAGGAAAGTTCAACTTTGATGAGATGCAGACCCGGAGGAGCACATTCGATAACTTCCCCCAGTCCCTCCTCACTGTGTTTCAGGTATGGACTCTTCTCTGCTGGGATTCGGACTCGGGGTGGTTGAGTGGCGGGGTGGTGGGAGGAGTGTGGGAAGCTGCACCCTTTTACCGGGCAGCCACAGCCATCCTAGATCAGCCCTGGAGAGCCCATGCCCGGGAGAGTCTTGAGTTTTTTCTGTAGTTTCCCTGTCCCCATCTGCCATGGAATTCCACTAGTGGGTGGACCATTAGGGGAAACAATATAAGTGGTTTAAAAATGCCTTCTCAGGAGAATCTCTTGAACCCAGGAGGCAGAGGTTGCAGTGAGCCAAGATTGCACCACTGCACACTCTAGCCTAGGTGACGGAGCAAGACTCCGTCTCAAATAAAAAAAAAAAAAATCGTTCTTATCCATGGAATCCTTTACTTAAATTCTCCATGAAAGCCCAAAACATAAAGAAAAGCAGACTGCTCTTACTGGGGGAGGGGAGGGTGACGAAACCCTGGCTTTCCTACCATGCTTGTCTCTTGAAAAAAATATTACTAGCCCATCAAATTTGTGATTTCATAGATATTTTGGCTTAGGGCAAACTCAAAGTGGCATCTATTTAAGTTTAAAAGCAGATCGATTGAGAGGTAAAAATGAATCACATGTAGATGTTGTCAAAGTCTTGAAGATGATGCCCCAGTGACGAATGTTTGGGGAAAGCTGGTGTAGCCTGTGGCTGTCTCAGCAAACACACAACTGCAAAAGGGTCCTGACGCCTTACCCCCAGGAATGGCTGACGGTCAGCTCAAGCATGTGTGGGGAAAGTCAGAGATCTTTGGGCCAAAAAGCCCTTTTAGTCACCCTTCAAATAATATTATGCCAATAGCCAGGCATTTTGTCTAAGGACAGTTCAATAGCTCAGAGCCCCTGGGGAGGAGAATTGGGGGCCAGGAGGAGGGAAAGAAGTGAAAGGGAAATTTTGGACAATTTTGTTGACGTAGTGGGGCAGGGCAGGGTGGTTTTGGGTTTGCTGTTGGTCTAACGCTGTGTCCCTTATTGGTGGGAATGTGTCATTCAGATCCTGACCGGGGAGGACTGGAATTCGGTGATGTATGATGGGATCATGGCTTATGGCGGCCCCTCTTTTCCAGGGATGTTAGTCTGTATTTACTTCATCATCCTCTTCATCTGTGGAAACTGTATCCTTTGCTGCTGCCCCCCACCCCTGCGGCCCCCAGCCCCCAGCCTGCAGCACAGTGCCAAACGGGCACGCCCCTCAGGTCCGGGCGGTCCTGCTCGGGCTCACACCACCCAGCCTAGAACCCCATGGCGGCGGAGGTGGGTCTGGGTGGAAACCTGCAGCTTTGGCATGGGTGAGGTTCACCTTCCTGAACCCTCCGGGCCCGCAGCGGCGCCGCGCTCCGGGCGGGCTGTCGCCGTAATCTGGGTGAGCGGCGCCCCCTGGCGTTGCGGCGTGTGCGGCCACTCACACCGCCTGCGATAGGGACGCGCGGGAGCGGGCCGGCTGCCCTGGGGCCGCGGCGTCTGCTCAGAGGCGGGACGCTCCGGGAGGGAGGATGAGCCGTTGTCCTTCAAGTGACCTTCAGCTCTCCTCCTGCTTTTTGGTCAGCAGCCCTCTCTCTGATGCTGCTCTCCAGGACTTTAGTCACGGGCAGAGCTGCACAGACTTCAAACAGCCCCAAAAGCTCCTTCCTGATCCCGGCTGGGGCAGGTTTCCAGGGCACAAGCCACGGGTGCTGCTTCTCTTCCCCAGCTCATAACCCCGAGAGAGTCACGTCCAGAGCCAGGGGTAACATAGGAACAGCTCTGGGCCAAGTCCCAGCTAAGGCAGTGCAGAAAACACAGTCATGGAAGCCTGCAGACAAGGTTTCCTCTTTTCCCAGCTGGATGACCTCTTGCAGATTGAAGGTCCTCTACCTCAGTGTCTGTAAAATGTGGCAATGGAATCATAGAACCTACTACATAAAGGGTCGTTGGGAGTTTTCATGGGATCATGCATGCAAGGCCTCTGCCACATTCAGAAGCCACCCTGGACAAAGCCCCTCTTCCCCAGCCTGGGTTGCTGCGGCTTCCCTGTGTGTGAAATGATATGAATGTCTGGGTGCCTGGGGCCGGGGGTCAGACTTCACAGACTTAAAGCCCCCTTCCAGCTATGCTTTCGTTGATTCTGCAGTTCTCTGACCCACAGTGTTTCTGTTGGTGGAGTGGGGAGGAGAAAGGGCAAAGAACTGTCTCCACTGGGAACTCCCAAGCCTTGGCTGGCTCCAGATGGACCCTCCAAGGGTCTTCGTGGGTGCAGGCTCACATTAAGAGTTGGCAGAGATACCAAGCCACCCCCTCAGCGCCCAGTTATAATAAACCGCTCTTAAGAGCGTTCTGCATCCTGCTAGAGACAATGCTGTTTATAATGTCAATTACAGCCAGTCATCTCAGCAGGGAAAGCAATCATGAAACCCAGCAATTAAAGTGCAAGGCAGGGCTTGCTGCCTCCCTCCCGCCTGCTCCAGTGTGCAGGCTAGCCTGTTCTCATCCCTCTTGATAGCTCCAGGTAGCTAGGAGGGTGATGGGGAGGAAGGGGAGGGGAGGAACACTGTTGGGGTCTGACTCCCTCAAATTGCTTCCCCCTCAAGCTCTCTCTGCTGAGGAGCTCTACCCTGCACGCCCCACATCCCCCGTGCCCCTGTGCCCACCAAAACCCCAAACCAAGGGTCATTTTCTTTAAGAATGGACACAAACAGATATCCTACTGAATGTGTTCTTGGCCATTGCTGTGGACAACCTGGCTGATGCTGAGAGCCTCACATCTGCCCAAAAGGAGGAGGAAGAGGAGAAGGAGAGAAAGAAGCTGGCCAGGTAACCCTCTAAGCTTGCCCAGGCCTGGGGCTCCAGGGCTCCCATTGTGGAATGTCTTCCCACTGGTGGCAGAGAGAGGCTTGACTGCTAGCCTCTGTTGGCTCTCCCTCCTAGGAGGACTCTGGGTTTGGGGCTTCCTAAGTTGGGCCTCTCTCCTAATTCCTAAGCATCACTCTGGTAGGGACCATCATGAATTATAATAATCTCTGCAATGGTGTCATATTCTCCACCTGCTGGGATTATCTTTTGAGAAGCTGTGATAGGTGGCAGGAGTGTAGGGTGGGGAGAGAGAAAGGTAACCACTCAGTTGGGAAACGCAGCTCCAGCTTACAGAGGGAGTCCTCCTCACTACTTTATAATTCATCTCCAGTGTTAGGAAGGCAAGACGGGGCCCTATGTTGTATCCTATCATTATCTAGACGGGACAGTTCCAGGCCACACAGCTGCCGGGCACTGAGCAGAGCTCCTCCAGGAGCCAATCCTAGATGAGATCCACCATCCTTTTCTGCTTTGGCGACCCAGGCATCTCTGGAGCTGCAAGAGGCCAATTGCGTGTCAGGCAGAGCAGGTGTAGCTCAGCCCCATAGCACTTGTGACTGAGCTGCACACGAGAAGCGTCCTGGAGAAAGGAAGATGGACTCAGACCCAGGGGATCTGTCCCCTCTGGCCCCAACAGGCCACAGGGCGGTTCCCTCCTACACTGTTCCCTATCACTCCAGTAAACAGCCATTTATTTTTTTCTGCTGCTGACTGGCCAGGACTGCCAGCCCAGAGAAGAAACAAGAGTTGGTGGAGAAGCCGGCAGTGGGGGAATCCAAGGAGGAGAAGATTGAGCTGAAATCCATCACGGCTGACGGAGAGTCTCCACCCGCCACCAAGGTGAGGAGCTGTCTCCTTCCTGGAGCTGTGAGGCCGGTGCTGGGGAGGGAGGGCCACAGCCTTCCCAGGCCAGAACCCTGTGGAGAAGAGGAGAGAAAGAAAGACACCCAGTGGAAAGAAAGCCAGTGGGGATGAACAGGAGAGCTGGGAGGGGGAAGATAAGGCAGATTGGCTGGATCCCAGCCATCTGCTGATGTCTTGAAGGAGATATGCAAAGTGACAAGTACCTATTTTTGAGCTAAGTCACTGACTAAAATGCAACTTCAAGGCTACTGCAAGCCTCTTAACTTGGGGACGTATCTAACTATTCTTCCCCCTTCTCCCCTGTGACTGTCTAGATCAACATGGATGACCTCCAGCCCAATGAAAATGAGGATAAGAGCCCCTACCCCAACCCAGAAACTACAGGTACCAGTCCCACTGCCTAACCTGGGATTGGGAGATTGGGGGCAGAGATCTAAATTCTAAAGCCACGTGGGAGTGGCCATATATTAGGGACCATGGTTCCAGTGTCCCTCTGTAAGTACCTTCCACTGCTGAGTGTCTTCTATCTCTATATTTAAGCATCATCAGTCAGCATCTGGGAGGCAGGTTTGTTTCTGGTTTCCTCATAATGAGATCACATTTGAGCAGTGCTTTTGTGTCCTTTCCAAGTTGGATTCAGTGTACATTTAAATTTTTGTTACATTACATGTTGTAAAATCATCATTAATTTATATAATGTATTAGTATGGCATATGTTGCAACATTATGCTCACTTAATATTAATAGTCAATCCCAAGTCTGCCTTGCCCCTACTCAGGAGGCAGTGCCGAGTGCAGGGACAGCTGCCACCACAGATGTCCCACTTGTTGCTTTAGGCAATGATTTCAGGTCTCATTATAAAAGGCGCGCTTACTGACTCCATCTTTTTATGCTTCTATCTGATACCTAAATTGGCAGGCAGTCTGCTTCTCAAGAGCTTTAATGTCAGAGATCAGAGGTCCTCCCTCCAGGCTTCACTTCCCTGCTCCCTGAAATCCCATACCCTGTGCAAGGCCTGGGCTTGCCTTCCTCTGACCTAGGATTGCAGATATTATCGCCAGTTTCAAGCTTGAAGTCAATAACATGCTATCAAGGGACTGTTGATTTTACTGACATTTCCTTGTTCCTGTAGGTTAGGCTATATTTGGGTTGTTCACCAAGTTAGGTGGCTGAGAACCTCCTACATTTATGAGCAAAGCTCGGTTTCCCTTTTTGCTTTCCCTCCGCTGGTTCTCTGCTTAGAACACTCACAGGCATCCTTGGGAACCAGACTCCCTGTGGTCACACCATCCTCACTCCCCTCCTCCTGCAAGGGAATAGGATGTGGTTTCCTGGAGCTTGGATAGAAAGAACAGGAAGGGCGTTTTCATATGCCCGGCATTAAGGCTTTGAAGTTCTTAAAACCCCTTCTAGGGTGAAACCGTTAGGGAATTTCAACGACGTACTAGAATTATTGAACAAATGCAATGGGAGGATCTTGCCTTGATCCTGAAGCAACAAATACACTTTAAAATGACGTTTTAGAGGGAAATGGGGGAAATTGAATATGGACTGGGAACTAAATGATTGAAAGTAGTTTTGTTAATCTTGTTGGTATAATATTTTGTAGTTCTGTTTTTAAACTGCTGCAGTGTTTATGGCCAGAGTCTAAATGTTTACGAGTTGCTTTGCTTTTAAAATATTCCAACAAAAAAAAAATGGGGACAGAGAAGATAAATGGAACAAGATTAGCAAAATGTCCAAAGTTGTTGAAGCTGGTTATATATATGAGGTTTAGTATGTGAGACTGTACTCTTGTGTAAATCTTTAAGGTTTAAAATGAAAGACAGTAATAAAACAAATTCCTTAGAGCCCTGAGAAGAGCCCTCCCATGGGGCCAGCCTCCAGGATGGGCCTCCCTGCACACACAACAGGGCAGATCTAGCATGAGGGTCTTTTCACACAGGCACCCAGCTGCAGCCAGGCCTGTACGGCAGATACACCTCTTGCATCTTCAACAAAAATCTCAAATTCTATTAATCTATACTCTTGGCTTTTCTTTTCTTTGTTGCTCTAATGAAATCAAAGAGAAGAATGTTAATTTTAAAAAAAAAGGGCTAATGAGGATTTTGTCACCAGGTCGGCCATCCTAGAAATGCCTCTCACGTAGCTACCCAGTGGCTCTGAGGACTGGGGGATGCTTACGCTTTCCAGCTGAAAAGCTCTTCCCACCCTCTGCTGAGGCCTCAGGATTCTTGAGATTTTTGAGTGTACGGCCCGCTCCCCGTCATTTCTGTTGGTTACATGTGTCTCTTTACTTTCGTGTTGAGACCTCTGGTCCATACCCTGAGGCTGCCCTGACTGCCCCACCACGTACACCAGCCACCACTCCGGCCTCTGAAGCCAGCCCCAAGCATGCCCATTTGTGCACTATCCCTGGTTTCCAGGTCCTCATCCAGGAGGTCCAAAGGGCAGCATGCTCTTAAAGCTGGTGGCCCCACACATCACTCTGCCCCCAAAGGCTAAGTTAGCTTGTGCTTCCCAGCTCTTCCTGCCTTCCCATTTCCTCCCTTCCCTGCCTCCACAGTCAGCTCCTGGATCCTTTAGTGCCAGGTGCAGCAGAAGTTCCCAGAGACTCCTCCGAAGATCACGTGGCCTGTTGTCTCTGTTCTGGTCAATCTCTGGTTCCTTCCTGCTTCTTGTTCTCCCGAACCACGAATGGCAAAGATCCTGATCTACCATTGTGCTCCCAACCGCTGCCCCTTCCAGGCCGCTGGCCCCTGCCATGCCTGGTTCATGCAGGTACCCCTTAGCAGGCAGCACTGGTGAGTGTCCCTCCTGCTCTGCCTTCAGCCAGACCACTAGGGAGAAAGGGCCGGTGTCAGGGAGCACACTGCCATGCTCTCCTGCTCCCTCCCTGTCTCTCTCTTGCCCTGTCTCCTAGGCTTGCCCCCTGCCCTCTCCCTCTCTCCTGGGCTGTCCAGATTGCACCCAAAGTGATGTATCAGAGTGGCCAAGTGGGAGCTGGACTCCAGAGTGCACTCTGCTGGCTGCAGCTTCAATTACCCTCGCATGACCGCGAATACTCAGAGGAGGGGCCTGTTTCTAATTCAACAAGGGGCCATCGAGGCCAGCCATGGCCCTAGAATCCTTCCCTCTCTGTTTCATCTGAAAAGCTCGCCAGCTGCTTTCAACCTCCCAGATCGGTATACCCTAATTATAGAGAAAAACCCAACTCACTGAAAAGGAAAGCATTGTGCCCAGATGAGTGGAAGCTAATTCTACTTTTGTTTAATTTATTAATTTATTTGAGTGAGCATGCAGATGTTTGCAAGAGCCACTAAGGACTTAAAGTTAACAGGTACACACTAAAAAAAAAGGAGTGCCACCAGACACTGAGTAGTCAGCACCGCCTGTGCTGGGGGAGGCTTTCATTGCTGCAGAGGGTTCAAGGACAAGGAGAGCCATGAGGTGGTGGAGTCTGGGGGCTTCATGCAGAAGGGTGGTCTTGACTGAGCTTTGAGTCAGGGAGTTGGAGAGGCTGAAGGAGTTTTTTCAGGATCGTACAATCATCAGAGATGCTGAGAGTTGGGAGGAACCTTGTAGATATTCATGAACTACTCATGAAGCATTTAATGTGTGCCAGGCACTGTGCTAGGTACCAGGGACATGGGGGTCCTTGTTGTGGGCAAACAGGGAAGACCCCCACCCTCCTGGAACTGACATATCAGTGGGGAGACAGGCAGCAGACAAACCAACCAAAAAGGTGACATCACATGATGTGAAGATAGTAAAATCAAGGATTGTGTTAGGGGATACTCAGGGGTCAGGCTGCTTTGACTGTGTGGTCAGCAAAGGCTTCTCTGAGGACACAGCATTTGACTGGAACCTGAAGGATTCAAAAGAACTAGACATGGAATCGGAGCGAAGAGCTCTCTAGGTGGAGACCCTGAGTGCAGAGTCTCTTACAGGGATGCACTTGGCTGTGGGGACTCCAAAGAGGGCCAGTGTGCCTGCAGCAGAGAGAACCAAGGGATAGTGCCCTGAGGCGAGAGGCCGGGGCAGGGCAGGAGGGCAGGGCAGAAGGCGCAGGGCCATGCGGGAGGCTGGGTCTGATCCAGTGCCCTAGAGGGCCACCAGAACGTCTGAGCAGAGGAGGCCCTGACCTGATGTCCGACTCACCCTTTCAGAGATTCCCTCTGAGCGGTGTGAATAAAGAGCAGTGGTGTTCGAGAGCAGAATGGGGGCAGGGAGGATACTTGCGCAGTATCCAGGCAGAGAGGATGGCAGCTTGGACAGGGGATGGTGCCGGAGATGCAGAGAAGTGGTCAGGCTTGGGGTACATTTTGCAGGTAGGACCAGCTGGATTCACTCACAGCTTAGATGTTGGAGAGAGGGAAAGAGAAATGTAGGGTGATTCTGAGGTTTTCTAATTGAGCCAGCGAAGAGAAAATCCCCAATGCAGAAACTGTATCCACCACCTGTGCTCCTTGTGCCCCAAGGCACTGCTCCGGGTGTCTGGCCCTTACCAACCAGGCACTCCCTTCAGCTGGTAGCAGACTCTTGCGCCCTGCTAGAAACTAAGCTCCTTGAGGACAAGAACCATGGCTTTGTCTTCTCAGCCTTGGGCTCAATACTCTGTAGGCACTAGATCCTACAAATGTCTTTACTTTATGTGGCCAAGAGCAAAATCACAGAAGTGAGGATGAGCATCAGATGGAGGGGGGCAAGGGTTGCCAAGGACCAAGGGTGGGGCTTTGAGTGCTACCCTGGTTTTACTTTGGAATCCTCTGACCTGCCTTCTGAAATGCAGCAGCAACTCCAGCGTGCAGCAGCACCTCACTTCCGATGCTTTTTTCCAAACCTCCAAGAACAAAAATTAGAAAAGAAAGATCCCTAATGTATTCTACTGGCATTTGGGAGTAGGAGGCTAGGTGGTTCAGTTGCCAACCCCAAAATGAGCCTTGCCTGACTTTCCCTGATCTGTCAGCATCCCTCCTCATCCATAATACCTGCTAAGCATCACGTGCTGTCAAAGTTGTGTTCCTTTACAAATCTGAGTTTGTCCTTCAGAAATCGTTTCCTCTTAAGTACTGTGCCTGAGGTTCAGCTGCTGTGTGTCTGAATGGACCAGCTAACTTGCTTCTCCCCAGGAATGGAGCTCAGCATGGAGCTTCATAAACGGGGGGGAGCTCGTGCAGATGTAAGAGCCTGCACCGTTTTCCATTAGGAAGTTCGAATGGCACAAAGCTATAGTAAATATGGGTTTCTGTAAACACAAATGATTAAAATAAGCATAAAATTACCTGTTATCAAATTATCATGAAGAAGAAAGTGTTGGGTCATTTCGAGCAAAACTGAAAAGAATACAAACACCTAGGCAGGAATTTAAGATCCTTCTCAATTAAATTTCACTTGAAATACCATGATTTAGGCCAATTCTGGTTTTACTTATTCGACTTTAAGTAGAAGACTTTTCTTTTACATACCAAGGGTTGGGTGTCACAAGAACTCCAACTCTTGTCCTGTAGACAGTTTTTCATCTTGGGCCTCTCTTCTGCTGAAAAAATATTAATTGTCTTGCTGGTCAGCTCTAATTACCCTAGGGAAAGAATCTGATTGATGTCTGTATGGTACTGGCCCTCCAAAAAAGCCTTGGGTCCCTAAATGCTTGAATGCTTTTTGCTTGATAAAGAATTGCTTTCTGTGCCAGGCATTTTTTTTTTCTTTGCAGTACCTGGCTTTGTTTGAACCAGAAGAGGGAGAACATGCAGAGGCACAGCTGTGTCCATGAGACGAGCATCCCATAACTATCTTTCTCCAGCCAGACTAGTATCCCCTTCACCTTCATCTTATACAGAGTCCCCTTCCTTCTGACCGGTGTGGAAGTTCAATCATCATCAAGAAATAAGGGCTTCTAGTGCCAGGCAAAGCTTTTCTTTCCAGGGTTTTCAGCACATAGGGAGAAGGGACAGACATTTAAAATCAGTCATCAAGGTACTGGAGGCAGAGGTTCTGCTGGGATCCATGGAAAGGTCATTCCCTGGAGCGTGAGTACTCAGGAAAGTTGGAAGGAGGATGCTATCTGGATTGGGGGTCCTTGTGTGCTCTGCAGAGAGGGAGATGAAGCGCAGCTCAAACAGAGAGAGAGAGAGCATGAGGAAGGACGGAGCACACAGTGAGCTTGTCAGCTCACTAGGGCTGCCATAACCAGTGACCACACACTGGGCAGCTTAAACAGCAGAAATGCATCCTTTTACAGTTCTAGAGGCTGGAAGTCCAAAATCAAGGGGTCTGCAGGGCCAAGCGCCTTCTGAAAGGCTCTTGGGAAGAATCCTCACTTGCCTCTCCTAACTTCTTGTGGTTGCCGGCAGTCCTTGGCTTGTAGATGCATCCCTCCAATCTCTGCCTCTGTCTTCACATGGCCTTCTTCCCTAAGTGTGTTTTTGTGTCTCTGTGCCTGTCTTGATGAGGATAACAGTCATTACATTTAGGGCCCATCCTAGCGCAGAATAACTTCTTCATAACCAATTACATCTGCAAAGGCCATATTTCCAAATAAGGTCACATTGCAAAGTTCTAGGTAGGCATGAGTTTGCGGGGGAAACTGTTCAACCCACTGTAGTGAAGTGCTCAGAAAATAGTTTCGTGTGAGTGGACAGTTTGTTAGGGAATAATAGGTGGTAAGGATCTGACTGAGAAAGATGTTGAGCATTAATTTACAGGCTTCGAGTCTGTCCCATAGGTAGAGGTTGTAATAAAAGCAGCAAACACTTACTTACAGAGCGGCTGCTATGTGCCAGGCACCGTTCTGAGGTATAGAGGTACTGTTATTATTATTCCACCTTAGATGGAGAAACTGAGGCACAGAGAGACTCAATAAAATGCCCACGGCTAGAAAGAAACAGAGCCAGGATTCTGGTCCAGGCGATTGGCTGGAGAGTCTGCTCTTCACTCCCATGTTGTTACTTTCCCCTCTGAGCATCTTCAACACATTTGAGCAGCCCAGGATGGGCAGTGCTTCCCGTCATGAGCGTTGTGCTGGCAAGCACAGGAATAAGCTGTCTGACTTTGGTCCACATTAAATGTGGCCACTGGCTGGGAGAACGAAGGCGCTTCTTTAATTGGTGTCAGTGTCTAAACCTTTGCATGAAGGGCCTGCTGTGGTCAGTAGTATTGCCCTGTTATCTCGACAGCACATGAATTTTTTTTTTTTTTTTTTTTTAGTTGCAGAAATTGGGAAAGTGTTGGTTTCTAATTCCTGGAACTTCCAAGAGTGAGGTTATTTGCAAGGGATTCCACAAGCCAACTCAGCCATACCCTTTCCCCAACCTGCGGCCTAGATAGATGAGTAACACCTGGCAGTGCCCTGTCCTACCTGGTCACCTTTTTTCATACCTTACAACTAGGATGACCAACGACCCCAGTTTGCCCAGAACTAGGGGGTTTCCTGGGATGTGGGAATTTTAGTTTTAAAACCAGAACAAGTTGGTCGCCCTACTTACAATCCCCCTTATTGTGCACTGCCAGATACGACTTCTCCAGCAGAGATGAGCTGCAGCAGCACCCACAGGGAGACAGCAGAATGTCTGTCTTGGTTGGTACCCTACATTTTCAGAGCCATAATCATGTCTGCCAGTAGGAAGGTCTCTGAAAGTGGTAAAATAAGTGGGAGTGCTGGAGTTATTTAGAATGGTGCTGTTCTTCTTACAGGAGAAGAGGATGAGGAGGAGCCAGAGATGCCTGTCGGCCCTCGCCCACGACCACTCTCTGAGCTTCACCTTAAGGAAAAGGCAGTGCCCATGCCAGAAGCCAGCGCGTTTTTCATCTTCAGCTCTAACAACAGGTGTGCAGCAATGGTGGGGAAGGTGGGGTCCTGCTCTCTCTAGTACCAGCCTGGCAGTTGCCTGTATTTTACCTGAACCTCTGGATGGAGACTGAGACTCTCCCAGCTCCTTGCAAATTGTATAAACAGGCACTCATTTAGGGAAGAGTCCTGGATTTTGAATCAGAAGACTTGTGTTTATTTTTCTCTCCACTTTTTGAAATGTTTAAACTCTATTTCTATTCTTTGGGTGATTACCCTTGATAATTTACTAATTCTATTTAACTTAACAAAATGTGATGTTAAACAATATCAAGAACCTCCTCCTGTATAATAGAGTGACCTTAGACTATTTTAACTCACTCATCTGCTCCTTACTTACATGGAATTGTCGTTAGTATTTTAGTCCAACTTTTATTTTTAATCCAACAAGTTAGTGAGTCTTACTGTTATATAGATACTGTGTGTTTGGATATATGTACACCTTACCATTTTATTTGTTCACCATTTTTTTACTCATTTCAGTCCATCCTTTAGCTAGCATTTTCTTTCTTCCTAAAGTACATTCTTTAGAGGCTCCTTTAGTTCCGTAATGGCAAATTCAGTGGGCCTCTACTTACCTATAACTGTTTCACTTCTTGCTCTTGAAAGATAGTTTTGCTGTGTACACGATTTTAGACAGACAATTTTTGTCCTGCAGCACAAGAAAGGTGTTATTCCACTGTAAAGTCAGCTGTCATTCCAACTATGGTTTCTTTGTGAGTAACCTAACGTTTATTTGTAGCTGCTTTTAACATATTCTGTTGCCTTTGTGGTTGTACAGATTTACTACCATGTGTCAAGGTGTGGATTTCTTTCCATTTGTCTTGCTTAGAATACATTCTGCTTCCTAAGCCTATGTATTTAGATTTTTATTCAGTTATTGAAAAAGTACAGCCATAATGTTTAAATATTGCTTCTTTTTAATTCTATATTTCTTCCTTCTGACACTCCAATTGGACATCTGTTAGACATTTTCATTCTGTCCTCCCTGTTTCTTAGAGGGTCTTACATATCTTTCATCTCCTTGTCTTTCTGTATTCTGGGAAATTTCTTCAACTGTATCTTCCAGTTTCTTAATTCTATTTTCAACTTAATCTATATTACTGTTTAAACCAATTTTTTATCTTGACCATTATATGTTTTTGTTTCAGTCAGTTCCATTTGTTGCTTGATTTTCCAGATCCATCTCTAAATCTAGTAGTTTCTATCAATTCCTCATCTTTGTGATTTAGTCCTTTATTTCATTAAATATTTCAAATATAGTTGTTTTATAGTCTATATCTAATATTTCCAATACCTCCAGTCTTTGGAATCTAAATCACTTATCCAGTGTTTCTTCAGATTTCCCATCTTAGGGGCTTGTCCTTTTGTGCATCTGATGATCTTTGATTGTGACCCCAACACTTCCTCTTCATTTGTGAGAGTCCTGAAGACCTAAAGTAGGTCTGGGGAGACTTTCTTCCAGATGCCCCTTGGAGGTGTTGGCTTGGCCTAAAATTCCCAGGCTTTCCTGCCCCACCTCAAGACTGGCTTAACCTGCAATTTCTTGACAGCACTGCTGTTATTGGCTTCCATCTTCAAGCAATTCTGCCCTCCTGGCTGGCTCTCTCTCCATACGTAGCCTCAGCTCAGTGGAGGTTGGTGGGAGGGGTTGTTGGTTTGAAGCAGATGATTCTTACAGCCATCTCCTAACTCTTATAAACCAGAATTGTCTGAGAGAGTTTGGCCCTTCGAGGGTTTGGTGCTTCTGCAGCAGGAGGGCTTCTCAGAGCATTTAGTCAACCATAATGCCAGGAGCAGAAGTCTGAAGGCCTGGGTTGAAGCCCTGACTCTCCCACACTAAGGCTGTGTTTCTGGGCAAGCCTCTCCTACTTGGGTTTCAGTGTTCTTACCTGTGAAATGAAGATGATGACACCCATCCCTTCCTTCCTACATTGCTGTCAAGATGAGATGGTGTACAAGACACTTTGGCATTTAGGAACCTAGCATTTTTGGTGCTATCACTGAGTGCCTAGAAGCTCAGTTGGGTAATTGTGCTGGGGCATGGAAGTGAATTGCACATTTAAAGCTATTACACAGGAGCAGATCACCTACAGAGAGCCGGTTTGGCTGGCCTCTCAGCATACCCAGCTCCGGGTAGTCCTATTGTGCCTTATGCATAAGCATAGAGTTGATCTCATAAAGTGATTTCTTTTCAATGATAGGGAAAATAAGTCCCCAAACAAAAGCCAGTTATGAATGTCAGAGCAGGATTTGGGAATTCAGAGATTCTCAAAGGTCTCAGATGTAACCTTCTAAAATATCAAAGATGATATGTGCACCATGGGGGTGAGCAGTTGTCATTACCAAGCAGCAGTAAGACTTCAGAATGAAGAGGTCACTTCAGGCCAACAAGCACCTGTTGCCAGCTGCTGGGGAGAGCTGAGGAGAGGGGCTCCCAAGAGCCGACTGGTGCTTCCCCTTGTCTGCCTTGACTTGTCTCTCCTCCTGTCCCCTCTCCCGTACAGGTTTCGCCTCCAGTGCCACCGCATTGTCAATGACACGATCTTCACCAACCTGATCCTCTTCTTCATTCTGCTCAGCAGCATTTCCCTGGCTGCTGAGGACCCGGTCCAGCACACCTCCTTCAGGAACCATGTATGCATCGCCTGTGTCTTCTGCACTCCTTCCCCCTGGGGCTGTGCCAGGCCCACAGCTTCTGTTGCTGACATCATTGTTCAATCAGGAGCCCAATTCTAGGTGTCATAATTAGATCCACAACTAACATTTCATTAAGAGAGTAGGGCTTTGATAGAAAACCACCCTAGGACCACAAGCAAATAAAAGAGCATGTACCCAAATGCTCAGGCTGGTTTGATAATTGGCAAAGATCAGGACTTTCATTGCCTGTGGATGTTCCCCAGGAAGCTCTAGTTCCCTGCAAACTTAGTAAAATGTGGCCACTGACTACATGCCCTCCCTTGCTCCCAGCATGCTCTGACCAGAAGGGGAGCATTGGCAAATAGGTGCCAATGATATGGCTGACCTTACCTAAAAGAGAGTCTTGGTACCTTTGGTAGAGTAGAACCAAATGTGAGGACCCACCCAAGGCTCTGGTGAACAATATTAAAGGCCAGTTTAAGAATTGCTCTATCTCAAAACCTCAAAACTTTGTCAAGTCCCAACCAAGTGGGCATGAAGACAGCCCGCTGATCTAAAGCCATACCCATGCCAAACCACTCTGCGCTCCTGGGGCCTGCTTGGTCCAGGGCTGTCTTACCGAGGTTAGCAGGTGTTGGCCCCATCCCTGATCCATCACCTGAAATATAATAAGTATGCAGTCCTGGAGCCGGTCCTCAGCCTGTGCAGACCTCACCTGAAGGATGCACCTCCCTTGCCCCAGAGGACATAACCCAGGAATAGATGTCCACCATCACAGGAAGCTGGCCAGCTCAGTCCCACCAACGTGAGCGAAGCATTTTGAATCTCCCTGCAAAAAGACAAACCCCATTCTCTGTCCTTTTGACAAGTATCTTAGTGGTCTGATTTGGGTTTGTAAGTAAATTGGATTAATGGGAAAAGCATCCAACCAGATGCTGCTCAGATCCAGTACCAGCTGAGGCATGCCCTGGAAGCTCACCTCACTTATCTGGGGGCTTCAAGGGAAGCCGCTGTGCTGCCTGAGGCTAGCCCCGCCTCAGGATGTCTGTGTGTGTGCCGCTTGCCCCCCATGTCCATCTGTGTCCCTGTGCAAAGGCTTAAGTGCCAGGCATCTCATTTTGAAGTGTGGCCCCTTTTCTGGTGAACATCCACTGACCTCTCTTCCCGTCCTGCTTTTCTCCCTTCCCCATCCCATCCCCACCCTGTTCCTTTTTGTTTTGCAGATTCTGTTTTATTTTGATATTGTTTTTACCACCATTTTCACCATTGAAATTGCTCTGAAGGTAAAGCCCCCATCCCCTTCTGCTCCTCCTGTCCCCCTTGTGCCAGCACCAGGTCTCTGCCGCTGTCTGTCGCTAACACACATGCTCCTTCCTGTTGGTGTGGGGTTCACTCTCAGAGCCACTAATCCAATTATGCTTATTTTTCAGATCCTAGGCAATGCAGACTATGTCTTCACTAGTATCTTTACATTAGAAATTATCCTTAAGGTAATGCAACCTGGGCAATGCATCCTCTGTCGCTTTCTTTGTCTATCTCTGCTCTGTGTGGCTGGATCTTTTGTCTTTTCTGTTTCTTTCACTCTCTCTTTTCTTTACTCCCAAGCCTGAAATTGGAAAAATGAGTGCCCCTCACTTTGTGTGATGCACTTTGCCCAGACTTAGAAGCCAGGAGCAGCCTACCCCACCACAGCTCCTCCCTCCAGCCACCCCTAAGCAGTCCGTGGCCTGGAAGGGACACGTGTTGGCTGTGCCAACATTAAGGCTGCCATTTCACTGGTTGGGGCTGCAGCCGTCAGCAGCGCCAGACATACATGCCCACATGCACCAGCTCCGGTTAACTGATACCTGAGCCCACGTAGGACTCTCCTTCCCTCCTCCTGCTTCATACACTCTGAAAGTGGGAAACCTCCTGGGGCGTGAAAGAATCACTTGAGCTACTCTCTTTGGATGCCCATCCTTAGCACCTTCCTCAGTACTTGCAGCAGATATTGGGTCTAAGCTGGAGTTGGGGCTGTGTCACAGTGATCACAGGCCTACTGTGAGATGTGGAGCTGGTCTCCCAGCTGAGGGCTTTTAGCAGGGCCATTACAGACTACTGCCGACCCTCAGTCACCTGCTGCAAAGCTTTGTCACAGTGCCCCTTGCCCTGAGCGTGGGGGAGGGAGAATTGTGCTGGAGAGCTGAGTACAGCAGGATGAGAGCAGGTGCCGCAAGGAACCTGAGCACCCAGCCCCCAGCCCCCAGCCCTTGCCTGCTGCTGGCCCAGCTCAGTTCTGCTAAGGGAACTGCTGCAACATTGCTACCCTCAGAACAGGCAGAGCCCACCTCAGGGCAACACTGGGATGAGAGAAAGAGTATTCCTCCATTTTTCGGGTATATTTCTGAGTCTCTAAACCAATGCGTGGCAAGCCAGTTCATCTGAGAGTCAGGGTGTGAGTTCCATGACCTCAGGGAACGTGTGCTCCTCTCTGAGCAAGGGGGTAGATTCTACCCTTTCCCCAAACAGAAGGACTAAGGCTCTGAAGCCCATGCTTCAGCTTTAGCTTCTTCCTGGGAGACTAGCCTGGGACTCCCCCTCCCAAGGAGTCCAGGCTCCCTTGTCATCCTATCGCTGTGGCCAATGCAAGCTGAAGTCCACACCTAACCGATGCCACTGCCAGCTGCAGGCCTCTCCTTCCCTGATGAGACTCCCTCATCATGGCCCAGCCTGTTGATGGACAGGACAGTTCAGTCACATCCAGATACAAATTGAATGGGGCAGTTTTTATGTGCCTTCCCCTGTGTCCTTGTCCCCAGGACACTCAGGTGCCCCCAGCTGCCATCCCTGGTTCCTGCTAACCAAGTATGTGGCTCAGATTTTTCTTTTCTGCTCGTGGAGAGTAGATCTGACCAGGCCTTGGTTCCTGGAGGTCGGGAGAGGGAACCGAAAGTTGCGTGGCTGCACTAAGATGCACCGCGGCAAAACCTGCTTTCCATGGTGAGCTGCTTTGCTTCCCGGACTTCAGATGCAGGGAGGCACACAGACCCCAGAGTTCTTTCCCAGGACAAGAGACGCTCTGAGGCCCAATTCTCAGTGCCCTTCTACAGAGCTGCCCTTGTGGATTTCAATGGTGCTATTTCTCCTTCGGGATTGCCATACAAGCTGAAGTGAAAGGTCTCTTTGCAAGCATTGTCATGGCAAGGTCCTTCCATCCCCTCCCTCTTCTACTTTCTTCTATGCTCAGCATGCTTCTGAATAGAAACCCCAATGCCGGAACACTCCCCTGTACCTCCTTCCCACTGGGTCCCTCTTCCCGGCCTAAGGCCCGGTGTCATGTCATGGCACAGATGACCGTGGCTGTCCAAGGGGGACATTTAGCACAAGGAACAGTGGAAGGGCCTGGAAATGTTTGGCCTTAAAAAGGAAAGGCTTGTAGGCTCACAACAGTTGGCCTGAGTCATACAAAGGACCGTCACATAGAAGAGGAAGAAGGCAGAATCAAGACCAATGAGTAGAAATCACAAAAAAAGACAGGTTTCATAGCTAGAAGAGCTGCCTGGAGAGGCAGGGATGGCCCGTGGTTGAACAGAGAGCTTTCCTACCCTTCCAGGCAGAGCTAGCGAGCCACGTCCCATTCCTTTCCTTCCTCAGGATGGAAACACCCCAGCAAGGGCCCCTTCCCAAGTAATGGTGTAGAATTAGGAAAGCAGGACCGAGGTGGCTGGCAATCAGAAAAAAAGGGTCAAAGAGGAACAATTAGCACTGGGTACCTGAGTCTGGCTTTTCCTGATGCCCTGAACACCACAGATGACTTTCAAGTAAATGCTACGTTTTCCCCATGTCCATTTGCCCTTTCTTGTACAGCCACTCTTCCTCTGGCCCTGCCTGGATGCATGTTCCCACCGCCCCCACATGCACACACATGCACTTGCTCAAGTGTTGGTCTCATTTGAGGGTCCCTAAACAAAACAGGAGCCCAAAACCAGAGGACAGAGTTGGCACTCTGAGCCTTATTAGTCCACCCATCTGAGGAATGCAGAGTGTTCTGTTAGAGCTCAGTAGTAGCCTCAGAAGATCCAAGCCAGGAGCAAGAAGGGATCAGACCCAGTGCCTTCCTAACACTAAAAGCAAGGTGGCTGGGGAAGTACTGGGCTTTCTGCAGGCACAATTAATATGAATTATGGGAGCCTCCTGAGTCCAGTCTGTGGGGGTCCCAGCTCTTCACCAAGAGGCAGGGAGGCAAGGCTTCCAGATGGTGGGCCTTCTAGAACTATACTCCCTTGCATCTTTTATGTAATCTACCCACTTCTAAAAACCATTGCCCAACACAGGTGCCTGAGTCCTTTGGGACCCCCTGCTGCAAGAGATAAATGGAAAGAATTAGGTTGCAAGAGCTATTTTTGCCCATTTCCCTCTGTGTTTGCTTTTGAATGGCTCTGCGGACACTCTGCCCTGGGCATGCTCTGATTCCAAAGAGATGAACTGGACCCCAGATGACCGGGGAGCCTTGCTCCACCTCTCCACTGTCGGCTCCACATTTTCCCTTTGGCCGATGCTTCCTGTCCGCTGCCTGTCACAGCCCTTATCCTGGATAACCACTGGCCCTTACGCAAGTCGGCAAAATGAGAAAGGCTGTAAAGGTGATTTGTTGAGCACCTGCAGTGCGCAGCTTTACACCAGGCTCAGAGGGTGGTAATAATGGCCAAGTCCTGTAGCAGTCATCGTCATCTTGTGTGTTCTCTTTTTAAAAGTTTCCAAAGGGCTTTCACAAAGCCAGGGGATAGTTTCCTCACCTTTTGATGAGAAAACAGAACTTTTCTCATCCAGGAAGCATCCAGAATTCAAATCCAGGCTGTAGTGACAGCTCACCCTTTTATGGGGCTCACCGTGTGCAGGGTGGCATCCTAAGTATTTTACATAGAGGTACCCACTTGATGCTTACAACCCTGTAGGGTAGACCTTATCCTCATTTTTCCAATGAGGAAACAGAGGCACTAAGAGAATTTGAGTTTCTTGCTCCAGGCCACAAAAATAAAATACCACAGGTCTGGGATTCCAGCCCAGGCCGTCTGGCCTCAGAGCCTGTGCTCTTAGCCACTGAGCCTCATAGCCCCTCTGATCACACAACTTTTGCCCTTAAAGAACTCCAGATGTAGTCTAGAAGCAGGACAGTAGAATTGAGTTTAGAATATTTGGCATCAATAATAAGCACCCTTTGAGGCCAGGAAGGGGAGGTATGCTAATTGCCAGGGTCACCACTGGAACTTCTCACCAGGCACCAGGGTGACCAGCTGGCCTAGTTTGCCTAAGACTGAGGAGTTTTCTGGGATGCAGGATTTCTGATGATAAAGCAAATCTGGGCAAACCAGGATGGCTGGTCACCCTGCTGGGCATGCCCCGCCCCCCAACCCACCCACTCACGGCAGATGTCTGGTGCTCTCAGCTGGCCTAAGGACTCAAGCATTTGGAGAGGCAGTCGGGATGTGTGCTCCCAACCCGACAGCATCAGGAAAGGACCCTGCAGGCCCAAAGCCATGGACTTGGGATGTGGAACAGTGCGAAATTAGAGTGGGATGGTGGGGCCCACTTGAAAGGGCTTTGAATGGAGGACTAAAGAGCCTGGCTTGGCCTGGCAGGTGCAAGGAGCCACCCAGCAGTCCTGGGCTGCGAGAGTCTTGGGTGGTTGTGTGCATGGTAGCAGAACTCTTTTCTTGGCACCATAGCGCCGTCTTTGTCCTTCCTGTTCCCCATGGATGGTGCTTGGGACTTGCCCAAGGGATGCTGTGGGAGGAAGGGGTGGTGTGAGGGGTCTCTGGGCTAGGGCTAGGGCCACTCACACTGGTGTTCCTTTGTCCCTCCCTGCAGATGACTGCTTATGGGGCTTTCTTGCACAAGGGTTCTTTCTGCCGGAACTACTTCAACATCCTGGACCTGCTGGTGGTCAGCGTGTCCCTCATCTCCTTTGGCATCCAGTGAGTGGGAGCCCCTCAGCCCACGATGGGCCATGCAGCTAGCAAGGGGTGCCAGAGAGGACAACCAGACCCTGGAGGGCCTGCCTGCAGGGCCACCGCAGTGTGATGAGAGTGGGGTGGGGCCTCCAAAGCTGTGCATGGTGGCTTTGGGTTCTTGGTTCTGTGTCCTCAGTGGTCTGATACTTGGGGCACGTTGATCAGGTGAGAATATGTTTAATTATCTGGGTTTTGCCATGACAGGCAGGGCCAGGCTCAGCTATTAAGAAACGGTTGTCTCCAGGACCTTCCTGCCTCCTCCACCACGGCCCCAGTGCCCTAGGCTGACCTTCAGCAACCCACAGTCTGCCACTGCCGTGACCTCCCCTGACCTGGACCCTCCTTCTCCCTTTCTCTCCCCTCTCTCTCCAGCCAAAGCACCTCATGTATGAGTGTATGTGTGAATGTGTGTATATATATGTCTGTGTAAGTGTGGGGTGTATGTGTGCACGTGTGTGGATGTGTGGGGTGTGTGTATATGTGGATGTGTGTTTGTGGCTGTGTGTATGTGTGTGTATGTATGTGTTTGTGTTTGTGTCTGCATATGTGTCTATGGACGTGAATGTATATGTGTATGTATGTGCATATGTATGTGTGAGTGCATGTATGTGTGTGACTGTGTATATTTGTGTCTTGTGTGTGTGTGTGTGTGTGTGTGTGTGTGTGTGTGTGTGAGTTTTTCATTTCACTGGTCTGGGGTACAGTCTGGGTGTGAGTTCTAAGAGCTTTCCAGGTGACTCCCCTGTACAGCCAAGCTTGCAGTCCTCGTTCAGGTGTGGAGGATCTGATTACCAGTTTCTACCAAGTTCTAACAGCTGATAGTGTGAATCCTACACTTTAACTTTCAAAGCACTTCCACATACACATTCTTCTGTGGTCCTCACACACACAAAACGATGGGGGAGACGGGGCAAGTGTTATCATGATTGTATAGATGGGAAATTTGGAGTTCAGGACATCATGACACTTGCTCAAGGTCACACCTGTGGTAGAGAAAGGCCTAAGTCCCAGCGTTCCTGGGTCTCTCCTCCCAAGAGTGTTTTCATGGTTGGCTGAGATCATGCAGGGACCAGGACCTTGGGAGAGACCCTTTTCTGTGATCATCAGTTATATTACCCCATATTTTCTGCCTGGGAGCCTACAAGTCCAGATTTGAATCCCAGCATGGCCACTCAGTCACTATTTAACCTTGAATGAGGAATTCCTCCTCTTTAGCCTGTGTTTTTCCCATCTGACCTTTAAATCCCTTCCATTGTGATTCGGTGCAAACTGACTCCCTCCCAGAGAGACTGTAGGAGAGACACAGTGATAGATAGGAATGGCCTTTGCATCTCTTGGAATAAAAGAGTCATGCACCAGAGAAATCGGATCTTTCCACCAGCCCCTTGAGCACATCATCCTGACCACACAAAGCATGAAATCAGCGCTTGCTGGCCTGTCATTCATTGTTTAGGTCCCAAGACAAGTATGAGGCTCTCCAAAAGCTTGAGAGGCTATCTCAGGTAGTTAGCCCGTGAGGGTTAGGATGTGCTCCATAGCTGCTCACCAAGGTGGTATGGTTAATGAGCCCCACCTGGGTAGGATGGACAGCTCCAAAAACCATCCAGGCATCTTGCTTAGGGACCTGTCTCCTGCTGTCTCCATTGCACTAGGGAAAAGCCGTAGCCCGAGACTCCGAGAAGCTCTGGCTTGGCCTCAGCATCCCAGGTGTATGGAACCTGTAGTGCCACGTAGGAGCCAAAGGGACTGGCCTTCTGAAGGGTCACTGAAAAATCAACTGACAAAAGAAAGGTTAATTGGAGACAAAGCATTCACATTTATTTAACGTGTATACACAGAGCCTATAGAATGCAGACCCAAAGATACAGGGGAAACTGACCATTTTTCTGCTTAGGTTCAAAAAAGTATGGACAGCCATGTAGAAATGTGATTGGACAAGAAGCGTAGGATCTAACGTGAATGGACCGAGTGGGGAACCCAGCAAGGCCTGTCTCTAGGTTCTTCTTGTGCTCTCTGTGAAGCTTTCCCTCCTTCTGGGTCGGGGCAGGATCCCGTCTGCAACAGGAGTCTGAGGATCTACACTCCCACATGGTGGATCTGGTCATTTTTTATGGCCAGTTTTTATACAGAAAAGGAGAGGGAAATTTTGAATAATATTTTAGGTTGTGTGGCTGGCTTTGAGGAAACGGGGTTCTGGGTTCTGGTTTCTGTGACCCATCTTGGGGAAGAGGGATTCTAGTGTCTATGGCTAGCCTGAGAGGAGAAGGGGACTGAGACAGGAGGGCAAGAGAAGGTCAGAGAAAAACTTTTGCTTCTGAGACTGCTTCTAAGGCCGTCGTTTCGGGGTGTTGTTTCCTGAGCCCCAACAGCGAAGCCCATCCTTCCTTGGAGTCCTGAGTGTGCTCTGGGTGGGTTTTATGTTTAGGTGTCAGGGGCAATATGTGTTTGGAGATAAACACTAAGAAATCTCCTCCCCATGACATCACCTCCAGCCACAAGGCCCGAGATCCCACCGTTAGTACGGCATTCCTTTAAGTGTAGTAACGTCTTCAGCAGGCCTCATGAGCAGGTACCATTCAGGCAGTTTCTCAAGCACATGGCTGGGTGATTTACATAGAATTCTTATTTAACCCTTGCAAAGACCTTCTGAGCTGATTACAGACCCATTTTACAGATAAAGAAACTAGAGCTCAGAAAATTTAGGAAATTTGTCCTCAGTGCCTTGGCTAGCAAGTGCCTGCACTGGGGTCTGAATTCCCATGGCCTTGCTCTGAATTTCTTTCTGTGACACTGTGAATGCCCCTGTGAGTAGCACAGTACATTGCTAATGACCTGCCATGAGCCACCTTGCATATTATTTAGTCACCCACAGGAAAGCCCCAGGGTTACAGGCAAGCTCCAGGCTCTCACGGGATGGGAGACAGGAGTAGAGAGTGGTCCCAGAATGCGAACATCCCCAAGATGGGCTTTATGTTTTCTCAGGTTTGCCTCGGATTCACCTGTCAGGACATTCCCTTACCACATTATTTTTGCTCCCCCCAGAAACAGGAGGAGCTTACTACCCTGCCTGTTTCCCTCTCCCAGGTCCAGTGCAATCAATGTCGTGAAGATCTTGCGAGTCCTGCGAGTACTCAGGCCCCTGAGGGCCATCAACAGGGCCAAGGGGCTAAAGGTGAGTTGAGGGCTTGGGTAGGGAGTCTCCAGCCAGCCCATTGGGGAGTGGGAGCTCCACAGAGGTGAGGGGTGGGTTGGAAGGAGATGATGGTCAGACCAAGTGGCTGCCATGTGGGGTCCCGGACACTGGTCCCACTGCATGTCCCGGTTCCGTAATGAACAGAATAGTAACAGAGGCAGCCATCCCAAGTGTCTGCCCTAAGCAGAATGTGCCAAAGGGAGATCCCACACAAACCCTGTGCCCCTGTGGTGCCACCATCCCTATATTCCTTCCACTGTAAGATGGGAGGTTGGCAGGACTTTTGTCCTTGTAGTCACGGAGAGTCCAGTGGGGGCCTTTGCATCCCATTAGGGTCCATCACTTCCCATGTGACTTTGGGAGCGTGGCTTTGCCCCTCTCAGCCCAATTACTCCCCGTTGTGGCAAACGGGCTGCCCCTGCTACCTCCTGGAAAGGCTCCTGGCATCTCCTGAAGCCACGTCCCTCTCCCCGTCCCTTCCCACTGCAGCATGTGGTTCAGTGTGTGTTTGTCGCCATCCGGACCATCGGGAACATCGTGATTGTCACCACCCTGCTGCAGTTCATGTTTGCCTGCATCGGGGTCCAGCTCTTCAAGGTAAAGTCTGGGCTCCGTTGTGGTCCTCCTACCTCCCCTCCCATCAGCATTCCTGGGGAAGGGAACTGGCAGATATAGTACAAACGAGACAGTGTCCTGAGCCAGACTTGGCTTGGATATAACCTCCACCTGCAGCCCGACTCAACCTTCAGACCAGGGTAGGGAGGCGCTAGAAGGAGGCATCGGGCCACCAGGCCAGAGGCCCCTCACCCTCTCCACTTCACCTGCCCTTGAGGTCACTGCCCTTCCTTCTAGAAAGAGAGAGAGAGGGACTTTCATCCTGTGGAACCTCTGTGTCAGTCAGTTGCTTAAAGCCTGCAGCGGTGACCTATTATCAACAGCATCACGTCCCCACTGCACCACCCAGCTTTCAGAGCCCTGCACCTGTCAAAGTCAGCTCCTGCTGCTTCCTGCAGCACCCCTCGTGTCCTCCTTGGATTCTGGTCTTTTTTGCCCTCACCCTTTTAGTTCTGCTATTCTCCCACCTAGAGCATTCGCCCCCGCTCCCCTCCACTGTGTAAACGCCCATCTAATTCATCCCTCTGAGCCCAGCTCCACTTCTCCCTCCCTGGCGAGACCTCCCCGGAGAGTACAGCTCCCATGGACCCGAGCTCCTGTTTTTGCATTGCAGTGCTACTTGCAGCACTGGCGTCTGTATTCGCCACCGTTCTGTGCGTGTGAGTCAGGTCCTGCCCATCTGGATTCTGCACTTTTTATCCCACTGTCCCTAGCACAGTGCTGGGCTATGGAGATGCTCACTAATTGCTTTTGGATTGACTCATTGATTACTGAACATCTCTGATACTCTGTTCTCTGCCTTCCAGGGAAAGCTGTACACCTGTTCAGACAGTTCCAAGCAGACAGAGGCGGAATGCAAGTGAGTAGAGGTGGGAGGGCAGCCAGGGCCACGGCCGGTCAGCCCCAGGAGGCTGGAGGCTTGACCAGAAAGGAGGGACAGCTCATTTTCTAAGACTGCAGTGGCACCTGCGCTCTGCCTGTGTGTCATCTGGCCTCACGGACACAATGTGTAGCATTTTTTGTTCCTGAAGTTTCTGCCCACTGAAGCTCCTCCCATGGCTAGAACGGTGAAGTTCAAGCCAGGCAGTCCCATCCCACCCAGCATTCAAGGTCACTGGCAGGCCAGGCGTGAAGGAAGATGGGAGATCCCAGAGTAAACTCCTTCTCCTCCTCTCTCAGGGGCAACTACATCACGTACAAAGACGGGGAGGTTGACCACCCCATCATCCAACCCCGCAGCTGGGAGAACAGCAAGTTTGACTTTGACAATGTTCTGGCAGCCATGATGGCCCTCTTCACCGTCTCCACCTTCGAAGGGTGGCCAGAGTGAGTATGCAAAGCAAGGCCCCACGAGCCCTGACATTCAAGGGCCAGTACTGACTTTCCAGCCCATCCCCAAGTTTTGTTAATGTCCCGCACTCCCTCTGGAGGTCATATTTACCTGGGTCCTCCCCAGGCAGTGAGGTGTATTTCTAGAACTTACAGTCCACTGTCACTGCTGAAACCGACTCTTCTTTCTCTAGAAGGTGTCAAGAAACTCCCACCAAAAGTGACCTTTTTTTAGCCCTCTTTCCAACCTCAGCATGAGCCACGATGTCAGAGATCTCTGTCATTACCCTTATGGCATCTGGGAGTTGGGTGTGGGGAGAGCTTCTCCAGGTGTGGGCCCTGTGGTCACCATAGGATTCAAGATTGCCACTCCCAGCATGCCCTTCATTGGGTAAAGATGGCTGAGATGTCTTTGTTTTATTTGACTGGATCCCGGTCTCCTTAGAAAAAGCCTTGCCTGTATTTACAGTGGAAAGTAGGAAAGGGATGGAAGCCCGGGCCCCACTTCCTCTGCAGAGGCAATGCGTTTGTGCGTAGAGCAGCCCGTGGGCCTTGCACGCTGCATCACCTCTACCAGGCAGCTTCCCATCAGATCCTTATATCTTTGTATAGATACCTGCTTTTCCCCCAATATGTATTCCAGTGAAATTAGAATCTGAAAGTCAGAAAATTCTAAATGTTTCTAAGTCAACAGCAATGCATGGATCTTAGGTAAGAGTCACATTATTATGTGGTAAGATATAGGTGATAGCTGGAGAATAACCAAGTGCTGTGCAGGGCTACAGAGGAAGGGGAAGAGATAATCCCTGTCCATGAAAAATAACAAGCTTCATGGGGCACACAGCCCAGGCTCAAATGAATGGCATATGTATGTAAACTGCTTATGTCTAAAACCAGGCCATTGGTGATGATCGGAGTAGCATGGGTCATGTGAGTGTTTTTATCTAAGTGGATATTTGCTCTCGGAGAGATTTATTTTACATTCCTTCTAACATTCTCTGAGCTCATGCCAGTTTGCAAAGCTGTCTCAATATTTACCAATATTTCCAGTGTTTTAAATCAATGTCCATGACTCATGTTACATTTAAATAGCTCTTCACAGTTTCAAAACACCTTCCTATACATTATTCTAACTACCCTGCAAGGTAGGAAAGTCAGGAATTATTGTCTCCAATTTACAGATGAAGAATCTGAGTCTCAGAGAGGTTAAACGCTTTGCCCAAGGTCACACAGCCAGTAAGAGGCCGAGCTGGGACTCCAGCCCAGAGCTGTCTCCTGCACCCTGATCCCTGGGATCCCTGGAGCAGTGGTGCCGTCCTTCCGCAGAGGGGACCCTGCTTCTCCAGTTCCCTCTGTGGGACCTGTCTCCTCCTGCAGGCTGCTGTACCGCTCCATCGACTCCCACACGGAAGACAAGGGCCCCATCTACAACTACCGTGTGGAGATCTCCATCTTCTTCATCATCTACATCATCATCATCGCCTTCTTCATGATGAACATCTTCGTGGGCTTCGTCATCGTCACCTTTCAGGAGCAGGGGGAGCAGGAGTACAAGAACTGTGAGCTGGACAAGAACCAGGTAGCTTCCTAGGAAGGAGCGGAGGGAAGCGGGGCCCACGGAGGGAATGGCAGCCTGCGGCCCACCCCGCAGAGGGGCTGCGACAGGGAGAGGCCGTGCAGATACTGAGATCGTCTCTCTATTCCTCAACCAGAGTGGGCTGTCAGTCTTTTTGAGGGACCTGTGCAAAAGAAATGCAAATTCCTGCAAACCCCAGATCTGGCAAATGTACTCAGCCAACAAATATCTATGAAGCTTCTACTTAAGGATACTCTATGATAGGTTTTGTCAAATCTCATGCCCTATATAGAAGTTAACAAGTTAGAGGGACCCAAGTGGGTCGGCACCATGATACGGAGGAGAGAAACTAGAACTGTGAGGGAGTGAGGGCTTTTGGGGTGGGGAACAGAACGGCTTCAGGAAACCACTCTTACATGGTTTCTTAAGTAAAACCCAGAGGCTTGTGTGGGAGGTGGGGGCAGGAAAGAGGCTTAAGTGGGAGTGAGATGGTGATGCCAAGTATCGTGACAGGTTCTGTTAGCCGTGAAGAGCTGGCAGTGCCGTGGCTGAGTCAGGAAGCTGTCGTGGTGGGAGGTAGATGTAGTGCCTCAGGTCTGTTCCCTAGCTCGGCTCCCACTGGGAGGAGTCCGTGGGGAAACACATCCCTGTCTGTGAATAAGGAGTGCCCACGGGCAGGAGCGCAGCGTGGTGTGCTCCTTGTGACCCTCGCCAGGCCAGCCAGTCCCCTGTGGGTTTTCAAGTCTACATCTCAGGCATAGACTCACTCTGCTGGCTGCTGTGTGGACCCTGGATTGAAAGAAGACAGGAAAGAGAGGAGGCCAGTTAGAAAGTGGAAATGAGAGAGGATTAGACCCCGATCTAGTATCCGGTTAATGATGGTAGCGATGGAAAGAATAGGAGGAGGTAAAAGCGTTAAGACTCAGGCGTTGGACACCGGGGCTGAGGGTTTGAGAAGAAGCTGGGGACATTCCCCAGTTCCTGATCTGGAAGCCTGGGCAAAGTACAGAGAAATGGACTGGCTCTTTGCCAGAGTCCCAAGAATCTAGTTAGCCCAGAATCTCCTTCCCTCTCAGTGAACTGTGTTTTTCCATCTTATGGACACTGGCAAATAAGAAAGATTGATTTAGTTGGCCAGGCACAGTGGCTCATGCCTGTAATCCCAGCACTTTGGGAGGCCAAGGTGGGCGGATCACTTGAGGCCAGGAGTTTGAGACCAGCCTGGCCAACATGGTGAAACCCCGTCTCTACTAAAAATACAAAAAATTAGCTGGGCGTTGTGGCGTGTGCCTGTAATCACAGCTACTTGGGAGGCTGAGGCAGGAGAATCGCTTGAGCCCAGGAGATGGAGGTTGCAGTGAGCCAAGATCACACCACTGCACTCCAGCCTGCTGGATTTAGGACAGGAAAGAAAAACTGAGGAGAGAAGTACCCAAGGAGGGTCTGTGGCATGGGAAGTAATCAGTGAGAAGCACAGCTGTCAGTCGGTCAGGAAGCACATTCTTAGCGATGCCGACTCCCTGCCGAGGCACATGCCAGGCATCACCAGGGTGAGGAAAGGAGGTGTATGGTCCCTGCCTAGGACCTTGTTACGGGGATTTGACAAGAAGGGGCTCTCTCCTTGATTAAGGGGGCCATGGAAAAATCAAGACATTTTCCAAATAACACCTCCCACCTGTAAGTGAGCCGGAGCGGCCAATGATTTCTCAGACTTCCGGAGAACCCCACCCCACAGTGTGTGGTCTCATCACATCCCACACTTCTCTGCCAGCTCCCCCCACACCCTCCAGTTAACTAACCCCACTCTCCCCATCCTCCACCACCCTCCCAGCGACAGTGCGTGGAATACGCCCTCAAGGCCCGGCCCCTGCGGAGGTACATCCCCAAGAACCAGCACCAGTACAAAGTGTGGTACGTGGTCAACTCCACCTACTTCGAGTACCTGATGTTCGTCCTCATCCTGCTCAACACCATCTGCCTGGCCATGCAGGTCAGTCCCAGGAGGAGCACAGCCATGGTGCTGCAGAAGGGAGTGTGCCATGGGGATGGAAAGTGTAACGGAGCGGCAGGCAGCTCAGTGCATCGCTTTCCTGGTCACCAAGGGAGGCATTTGGAGAAAGACGAGTGTTCTCTGTCAAGGATGTGCTCCTCTCTGGGCCTTACGGAAGAATCCATGGCACCCTGGGTTGATCAATGGAGAGAGGGGAGGAGATGGAGAAGGGAGGGTTGAGCTGAATGCATTCATTGTTGGTTGATCAATGGAGAGAGGGGAGGAGATGGAGAACGGAGGGATGAGCTGGATGTGTTCGTTGTTGGTTGATCAATGGAGAGAGGGGAGGAGATGGAGGAGGGAGGGATGAGCTGGATGCATTCCTTGTTGGTTGATCAATGGAGAGAGGGGAGGAGATGGAGAAGGGAGGGATGAGCTGGATGCGTTCGTTTTTGGTTGATCAATGGGGAGAGGGGAGGAGATGGAGAAGGGAGGGATGAGCTGGATGCATTCCTTGTTGGTTGATCAATGGAGAGAGGGGAGGAGATGGAGAAGGGAGGGATGAGCTGGATGCGTTCATTTTTGGTTGATCAATGGAGAGAGGGGAGGAGATGGAGAACGGAGGGATGAGCTGGATGTGTTCGTTGTTGGTTGATCAATGGAGAGGGGAGGAGATGGAGGAGGGAGGGATGAGCTGGATGCATTCCTTGTTGGTTGATCAATGGGGAGAGGGGAGGAGATGGAGAAGGGAGGGGAGGAGATGGAGAAGGGAGGGATGAGCTGGATGCATTCATTGTTGGTTGATAAGTGGGGAGAGGGGAGGAGATGGAGAAGGGAGGGATGAGCTGGACGCATTCGTTGTCGGTAAGGTGTGGCGTGTGGAGGGAGGTGGGTTCTGCATCCACCTGTCTTCAGGGACAGAGCTTGTTCCCAAGCTCTCTTGAGTGCCAGAGTCTCCATAAAGTTGTCACGGCCAACCAGGGAAATGAACACAGATGTGTTCAGAGATGGCAGAGCAGGGAAGATCTTGGAGGTTCTCCTGAGTCCTCCTGACTGCCCACGGAGAGGTGGGCGGCCCTCTGGGGGTTTGGTTCAAGGAAGGTCTTGCTGAGGCGAGGGCCTTCGAGAAGGCTGGGCAAAAGGTGGGGAGGAGGAGCGACCTCCCTGCCCCGTGTTCACAGCTCCTCCCCTCTCCTGATGCAGCACTACGGCCAGAGCTGCCTGTTCAAAATCGCCATGAACATCCTCAACATGCTCTTCACTGGCCTCTTCACCGTGGAGATGATCCTGAAGCTCATTGCCTTCAAACCCAAGGTAGGCCTCTGAGAAAGACCTTTGATTCCCAGGCATCAGGGGTGGACAGAACGGGGAGGTGGGGTGCAGGTATTGAAGGCAGAATGAGGGGAAGAGGGAAAAAGGCATCGGTGAAGGACCATCCCTGCTCCGATGGTCAGTGCCCCAACTCCTACACCTGCCCAGAGCTGAACCAGGCCAACTCCAGGAAACACTCTCAGCTCTCAGTGTTGACCCTGGCTGGCATGCACAAGCTGCAGATTCCTCGCTGAGCTGAACCTCTGAGCCTCTCCTAGGAGAGGCAGGTGATGGTCTTTCTCCTATGTCCCATCCTCTAGTACATAACCTGTTAATAGAAGAAACTATGCTCATAGACTGGCAGACCAAACCTCTCCAGGCCCAGCCCCCCAGATCCACTCAGGCCTCTGTTCCACCCTCCTCCCATTTCATCAGCCACACAGACCAACCTCATATAAAACATTCAGCCAGGGCTGGATTTGCTCAGGGCTCAGGACTGAGGGCTCCAGCCCATGGGCACTCCTGTTCCCTGCCTAAGAGGCTATGGCATTGCTCCTTACATGCTCTGGGGCAGGAAGAACAATTACCAGCAAATTTCTCTGCTTTGTTCCTTGTGTAAGGGCAAGAAGATTAGGCCTGCTGCTGAATGAGGCAGGGTCAGAATTCCTGTTCTTTGGATCATCTGTGCCCTTCCTAGCCAGTCACCCCCATTGTCCTCAGTGGTGGAGGAGCAGACACTGGTATGAGCCACACCTTCCACCCTGGGCCTCTGTAGATGGGTCAGAATCACGGGTATCCACTGGCCGGGATTCACCACCAGGACAGCTGCTTCTGAGGGAGGCTATAAGAGCAACTGAGCAGCCCCCAGGCTACCATAACACCTTTTGGAGAAGGATGAGAAGGAACGAGTTCTAGGAGCATCATGCAGTTACAGACTTGAGACAATCTCTCCAGCTTACTGAGCCTTCCCCTCCCTCCTTTGGTAGTTTTCCCAGAGGCAACACAGATCAACAGGAGGCCAAGAGCAAGAATCCCTGGCCATATCTTCTATTTTCATTCAAGTTTTTACTGGTCTCAAGATTAATTGGGGGTGGGGGAGGGTCCAGCTCGGCCTTTGAATCCATGTTCATTGAGGAGATATCCACAGCCTTCTTTGAATGAATATTCACTCACACTTTGGATTCCATATCATGTGCTACATGTATATCATCGCACGTCATTCTCAAAACGTCCCTTTAAAGTAGGTATTAGCATCCCTCTGTGGAGAAGGGGGAAGGGAGGCTCAAACAATTAAGTGCCCAGGATTAATTGATCCACTGCTAAGAACTGGCAGAACGGAGACTGGAATCCGGCACCTCTGACTTCACTGTATTTTCCACCACACTGAGGTTAACTATCATTTTCCCATGTCAAGTGTTCTGCGGGTATTTTTTAGCAAGAGGGAAACAACCTTGGAGGGACTTAAAAGATAAGACAATATTCCTACAATGCAGATTCTTCTGTCACTCAAAGAATGCCTGGGGATCCCAGCTGATTTTCATAGAGGAAGTCTCCTAAGGGACATCCTTTGGTGATAGAACGGTGGTTTCCTGCCTTCTCCAGAGAAGCAAGTACACTCTTTTTCACCTTCCTGTACAAGTCCCATTTAGGAGGACAGATCTTGTCCTGACCTAGAGAGGACCCCTGCGTTGCCCTGACACCTTCCTTAGGGTACACGGTGTCTGTGCCCACACATGGTCCTATTCCAAGCCCTGCAGCCCAGGAGCTCTGACAGTTCGCCACCCACAGCAGCATGACCAGCTGAGGCCAGGAGTGCAGTCACTGCCTAGCCGAGCCTCAGTCTCGGATGACTCCTCTCAGTGGGGAAACTGGCATCATTTTCATACAGTGTCACGAGACATATGGTTTAAATATTTCAAAGCCTTGAGTCATTCCACAGTTGACTCAGATGTGTTTCTGACGATGTCTGAGGCAGTCTGGAGAGCCTGCAGTGGACTTTCTGAATCATGCCTCCTGAGCACGGGAGACATACAGACAACCTTCCCTGGGAAGTGCATGAAATTGACACCTGCAGGAGCCTCCGTCCTCCGTCTAAAAGACACTCCACCTAAATCCTGCCAATCAAGGAACAAGCCAGTTTCCTAGGAAGTAACCATTGCGAGTGGTCTAAACTGTAAAGTGCCTCCTAATTTCCTCTGTCCCTGGTTTTCTATTGTGAGAAGATGGGGCAAGATAACAGAGACTTTTACCCAAGAAGGAAGACAGCCATCCTGGGCCCATTTGCATTTCACATTCCAGGGTACATCTATGGTGTAAAGAGAAAGGAAAATGGATCTTTCCCTGTGAATTTCCCTAAAGGGGCTCTGGCAAGAGGGGGATAAAGGTCACCACCCAGTTAGGAGCATCATGGAGCACAGCTGAGTCCCTGGATTCTTACTGAGCTATGTTCTTCATTCACAAATAGACTCCAGGTAAAGCAGCTCCAAAATTTTCAGGCAGAAAACCAAACTGGAAAAACTTGAAGCTCTGGAAGAATATCCAGCTGGATCTGGCCCAAGAACCAGTGGCTTCTAACCATGACCTGAATCCATGACAACTTTCATTTCCCACCATTAAGTAGGACTCTGTGCTGCACTTTTTATTTCACTGGCATGGTTGTTTGTGTATGACCCAGATGAGCATCAGCATTTGCTGTGAAAGGATGGCTAGGAACCAAGGATGTTGAAGACAGTCTGAAGTTGTCACTGCTTATGTTTCGTCTCTGCAACTGGCTGGTTGGTTGGTCCATCAGCCGGTCAACTTGTATTCTTGCTTCATTCTTTCATTGTTTTCATGGTCATGGATGTTCCCAATTTCTTCATTTCTGTGTGTTCTCCTCACCACTCCATGGAAAATAAATTTACTCAAGTAAGTCCCTGCCTTAAATCTAACCATCCCACTCCTTAAATTCATACTCTGTTCAAAAAAAAAAAAAAAATCACACAAAGAAACTAGGAATCAACATAAACCAGTTTAGATTGAGTCGGTCCCTGACAAAGCCTCAGGAACCTGCAGGCATGGTTTGAAGAGAGTGAGGTGGATCATGCCAGCATTGATTTGAACAGTGAACAGTGACCCAGAAGGATCTCCTTCCCTAGAAGTGAGAGGCCATGACCTGGAGATAACTGGATGGCCCCTGCACCCCACACGAAGGTGCAGGACCAGGCTGGGCAGCACGAAAAGTGCTGGCTGGAATATTCTGAAGGTAATTAAATAACTGGATAGTCCTATCATGAACTGAAGCTTGTCAGCAAAGACAGGAAAATAAATTTTGAAGATACTCTTATAGATTTGATAAACTGAAAAATATGCAATGCCTGGGGAAAAAGTCTAACAGAAATGGCTAAGATCTCTACAGAGAAAATGATAAAATTGAAAGGAATTCAAGAAAAGCTGATAACTGAAGACATCTATCATGTTCCTGAATTGGAAAGCTCAATATTATTAGGATATCATTTCTCCTCAAACTGATCCATAGGCTCAATACCATTCCAGTTAAAACTCCCAATTGCACTTTGCTGGAGGTGAGGATGGCAGGAGAGGGAGCCACACGTAAATCCTTTACGGCCAACAGGATGAGGCTGGGTGGTCCTGAGGCTTCAGCCCCTTCGGGCAGCTCTGAGGTCACCAAGGAGGGAATGCACAGGAGCCTGGCGCGGGAAGCAGTGTCTGTCTCAGCTACTCCAGTGTCGGCTGCTGGTTTGGTAGTGGGAGTGATGATGTCACTTAGTTGCCTGAGGTTTGCTGTCGAGGATGTCTCAGCAAGGGTACTGGGGGGGAGGAGCTGCAGGAGGCGATGAGTGAGAGGCTGCGCTCCAAGCTTCTCCTCCTCAGTGGAATGTGGTATGCCAGGAAGGCAGGGGTTCACCCCGTGGAAGGCTCCTAACTCCTCCCCTCCACACAGGCTCCACCTGGGCCGCAGAGGGGTGAAGCAGCTGAGACTCACCTCTGCCCCTCAGCTGAAGCCATCCCACTCAGGGAGTAGCCAGTGATCACCTCCCCAAGAGGAGGACGCTGGAAGGGCCTTGACCCTGGCAGCTCTCTGGAATCCAAGTCTCGGTCTCCCTTTTTGGCTTTCCCCCAGCCTGAGAATGGTCCAGAGGGGAGAATGGACCCAGAGTGAAAGCACTCATTGGCCCCTCTGACCCCCTGCTTTCTTGAATAAGCAGCTGAAACCTCGGGAGGCCTGGCCCCTTTCCCACACGTTCCCAGTCTCCGCTCTCTTTCTGTCTGGGCCTCCTCAGCCCAGCTGCTCCAGCTTCACAAAGCCAGATGGTTTCTCTCATCCCCCTACCCTTTCTTCTGGTGATTTTCAGCCAGAAGTTGACGCATATATAGTGGAGCCCCTCTTGACTGGGTTAGACAGTCTCTCGCCCTGGCCGAGTGAGTTTCTCCCACTGTCAGTTGCCCCAGCCCTCCCTGGCCTTCCCCAGCCAGTGGCAGCTGCAAGCACCCAGCCCTTTCCCTGCAGACTCTTTCCCACCCAGTCCTGAGCTGGCCCTAAGAAGGCAGCAAGCGCAGGTGAGGTCTGGAGTTAGTCGCTGCTGCGAGCCCCCATAGGGCGTGTCCCGTGAGCCATGGGGCACCCAGACACTCTTTTCCACAGTCGATTGGACTTCTGTCTAGACTTCCCCATCAGCATTTTATTGCCCTAGTGACAGAAATCTAACAGCCGTGAGCCCCTCTGGGTTCTTAGCTGACCCCCTCTGGGGTGCAGAGCCTTGTCCAGCTGCTGGCCAGACTTGCCGCCTCATGGCCTCCATGCCACTTCCGAAGTGGAGGCAGCCTCCTCACCACGGCTCCTCTCCAGACTTCCTGCCGGCGCCCTTGCCCTGCACGCTGGTCTCTGCTGGGCCCGACAGGCCTTACCACAGCCATCTGGGGCTGTGGCTCCTGTCTGCCACCACACACAAAGGACGTGGCTGGCATTTTCAGAGGATCAGCTAAGAATGGGGCAGCAGTTCAGTTGCCACAGTCTTGTCTGCTTTGAAGCCCCTGTTATCTTTCAGGAAAGAGGAAATGAAGGCAGTGAAGCCTTGGCCTTGTCTGCTTCTCAGAGAGTAGAGAGGCAGAAAGAGGAGCGGTTTCTCCGGTCCCCCACCTGTTGTCCTGAGGAATCCATCAACGAGGCCCTGGGCACTTCCTTTATCGAGAGTGAGGGATGAGTCAGGACTAGTCGGTAGCCTGGTGAATGAGATGCTACCAGAACCAGAGCTGCTCGGGACCCTGGAGGTCAAATGCTGGCTCTCTCTTGGGGCCACTCTTCATAGCACAGCTCTGGGCCCAGCCTTGCCCCGGTCTCACTGACACATATGCCAGCTAAGCTATAGGGAGGGCCAGGGGGCTCTGGAATGGTCGTCCTAGTGGCGAGCACCTGGAGTTCGTGTGCCAAAACCAGCCCACTCTGCATCGTGAAGGCTCTGAGCTGACAGAGGCTGTTGCTGGCCTTGGACTTTCCACACTCAGGGGCAGCCGTCCTCGTATCCAGTGTGCCCATGTGGGGGCAGGGATCCTGTGGCTTCCAGAGCAGTCTTTTCTCTGCAGGCTCTGCTGTTCTTAGGACTGGTTTCTGCTCTTACAAATGATTCTTGGCCCTGACATGGGTGGCCACAGGCCCTGCGGAGGGGAGAAATCTTTGGGGATACCCTGAGGATGTGGCTCAAATGGAAGGGTCATCACCAGCTGCCTTGTTTTCACTGGGCTTGTGTCGAAAGGCACAGATGAGGGCTGAGTTGGGGCTGTAGGTTCGCATATGGATGGGCAGAGGGAAAGTTGGAATGAGGAGGTGGGTGCATGGGGAAGTTCACTTGCTTCCATAGAGAAACAACAGCCCAGTTTCTCATCTACTCTGTCAGCTCTGTCCATGTCTAGAAACTTCTGTCCTTTAGATTTAGCATCTGGCCTCTTTGGGCAAATAGCTTTCGTCACATGACCCGAAGATACTGTGGTCCCTCCTCCAGCCAGCTTGGGGTTCTCCAGGGGCATCCATGCCCTGTGCAGATGCAAGGGGACTTTGGAGGCTGAGGGTCCGGATTGCTCAGGTGTGGACCTGCTGTTTTAGGTGTTGGAGTCTGTGGCGCCAGGAGTGAGCTGCTCCCAGGAAAGGGACCAGATTCTGACATTCCCCTGGCAGGTGGAGAAGTTGGGAGGGCACCCTCAGCAGACAACTCAGCCCCCAAGTCAAAGGTCAGATCTGCTTGTCTGAGCAAGGGAAGAGAAACCACCTTTACGAACTGTGGGCCAGGCCTCTTTCCCACCCAGGCCAGGGTGTCAGTCTGGATGGTAATCAGACATGTTCTCTGCCCCCGGGAGGAGGCAAGTGGACGGCACACCAAAGAACAGGCTCCTGAAGGTTGCCAATGGTGACAGAAACAGCCACAGGAGAAGAGAGTGCATGAGCCTGTGTCAGAGCAGCGGCTCATCAGCCTAAGGAGAGGTGTGGCAAAGGCCACGAGGCCCCAAACTGCCCCACCGGTGCCCTGGGGCAGCCAGGGCTGAGGCAGTGGGAAGAATGCCAGGGCCAGAATTCCTCTAAAGACACCAATGTGGCCACCTGAGGGGCCAGGGGAACCCTGCAAGCTAAATCCATCAGGCCTGAGCTGAGCCTGCCCCGGAGGCAGGAGAGACTCCGATGTCCACAGACTCTTCCATGGACTGTTGAGAGACATTTCAGAACGTGTTCTTAAAAGCTCAGTCAAGGACCAGGAGAAGGAAGGGGAAGTGGGATGGCCAGGAGGAAAGGATGCACACTGGAGCCCGTTCCTCTTTTTGAAAGCGGAGAATCTTCTAGGAACTTGGTTTGTTTTTCAGTCATGTTTTCGGCAGCAATGACATTGCTGGCTGAAATGTACTTTCTCTCCAACTTGACCTCTGCCTCCACCTGCACCGCTCACCAGGAATCATCCTCTTCCAACTGTTTTAAATTAGCCATGCACTTCTGTATGATGCAGTAATTTTTGTGAAGTTTTAATTTTTACAAAGCAAATTTTGCTTTATGTCTTCGCTTCATCATCCACTGACCCCAGATCCCACCCAGAGAGGAAATTCTGGTAGATTGAGACCCAGGAAGCCTAGATCCCACCTCAGCATCACCTTGAACCAGCCAGGGCTGAGCAGACGGGACAGGAAGAGCTTCCTACAAGCACTTGTTCCTTCCATGTCTGTTTCTCTGTAAAGTAGGAAGACTGCCTTAGCATACTGTGGTGAGACTGAGTGAGGTCATATCTACAGAGGAATGAAGGCTTCAGGGAAAGTGCCATTCAGATGAAACTCAGCCGGATCCCTACGCCTGGGGAGTTTGCGCCCAGCCCTCTAACTCAGCACCAAAGGAACTTCACCTCCAGCCTGGGTGTGCCCTCTTGTCTGTGACCATTTTAAATGGGCCCTTTTGCAATATTGGTATTCTGTCGTCTTTCATCCTGAGCCCATGTATTCTATCCCTTCAGTCTGATTTCTGTCTCACACCATGAAATAACTTTAAGGCTCATCTTAATGCATCCTTGAAGTTGGGTTGTGCAAGCATCAACGACGCTACCAGCATCTAAACTATCACTCCCCTTTCCTGTGGCTAATGCAACCCATTAGTCGGCTTTTCAAGCCTTCAGCTCAGTTTTTCACCATTCCCTCTCTTTCTCGGTGCCTAGGCCTTGCCATTCTTCGTATTCTTTATTTCAAGAACTCTTTGTTTGTGTGACTTGCTTAGTGTTTTGCTGCAGGCTAAAGTTCACCAACAACCCCCAAAATATTTTGTTGAGCAGCTCACGTGCTAGGCGGTAGGCTTGGTACCAGGGACTCAATCATGAATACAAGCAGGTAGGTAAGGCCACACTTGCCTGGGGCGACTTTGGCCCACTCTTGAGACTTGTAGCATCCCCAGTTCACCCTCTCATTTGTCACTAGGAAAACTCCTGTCAGCTGGCATTCATATTTCAACTTAAAAGAAGCAGTCGATAATCAATGCCTACACCTGAGATCAAGTAACATTTAGAAGCACTGGAGGGAAGCAAACAACATATATTGTCAATGAAGAACCAGACATGAAGCTGGATATTTTACTTGCCTTATCTCATTCAATCCATAAGACGAATATTATGGCCTCCCATTTTACATCTGAAGAAACTGGAGGTCAGAAAAAGGCTAAGTCCAGAGCTGGCTTTTTGTTGTTATTGTCAGTTTGTAACAAACACCATCCTGCTTAGTATGCACCCTAATACTGCTCTAAGCACCTTAATAGGAATGCATTTAATCATTGTAAAAATCCTGGGATTCTATTGCAGGCTTAGGTGACTCAAAAGCCACTCTTTCCACGACAACCCTATTAAAACAAGAAATGTGAATAAGCCATGTTGTTGCTATGCGCTTAGTGAGTCCTCAGTAAATGTTAGCTGTCTTCCTTCTAAGATCCGAGACAGAAAGAAAGAAAGCCATTCTCGAGTCACCACCCTCTGGAATGGAAAGTGTTCACTCCACTCCTGTGTCCTGCCACCTTCTCTGAGGCCCCTTGCCGTCCTTCCCTCTCATTCAGCCATTCTGTCTGTGGCCCCTGCATTCCCTAGATTGCTTTGGACCTTTGAATTTTGTTTCCAAATCTGAGTTGACAAGCACTTTCAGGAGAGGGGTAGTCAGCTGACAGGTGGGCTCAGGAAAGTGAAACCGAAGCCTACTACACACTCATCTGCATGTGTTTCCACACACACATGCACACACATTTGCAATGGGAAGACTTACACATTGGGGACACAAAAATTGCCAAATTCATCAATGGCGGGAGCTGTTTCATGTTCATCTCTGTGCCATGAGAGGCATTCAGTGAAAGTTTGATGCATGCATGCATGAATGGATGAATGAGAATTGTGAGCCCGGAAAAGAAAGTCGGAATATTAGTGTCAGAAAGGATTGAGACCATTGAGCTTCCATCAGTGCAGAAATCTCTACACAGTCCTACTTTCTGCCATACAAGTCTCCTTGTTTCTAGAGGTAGCTCTGTTGGAAATCCTTCTTTATACTGAATTAAAATGCACCCCTCTGTAACTTCCACTTATCCGTACTTCCTTTTCCATCTTTTCTTTCTATAAGTAGTTCTTGAGCGCCTCAGTGATGATGTTGAAGCATGGTACCATCTTTATAGGGCTCACAGAGTAGTGCGGGAGACACCAATACACAACAAACAAAGGTTTCAGATGGGGTAAGGGCTGGGGTGGGGAAACTAAAGAGTGTGAGTGAAGAGGCACCTGTTTAAAATAAGGAGGTCAGGAAGGCACCATTTCTGCTGAGCCCTGGAGGGTGAAAAGGAGCCAGAAGAGGAGCATTTCAGGCAGAAGGAAGAGCAAAGACCCCGAGGCAGGGGCAAGCTCAGCTCGCTCTGGAAACTGAGAGTGGCGCGTGAAAAGGACTGTGCCAGAGCGCACAGGCCCTTCAGGATCACGGTGAGGGGTGTGCACTTCCTCTGACTGTCCTTGGAAACCGCAGGGATGGGCCATTCAGTGGGGAGGATTATATAATCTGATTTTCATTTTTTAACCAGCATGCTGGCTGCTCATTGACAAATGACTGGTGTGGTGAGATGGGGAGCAGCAAGGAGCCTGATGCTGGGAAGGCAGGTGGCAGTGGAAGAGATGGAGCGAGGGGGGCAGAGTCATGACATCACTGGATGGCGAATTGGATGTGAGGGTGAGGAACAGGAATCAGAGACGGCTCCGGGGTTCCTGGCTTTCCCTGAGTGGATGGAAGAGTGGTGTCATTTGCTGAAATAGAGAAGAACAGGAAGAAACCAGTTTAAAGTGAGAATGTGGGGATATATTAGGTTAGAAAATGTCACGTAGGCTGTGAAAATCTGGAATTCAGACAGGCGATCTGGGCTGGAGATGTATTTTAGGAGTCAGCGCCATCTATTCCCTCTGAAGATAGAAACTCCAAGAATCCTGTCCAGAAGCCTTCAAGTCCTGGGAGAAGAGTTGGAGAACATGCAGAATCACAAGGAAACTGGGAGAGAAGAGAGGAAGGAGAAGGAAAGGGGTCTGGAGGCCAAGAGCCAGGAAGGCTGAAATGAGGGGTGGAGAAGAAAATATCATTCCCCAGGATAAGAGTAGGGATGAGTTAAGCCAGCTGCGGAGAAGAAAGAAACGGTCCTCCAGGCCTTCTAGAAACTGAGGACAGGCAGAGGGAGGCCAGAATGCTGCCCTGCTGTCCAGAGGGTGACATGAAAAGGGCCGGACAGAGGCCAGTGTGTGCAGGCCCTTCAGGACCACAGTGAGGAGTGTGGACTTCCTCTGACTGTCCTTGGAAACCACAGGGATGGGTCATTCAGTGGGGGAACTGCATAATCTGATCTGGGGTCTTCAGTGTGCACCTTTACCCTCACCCACGTCCTCCCATACTGAGCATCACAGAGGTCCCTGACTCTGCCCCTCCTTCTCCCATACTAGAAATCCTTGCCCTGGAGGAGCTCAAAAGCCAGGCCTTCCCAGACCTTGCTGGACATGTTTGCGACAGAACCAGGGCCCTTTCCTTTTCCCAGCTGTGCAGAATTGAATTTGCAGTCCTCATGATTCCATAAAAGGAGTTTCCAAGACAGACCTTCTGCACTTCTCTTTGGCTAAGAGGTTCTTTGCTATAAAAAACACAGGATAATGGGGGAGTGTACCCCGCCCCCAGCCCAATGCTGAAGCTAGGGACAGGCGTTCTCATACAGCTCTCTTCTTTCCTTCACAATCTTTCCTCTCTCCTCGCTCTGCCCACCACCCACCACCTCACCTGTGTTCCGCCCCTACAATGGTCAGGGCAGCCTGAGGCTCATAAGTCTGGCCGGCTCAGTTTTCCATCTCCTGGTGGCCTTCTGTGGGGCCTCAGGACAGATCTTCAGGGCCAGTGGCTGTTCTCAGCCTCGTGGGGATAACCCTGACCACAGCAAGAAATGCCCTGCTCTTGGAGTCACTTTTGAGGAAGACGTTTTCATCTCTATGTAGTCTTTCGATGTACAGGGAAATGCCTTAAAATCTTTTGCAGGAGCCCAGGCCTTCGTCGTTCACTGCTCTGTGTTCAGCCCTGCTCTTTGGGAAGGTATTCAAGAACAGTCTAAGATGTTGCCTGAAGAAAAAAAAGTGGCAGTCTAGTGGGACAAGGGTTTAGGATTTGGGATGAAAGGAAAGTGGCTGTGATTGGGTCACGTTCAAACATCGAGACTGTTGGTTCCTGCCTGGCATTCTCCCTCCCATCCCTCCCCTGCCGTAGCCTCTCTGGGTCCCTGCAGAAGCTTCGCTGTTCCTCGTGGTTCTGCTTGGTCCTGAGTGCCCCCACGAGCCTCTCCATGGTTCCCCATTGTCCACAGAGGAAGCTGCTCTGGCCGGCCCCGTCCTCCAGCCCTTGTCTCCTTTTCAGAGCCACCCATGCTCTCACCTTTTCCGTGTAATAAATAATAAACACCTCTAGTGCTGCATCCTTCAAGCTGCCTCCCGAGATCAGCCTGGCTAGAAGTGGTCTCCACCACCTCTGAGCTTCCAGAGCACCCTTTTCCCTCTTTTCTGGTACTTAATCAGAGCTCTTGATGGAAATGTCTCATCCTTCCAGCAGGACTGGAAAGTCTTTGAGCAGGACTGTCTCTTGGTGGCATCCACACTGACCTCCTTCCAAATGCTAGCCCAGGAATGCCGTGTGCCTGTCATCTCTGTCAGTGTCAGCTGAATGAAGGCCAACGGAAGACAAGACAGGCAGCTTCCTCTGGGGTGCCCCTCCTCGCAAAAGTGACTCCAGCCCCTGGCTCACAAGCTCCGGCATCCAGCAAGGACACCCCCTTCAGTTCTCCACCCACCACAGGAGCTTGTCACTCTCTGGGGTGGTCTGCCGGAAGAGAAAGCAGAGATGGAAGGCAAAGACAGTGGCTCCGGAGCCGCCATCCGTGCCGTGCTCAGCAGGACTTAGCAGCATGGCCACCCAGGTCAGGGAAATTCTGGCTCAAGTGTGCTCAGACAGTTCAGTGCAGAACTCAGGGCCAGTGAGAGGTGCTGGGCCCTGAGACTACCTCAGGCCAAAGTTCTGAAATTCAACCCTCCCAGGCTCATTGGAGGATGGGGTCCTTGTTTGGGGGTTTGTTTTGTGTCATTGGTTTTTTGTAACGCCGATGAACACTTCCACAGACCTAGTGTTCTACAGAACACAGTTCTGGAAATCTGTAGGGCGTCACCATGATTCGGGGAGGTAAAACTGACATTTAGTGTTTAGCGGGTGGGACTGAGGATGCTGAAAGTCCCACAACGTGTGAGAGGGTTCTGCCCAGTGAAGGAGCATCCTTGGGCCCTGTGGAATGTTTGGGAAATACTTATCCAAGGAGCACCCTTCATGGGTGATGTTCAGTGACACTGATAGTGGGGGAGTCTTCAGTGGCTGGCCAGGGGCCGAGGCTCAGCAAGGATAACACTGCCACTAGAAATATGACCGTATCTTGGATTGTATGACTGCATTTCCTCACTAACCTGGAATATTCACATTGAAGAACTTGAAGAGCAAGCAAGAATTTTATTTCAAAAATCGTACGGAAACCTAGACATTCTCTTGGGCTAGGTCTTCAATCCTTTCTGGACCCAGTGCTCTTCTTTTTGGAATAGTCTCCGCACCCACTGTATACTCCATGTCCCTACAGAGCTCCACAGCGCCCCGTGGTGGCCAGTGTCACCCCCTCTCTAAGAACCCACACATAGCCTCAGGCTGGCTGACTCAGCGTCTTAGTGACTTTTAGATGAAACCTGTTTATCCAATCTATTGAGAAACTGCAGTGTCTGCCACCGTCCACAGAAATCCCTAGGTAGAGAAATGCATTAAAAGGAGTAGAAAAGGGACCGGGAAAGAAGGGCAGCAGCTGCGGATGAAATGCGGCAACTCTTGCCCCAGCCTTCGCCATCGGCACAGAATTCAGAGGCCAAAGCTGTGTGGGCCAAGCTCCCGCATTCCCCTGATTATTATTTATTTGCAGAGTGCCCACGGGGCACCGGGTGCCACGCAGTGCTCCTTAGACAGGCAGGCCCCAGCTTTGCCAGGAGGACCTTCCCCCGCTCCCCCCGCCCCCCATGGCTCTGCACTCAGGGATTTGCATTTTGTTACAACACTGTGACAGGTTTCTTTCCGGCCTTGTGCTGGAGAGCTTAAAAGTCACTATGAAGCATAAAAAATAATTATATGACTTGCATAAAGCCTTCATGTGGGAAGGCTAGTATTAGCTATTACATTTAATTATTTAATGTAGAAAATTATTCACACGGTGTAAAAAAGCCCGGTGGGAAAGTACACTGTGGTTTCCGTCTCTGGCCCTGCCACAGGGAAGGAAACTGGAACACACCGGTCTGGTAGGAAGAAGAGGGATTCCCAGACCTACAGGGTGCGTCGGCGATAACCCGACCCACCAAAGCCCGAGGTGCTGCCAGTGCTTCCGGCCCTGCGCTGGGTCAGCCTGCCTTAGGGGCAGGAAGGACCTTCTGTGACACAGGCTGCGGGCAGTACAGGAAGGTAGCCTCTCAGCAAGAACCCCACCAACAACAGCAATAGTAGCAACTGTAGCAATCAGTGAGCACGTTCTCGGTGCCAGACAGGGCAGGTGTGAACTTATATCATTCTCACAAAGCCCTATAAGGGGCCAGGCACAGTGGCTCACACCTGTAATCCCAGCACTTTAGGAGGCCGAGGCCAAAGGGCCGTTTGAGCCCAGGAGTTCAAGACCACCCTGGGCAAGACCCCATCTCTAAAAAAAAAAAAAAAAAATTCTATTTTTAAATTAGACAGATATAGTGGCACACACCTGTAGTCCCAGCTCCTTGGGAGGCTGAGACGAGAGGATCTCTTGTGCCCAGGAGATGGAGGCTGCAATGAAATATTATTGCAACACTGCACTCCAGCCTGGATGACAGAGTTAAACCCTGTCTCTAAAAATAAAATAAAATAAAAACCCTACAAGGGCAAGTACTCTGGTTATTCCCATGTTGCAGGTAGGGAAGCTGAGGCACAGAGAAGTTAGGTAACCTGCCTGCACAACCCGAGGCTCATTGTGGGAAGTGAAGGCGGTCTATCATTTTATTCACATCTTGTTCAAGAGTGTGGGTGCAGGTTGCCGGCCAGATGCCCTGGCCATGCCTGGAGCTGGGCATGGCTCCCTCCCCCACAGCCACCTCTGCCCAGCGCCCTGCCTGGCGTACCTGTGCTCTCTCCAGGAGCACTCGCCCACTAGGTTAGAGAGGGCACAAGGCAGGAGTGACAGGATGGGCTGTGGGAGCTTTCTGAGAGTGCTGAGCAGGAAGGGACCTCTCTGTTTGGGGTTTGGAAAGCTCTCTCCATGGCCTTGGTCCTGTGGATTGGACTGGAAGGGGTTCTAGGCAGGCAGGCGGTTTTGAAGGCTGCCACAGATTCAAGCCCTCCCATAGCAAAGGAGAGATTGCTCCTCCTTGTTCCAGCCACATCTGATGCTGCTTGTTTCCTGCCTTCCCTTCTTCAGAGTGCATGGTGCTGTTCATTTGAGCTTAAAGTTGCCTGTGTGCATGGCCATGTGTCTGCCTAGCCTTATCCCTCTCCAAGGAGGCATTGATTCAGCACCCTAGTCCTGGAGGCACCTTTGCAGAAAACGGCTCATTTATTCCAGCATGAGTAGTGTGAAGCAGCTATTGGGATCCCCCAATCTACCCAGGTACAAACTGAGGCAGAAAAAGAGCCTCCTGAGACCCCCAAATGGAGCTTAACCCATAACCCCAAATTTTCATCTGCTCTCAGTGGGGAAGATGGCAGGCTTCAGGAGGGCTGATTCATATTCGTATGCCCAAGCCTTGCATAGTTACAGGCCTCTAGTAAGTGCTTATTATGTGTTGATGAGATAAATAAATGAATGAGTAAATAAATGGACGAAGGCCTTCAAAAATGTCCTGGGGAGGATAAGCCTTAATTCCAAAGAAAAATGGGAGCAGAAAGTGTCCAGTTAAAAGTGTGCATTCTAAGGAGTGTGTGTTCCTCCTGCAACTAGGAGAGCAGCCCCCCTCGCCTCCACCCGCCTGGGGTCCTCTCACGAGGCAAGCACCCAGCCCCCTGCCCACTCCTGCCCTTTGTCCAAGCAGTCCTCAAGCTAGCTGTGCAGCGTGTGTCTTGGGGTGCTTCTGAATTAACACATCACAGGATGGGAGCTGACAGAGGAGGGCAGAAATCCCCACCTCCTCCCAGGCTGCTGGCAGCTGTGTGCTCCAGTTATGCCTTCTCCATTAGGTGCCACTAATTTCCATGATTACTGTTATGTCTAAATGGCATCCTGGTGTAATACAATTTATATTATCTCTGCTTGGTGTCGGTTACCATTGTTTTCATGATATTCAATGGGATCAACTCTGCATAGACACACAGACACGCACTGAGACTTCACCACCACCGCCGCCAGCTGCCAGTGGGACCCAGCTCCTCTCCCCGGTTCATTCGGCTCTCATCATTTCTGGGACCCAGAAAAGATCAGTGTTTCCAGGAGCTGGGCACAGCTCCCTCCCCCACAGCCACCTCTGCCCAGCGCCCTGCCTGGCGCACCTGTGCTCTCTCCAGTGCTTGCTCACTCAAGCAGGACCTCTGCTCTCTTGCAGGGACCCCCTTCCCTAGGTCCGGTGAAGCCATCTGTTGCCCCTCCCTCCCTCAGCGCCACCCCACCGTGGCAGCCTCCAGCTGCTTCCTGACTGATGTTCCTACCCCTGTCTCCAAGGGCCCTTCAGAGGACCCGTTGTCCTTTTCCACTCTCTGTCTCAATCTCAGCAGCCCCACTTCTAATCCAGCCCCGAAGTCCTGCAGCCCCTCCAGCCAGCACGCTCCGTGACCCATGTGTCCTAGGAGGGGAAACCACGTGTTCAGAGTCAGCTTCCCCACAGGGCCGGGGAACTCAGGAGCTGGCTGCCTCCCCTGTGTTTCTTGGGGCAGATAAGGAAGGCAGGCAGGAAGGAACAGAGAAGAGAAAGAAATGAGTCATGGCAGTGACAGCACCTCTGCCCTCCAAATGCCTAAGACTGACAGCACCACCCCAGGCAAGGAGTGAAAGGTGTGCGGACTTCGTCGTGGACGCCTTCTTGCCACCAGCCTGACTGAAAGCTGGTGCGGCCTCTGCTCTGGGCAGAGAAGGAGCGAAGGACTCGGAATTGAAGGGCAAAGGCATGCACCCGTCACCCCTTCCACAGCAGTCCCCTCGCAGCTCTCCTGTAACAGACAGAAAATGGGCCCCTGCCACCACCCCTCTCGATAAAAGAAGAGTGGCTTCTAAGAACCTAGCAGTTAACTGTCTACATGAACTCGAGTCTTACAAAATGCAGCCGTGACAACCTGCACCCTGTCGCCAATCCCAAACAGCGTCAGCCAGATTTCATTCAGGAGAGTTTGAATACTAGTGACCTGGAGGATGGGCAGAAAAGACCTGAGAGACAGACTAAAGGAGAACTCAAGATTCCAGAACCTTCAGCTTCCTCCTTCCTCCTTTCACACACCTAGGCTTTGTTTCCCTGCTGTTCAGTCCCACACCCAAAATAGAACCTGTGACTCCTACGTCACTAGGCAGAGCAACGCTGGTAAATAATGACAGTGGCTGACCGGGCGCAGTGGCTCACACCTGTAATCCTAACACTTTGCAGGGCGGAGACAGGAGGATCACTTGAGACCAGGAGTTCCAGACCAGCCTGGGCAACATAGCAAGACCTCATCTCTACAAAAAAAAATTAAACAATTAGAGGGGCGTAGTACTTGGGAGGCTGAGGAGCTTGAGACCACAGTGAGCTATGATCACACCACTGCACTCCAGCTGGGGCAACAGAGAGAGACCCTGTCTTTAAAGTGAACATTTTTTTTAAAGGTAGAAATTCAGAGATTTTGGTCATCATCCTCTGTCTGGAACATTCACACATCCAGAACACCTATTCCTGAGGAGGCCGGATAGAGTCGGTATAAAGAATAGGCATCTCTTGGATTTTTTTAAAATACTTCCCTAGGTATTGGTCCTCACATTAACCCTATGCAAGACATAGGACTGGTGCTTGTATGGATAATAATCAGATTATGATTACCTCCCCTCAGAAAGCTCAATCTCCAGCCGACTAGAATAAAGACAACGGTGATGACGAGATTCTTGAAATTGCACTTGAAGGTGTAATGAGGTGGAAGCCTCTGGACTCTGGTTGCTTTTTGTTTTAAGCGATTGCACACAGAGGGCTTGGGAAGTGTTCCTCCAGTTGGCAGGAGGCCCATGATTTCTTACATAGGTAGTCATCCCATCCCTTTTCCCACTGGGAGATGGGCATGTCTTGTCTCCAAAAAGCAGAGGACCCGGGAGGTAGGCATTTTACAGCCAGGAAGTACCACTGGACCATGGCCCCACAGTTAAGACACAGTATCTGGGACCAGAAGAAAGCAATAAAAGATCAGGACACATGTGCCTTGTGGATGGGAGCAGAAGAAATGGCAAGTTCTGAGTGCTTTGGATGCATGGTCTCCTTTCACCCTCACCTCAACTCTGTGCTTTATCCCATGTTCTAGGTGTGGAAACAGTGGTATAGGGAAGTTAAGTTATTTGTTCAAGGCTACCCAGCTAGTCAGTGGCAGAGGTAGTGTCTGAATCCAGATCTGCCTCCAGAGATCAAGCTTTTCACCAGTATGCTGCCTCTTTCAACTTGGTATATCTCCAACGATGGAGCCAAATCAGGGCATGGACAACCAAAATGGAAGAAAATCCACAATTCTCGTGCATGTGAAATGCATCCTATGATGCTTTTGCAGCAGTTGTTCCTTCCCAGCAATGATTTTCTGATGTCAATAACAATTTGGTGACCATTTTCTCAGCCCACCCCTATCAGTGAGTGGAGGTGCTCTGGCACTCAGGCCTAGGTACTGGGACCTGCCCTGAGATGGCCAGAGGAGAGGCCCATCTTATGAACACATCTCCAGAGTGGGGAGTTGGAAGGGGGAAATCCACTCAGCCTGTGGGATTGGGGGATGGCGAGGGCAAGGCTTCCAGCTGCAAAAACGCTTTCCCTTCTGGGCAGCCCGCCCTGCGTGGCTCTGAGGAGCTGGACAGTAGAGGTTTGGTTTGCCACTTCAAGGAGAGCCAGGAAAACCCTTTCTCCAACCCCTTACTTCTCAACCATTTGGGACACAGTCACCAGAGAAATAAGGGGCAACAGGTATAACCAGACTCCAGGTCAGACTGATTTCGTAAGACGTGTATGATTTTTTTCCCACCCTCCCTTCTCCATTACACCCTTAAAACCCCTATTACTAATGGTTTCCAGCAACCGAGGGGGCGGGCAAAAACAGAGAGAAGAGAGATGAGACAGCATCAAGCCCTTCCACTCCCGAGAGTGTTGGGAAAAGTATTCCTCCTAGGACCCAACCACCTGGGGACTTGGGGACCAGCAGGAAGGACCTGGGCCTTGTTTCTGGGCAGGGTGTGGTCCAAGTGGGAGGAAGGGGCTGTTGAAATAGTGGGAGGAGGGGACAAAGGGGCAATGGGGATGGAGGCCTGAAAGCTGGCCCTGAAATTGTCTTCATGGTCCAGCTGGAGGACTGAGGGGCTCTGGGCACCAAAGGCAGGACGGTGGGAGGATGGGTCAGGGTGAAGAGCTGCCTCTTAAAGGGACCCTGTTTGTGCCCAGACATGTACCCTCACCCACTGCATTCCAGCTCTGTGGAAATCCCCCAGGGCTGGGGCACAGGAGCTCTCAGCGACAAGGAACCTGGTTGGTTTCTGCAGCTCCCAGGTAGTGTGCCACCAAACAGATGTCAGTCTAAAGCCTGGAGTAGCACAGCCTGCTGAGGACAAGTGTGAGGCACAAGGCCTTAACTCCAACAGAGCCCAGCCAGTGCCAATCCAGTGAGAGCCAGCGTGGAGCCATGGGAGGAGGGGGCTCCCATGGTCAAGAAAGAGGGGGCTGTGCCTTCTGTCTGCACATATACAAAGAAATCTGGGAGAAAGGGTGACCAGGGGTGCACAGCCAGGCGGTTAACAGGGTTCCTTTAGGTCTCAGCCCTTCACCCTGGTGTGCCCGCTGATTAACTGTGTGTGTTTCTCTGGTTTTCAACACCAAACCTTTGCTCTGTTCTGTCCATTTCTTCCTTTTCCTTTCTCCATCTTAGAGGTGTTGCAGACCAAGGCCAACTTACCCATTTTGTTTCAGGTCTCTCTGGTGGATGAAGATTCCAACTCATCCTCCTTTCTTGAGCACTGACACTCACACCTTCCTCTCTCTCCTCCTCCTCCCACACCGAAATAATGTTTTCTTGCACGCTTTCTAGGCTGATGCAGAGAATTCCTGGATTCTGCTCTTGTTCTTGTTTGTCTCCCTTCTCTTCCTTGACTTCCCTGCCCTTCCCTTCTGAAATAGCTCTACCCCACAAAGACAGTATTCATATCGAGAGGGTCACCCAGTGTTTTCCAAAATCTAATTTTAAGTCTTATGCATAGCTGTAGTTCATCTGGGGTCTTCACTTCTTATTTCCCTCTCCCCAAAATCACTATTCTCCTTTTGCCCTGTGAATGATATCTGAGAACCTGAGAGCGAATTGGTTATTTCCTGCTCATAGCATGTGACTTAAATGGGAGAAAGAAGTCTCTCTGCCTCATAGGCTCCACTATATTCAGAAAAATACCCTGGGAAGCCAACAAGAAAGCCCTGATTTGAAGCTGACCCTCACCTCACCCACGCCCTGGTCAGCTAATCTCTGCTTCACCCATCCTGGCTGTCCAGTCTCCGGGGTGGCGTTTCTGTTTTCTTTCGGCAGAAATGCCTGGGAACCGAAAGGCCCCTTTCCCTGTGACCTGACCTCCCACGCTAAGAATAACAGCCCCAGGACAGCATGTCTTTCGGTCCCTCTGGAAAGAGGGCATGGCTGGGAAGTGGGAAGTTAAGGGAGCTGGATAGAGCTGGGAGGAAAGGGAAGAACACAGATTCTTGGCTTTGTGAGTAAAAAATGAAGAGGAAAAGTTGGCAGCCTTCAAGTGAGCTGGGGAGAGATCTGGGGAACCTCTCGGAGGACGCTTCATGCTTTCATACCCCACTCCGACCTCAGAATTCCACCTCCTGGAAGCCCAGAGGGCAGGCAAATACTGGTCCCACTGAAAAAATGTGGCCAGCCCTGTCTTGTCCCCTTCGCAGACCATTTCTAAACTAAAGGCGTGAATGTTTTTTCTTAAAGAAGACAAATCTCTGTAGTACTCGGTCCTTCCCCCTCCACCCATGGGGAATATGACCGCCTGTAGCTGGGGGTGTATGGGGACTATGACCGCCTGTAGCTGGGGGTGTATGGGGAATATGATCGCCTGTAGCTGGGGGTGTATGCACCCATTCAGTCACAGAACATCGCTGTGCAGGCCCCTACACCTCCTACACCCAAGAAATCCATCTGCTAAAGAGTCCACTCATCCAGGACACCTGGGGTCCTATAGGGCCTCTGGGACAGCCCATTCCTTGGTTGACCTGTTGTCCAAGTACATGAAAAAAGTCTTTTAAGAACATTCGTCCCTTCTCTTCTCCAAACATGGTGAAAAATAAACAAAATCCATAGCTACAGAATCAAGTGGTAAAGTCAGGATACTGGTCTTCCCCTTCTGTGCCAGAATCTCTCCTTCAGGGCACCACTGTCTTCATCCCCTTCTAGGCAGCCAGCCTCCCCCAACCTACCAGCCTATCCCTAGCAAACCCATCCTCAGGAAACGCTTTGATCACCGCGTGCCCTCTGCGCGGCGTCTGCATTCAGCAGGACCCTACCTCCAAATGACCATGAAAGAACCTGGGGAGGGGCTTAGAAAGCCTCAGAAAGCCCTGTCAAGAGCCACATAACACACTCCCGGAGTAGGAGCCCAGCCTTGCCTCTGTCTCCTTTCCCTTAGGAAAGTCTTTGCCAGGGTTGGAACTGCCCCTGGAAACACTGGGGCACCCAGTGCAGGAACTAGGGTACCCTGATTTGATCTGCAAGAGTTGCACTTATTATGGATCTTGTTTTAACAATTTGGTCCTTCTTTTATTTTTGAGCTTTATATGAGTCACCAGTGAGCCCAGATAACCTGCCACCCTGCGGCCCACATTGATGGCTGTGGTTTTCAAAGCCTTTTTCATTCCCAGCTTCACCCATAGGACCGAGCCCGCTACCCTCTGAGGGGTCACACACCTGTGTTCCCTCCCTCCAGACAGGCCCTTCTGCTGGAAGAGGACTGGGGGTGCAGGAGATGCTCAGCGTGGACTGAGAAGAGAGCATAGTAGCCACATCCTGCCGCCTGGCGATTTGCACCACCCACGCCCCCCACACCCACTCCTGCCCCTGGTGGGACGTGGACAGGGCCTCTGTGGAGAAGGGGTAGGGTGGGTGGATCTGTAGGATGGGGGCCACGTGACCGAGGGAATGCGGGCAGTAGGGTTAGAGTGTCGCCTCCCTGCTGCTCCTTCCTTGCTGGTGCTCCTGGGCTCCTGGCCATGGTGAGGGCGTCCGGAACTCCAGAGGCAACACGGAGGTGCCTGGACGATGATTCTGATGGTGGTGTTGCTCTGTTCTTGTCTGTCTAATATTCCTTTTTAATCCCCATCCTGCCTGCCCTCCCTTATGTAGGGTTACTTTAGTGATCCCTGGAATGTTTTTGACTTCCTCATCGTAATTGGCAGCATAATTGACGTCATTCTCAGTGAGACTAATGTGAGTATTACTCTGCCCTCCCCAGGAAACCTCCTCATTCCTCCTCCTCTGCCTCGTCTATTTCTCTCTCTCTCACTCTCTCTGTTTACCTTCTTTTATGTTTTTTTTAATTTCCTGTTTTTACCCGCCTCCAGTCATGCCTTTTATTGAACCTGCCGTCGTCCTGTGGGGGAAAAAAAGTGGGAGCTTCTCCTCCTTTTTTTCCATTTACCTCAGCTCTGCCCGGCGCTGCCGGGCTGGGGCGTGGAGCTGAGCAGAGGGAGTGGCGGTGCAGGGGACACACCGCCCGGCTCCCCGGGGCGGCCACAGCCCCACGCCACCTTTGAACTAACCCAGCTTTTGTCAGGCCTCTGCACCCTGCGAAAACCAGGTTATCCAGGTTTGAGCTGCCAGAACTGTAGAGTGGTAAGAGAGTGTTTAATATGCCCACGTAACCTCTTTCTTTTCTCATTTTTTTTCTCTTCTCTCCCTTTTTCCATACCTTTTTTTTTTTTTTTTTCATTTTTCCTCTTCCCTTTTGTTTTGTTTTGTCCTTTCTTGTTGGTTCTTCTTCTCTCTCTCCCCGGCTGCTCTGCCCCATGCAGCACTATTTCTGTGATGCATGGAATACATTTGACGCCTTGATTGTTGTGGGTAGCATTGTTGATATAGCAATCACCGAGGTAAACGTAAGTACATGGCGTCTGTCCCTAACCGTCCGTGCCTGCTCTAACACTCATTTGCCTTTTCCCGGTTTGTTTCCTTCATTTTATTTTCTCTCCCCACCTTCTTATTTTTTTTTTTTAATTTGTTTGTTTGAATTGGTTTGAAGGTTTTTTTTTCCTTGTTGCTTTATTTTGAAATCTTTTTTTTTTTTTAACTTTGGAACGCATTAGGCCTTCCCCTTTTCTGTTAAGTTCTGATTGCTGCATCTTTTCTCTCTCCCATACAATCAGCCTGGCATGACTCACACTGTATCGGAGGAAGCAGCTCTGGGAGCTGTGGAGTGAGAACATGAGGGGATGTTTGCCACTCTGGGCAGCTGCTGGGGCAGGGACCCAAACCTCTTCTGACCTCCACCTTCTCCTCCAGCCACTGCCTTCCCTACTCTCTCCTTTGCATCCCCACAGCATCTCAGAAGGGAGCTCTCTCAAAGTGGAACACCCTGAGATAAGGCTAAGACTCAGCCTACACCGTCAGCCATAGCCCACCCTCGCCCAAGGACCACCCATGATCTCGGGTTGAATGGGCTCTGTTTTCATTTAACATCAGCAGCCCATGCAGGCATCCAGGTCCCTGCAGGCTCATTTGGAAGAGGAACGAGAAGGGGAGGATCAGTCATGTCTGAACTCTTCTCTAGAGGTGGTGGGTGACGTACTGAGAGCTGCTCTGGGTGGACCTTTCCTCCTAGTTGCTGTGGAAGCAGGCCCCATGTGAGCGCCTCACTCCCACATGCACCTGCCACCCCTGCCCTCGACCCCTGACCTCTCACACCCCTGCCTCTGGCTCCCGAGCCTCAGACAGCACCCCAGCCTCTGCAAGGCCTCCTGCCACCTCCTTCTCCCAAGAGGTGCCTCCTCCTATACAGTTCCTACCAGTTCCTGCACATGTCTTTTCTGTTACCTGGCATGTTTAAATCTCTCTTTATCTATAGGCAAGCCTTCTTGCGGTCTTTAACATGTGTTGTTTAATTTTTTCGTTATTATTTTTCCTTAATTAAGAGACTTGGTAATGTTTGCATAGACTTTTGATGCACTGAACTATTGAATAACAGCACAGAGCAGATGCTTTAGAGTTTTGATCTAAGATGTTTGGAACTACCCAGCCCACCACCCCCAGCTCCTCCATGCACCCTTACTCCCCTCTCCACTCCATCTTTTGCTCTCAGTCAGTTACACTGCCGTGTTATCTTGCCTGCCAGATTCTTCCAGATTAGAGACCCCTGTCTGCTCCTCTTTTAGCAGATGGACTATGGAAAGCGGTTGTCACACTTGTCATATGTCCCCCGCTGTAGTCTGGTGCCCCAACCCTGCTCACCCTATAGCTCCAGAGACCATGGCCCCTCTGTCTCCCTGTGTCTCTGAGAACTGTCTTTGTCCGGTGTGTGTGTATGTGTATGTGTGTATATGTGAGTGCATGTCTGTGTGTGTGTGAGCATGTGTGCATGTGTGTATGTGTGTGAGTGTATGTGTGTATGTGCACTCTCTCTTAACTTCTCCCAGTAAATCCTCAGATCATTTTTTTAAAATTAGTCTTCCTACTCGTGCTCTGAGACTCCTCTCCCCTTTCTGAATGGACCCCAGTTTTGCAGCTGGATGAGCCCCAAGTTGCTGTTCCCACTCATACACATAAAGGCCAGAGCTTCTGTGCCCAGAGCTTGTGCCATGCAGTGCTCAGCCGTGGGAGACACTGCAGGGAGAGAAACAGGAAAGACAGGGCAGCAGTGGGCTCTGCCCTCAGGAGGTTTCCTTTCCAGACAGCAGTGCAGAGCCACATTAAAATCTATGCAGAGGGGCCGAGAGCCCCACAGCAGGAAAACGCAGAAAGGTGACCGCAAGCTGCCCCCCTGTACAGTGGCCCACTGCAGCTCTGGGGGTCCTATGGGTTCTTCCTACAGTCACCAAGGCCCCATCGCTCAGTCTGCAATTTTCTCCCAAACTATTCATGTCTTTAAAGAAAAAGAAAAAACAACAAAAAAGCATTTTCTAGGATATAAAATTTATACAGAAAAGGGGGCTCTGTTGGGGATAGGGAGGGGGCCTGAACCCGTCCAGCAGCTCCTGACATTGGAATAGTGGTTTTCTATTTACAAGTCACTTTGCATTTATCTGACAACTCTAAACTACCCTTTAAATTTGACAGGTAAGAATTCTCATCCCCAATTTGCTGATGCTAAAGGTGATGATGGAGAGATTAAGTACCTTTCCAGTGCCTCAGAGTCAGCCTAGCCCTCCTGGGGCCAGCTCACTTCCTGCTAGGCCAGAATTCCTGGTTTCTGTACTCCACAGTGCCTTTTGGTAAAGAGAAACCTCACCTGTCCCTCCTGGTGTACTGCCACTAGCCACGACTTACTCAGAACTTACATTCTGTAATTGATATCTTAAATAAGCACAGGGTTTTTTCCACTTTCTAAATAAGCAATAATCAGCCACCCTGAGAGTTCCGCTGCCCCTGTGTCCTCCCATACTGAGATGCTCCGGGCTGAGGCATTTGTGGCTTTGAAGTCCCACTGAAGGATTGTCGGGGGACAGGGTGGCAACTGTGCATGTGACTGACAGCAAGAGGAGGTGTCCTGAGACCCAACACCTATTTCAGAGCCACTTTCTCCCTCTCCCACACAACTGATGGCTTCCGAACCAAAAGAACAAACATAACATCCCCCAAGGCAGGAAGGCGGTTTGGGAGAGGAGAAAGCTGGACTTGAAGTCAGAAAACTGGCAGATTGTTGAGTCTTGCTGCTGCTTCCTGTCAAAGCGTTACCAACATGCCCAGAGACTCTGTTTTTTCATCTGTCAGAGGAATGTGGTATTTACAGCAGTGTGTTTTGAAGCTCAAATAAGAGCATCTATTTAAAAACTCTATATAAACTGGTAAAGCACTGTGGAATGGGAGGAACTGTGGCACCCAGGCAAATGACATTCCTTCCAAAGTTACTGCTGGTGTCACTCGGAGGGCCTAGTCTCCAACCAAGACCTTTTGGTTAGTCTAATTATAACTTACAACCCACAGTCGAAAGCCCTGTTTCCCAGATATGCTTAGACCCATAGAGATGGCCAACAGGTACAACCAGATCAAAGCCAGCACACACACACTTACCACGGCCCATAACTCTGGGCCTTGAGGGGCCTGCTCTGAAAGCACAGTCCGGCTTGACCCTGGGCTCACATCGCAGCCAGTGTGAGGGACAGCAGCTTAATTGAGCAAGGTCGCTCCCTCCCACTAGATTCTGCCTCCAGGGCATTAGCAGCGTATGGGCGGCCCCAGCATTTTCTTCCAATCCCATGGGATCCTTCAGAAAATCCTGCATCCCTGGGCCCTGCTCCGGGCCTTCCCAGGTATTTTTAGTCATCCTCTCATCACAAGACATATATTCCCAGGGATATGGTCTATTTGGAAAGAGTCTACATTGTTAGCCTCAGTGTGATCCATGAGGGCGTTTCACCTGTAACCTGCCATCTTTAACTCCTAAACCCCTCCCCAGATGCCTTATCCACCCTAACTTTCCTCCAAATATTCCCCACATTTAAACTCGTCTCACCTTTTCTCTTTTCCGGGCTATGGGGCCCTCCCTCTCAGGAACCATCATTCATTCAATCCACAGCATTTAGAGTCTCACTTCCTATACGTCAGGCACCGTTTGAGGCACCTGGGATCCATCAGCTGGCAAACCAAAAGCCCCTGCCTTCACAGATTTGCATTGTAGAAGGGAATAATCAGACAATTCACAATGCAATGAGGACAGAAAATAAGGAACTCATACGGTGTGTTAGAAGATGATAGACGTTTTAGGAAAAAAAGTAGTGCCAGATAAGGGGGCTCCAAGGTGCTGGGGAGCAGTGATGGCAGGCATTGGTTTAAATAAGATGGGCTTCCTTAAGGAGGTGACAGTTGAACAAAGCAAAGGCATGAAGGAATTGAGGATTCTCCATGTGGAGATCGGGAGAAGAGGTAGCAGGGCAGGAGGAGCCAACCTGGCTGGTGCGGACTGAGCTGGGAAAGGAGAGGTGAGGGTAGCAGAGGGGTAACTAACAGGTTCCACTTTTGGGCTTTTACTCTGAGCAAGAAGGGGACATACTGGTGGCTTTGAGCAGAGGTGTCACGTGACCCGACTGGTTTTTAAAGAGACCACTCTGGCTGGCTGTAGGAGTCAAGGGTGGAATCTGGAAGATCATTTAGAAGGCAAATGCAGTCATCCAGGTGGAAGATGCATAGCGTGGAGCAAAGTTGTGGCAGTAGAAGCGGTGGAAAATGGCCAGCCCGTCACTCTGTTTTGCAAGCAAAATTAACAGTGTTTCCTGACAGACTGCATGGGGGCAGGAGGAGAATTGCCCAGGAGGACTGGGAGGTTTGGCCTAAATCAGAGGAGGATGGAGCAGGTAGGCAAGGAGGCGGGCTGGAGGCGGGGCCTGTGTGAGTTAGGAAATGCCAGAGCACAGTTTTGACGTATCTGTTAGCCCTTGGAGGGGAGATGTCAGGTGGACACACAGGTCAGAGGCCTGGGGATGGAGTCATTCACAACAAGATGGTACCCAAAGCCCCGGCACTAGAGAAGAAGAAGCGACAAGAGGCAGAGGAGCGGAGAGGCCTGGGCCAGGGCCTCTGGCGCGAGGAGATCGGGACCCGCAAACTTCTGTTCATCTGGGAGATGCCGCTGAACAACTGCCAGGTGTCACAAGAGGACCGTCTTCAGGCCCCCTCGTGCGGTCATGCTGAATTCAGCCTCAGTATCTGAGCCATGGGCCCCGGCCCTTCTCCTGCCAATGCATCACCTGGGTCTAAATCCGAGCTTTTCTTCCTCTGTGAGCCGGGGAGGTAAGAGTGCGATGTCCTGCTGCTCTAGGGAAGCCTCTTGCTCTTCCTCAGTGCTTGGGTCTGAAATCATATTTTCCTGTGATTGTTCGTGAAAGTTACTACAGCACCAGAAACTGCTCCCTAAACATCCCAAACTGGAATTAATTTGACTGCTTGGGCCAACAGCCTTTCCCGACACACTTCTTTTTCATTTTGTATTTTAAAATATACTGAACAATAGAAAGTGCTGGGCAGCCTGAATTCCTGCATTATGGACATAGAGAAACATTCCCAAGTTGTCAATGAAGAAGCCTTGATTATGCTTCCAGCTCTGGTGACTTAGAGCAATGAACTCCATTCTCTGGGCCTCAATTTCCTTGAATGCAAAAGTGAGGAGTGAGAGGTTTAGGATGGTCTCTTGCAACTCTAGCCTGCAGTGATTCTGACTTGGGCATTTTCTGACAGCTGGAGGTGGATGCTTCATTGCCCCCATTGCCTTGCTGGGTTCTGAGGTGGTGTTTCCTGTCATCAGGCGCCCATGGTGTCATGGGGATGCTTCCTCCAGGGAATCATCTGCATAGAGATAATCCCTGAAGCCACAGTGCTGAAGGGCAGCAAGGGAGGACAGGCTCCCTTGGCTTTGGTGGAGCTCACCTGGAGATTCTCCAGAGAAAAGGAGCAGGAGAAAGACCTTCGGGGAGCAGAGCAGGCACAGGGAGGGGAAAGAACACTGGCCCTGGAGCTTCTGGGCACAGCTCTCAGGAGGAATTGCTGGAGGCTTTGCACGATGCACAGGAGTGTCCAGAGCAGGGAAATAAAGCTAAGCGAAGGTGGCACTGGCTGTGAACATGAGAAGAGGACCGACATGAGGATGACCTGATGAGCACGGATCAGGCATCATGCTGAGGACACCATACACATGATCGGATGAAACCCGTGTGCTTACTCTCCACATGAGGAAATCAAGGCTCAGACAGGACGAACATCTGCCCAAGGCCACACGGTGAATGGGAGGCAAATCTTGGATTCAAACTCATTTCTGTCCAAGAATTGGCTCTTGCATTTCACAGTGCCCGCTGGCTAAATCCCTGGGCCAGGCTGGCCTGGGCATCACTGAAGGGCAGGGCCCAGTGGCTCCTGCACTCCTCATTCAGTGCCTCCTGGCAACGGGACTTGGGGCGGAGCTGCCTGACTTGACTTCTCTGTGTCGGTTGATGCTGCGGATGCTGGATCCACAAAGCCTGGGATCCCCCTGGGATGCTCAGACAGAATGCAGGCTACACACCCGGATCCGTGTCTCTGGTTACAGGGAACAGAAGGCAAACGCCAGGAGGCGCAGAGCAGCACCACTCCCTTTGCCCAGTTGGCATCTGCATCTGCAGCTGAAGAAAGAGACTGGGAGGAGGGGGGCCAGAAGGAGCAAGCAGCGACAAGGCAGGGCAGAGAGTGTCCAGGGATCAGCATGTCGGGATACTGGTCCCAAGTCTTCCCCACCTTCAGGCCCTGAAAGCCTTTCTACCTTAGTATCTTTCCACCATAGGCCCCCAGGCACAACTTCCTATAACTGTCACTCACTACTCTCCACAACAATCACAAGCAAGCCGGGCTCCTCTCTGGCTCTGGGTCCTGGAAGGATGGAGGAAAAGCAGTCAGTCCTGAGTCATAGAGAGAGCTACTTGCTGCACGTCCACCCCCTCAGGGGTGAGTCAGCTCAGCCTGCACGACTCCAGCCCTCTCTCTCGGCCTGCAACCCACAGTGCTTGCGTTGGACAGTGGGCCTGGCTGTCTCTGTCTGCCTTTGTGGCTGTAACCACGCCTCCTGCCCCCTGCCATGGCAGAGAAGGGGCCAGAATGGGCACAAGAAAGGCAAGGCTGAGTGCCCCCCACTGCCCATAGCTGTGATGAGGAAGGAGGGTAGAGAGATGTGGTCAGAAAGCAGATTTGTCCAAGGACATTAGGGTGTACACACCTTAGAGACCACCTAGCCCAAACCCTTATTTGTTTATTCCTCAAAGGTACCTTGAGCACCCGCTGTGTGATGTTGCTTGAGGATATACAAATTTTCTAGATGAGGACACAAAAGGCCAGAGGCAGGAAACAGCTTGCTCATTTTCACAGGTTTTTCACAGCAAGCTGACCGGAACTCCCGGTCAGTAGGGGGCTCCAGTGGGTGCTGTTGCCAACCATTGTCTAGATGACATTGGTGGGTGTGGCCTGAGCTGGTTCTAGGACACATAGATTAAATCAAGTTCCGTGGTCTCAGGACAGCTGGGTGGGGCAGAGGTTATCCTTGACATCTCCCTCCAGCCCCCCTTCTCATTGCTGGAGCCTCCTGTTGCCCTCGGAGTCCCTTCCAGCTTCTTCCCACTTTCGGCAACAGCCCCCACCCCCAACAAACCTAATGCTACCAAGATGCCTTGTTTCAAAATGAAGTGATTCCAGCACAGTCATTCATGCTGGGTGGTAGCAACTCAGTGAGCTGCCCTTCTAATAGATCATTGTACCTTGAAGAGAAGGCGATGCTCAACCTGCAGGTGGAATGTTTATTGTATCTCAGGTGAGCCTTTAGCAACGTGACCCCTGAGTGGGGAGATTACTTTTGTGAGGTCCCTCCCCATCCCCCCACAAAGGCTGTTTTCTACTCTGCTTAAGAGTATGGCTGGCCCTTGAGAGAGTTAGCAGAGCCACCCTCATTCCTAGAAGTGGGATGAAGCATCTGACCATCAGCAGTCCCCTGGGAGGAGGCCGAATGCCCCGGATCTCAAGGTCTAGGGCGAGGCTTGTTGTGTGAACTGGTGTGATGTGGGGTTGAGGGGGTGCAGACAGAGAGACGGGCCTGAGAAGTGGCCTGGTGCAGCAAGTCTTCTCAAAAGCTTTTGCCTTGAGAAGTACCCTGCAGGTTTGACCCGAAAGGTCATGGGAACCTGTTTTTTTATAGGCATCCAATTTGGGTTGTTAATTCAGCTGTGTGAGATTGCCGAGGTCCTGATGCGGCTCTGACCCATCCAGGCTCCCCTTGCCCTCTGCCTTCTGCCCCAAACTGTGTCACTTTTTGTTTCCCTCAAATGCTCTTTCCTTTCCTGTTCTCATCTTATCAACCCACATACGGCCCTCTGTTCCCTTCCCCTCCGTGTAAGGGTGGGAGGAAGTTGCCTAGCACACCTTTTGTTGTGGCCAGACAACTGATTGTACCTGGCCAGTGTCTGACACTTCAGTTCCTACAGGCTCAGCAACCTGCTGCTGGGGTTCTTTCCAGAAAGCTCGTAAAGCAAAGGCACCTAGAAGATGCCATGAGCTGGTAGTGAGGAGACACAGGAAGGCTCAAAGATACGTAGGGTGCCTCGAGAAGCATGGCCACTTCTGTTGATGCCCACTTACTCTCATATTTGGTGCTCCCACCCAGGGAATCATCTGTTTGTTTCCTTTTTGAGTCTCTGCCCCGCCCTGCCTCACCCACTCTGTTTCTCTGCCTTTCTTCTCTATCTTGTGACCTCTCCCTCTGGCATAAGGAATTCTTTGATGTAGTTAGTACTACTGGCACCTTGATTTCATTCGTTTATTCTTCATGGGCTTTTTGTTGGTGGAGGTTGGTTGGTTTGTTTGAATGACTAGACGCTGGGCTGTCCTTCCCAGGGGAAGATGAAACTCCCAGGCAATTCTGTGATCAGTCTTGTTTAGTGTGTGTTTCTGGCAGGTAATAACACCTTGGGAGCCATCAGGCTGCACATGATAACAGTGAGACCCTGAGGCTTCAGCCACTTCCAGCCAGCAAACTGGTCACTGCAGCCAGTAGCACAGGGCATAGCTCTCAGCCATCCACAGCTTCACACACAAAGCAGGAAGAGCAAAAGAGGGCCAGGAGCTGCAGCCCCACGCTGGGAGCCCGGCTGCCAGTCCCCTTGGGGCCAAAGACCCCTCGAGGGGAGTTCTGAAGGGGCATTTCAACTCAGTGTCTGTAACTCCAAACACACAAGAAAGGCAAGAAGGGCCCTCTCCTTCTAGCTGGAATTCCACTTTGGAGAAACACAAAAGCCCGTGGGTTTCCGACCTGGGGGTGGTGGCCCGGGACAGAGTCCTTTCCATGGTCCCTGTCCATCTTTAGCTTTATCCTGGTGCGTTCCCTGCCCTTTGTTTGTCTTCTTCTGCTCAGTTCTTCTCCTCCATCACTTCTGTCTCTCCACTCACACCAAACCAAAATGGGAATTCTGCTTAGAATTGCTTTCAACTACGCATACCTCATTCATTTGCTCTTCTGTCTGAAAGCCATGGCCTCTACCCTCAGCTTCTGTCTATCCCAGCTAACGTTTGTTTAACCTTCGCCTCTCTTAGCAAGTACCTGTTCATTCAGCTTTAGAAGGCTTGCAGCTTAAAACATGTTTGCCTTTGGCCTCCTTAAAATGTCTTGCCCCGCTGCCATACCCAGTGGCTCCAAGATTCAGCACCTCCCGACTCCTCCTGAGATGTGCATTTCTCCTGGTGGGAAGGGGAGATAAAAGGATCGTGAGGATCCCCCCACACACACCCTTAACCTACACCTGCTGGCTCCTGGCCATGAAGTTGGCGTCAGATGTCTCCAGCAGCCCCTGACCCCTGCCATTCCCAGCTCTCTCTCTGCACCAGCCTGACCACCTCCTCCCAACCTAGATCACCTCCGAGGTCTCTCCCTCAAAGCCCCACCCCTTGGTCTTCCTCCACACCATGACACCCCCCAACAGAACCAGCTGTTGTGTCTTGCAGGTCAAATTGAGATTGGAGGTAGTACAAGCGGAGAAGCGGAGCATGGGGAGGGGGTACTGGCTGGATGGAGACCTTCAGGTGGCTTGGAATGAAATTTATATCAGATCCACCTCCCTAAGTTCTGGACAAGACATTTTAAAAAATATAGCAAGGGTTCTGTAGCAGGACCACTATTTAGAGACTCACACTCCCATGACATTACTTTTGACATCTGTTTCAGAGGTGCGTGGAATCTTAGTGACACTGAGGTCATAGCATTGTCTCAATGGCAGCCATTGGAATTGGGCAGCCGTTTTCTGTAGGGCTAAGACCAGCCTTCCCTGGAGGAGATCAGAGGTAATCTGCACCTTTCAAAATCAGCCTGCCAAGGAGAATGCAGCCATGGCTTATGCCCCCTTCACAATGCTCTCTGGCCACCTGACCGCAGGAGAGTATTGTGGAGGACAACTGGGTTGGGTATTCCAGCCTAGAGATCTACTGCTCAGCCCCTGAATTTCTATAATTCTTACCCTTGGCTGTGCTTTAAAAAAATAATAATTTTTAAAAAACTTTTTTTCGTATGGTGAAGAGCTATTTTTCAACTACCTTTTAAGTCTCCAGAGAGACCATGTAATGTGGCAACCAGGAAACACATCCTGCGGCCTCCCACACCATCCTGGTGGGAAAATCCTCCACCTGGGAGGATCCTGTCTCTGCTGGCCTCTGGCATTCCCTGAGTATCGCCCCTCAGCATCCTAAATGTGGCCTAGACCTGGCACTCCAATGAAAATAAGTGCATAGTGAGTGCCTTCCAGAAACAAAGACTTCATCCACTGAGGTGTTACTTCTCATTTGACCCTGAACTTAATTCAGAAAGACAGCTTTCCAGAGACCTCCCTCTCATTAGCTGCCCTGCACCACTCCCCTCCTCACTGCCAGTTCTGCCAAAACAAGGCAATCTGCATAAGCATATTGAAGGAAGGAAATCGTCTTTCCTTTCTGTTTGCCCTGAGCCTGTTATCTGGAACCACTAACCAGAGCTCGCTGTCTCTGAAAATGCCCGACCTCTGCCTCAGATACGGAATAATAACCTCATTTCATTTATATCAATTACGTGAACAAATTAAGTTAATTGCCCCAATATCATGAAATCATTGAAAATTACCAGATCATTAGAAAACAAGGATGAAAGAATTGGCTGCTCAGAAATTTCTCCACGCCTACCATTAGTGGAGACAGTGCCATATGAAAAATCAGCCAGAATGTTCAGGTTATGTAAGCAGCTCTGTTGGCTGCCCTAAAAGGGGAATGCAGTCTCCAGGCTTGGGGGTGTATGTCTTCAGGGAATCCTACGGCCCCTTTCTTCCCCAAGAAAGACCACAGATGGGAGAAACTACAAACTAACTCAGGGCACCGGCAGCAAATCTGGGAAGGGGTCAGAGATTAATGGCCCAAGTATTGATGGCTACCAACAAATTCTGAATTTACATCCAAAGGTAGAACTGATGCTTTGTAGTTTCTCAAGGGGCTGTACTTGGTATTTAAAGAGAGTGGCAAACCACAGAAACTAAAAGTGCTGATCCTGGGATACCACAGATGTCCAACTCCAGCAAGTCCAATCTCTCCTTCCATCTCAGCAGGGGATTCATTTGCCAAGGCGAAAGGGTACCAAAGACTCTAAGGATGACGTGGGATCATGTAGGAAACGCCCAGGGCATCAGTAGACCTCGGGGGCCTTGGGGGCAGGGGCTGTGGCTTAGGCTGCTTCCTATTGTTACCATGTAGAAATCACTCAGGGATTGCTCTCTGATTTCATCGCGAGTGGTTATTCATTTATGAGACCACGGACCTTGTAAACAGCTCCTCATGTGGAAACAGGTGTGAGCGGTGGTAGAGGCAACAGTGTCCTAGCTACTCAAAAATGCCCTGTGAACAGCATGGCTTAAGGCTCAAGAAAAACTTAATCTTTGAGTCTCTAGATTCTTCCAAAGTTGGTCTCTTTGGAGAGTTGTCATTACCGGGGCAGGAGAATGCCACACAGACATCTCAGAGCGTCCTCATTCTTCCTCTTTCTACTGTCCTCATAGCTGCTCCTGACTTTCTCTTGTCTGCCATTATAGAGACATGCCATAGGAAATGTTAAATCAATACATGTTACTAAAATACAAAATACTATCAAGATTATCTGAACAGATCCAAAGTCAAGTCTTGAAGTGAAATATGACTTAAATAAATGAGGTCTTAAATGGGAGCTATAAAATGCAACAAGAAAAAAGACAGTTAAGACAAATGTTTAAAAATCCCAAATGAAGGATTCTGAATGTTTAAGAAGTAAAACAGGTTTTTTTTGGTTTTGTTTTGTTTTGTTTTTGTTTTTTTGATGCCTAGAGGTTGGTTCAATTAGGCCAGGCAAGCCAAGTACCTGGGTGCGTTGTCAGAATTATCTCCATTTTGGTCCTGTTCAGGCTGGGATTGACCCAGAAGACCTTCAAGCATTTGCCCAGGGTTCTTAGAAGTGATGAGCAGCTGTGATGGTTTTCAGGATGGATCCAAGAGGCCAGCAATGGCTCAAGCTTCCTGGGAGCTCTGCCCAACACTCAGGAGTTAACATGGTGTAGGTTACCTCCCTCTGGACCTCCCTCCCTGCCCCACTGAAGCCTGAGAAACACAGAACTCCTTGTCCATGAGCAAGGGAGCTCAAGCACTGGGCCAGGAGCGGGGCAGAAAGGTGCCAGTGGATAGCTAGACCTGACCATCCTGGGCAACTATCACACACCAGAGCAAAAGGGGTTTAGGTGCTTTGCCAAGAAATTTCTTCTGTGCATGCCTGTATGAGAGAGAGAGAGAGAAAGAGAGAGAGAGAGAGAGAGAGTGTGTGTGTGCGCGTGTGTGTGTCTGCCTATGTTTGTCTCTGTGTTCAATCTCAGTCTGCTAGCCAAATCCTAGGGACCCCACACCCTGCAATCACAAGGACTGACCTGGCAGGTGGAATCTTCATGAAGCAGAAGCTGAGATCTAGAGATCCAGATTTAGAGTGTTCTGTAAAGCCTAGAGAAGTGTCCCTTTCTTTCTCCTCCCTCACCTCACCCTATATCTCCACCATCCCCTAAAAGGGCATCCTACCAACTAGCTATGAAAAAAAAAAGAATTTGCTGAGAAATCTGTTACCCAAGAAATATTTTCAGGCTGCAAGCAAATGTCTAGTTGTGCACATTTCCATCCTTCAAAAATTCCATAACACATTTTCCTTGTTTGTACCTTAAAAACAGAAATACAAGAGCAACCATCTGAAAGTGGAGAGTAAAAGCCAAGTCCTGACTTTCTAGAAAGAGTTAGCAGCTCAGATGGTCAAGATCAGTCGGGGCTGAGCCCTCTGTGCTGGAGCCCAAAACGTAAGGGCACCTTCCCAGATCCAGGCTCCAGGAACTCGGGGAGAGGGCTGGCCCTGGGATACTCACCAGAGGCCAGTTTCCTCAGCTCCTACCCCCAAATGAGTTCAGCAGTCAGACCCGTGAGAACAGCTTCCTGGGGTGTTAGTGTCCTAAATTGTGTGCAGGGCTTTCAAGTTTAGAAAACAATTCAACAGTCATTATTTCATGCCAACGGTCAGGGCTCGCCGCACCTATAGACCAACAGCTAAGCAAGGCCATCTCCTGCCTGAGCCTGAGCTTTCAGAACAAGCCCCATTATGGAGTGGGTTGAGGCCACCTCTGGAGGCCCTCCTCAGTGTTGACTTGAAGTCGGTCTCCCCTAAACCTGAGAGGCCACTGCCCTTGCTTTGTTTAAATATATGTGGGCAAGGATAGGCTCTGGGGTCAGCAAGGCCTCTGTCCTTCAGCTGGCCCTGCCTGGGGTAAGCTAAAGTGCACAAAGCCTAAGTCCTCATAGGTTAACAATGGCTAATAAAAAACAAATTAAAACAGGCTTGGCACAGTGGCTTACACCGGTAATCCCAGTACTTTGGGAGGCCAAGGCAGGAGGATCGCTTGAGGCCAGCCCACGAGTTTGAGACCAGCCTGGGCAGTATAGTGAGACCCTGTCTCTAAAAAAATTAAAATAAAAAATTTAAATTAGCCGGGCATGGTGGCACGTTCCTATAGTCCTAACTACTAGGGAGGCTGATGTGGGAGGATCATTTGAGCCCAGGAGTTCAAGGCTGCAGTGAGCTGTGATTATGCCACTGCACTCCAGCCTGGGCAACAGAGCTGAGACCCTGTCTCTAAAACCAAACCAAACAAAAAAATTATAAACCTCCATCCACAAAATCCCAAAGACCTCATCTGCTTATCTAATAATATTATGAATGTGAGTTATTTAAAGGGCATAGGTAGGAGAATGCCTGTGGGTCCTTGATTGACATGAGACCCAGCAACACAGACCCCACACTCATGGGGACGCCCCAGGACCTGCCAGGCCTACGCTTTCACGTTTCTTTCACTTGTTTCCTTTTGCCCTCTTCTGCCACTGTGTTGCTCCCGTGTCAGCCAAGACCTAGAATACCGGGCATCTTCATGGGAGACTCATTACAGCTTATCTCTATCTGCCTTTCTTTAAAGCCAGCTGAACATACCCAATGCTCTCCCTCTATGGTAAGACCAACCCTCCCGACCATGCTCCCGGCTTCCGTGTCCCCCTCTAACACCCCCACTCTCCCCACCCCGAACTCCAGAGTCCCTGGGAGCCCTGCCTGGCTCTCACTGCATGTGGCCACTGTGTCTGCCGTGTGCCTTGCCTGCCTGTTCCCTTCTCGTGTGAGCTGTGAAGATGCTGTTTGTGCAGTGGTGGTGTTTTACCCCTGAGCTTTCCTTGGGGTGGTAATTCACTGTGATCTTGACTATCTAACAAGCCACTGGGAGAGAATGGGACCCGAGGTCCATTTCCTGTTAAACACCCTGAGGACTCCACCGGCCAAAGCCTCTAACCTTAATCTGATAGGAGAAATTTGCAGAGGGTACCTATGAGAGCCATGGTAGGGCTCCAGGGTAAGGAGGGAAGACAGGTGCTCTAGGCAGGAGATGGAAGGGTGGACGATGATTCCTGTTAATCAGTGTCTGTGGCTCCTAGCTTCCCTGTGCTTCAAGTGAAAGGCCACCATAAAAGGTTTCAGCTGGGATTTGTTACTGAGCGCGTGATTGAATTTCCAGTCACTCCAACCTTGCTATCCCTTGCATTTTTCTAAATTCCTGAAGTCCGTTAAAATTAGGCTGCAGCCACTGTTCCGCAGCAAGCTGGAAGCAGAAAAACAAGCTCCGTTGATTGGACCACTCCTGTTGTAGGAGTCTCTGATTCGCGTTGGTTGAAGTGATAAAAGAGACGCCATTCAGTGTGACCTTGAAGCCTCCTTGGCCCAGCCGCCTCCAAAAGGCTGCCGTTATGCATTTCTAACCGGGCCAAGTATGAGTTTTTAGAAGGACCAGTGGGGTTGATTGACCAAGCCACCAAGTCTGCAGGCCGAGGCAAGCTTGGGTGGGTTGATGTGTTCCCCAGTGCAGCCTGGCGCTGCCTGGCCACAAGGCTGCCACAGGAAAGGCTGAGCCCGGGTGCTCTACCCCGCTTCCTGGGGACTCTGCTTCTGGGATCAGCCATCTGGATCTGCCTCCTTTTTGCATTGTTATTTGGTTTATTAGAGCAAATTGGTGCATCCGAATGGCAGTGAGTTTATTCTCCTTCTCGAGCAGCATTAGGAAACTGCAGCCACAGGGGAGGGCTCTGAACAGTGGAATGGAATTCACGCTGCAAGCTTGGTGTTTGGCGTTTTTTGGGTTTTTTTGTTTGTTTATTTTGTTTTTTTAACTGAGCAGATCCAGATGCCCCTGTGGCACCAACTTCTCAAACTCTTGACACTTGCAGCTAAAGTTCTCCACTTAAGCTTGTTCTTTTTTTTCTCCTTTCTCGAACACGGTGGAACTGACAGCTGAGTTATAAAATCCTAAGCCTCCTCTGCATACTCCTCTGGGGAAACACAACCTCCTTTTAAGGAGTGAAAATAGAAGTTCAAGCAGATACACAGGTGATAGAAATACAGAGATTAAGGTCATCAAAGGCTTCAGAACACACAGGCAGGGAAGAGCCCAGGGCAGGACAGGGCTGCTGCCTGCAGCTCTTGACCCAGCCCCTCAGGTACCCGTGCAGCAGGTCCCGAGTCCCACCTGTCTGTCCCCTGCCTTGAGGGGAACGGGAGCCTTAGGAGGAACTGAGGCAGCTCTAATTTTGAAATATAAGAAATATTTTTGCTCTTCTCCTGTTTGGAAGATCTGGAAAGCAGGAGAGGTCTCTGGCTTGCTTCTGGGCAGAGTGGTGGCTGCCTTCGGGTCTCCCTGCTTCCCTCATAATCTCCTGTCCTGCATAGTGAGGGGAGCGGCCTCTGACGCCTCATCAGGGTGGGCCAGAGCAGGCAGCGCAGTTAGAAGGGCTTTAGCGCTGGATATTGCCAGTGAGAGTCTGACCTAGAAATAATTAAAGATAAAAGGCAAGGTAAAGCAAGGAGTGGGGAGGGCCCAGGTGGCCCTAGTAACAACCTGAGCCCTCCCACCTCGCGGGAGGTGTGGACGGGACCAGTAACAGGAAGCCCCGAGGGTCCATTCTCTCCCGGTGCCCGCAGGTCTGGGTGAGCTGCACTAGCTCCGGATTTGGCAGTGGCTTCCTCCTGGGTTCCTGCTCACCAGGCCGATGTGGGCAGGAGGAGGGCCAAGTGGGGAGTCAGCTCATGTTCTCAGGTTTGGAGGCAGAGGACCGCAGGGCAGCCCGTCCTGCCCCCTGAGCCCTGGCCAGGCATGTGCCCAAGCCCCCAGGCTCCCCCAGGTCCAACAGCAGCAGCCCAAGCACCTCCAGTCACCTTGGCCTGCACTCCACCCTTCCTCCCCTTCACCTTCCCTCTCCCCTTCCCCAGGGCCCCTGAGGGAGACCATCTGCAGAAGCCTCACTTGCAAGGGAGGCCTCCCCTCCCTTACGCTGCCCCTCTCCCTTCCAGGGTCTTGTACAGCCTGAAGGGTTGGAGCCTCCTAGAGGCCCCAGGGCAGAGGGGAGTAGGAGGGCAACAGCTTCGGAGCAAGGGCTGCAAACCAGACCCTCTCCAGCACTGAGTAGCACCCGTAATCCCTCCCTTTGGGACAGGGGCTGTGGAAAGTAGAAGGAGGTGATACAAGGAAAGTGCTGGAGTCCCAAGCAGCTGGGGCATGAGGTCCTTCAGGGGGCAGCCCACCAGGACCCCCAAATCCACGCATACCTACAGCTGGGAGAGAGGCCAGCCACCAACCCACATCCTCGGAGAGTGCTGGGCTCCACTTAGGACACAGGACTGTCTGCCCAGACAAACGGGAGACAGGCTAGGACTGCTTCCTCAGCAGTGCAGAGGAGGGGTTCCCAGGGCAGCTGGCTCTGGGCCTAGAAGATTCCAAAGCCTATGGTAGTTCCTGATGGAGTCGTCTGTCCTCCATCCAGGGCATTAAGAACTAGGAATGAAGGGGAATCGGGGAGAATAAAAACACAGGACCACAGCCCAGCGGCCTGGGCACAGTCTAGCTCTGCAGAGACCATGGGGCTGGGCTGTCCACTCATTAAAGTGGGCGGCCGCCCTCCCATCGGAGGGGGAAGTCTAGTGCAGCAAACCCTGGCCTGCCTTCCGCCACTGCCACTGAGGTCTGTATTTCTCGGAGGGGCCCTCCTGTTCTCACCCCCCTCTTGCTGTGCTAACTGCACCTCCTGTTGCCGACGGGTTCCAGAACGCAGAGGAAAACTCCCGCATCTCCATCACCTTCTTCCGCCTGTTCCGGGTCATGCGTCTGGTGAAGCTGCTGAGCCGTGGGGAGGGCATCCGGACGCTGCTGTGGACCTTCATCAAGTCCTTCCAGGTAGCCGCCCCTCATGTCCTGCGGCCCGGGGAATCGCAGGGCTGCCGCGTGGCCCAGAACACAGCTGACACAAGGAGGAGCCCTCCACTCTGGGGCCCTGCTCCTTCCTCTGTGTGGCAGAACTCGGCCGCTCTGCCTGGCTCCCTGTTTCCGCACCGAGAGGCCTAGACGAAGCATGTGGTTTCCAAGGCAGGCTCAGAGCCCCAGAAGGCCAGGTGGTAAAGGAGGGATGGGAGCTAAGGGGAGGCAGAAAGGGTCTGCCTTACTTTTAACCATCGTTTATGTCTTTCTGCACAAGAATTTACTGGACAAAGGGGTTTTGTGGTAAGGAACAAACCTGAAAAACACGGGCCTGGACAACCTGGTGACCGCTATGGCCCTTCGAGTTCAGCATTTCCAGAATCTGGCCATCGCCCTCCTCCCCGTAGGCGTTTCAGCAGCATCTGCTGACAGCACCTGTCATGTCCTCGGCCAGAGTCGCAGGACCCTGGTGTCCTCCGCTCGGCTAGAGAGGCCCTTCGAATGGGCCCAGGACTGCCTGGCCATGTGATCAGTTCCTCCGCTCAGCCATTGTTTTCCCATTAAAACAGAGTGACAATCAGCCCCTGCCAGCTCGGAGGAGTCTTTGTAGGTTTGAAGTTAAGGAGAAGCAAAGCGCTTGGGTCACTTGACTTCCCCCAGATGAGCGCAGAACCCGTGAAGGCGGTTTCATGCTTCCCTGGGCTGGCGGAACGCAGGCTTCTCTCCCCCCATGGAGGGGCCGCTCTCAGCCTTTCCAAGACGAGAATCTGTCAGGGAAGATGGTCTTTGTGTGCCCCACCCTGGCCAGTCCCTGCCCGGGGACAGGGCATGCCTGGGCCTGGTCCAGGTGAGGAAAGATGCCCGTCCCCGCTCTGCCCCCAGCAGCCTCCTGCCAGGGACTGACCATCCAAGGCTCTCGAGGGAGCTCCCAATGGCCAGGCTGACCCCTGCCTAGTGATGAGCTGGGGCTCCTGCACTCTGAGCCCAGCTCAGCCCAGGCTCTGGGGATTCGGAATAGTAGACACCAGCGGAAGCAGGACTGCCGCTGACTCTGTACTTGGGTGCACGCGGAACCCACGGCTGTGAGTTGCCATACTCTCCCTGCCCCCCCGACATCTCCTGGGGCTGGGAAGAGGCACAGACCGGGTGACTGCGAGGGCCTGATGGCGGCGCAGGCGTTCGGGCCAGGCAGCTGGCGCCTGCTCTGACGGCACCCTCTAGTGACCGGTGGCCACGGCTGAAGCGGCGCCCGGGAACACGGGCTGGGCCTCCCATCCTGGGGACCATGGCCTGTCCCCAGAAGTCACGGGGGCTCTGGAAAATTAGTTGTCTGAGTTGCCAGGCAGATAATGCATGGAGCGAATAGAGCGTATGGAACCCAGCTCTGCAAGGCATTGCACTAAGCACTTTATAAGCCTTAAATCTTTTCAACCACAAAACCGCTGAGAGGTATTATTATTGTTTCCATTTTTCTGATGAGGAGACTGAAGTTCAGAGAAGTTAAGTGCCCCAACCCTCACAGATAGAAAGTGGCAGAAACAGGATTTGAACCCATGATCTTTCTTTTAAATTTTTCCTTATTAAATGTTTCCATTGCAATAGTAATACCCGCTCACTACAACTAGTGGGATGGAATTAAGCTGTGTAAAGAAAGGGTGTAACTTGCCACCACCCCACTCCTCCACAGGTAACCACAGTCAGCGGGGTGCTGTCCTCCACGATTTCTCCTGCCTCGTACAGACACACCGCACATGTGTAGTCGGAGGAGGTTTTGCTCGTTCTTGATTGTTTTGCCCAGGTAGTGTCGCACTATATCGTTACTCTGCGGCCTGCTTTGAAAACCAAGCTGAAATGGGAAGTCAGTTCCGGTTTCTCAGACCTTCTCGCAGGTTCCCCGTAGTCCTGTGGGACTCTTGGAAGTGTCCCCCGGCCCAAACCGGGCAATAGCTGATGGCTGCAGAGACAGGGATGCGGCGCTCCCTGGGAAGGGGCCCAGCTGGCCTCTGCACTCCAGCCTCATGGGAGTCTCCTGCACTTCCTTCCAGGCCCTGCCCTATGTGGCCCTCCTGATCGTGATGCTGTTCTTCATCTACGCGGTGATCGGGATGCAGGTAGGGAGGCTCCCACCACGGGGCTCCTGGCCTCCCGCTCTGTCTCTCCCCAGTTCCCAGCACCACATTCCCTAACGCCTTCCTCCCTCCCTTCTCCCTTTCATTCCTGACTGTCCCTCTCCCTCCTCTTCCATTTTCTGAGGCCCAAAAAGCCACAGGAATTGGAACTTTCCCCAAATGGATCTCCTGTAGGTAGCAGGAGAATGTCCCGGTACAGAATACACAGCCCAGAGAGCCTCCCTCCCCGAGGCCTGGGTTCTGCTCTTGGTAGAGGAAAGACACTCTCCAGTTATGCAAGGGGCCTCGGGACAGACACAGCCCCTTCTCAAGAAACAGCAGCAAGGTGTGTCTGTTTGTGTCCAGCACCCCTGTTTGTGTCCAGGTCTGATGGGCCTGAGAGTTACCCCAACCAGATTCATTTGAAGCTAATGGCTGAGAGGGAGGGAGGGAAGAAGGAAGCAAGGAAGGGCCAAATCAACACAAGGTTCACCGCATCAAATGTGCAGCAGTTTTCTGGGGCCTCCCCTCCCAGGTGCCCACTGCACCATTCACCGCAAACCTAGGGCTCTCCATTCCCGTCTTGGGGCTCCAGCTTGAGTCCCAAGGCCAAACTTGGCAGGGCGCCCACACTAGCCCAAAGCGCTTCCTCGGCCGCTCCTTCAGGAAGTCCCCTACTTGCTCATCGCAGAAAGACCCAAGATTCAGTTGCCAAAACCTTTTGAGACTAAAAGAGCTACCTTGATACCTGATAAAGGTGGCAGTTTCTAAGATAAGCACAGCTTTAAAAGACCAGGAAGAAAAGGGATTTCAGGAATGCATTAAGCTTGCCCTAGCCTCAGATCACTCACTCCACATCACTCCAAAATGCAAGAACTAAATTTGAAAGAGTGCTTGGACATGCAGAACTGAAATAGCAAAGAAAATAACGCAGTGCGTCCTGTGTCCTGTCAGAAGCAGGATCCCGGTCCCAGCATCCACCGCTCTCAGCCCCAGCTCCCACTGGGCTGCAGGGACCTTCCTGAGGCTGTGGGCACTTTGATTCTCATGCTTGTCCAGTGTAGGGATTTGGGCTCAGGGGCTGGGTGGGGCAGCAGGTGCCTGCCAGGTTGCATGGGAAGACTGTTCAGCTTGTGGCAGCCAGTTCCAGGGACACCTGAGACCCCTGAAGAGACCATTGAACAATGGTGGGAAATTAGGACCCTATCTGTCCACAAATCACTGAACACCTCTTCCTTCTCTCTCCTAGGTGTTTGGGAAAATTGCCCTGAATGATACCACAGAGATCAACCGGAACAACAACTTTCAGACCTTCCCCCAGGCCGTGCTGCTCCTCTTCAGGTGGGTCCCTGAAGACATAGGTGCACAGATACACACACACCTGCATGGTGCCACACTGTGGCCTGGTGGTAGAATGAAAGGGAACTGCTTCCCGGGGAGTAGGAAGGGAGAGGATGTGTTGCTTGCTCTCTGCCTGACAAGGAGGCCAGTGGGTCCATTGTCATTTATGATAACTTTCCACAGAGCAACCCACTATGCACTGGCACACCTGCTGGAAACCAGACAAAACCATTAGGGGAGCAAAAGTCACATGCTAAAAGCAGCCTGGCTTGGAATCTGAACAGGCCCAAAGCCAACCTGCCGACACGCTTTGTGACCTTGAGTGAGATATCTAACTTCTCTGAACCTCAGTTTTCTTGTCCAATAAGTACAGATATCTATCACTATACCAGCACCTGTGCCATTTGCCGTGCTGGGCGCTTATGTCCACATGCACTGGGCGTCATCCTCACTTAATCCTCAACACAATACTAGCAAACTGAATCCAATAGTACATGAGAAAGATGATACATCATGATCAAGTGGGTTTCATTCCAGGGGTGGTTCAACATATGCACATCAATAAATGTAAGACACCATATTAACAGAATGAAGGAAAAAAGACCCACATGATCATCTCAATAGATGCAGAAAAAGCATTTGACAAAATTCAACATCCTTTCATGATAAAAACTCTCAACAAATTAGGCATAGAAGGATGGTACTGCAACACAATAAAGGCCACGTATGACAAGGCCACAGCTAACATCATACTTAGTGGTGAAAAGTTGAAAGCTTTTCCTTTAAGATGAGGAACAAGACAAAGATGCCCACTCTCACCACTTCTATTCAACATAATAATACTGGAAGTCCTAGCCAGAGCAATTAAGCAAGTTTTAAAAAGTTATCCAAATAGGAAAGGAAGAAGTGAAATTTTCTCTGTTTGCTGATAACATGATCTTATATATAGAAAATCCTAAAGACCACCAAAATCTATTACAACTGATAAACTAATTCAGTAAAGTTGCAGGACACAAAATCAACCCACAAAAATGAGTAGCATTTATTTACACTAACAATGAACTATCTGAAAGAGAAATTAAGAAATCAGTCCCTTTTACAATAGCATCAAAAAACTAAAATAAAATACTTAGGAATAAATTTAATGATCTAAACTGAGAACTCATAAAACATTGATAAAAGAAATAGTTGGTGACACAAATAAATGGAAAGATATCTTGTGTTCATGGATTGGAATAATTAATATTGTTAAAATGACCATACTACCCAAAGCAATCTACAAATTCAATGCAATTGCTATCAAAATGCCAATGTCATTTTTTATGGAAATGGAAAAAACAATCCTAAAATTCATATGGAACCACAAAAGACCCTGAATAGCCAAAGCAATCTTGAGCAAGAAGAACAAAGCTGGAGGCACCACAATGCATGATATAAAAATCTGTTACAAAGCTACAGTAACCAAAACAGCATGGTACTGGCATAAAAACGGACACATAGAGCAATGGCTCAGGAGAGAAACCTGAGAAATAAACCCACTCATTTACAGCCAGTTGATTTTCGACAAAGGTGCCAAGAACACACAGTGGAGAAAGAACAGCCTTGTTAATAAATAGTGTTGCCAAAGAGGAAAAAGGGAATTACTTTCAAAATCATCATTAGCATTAGACTTCTCATTAACAAAAGTATATATGTAATAGAAGACAATGGAATAATATGTTCAAAATTATGAGGAAAAATGTATTTTTGAATCTGGCCCTCTAAATACAGTCTAATCAGCATTCCAGTAGTCAAGCAAAATAGAGACATTTCCAAGTGTTTAAGGACCCATAAAGTTTACTCCCCAACATAAGTCTTCCCTGGAGCAATTACTCAGGCTGTACTTCCACAGAATGAAAAATGAATCAAAGAAATAGAATGAGCAGAGTAATGATATGAGTAAAAAATAATGAAGTTTATAGTTATGAGTTATGAACAAGGACATTATAAAGTTTATATAAAGTCTAGATACTTGTTAAGGGGAAAATGTACAAAACCTTAATGACAATTTGGAAGTAATATTTTATGTTATCTCTACAAGGTAGGAAGTGAGGTGGTAGAAGAATGAGAAACATGAAACCATGCTAAGATTCTTCTCTTGTTTGGGGATAAGAGTATATACTGTTTAATTCTGTACATAACTAAGGGAAAAGTGTGTATACATATATATGTTAAAGATTTAAAGGTCAATCACTAAAAAAATAGAAATGGAATGTATATATTCTAAACCACTAGAGGAAAAAAATGGATGGATAAAACTTAGCAATCCATCAAAAGGAAGCTAAAGTAAAAGTAGAAAAATAAATAAAACATGGAAATTAGAATAATAAAATGAGATGGCAGGAATAAGAACAAAGATAATAATTGCTAAACTTATTGAGGTAAAGTTCACTATTAAAACATAGATACTCTGATGTTGGCTTTAAGAAATCTAGCTCTAGCCTGTTTATAACAGCTACAGTAAAACAAAATGGCCTAAAGAAAATGCAAATAAAAGGATGGAAAAACGAATACCATGTAAGGCTCACAATGTAGACGTAATAATAGCAGTAGCAGAAGAAATAGAATTCCAGGTGAAAGGCATTAAACAAGACAAAGAGGGATTTTATATTGATAAAAGGTATAATCCATCAAAAATATATAATAGTCATAAAACTACATGAGCCTAACAATATAGTTTGGAAATGTATCAATTACATACCAATAGAAGTATAAGGAGAACACACACACACACACACAGTGGAAGATTTAATACAGGTAGAGCATGACAGACCAAATAGACCAAAATAGAAAAAAGGGTAAAGAATATCTAAATAATACAATTAACAGACTTGAACTTATCGAGTTATACTCAGTAAATGGCCAAAAAAAACACATTCTTTTTAAACACCTCAGAAACATTCACAAAAATTAGCCAAGATTTAAGTCACAAAGAATTTAACAAATTCTACAACTGCCCCTACTTTGATATAGCCAAATTAGAAATTAGCCATAAAAACAAAAACCCCTCCAAAATCTACTTAAAAATTTGGCACTCTTCTTAGTAACTCAAAGCTGAAACTACAATCTACAGTCATGCACCACATGATGACATTTCAGCCAATGACAGACTGCCTAAAATTAAAATGGAGCTGAAAACTTCCTATCACCCAGTGACGCTATAGCATCAAAATGCAGTGCAGTGCCTTACTCAGGTGTTCGTGGTGCTGCCAGTCATAGATAAGTATGGCCCATACAATTATGTACAGTACATAATATTTGATAATGAGAATAAATGACTGTGTCACCGGTTTATGTCTTTACTGCACTATACTTTTATCATTATTTTGCAGTGTACTGCTTCTACTTATTTTTTTTTAAGTTAACCGTAAAACAGCCTTAGGCAGGTCCTGCAGGAGGTATTCCAGAAGAAGGCATTGTTATCATAGGAGATGACAGCTCCATGCATGTTAGTGCCCCTGAAGACCTTCCGATAGGACAAGATGTGGAGGTGGAAGACAGTGATGTTGATGATCCTGACCTTGAGTAGGCCTAGGCTAATGTGTGGGTTTGTGTCTCAGCTTTTAACAAAAAGCTAAAATTAAAAAAAAAAAGTTCAATATTAAAAAAACATAAAATAAGGATATGAAGAAAAATATTCTGCACAGCTGTACAATGTGTATTTTAAGTTGCGTTATTACAAAAGAGTCCAAAAGTTAAAAAAAATTTAAAAGTTTATAAAGTAAAAATGTTACATTAAGCTGAAGTTAATTTATTACTGAAGAAAGAAAAGTACTTTTTATAAATTTGTGTAGCCTAAGTTTATAGTGTTTCTAGTCTCCAGTGGTGTACGGTAGCGTGCAGTCATGTCCTAGGCCCTCACAGTCACTCACCACTCACTCACTGCCCCACCCAGAACAACTTTCAGTCCTGCAAGCTCCACTCATGGTATGTGCCCTCTACAGGTGCACCGTATTTAAATATTTTTTACTGTTCCTTTTTTACTGTTCCTATTTTTACTGTTCCTTTTCAGTGTTTAGATATGTTTAGATACACAAATACTTACCATTGTGTTCCAGTTTCCTGCAATATTCAGTACAGTCACATGCTGTATAAGCTTGTAGCCTAGGAGCAGTAGGCTGTACCACAGAGCTGAGGTGTGTAATAGCTACGGCATCTAGGTTTGTGTGAGTCCACTCTATGCTGTTTGCACAACAGAATTGCCTAACCATGCATCTCCCCACTGTTAAGTGACACAGGACTGTACTTAGAAATGAGGGCCAGGGCACCAGATCTTAAACGTATGAGATGCATCAATCAGCACCAAAGAAAAAATTCAGAGCCTGAAATTTATTTATTTATCTAAAAAGCTGTATATTAAATAAGCTAATAGATGGGGAAAAGAATAGTAAAATAATCCCAGAATATGAAGGAATGCATTTTTAAAAATAAAAGCATAAATTAATAAAATATGGATTTTATCAATAAACCCTAAAGCTGATCCTTTGAAAAGACCAATAAACAGACAAACCATCAAATCCAATTTTTTTAAAAAAAAACACAACAACATCAGAAATGCAAAAAGCAACATAATTACAGATGTGGAAGTGATTTTTAGAATGATAAGAGAATTTCATGCCTCTGTTTTGTGGCACTTCAGAGGTGATCATCTACTTCAAGATGAAGCAGAAAGTCTCCTTCCCAGCCAGTGGCTGCCAGAAACTCATTGAAGTGGACAGTGAATGCAAACCATACCTTTTATGAGAAGCATATGGCCTCAGAAGTCGCTGGTGCCACTCTGGGTGAAGAATGGAAGGCTTATGTGGGTGGAATCAATGGTACAAATGACAAGCGAGGTTTCCCTATGAAGCAGTGTGTCCTGACCTGTGGTTGTGTCCACCTGCTACTGCATACGGGGCATTCTGTTATAGACCAAGGAGAACTGCAGAAGGAAAGCACAGATTGTTCAGAGTTGCATTGTGGGTGCCAGTCTGACTTCTTAATTTGGTTTTTGTACAAAAAGATGGGGGGGAGAGAAAGATATTTCTAGACTGACTGATACTACTGTGCCTTTTCACCTGGGGTCCAAAAGAGATGGCACGGTCCGATAACTTTTCATTCTCCATAAAGATGATGTCCATCAGTGAGTAAACCCCTAAACAAAGGATGTCAGGAACCCAGGACCAAAGCACCCAAGACTCGGCATCTTCTTACTCCACATGTCCTGCAACACAAATGCTGACGTATTGCTCTGAAGAAACAGAACACTAAAAAAAAAAATAAGTAAGGCCCGGTGCGGTGGCTCACACCTGTAATCCTAGCACTTTGGAAAGCCGAGGCAGGTGGATCATGAGGTCAGGAGTTCGAGACCAGCCTGGCCAAGATGGTGAAACCCCATCTCTACTAAAAATACAAAAATTAGCCAGGCACGGTGGCGGGCACCTGTAATCCCAGCTACTCGGGAGGCTGAGGCAGGAGAATTGCTTGAACCCGGGAGGTGGAGGTTGCAGTGAGCCGAGATTGTTCCACTACACTCTAGCCTGGGCGACAGAGCAAGACTCTGTCTCCAAATAAATAAATATAAGGAAGAGGTTAAACAATATGCTAAACTTTTGGCCAAGAGAATGAAGGAGACCAAAGAAAAATGCCAGGAACAGATTTCCAAGACATGGAGGCTATGCTCACTGAGAGCTTCTGAGTCTATCAAAAATAAGATTTTCACCAGGCATGGCAGCTCACACCTGTAATCTCAACAACTTGGGAGGCTGAGGTGGGAGGATCAGTTAAGACCAGGAGTATGAGACCAGCCTGAGCAACACAGCAAAACCCCATCTCTAAAAATAAAAAATAAAAATATTAGCCAGGTGTGGTGCCATGTGCCTGTAGTCCCAGCTACTTGAGAAGCTGTAGCGGGAGGATCACTTGGGCCCAGGAGTTTGAGGTTACAGTGAGCTAAGATGGCTCCACTGCACTCCAGCCTGGGTGATGAAGTGACATCCCATCTCTAAACACATACACACACATACACACACACACACACACACACACACACACACACAAGATTTTTCTAAGAGTAGCAGACAAATAATATCAGACTTTTAAAAAGAAGACAGAGAACATCATGAACAAATATGCAAATATATTTGAAAACCTAAATGAAGCAGACGCTTTTATGTAGAAAATAAGAATTATAAAATTATCTTAAGAATTAAAAAAAAACAACTACAACAGAAATTGAAAAGGTAGTTGAAAATTTAGCCTTTGAAAAGGCCCAAGGTTCAATATTTTTATTTGTGAGGTCTACCAGACTATCAAGGAGTGGATCATTCCAATGTTATATAAACTTTCCAGGAACAGAAAGATGTAGAAAACCTCTTCACCCACTCCATAAGACTAATATAAAGCTAATGCCAATGAGAAAAAGAGAAAAAAGCAAGCAGTTATAAATATGAAAATATGTACACATAATTGTCATTGTTTGCAGACAACAGGCTAATTCAAGTAGAAAATCCATGCAAATTAACTAAAAACCCTTTAGGACAATAGAATTAATAAAGTGGAAGATTAAAAGATTAACAAAGAAAAATAATTGCTTTCCTGTACTGGTAATAACTAATTAGTAAATGTAATAGACAAGATCTTATGCTATCACTTTTTCAATGTTATTATTTTGTAACTCTTACCCAATAAAATAAGACAGGAAAGGCCGGGCGCAGTGGCTCACGCCTGTAATCCCAGCACTTCGGGAGGCCAAGGCGGGTGGATCACGAGGTCAGGAGATCGAGACCATCCTGGCTAACACCGTGAAACCCCGTCTCTACTAAAAATACAAAAAATTAGCCGGGCGTGGTAGCAGGCGCCTGTAGTCCCAGCTACTCAGGAGGCTAAGGTGGGAGAATCTCTTGAACCCAGGAGATGGAGGTTGCAGTGAGCCAAGATTGCGCCACTGCACTGCAGTCTGGGGGACAGAGAAAGACCCCATCTCAAAAAAAAAAAACAAGACAGGAAAAATAAATCAAAGGATAAGAATTGGAGAGGAAGAAACAAAATTAAATGCCAAAAAAGTTGATTGCCTGTGTATATATACAAGAAAAATTACAGAAAATTGCTAAAACTGATAGGATAGTTTAGCAAATATTCTGTAATATGAAATCAATTGTATTCCCTCTATATCAGCAGCAAATGGACATAGCTTTTAAAATATAATGTTGAAACTATACCATTTTAAATGTACAACAAAATAAAAGGAGAGAGATGCCACGTTTCTGGCCAGGAGACTTAATATCATAAAGATGTCAGGATTCTGCAAATGAATTGACATCTCAGTGCAATTCTAATAAGACTCCCAACAGGATTATTCACAGAGGCTGAAACTGATTCTACAGTGTCTATGGAATAGAAAAGGAAACTGAATAGCCAAGACAAATGTTGAAGAACAACAGGTTGGCAGGACTCCTGCACTGTGAGAGGGCAGGACTTACTATAAGGCAACTTACTATGCAGACAACACAGTACTTCTGTACCAAGATAAACAAATAAACCTGAGGAATGCAATGACAAGGCTAGAACAAGACCCACACATCTACGCAAATACAACTTACGGCAGAAGAAATATTTCAATTAAGTAGGTGAAGATGTACTATTCAATAAATAGTATTAACAAAATGACTTATCTATGCAGAAAAAATAAAAGCATATTTCTACCTCATATCAAACATGAAAATAAATTTCAGGTCAATAAGTTATTGCGGAAAAACAAAACTTTAGAACCTTTAGAAGAACACAGAAAAGAATGTCTTTATGACCTAAAATAGAGAAAGATTTTTTAAACGTGATGCAAAAAGCACAGAACATAGAGGAAAAAACTATAAATTTGACCTCATTGAAATAAAAAACTTAGATTCACCAAAATACACCGTAAATAATACCAGAGACAACCCACAAATTGGAAGAAGATATTTCTGTTGCATATAACTAACAAAGGGTTAAGAATAGACACGAAACCACCATGAGACTCCACCTTCCTCCTGCAAGAATGGCTGCAATTTAAAAAATAAAAAATAATAGATGTTGGCATGGATGTGGTGGAAAGGGAACACTTTTACCCCGCTGGTGGGAATGTGAACTAGTACAGCCACTATGGAAAACAGTATGAAGATTCCTTAAAGAACTAAAAGTAGACCTACCATTCCATCCAGCAGTCCCACTCCTGGGTATCCACCCAGAGGAAAAGAAGTCATTATGTGAAAGAGACACCTGCACACACACATTTATAGCAGCACCATTTGCAAAATGATGTAATGGACTTTGGGGACTCGGAGAAGGGCAGGAGGATGGTAGGGATCAAAGACGACTGCTTGGGTGATGGGTGCAGCGAAATGTCAGAGATCACCACTGAAGGGCTTGTCCGTGTAAGCAAAAACCACCTGTTCCCAAAAAACTATTGGAAATTTTAAAAAAGAATAGAGAATAGAGTATCTTTTTTTTTTTTTTTTTTTTTTTTGAGACGGAGTCTCGCTCTGTCGCCCAGGCTGGAGTACAGTGGTGTGATCTCGGCTCACTGCAAACTCCGCCTCCCGGGTTCACGCCATTCTCCTGCCTCAGCTTCCCAAGTAGCTGGGACTACAGGCGCCCACCACCGCGCCCGGCTAATTTTTGTATTTTTAGTAGAGACGAGGCTTCACCATGTTAGCCAGGATGGTCTCCATCTCCTGACCTCGTGATCCGCCCACCTCGGCCTCCCAAAGTGCTGGGATTACAGGCGTGAGCCACCGCGCCCGGCCAGAGAATAGAGTATCTTAAGCACCCTACAAACGAACAAGAAGACAACCTGAATCAAACAAGCAAAAACATGAACATGCAATTTAATGGAAGATAAAATTTAAGTTCTCAACCCACTAATCATTTTATAACCAAATTAAAACAGCAGTGACATATTATCTCACACAAATTATATGAGCAACATTTAAAACAATTCACTAATGAACTGATGAGTTTGTACAGTAGTGTTATTTCTCCTACACTGGTAATAGGAGTCTAAGTTGGACAAATCCTTGGAGGTCATGGAATATCTAGTAAAAATAAAGATGCATGTAGTTTAACTGGCAATTCCACTTCTAAGTGGATACCCAAGATATAAATCTGCATGTTTATTGCAGTGTTATTTGTACTAGTAAAAGAAAAAATGAAAAACCTAAATGTTCCTTAACAGGACAGTGGATTTTTTTACGGTAAGTTCATAGAGCATACTCCTGTACAGCAGTTAAGGTGAATGAACTGGAACTAAAATACATCCAAAGGGCTAAGTCTCAAAAACATCACATGGATTGCAAAAACAGCAAGTTTTCGGAAAAGGTGCAATTTGTTACTGTTTATATAAAATTTTAATAATGCTATGTGTTTCATATTTAGCAAATATATCAGAGCATTCAGGGAATGATGAACATCAAGTTCATTTTAGTAACTCCCTCTGGGGAAGGAGGAAAGGGACAGGTGGGGAGGGATGCAGAGGGCCCTCCTTGGCATCTGTAGGATGGGCTGCATGAACGTGGCTCTCCCTCCCCTCCAGGTGTGCCACCGGGGAGGCCTGGCAGGACATCATGCTGGCCTGCATGCCAGGCAAGAAGTGTGCCCCAGAGTCCGAGCCCAGCAACAGCACGGAGGGTGAAACACCCTGTGGTAGCAGCTTTGCTGTCTTCTACTTCATCAGCTTCTACATGCTCTGTGCCTTCCTGGTAAGCCAAGGGGGAACTCAACAGCCAGCAGCCATGACTGCCCAGTTCCAGGGCAGTCTGAACCGTCCATCTCTGCAGCTCATGGTCAGGGCAACCCTATCAGAGGAGCTGGCTTGGGAAGACTAAGTTGGCAGGAGTGTCCAGCCACATGGAGAGAAAGGCAGAAAGCCCTGGGCCAGAGTGAGCTCCACCAGCATCTTGCTTGTCTGTTCTTGGCTGTTGTCATGGTGGCATTGTCCCAGAGGACAACGGGGACATGTGGGGGCCTAGAAAGAACTGTACTTTTTTGGCATCTTGCTGAGGAGTGAGGAAAAGGGGATAAAGTCCCCCTCTGTCCTGCACAGCCCTGCCCAGCAGCTCGGTAGGAGGGAAGCTGTCCAGCCCACCTGTGGGTTCATCACACACAACTCTCAGGGAAACTGTGTCAAGTTTATGTCCAAGAGACCCAGGTTCTCAGGCTGGTAGGATGGATGACTGGTCTTTAGAAATGTTGGCTTCTGCCATCAGTAGGCCCCAGCTGGCAAGGGGGTTCCAGAGGCAGGTGTGTAGGAAGGTCTTCTCACAGCACCTCATTGTACTGTTCCCCACAGATCATCAACCTCTTTGTAGCTGTCATCATGGACAACTTTGACTACCTGACAAGGGACTGGTCCATCCTTGGTCCCCACCACCTGGATGAGTTTAAAAGAATCTGGGCAGAGTATGACCCTGAAGCCAAGTAAGTTCCCAGAGGGAAATCCTGATTCCCCAAGCTGAGAGAGGGTATAGCTGACCATACCTGCAGGAGGGGCTCAAGGTTGGCCAACACTGGGTGGATCAATTAGAAACACTGGATTGTATCACACCCTAGGGTGAAAGGTCAAGGGCCAGCAGGAGGAGGCCCGGCACCTTCAATTAAGTCAAGAATGTATCTACTAGGTTGGGTGGGGTGGCTCACACCTGTAATCCCAGCATTTTAGAAGGCAAAGGTGGTTGAATCACTCGAGGCCAGGAGTTCAAGACCAGCCTGGCCAACACAGTGAACCCCATCTCTACTAAAAATACAAAAATTAGCCGGACATGGTGGCACATGCCTATAATCCCAGCTACTCAGGAGGCCAAGGCATGAGAATTGCCTGAACCTGGGAGGTGGAGGTTGCAGCGAGCTGAGATCACACCACTGCACTCCAGCCTGGGCGACAGAGCAAGACTCCATCTAAAAAAGAAAAAGAAAATAATATATCTACTATATTCAGTTGAATGGAAGGATAGGAAATTCTAGTATCAGGAATAACTAGTAAGTGCTCAAGTTAGGATAGGTAGGGCCGGGGAAAATCTTGATTCCATTCCCGCTTCTGGTCTAAAGATCAATCACATTCGGCTGACCCTCAGTAAATACCTTTTGGTCAGAAGGTTAGTTCATTCAATCAGCAAGTATATATTGAGAATTTTGTTGCACTGCTAAAATCCCTTCCACCTTGAACATAGCATGGGCAGAAAATGATTCATTAAAATCTAAACACGTGTATATGTATATTGGTTTGGGGCTGTGTCATGCAATTCTGCAACTCTGTACTGAGTGTGACTAATAGGGCTACCACACTGTGCAGTGTTGCCCATATGAGTGGGCCCTACCCCTCAGGCGCATGCGTCCTGGGCTGCTGGCAGAGACCGTGGCTCTCTGATGCCCTGTCCCTCCTCTCCCTCCTCTTCTAGGGGTCGTATCAAACACCTGGATGTGGTGACCCTCCTCCGGCGGATTCAGCCGCCACTAGGTTTTGGGAAGCTGTGCCCTCACCGCGTGGCTTGCAAAGTAAGAGATAACGGGGTTCATGGGAGGGAGAGGGAAAATAGGGGAAGTGAAGTGCCCATTTCTTGTGATCCTTTAAGGGAATGAACATACTAGTTTATGTGCCTAAAGATTACATTTTAAGGGTCCTTCCAGCTCTAAATTCTCAGACTCTATGAGGGAATAACAGAGTGAATGCCTCCTGTCCTACTGAGCCAGGGACCCAGTCCTGGATAAAGGACTTGTTCAGTCCATCCCACTGCACCATCCGGGCATCCTGGGGTGGGAGACTTCCCAGCCTAGGCTAGAGGGGTTCGGCGTTCTTTTCCTGGAGTTGGAAGGCCATTAGAAAGCCCAGGCATTGACTTCAGGGGTCTTTGAGTCCTAAAATTTTTCATAAAATCACTAAAATACAAAGTTTACCAGGGAGAGGATTTCTCACTTTAATCAGATTCCTTAGTGAGACCATGACCCAAAAAAAAAGTGTCGTTTCCTTTTCTCCCTCCCCTCCACCATGGCCACTCCACGCTCCTTTTCTCCCTCCTCTCCACCGTGGCCATTCCGTGCTCCTTGTTGGGGCAATAATGAGCTGACAGAGAGCTGGGGGAAGGGAGACCAGAGGGCTGGAGAGAGGAGGAAACTCAGATGGCAGGAGGATTCGGCTCTGTGAGAATCCACTCATGGAAAACGCAGATTGAGGGAACATAGAACCTTCTACTTGTGCTCTGTTTACTGAGTTTCTTCTCATTTGTGCCTCCACTTTGCTCCAAAAACAAACAAACAACAACAACAACAAAAACAGATTTTAAGAGATTTCCAAGGGCATAGAAAATATCAGAAAAGAGCATAAAATAAATGCAAGGTACAAACACCATGCAAGGCAAGGGTGGGGAGGGGTGCAGCCTGGAGGGGGCTAAAGTGCGTCCGTTGTGGCCTCCGGACGGGCCTGGGCAGGCTGAAGCCTGGGTGCGAAACTTTCCGGTGGCCAAGATACAGTTCACACCGTCCATGAGGCTCATCAAGATCTGGTCACTCAGGAGAAGTGTAACCCTTCTAGACACTGAGATTAGCAGGAGGTCACCGTGTGAGCTGACAAATAGCCCCCCTTGAGCATGCCCTTGGCATGGACGCTGTGGTGAGCTTCACACCGCGCTTGCTCGTCATGACCCATTGCATGCTGAAGGCCCCACACCAGAGCTCCGTGCCAGGGAAGCCTGTTCTGGGGGTGTGTGCTGGGAAAGAAGAGGGCAAGACAGCACTATCCAGTGTCAGCAAGCTTCTGCTCCAACTTGATGCAGAAGCATATTTGTCAATACACAGAGAGGACATGTAGCATCTCCTGCAGGCAAAGCTCCTGTGATCCTTTCTCTTCTCTGGGCTGTGGACGAATGCTGCCTGGCAGGTGGGCTCCCAGCACATGCTGGCGTACAGCCGGTCTTTGCTGCCAGTGGAGAGCACACCTGCACGCCTGAGCAGACTTTCGAGCAGGGCGCAAAGTTGGGTGGCCTTCACATCCTTTTGTGGAAGTGAAGGTCTAATGAGGACAAATTTCATACCTCTCCCACTCCACGAGGAGGGTCAAAAGTAGTTGTGGCAAAGGCAAGATTCTCCCTGGAATGCTTCAGGGAGCATTCACTCCCTGCCCACTCCAGCAACACCCACACAAGCTGCGTGTCACCCCCAGCATCCTCTGTGTATTAGGCCATCCTTGCACTGCTGTAAAGAAATACCTGAGACTGGGTAATTTATAAGAAAACAGGTTTAATTGGCCCACAGTTCAGCAGGCTGTACAGGAAGCATGGCACTAGCATTCTGCTTCTGGGGAGGCCTCAGGAAGCTTCCAATCAATCATGGTGGAAGGCAAAGGGGAGGCAGGTACGTCACATGGACAGACAGGGAGCAAGAGAGAAGGGGGAGGGACCACACACTTACTTAAACAAGCAGATCTCATGAGTACTCACTCACCAAGGGGATGGTACCAAACCATTTATGAGAAATCCACCCCATGATGCAATCACCTTCCATCAGGCCCCACCTCCAATTCTGGGGATTACAATTCAACATGAGATTTGGGCGAGGACACAGAGCCAAACCATATCACTCTGCCACGGTGTTCTGCGGTCCCCTAAGCACCGCCTGCCATCATCACCAGCTTTGCTTCTCTTCGCCTGCAGCGCCTGGTCTCCATGAACATGCCTCTGAACAGCGACGGGACAGTCATGTTCAATGCCACCCTGTTTGCCCTGGTCAGGACGGCCCTGAGGATCAAAACAGAAGGTAAGGTCGCCCGTGGGCACTGGGAGAGACACTCAGAAGGTCTAGCAGACAATCAGAGAGGAGCTCGGCAGCCTGCAAAGTGCTCAAGGGAACTTCCTGCCCCAGACAGCATCCGAGCTGGGATACGGGGGTAACGTGCGCTCCAGGACATCGCAGGGCCCCAGCCTGCTCATGACTTCTTTGCTCCTGAATGGTCTCCCTGCCTCTAGCTCAGGGGTTTCCAATCTTTTGGCTTCTCTGGGCCACATTGGAAGAATTGTCTTGGGCCACACATAAAATACACTAACGATAGCTGATGAACTGAAAAAAAAAATTGCAAAATACTCAATGTTTTAAGAAAGTTTACGAATATGTGTTGGGCCACATTCAAAGCCGTCCTGGGCCGCATGTGGCCCATGGGCTGCAGGTTAGACAAGCCTGCTCTAGCTTATTCATTTTGAACTCTAGCTTTCCATGAAACTCTGGGACTCATTCTGGGTGGTATCTTGAAGTCAGAGGGTATAGCTCACAAAACAGAAGGAGACGGGTGTTACCTGAAGCAGGACCAACCCCTGTCTAAAAGAACTTACACTGGCTACAGGTGGGTGTCTCAAATGCTCAACTCATTAAATTAATAGGACTGTGCTGGGAAGACGTGTGGGAAAGGGGACACAGTGACAAGTGGTGGCCGTGGTGGAGGTCATCGCACACATTGTGCGGGCTGAGCCTGGCTTAAGGCTCTTAGCCAGCGGACAGGTGAGGATTCAGACCTCACCTGTGCCACCTAGTCAGACCGGGCTCCCTCAGGGCTGCGTCCACCTGGAGGGGCCCTTCTAGTTTTCACAAGGCACCCTAAGGGCTAGCAGCAGCCTGAGTGAGATAATCTGCTTGCTTTATGATGGATAAGAGTTTGCGAACCACTATGGGAAAGGCTGTATTAAACACACCTAACAAGATACCATTTCTCTCCAAGAGTGTCCAGCCTTGGAGTGTCTAGTGTTTCTTAGAGCGTGGTCAAAAGACCACCGCTGCAGAATCAGCTTTGGGTACCTGTTTAAGCTACTGAGTCCCAGGCACCCACACAGACCTGCTGATGCCAAATCCCTGAGCATGGGGCCCAGGAATCTGCATCTTGAACCAACTACAGAGATGATTCAAACCCACTGGTGTAGTAATTACAGAAAACACAGATGAGACAAGCAGTATGCTTCCTTCCCCTTCCTACACTTCCAGCTTAAAGCTCAGGCTGTCCGTCAGTGTGTTCCTCGGGGCAACAGAAGGAGCCCCGGGCAGGTGGGAGGCTCGAATCCGAGTCCCTGCTCTCTCACTAATGACATGAGTATGAGCCATTTACTCTCTCTCTACTTCAGTTGCTCCATTGGTAGACTAGAGAAAGGTGATGACATCTGGGAATTTAATTCATTGAATAACCCAGACATGGGCCTTCTCTCCGTTAGATCCTTCAAAAACAATAACAGAAACATTTCAAATGAAGTGAAACAAGAACCAGTCCACCAAGACACAAGTCAAAATAATTAGCTGATTTTTAAAAAATAAAAATAGGGGCCAGGCGTGCTGGCTCGTGCCTGTAATTCCAGCACTTTGAGAGGCCCAGTCGGGCAGATCCCGAGGTCAGGAGATTGAGACCATCCTGGCCAACATGGTGAAACCTCGTCTCTACTAAAAATACAAAAATTAGCCGGGCGTGGTGGCACGTGCCTGTAATCCCAGCTACTCAGGAGGCTGAGGCAGGAGAATCGCTTGAACCTGGGAGGCAGAGGTTGCAGTGAGCCGAGATCACCCCACTCTAGCCTGGGCGACAGAGTGAGGCTCCATCTGAAAAAATAAAATAAAATAATAAAAATAGGACAAGTTCTGCTACTAAATTAAAAAAAAAAAAAAGAGCAAAGGCTTAAAAAATATACCATCAGTAGCCAATGCAATCACTCAATCTGAAATGGGTGTAAATAGGCCTATTTCTGACTGCCAGAAAACCAAAACACACTTTTTTTTTTTTTTTAAATGGAATCTCGCTCTGTCGCCAGGCTGGAGTGCAGTGGCACAATCTCGGCCTGCTGCAACCTCTGACTCCCTAGTTCAAGCCATTCTCCTGCCTCAGCCTCTCAAGTAGCTGGGATTACAGGCACGTGCCACCACGCCCGGCTAATTTTTGTATTTTTAGTAGAGACAGGGTTTCACCATGTTGGCCAGGATGGTCTCAATCTCCTGACCTTGTGATCTGCCCGACTGGGCCTCCCAAAGTGCTGGGATGACAGGCATGAGCCACCGCGCCCGGCCAAAACACACATTTAATTCACACATATGTGTGTATAACAAGGAAGAAAACTGGGAAGGAAATGTGTTCGTATGCTAACACTGATTATCATGAGTAGAAAGATCAGCAGTGACATCCACCTTACTCCTTTAGTTTTTTTACTTTCCAAATGTTCTGCAAGGAATGTTACTCCCCTATGTTCAGAGGGAAGGAGAGGCGATATAAATGACTGCCAGGAGGAATATGCTGTAATACTTAAAGATTGATGTAAATTAAGGATGTGAGATTTTGTTCCCTAGAGGAACAAAAGGCAGGGAGGTATGGAAGCAAGAATTCAGCAGGGTCGAAGGTTCACTGTCAAAGCCAACCACATGCCAACTAAGGAAGACCAATAGCTAGTAACAATGCGAAAGACTGACCAGTCAAATGCAGGGACCCAATTCTGAGGAAATAAGAGTTCCAGAGAAAAGAGGAGAAGCCAGCCATGTGGGAACTACAATCCTGTCAAGAATTACAGACTATCTTTTAAACACAAAGACATTTCAGAACAGCTACCAAAGGGCCCGAAACGCCCCCACCCAAGGGTGAGCCTTCATCAGACATGGGCCCTCCATAAACTTGTTAAAATCGAAACGCCCCCACCCAAGGGTGAGCCTTCATCAGACACGGGCCCTCCACAAACTTGTTAAAATCCTAAGAAAGAAAGACAAAGTCAAGTCTTGGAAGCAACTAGAAAGAAATGTGAGAAGACATCTACATTTGTGAAGATGAGGCTTGCATCAGTCCTCACCCTTCAGACTTCTCAGCGTGGAAGGAATTGGGGCGAAATTAACACCTACCTCAGAGAAGCAGAGCTGTCATCCCAAGTCCAGTACCAAGCCAAAGAAGCTTCTCTCTTGGAACGTAGAAGGAAGAGCTCTCATCCCAAGTCCAGTACCAAGCCAAACAAGCTTCTCTCTTGGAACATAAAAGGAAGATAGTGAAAAATACTTAGATGACATGAAACAATTGTCGGTGAACTTCAACAATTACATAGACCATCATGAGAATAAATTAAGGCTGATAAAAAAAAATGAAAGGTCCTTTTGGAAACTATGTTAATTTCTTAGGTCTGCTGTAACAAATGATCACAAACTGGGCAGCTGGAAACAAGAGAAAGTTCTCTCAGTTTAGGAGACCAGAGACCTAAAACTAAGGTGTCAGCAGAGTTGGTTCTTTCTGGAGGCTCTGGGGAGAGTCTGTTCCACCCTTTCTCCCAGATTCTGAGGGCTGTGGATGATGCCTGGTGTGCACTGGCTCACAGCACATCACGCCATCTGTGCCTCCATCTTCAAATAGCCTCCAGGGTCTTGTGTCCTCTCCTCTTCTTGGAAGGACACCAGCCACATTGGACTTAGGGCCCACCCTCATCCAGGATGACCTCACCTTAACTAATTACATTGGTGAAAATCCTATTTCCAACTAAGGCCACATTCTGAGGTTCTAGGCAGACATGAATTTTGGGAGGACACTATTCAGCCCAGTACCGAAGCTAAGTATATTTGAATACCATGTGTGTTAGGATCTTGCACTGCGTGTGTCAGAAACCTCCAGCTACCTCTCCCGTGATGGGGACTGATCATCTGTGCAGCTGGAAGGCCCAGGAGTCGTCCCCTGCCTTCAGGTCCTGTTTGGATCTGGCATTTGGGGAGCTCGGGATTCCGTCAATCCCTCTACTGCCACCTCTGCATGCTCTGCCCTGTGGCCCCAGAGGTGGATTTGAACCCAGGCAGTCTGACACAAGAGCCCTCAACCACAATACTGGACTGCCGGTCCTATGCGAGAGCAGTAAACATCCCGTGTTGGTTTCCTACTGCTGCAAAGCAAATTACTACAAGCTTTTCAGCTTAAAAAGACACCCCGTTGGCTGGGCACGGTGGCTCACACATGTAATCCCAGCACTTTGGGAGGCTGAGGCAGGTAGATTACCTGAGGTTGGGAGTTCGAGACCAACATGGAGAAACCCCATCTCTACTAAAAATATAAAATTAGCTGGGCATGGTGGCCCATGCCTGTAATCCCAGCTACTTGGGAGGCTGAGGCAGGAGAATCACTTGAACCCAGGAGGTGGAGGTTGCAGTGAGCCAAGATCGCGCCATTGCACTCCAGCCTGGGCAACAAGAGCAAACTTCCGTCTAAAAAAAAAAAAAAAAAAAGACACCCCGTTAGTAGCTCATGGTTTTGCAGGTCAGAAGTCCAGCAGTGGTGAAGCTGGGCTTTCATAAGGCAAATCCAGGATATTGATCAGGCCATGGTCTCTTCTGGAGGCTCTGGGGGAGATCATGTTGTTGGTGGAATTCATTTGTTGCAATTGTAGGCCTGAGATCCTCACTTTCCTGCTGGCTGACAGCTGGGGACCCCCTCTGCTCCTAGAGGCTGCCTCTCTCAGTTCAGCCCACATGACTGTTTGCTTTCTTCCAGGCCGGCTGGAGAGAACTCTGCCTTTAAAGGGCTCATGTGACTAGGTCAGGCCTGCCTAACCTCCCTGTCTTAGGTCATAGGTGCCGTGTGCCATATAACCTAATCTCAGGAGTAAAATCTATGATGGTCAGGGGCCCAGGGCTTTGGCAGCATGTGTACCCTGATGAGGAGCATCTTAGAATCCTGTCCCCTACATCTGCCCTTACAGCTGTAAGGCTCAGCTTTCCTTTTTCATCACTGTAAGGCTAGGACCCCAGAGGCTGCATAAGGCAGGCATCTAAGTAGGGGAACTCGGGACAGAGCCCTCATCGACAGATGTACCCTCCAATCATCCATGTTCCCTGTGACTGCCGAAGGAGGTCCATGAGAAATGCCACCCATGGGGACCAGCCCCCCACTGCCCGTGGCAGGGCCATACGTGTTCCAGCTGGTGAGCGCATGGCCGCCATTGTTCCTGCCCAGGGGCTGGGCTCAGTCTACAAGGAAGAGCACTGAGTGCCGGTGGAGGGGCCCCCTGGCTGGCCTGAGCCACAGGCAGGGGGAAGGGGACAGGAATGGCATTGGACGGGGCACAAGAGGGAAGGGGGAAGGAAGGAAGGTGGACAGAGGAAGGGGAAGAGGAAGGAGGTGGAAAATGGGAAGACTGGGGAGAAGTGAAGCAAGCAAGAAAGAAACTGATGAGTCAGGGTTGCGTGGGGCAGATGCCACCATCTGTGGCTTCCTACCTTACGCAGAGGGACCCAGCCCATCAGAGGCCCACCAAGGGGCTGAGGATCCTTTCCGCCCTGCAGGGAACCTAGAACAAGCCAATGAGGAGCTGCGGGCGATCATCAAGAAGATCTGGAAGCGGACCAGCATGAAGCTGCTGGACCAGGTGGTGCCCCCTGCAGGTGGTGAGTGCTCCCTGGACTCCCGCACCTTGGCCACTGCCTGGCCGTGCCCCCCTCTGCCTGCCTCTCCTCCAGCTGTGGCACCCTTAGAATGCGGAAGCATCCCCTGAGACTTGCTTCTTGAGTCCCCTAGGCTTGCTGGAGGTCTGCCTTCAGACCCTTCCTGTGGGGCTCAGAGGCCCTGTTGGTTAGAAGGGAGGCAGGTGCAACGCCCTGCACAAACTCAGAAACAGAAAGTCAGGTTGGAAATCTGGTACAACCCTGCTTTTTACATAGGGTAACAGGCAAGTCCCTGATGCTTAGGGGTTTGGCAGAACTTCTAAAGAAACTCCACAAAGTATAGGTTTCCCATAAACCTGATTGCTGTAGGATTGCTCTAAGGCCCTCAAACGAGAATCCCCTGAGATTCCTCCCCTCTTGGATGACATTCTTTTTGTTCTTCCAAGAGCAGTGTTTCTTGACCCTATCAAGCCTCAAATCCCTTTTTATAGCAAAGAGTTTATATTGCCTTTACTATGATCCTGAATGAAAATTATAGGTAATATAACTTTCCTATACATATAATTTCCAAAATATTAATATAATGCCTTCACTCTAACATAAAATCTATTAAAAGCAGATGTTTCCAATATGTAAATACTCAGGCATAACTATACCAGCAGGTACATTTAATTGATGAGATCTTCTCATGCACCCACTTACAACACATACGGCTGGGTTCACAGGAAACAAGACAATACTGAATACTGTCAACACTTTGATTTGCCATTTTGAAATAAGGGGTAAATCAGTATATTAAATAAGTGTGTGTATAAATAGCCCCCCACACATAAACACACACACATACTTACACATATGCAGAACAACCGTGATGTGACACTTACGGTGAGTGACCCACACACCCTAAAGAGCATTGCCATCAGGAATACAGTTTTCCAAAATGCGAACCTCTCTTGGCCAAGTTTAAATAATCCAAAGTATAGTTTTCCTCAATTTACACAGCAGTTGTATTCCTGGAAATTGTCAGGTGTGTTAAAACCATGCAAAACAATGTCCTGTGTTCATTTGCAAAATGAAATTATGTTCCGAGCCCAGAGACTCCTAAGCAGAATCATGGATGTGTGGCATAAGCTTGAGAGCCATGCAGAGTGCAAAGCTGTGATTGCAGAACATGCCTGCACTTTAAGGGACAGGTCTGGAGCTACTTAATGCTAGTGGCACCCCCACAGTACCCCGACAACTAAAAACCACCCCACACATTTACTGTGCCCTCCTTAAGAGGCGACACCACTTGTGTTGAGAACCATTTGCCAGAGGGAAAGCCGGATTTGGGCTAAGCGAAAATCTCGCCAGTGCCATGTGATGTTTACATACATCGTTTTATTGAATCCTGACAACATTTCTGTGAAGTTTGCTCAGGGAACTAAAGTTCTTAGAAGCTAAGTTGCTGGCCCAAGGTTACCTGGAGAGTCCACAGCAGATTCAGGATTCAAACCCAGGCCCCAGGGAACCTAGGACTCCAGGTAGGACTCCAGGCTTGTCCCACCATGCAGTTCTTCCTTCCTGACTATGCTGGACAGGGGACCCTGGGTTTTTCCCTCCCACGTGGAAAGGGGGTGCTTGCCAGAGAAGGGAGGGGTCATCACTGCTATGGATGTGGCTATTTTGGAGGGACAGGTAGGAGGAGGAGAACCCTCACCAGCCCCTAGATTTAATCCCCAGCTGTCTCTTGGGCCCGTGGCATCTCTTCACAAAGAACCAGGAGGTAGATCCAAGGGGCTCCTCCCCAGGCATGAAATGTTTCCTCTAAGAACTTATGGCTTCTCCACCATCAGGTTTACTCCCAGGAAAGGGACTGATGATGTCACATATAATCTTGGGTATCCAGCCCAGCAGGGATGCAGCCAAGCCACCTGGCACAAAAACTCAATCGGGTTTGAAAGAAAAATCCAAACTTCCATGGGAAGAAAGCCCTCCTTCCACCAGCCCCTCCCTCCGAGCTAAGCTGAACCGTTTTGCACTTGCACTTGGAAGAGTGGCCAGTTGATGAGGGACATTTGAAGCTCTGGAATCAAATGTATCAGTTCAGTTAAAAAAAAAAAAGCGGGAAATAATTTTGATGGTAGGCTACCTTTTGCATAAAAAAAACAGGAGATAATATGTTTGATGATTTACATAACTAATTTGCACTAAGAATCTCTGAGAAAATACTCAAGAAACTAGATGATCTACAGGAGGTGGTGACTAGGCAGATAAGGGCTGTGGTGGGAGAGACTTTTGACCATAAGCCTTTTTATGGTTTTTTTTCTCTCTTTTTAAGCCATGTGAATGTATTACCTCTCCAAAAATATTAAAGTTTTAAAAAGTTTTGGATGCTGAAAAAAAAAATGAATGAAGTTCAACTGAATTCCCCTGCTCCCCTCTTACCCCCTCTCCCCTCTCCATACGTCTCAGATGATGAGGTCACCGTTGGCAAGTTCTACGCCACGTTCCTGATCCAGGAGTACTTCCGGAAGTTCAAGAAGCGCAAAGAGCAGGGCCTTGTGGGCAAGCCCTCCCAGAGGAACGCGCTGTCTCTGCAGGTGAGGGCCTGGGGGCGGGCCCACACTCCAGGAAGGTCCTGGTCATTGCCTCTGACCTCCAGTCAGGGTCCCGGTCCCTCCCCAGCAGGCTGGAGGCCAGGTCCCTGCAGAGGGAACCTTTCAGAGAGCTCCAGACCTTTCCAAAGATGGCTGTGAGAAGGGGGTGATGTGCCCTTCCCTACCTGCCACCCACCGACTGCCCTCCATGGTTCTGCCTGCTGTCATAGCCCCCAGATCTCTCAAATACTTCACTGAGGCTCCCGTGACAGCCCCTGACCCCTGGTGCCCCGTCCTAATGAGCCTTCATCCCTCCTGGATGGGCGAGTGGATTGTTCCATCAGAGGGCAGCCCAGCCCCCAGTTCACACACACACAAACCTTCCGGAGGGTCGACTGGCTGGGTGGAGGATGCCAGGGCCCTGGAGGGACAGGTCTTGGCCCGAGGCTGTGGCTGGCTGGGGAGCTTGGAGGAAAGGGAGCGTGGTCCTCACCATCCTCCCCTTGGATTCCAGGCTGGCTTGCGCACACTGCATGACATCGGGCCTGAGATCCGACGGGCCATCTCTGGAGATCTCACCGCTGAGGAGGAGCTGGACAAGGCCATGAAGGAGGCTGTGTCCGCTGCTTCTGAAGATGACATCTTCAGGGTGGGTGGTGCCATGGCGCACTCTCGACCCCTATAAAGTTCAGTTTGGAGCAAGAGGTTGGGCTGGGGTTTTGCGGGGAACGTCCAGGGGAAGGAGCTGCACCAGAGGAAAGGGCTACTTCCAGGCTCTTCCTGATGAGCTGTCTCCTCACCCCTTTGCCTTTTCCAAGCCTGACTCCATCCCAAGGCAGGGCTCCCTGGAAACAGCAGCTCTCAGTGTCACTGGCTCTCAGAGAAGCGGGAAGGAACCGCCTTCCTAAGGGAAATGTTTCCTAGGAGAAACTTCTGCATTAGAAGTTGCAGAGTGGTCACCCCTGGGGCACATCTAATCTGCAGGCTTGTTTTGTTTGTTAATATTTGAAAATCAAGACTTCTGGCATTCTTTGGAAAAGTCAGGAGACCTGGTAATATTAAGCTTGCATTCCCACAGGGCAGCAGAGGGCCGGAGCCTAGAGGCGGTGGCCCTTTGAGATGGAGCATAGCGTGTGTTCTCCAGGTCTCCAAGACCCCTCCAGAACTCCCCTTTCCCTCTCCTTTCCTGGAGACTGAAGCTGCCCAGCAGTTGCAATAGTGAAAATTAAAACGGCTGTACCAGAATAAGGGGCGTTTATCACTCATTTGTGTTGCCTGCCTCACCACGCTGGTGTTTGGTTACAAATCCTTCTATAGCAAGGGAGAAGCTGCCAGCCATAATTGTGCAGGACCCTGCTCACACCGCTCTCTCCCGGCCGCGGGCCCAGTTCCCAGGCTGTGGAACACACAGGGGGCAAGCTGAGCCCATCCTGCCCCTGCTCCGTCTCTTCCTCATCCTTATTCTTGTCACTGGGAGACATTCGTCACTGAGTGGCCTCAGGGACATGGCATGGTGGTGACACAACCCGACAAGACACCAGAAACCAAAGCCTCAGTCACCAAGGCCCAGGGATGCTCTGATGTCAAGGGTTGGAACAACCGTGCAAATAGCTACTTGCCCACTTCCCCAGGACAAGGAAAAGAATACTGGGGAAAAACATTGGCTCCTGGTTTTAAATCTCTCTGAGTCCCCGAGGGGAAAAAGACCATCATGCAGGAAATTCTTCATTTTCAAAACCGTTTGGCCAACCAGCTTTTAGCTCTGTGAGCACACTGGGTTTCCATTTTTTAAATCTGGTTAGAATCTTCTGGTCGCTCTCCCAGCCCCCGCCCTCACGGTGTGCTGGCTGCTCTTAGGGACCACCATCCTAGACGTGCCCTGGAAACTCACTCCCAGCCTTCAGGGGCTTCACTGGAAACCTCCAGGGCAGCTCGTACCAGCGGCAGCCCCTTGCCCAATCCCATCCCCACTGGTGGGTGGGTTCTCCCAGCTGCTGCAGAGGGGAGTCCAGAGCCTTGAGACTCCGGGTCCCTCCCTCTCTGGAGCAGCCAGGCATGAAGAAGGTCCTCAGGTGCTCCTGGCTCCCAGCAGGGCTGTGCCTACCCGAAAGAAGGCAGCCCGCCTTCCCAGGCCCTGCACTTCCCTGACCTGGCTGTGGAGGCTGCTCTCTGGGAGGAGTGGGTGCTAAGGGGCTTCTCCACCCACCCCTCCTTCTTGCCTACAGAGGGCCGGTGGCCTGTTCGGCAACCACGTCAGCTACTACCAAAGCGACGGCCGGAGCGCCTTCCCCCAGACCTTCACCACTCAGCGCCCGCTGCACATCAACAAGGCGGGCAGCAGCCAGGGCGACACTGAGTCGCCATCCCACGAGAAGCTGGTGGACTCCACCTTCACCCCGAGCAGCTACTCGTCCACCGGCTCCAACGCCAACATCAACAACGCCAACAACACCGCCCTGGGTCGCCTCCCTCGCCCCGCCGGCTACCCCAGCACGGTCAGCACTGTGGAGGGCCACGGGCCCCCCTTGTCCCCTGCCATCCGGGTGCAGGAGGTGGCGTGGAAGCTCAGCTCCAACAGGTAAGTGGGAGGCTGGCCACCCCAGGCGGCACACAGGGCCCACGTGCTGCAACCCTCAGGAGACAGTGGAGGAGACGGAGGCCTCGGCCAGCCACTTGTCCCTCAAGCTTCCAGGAGGTTGCTGCCCCAGACTCCAGCAAGAGCAGGAGGCACTATGCTGTCTCCCAAGTCCTGCCCTTGATCAGACCTGGCAGGCTCAGGGCAAGTCAGCAGTGGCCTGCGGCGCTGGTTCTCCCACAGGGCCCTCTCCTCTCCCACACTTCCTGAGTGGCAGAATGTGATCATCAGATGTTTGTGTTCCGGCTTCACAACAGAAACCATCCCGTCTGCCCTTCCCCGAGTCTCTGCCCAAACCTGGCCTTTCTCCCAGCCGAGATGGGAATGGTGTTTCCATTGCTTCCCTGGAGCCCCTTTGCCAGCCTCCCGGAGAGGGCATCCCCTGTGGGAGGCGCCATCTGTAGCACTGGCCCATTCTGCCCAGCACAGGATCATTCCTGGAGGTCTTGACTGTACCTCTTACTCCTGACTCACTCTTTTCTCCTTGTCCTCTCATCCCTGTGCTCTAGGATGCACTGCTGTGACATGCTGGATGGTGGGACCTTCCCTCCCGCCCTGGGCCCCCGCAGGGCTCCTCCCTGTCTGCATCAGCAGCTCCAGGGTTCCCTGGCGGGGCTGAGAGAGGACACACCCTGCATCGTGCCTGGCCACGCTTCACTGTGCTGCTCTTCCAGAGTAGGAGAGTGGCTCCCAGCAGGCTGCACAGCCCCCCAGCATGCCAGGTTCTTGACATGCTCGCCCTCCAGCTCAGAAAATAATAGAGAAGTAGCAGCTTCCCTCTAAACCCCTGGAAAAGTGTCCATCCAAGGAGCAGGCACACCTGCCGCTGGCCTGCCTGTCCCTGCAGAGGGCCCATTTCAAGAGGGCTGCATGCAAGCCCATGGGACTCAGGCATTTAATTGTGTCAGACGACAGGCCAGTTAAAAGGACCATCTCCCTGTCTGCTTTCCTTTCTGCAAGGTTGGCTGGTTTAGCCACCCAGAAGCAGCACTGGGGGCATCCTTCAATTCATGAGGCCTGCACTGCTGCCTTCTGTGTGCACAGGGCAGTGTGCTGGGCACTGGATTTTATGTGCCGGCCTGAAGGGCTGGCTTTGCATAGGAGAGGATCTAATCTAGGCATCTAGTCTTGGGGGCCTGCACCTGTTGTGGGGGCCTCATCCTTCTCTGCAACCTCACTCCCCTTCCACGGCCTTTGAGGACCCAAGTACTGGGTCCCCATACCCCCTTCTCCCCTCTGGCCTCATGAAGCTTCTGCTTAAGGAGGGCTCCACGTCCGTCTTTAGCATCTCAGGGTGAACTAATTCCCCACCCTCTAAGGGCATTTTCATGTGAAGCTTTGTTCTCTGTGACATAAGGGGAGAGGGATGTTTAGAGGAGCTGGGGGAGGAGACCCCAGGGGATTTCCTTGTCCCCACAGATATATCTCTCCACATAGCAAAATACATGCAAAGCACCCGGCACAGTGCCCAGCACACAGTCGGTGCTCATGAAATGTCGGTTCCCTCTGCCCACTGCAGATGGTACAAACAACACACAGGGCATCAAGCTTCAGCTTGGTGAAGAGGAGGAGCATAGCCCACGTCCCAGCTCCCTTGTCCCCGTGTCACAGCTCAAGGCTAACGGCAGCTCTAGTGCCAGCATTGCTTGTGCTGAGGATGGGCCAGCACGTCCTGTGCCCGGTGGCCCCCAAAAGTGCTGCTGCCTGCCTGCTGCTGCTCTGCGTCTCCAGCTCCTCCCTCCGTGCTTCACCAAAGCCCACTCCACCTCCCTCCCCTCCCAGTCCTCCTGGAGCTCCCACCTCTCATCTTTCCTTCCACTGCGGGGCGGGTGGCAGTCTGCAGTCCTCCTCCTCGAGAGAGAGAATTGCTTCTACCCTGCCTGGGATGCTCAGAGCCAGGGCACTGATTTAGCACTCGGCTCTGAGAGGATGGACCAGGATCTTTCTCTGATGCCCTCAGGGGTCTGAGGATAAAGTGGGCCCAGCATGCAAGGTCTATAGAAAGCAAGACAAAGGGAGGCACTGAGCTGAGCTCAGACAGGAAAAGGAAGAGGCCTTGGTCCAGAGCTAAAGATGACCTGACCCTGTCCCAGCAGGGAAAGGCACGTTCCGATGTGTGAGGATCTGGAGCTCAGGAGGGATTCAGGCTCAGCAGGGACTCAGGCTCACTGCCTTCTGCTCAGGAGAGCAAACCCCTCTAGGTGAGGCTTCCTCTCTGTGCCTTTACCCCAGGGTGCCAGTGTCAGAATCAAGGGCACCATCAAAATAAGAGGCCAAGGACTTCTCAGCTATGCCAAATGCCAAAGACCCAGGTGTCATAGCTGGAGGTGAGTGGGGGGCAGCCTCTAAGTTAGGCAGGGCATATGTCATTCCAATTTCATAGGGAAACTGAGGCATGAGGTGGACCAAGTGACTTGGACCAGAGGGTAAGTGGATTGGGGTCAGGACTCCTGGATCCACAGCAGACATCCTTCTCCCAAATGGGACCCTCACCCTAATCTGAACACTTCTATGGATCCATCAGCAATCACAGGAGAACAAAGCACCAGCAACTGTATGCCTGTTCACGTGTGTGTGCTTGTGTTTGTGCACGTGTGTACACCTGCATGTGTGTGCGTGTGTGATGCTTTACTTGCTGAAGGAAGTGGAGGAAGGTTGGCAGTTTCTGATGTTTTTCTTCATCTTGGATATTGTAGGTGCCACTCCCGGGAGAGCCAGGCAGCCATGGCGGGTCAGGAGGAGACGTCTCAGGATGAGACCTATGAAGTGAAGATGAACCATGACACGGAGGCCTGCAGTGAGCCCAGCCTGCTCTCCACAGAGATGTGAGCTCTGCTGCCCTCTGCTGAGGCTGACCCAAGTGTGGGAACAAATGTGGGGAGGCAGAGGCAGGTCCCTGAGATCCCTCCTCTGGGGCTGATTGCAGGAGGAGAGGAGATCACAGAGAAAACATCTGCACCGCCTCTTTCATCTCCTCAGTGAAATGGGAGCCCCCCAACACACAACACACACAAACACACACACACCACACACACACACAGACACACACAACACACACATACACGATGCCCTTTTTAGCTTGGGGTTTCCTCGCCAGGAAAATTTCTGAACATTGTTTTATAAACATTGTAGGCTGTAAGACACAGTCATAAATATATTTTCTGGTGAGACTCAGTATGCACATACATATATAGATAATTAAACAAGTGTTTCAAGACACTGCTTATAATGAAGCTGCCCAGAAGAGGGCACTGGTGGCAAAGCCAGGCCTGAGATTTTTGTCCTTGCTGCCATTCTTAGAGTATTTTTAGCTGCAGTTCTAGATCCTTTAGAAGGTGGTGACATCCATTTGGTCACTAATGACTAGCCCTTAAAAGCAGGTGCAGCACAGCACAATATCAGAAACTATCAGAATGCGTCAAACGTCACAAAGGTAAGCGCTGTGCTGGGAAACACTTGCTTAATTGCCAACAGATGTGGCTATCTGGGGGTCTCCTTGAGAAACATCTTTATGACTCTGAGTCACATCCACAGAAGTTTGAGACACAGAGTGACATCCACAGAAGTTTGAGACACAGTGTTTCCGAAGCTTTTCTGGCTCTTTTCACCCTCAAAGCCCTGTCTCATCTGTTACTGTATACATGACTCACAACAGGCCTCTGAGACAGAGAGGGCATATGTCATTTCAATTTTGTAGAAAGGGAAATTGAGGCATGGGGTTTTCCCCAGGGGGTAATGCCTGGGTCCCATGGGCTTGCGTGCAGCCACTTGAAAATGGGCCCTCTGGAGGGACAGGCAGGCCAGCGGCAGGTGTGCCTGCTCCTTGGATGGACACTTTTCCAGGGGTTTAGAGAGAAGCTCCCACTTCTCTATTATTTTCTGAGCTGGAGGGCAGGCATGTCAAGAACCTGGGATGCTGGGGGGCTGTGCCACCTGCTGGGAGCCACTGTCCCACTCTGGAACGGCAGCACAGTGAAGCGTGGCCAGGCACGATGCAGGGTGTGTCCTCTCTCAGCCCCGCCAGGGAACCCTGGAGCTGCCGATGCAGACAGGGAGGAGCCCCACGGGGGCCCAGGGCGGGAGGGAAGCCCTCACCGACCCCTCCCAGCATGTCAGTCCATTCAGTTCCTGAAAGGACTTCAGAGTGAGGAAGGACTAGCCTTGCAGGCTTTTGAAGACAGGAAAGGTGTGGCTGGAGGTGGTGGGAGGGGACACCAGGTGCCCCACCCTGAGGAGTGTGGGGAGAATGGCAGCCAGGCCAGCACAGCATGCGGCTTCCTGGGGTCCAGTGCTTTCTGCTCGGGAACTGGATGGGAAGAGTAGCAGAAGCACCTCCTTTTCCCCAGCATAGAAAGAAGAATCGAGTGAGTAAGGAAAAGCATGGAAAGAGTCCCAACCAGCGGCACTTGACAAATCACTCAACTGCCCTGTGCCTTCGTGTCCCCATCAGCAAAATGGGACGGTGGGGGTGACAGGCCTTCTACTTTTCTGACTCAGTGAAACACGGTCAATATAAAAAAGGGAAATACCTGAAGCTCCTTATGAGATAACTGTCTCTAAATTGATTCTTAGAGAATACAAACGAATGCCTGACCACCTACCCTAGAAATCAGGAAGAGCATATATTTTAAACTATTTCGGTTATTCTAGAGTGCTTGGTGCACCAGGCACTCTGCTAGGTTGTTAAGAACCCAGTCTCCATCCTCAAGGAAATTCCACAAACTAGGAAACTAAGAGGGTCTCAGGAGAGGAAGATAACACAGAGTTTCTCACTACCCCCAGAGTGGTACAACCCCCAGGGGTACAGGCGTTCAGAGAAAGTTGAGGGCAGGGTGACCTGAACTGGTACCACGCACAAGGTGAAATGGAAGCTGGATCTGCAAGAGCCAGGGTGATTTGCATAAGAAGAAAATACAATAGGGAGGCCTTAGCTAGCTGAGAGTAAGAGCTAGTCTTGAAGGTATAAATACTGCGGTCTGCACTCTACCAGCCTTCCTGCACATCTATAAATCATCCAAGTCTCTGTGCTGTACCATGAGCAGGCATGGAGTCACCCTCAGAGGTGTGGGGTGGCACCAGGGACCAGTGAGTCAGTGGTCTCATCTGGGAATGAGGTTGGAATGCAGCTGTGCTTCTTGAACTGCAGGCTGACCCAGCAGAGATTGTGAATCAAAATTTTAATAAAAATAGAACAGACTAAAGTGGACTGGGACTCACCAGGGTGCAACGCATGCACCGAGGGTAACCAAAGGCTATGAGGTTTCATTCCATCAGGTGTGTCTGTGCATGATGAGAAGCTGTCAAATCTACTTCTCATCGAGTTTCCATCAAAGGCCTGGAAGCCATAGACTAGATGCCCCATGAGGTCCCTCACAGCCCTGCTGTTCACCTACTGAGTGACCGTAGAGTGGTTGTAGGCAGCTGCTTATGTGCTCTTGCTGATGAGGGGGTGGCAGGGCGGGAGAAATCGGGGGACGGGCATAAGTTTGGGTGAAAGTTGAGGGTCACTGGGGAAAACAGCATCAGCTCATGCAAACACGGGAGCCAAGGCCATTCCCCAAAAGAACTTCATGGGCCTAGGATTCTTTCCGCTTTCTCAACACCTTTGACCCCAGAGTGCCTTCACTGCCCCAAGTCAGAACTGCAGGCTTATGAGACAGGCTGCGGGTGAGGAGCTGGCCATTCCCACTGAGCAGGCCTGGAAGACGTCAGGGGCAGGCCAGAACTTCTTGGGGTGGCAATTCCCCAAACCTGCATGTAAGCACAAAGTGTGCGTCCCTTCACTAAGGATCAGAGCAAAGTGCTTTCCGGGGGTGCAGCTGTCCCTGTGGGTGGCCACTTCTCAGCCTCCAGGAACAAGCCCCATGAGCTCTCTGTTCCAGGCTCTCCTACCAGGATGACGAAAATCGGCAACTGACGCTCCCAGAGGAGGACAAGAGGGACATCCGGCAATCTCCGAAGAGGGGTTTCCTCCGCTCTGCCTCACTAGGTAAATGCACCGCTCGCTCTCTGGATGTGGTCGGCGGTTACTCCCTAGAGAACACTGGTCAGGGATGATTGGGAAATCGTTGTGGCCTGCCTCAAATCAGCCCCACACAGTGGGGCATTTCCAAAGCAAGGAGACAACATTCCAAAGGCAGGGTGTGCAGGGATGAGCCCTGGACACCAGAATACGTCTCAGACGAGGGGAGGGGAAAGGAGGAGCGTCTCGGGCCATAGTTACTGCTCCTGGCACCCCACCAGGGTGTAAACTGTCACAGGCCAGTGCCCTGTTTTCCTGCCCTGATGGTGGCTCTCTGGCTGGCTTTGCAGGTCGAAGGGCCTCCTTCCACCTGGAATGTCTGAAGCGACAGAAGGACCGAGGGGGAGACATCTCTCAGAAGACAGTCCTGCCCTTGCATCTGGTTCATCATCAGGTAGCTCACACTTTTGGACAGGCCACTGTCACCTGCCAGCAGGCCAGACAGTCCCCAGGGTGACGGACAAATCCTGAAGACTTCAGTGGGTCTTGCCTGTCTCAGATGGCTGGCACGTCCTGCCCCTGCCCTAAGAGCCATCCCTGTAGGGCTTCACACTCCTGTGCAGGTGAGGGCCACGGCAAGGTCTGCAGCATCGCAGGTGGGGGCCTAGGAAGTGCTGGTGCACAGGAGCTCTTTGTGTGATCCTGAGGACCCACAGCTGCAGGTTCCACCTGAGCTTTCTTCTTAGGCTGCCACAGATGCCACTGACGCCTCTGACACTGGCCTATGCCTCAGGGCACTCAGGAAGATGTACTTGTACCTAGAGTTTGAATATACCTGGAAATTTTGCCACACAAAAATCCATCCAGTGACATAAAGAAGTGATTAAAGAACCCACCAGCAACATGGTCAAGAGTAGGGAATGACATCCGTGGGAAGCAGGTCCAGGGAGATTCCATAAATGAAATGTCTCTTGGCATGGCTGACTCCAGCTGAGACAGTGAAATCCAAGATGCCAGGACCAAACATGCCTTAGTATCTTTGAACTTCAGTGTTATCTAAGGCCAGTCTATTAACCCCAGGCAAACTGAGGTCTAAACCTGGGTTTCCCAACATTCTGACCTTATTAAAGTTATACTCTTTTATAGCATGGACCTATGTTTTAAATAGACCTATGCTTTGTACCCAAAGGCATTCAACTGCCAATCAAAAGTCATAATCAGCATGAGATGGCCAGTGTGGCCTGGCTGAGTTGATAGTACTTCAGCTCCAAAAAATAAACAGGTTTTCTTAGCCTGTGTGGTGTTGTCTTCCACTGGGCTTTCTGAAATAATGAATATGGCCTTACACTTTTCTCAGATTCCCAGGGACCCAGGAGCCCCAGGCTGAGGACCACCATGGGCAGGGGCAGGAGGTGGAAGGATGTGGGGACACTGTGTGTGCTATCTTAAAAGATTTCTAGAAGTCGATTTCACCTATCTGTTCTTGTCGTACTGGTAGGCACGAAACTCTCCTCTTCATCTCTTTCTCCTCCTGTACTCTGTGACCCTAGAGGTGGTCTTTCCCCACCACAGTGTCGCTCTCTCCCGGGAGCACATCCCATCAGAGCAGCTCACCCTGCAGAGCCTCTGCCCTGGCAGGTTGTCATGGCAACAGCCAGACAGGCCTGGTCCCTACCCTCAGGATGCTCAAGAATATTCAGGGACAGAGGGCGTACCGTGTGACTTTTTTTTTTTTTTTTTTGAGACAGAGTTTTGCTCTTGTTGCCCAGGCTGGAGTGCAATGGCACGATCTCGGCTCACCACAACCTCCACCTCCCGGGTTCAAGTGATTCTCCTGCCTCAGCCTCCCAAGTAGCTGGGATTACAGGCATGCACCACCATGCCTGGCTAATTTTGCATTTGTAGTAGAGACTGGGTTACTCCGTGTTGGTCAGGCTGGTCTTGAACTCCCGACCTCAGGTGATCTGCCCGCCTTGGCCTCCCAAAGTCCTGGGATTACAGGCATGAGCCACTGCTCCCAGCCCTGAATCTTTTAATCACAATACAGCACCGGATTTAACAATGGCTCAAAGACAACCTGAGCTAGAGACTGGCAGGGCATTATGAATGGCCCCATTAACTGTGAGAACTAAAACCACAAATACTGGTTTTCCCAACTCTTTGTGAGGTGCACAGCGCTTCTTCACAGACCTCATTGCGCTTGAGCCTCACACCAGCCCCACAGGGCAGATGGATAGACAGCATTCGTTTTCTGGCTTTACAGACATGCAGGCCTCACCCTGCTCTCCATTCTATTGAGGACAAAACCAAGAGCGAGAGAATGCACAGCTGACAGGTGACCAGGCCAGGGCTAAAAGCAGGTTACCACGACTTCACCCAATCCCAGCTTTCAGAAGTTACAGGAGAAAGAGATCACTTCAGACCCAGATGATCCTAAGATGTATTTTGAGATAGTTGAAAGTCATGCCAGGTTGAGATAGGACCGACAGGGGAAAATAATGGCATGGGAATACCAGGCAGGTGGAGCTAGCTGGACACAGCAGCTGCAAAGCAGTGCTTGCTCAGAAGCAGGGGCCTGCCTTGTTTGGGGTCGGCCACTCCTATTAACTCACACTCCTTGTGTGTCCGCAGGCATTGGCAGTGGCAGGCCTGAGCCCCCTCCTCCAGAGAAGCCATTCCCCTGCCTCATTCCCTAGGCCTTTTGCCACCCCACCAGCCACACCTGGCAGCCGAGGCTGGCCCCCACAGCCCGTCCCCACCCTGCGGCTTGAGGGGGTCGAGTCCAGTGAGAAACTCAACAGCAGCTTCCCATCCATCCACTGCGGCTCCTGGGCTGAGACCACCCCCGGTGGCGGGGGCAGCAGCGCCGCCCGGAGAGTCCGGCCCGTCTCCCTCATGGTGCCCAGCCAGGCTGGGGCCCCAGGGAGGCAGTTCCACGGCAGTGCCAGCAGCCTGGTGGAAGCGGTAGGTGACTCGCAGATGGGCAGGGGGGAGAGGCCACGGGCAACAAGGGGACTTGGCATGCGGGGCTGAGAAGGGAGCACCTGGCTCTTGCCAAATTCATTGCAGTCAATATCTGAGCCCGAAAGACCCTCCCTCTCAGGGCTGCAGGAGGGCTCGTGTGCGGAAAGCCATGACTGCACAAGATGCTATGGGCTCTCTTGAGGCTGGGCCCACTGCAGAGGGCGGCAGAAACCACTGAGCAACTTATCCCTTATACTGCAGCTGCTCGACATGCAAATGTGAGCCTGGCTGCCTTTATACACAGACAGGCAAGATCCAAGGTGCTCAGGCCTGACTGCCCGTGAGCATCACCTGGGGAGCTTTGGAAACCCGGGACAGATTAACTGATGATTGTTAAAGCTCTTCGATGATTTTAACGTGTAGCAAGGTTGAGAGCCACTAGCCTAGAACAAGCGAGCTTTCAGTCCCACTGTGCTCTGCCTGGTCAGAGCATCTAGTGCAATCCCGGCACCACATTATTAGGGACCTTTGACACACTGGAACAAACCCAACAGAGGATGACCAGGATGGCAAGGTTCCTAGAAACCATTTCCTAGGAGAACCGTTTCAGGGAATTCGGGAAGAAAACCTGGAGAGGAGGTGACTTTGGAGGGTGCGATACACCTCTCACACCTGCAACGGGTGGGATGGGGAAAGGGTGGCAGGCTCAGCCCACCAGCGGACAGATTTCAGCTCACATGGGGAAGACCTTCCCAAATGAGCTCTTCCAAGATGAGAGGGGCTTGCCTGAAAGGTAGTGAGCCCCCCATCATCAGACATAGCCAAGCAGAGACTGTGCTCATCCGGGCGTCAGGCTGTGGTGCAGGAGGTGGGGCGTTAAACCAGGTGGCTTCCAAGGTTTACCTCTCAAAGTCTGGTATTCCTGTGGCCTCGATCATCCTGCATTCATTTCACAGACCTTCCCTGAGCGCCTACCATGTGCAGGCCCTGTTCTAGGTACAGGGACACAGCTGAGAAACAGAGCTTCTGCTCTCATGAGCTCACATCATGGTGAGGAGAGACAGATAATAAACACATACATATATAACACATCAGGAAGGTCAGGAGTGCCAAAGAAAAACTAAGCAGGGCAAGGAGAGAATGAGTGGCGTGGGCAAGGAGCAAGACAAACAGATGCCTGAAAGGAGCGAGTGCCAGGCTGCACTCAGCTTCCCCCGACCCGCTGGCTCAGGAGCCGATTTTCCCATAGCCAGGCACTAAGCAGCCGGTAGGGAGGACAGAGAAGCTTAAGGGTCACCTGCTGGCCCTTCCCAGCAGAAGCAAGGCAGGGGCATGCGCCGTGTTTGCACAGATACCTCACCCCTGGAAAGGCAGCAGCAGGCAATGGGCAGTGGGCCTGTCTCAGCAGTTTCACCAGGGAGAATGGTTTCTCTGAAAGAATAGTATAAAGGTTCAGTGGGTGTCAGAAAGGAGAGAGGCAGGCTGGGATCTGCTGATACAGCATCAGGGCAACCCCCCGGCCCCTCTGAGAGCCAAACCTTCTCTGGTTTTTGTTTTGGTTGTTTTTTGAGACAGGGTCTCGCTCTGTCACCCAGGCTGGAGTGTAGTGGTACAATCACAGCTCAGTGCAGCCTGGCGCTGCTGGGGTCAAATGATCCTCCCACCTCAGTCTCTGGCCTTGCTAAGATCACAGGTGTGCATCACCACACCCAGCTAATTATTCTTAAATTTTTTGTAGAGACGAAGTTTCCCTGTGTTGCCTGGGCCTGGTCTCGAACTCCTGGGCTCAAGCAGTCCTTCTGCCTGGGCTTCCCAAAGTGCTGGGTGACAGGTGTGAGCCACCGTGCTGGGCCATAAGCAAGTCTTCATATATTTGATGACAGTGTTTGACCACCCCAGCCAAAACTTCTCTGGCCTGCACATCCCTAATTCTGGCAGATGCTCCATCTCCACTTGTTCCCCATGGGTGCCCCTCCCAACACACACACGTACACGTGCACACACGCACACTTCCCCAAGTGACCTACCAGATACCCCCTCGCTCTAGCCCTCAAGGGAAGAGCTGGGCTCCAGGAGTAATGTTCCTTTGGTTCTTCATGGCTCCCACCCCGCTCCTTCAGGTCTTGATTTCAGAAGGACTGGGGCAGTTTGCTCAAGATCCCAAGTTCATCGAGGTCACCACCCAGGAGCTGGCCGACGCCTGCGACATGACCATAGAGGAGATGGAGAGCGCGGCCGACAACATCCTCAGCGGGGGCGCCCCACAGAGCCCCAATGGCGCCCTCTTACCCTTTGTGAACTGCAGGGACGCGGGGCAGGACCGAGCCGGGGGCGAAGAGGACGCGGGCTGTGTGCGCGCGCGGGGTCGACCGAGTGAGGAGGAGCTCCAGGACAGCAGGGTCTACGTCAGCAGCCTGTAGTGGGCGCTGCCAGATGCGGGCTTTTTTTTATTTGTTTCAATGTTCCTAATGGGTTCGTTTCAGAAGTGCCTCACTGTTCTCGTGACCTGGAGTTAACCGGAACAGCGTCTTCATTCATTTCTGTTGGGACCAGACGCGGAGCCTGGGTGCGCGAGCCGCCCTCCGGGAGGAAGGCGCCCGGCTGCGTCTGCAGAGGCGGGGAGAGGAGGCGGCGAGGGTCCCGGGGCGCGAGGAAGGCGCCTGCCCTCTCCCAGCTCGCAGGCCCCGGGCCCGGCCGCGCCTCCGCGGGGAGAGCACCCCGGCTTCCCGCGCGCCCTCACCAAAAGGACCCTACAGCAAACGGGTGTCTTTCGACTCTGCTTGTAGAAACCATTTGCACATATTCTGTACGAGCCTCGCTGTCTCCCTAGAGCCAGGGCCCTGCGGATTTGGAGAAGGGAGCGGGGCAGGACTTCCAGGAGGACCCCAACCCGGCCCGGAGAGGGAGGAGGAGGCCTCCAGGGGCGCGGAGCTCTGGGGATGGGCGTCGGGCCGGCAGTGGTGCGGCTCACTCCGTCCCTGCCCACCTGCGACGGGATCCCCCGACCGGCACGGGCCACGCCGAGCTCCCGGCCAGCCGCCGGCCCGCAGGCAGCGCGAGGGAGGAGCTGCGCCGCCGGCTCCGCCCAACCAGGTGGTGCTGAGCTTCCGCTGAGCGCTCTTTTGTTTTGTGGTTTGACACTTTTCTTGACAGCATGTTGCAGTTTCTTTTCGGTTTTGGTTTTTTTTAAATGTTTTATTTTGCTTTCCCAGCGGGAGGGGAGGAAGAAGAGTGTTTACAAAGTCCTGTAGCCCCCTCACCTTTCTGTTTTCACTTTTGCCAATGTACATCGGGTTTGGTTTTCTTGTATTATTTAAACGGTTGTGGTTTCCTTTTTCCACGGAGGTTCAATAGAAGCCGCTGCAGGAGAGTTTTACCAACCATTGTGTATGCCCAATAATTTGTTATCATTTCCTTAGGTAGTAACCTATTTTTGTTCTGGTTTGGTTCGGTTATCTAATGGAAAGGTAACTGGCAATGCACTTGATGTGGTCTTGCACATGTGGGTGATAGAGTTGGGTTCCTTTTTATGCTGGGTGTACAGGTGGGTTTGGGAGAGAGGAGCATGCGCGAGAGAGTCTCCGAGTGTGTGCGACGCGTGTGTGTGTGGTGGGTTGTCTGTGTGCATATGTCCTGCCCGTGTATATGCACCCACACCATGTGCCCGTGCACACCAGTGACTACGCAGTCCCCCCTTTCTGGTTTAGCTGTGGGAAGATCTGAATCTGGGGCCGTTTGAAAGCAAAAACAAACCACTGTCTCTGCTTCTGAAACGGGAATCAGTAACTCTTTGCATTTTCTGTCCCACAAGATATGCAAAAACAATGCAATAATATTCATTTAAAAATACAATTGTGAGTTGTGTTGGCATTAAAACTGTATTTTAAAAAAAGACAGAAATTTAAGGGAAAAACACAAGAAGGCATTTTGCTTCAATATATTCCGTGTAATGTTTTATTGCATTGATAATGTTTCTGTTGAAGAAACCGTTATACTTGAATTCAGGTCAGTTTCAGTATTTTTCAAATATTTTTTTAAAACTGAATTGCAATTGTGCCAAGCGAATATAATGAATTGAATTAAGTTGGTTTTCGGATTCACTTCTTGTATATTTTGCTGCATGTAAAGTAAATCATTTTGTATTTGGAGTGTGACAAGCTTTACCTTTGAACTCAAGTGCTTTTCTATATGTGGTTGGGGGAAAGGGAACAAGTTTTCTTTAGTTTGCACAATGAGCAAAGGTATCACCAGTGTAGTCATTATTCTGCTCTCCACAAACAGGTTTGGACATTACTGTTTTGCATATCTTGTGTTTGCTTACATTTCCCTCAATTTTTCCAAAATCGTTTGCTGGGTATGTTTGTACCGCCTCTTGCTGTGAGAGACCAGGACCTATTTTATTCCAGTCTTCACTCTGTCCACTCTGCTCTGGTCATCTGATTTGGTACTTCTCCAAGAACAGCCCTTCACTGTGAGGTGCAGGGAGGCGTTCTGATGAGCCCTCAGTCACTGGGCCGTCATCCGCATCCCCCATGGAAGAGGTAGCTGGCTTTCCCTTCCCTTCCACCACACGGAATTTTCTCTTTGGCTTCCTTAGGAAAGTGTACACTAACCGGGAGGATAAAATTAAAGTCAGGCTGCTTGGAGGGAGGGGCATCCTCACTTCCGGATTCTTGTTGCTCTACCCAACAAGGACAGCAGGGGCTCGAGAAAGGAACTGGTGAAACCCTGATCCATCTGAAAGTCAACTCTGCGTGCTCCTTTCTCCATCCCTTCCTCACTCTGGAGCAGCCTTTCCTTCAGGCTTGCCCTAATGTTTGGGCTGCCGGGGAGGGGGCCAGGACAAGGGAAGAGGCATCCGGAGCTCACAGTGGGGGTGGGAACAGATTTTTGTGGGGGCATCTCTAATGCTCACTTATATCTCCCTAGAACATCACTCTTTTGGTGCTGTGTCCTTCAAATGTATGTCAACAGTGGTGGCTGAAAAGGGACTGCTTTGGGGAAAACAGGACCCAACCATTCACCCAGAATTGACCCATTAAATCTCTTCCAGTCCTAGTGTTCCCTGAGCCCCTCTTGGCACATATATAAGTAAGCTAGAAATTACAATAAGGGACAGTCCATTCCTCTATGACAGCTTGCTGGACTGATTCATGACAAAGTGGAGAAATGTACTCAATACTCCCCGGTTAACACAGTCTAGAAACAGAGTTTCTTTATGGATATCCACACCCAAGTCATCCAAACTTTCTTGATTCCTTTTCACTGCCATCAAGGTCCTCTAGAAATTGAGTTTAGGTATCATCCTTTGAAAAGTTCCCAAGATTTCTACCAGGAGGTACACACAGGCGTTCCCTGTCTAGGGCAGGAGGACTATCCTAGCTTGACCTTCTGATCCACTAGAATAAGACTGGCGTATGATGCCTGTCATCAGAACAGACTGGCACAAGTAGTGACATCAATGAACCACAGCACAATCTTCCAAGTGATGTCTACTCTCCACCTAAAATGGAATTTTCCCCATGACCTTGTAAAACATAATTGTCACATCTTCCATACCCCTCCTGACAGCCCCCAAGTGTCAGGAGAAAACAGTCAGGGGCTAAGGGCCCAAGGGACTTGAAGAAACAACAGTTTAAGGTCTGCAGTTTGGTCAACTTAATTCTTGTCCTCCGACCAGCCCTGCCTCTTTCATTTCCAGACCTTGGAGAATTTTTCCCAGCTTTGATTCAGAAGGTACTAGTTATAACCCCTTTCCTTCTTCTTAATCCAATAGGCCTCACTCTCACTGGGAAATCCACTCAAAGGAACAAGGCAATGTCTCTCATTCTATTTCCCAGTTCCAAATTCCAGGTGCTTGTCTGGAGTGAAGCTACCCGTTACTTTCTCCCAGCTTTTCTCCACCCAGCATGTCTCCTGCCCATGCAGCTGAAGACAGTGGGGCAACCTCAGGAGAAGCAGACCTTTCCATGCCCAAGTTCATCTCCTGAGCAACAGTGACACCTAGAAAATGAGGACTTTGGAAGTCACCCAAAAGATGGTGGCTACTTTATGGAGTCCTGAAGATACACAGCCACCACTCCTAAAGGCAAAGAAAGAAAACACGAATGTAGGTCAGGGATAGAGTGGAACCCTGGTCATCGGGGTTTTTAGCCTCATCGTGGGAAAGGTGGTAAAGGAGGATGATGGCATCTCCATCCCTAGAGGCCAAGAATTGAAATATCATTGTCAAGGATTAGAAACAATTCAGCAAAGAGGCCACAAAAAGGGCCTGCTGACTCCCAGAAGACCTCTTTAAACCCCAGGGGAGGCAAATACTTGCTGATGGAGTCTGGGCCGTTTCCATATTTTAAAGAAGACCTGCCTCTGGGGCAAATGTCAGCACAGAGAGGACTGGGAGGAGAATGGAGGCAAGAAAAGGGCATATTTTGACTCCCTCTGTGCCTCTTCCCAGTTCATGGAAGGATGTGTTCAGCTTACCCACCCACAGTGACCAGTGTGGTGGAGCCGCTGACATCTCAAGGATCTATTTGGGAAGGTGAGAAGAGTACTCATTCCATCTGGGGGTGTTGTTCCAGCCACATCAGCCTACCTGGTGGGATGTGGGGGTGTCTGCCACCCTGTCCCCCCTCTGCTGATGTCCCTCCCCTCAGGCTGTCCAGGTGCCACCTGACACAGGCTGCTGTGCAAAGACAGGCGGGGAAGCCCAAACCTCACTCCCAGGGAGGCCCTCAGCCGCCAGAGTCCAGGTTCTCCAGAGGCTACGATTTGAGGAGGTTGAGGGGGAAGACAGGAGGGAAAGAAAAGTCCTACAACTGTCAGGAATGGGGCACCTTTCCCTGTCCCTAAGCAAAGCTCCCTCTTCCCACTGCCCTCCCCAGCCCCAGCTCCCTGTCCTCCCCAACACCTAGTGAGAAAGACGGTGCGTGGAAGGGAGTCCCATGGGCAGATGCTTACACGACCTCTTTGTGAAGCCTCTTCTGGGTTTAACTTCATTCATCAATTTATTCTTATGTCAAAGCAATGAAACTTTTCTTTCTGGAGCCAGATACCAATACAACAGGTGAACGGGTTTCTGCCACATCTCTACATTGACGGGGGATGCTTGAACAACCCCCCTCACTACACAGACACACACCGTTAAGGCACAAGGGCTGGGGTTGAGCTCTAGATGAGGGACTTTCCTGCTCCTGCAAGGGTGAGCACTGTATACACAGACAAGGAGGGTGCAGTAGAGTGACTCCCTTGGATGGAAGTAGTACCATCAGAACCTACTATTATTATGACATAAATTCTATTTACATACATTGAGAGAATACTACAATCAACACTTTTTCCTGGGATGACTTTAAGAGGTTTGAGCCACAGCACCTGAAGTGGCAAAGATCCATGGTCTTTGTAGGGTATTAGAGAACTCTTCCAGTCACCTCTGAAAGCACTCTAGATCTTGCAGCTGAGTGGATGAAGTGTAACAAATCTGTTGCACGCTGAGAGGAGTCAGAATTAGCATTTTTCATGAAAGTTCCCCACGTCTCTACTAAGAATGAGGAAGAAAAGACTAAGACTAGGTAATTACACAGAGGCTTGAAATGTTACATCACCAGAGCCAAGTCCTCTCCCTTCAGATCAGTTACTGGCTGCTACACAGGGACACCCCCACCTTTTCAGGGCATCCCATGCACTCCACTTCTCAGGATCTAAGGAATTTGACTTTGTAGGGATCCCAGAAAGGGCACTGTGCCACTTCCCCTGGTGTGAATCAGACATACATTGTACATTCATTTCTAAAATTCACTCATGCACCTCAAACCAAGGTCATTATCCAAAAAAAAAAAAAAAAAGCTCTGGGTGGAAGAGTTTGTAAGTTTTAAGAGAGGGTCATTTCTATGTGAGGAAATGCAGAAATGGACAGAATGATTCTTATTCACTGTTTGGGTCTGGAGAATTCCCATTGTGGAAATCTTAGAGATCTCAAGTTTATTACCAAGGGAATAAGGAAAAAAAGGTGAGCAGGCACCAGGCCAAGCAGTGGCTCCCTTGCCAAGGAACCTGAGGCTGCAGGTTTCAGGGACCCCCTTGAAGAAACCTCTCCTGGCCATTGGCCAGGAGAAAAGAGAAGTCTCTCCTGTAGAGTCACAAGAGAAGCAAAAGAGGGTGGGTCACTGGGTCCTGGACATAGCCCCCAACCCCAAGACTTCCCAATATGGAGAAACTACACCAATGTTTAAAAGGGGAAAAGGAAAGAACTTGTACATCAAGGGAAGATGATTTGTAAACACACAGTCCTGTGCAGAAAGATCCCCTTCAGGAGGTGTCTCCAGCATCCCAAAGCTGTGCGCACCTTCTCTTTTCCTGCCTCAGGCCACCTATGCATCCAGCTGCAGCCCATACCCACACCTGAAATCCATCTCTTGAATCCCAGCCAGGTTATATACCACCCCATTGCCATGTCCTGTCCTGGCCAGAATGCATGCTGTTCCCCCAAGCCTCGTGGGAGTGAGGCCATGGGAAACAGAGATGAGCATGTCTGGACAAGTCTGTGATGGTAGTGGATGAGAATAACCCATGGCAAAACACGCACATTCATTAAGAAATAGGGCGACAGATTCCCCGTTGGTGAAGCACTGAAAGGTCTATTACTCTCATAATATTGCTGTTTTATTTTAATCCACCAGAGCTACCATGCAAAACTTTCCTCCTGTGAAACGCTCCAGATAAAGCTCCTCTAATCTCCCCTTCCCTCATGTCCTCCAGCTCAAACCCACCTTCATCCCCCAAACCAATCTGTATCATGCCTGTTATCAGAGAGGCACAGAAAGATGGGCAGTGCCTCCGTTGTCACCATTCCCCACACCCCTACACACCCCCACACCCTCCCCTCCAGGCTCCACGACTTCACAGTCTTACTGTTGTAAATATCATTGTACAGTTTGTAATCCTCAAATAATCCCATTGTCAGAGGCCTCGCCTGATGGGCCTTCTCACCCTCGAGAAAGGCCAGGGAATCTAGAAGGGGCAACCCTTCAAGGAGAGCTTCAGGGTCATCTCTGTGTGAGACACTATTGTATATTCCTGTAAGATTGCATTTTTATCTAAGGAATGATGTTATTTAAAAAACAAACAAAAAACACAAAAAATAAGAATTGCAAATAAATTTCTTAACAATGTCTACATTGACTTCATTGTATCTTCCCTCTTCCTTATTTCTTCCTTTCTCCTGTTTCCTAGAGGTCACAAATACAAACTTCACTCAGTTATCTCAACTGTCTGGGATCCCCAAAAGGAAGAAGACTGGAGAGAACACAGGAAATATGAATCCAATGATAATACCTAAGTCCATTCAGCAGTTAACCCATCCCCTATTTCTTCCTTCTCATGAAAGAGTTGACAGAAAAATGGCCAAAAGTTAAAAAGGAGACAAAATCAGAGGAATTAAATGGCTAATTCACATGGATTAGACAGGAAAAGCAGTCTCTGAAATTGGTTTTGAAAGGACAGAAGGGAAGAGGGATGGAATGTAGGAGAGAAGAAAGGAGGGGGAGATATGATAATATATAAAGTACTATGAGGACTATACAAATGTAAGATTGCTTTTCTTTTTTTTTGTTATTATAACTTAATCTGATTTCGATAAACCTTTCAGAATAACCCCTTAAGTAAAAATAATTTGTCCCAGAGGATTCTGGGAAGATGGCAGAGTAAGGAGCACCAAGAATCCTCCCCGATAGACAACAAATACACTGGCAGAATCTGTTTTGTTTAACTATTAATATTTTGAAACTCTGGAGTCTAATGAAGGTTTGCAACTTTCAGGGGGAGGCTTGGACAGTAAATCAAGGTTGATTTTGGTCAATTTCAGCTCTTAGTACAGTAGCAGCTAACCCACTCTCCTCCCCTAGCCCACTTTCTACTCCTGGAAGGGTGAGCACTGCATAGACAGGCATGAAGAGATAACCAGTGTGACTTCCTTGGGTGGAAATAGTACCAGCAGAACCTATTATTATTATGAGAAAGTACTATTTATCTCATAATACAGGCAGCTGAGCACTTGTCCAATAGCACCTTGCACACAGCGTGTAGAGGCCAGAGTGGGCTAAAAATATCCTGTTCTTCAAATTTCAGGGATCTTTGTTCAGGATACTTATTGCTGCTTCTAATCACAGAGGTGCAAACACAGAGGTGGGCAGCTACTTTTGTTGCACCTCTCCCCACTGCTGCAAGCCCCTCCACCACTAGCTGAAGTGATTCCAGATAATTTGAAGAACCAGCACCCTTCTTCCCCCTTCACTTTTCTCTTTTTCCTTCTTTGGGAGACAGACATTAAAGACTAAGACACTCAAAAGCAACTGCATATACAAGGAAAATTAGAAAGTGACTGCACATACCCTGGGAAAGAAACAGGCTCAGAAAACACCTAAGAAGACCTGAAGTTTACACCTCATGCCGATGCTTGAGTGGCCTAAAAAAGACAAAAACACCACCACCAAACCCTAAGGAAGGAGGAAACTCTGATTTTCAGGGTTATCACATTCTTAGATTCAAATGTCCAGTTTTCAACAAAAAGTCACAAGGCAAAGAAAGAAACAGGAAAGTGTGGCCCATTCGAAGGAAAAATAAATAAATTAACAGGAACTGCTCCTAGAAAAGACCTGATGGCAGATCTACTCGACAAAGAGTTTAAAACAACTCTCTTAAAGATGTTTAAAAAAAAAAAACTAGGGGAGGAGCCAAGATGGCCGAATAGGAACAGCTCTGGTCTACAGCTCCCAGCATGAGCGACGCAGAAGACGGGTGATTTCTGCATTTCCAACTGAGGTACCAGGTTCATCTCACTGGGAAGTGCCAGACAGTAGGTGCAGGACAGTGGGTGCAGCGCACCCTGCGCAAGCCAAAGCAGGGCGAGGCATCGCCTCACCTGGGAAGCGCAACGGGTCAGGGAATTCCCTTTCCTAGTCAAAGAAAGGGGTGACAGACGGCACCTGGAAAATCAGGTCACTCCCACCCTAATACTGCGCTTTTCCATGGGGCTTAAAAAACGGCGCACCAGGAGATTATATCCCGCACCTGGCTCAGAGGGTCCTACGCCCACGGAGTCTCGCTCATTGCTAGCACAGCAGTCCGAGATCAAACTGCAAGGTGGCAGCGAGGCTGGTGGAGGGGCACCCGCCATTGCCGAGTTAGTTGTTTGATTAGGTAAACAAAGCGGCTGGGAAGCTCGAACTGGGTGGAGCCCACCACAGCTCAAGGAGGCCTGCCTGCCTCTGTAGGCTCCACCTCTGAGGGCAGGGCACAGACAAACAAAAGACAGCAGAAACCTCTGCAGACTTAAATGTCCCTCTCTGACAGCTTTGAAGAGAGCAGTGGTTCTCCCAGCACGCAGCTGGAGATCTGAGAATGGGCAGACTGCCTCCTCAAGTGGGTCCCTGACCCCCGAGTAGCCTAACTGGGAGGCACCCCCCAGTAGGGGCAGACTGACACCTCACACAGCCGGGTACTCCTCTGAGACAAAACTTCCAGAGCAATGATCAGGCAGCAGCATTTGCAGTTCACCAGTATCCGCTGTTCTGCAGCCACCACTGCTGAAACCCAGGCAAACAGCGTCTGGAGTGGACCTCTAGCAAACTCCAACAGACCTGCAGCTGAGGGTCCTGTCTGTTAGAAGGAAAACTAACAAACAGAAAGGACATCCACACCAAAAACCCATCTGTACGTCACCATCATCAAAGACCAAAGGTAGATAAAACCACAAAGATGGGGAAAAAAACAGGGCAGAAAAACTGGAAACTCTAAAAATCAGAGCGCCTCTCCTCCTCCAAAGGAACGCAGCTCCTCACCAGCAACGGAACAAAGATGGACGGAGAATGACTTTGACGAGTTGAGAGAAGAAGGCTTCAGACGATCAAACTACTCCGAGCTACAGGAGGAAATTCGAACCAATGGCAAGGAAGTTAAAAGCTTCGAAAAAAAATTAGACGAATGGATAACTAGAATAACCAATGCAGAGAAGTCCTTAAAGGAGCTGATGGAGCTGAAAACCAAGGCACGGGAGCTACGTGACAAATGCAGAAGCCTCAGTAGCCAATGCGATCAACTGGAAGAAAGGGTATCAGTGATGGAAGATGAAATGAATGAAATGAAGCAAGAAGAGAAGTTTAGAGAAAAAAGAACAAAAGGAAACGAACAAAGCCTCCAAGAAATATGGGACTATGTGAAAAGACCAAATCTACATCTGATTGGTGTACCTGAAAGTGACGGGGAGAATGGAACCAAGTTGGAAAACACTCTGCAGGATATTATCCAGGAGAACTTCCCCAATCTAGCAAAGCAGGCCAACATTCAAATTCAGGAAATACAGAGAACGCCACAAAGATACTCCTTGAGAAGAGCAACTCCAAGACACATAATTGTCAGATTCACCAAAGTTGAAATGAAGGAAAAAATGTTAAGGGCAGCCAGAGAGAAAGGTCGGGTTACCCACAAAGGGAAGCCCATCAGACTAACAGCTGATCTCTTGGCAGAAACTCTACAAGCCAGAAGAGAGTGGGGACCAATATTCAACATTCTTAAAGAAAAGAATTTTCAACCCAGAATTTCATATCCAGCCAAACTAAGCTTCATAAGTGAAGGAGAAATAAAATACTTTACAGACAAGCAAATGCTGAGAGATTTTGTCACCACCAGGCCTGCCCTAAAAGAGCTCCTGAAGGAAGCACTAAACATGGAAAGGAACAACCGGTACCAGCCACTGCAAAAACATGCCAAATTTTAAAGACCATCAAGGCTAGGAAGAAACTGCATCAACTAATGAGCAAAATAACCAGCTAACATCATGATGACAGGATCAAATTCACACATAACAATATTAACTTTAAATGTAAATGGGCCAAATGCTCCAATTAAAAGACACAGACTGGCAAATTGGATAAAGAGTCAAGACCCATCAGTGTGCTGTATTCAGGAAACCCATCTCACGTGCAGAGACACACATAGGCTCAAAACAAAGGGATGGAGGAAGATCTACAGAGCAAATGGAAAACAAAAAAAGGCAGGGGTTGCAATCCTAGTCTCTGATAAAACAGACTGTAAACCAATAAAGATCAAAAGAGACAAAGAAGGGCATTACATAATGGTAAAGGGATCAATGAAACAAGAAGAGCTAACTATCCTAAATATATATGCACCCAATACAGGAGCACCGAGATTCATAAAGCAAGTCCTTAGTGACCTATAAAGAGACTTAGACTCCCACACAATAATAATGGGAGACTTTAACACCCCAATGTCAACATTAGACAGATCAACGAGACAGAAAGTTAACAAGGATACCCAGGAATTGAACTCAGCTCTGCACCAAGAGGACCTAATAGACATCTACAGAACTCTCCACCCCAAATCAACAGAATATACATTCTTTTCAGCACCACACCCACCTACTCCAAAATTGACCACATAGTTGGAAGTAAAGCTCTCCTCAGCAAATGTAAAAGAACAGAAATTATAACAAACTGTCTCTCAGACCACAGTGCAATCAAACTAGAACTCAGGATTAAGAAACTCACTCAAAACCGCTCAACTACATGGAAACTGAACAACCTGCTCCTGAATGACTACTGGGTACATAATGAAATGAAGGCAGAAATAAAGATGTTCTTTGAAACCAATGAGAACAAAGACGCAACATACCAGAATCTCTGGGACACATCCAAAGCAGTGTGTAGAAGGAAATTTATAGCACTAAATGCCCACAAGAGAAAGCAGGAAAGATCTAAAATTGACACCCTAATATCACAATTAAAAGAACTAGAGAAGCAAGAGCAAACACATTCAAAAGCTAGCAGAAGGCAAGAAATAACTAAGATCAGGGCAGAACTGAAGGAGATAGAGACACAAAAAACCCTTCAAAAATTAATGAATCCAGGAGCTGGTTTTTTGAAAAGATCAACAAAATTGATAGACCGCTAGCAAGACTAAGAAAAAAGAAAAGAGAGAAGAATCAAATAGACGCAATAAAAAATGATAAAGGGGATATCACCACCAATCCCACAGAAATACAAACTTCCATCAGAGAATACTATAAGCACCTCTATGCAAATAAACTAGAAAATCTAGAAGAAATGGATAAATTCCTCGACACGTACATCCTCCCAAGACTAAACCAGGAAGAAATTGAATCTCTGAATAGACCAATAACAGGCTCTGAAATTGAGGCAATAATCAATAGCTTACCAACCAAAAAAAGTCCAGGACCAGACAGATTTACAGCAGAATTCTACCAGAGGTACAAAGATGAGATGGTACCAATCCTTCTGAAACTATTCCAACCAATAGAAAAAGAGGGAATCCTCCCTAACTCATTTTATGAGGCCAGCATCATCCTGATATCAAAGCCTGGCAGAGACACAACCAAAAAAGAGAATTTTAGACCAATATCCTTGATGAACATCGATGCAAAAATCCTCAGTAAAATACTGGCAAACCAAACCCAGCAGCACATCAAAAAGCTTATCTACCATGATCAAGTGGGCTTCATCCCTAGGATGCAAGGCTGGTTCAACATACGCAAATCAATAAATGTAATCCAGCATATAAACAGAACCAAAGACAAAAACCACGTGATTATCTCAATAGATGCAGAAAAGGCCTTTGACAAAATTCAACAACCCTTCATGCTAAAAACTCTCAATAAATTAGGTATTGATGGGACGTATCTCAAAATAATAAGAGCTATCTATGACAAACCCACAGCCAATATCATACTGAGTGGGCAAAAACTGGAAGCATTCCCTTTGAAAACGGGCACAAGACAAGGATCCCCTCTCTCACCACTCCTATTCAACATAGTGTTGGAAGTTCTGGCCAGGGCAATTAGGCAGGAGAAGGAAATAAAGGGTATTCAATTAGGAAAAGAGGAAGTCAAATTGTCCCTCTTTGCGGACGACATGATTGTATATCTAGAAAACACCATTGTCTCAGCCCAAAATCTCCTCTAGCTGATAAACAACTTCAGCAAAGTCTCAGGATACAAAATCAATGTACAAAAATCACAAGCATTCTTATACACCAATAACAGACAAACAGACAGCCAAATCATGAGTGAACTCCCATTCACAATTGCTTCAAAGAGAATACAATACCTAGGAATCCAACTTACAAGGGATGTGAAGGACCTCTTCAAGGAGAACTACAAACCACTACTCAATGAAATAAAAGAGGATACAAACAAATGGAAGAACATTCCATGCTCATGGGCAGGAAGAATCAATATCATGAAAATGGCCATACTGCCCAAGGTAATTTATAGATTCAATGCCATCCCCATCAAGCTACCAATGACTTTCTTCACAGAATTGGAAAAAACTACTTTAAAGTTCATATGGAACCAAAAAAGAGCCCGCATCACCAAGTCAATCCTAAGTGAAAAGAACAAAGCTGGAGGCATCATGCTACCTGACTTCAAACAAGGCTACAGTAACCAAAACAGCATGGTACTGGTACCAAAACAGAGATATAGACCAATGAAACAGAACAGAGCCCTCAGAAATAATGCCGCATATCTACAACTATCTGATCTTTGACAAACCTGACAAAAACAAGCAATGGGGAAAGGATTCCCTATTTAATAAATGGTGCTGGGACAACTGGCTAGCCATATGTAGAAAGCTGAAACTGGATCCCTTCCTTACACCTTATACAAAAATTAATTCAAGATGGATTAAAGACTTAAATGTTAGACTTAAAACCATAAAAATCCTAGAAGAAAACCTAGGCAATACCATTCAGGACATAGGCATGGGCAAGGACTTCATATCTAAAACACCAAAAGCATGGCAACAAAAGCCAAAATTGACAAATGGGATCTAATTAAACTAAAGAGCTTCTGCACGGCAAAAGAAACTACCATCAGAGTGAACAGGCAACCTACAGAATGGGAGAAAATTTTTGCAACCTACTCATCTGACGAAGGGCTAATATCCAGAATCTACAATGAACTCAAACAAATTTACAAGAAAAAAACAACCCCATCAAAAAGTGGGCAAAGGATATGAACAGACACTTCTCAAAAGAAGACATTTATGCAGCCAAAAAACACATGAAAAAATGCTCATCATCACTGGCCATCAGAGAAATGCAAATCAAAACCACAATGAGATACCATCTCACACCAGTTAGAATGGCGATCATTAAAAAGTCAGGAAACAACAGGTGCTGGAGAGGATGTGGAGAAATAGGAACATTTTTACACTGTTGGTGGGACTGTAAACTAGTTCAACCATTGTGGAAGTCAGTGTGGCAACTCCTCAGGGATCTAGAACTAGAAATACCATTTGAGCCAGCCATCCCATTACTGGGTATATACCCAAAGGATTATAAATCATGCTGCTATAAAGACACATGCACACGTATGTTTATTGCAGCACTATTCACAATAGCAAAGACTTGGAACCAACCTAATTGTCCAACAACGATAGACTGGATTAAGAAAATGTGGCACATATACACCATGGAATACTATGCAGCCATAAAAAATGATGAGTTCATGTCCTTTGCAGGGACATGGATGAAACTAGAAACCATCATTCTCAGCAAACTATCGCAAGGACAAAAAACCAAACACCACATGTTCTCACTCATAAGTGGGAATTAAACAATGAGAACACATGGACACAGGAAGGGGAACATCACACACCGGGGACTGTTGTGGGGTGGGAAGAGGGGGGAGGGATAGCATTAGGAGATATACCTAATGCTAAATGACGAGTTAATGGGTGCAGCACACCAACATGGCACATGTATACATATGTAACAAACCTGCACATTGTGCACATGTACTCTAAAACTTAAAGTATAATAATAATAAAATAAAATAAAATAGAAAAAAAACCTAAAGAAAGATACAGAGAAAGTCAAGAAAAAGATGTATGAACAAATGGTGATATCAATAAAGAGACAGAACACCTAAAAAAAATTCTAAATTTGTTTTTAAACAAAAAAAATTCTAAAGCTGAAAATACAATACTTGAAATGAAAAATTTGCTAGGGTGATTTAAAGTCAGATTTGAGCAGGAAGAAGAAAGAATCAGTAAACTTAAATATAGGACAATGAAAATTATTGAGTCTGAGGAACACAGAAATAAAATATTGAGAAAAGTAAACAGAGCCTAAAAAGACCTGTGGGACACCATCAAGCAGATTAATGTACACATTGTTGAAGTCCAAGAAGAATAAGAGAGAAAGAAAGGAGAAGAGATAACATATGAAGAAATAGTAACTGGAATTTTTCCAAATTTGACTAAAGACATGAATATAAATATCCAAACTTAACAAACTCTAAGTAAGATGAAAAAGACCCATACTAAGACATCTTATAGTTAAGTTTTTGAAATATAAAGAGAGACTCTTAAAAGCAGCAACAGAGAAGTGACTTATCACACACAAGAGTAGTCTAAGCAAGATTAACAGAAAATTTCTCACCTGAAACTTTTGAGGCCAGAAGGCAGCAGGCCAGTATTTTCAAAGTGCTAAAAGAGAGAGAAAAACAACTGTCAGAGAAGAATTCTATATGTGGCAAAATTGTCCTTCAAAAGTAAAGAAGAAATTAAAGCATTCCCAGATATGCAAAAGCTGAAGGAGTTCATTACCACTAGACCTACCCTGCAAGAAATTCACTCCTGCAGGGTGAAATGAAAGGACACTGGGCAGTAATTTGAAGCTGTATGAAGAATAAAAGATCTCAATGAAGTTAAATACATGGGCAACTATAACTCTGCTTTTTCTTTTCTACTCCACTTTTTATTTTCTACTTGATTTAAGAGACTAGTACTTAAAAAATACTAATCTAAAAGGTAGTATTATTATAACTTTAGTTTGTAACTCAACATTTTATTTTCTACATAATTTCAAAGACTAATGCATTTTCCAAAATTATTAGTTTGTGTTTTGGAGCACACAGTGTATAAAGATGTAATTTTGGGACAGCAACAACTCAAAGGGCTGAGGACAAAGTAGTAAAGAAGCAGAGTTTTTATGTTATTGAAACTAAACTGGTATAAATTCAAATTACAGTGTTATAATTTTGAGAGTTTAAGTACAATCCCCATGGTAACCACAAAGAAAGTTGCTATAGAATATACACAAAAGAAAATTAGAAAGGAATTTAAGTGCTTTACTCCCAAAAAAATCAACTCAACACAAAAGAAGACAGTAATATAGGAAATGAGGGACAAAAGAAGGTATTAGAAAACAAATGGCAAAATAACAGAAGTAAGTCCCTCATTAGTAATTACTTTAAATTTAAATGGATTAAACTGTCAAATCAAAAGACAGAGATTGGCAGAATGTATTGAAAAATATGAGCCAACTATATGCTGTCTGCAAGAGACTCACTTAAGATCCAAAGACACAAAAACAGACTAAGAGTGATAGGGAAGATATTCTATGCAAATAGTAACCAAAAGAGAGCAGGAAGGGCTACACTAACATGAGAAAAAATAGACTTTACATTTTAAAAAGCTTACAAGAGACATTATATGTTAATAAAAGGTTCAATACAGCAAGAAATTATAACAATTATAAACAGTTTCACACCTAATAAAAGACCATCAGTATATGTGGAACAAAAACTTCAGGCAGAATCAAAGGGAGAAATAGACAATTCTACAATAACAATTGGAGATTTCAATACTCCAGTGCCAATAATAGATAGAATAACCAGAGAGGATAAATAAGGAAATAGAGGACTTAACACAATAAACCAACTATATCTAACAGACATACAGAAAACGTTATTCAGTTACACAAGCATACAGATTCTTCTTAAGAGTACATGGAGCGTTTTCCAGGGTAGACCATATGTTAAGCCACAAATGAAATCGCAATAGATTTTAAAAGTTATCATACAAAGTATCTTCTCCAACCACAGCAGGATGAAATTAGAAATCCAAAATAGAAGGAAAGTTGGAAAATTCACAAATTTGTGGAAATTTAACAGCACACTCTTAACTATTGAATCAAAAAAGTAGATATCACAAGAGAAATTGGAAAATAGTTAGAGACAAATGAAGACAAAAACACAACATACCAAAACCTATGGAATGCAGAGAAAGCAGGGCTAAGGAGAAATTTTATAGCTATAAGTTCTTACATTTAAAAAAAAAAATCTTAAATTAACAACCTCTCCTTACAACTTAAGAAATTATAATGAGAACAAATTAACCAAAAAGGAGGGAAAATTATAAAAATTAGAACAGTAATAAATGAAATAGAGAATGGAAAACAATAGAGAAGGACCAATGAAACCAAAATTGGTTCTTTGAGAATATCAACAAAATTCACAAAGTTTTAGCTAGACAGACAAGGAAAAAAGGAGAGGAGACTTAGATTACTAAAATCAGATATGAAAGTGGAGGCATTACTACCAATTATACACAAATCAAAAGGACTATAAGAGTACTATGAACAATTGTACACCAAAAAATTGGATAACCTAGATGAAATAAACAAATTCCTAGAAAAACAAGACTCACCCAGACTAAATTACAAAGAACTGGAAAATCCACATCATGCTATAACTAGTAAGGAGATTAAATCAATAATCAAAAATCTCCCCATAAAGAAAGACCATGAACCTGATGGCATCACTGGCAAACTCTACCAAACATTTAAAGAACATCAATACCTGTCAAACTCTTTCAAAAAAAATTGAAGAGGAGAGCACACTTCCTATCTCATTCTTTGAGGCCAGCATTACCCTAATACCAAAGCCAGACAAAGATACTACCAGAAAAGAAAAATACAGACCACTGTCTTTTATAAACATTGATGCAAAAATCCTCAACAAAATACTAGCAAGCCAAATTCAGCGGCATATTAAAAGGATTATACACCATAACCAAGTGGAATTTATTCCTGGAATGCAAAGATGGTTCAACATATGAAAATTGATCAATGTAATAGACCACATTAATAAAATAAAGGGGAAAACACATGATCATCTTCATTGGTGCAGAAAAAGTATTTGACAAAATTTAATATCCTTTCATGATAAAGACATTCAACAAACTAGCAATAGTAGGAAACTACCTCAACATAATAAAAGCCATATATGTAAAGCCCACAGTGAGCACCACGCTCAATGATGAAAGACAAAAAGCTTTCCCTCAAAGATCAGGAACAAAGCAAGGATGCCCACTTTCACCACTTTTATTCAACATAGTACTGAAAGTTCTAGCCCTAGCAATTAGACAAGAAAAAGGAAAAAGTCATCTGAATTAGAAAGTATGAAGTAAAATTAGCTCTGTTCACAGATGATATTATCTTCTATGTAGAACATACTGAGGATTCCAGACACCAAAAAAGTTAGAACTAATAAACGAATTCAGCAAAATAACAGCATATAAAGCCAAAGCACAAAAATCAGTTGCATTTCTGTACACTGATAATGAAAAATCTGAAAAAGGAATTTTGAAAATAATTCCATTTACAGTAGCATCAAAAAGATTAAAGTACTTAGGAATTAAGTTAACCAAGAAGATAAAAGACTTATACAATGAAAACTACAAAACATTGCTGAAAGAAATAAGAAAGACATAAATGGCAACATACCCCATGTATGTGGATTAGAAGAATTCATATTATTAAGGAGTGAGTGCCACTGAAAGTGATCTGAAGATTCAATGCAATAACTACCAAAAGTCCTAAGGATACTTTTTGCTGAAGTAGAAAAACCCATCCTAAAATTTATATGGAATCTCAACAGACATCAAATAACCAAAACAATCTTGAAAAACAACAAAGCTGGATGACTCACACTTTCTGATTTCAAGACTTACTATAAAGCTACAGTAGTCAAAATAGCATGATAATGGCATACAGACAGACATACAGACCAATGGAATAGACTCCAGTGCCCAGAAATAAACCCTGTATATAGTCAGCTGATCTTTGACAAGGGTGCCAAGACCATTCAATGGGAGAAAGAACAGTCTCTTCAACAAATGGTTCTTGGGAAAATGTATATCAACATGAAAAAGAGTGAAATCAGACCCCTATCTACTACCATATACAAAAATTAATTCAAAATGGATCAAATACCTAAATGCAAGGCCCAAAACAATAAAACTGCCATAAGAATTAAATTCTGCCATATACTACAACATGGCTGAAACTTGAGGACATTATGCTAAGTAAAAATAAGCCAGTCACAAAAAGACAAGTACTGTATGATTCCACTTATATGAGGTACTTCATGTAGTGAAAATATGCATTTCAATTTTACAAGATGAAGAGAGTTCTGGGGATGATAGTGGTGATGGTTGCACAACATTACGAATGTATTTGATGCCACTTAATGGCTATTTTGTTACGTGTATTTTGCCACAATTTAAAAATTAAAAAAATATAATCTGTCCCCAAAATACACGTATATTAGCTGAATACAGTTGTAGGAACTCTCCTAACCTCTCCCCATTGATGATCAAGTTAATTCTGAGAATTACAGAGCCAACTTCTGCAAGTTGACGTAAGCCAACTTTTCTGCTTCCCCACTAGAACCTCCTTCCACCCTGCCCCATCACCCAGAGCCTGAACCCTGGAGTCTTGAGTTGCATGGGGTGGGGGAAGAGGAGTTCAAGAACTAGAGAGAGCAGCAGAGGATTGACCTCATCTGAAATTGCTGCTTGCCTCGGCTCCAGGAAGAGGTTGCAGGTGTATTTACCAGAACCCGGCACACTAGGTCATAATCTATTGATAGATCACAATCAGCTGTAAAATGTTGTTACCAGTAATCATTAAAGCTTCAAAGTTTGCAAATGACATTCTTAATCAACTATAACAGATTCAAGACTTATAAAGAAATTACTCTTTTTCATTTTGGTATGCTTTCTTGAATGAGAGTAAAAAGAGTGGAGGTATAACCGATGCCAGGAATTAAAAAACCATGGAAGCATTTCACCAGAGTAAAAGTCATCCAACGTGTATGTAGGGCCACACTTCTGCTTTATAATTTGGTGTCAGCTGTTTAGGTCTATCCTGGCCTTCAGCCACCTTTTCCTGCACCAGATCTACTTCTGCCCATTTTATCCTCTATATAGTAATAGTAAGCAGAGCCAAGCATTCTCTCTCTCTATATCTAGCTCTTATTTTATCTCTCTCTCCCACTATTATCATATGGCTTACCAAGTAAATGGCTCAGCAGTCTGGCAATCTCTTGCTCTTCAGAAGCACATTTGGAAATATCAACTTGAGAATTCAGACTGTGGGAAGTGGTGAAATAGAAGACCCTGTACTGACCATGAACCAAACTGCTGGACTGCAATCCAGCATTTACAGAGCTCTACGCTGCACATTATTCAACATTATTCCAGCTAATAATGAAATAGGAGTTATAGTTTTAATTGACTGTAATTTCATGTTTATAATTTTCTAGGGAATCTCACAGGGAGGAGAGGCAGGGCAGGACTTGGCACTCTTGAACAGCTTTAATAACAACAAAATTTCACATAACCCCATAAGATATGGTGGCCACTTAGCCCAGGTGTTTCAGTGATGTCCCCGTTGACATACCATGTGACACAATTTTAGAATCAGAAGACAGTTTATACATTTGTGTGCAACTGTCTGTATGGCATGACTCCTGGGACTCAATAAAGCCTTCACTTCTCACAGCTTATGCATGCAACTCTAGCATCAGTGACTCTGCCCTTCGACTTGAGGCATTACTCTCACAGTGTGGCTCCTGAAACAACTATCAAAATCACATGAGGCCAGGCGCAGTGGCTCACACCTGTAATCCCAGCACTTTGGGAGGCCCAGGCAGGCAAATCAGAAGGCCAAGAGTTCGAGACTAGCCTGGCCAATATGGTGAAACTCCATCTCTACTAAAAATAGAAAAATTAGCCAGGCGTGGTGGTGGGCGCCTGTAGTCCCAGCTACTCGGGAGGCTGAGGCAGGAGAATCGCTTGAACCCAGAAGGCAGAGGTTGCGGTGAGCTAAGGTTGCACCACTGCATACCAGCCTGGGCGATAGAGCGAGACTCCGTCTAAAAAAAAAAAAAAAAAAAAAAATCACATGAGATGCTTGATTAAAACATGGATTCCTAGGTCCCACCCCAGAACTTTTTAACCAGATTCTTCGGTATTGGAGCTCATCAATATGCATGTTAGATAAGCTCCCCACATAGTTTTTTCTTACATCAAGGGACCACTGGTATCAGACTTTGATTCCTTCTAAAATGCAAAGTCACTGGGAGAGGAAATGTATAGTTTTTTATCATTCCATTCCCTTATAGTGGGTAACAAAGGTCTGAGGGTATAATAAAAGACTGGAAAACACGGTTTGATGGAAAATGGGTCCAAAGGCTGTCAGCTTTATGGTAAATTAATGGAGAGGGAGGGAAAATACGACAAAAGGTGGGAGAGTAATGGGTTAGGTAAAACAGCTAGAGGCATCCTAGGGCAAACCTCCTGTTTCACCTACCTGTAAATTTTGATTTGGCTGGAAAAGCAACGAAGTCAGCTAAAGCAGGAGTTCTGACTTCTGTTCCAAGGACCAGGAGAAGTAACAGATGGCTTGATCTTCTGCACATAGCTGCATTTTGGACATCTTATTAGGAAATTTGAAAGGCTTCTTCTGCAAAATGCTTTGTGGGTATCCTGGTCTTCAAAATAGGGCTGTTGTCAGTGGGACTGTCCCTTAGTCATATTTATGGCATCTTAAGTTAGAGGAATGCCAACACTCAACAGCAGGAATTATACCAGTGGGCTAGGGCTTGCCAGTATGAAGAAATAGCAGAGAAGAAAGGATTCTTAGGTGTTGATACAAACTATGTGTTTTCTCCCTCACTGGCCTTTGCATTTTAACAGGAATCAGTCTGGTACCAGTGGCTCCTATCACTAGGTGGGGCAGTTGGCAGGGAGGTCCTGAGGAATTACCCATACTTCAGTCATTCTCCAAAGATAGCAATGATACAGCAGTCACTCCTAGAAATCCTACCTAATGATCTTGAAATTCCAGGCTTCTTTTCAAGAAAGGAGAGGATTTGAGATAATGTTAGAACTAGGGTGACCATATAAAACATGGTCTCAGCCTATAACGTTTGAGAATAAAAAGCACGAGCCCTAAGTTGTTGCAGGCCAACTAAGCTAAGACATTTGATCATCCTGGTTAGAACTCAGGAGAGAAAGTGCAGCCTGCAGAAGATGCAGGATAAGTTGTTACCTGGCATTTGGTAAACGGGAGCCTCCCTTTTCTTCACTCTTGTCCCCTAAAGTCAAGTATCCGCGTAATAATCAGACTGATCTTTTTAAACAAATTAGACCACACCACACCCCTGCTCTAAACTGTTCAAGGCTTTCCCATCACACTTGGATTAAAATCCAGTCTTTGCTGTAATCCATAAAACCCTACATGACCTGACTCCATCTACCTCTCTGCTCTCAGACCTCATTTCCTACATTGTCCCTGTGCTATTCACTCACCTCCAGCTGCAGTAGCCTTCTTTCCAACCATTAAACAACCAACTTTATTCACTCTTGTGCCAGGTATCAGTTTATTGCCTCGCAGCTCTAAATCCATCCTTCTTTACCCTGCTTTGAGATACTAGAGGTGGGTCCTGTAAACATTTCTCCTGCACCAGATGACTCAATGTCAATAGAGGCTTTATCAATAGAGAGCCCTGAAGGGACGCTGCAAGGCAATTGCAAGCTAAAGGGACTTTTCCCCAAATTTGTGTGCTATTTTTAAGCATGGCAGCCCATGCAGTGGTATGTGAGAGATCTGGTCATGCTCATCTCAGTAGCCCTTGCAGACCAGCTCCAGCCTGCCAATGCCCTCTAACTAGTTTCTCCTCCACCCAGAGGCCACTCCTAGAAGCCAACGCTCTGGCCAATGCTCTCTGGAAAATTTCTTTACCACTGGCAGACTGTGCGTGCCAATGGCAGCCATTCTTTCCCAAAAAGGTACAAATCAGTGTTGAAGTGGATGGTAGGGAGAGCTTTTCTAAGTTCTCAGTTTCTTCTTAATTTGCCCCCCTCGGCCCTAGAGATAGATAGCTGCTTTTTGCATTTGCGACTTCTCTTTTGATAATTAATCACCTATCACAAGTTGCAATTATTAATACTAAATTTTTCTCATTTAAATTACTAGTGTGTTTTCTGTTTTCTGATTGAACCCTGCTATAGCATTGGTATTGGGAGTGGTCTGAGAAGATAGATTTTCAAAGATGGGATTTGAGAATTGGATTAGTCATGGATTTGGGTTTGACGGAAGTGCTGAGTTCATTGCCAATGGGAAATCAGATGCTAGTTATCCATGACATACAGTGACATTTCAATAAGTAAGTTAGATTATTACCTGTGGTTGATTATGATGATGTGCTAACTAAAGCAAATGCCTTGGGAGCCCTAGTGGCTACTAAATTTGATTATAACAGCAGTAGTGATGACAACAGTTATTGCAGTGTGGAACTGATTTTCCTGAATGCATTACTGCACTTACAGAAAAGGACAAGCTCAAGATCACAGTCTGAGAGTCCAAACATTTCCATGGCAGTTTTAATACATTTTCACGTCTCATAACCACAGGGCCACTATTGCTGAAAATCGAACACCACATTTAACTGTGAAAGTGGCTAGATTACAATAGCACTGGTATTCACAGCCTTAACAAGTTTTTCATGTAAACATTAGGGAACTGATGGAGAAATAATAAGACCCTGAAAGTTGGAATTGGGAAATCTGGTAGGATTCTAATGAAATTGAGAATCTTACATTTTCAAGACACTCTGATCACCTTTGACAGTGGAAGTAGATCACTTCTACCATGACTAGCCTTCCTTTGCTGGAAAACCCTATGATAACATCATCTGGGGAAGAAGCTTTGAAAGAGTTGTTATTTCTCCTCAAGACTCACTGTAATTAACCCTTGTTGCCCATAGACCCACAACACAAGTCAAATCTCAGCATGTTTCAGACACACGGTATGACCCAGGAGAAAATAGCTCATACATTAAGATAGTTAAATATACACTTTTCATGTGTGTATGTGTATGTGCATGTGTGTGTGTGAGAGAGAGAGAGAGAGTTTGGTTCTGTGTTCCCACCCAAACCTCATCTTGAATTGTAATCCCCACTTTTTTTTTCTTTTTTTTGAGACGGAGTTTCGCTCTTGTTGCCCAGGCTGGAGTGCAGTTGTGTGATCTCGGCTCACTGCAACCTATGCCTCCTGGGTTCAAGCAATTCTCCTGCCTCAGCCTCCCGAGTAGCTGGGATTACAGGCACCCACCACCACTCCTGGCTCATTTTTTGTATTTTTAGTAGAGACAGGGTTTCGCCATGTTGGGCAGACTGGTCTCAAACTTCTGATCTCAGGTGATCCACCCGCCTCGAACTCCCAAAGTGCTGGGATTACAGGCGTGAGCCACCGCACCCAGCCAATCCCCATGTTTTAAGGGAGAGACCTGGTGGGAGGTGAATGAATCATGAGGGCAGTTTCCCCCATGCGGTTCTCTTGATAGTGAGTGAGTTCTCACAAGATCTGACGGTTTTATAAATGTTTGACATCACACATTCTCTCTCACCTGCCACCATGTAAGAGGTGCCTGCTTCCCCTTCTGCCATGATTGTAAGTTTCCCAAGGCCTCCCCAGCCATACAGAACTGTGAGTCAATTAAACCTTTGTTTTATATATATTACCCAGTCTCAGGCAGTTCTTATAGCAGTGTGAGAGTGGACTAATACAATATGTGTGTATAAATATATATATACACACACACAAAAACACACGCATATATAATATACATTATACATTATATACATTATTCTTCTAATCTGCACATGGAACATACCCTAAGATCAACTACATGCTCCGCCATAAAACAAGTCTCAATTTTAAAAAAATTCAGTCATACCAATCATCTTCCCAGACCACAGTGAAATAAAATAGAAATGAATATCAAGAGAAACTCTCAAAACCACACAAATACATGGAAATTAAACAACTTGCTCTTGGATGATTTTTGAATAAATAACAAAATTAAGGCAGAAATCAAAGAATTATTTGAAACCAATGAAAATAGAGATACAACATACCAAAACTTCTGAGATGTGTCAAAAGCAGAGTTAAGAGGAAAGTTTAGGGCACTAAATACCTACATCAAGAAGATAGAAAGATCTCAAATTAACAACCGAACCTTGTACCTAAAGGAACTAGAAAGACTAAAATGAACTAACTCCAAAGCTAGCAAAGGAAAAGAAATAACTAAAATTAGAACATAAGTAAAATTGAGTCCCAAAAAACCATACGAAGGATCAATAAAATGAAAAGCTTGTTTTTTGAAAGGATAAACAAGAAAGACCCATAGCTAGATTAACAGAGAAGAAAAGAGAGAAGATCCAAATAACCCAATCAGAAATGACAAAAGTGACATTAAAATTAATCCCACAGAAATACAAAAGATCCTCGGAGACTACTATGAACATTCCTATGTATGCCAACTAGAAAATCTAGAGGAAATAGATAAATTCCTGGAAATACATGACCTCCTAAGATTGAACCAGAAAGAAACAGAAATCCTAAGAGACAAATAAGAAGTAATAAAATTGTCCAGGTGCAGTGGTTCACGCCTGTAATCCCAGCACTTTGGGAGGCTGAGGCAGGTGCATCATGAGGTCAGGAGTTCGAGACCAGCCTGCCCAACATGGTGAAACCCTGTCTCTACTAAAAATACAAAAATTAGCTGGGCATGGTGGCAGGTGCCTGTAATCCCAGCTACTCGGGAGGCTGAGGCAGGAGAATTGCTTGAACCTAGGAGGCAGAGGTTGCAGTGAGCCAAGATTGTGCCACTGCACTCCAGCCTGGGCGACAGAGCAAGACTCCATCTCAAAGAGAAGAATAAGAAGGAGAAGGAGAAGTAATAAAGTTTAATTGGTAATAAAAAACCTAAAAAAAATCACTGGTCCAGATGGAGTCACAGCCAAATTCTACCAGACATGCAAAAATGAGCTGGTACCTATCTTACTGAAACTGGTTCAAAAAATCAAGGAGGAATTCCTCCCTAACTCATTCTATGAAATCAACATCATTCTGATACCAAAATCTGGCAAAGACACAACAAAAAGAAAACTACCGTCCAATATCCCTGATGAATACAGACACAAAAATCATCAACAAAATACTTAGCAAATTGAATCCAGCAGCACCTCAAAAAGTTAATTCATCATGATCAAGTGGGCTTTATTCCTGGGATCCAAGGATGATTCAAAATATACAAATAAATAAATGTAGTTCACTACATAATCAGAATTAAAAACAAAAACCATACAATCATCTCAATAGACACAGAAAAGCATTCAATACAATCCAATATCCCTTCATGATAAAAATCCTCAACAATAGCCGGGCGTGGTGGCAGGCGCCTGTAAACCCAGTTATTTGGGAGGCTGAGGCAGGAGAATCACTTGAACCCATGAAGCAGAGGTTGCAGTGAGCTGAGATTGTGCCACTGTACTCCAGCGTAAGCAACAGAGCAAGACTCCATCTCGAAAACAAACAAACAAACAAAACACCTCTCAGCAAATTAGGCATTAAAAGAACATGCCTCAAAATAATACAAGACATCTATGGCAAACCCACAGCCAACATCCTACTGAATGGGCAAAAGCTGGAAACATTCCCCTTTAAGAACTGGAACAAGACAAGGATGCCCATTCTCACCACTTCTATTCAACATAGTACTAGAAGTCCTAGCCAGAGCAATCAGGCAAGAGATAGAAATAAAAAGCATCTGAATAGGAAATGAGAAAGTCAAATTATCTCTCTTCACTGACAATATGATTCTATACCTAGAAAACCGTAAAGATTCTAGTGGGAGACTTCTACATCAAATAAACGACTTCGGCAAAGCCTCAGGATATCAAATCAATATATAAAAATCAGTAGCATTTCTATTCACCAATAACACTTAAAATGAAAGCCAAATCAAGAACATAATCCCATTTACACGTATCAAAAAAGTAAAATACCTAGGAATCTAGGATTTCTAAGATTACATCTAAGATTTCTACAAGAACTACAGAGAGGTGCAAATCAAAATCACAATGAGATACCGCCTCACACCAGTTAGAATGGCTATTATTAAAAAATCAAAAAAATAACATGTTGGCAAGGCTGTGGAGAGAAGGCAATGCATTGTTGGTGGGAATATAAATTAGTGCAGCCCCTGTGGAAAACAGTTTGGAGATTGCTCAAAGAATTAAAAATAGAATTATAATTCTATCCGGCATCCCATTACTGGGCATACACCCAAAGGGAAATAAATCATTCTACAAAAAAGACACATTCACTTTTATGTTTATTGTACTATTCACAATAGGAAAGACATGGAATCAACCCAGGTGCCCAGCAACAATGGATCGGATAAAGAAAATGTGGTACATATACACCATGGAATACTATGCAGTCATTTAAAAAATGAAATTATGTTCTTTGCAGAAACATGGATACAGCTGGAGGCCATCATCCTTAGTGAATTAATTCAAGAACAGAAAACAAAATACCACATGCTCTCACTTATAAGTAGGAGCTAAACGTTGGGTACGCATGGACACAAAGATGGAAACAAGAAACACTGGGGGTTCTGAAAGAGAAGCAAGGGTTGAAAAACTACCATCAGCCACTATGTTCACTACTTGAGCAATGGCATCATAAGGAGCCCAAACCTCAACATGACAATATATACTCATGTAAAAAATCTGCATATGTACCCCCTAAATCTAAAACAAATAATAATAATAATAAAATTTTTTTTAAGATTTGGATTGAGTCACTGCAATGAAAAGTCATGGTCTCTCACCCAGTTTCCAGTCCTAAGCCAATTTACAGGCCAAGAGTCCCATGGTTGAAGGGGCAGGACTCTGAAGCTTTGCTATTGTATATGCAGTTAATATTCCTCCAAGACTTCCCTCAAGAGATTTGCAGTCCCTTACTGGAGTGACCAAGCACTGGAGAAAGGGAACTACTCAGACTCCTTAGGGATCACTAGACATTGGCTCTGAGATGCTGCTAATTCCTAAGGACTCATGACATCATTGTGTCCCACCAGTCAAAGTAGGAGCTTATGGTCCCCCTGTAATAGATGGAGTCTCAGCCCAAGTTCCACTCACAGTGACCTTGGTTGCTCCACAAACCCACCCTGTGGCTCTTCTCTCAGTTCCTGAATGTATAATTAGAATAAATGTGCTTAGAAACTGGAAGAATCCCCACATTAGCTCTCTGACCCATAAGGTAAGGGTGATTGTGATACAAGGAGCTAAGTGGAAGCTCCTAGAACTTCCCCTCTTTACCAAGATGGAAGGAACATCACATCCCTAGAGGAAATGCAGAGATCAGTGCCACCGTCAAAGACCTGAGAGATACAAGAGTGGTGATGTCTAACACGTCTGTATTTAGCATGCCTGTTGGGGCCATGCAAAAACTGAACGAATCTTGAAGAACAACTGTGGATTATTGTAAACTTCATCAGAAGGAAATTTTGATTGCAGCTGCTATCCTAGTTGTGGCATATTTACTACAGCACATGGACACAGCCTCTGGCACTTGGTATGCAGGAACGGACCTAGCTAGTGCTTTTTTCCTCCACATTAATTTGCAAAAGATAACTAGAAGTAGATTGCTTTTACTAGGCAGAGCCAAGAATACATTTTGACAGACTTGTCTCAGGACTACATCAGCTCTCCTCCTCTACCATAATACAGCCCAGAGAAATCCCAGTCATTTGACAATCCACTAAACATCACACAAAATACCATTATGCTGATTGAGTCTGACAAGCAGGAAGGAGTAAATCATTTGGATGTCTTAGCAAGACATAAATGACTCAGAAGGTGGAGGATCTATATCACACAAATTGGAAGCCCAGCAGCTCCGTGAAGTTTCTGGGAATCCAAAGGTGTGGAGCGTGTTGAGATATCCCCATCCAAGGTGAAAGGCAAGTTGCTGCACCTAGCACCACTTACCACACACACACACACAAATACAGAGACACACACACACAGACACACACACACACAGACACACAGACACACACACAGACACAAACACAGACACAGACACACAGACACACACAGAGACACACACACACAGACACACACAGACACACAGACACACACCCACATAGACACACACACAGACACACAGACACAGACACAGACACACACAGACACAGAAACACACACAGACACACACACAGAGACACACACACAGACACACACAGACACACAGACACACACAGACACACACACACAGAGACACACACAGACACAGACACAGACACAGACACACAGGCACAGACACAGACACACAGACACACACAGACACACAGACACACACAGACACACACACATACACACACACAGACACAGACACAGATACAGACACACACAGACACACATAGAAACACACACACAGACACAGACACCCACATAGACACACACACAGACACACACACACACAGACACAGACAGACACACACAGACACAGACACACACACAGACACACAGAAACACAGACACAGACACACACCCACATAGACACACACACACATAGACACCCACATAGACACACACACACACACAGACACACACACAGACACACAGACACACAGACACCAACATAGACACACACAGAAACACACACACACAGACACCCACATAGACACACACACACACAGGCACACACACACACACAGACACACACACAGACACACAGACACCCACAGAGACACACACACACAGACACGCAGACACACAGACACGCAGACACACACACGCAGACACACACACAGACACACAGAGACACACATAGACACACACAGACACACACACAGACACACACACACAGACACAGACACACACAGACACACACAGACACACACACACAGACACACACACAGACAGACACAGACACACACACAGACACACAGACACCCACACAGACACACATACACAGACACAGAGACACACACAGACACACAGACACACACAGACACACAGACACACACAGACACACACAGAAACACACACACAGACAGACGCACACAGACACACACACGGAGACACACACAGACACACACAGACACACAGACACACACACAGACACCCACATAGACACACACACACAGACACACACACACAGACACACACAGAAACACATAGACACACACAGACACCCACATAGACACACACAGACACACACACAGACACACACAGACACAGACACACACACAGACACACACAGAGACACACACAGACACACAGACACACACACACAGACACACACACACAGACACACACACACAGACACACACACACACACACAGAGGTGCAAGGCTTGGTAGTCTGTATTTTGGAAGCAACACCTTGTCCTGGTTTTGACCCAAGTCACCAAAAAGTCTGAAAATTTTCAGTAACGATCAGTGCAAGGGAAAGTTCTGTACCAAGTCCAGGCTACAATGCAAATTGCTATTTCACTTACTTTATTATCAAGCTGATCCAATATTTTCTGTGTCTGTGGAAAACAGTAAGGTTTTTGGAGTCTCCAGCAAGCACTAATAGGAGAATCACAGTGCAGACCTCTCAAATTTTTAAATACATATATGCCCTCTTCTGCAGATGAATATTCTCCTTTTTGAGAAATACCTTCTGACTTGCTACTGGCTCTTGATAGAGATCTCTTCATAGCATGTTAGGACCACAGAGGCTGAGCTTTTTATCAGAAATTTTGTGTTATCTTATGTTAGTCAAAAGGTTGGGTGTGCACTGCAGCAATCCATCATCAAGTAGAAATGCTATACAAAATCTGGGCTCAAGGAAAGTCAAGAAACAAGTTATACGGACCAGTGACTCAGATTCCTTTGATACTAACACCTCCTACATTAACTTCTCTCTCCCAGTTCAGGCGTGGGACATCACGAGGAGTTCTGTAAGATCAACCGCCTGAGGAAGAAAGAGCTTGAGACTGGTTTATAGATGTTCTCCATGATAGATTGACCACACAAAAGTAGACAACTGCAGCATAAGACTCCACTAAGGAATGCTACTTTATGGGAGTGAGAGGGAATGGTGAAGGAAAATTCTTCAAGTGGGCAGAATTTTGCCCAGTATCGTTGGTTGCCAAGTTTGCTGGACTGAGAAATGGCCAGAAATAAAAAATCTACGTGACTCATGAGCAGTTGTTAACAGTTCGAATGGTCTTGAACTTGGAAGGAACAGAACTGAAATACTGGTGAGAAAGAAGTCTGAGGAAAATATATGTGGGAGGACTTCTTCTCTGAATTGGCAGCCTGAAGATATTTTTGTCCCACGTGAATGCTCACCAAAGGGCACTCACTGCAAAGGAAGCTCTCAATAATCCAGTGGACAAAATTACACACTCTGTGAATATCAGTCAGCTTCTTTCCTCAACCACCCCATTGACCGCTCAGTGGACCCACGAACAAAATGGCCATGGCAGGGATAGAGGTTCTTCCTGGGCTCAACAATACGGACATCCCCACTGAACTGGGAACTTCACCTGATGGGTCATAATCTACTAACAGAATATATCAACACCGAGCCCCATAAGGATCCATCCGTCAGGGATACCAGCCAGCCTCCTCATGGCAAGCTGATTACCTTGGCTCTCCTTCCACTACTGAGAGAACAGAGATTTGTCCTCACAACAGCAGACACATATTCTGGATATGAATTTGCCTTTCCTGCCTGTGACTAAACCTGGAAGTACCGAATGTAGCCAGCAATGGATATAATGTCTTTGGAAAGAGTATGAGAACTTCACTTGTACAAAGGACAGTTTCAGCTTATTAGGGCATGTGTGTATAGAAGGATATATAGAGAAGTTGGGTGGCCAAACAGATAGACTGTGCCAGTTATCAATGTATTGCCTCCCAACTCCAAATCCATCCCTTCTTTTTCTGCTTTGTTATACTGGAGCTGGACCCTATGAACATTTCTCCTTTACCAGATGGCTTGATGTTACAACTTGTCAATAGTTAATACTAGGACACTGAGAGGCAATAGCAGAGAGAAAGGAATTCCTTCTGGTGTCCTAGTTTTTGGCGCAGCAGCTGGTTCTTTGGTTTTCAGGAGGCTTGGTAGCACCCACTCATGGACTGGCTCCTGCCTGCACCCTCTGGCAAGTTGCTCTGCTCCTACAGATTAGCTCTGACCCAGGAATTCTGCCAAGTTTTTTTAATCATCCAAGGCTACAGGTTTCTGTGGCAGCCACACATTCTTAGTGTGGCTAAGACTCTTTGTTCTCTCCCTCAGCCCTAGAGGTAAAAGCTGCTTTCTGAAATTGCTACTTCTGGACAATTCTAAGTCTTCTTTTTACCATGTTAAGTAGTCAGCCACTTTTAACTAGTTAATGAGTCTTTGTATTAAAGTCTCAACATTCAAATTACTGTGGTTTCTGTGCCTATTGATCCCTGACCAATAGACCATCTCAGTAAGGGTCAGGACCCTTGCCATTGTCACTGCCTGGAACAATCTTCATCTAGACCATCAACTGTTCAAACCCAGCTGCTGACTGACAGCTGTTTCTGTCCAAACTTTCCTTCCTTTATGGTTAAACTGAAGCCTCTGAGGCAGCCTCCATTTATCCTTTGAAACAAGATGGCACAGACCCAACCACTGGGGGCCATTGTCTGCAACCAGGATAAGCCCAGGAGAGTGGACATAAAAGTGTTACTTGTGACATAAACCAGATGTTGAGTTTTGAGGTTTGACTCTCAATGAACATGCTTGAGAACAGTATTTCCACTACTTACAAGCCCTAGAAACATCAAGATTAACTGAGCGGTTGTGGTTATACTCTGTGTGCCCAAAAAGTGTTTGTCAAGTCCCTACTATGTATCAAAAACTGTTTATAGGCACTAGGTATACAGCAACACTTGGTTCTGATTCACCCCTAAAATGTCCCACATCTCTGAGAGGCAATCCCTCTTTTAAATGACTACATAACTCCATGCGTGCATTGGGTAGACCCTCACCCGCATGGTGCCTGCTGGCCTTCCCACAAACTCAACTGCATTTCAAAAGGGAGACTCCAAGGGCCATGCACACAGTGGTGTAGGTAACTCAGTGCACAAAGATCCCCAGCTTAGGATGAGTGTGGAAGGTGGCATCAAGCAGCTCTAACTGCTGAGTCTTGTGCCTGCTGGGGTTGTGTAAGTCCACACACACACAGTTGTAATTGTGTGCACAACTGTACTGGGACCTCAAGTTTCACCTTGCTGAGCCTAAATGTACAACGGAATGCATCTATTCAGGACCACGAGTATTTTTGCAGGACTGGCCTGTGCAAGAGCTTTCTTATCCAGAGAGAAAGCACAGGAGCTGCTGCAGCAGCAGAGTGGTCTCAGTCTTGGACACTCTACTAAGACTTGCTCAGGCCTCTTGCAGTAAGCTGGGTTTGCTGCTGCAAGAAGTGAAGGAGGATTGTTTTCTGGGAGGAAAGAAAAGGATGTCTCCACACATGCCTAATGCTGAGATCGCTCAGCTTCCCTTGGCTCCTGTACCATTGCAGGGGCCCCAGAGTCACTGTGTTAGTTTTCTAATGCTGTGTAACAAATGTCCACAAACTTAGCAACTTAAACCAACATACATATATCATCTCACAGTTGATATGGGAGACCAATCATGGGTCCTTAGCCTGTGGCCTCACAAAGCTGTAATGAAGATATATTCCGGGTTATATTCTCATCTTGAGGCTTGACTGGGGAAGAATCCACTTCAAAATTTATTAAAATTTTTGGCAGAGGCTAGGCATGGTGGCTCGTGCCTGTAATTCCAGCACTTCAGGAGGCCAAGGCAGGTGGATCACCTGAGGTCAGGAGTTCAAGACCAGCCTGGCCAACATGGTGAAACCCCGTCTCTACTAAAAATACAAAAAAATTAGCTGGGCATGGTGGCGGGCACCTGTAATCCCATCTACTAGGGGGGCTGAGGCAGGAGAATGGCTTGAACCTGGGAGGTGGAGGTTGCAGTGAGTTGACCATGCCATTGCACTCCAGCCTGGGTGCCAAGAGCAAGACTCTGTCTCAAAAAAAAAAGTTGTTGGCAGAATCAATTCCTTTGCCGTCTATGACCAAGGTCTCCATTTACCTACAGGCTGTCAGCTGGGGGCCACTCTCAGCTCTAAAAGGGTGCCTGCAATTCTTTGCCATGTATCTCCCTGCATTGGCCTTCTCATAACATGGCAACTTACTTCCTAACAGCCAGCAAGGAAAACTTTTGCTCTGCCCTACTCAAATGGACTTCCACATAACATACTATGATCACAGGAGTGACGTCCTTTACCATACCCTATTAGTTAGAAGCAAGTCACAGTCTCTGTCTGCACGCAAAAGGAGAGGATTGCAATGGGGACACCAGGACACAGAAAATCACCAGGTCATCTTGAGGTGTATATGACTACAGTAGGGGAAAATTTCTCTTCACTCAGGTGATCTGTGAACATCATGCTCACTTGAACAGCACAGACTGGATGCCCCTGCTCTACATCTCAACTTTAGCCCCTGGATGGAGCCCAAGCCTTGGGCACAGCATGGTCACTCAAACTACTTTTGAGGGTGATATGCCTAACACAGGATGAGGTGACTGACCATACCTTCTCTGAAACATCCTCCTCATTCTAATCCCCAGCTTTGCCCATCTCTAAATGTGAAGAGATTTTGCCATGTCTAGTCAAACTCCCTTGTGCTTGCAAACACCAGGACTTGGCAGGGAGCCCCAAAGAGTAGTTAATAACGTAGTGTAGACCTGAGCTAGGCTGCAGCTTATCTCAAGATAGATGGGTCAGGTCTGGGAGCAAGTCACAGTTGGGTTGCTTCCACTGACTCTCGTTCTAACCCCCTTGCCAGACCTAAGCCAATTTTCAGACTGGAGTCCCTTTGTTGAAGGGGTGGGACTTTCAGCATTGCCACAATATGTACAGTAAATATTCTTATAAAATGCCTCCTGTTCCCCAATGGTACTCATCCAGGTATATGTAGTCCTCACTGGAAACTCAAGTGAGGCATCAAGACTGAGGGCTCTCCTAAGAGTTTGGGGAATTAATTCCAAGAGGAAGAAGCAGGGTGACCCTACCCTGAAAGCACAGCTGAGAATTTTTCTCTGGGGAATAATGGCCTTCTCTGTATTTAAAACCAATGCTAGAGAGGCCAGAATACAAGTAAATCGATCTAAAGCTCTTTGTTCCAGGACTACAAGGACTCTTCTGGATTTGGAGACATTGGAAGAAAGCTTAGTGTCACAGGCTTCATGTGAGAATCAAATTAGACAGCCTACGTGAAAGAGCTCTGCAAGGTTCTCAACTGCATACCACCACCCGTATTCAGACAGCCTTAGCTTGGCTGTAGAGAGAGAAAACTCTTAATAGCACAGCAAATGTTTATTTTTTAAAGGAGAAAACCAAAGAAGGTTAGCAGGAGGAAGCCCTGCCCCAGACACAATATTTACAGGAACACAAGCGTTGTGTGAGGGAGAAAAGACTTTAAGTAAGAAAGGTGTTATCCCTCCCAAATTTCAATCATCCAAAACTTAGAACTCAAAAGGCCCCTGAATGCATCATAAAGAGGATGGCCATGCAGGACAAGGTGATGAGGGTGTGGATGGACATCTGATTCTCCAGGGTTACTCACCTCAGGCAGAGAGAGGGGCCAGGGCAGCCATCGGTGCTGTAGTGGTTATTGGCTTTGCTCACCACAGGCAGGCACTGAAACAGGAGAAGGAGCAGAAACACATGCTGGGTGCCAACCTGCAGGAGAAAGCACAGGAGGTGGAAAAGCAAAATCATCTTCTCTGGTGGAAGTTTAGGATGAATTTCTTTGGGGAGGTGGTGTGTTCCTGGATTCCCACCATGTAGCCCTCCTCCACTTCACCTGCTCCCAGCTCCACTCATTCCCCTTCATCTTGCTTATGCCAAAGCTGAGCCATGAATTCCATAAGGAAGAGTAGGACTGTGAAGAGGAAGAAGTACCAAATTCCCATTATAGGATTGCCAAATTTTTTTTCAAAATACTCCATCAAGCAAGGATAGGTGATTTTGCCAGGGCACTGGGAATCTTCACGGGTGGTGGTCCAGGGCACATGGACCACGTACCCCACCACTCCATACATGGCAATTAAACCAAACCACAGCTGCTACCCAATGTAGTAGCCAGATGTTGCTGGCCACAGAGTACAGTACAGGGATCAGTGCAGCCACTGCCGCTGCAGTCATCTCCTTTGACTCTTAGGGGACCAGTGGAATCTAAGACCAGGAGAACTCTGACAGTACCTTAGGAGAAAAAGAAAGGCAAAGAGAGTTCAAGGTCAGAAAGGGAGAGAAGTTGCCAAGAATCCTAAGCACGTCCAAGAAGGCTGCTCAAGTTTTAGATCCATCACGGGCTCTCAGTTTCATATCTCTACAGCTAACCTAAGCAGGGAGTGTTTGTGTTCCCATGATGTGGTTCTTCCTCTCTCTCTGTTTCAGCCTGTGATAAAGGCTGTCCACCTCTGGACACCACACAGCTCAACTGTATTATAATTACATTTGTAGATCTTACCTCTCCTCTTCCTAAATATGAGGAATCAAGCCTTATTCACATGTACAATGCACATATCATCCAGCACAGAGCTTTCATCTAATAAGGAACTAATTATGCTTGACAAATGAATGAATGAATGAGAGAAGGAACAAATACATGAATTTAACAATTTTTCCCTTTTTTCAACTTTTAGATTAAGGGGGTACAGGTGCAGGTTTGTTACACAAGTAAATTGTGTGTCACCAAGGTTTGGTGTATGAATAATCCCTACACTCAGGCAGTGAGCACCTGATAGGTAGCTTTTCCACCCTTACCTCCTCGCCCACTCCCTCCCTCTAGTAGCCCAGTGTTTATTGTTCCCATCTTTATGTTCATGTGTGCTCAATGTTTAACTCCCATTTATAAGTGAGGACATGTGATATTTGGTTTTCTGTTCCTGCATTAATTCACTCTGGATAATGGCCTCCAGCTGCATTCATGTTGCTGCAAAGGACATGATTTTATTATTTTTAATGGCTGCATGGTATTTCATGGTGTATATATACCACATTTTCTTTATCCAGTCCACTGTTGGTGGCATCTAGGTTGATTCCATGTCTTTGCTATTGTGAATAGTGTTGCAACAAACATATGAGTACATGTGTCTCTTTTGAGGAATGATTTATTTTCCTTTGGGTATACACTCAGTAGTGGAATTGCTTGGTCCAATGGTAAGTCCAAGCTCTTTGGGAAATCTCTAAACTGCTTTCCACAGTGGGTGAACTAACTTACATCCCCATCAACAGTGTATAAAGATTCCCTTTTCTCCATAATGTCACTAACATCTATTATTTTCTGTCTTTTTAATAACAGCCATTCTGACTGGTGTGGAATAGTATCTCCTTGTGGTTTTAATTTGGATTTCTCTAACGATTAGTGATGTTGATTCTTTTTTCACATATTTGTTGGCTGCATGTATGTCTTCTTTTGAGAAGCGTCTGTTCATGTCCTTTGCCCACTTTTTATTGGAGATATTTTTGCTCATTGATTTGTTAAGTTACTTTTAGATTCTGGATATTAGACCTTTGTTGGGTGCATAGTTTGCAAATGCTTTCTTTCATTCTGTAGGTTGTCTGTTTACTCTGTTGACAGTTTATTTTGCTGAGCAGAAGCTCTTTAGTTTAATTAGGCCTCACTTGTCCATTTTTGGCTTTGGTAAAATTGCTTTTCAGAGCTTAATCATAAATTATTTGCCAAGGCTGGTGTCCAGAATGGTATATCCTAGTTTTTCTTCTATGATTTTCATAGTTTTAGCTCTTATGTTTAAGCCTTTAATCCATCTTGAGTTAATTTTTGTATGTGATGTAATTTTTGTATGTGATGTAATTTTGTATGCTATGTGATTTTTGTATGTGATATAGGAGTCTAGTTTCACTCCTCTGCATATAACTAACCAGTTATCCCAGCATAATTTATTGAGTAAAGAGTCCTTTCCTCATTGGTTGTTGTTGTCAACTTTGTTGAAGATCAGATGGTTGTAGGTATGTGGCTTTTGGGGGTAGGGGTCCCCTATCCTGTTCCAATGGTCTAGGTGTCTATTTTTCTACCAGTACCATACTGTTTTGGTTACAGACTGGTAGTGTGATGACTCTAGCTTTGTTCTTCTTGCTTAAAATTGCTTTGGCTATTTGGGCTCTTTTTTGGTTCCATAAGAATTGTAGCATAGCTTTTCATAATTCTGTGAAAATGGTGGTAGTTTGACAGCTTTGGGCAGTATGGCCATTTTAACGATATTGATTTTTCCAGTTTATGAGCATGGGATATTTTTCCGTTTGTTTGTGTTACCTATGATTTCTTCTAGCAGTGTTTTGTAGTTCTCCTTGTAAAGAGCTCTCACCTCCTTGGTTAGATGTATTCCAAGGTGGGTTTTGTGTATGTGTGGCTATTACAAATGGGATTGCATTCTTGATTTGGCTCTCAGCTTGAATGTTATTGGTGTACAGAAATGCCACTGATTGGGCCGCACATGGTGGCTCATGCCTGTAATCCCAGCACTTTGGGAGGCCGAGGTGGGGGTATCACGAGGTCAAGAGATGGAGACCATCCTGGCCAACACAGTGAAACCCTGTCTCTACTAAAAATACAAAAATTAGCTGGGCGTGGTGGCGCATGCCTGTAATCCCAGCTACTCAGGAGGCTGAGGCAGGAGAATCACTTGAACCCAGGAGGCAGAGGTTACAATGAGCCAAGATGGTGCCACTGCACTCCAGCCTGGTGAGAGAGCGAGACTCCATCTAAAAAAAAAAAAGAAGAAAAAAGAAATGCTACTGACTTTTGTACATTGATTTTGTACCCTGAAATTTTACTGAAGTTGTTTATCAGCTCTGGGAGCCTTTTGGTGGTGTCTTTAGGGTTTTCTAGGTATAGAATCATATAATCAGTGAAGAGAGATAATTTCACATCTTCTTTTTTTATTAGGATGCCTTTTACTTCTTTCACTTGCCTGATTGCTCTGGCTGGGACTTTCAGTTCTATGTTGAATAGGAGTGGTGAGAGTGGACATCCTTGTCTTATTTTAGTTTTTAGGGGGAATGCTTCCAGCTTTTGTTCATTTAGTATAATGTTGGTTGTGCGTTTGTCATAGACGGCTGTTATTATTTTGAGGTATGTTCCTTCAATGCCTAGTTTGTTGAGGGTTTTTATTATGAAAGTATGTCAGATTTTACCTGCTGCTTTTCCCGTGTGTATTGAGATGATCATATGGTTTTTGTTTTTAATTGTTTATGTAGTGAATTACATTTATTGATTTGCATATGTTGAAACAGCCTTACCTCCCAGGAACAAAGGCCACTTGATCATGGTGAATTAACCTTTTGATGTGCTGCTGGATTTGATTTGCTAGTATTTTGTTGAGGATCTTTGTGCCTATGTTCATCAAAAATATTGGCATGTAGTTTTCTTTTTTTGTTGTGATCTTTGCCAGATTTGGGTATCAGGATCATGCTGGCTTCATAGAATGAGTTAGGAAGGGGTCTCTTCTCCTCAATTTTTTGGAGTAGTTTCAACAGGATTGGTACCAACTCTTCTTGTATGTCTGCTAAAATTCAGCTATGAATCCATCAGGTCAGAGGCTTTTCTGTTTGGTAAGTTTTTTATTACTGACTCAATTTCAGAACTTGGCGTTGGTTTGTGAAGAGTTTTGATTTCTTCCTAATGAAGTTTTGGAAGGTTATGTATTTCCAGGAATTTTTCCACTTCCTCTAAATTTTCTACTTTGTATATAGAAAATAGAGGTGTTCATAATACTCTCTGAGGATTTTTTGTATTTCTGTGGGATTAGTTGTAATATCACCTTTGTCGTTTCTGATTGTGCTTATTTGGAACTTCTCTCTTTATCTTTGTTAATCCAGCTAATGGTCTATCAATCTTGTTGATTTCTTCAAAGAACAAGCTTTTGTTTGTAGTGAGTCTTTGTATGGATTTTTGGGTCTCAATTTCATCCAGGTATGCTCTAATTTTGGTTATTTCTTTTATTCTGCTAGATTTGGGTTCAGTTTGTTCTTGTTTCTCTAGGTGCAATATTAAATTGTTAATTTGACATTCTTCTAACTTCTTGATGTAGGTGTTTCATGCTATAAACTTTCCTCTTATCATTGCTTTAGTTGCATCCCACAGATTTTGGTATGTTGTGTCTCTACTCTCTGGCCCTGTTAACCACTATTGTACCTTCTATAGTCAAATTCAGAAGAATTTCATTTGAATTTGACTACTCTAGGTACATCACATAAGTGAAATCATAGAATATTTATCTTATTATGACTAATTTATTTCTCTTAGCATATCTTCAAGGTTCATTCAGGTTGTAGCATGCATCAGAAGTTTCTTCCCCTTAAAAGCTGAATAATATTCCACAATAAGTATATATCACATTCTATTTATCCATCCATCAATCACTGAACATTTGGGTTGTTTCTACCTTTTGGCTATTGTAAATAAAACCTTCTATGGACATAAGTGTACAAATATCTGTCGAAGTCCTTGCTTTTGCTTATTTTGGGTAAATAACCAGAGAGGGAATTGCTGGATAATATAGTAAACCTGTGTTTCATCTTTTGAGGAATCATCACACCATTTTTTTTTTTTAAGGCAGAGTCTCGCTCTGCTGCCAGGCTGGAGCGCAGTGGTGAGATCTCACTCACTGCAACCTCCGCCTCCCAGGTTCAAGCAATTCTCCTGCCTCAGCCTCCCAAGTAGCTGGGATTACAGTCGCGCGCCACCACCCCCAGCTACTTTTTGTATTTTTAGTAGAGACAGGGTTTCGCCATGTTGGCCAGGCTGGTCTTGAACTCCTGACCTCAGGTGATCTGCCCACCTTGGCCTCCCAAAGTGCTGGAATTACAGGCATGAGCCACTGCGCCCGGCCGCACCACACCATTTTCTACAGCAGCTGCACCATTTTACATTCCTCCCAGCAATGCACAAGGGTTCAAATTTCTCCACATCCTTGCCAACATGTTATTTGCTGGTTGTGTTTTCTTCAATAGCGCTTTTGGTTTTCATTGAATAATGATCTCAGCTAGTGCTGAAGAGTCTCTTTAAAAGCTACCTAAGACTCGGCATATTTTAAATTTACTCCCAAGGATCAGATCACATTCAAGCCGATCACAGGCGGAATCAAGGGGGCAGCCTCCAGAATGGGCTGGCTCTTGTTCCCTCTCCTCCTTAGGTCTCCTACTCAAAGGACAACCTCTCCCCTCCCACCAACTGCTCCACCCTGCAGAATCTTCCAAGCGGCCCCATGAGCTGAGCCTCCTGCCTGTCTCTAAGTCTCCACGAATCACCACGCTCAGAAAAGCAGGTGCAGGAGAGCCTGAAGGCCTAATCTCCAAGAGTTTAGAAGGCAGGTGTTTATGGGATCAGGGGCCTGCTCTGAAGACTGGGCGAAGGCCCTGGGGATGCTCTTGTTGGGACCTGTTTTTTTCTTCCATCTGCCCCTAGATTCAGATGTGCGGCAGTCTGACCTGGAATAGACCATCAGCAGGTCCCACAAGGGTATCAGCACTTTTTCCATTTCTTTCAAACCTCCAACTCCCCTCTCCCACACTCTCATCTCCTCTCATACTTTAAACTGAAAAAACAGAAACTGCCGGCCAGGAAGCGCCTGTTTTCTACCCTTCCAAACCCACAAACCTCCTTTTTCTTCCCCCTTGTCACAAGGCGGAAATACTGCAACTCATCTCTTTGAAGGCCCGTCCAGGGGGTGTTCCAGTTCTCAGCCCCAGACCTCCTCAGAGACCCTGCACCATTCGTCAGCCCCCTCCCTCTAAATTCTCAATTTCTACCTCTACAGTCTTCCCATCTGCAGCCAAAGAGTGTCTCCCATCTCACCACCCATCCCCACCACAACATACCCTCTCTCTCTGTCCTCTTCACAGCCAAGCCCCTTGGCAGAGCGGACACCAGCCTCCATGCTGCCTTCAGCTCCTCACCTCAGATTCACCCTCAACTGCTCCCACCTGGTGAGGTCTGACCGCCCTCTTCTTCAGGCAGGTGATGTGCTGCTGTAATTAAGCAATGTGAATGACTAATTCACTGTTGTGCTTTGTTTTTATCTTGCCTGGAATAGCAGAGCTACATGGGTAGTTAGACTAATTCTATTACACTGGGTTCATGGTACATTTCTTTTCCTTTCCCCATAGTTTTAATGGTTACTTTATAGTTTGATACCACAGATCATAGTATAAGCGACCATAAAGTCTTTGGAGCTAAAAGTTCTAGAAAGACAAGGAGAGACACACCTGGTTCAGTTTGTATTTAACTCAAAAAGCAATTTCAAGGCAATGATGATATAAATTATAGCCCAAAGTGTGAAAAAACAATATGTAGCCATTTAATTCTAAATCCCCAGTGATGGGCATAGAGAAGCTCTCAATAAATGTTTGTCAAGTGTGTAAATGAATGATATAAAGTCAAAAGGGAAAACCACAGATGTTACATGCTTGACAAACAGCATGGCCAACTGTGCGTGCCTACCGACACACACCAGACACCTGCACAGAGAGACGAAACAGGTGAAGCATGGGATGAGGAGCTGCAGGCTGATATCCTTTTGTTGTTGTTGTTGTTTTTTGTTTCTTGTTTAATAGCATCACAGGGAATACAAGGTGGAGGGGGCGTGCCAGAGTGCTCTGCAATACAGTTCTACGCTCTGTGTGTTCCATTTGGTAGAAAACATGGTTTTGGTTCTCTATTCCCATACCCCTTGATGGCAGGAGAGATAAGGTCTCCTTGCAAAACTCCTACCAGGCGGGAGCTGCGGGTATGGTCATCTTTGGAAACAGTCTGCCACTGGGGACTTTAAGGACGTTTCCTTCCTGAAGTTGCAGGAAATCCTATCAAGGCACTTCTGTGATGGTGGATTATTCCTAATGATTCATGGGCCAGCAGGTGGGGCTGCATCTGGCTGGCCTACTCTGTCCCACATAGCGTCAGCCTGGGTGTTCTTGAATGAAGTCCCAGTGGCCAGCAGCTGGGCTAAGCTGAGGATCACTCACACGATGCCTGCCTGGTCCATACACGTCCCCCCACCCCGACCCCTTGCCTGATTGCTCTGGCTGGGACTTTCAGTACTATGTTAAATAGGAGTGGTGAGAGTGGACACTTCCTAACTCAATCTCTTATCTTGAGTTTCTTCGTTGTGTGGCAACTGGTGTCCCCAGAGACAGGATTTCTGTCATGGCACGGCCTCAGAAGCCACTCAACCTCACTTCTGCAGTCTCAGACTCAGGGGAAGGGGAAGGGAAAGGGATGCTGACAGACGCTCCCCCTTGATAGGAGGAGAGATAAGATCTTCTTGCAAAAATCCTGCCAGATGGGAGCTGCAGGTATGGTCATCTTTGGAAACAGTCTGCTGCTGGGCCTTTAAGGACGTTTCCTTTCTGGACCTGCAGCAAAGCCTATTTCAAGGCACTCTTGCTTAGCAGGCAGCCTGGTGAGTAGACTCTAAGAACAGTTTCATGAAGCCCTGGGTGTTCTTTTTAAATATCTCAGTTGACATGAACACAAAAATGAGCAGCTGGGTCTGGAGCAGGTGGAAGAGTAACCTGAGGCCATCTAGTGGCATTAAGACCAGCCATGGTGGGGACCTTTATGCGACCTGCCCACCATGGGCTCTGGAATCTTGACCACAGCCCCTAGCAGGGGACCCTGATCCATTTCTGTCTCTCTACAGTATTACCTGGGGGTTTTAGTTTTGTCACTTGGAATTGCATAAACAGTGTTTTAGTACAGTTATTTTTATTGGGGTAAAATATACGTAACACAGAATTTACCATCTTACCCATTTTGGGCAACATGACACAGTGGCATTAAGCATGTTCACATTGTTGGGCAACTGTCACCACTCGGGAGGCTGAGGCAGGAAAATTGCTTGAACCTGGGAGGCGGAGGTTGCAGTGAGCTGAGATCACGCCACTGCACTCCAGCCTGGGCAACAGAGCAAGACTCTGTCTCAAAAAAGGAGAAGAAGAAGGAGAAGGAGAAGTGAATTCATACAATATTTGTTCCTTTGTGTCTGGCTTATTTCACTTCACGTGATGCCCTCAAGGTTCATCCATGTCATAGCATGTGTCAGAATTCCATCCCCTTTCAAGGGTAGATAATATTCCATTGTATGAGTAGACCACACTTTTATATATTCATTCATCAGGGAATGCTTGAGTGGTCTCTACCTTTGGGCTATTGCGAATAAGCCTTCTGTGAACATAGGAGCAGAAATATTAAAAATGATTCATAAAGGAAAATTTATTCAGCCAGTACTTGAGCATCTGTTCTGGACCAGACGCTGTGCCAGGGACCACGATAAACAAAACTGTAGGCACAGCCAACCGTCTCCTGGAGCTCAGAGCCTAAAGCGGACAGAGAATCAGTGCGGTGAGGTAACCGTCAGGACAGGAGGAACAGGTGCCCCGTGGACACATGAAGCCTGACCCAACTCCAAGAAAAGGCCCCAGAGGGTGGTGTGACTTGGAATCTGGGATCTGAAAAGTCAGACCGGGGCAAGGATGTGGGAGCAAACAGGAGTGGGCAGAGAAAGAGGCAGAGACCCAGGAGCATCTGAGTCTGAGGGTGAAACTTGTAGGTGAGTGGCAAGCACCCAGGCCAAGGGACATGGGGGTTAGAGTGGGTGGTGTCGGCCTTGTGAGCCTGTTAACAAGCTTGGGTTTATCTTAAAATCATAGAAGTCACTGAAACATTTCAAATAAGGAAGTGACAGGATCTAGTCTACATTGTACATGATCAGCCTGTCTGTGGTGTGAGTGGATTTGAGTGGATAAAGGCAAAAGTTCAGGCAGGAAGCTATTGTTCACAGCCAAGCCATCAAGGACAGAGGCCTGAGCTCATTGACTAGCAGGGAAGGAGACAAGGCACAGTTGGTGGGGGGTGACTGAATCCAGGAAGTGAGAGAGAAGTTGGCACTAAGGAAAGAAAGCCACAGGTAGTTATTAAACAGTGGATTCAAGCATAAATCCAGGTGCGGTGAAATATTGATGCTGTCGAGTGGGATCTGGTGCTCATGTTCAGTTCTCTTCCAAGGACCTGGGGATATCTTGGTCTTTGGTCAGATTTTTCTTCATCAGCCTCATTCCCTGCAACCTGTTAGGCCTCCTGGATGACGCATATCCAAAGAGTTACCATTTTCGGAGCATAATCTATGTCCTGTGAGCCTCAAAACAGTCTATAATGAATCGATTTGTGTCCCCCTAAAATTAACATATGGAAACCCTGACCCTTAATATGACTACTTGAAGATAGGGGCTATAGGGAGGTATAAAGGTTAAATGAGGTTGTAAGCATGAGACCTTAATCTGACAGGACTAGTGTCCTTACAGGAAAAGGAACAGATGTTACAGATGTCTTTCTCTGCGTGTACATAGAGAAGAGGCCACGTGAGGACACAGCAAGAAGGCAGCCATCCACAAGCCAGGAAGAGACCCCTCCCCAGAAAACAACCCTGACAGCATCTGAATCTCAGACTTCCAGCCTCCAGAACTGGGAGAAAATGCATTTCTGTTATTTAAGCTACCCAGTCTGTGATATTCAGTATGACAGCCCAAGCAAGCTATGCACAGTCTTTAAGAGGTAGGCATTATCATCCCCGTTTATAGATGAGGAAACAGGCTCAGAGAGATTGACTTGACTAAGATCCACAGGTGGTAAGCTGCTCATCCGCTGCCCTGCAGTGGAGTCTTCCTTATAGCAAGCCTTTTGTTTTTGCAGAGAACTTTGTAGGCATATCTTTGAAGAACCACCCATTTGACAACTCTATTTCTAAAGCTCCAGCAGTGGCTCTGCATTACAGCCTGCTGTGCAGATCCACACAACGATGGAACTACAGGGCCTGCTCTGCAAGATCACCCCAGAGATGGCTTCCCAGTCTTGGAGATGCAGAGATTTGCTGTACTTCTCTGTCCTCCTGCAATAGTGACAGATGTTTTCAGTCAGCTATACACTTTTCAGCTGGAAAAGCGTGACTTTGTGGCTATATAGGATTCCCCATGAGTCCCCTGCACCTCTCTTCTGTAACCGCGATGCTACAAAGTGTGCAGAGGAGCCCTGCGGCAGGGTTTCCAGTCACCTTCCTGTAAGCACCCTGCACTCCCAACCGTCTGGCTACAAGTCCAGTGGGACATGAGCCTTACTGAAGCAAGCTTTGACGTTTTAGTTTGAACCAGATGAAATTATGATTTTTAGAGGTAAAAATGATCAAATATCAGCAATTTCATATGAATCAATGTAATCAATGCAGCTGGCCCTCACTCCTGCCCCCTCCCTCTCATTCAATCCTCTCAGGCTGCCCTCAGATCACCCCAGATCCCTGGCTTCCTCCTCCCACCCTCCCTGGCGGAGTCCCCGTGATGGACAGAGATGGACACCTGCGAGAGAAGTCCACAAAGGAAGAGAGAGGAAATGGTCAGAGAGGTAGGAGGACAGTGTCAGGGCCCAGAACCCATTACCCCAACATATGGCCCCTTGGCCTCCTGAGTATTTTCTATGGAAGCAGATGGAGAAAACGGCAGGAGCAAGAAGGTCACTCTCTGACCCACACTTCTCCTTTCTCCCCTGAGCATGGTCAGAAAGGAATTCTCCGACTTGCCTTGCTTGAAAGTAGGTCAGGAGACTCTCATTCCAGAGAGGTCCTGGCTCGGTCCCCATACCCCTTCTCCCCTCTGGCCTCATGAAGCTTCTGCTTAAGGAGGGCTCCATGTCCGTCTTTAGCATCTCAGGGTGAATTAAGTCCCTGCCCTCTAAGGGCATTTTCATGTGAAGCTTTGTTCTCTGTGACATAAGAGGAGAGGGATGTTTAGAGGAGTTGGGGGAGGAGACTCCAGGGGATTTTCTTGTCCCCACAGATACATCTCTCCACATAGCAAAATACATGCAAAGCACCCGGCACAGTGCCCAGCACACAGTCAGTGCTCATGAAGTGTCGGTTCCCTCTGCCCACTGCAGTGGGTACAAACAACACACAGGGTGCCAAGCTTCAGCTTGGTGAAGAGAAACATAGCCCGCGTTCCAGCTCCCGGGCCTTGTCCTCTGCGTCACAGCTCAAGGCTAAAGCAGCTGAGGCCCTGGCATTTCTTGTGGTGAGGATGGACCAGCAAGTCTGTTCCCCGTGGCCCCAGAAGTGCTGCTGCCTGCCTGCTGCTGCTCTGTGTCTCCAGCTCCTCCCTCCGTGCCTCACCAAAGCCCACTCCACCTCCCTCCCCTCCCAATCCTCCTGGAGCTCCCACCTCTCATCTTTCCTTCCACTGTGGGGCAGGTGGCGATCTGTAGGCCGACCCGAGAAAGAACTGCCCCTACCCTGCCTGAGAGGCTCAAAGCCAGGGGCACTGATCCAGCTTTCAGCTCTGAGAGGATGGACCAGGATATTTCCCTGATGCCCTCAGGGGTCTGAGGGTAAAGTGGGTCAGAAGCAAGACAGAGGGAGGCACTGAGCTGAGCACAGATGGGAAAAGGAAGATCTTGTGGCCCAGAGCTAAAGAAGACACAACCCTGTGAGCAGAAGACCCTATCCCAGCAGGGAAAGGCACGTCCTGGTGTGGGAGAGTTGCAAACCCCTCTAGGTAGCTTCCTGCCTGTGCCTTTACTCTAGGGAGCTGGTGTCAGAATCAAGGGCACCATCAAAATAAGATGCCAGGGACATCTCAGCTGTGTCAAACAAATGCCCAAAGACCCTGCTATTGCAGCTGGGGGTGGGACAGCAGCCTCCTCACAGGCCCACCCTGCCCTTTATGGCACAGCCCAGGACCCACTGTCAAAGCTGTCTCTTCCCAGTCTCAAAGCACTGTCTCGTCTGTCGCCTCATTTGTGACTCACTATAGGCCTCTGGGTCAGGCAGGACAAATGTCACTTCAATTTCATATAAAGGGAAACTAAGGCAAGGGGTGCACTAAGTGACTTGGACCAAGGGATAAGTGAATTGAGGTCAGGACTCAGATCTCCTTGGCTCCACACCAGACAACCTGCCACATGGAGGCCTCACCCTAATCTTAACACTTCCATGGATCCATGGCTTCATCAGCCACCACAGGAGTACAAGGCCACAGTAATTGCATGCATGTCCGCATGTGTGTGCAGATGTGCACGTGTGTATGCATGTGTGCAGATGTGTATGTGAGTGTGCATGTGTGCATGTATGTATGAGTGTGTGCAGATGTCCACGTGTGTGCGTGTGTGCAGATATGTACGTGTGTGTGCATGTGTGTATGTGTGCAGATGTGCATGTATGTGTGTGTGCATGTGTGCAGGTGTGTGCGCACATGTGTACTGTGTGTGCATGTGTGTAGATGTCCACGTGTGTGCATGTGTGCAGGTGTGCACGTGTGTACAGATGTGCACGTGTGTATGCGTGTTTGCACATGTGTGCATGTGTGCATGTGTGTATGCGTGTGTGCAGGTGTGTACCTGTTCGCATGTGTGTAGCTGTGCACGTGTGTGCATGTGTGCAGATGTGTACGTGTGTGCACATGTGTGCAGATGTGCACGTGTGTGTGCATGTCACATGTGTGCATGTTTAATGCATTGCTTACTGAGGAAAGAGGAAAAGTGTTGGCAGTTCCTGATGTTTTTCTCCGTCTTGGATATTGTAGGTGTCACTTCCAGGAAAGCCAGACAGCCATGGCATGTCAGGAGGGGGGTTGGGTCCCAGGACAAAACCTATGAAGTGAAGATGAACCCACAACATAGGAGTCCTGCAGTGAGCCCAGCCTGCTCTCCACAGAGATGTGAGCTGCCCTCTCCCAGCCAAGCCCTGGTGTGGGAACAGATGTGAGGAGGCAGGGGCAGGTCCCTGAGATCCCTCCTCTGGGCATAATTTGCTGGAGAGGAGATCACAGAGAAAACATCTGCACAGCCTCTGTTATCTCCTTAGGGGAGCGGGAGCCCCCATCACACACACACACACACACGCGCGCACGCACACACACGCACACACGATGCTTTTTAGTTTGGGCTTTCCTGACCAGAAAAATTCCTAAACATTGTTTCTTAAACGTTTTAGGCTGTAACCAACAGTCATAAAAATGTTTTCTGGTGAGATTCAGTGTACACATACATCTATTGACAATTACACAAGTGTTTCAAGACACTGCTTATAATAAAGCTGCCCAGAAGAGGGCACTGGTGGCAAAGCCAGGCCTGAGATTTTTGTCCTTGCTGGAATTTTTGGAGGATTTTAGCTGCGGATCTAGATCCATTAGAAGGTGGTGACATCCATTTGGTCGGTTATGACTAACCCTTAGAAGAATAGCATAGCGCAGCACAGCACAACAGAAACTATCAGAATGCATCAAATGTCACAAAGGTAAGCACTGTGTTGGGAAACACTTGTTTCATTGCCAATAGATGTGTGTATCTGGGGGTCACCTTGTGAAACGTCTTATGACTGTGGGTGGCATTTACAGCAGTTTGAGACACAGTGTTTAGAAGCTTTCCTGAAAAGATGTCAGAGTGAGGAAGGACTAGCCTTGCAGACTTTTGAAGACAGGAAAGGTGTGGCTGGAGGTGGTGGGAGGGGACACCAGGTGCCCCACCCTGAGGAGTGTGGGGAGAGCGGCAGCCAGGCCAGCACAGCATGCGGCTTCCTGGGGTCCAGTGCTTTCTCCTCAGGAACTGGATGGGAAGAGTAGCAGAAGCACCTCTTTTTCCCCAGCATAGAAAGAAGAATCGAGTGAGTAAGGAAAAGCATGGAAAGAGTCCCAACCAGCGGCGCTTGACAAATCACTCAACTGCCCTGTGCCTTCATGTCCCCATCAGCAAAATGGGGCGGTGGGGGTGACAGACCTTCTACTTTTCTGACTAAGTGAAACACAGTCAATATAAAAAAGGGAAATACCCAAAGCTCCTTATGAGATAACAGTCTCTAAATTGATTTTTAGGGAATACAAATTAATACCTGACCACCTTCCCTAGAAATCAGGAAAAGCATATAATTTAACCTATGTTGGTTTTCTAGAGTGCTTGGTGCACCGAGGCACCTGCTAAATCATGCCTTAAGGAGATCCCACAAACTAGTAAACTAAGAGGGTCTCAGGAGAGGAAGATAACACAGAGAGTTTCTCATTAATTGCCCTAGAGTGGCGGAACCCCGAAGGGTACAGGCATTCAGAGAAGGTTGAGGGCAGGGTGACCTTAGTAGGTACCATGCACAGGGTCAAATACTAGCTGGATCTGCAAGAGCCGGGGTGATTTGCATAAGAAGAAAATATAATAGGGAGGCCTTAGCTAGCTGAGAGTAAGAGCAAGTCTTGAAGGTATAAATACTGCGGTCTGCACTCTACCAGCCTTCCTGCACATCTATAAATCATCCAAGTCTCTGTGCTGTGCCATGAGCAGGCATGGAGTCACCCTCAGAGGTGTAGGGTGGCACCAGGGACCAGCAAGTCAGTGGTCTCATCTGGGAATGAGGTTGGAATGCAGCTGTGCTTCTTGAACTGCAGGCTGACCCAGCAGAGATTGTGAATCAAAATTTTAATAAAAATAGAACAGACTAAAGTGGACTGGGACTCACCAGGGTGCAATGCATGCACTGAGGGTAAGCAAAGGGCATGAGGCTTCATTCCATCAGGTGTGTCTGTGCGTGATGAGAAGCTGTCAAATCTACTTCTCATCGAGTTTCCATCAAAGGCCTGGAAGCCATAGACTAGATGCCCCATGAGGTCCCTCACAGCCCTGCTGTTCACCTACTGAGTGACCGTAGAGTGGTTGTAGGCAGCTGCTTATGTGCTCTTGCTGATGAGGGGGTGGCAGGGCGGGAGAAATCGGGGGACGGGCATAAGTTTGGGTGAAAGTTGAGGGTCACTGGGGAAAACAGCATCAGCTCATGCAAACACGGGAGCCAAGGCCATTCCCCAAAAGAACTTCATGGGCCTAGGATTCTTTCCGCTTTCTCAACACCTTTGACCCCAGAGTGCCTTCACTGCCCCAAGTCAGAACTGCAGGCTTATGAGACAGGCTGCGGGTGAGGAGCTGGCCATTCCCACTGAGCAGGCCTGGAAGATGCCAGGGGCAGGCCAGAACTTCTTGGGTAGGCAACTTCCCCAAACCTGCATGTAAGCACAAAGTGGGCGTCCCTTCACTAAGGATCAGAGCAAAGTGCTTTCTGGGGGTGCAGCTGCCCCTATGGGTGGCCACTTCTCAGCCTCCAGGAACAAGCCCCATGAGCTCTCTGTTCCAGGCTCTCCTACCAGGATGACAAAAATCGGCAACTGATGCTCCCAGAGGAGGACAAGAGGGACATCCGGCAATCTCCAAAGAGGGGTTTCCTCCGCTCTGCCTCACTAGGTAAATGCACCGCTCGCTTTCTGGATGTGGTCGGTGGTTACTCCCTAGAGAACACTGGTCAGGGATGATTGGGAAATCGTTGTGGCCTGCCTCAAATCAGCCCCACACAGTGGGGGCATTTCCAAAGCAAGGAGACAACATTCCAAAGGCAGGGTGTGCAGGGATGAGCCCTGGACACCAGAATACGTCTCAGACGAGGGGAGGGGAAAGGAGGAGTGTCTCGGGCCATAGTTACTGCTCCTGGCACCCCACCAGAGTGTGAATTGTCACAGGCCAGCGTCCTGTTTTCCTGCCCTGATCCTGGCTCTCTGGCTGGCTTTGCAGGTCAAAGAGCCTCCTTCCACCTGGAATGTCTGAAGTGACAGAAGGACCGAGGGGGAGACATCTCTCAGAAGACAGTCCTGCCCTTGCATCTGGTTCATCATCAGGTAGCTCACACTTTTGGACAGGCCACTGTCACCTGCCAGCAGGCCAGACAGTCCCCAGGGTGATGGACAAATCCTGAAGACATCAGTGGGTCTTCCCTGTCTCGATGGCTGGCACGTCCAGGAGTCCAGGAGAAACAGGTCTTTCCATGCCCAAGTTGGTACCTTTTTGGGTGAGAACACTCTGAAAATGAAGACTCTGTAAGTTATTTTGAGCCACACAAGATCAGAGATAGCCATGTCCAAGCATATTTGTGTCTGTCCACAATTGCAGGCTTTTATTCATTTATTTCCATAATAAAAGTCGTGAGCTACATGAAGGGTCCAAGGAGACAATTCTCCATAGAGCCTATTTCTACAAAGGAATTACTCATAGCAAGAGTGCTATGTACAGAAGTCATCCAAAGGGACGTGTAAAGTAACCAACCTTTGGATGGTTACTTTACACCATCCTTTACAATAGGCCTGACAATACACACCCACCACTCCTAAAGGCAAAGAAATAGAACAAATGTTTAGGAGAAGGATAGAGTGGAACCCTGGTCGTCGGGGTTTTTAACCTCATCAAACCATCATAGAAAAGGTGGCAAAGGAGGATGACGGCATCTCTGTCCCTAGAGGCCTAGAATAATTAAAATATATTTAGAAACAATTCAGCAAAGAGGCCACAAAAGGGGCCTGCTGATTCCCAGAAGACCTCTTTAAATCCCAAGGGAGGAAACTACTTGCTGATGGAGCCTGGGCCAATTTTGTTTTTTAAACAAGATCTGCCTCTGAGGCAAATGTCAGCACAGAGAGGACTGGGAGAATGGAGGCAAGAAAAGGGCATAGTTTGACTCCCTCTGTGTCTCTTCCCAGTTCATGGAGGGACGTGTTCAGCTCACTCACCTACAGTGACCAGTGTGGTGGAGCCGCTGACATCTCAAAGATCTATTTGGGAAGGTGAGAAGAGTACTCGTTCCATCTGGGGGTGTTGTCCCAGCCACCTCAGCCTAGCTGGTGGGATGTGGGGGTGTCTGCCGCCCTGTCCCCCCTCTGCTGATGTCCCTCCCCTCAGGCTGTCCAGGTGCCACCTGACACAGGCTGCTGTGCAAAGGCAGGCGGGGAAGCCCAAACCTCACTCCCAGGGAGGCCTCAGCCGCCAGAGTCCAGGTTCTCCAGAGGCTACGATTTGAAGAGGTTGAGGGGGAAGATAGGAGGGAAAGAAGAGTCCTACAACTGTCAGGAATGGGGCACCTTTCCCTGTAACTAAGCAAAGCTCCCTCTTCCCACTGCCCTCCCCAGCCCCAGCTCCCTGTCCTCCCCAACACCTAGTGAGAAAGACGGTGCGTGGAAGGGAGTCCCATGGGCAGATGCTTACACGGCCTCTTTGCGAAGCTTCTTCTGGGTTTAACTTCATTCATCAATTTATTTTTATGTCAAAGCAATGAAACGTTTCTTTCTGGAGCCAGATACCAATATAACAGGTGAACGGGTTTCTGCCACATCTCTACATTGACGGGGGATGCTTGAACCACCTCCCCAGGACACACACCGTTAAGGCCCAAGGGCTGGGGTTGAGCTCTAGATAAGGGAATTGCCTACACCTGGAAGGGTGGACACTGCGTAGACAAACATGGAGGGAGAACCAGAGTGACTTCCTTGTGTAAAAAATTGACTTTCTTGGGGGAGACGAAAACCCAGAAATAATACAAGGTCAACACATGCAATACTAAATTCAATACTTACATGCTAGCAATAAATAACTGGAAATTTTAAATGTTGCAAAAATTACATTTATAATACTTCTGAAAAATGAAATTCTTAGGTATACAAGATTGTCTACTCTGAAAACTTAAAAAGTGCTATAAACAAAATCAAAGAAGGTCTAAATAAATGAAGAGATATTCACGGATGGGAAGATTCAACATAGTAAAAATTTCAATTCTCCCCAGATTGATCTGTAACTTAAATACAAATCCATCAAAATCCTAGCATAGGATATTTTGTCTATATAGACAAACTGATTTTTAAATTTATATGCAAAAGTGAAGGTAAAAAGATGAATTTAGTTTCATTTAGATGAAAATACTGTGCTACAGTATTTTAAGTCCTACTTTAATGCAAGAGTAATCACAATCATGTGGTTTATTGAAGGAATGGACACAGAGACCAATGGAACAGAATACAGAGTACAGAAATGAATCTACACAAATATGGCCAAGTGATTTCTGACAAAGGTGCAAAAGTAACTCAATAGAGAAAGGGCATTTTTTCCACAAATGCTATGGGAATAATGGAATTTTCATGTGCAAAATTTGAACCTCAACCTGAAATTCCTCCTAATATCAAAATTAGTTCCAAAGGGTCACAGATTTAAATGTAACATGCAAGACTATAAAACTTTTAGAAGAAAACATAGGAGAAATATTCAACATCTAGTTCTTAGACATGACACCAAAATAACAATTCATATGTGGAAAAACTTATAACATGGACTTCATCAAAATGTGGGACTCTTGATCTGTGAAGGATCCTATTAAGAGGATGAAAAGACATGCTACAGACTGAGTGAAAACATCTGCAAGCCATATAGCAGACAAAAGACTTATATCCAGAATCCATGAAGAACTCTCAAAACTCAACACATTTTAAAAAAAAACAATCTCGGCCGGGCGCGGTGGCTCATGCCTGTAATCCCAGCACTTTGGGAGGCCAAGGTGGGAGGAACATGAGGTCAGGAGATCTAGACCATCCTGGCTAACATGGTGAAACCCCGTCTCTACTAAAAATACAAAAAATTAGCCAGATGTGGTGGCACACGCCTGTAGTCCCAGCTACTCAGGAAGCTGAGGCAGGAGAATCACTTGAACCCGGGAGGCAGACGTTGCAGTGAGCCAAGATCACAGCACTGCACTCCAGCCTGGGTGACAGAGCGAGACTCCGTCTCAAAAAAAAAAAAAAAAACAATCCCATGAGAAAATGGGCAAAAGACATGAATAGACATTTCACCAAAGAAAGGATGTGAACAGCACATGCACACATATAAATATGATCAGCACCATTAGCCCCTTAGGGGAATGGAAATTCAAGCCACATGAGCTATTGCTATGCCTGTTAGAATGGATAACATCAAAAAAAAAAAAATTAAAACACCAAATGCTAGCAAGAATGCTAAGAAACTGGACAGCTCATGCACCATTTGTGTGACTAGACCTTCCCTTTCTTCCCTTCCCTTCCCTTCCCTTCCCACAGCCACTGTGGAAAATATTTTGGCAGTTTCTTATAAAACCAAACATACACTTGCCATGTGACTCAGCAATTGTACTCTTTGGCATTTACCCCAAAGAAGGAAAATTTCTTTCTCCCTATTTAAGGAAAAGACCACTTAGCGTCTTTGAAGAATGTTCTTTTTCTTTTCTTTCTTTCTTTTTTTTTTTTTTTTTAACAGATCTCACTCTGACGCCCAGGCTGGAGTGCTGTGGTGTGATCTCACTCACTACAACCTCTGCCTCCAGGGTTTGAGTAATTCTCCCATCTCAACCTCCCGAGTAGCTGGGACTACAGGCATGCTCCACCATGCCTGGCTAATTTTTTTATTATTTTTTTTATTATACTTTAAGTTCTGGAATACATGTGCAGAACGTGCAGGTTTGTTACAAAGGTATACACATGCCATGGTGGTTTGCTGCACCCATTAACCTGTCATCTACATTAGGTATTTCTCATAATGGTATCCCTTCTTTAGCTCCCCCACCCCCAGACTGGCCCGGTGTGTGATGTTCCTCTCCCCGTGTCCATGTGTTCTCATTGTTCAACTCCCGCTTGTGAGTGAGAACATGCGGTGTTTGGTTTTTTGTTCCTGTGTTAGTTTGCTGAAAATGATGGCTTCCAGCTTCATCCATGTCCCTGCAAAGGACATTAACTCATCCTTTTTTATGGCTACATAGTATTTTAAAGTGTACATGTGCCACATTGTCTTTATCCAGTCTATCATACATGGGCATTTGGGTTGGTTCCAAGTCTTTGCTATTGTGAATAGTGCTGCAATAAACATACGTGTGCATGTGTCTTTAAAGTAGAATGATTTATAATCCTTTGGGTATATACTCAGTAACGGGATTACTGGGTCAAATGGTATTTCTGGTTCTAGATCCTTGAGGAATCGCCACACTGTTTTCCACAACGGTTGAACGAATTTACACTCCCACCAACAGTGTAAAAGTGTTCCTATTTCTCCACATCCTCTCCAGCATCTGTTGTTTCCTGACTTTTTAATGATCACCACTCTAACTGGAGTGAGATGGTATCTCATTGTGGTTTTGATTTCCATTTATCTAATGGCCCGTGATGATGAGCTTTTTTTCATATGTTTGTTGGCCACATAAATGTCTTCTTTTGAGAACTGTCTATTCATATTCTTCACCCACTTTTTGATGGGGTTGTTTTTTTCTTGTAAATTTGTTTAAGTTCTTTGTAGATTCTGGATATTAGCCCTTTGTCAGATGGATAGATAGCAAAAATTTTCTCCCATTCTGTAGGTTTCTTGTTCACTCTGATGATAGTTTCTTTTGCTGTGCAGAAGCTCTTTAGTTTAATTAGATCCCATTGGTCAATTTTGGCTTTTGTTGCCATTGCTTTTAGTGTTTTAGTCATGAAGTCTTTGCCCATGCCTATGTCCTTAATGGTATTGCCTAGGTTTTCTTCTATGGTTTTTATAGTTTTAGGTATTAAGTTTAAGTCTTTAATCAGTCTTGAGTTAATTTTTGTATAAGGTGTAAGGAAGGGATCCAGTTTCTGTTTTCGGCATAGGGCTAGCCAGTTTTCCCAACATCATTTATTAAATAGTGAATCCTTTCCCCATTTCTTGTTTTTGTCAGGTTTCTCAAAGATCAGATGGTTGTAAATGTATGATGTTACTTCTGAGGCCTCTGTTCTGTTCCACTGGTCTATATATCTGTTTTGGTACCGGTACCATGCTGTTTTGGTTACTGTAGACTTGTAATATAATTTGAAGTCGGGTAGCATGATGCCTCTAGCTTTGTTCTTTTTGCTTAGGATTGTCTTGGCTATATGGGCTCTTTTTTGGTTCCATATGAAATTTGAAGTAGTTTTTTCTAATTCTGTGAAGAAAGTCAATGGTAGCTTGATGGGGATAGCATTGTCTATAAATTACTTTGGGCAGTATGGCCACTTTCACGATATTGATTCCTCCTATCCATGAGCATGGAATGTTTTCCCATTTGTTTGTGTCCTCTCTTATTTCCTTGAGCAGTGATTTGTAGTTCTCCTTGAAGAGGTCCTTCACATCCCTTGTAAGTTGTATTCGTAGATATTTTATTCTCTTTGTAGCAATTGTGAATGGGAATTCACTCATGATTTGGCTCTCTGTTTGTCTATTATTGGTGTATAGGAATGCTTGATTTTTGTACCCTGATTTTGTATGCAGAGATTTTGCTGAAGTTGCTTATCAGCTTAAGAAGTTTTTGGGCTGAGATGATGGGGGTTTCTAAATATAGAATCATGTCATCTGCAAACAGAGACAATTTGACTTCCTTTCCTCCCATCTGAATACCCTTTATTTCTTTCTCTTGCCTGATTGCCCTGGCCAGAACTTCCCATACTATCTTGAAAAGGAGTGGTGAGAGAGGGCATCCTTGTCTTGTGCCAGTTTTCAGAGGGAATGCTTCCAGTTTTTGCCCATTCAGTATGATATTGGCTGTGGGTTTGTCATAAATAGCTCTTAATTATTTTGAGATACATTCCATCGATACCTAGTTTATTTAGAGTTTTTAGCATGAAGGGATGTTGAATTTTATCAAAGGCCTTTTCTGCATCTATTGAGATAATCATGTGGCTTTTGTCATTGGTTCTCTCTATGTGATGGATTACGTTTATTGATTTGCATATGTTGAACCAGCCTTGCATCCCAGGGATGAAGCCAACTTGATCCTGGTGGATAAGCTTTTTGATGTCCTGCTGGATTCGGTTTGCCAGTATTTTATTGAGGATTTTTGCATCGATGTTCATCAGGGATATTGGCCTGAAATTTTTTTTTTTGTTGTGTCTCTGCCAGGTTTTGGTATCAGGATGATGCTGGCCTCATAAAATGAGTTAGGGAGGATTCCCTCTTTTTCTATTGTTTGGAATAGTTTCAGAAGGAATGGTACCAGCTCCTCTTTGTACCTCTGGTAGAATTCAGCTGTGAATCCTTGTGGTCCTGGGCTTTTTTTGATTAGTAGGCTATTAATTACTGCCTCGATTTCAGAACTTGATATTCAGAATTTCAGAAGGAATTAGACTTCTTCCTGGTTTAGTCTTGGGAGGGCGTATGCGTCCAGGAATTTATCCATTTCTTCTAGATTTTCTAGTTTATTTGCATAGAGATTTTTATAGTAATATATGATGGTAGTTTGTATTTCTGTGGGATCACTGGTGATATCCCCTTTATCATTTTTTATTGTGTCTTTTTTATTCTTCTCTCTTTTCTTCTTTATTAGTCTGGCTAGTGATCTATCTATTTTGTTAACCTTTTCAAAAAACCAGCTCCTGGTGGCTGGCAAGATGGCAGAATAGAAACAGCTCCGGTTTGCAGCTCCCAGCGACATCAAGGCAGAAGGCTGGTGATTTCTGCATTTCCAACTGAGGTACCTGGCTCATCTCATTGGGACTGGTTAGACAGTGAGTGCAGCCCACGGACAGCCAGCCAAAGTAGGGTGGGGCATCGCCTCATCCAGGAAGCTCAAGGGGTCAGGGAACTACCTCCCCTAGCCAAGGAAAGCAGTGAGGGACTGTGTCTTGAGGAACAGTGCACTCCAGCCCAGATACTGTGCCTTTCCCACCGTCTTTGCAACCCACAGAGCAGGAGATTCCCTCGGGTGCCTACGCCACCAGGGCCCAGGGTTTGAAGCACAAAACTGGGCAGCTGTTTGGAGAGACATCGAGTTAGCTGCAGGAGTTTTTTTTCTTACCCAAGTGGCACCCAGAACGCAAGCGAGACAGAACCGTTCACTTCCCTGGAAAGGGGGCTGAAGCCAGGGAGCCAAGTGGTCTAGCTTAGCAGATCCCACCTCCATGGAGCCCAGCAGGCTAAGGTCCACTGGCTTGAAATTCTCGTTGCCAGAACAGCAGTCTGAAGTCGACCTGGGATGCTTGAGCTTGGTGGGGGAGGGGTATCCTCTAACCTTTTTTCAGCGTTCTTAGTTTCCTTGCCTCCGCCGCGCTGCAGTGGATTCCACCCAGTTCGAACTTCCCGGAAGCTTTGTTTACACTGTGTAGAACTCTAGAGCTGTGCTTGGAGATCCGCTGCTCTTTTCCGAGCCAGCAGGCAGGAACATTTAAGTCTGCTGAAGCTGTGCCTACAGCCACTCCTCCCCCCAGGTGCTCTGTCCCAGGGAGATGGGAGTTTTATCTATAAGCCCCTGACTGGGGCTGCTGCCTTTCTTTCAAAGATGCCCTGCCCAGAGAGGAAGAATCTAGAGAGGCAGTCCGGCTACAGTGGCTTTGCCACACTGCAGTGAATTCCACCCAATTCGAACTTCCTGGAAGCCCTGTGAGGTGAAAACTGCCTACTCAAGCCTCAGTAATGGCAGATACCCCTCCCCCACCAAGCTCAAGCATCCTAGGTCGACTTCAGACTGCTGTTCTGGCAGTGAGAATTTCAAGCCAGTGGACCTTAGCCTGCTGGTCTCCATGGAGGTGGGATCTGCTAAGCTAGACCACTTGGCTCCCTGGCTTCAGCCCCCTTTCCAGGGAAGTGAACGGTTCTGTCTCGCTTGTGTTCCAGGAGCCACTGGGGTATGAAAAAACACTCCTGCAGCTAACTCGGTGTCTGCCCAAATGGTCACCCAGTTTTGTGCTTGAAAGCCAGGGTACTGGTGGTGTAGGCACCCAAGGGAATCTCCTGGTCGGCAGGTTGTGAAGACTGTGGGAAAGGCATAGTATCTGGGCCGGAGTACACCATTTCTGAAGACACAGTCCCCCACGGCTTCCCTTGGCTAGGGCAGGGAGTTCTCCGGCCTCTTGAGCTTCCCAGGTGAGGTGACGCCTCACCCTGCTTCTGTTCACCCTCCGTTGGCAGCACCCACTGTCTAACCAGTCCCAATGAGATAAGCTGGGTACCTCAGTTGGAAATGCAGAAATCACCTGCCTTCTATGCTGATCTCATTGGGAGCTGCAGACCAGAGCTCTTCTTACTCAGCCATCTTGCCCGCAAATAATTTTTTTTTAATTTTTATTAGAGACAGGTTTTCACCATGCTGGCCAGGCTGGTCTTGAACTCCTGATCTCAGATGATCTGCCTGCCTCAACCTCCCAAACTGCTGGGATTATAGGTGTGAGCCACTGCGCACCTCCAAATGTTCCTTTTTGATGAGACTTGAGCATTGAGGGAAAATTGTTTTTCTGCTTTTGCCAGACAAGTAAACATAACAACAACCAAAACAACAAAAATGTGAGACTGAGGGAAGCGCAAATGGGCCATTGAGGAAGTTGGGGTAGAAAACAGCGTCTTTTGGGGGCCTGAATAGAATGTTGTAGGTCTGCCAAGCCAGATCATGTTAGATCATCACCTCTTCGATTCCATGCTTCTGGTCAACCTACCCTGTGAGCTAACATGCCCTAACCCAACTTCTCTAACTCTACAGCAGATGCAAGAAGAAAATTAGCTTTTATGGAACACAGGAAATCTTCACAAGTATCCCCCAGACTTAAAACACACATGAAACTATATGAAGATGAGATTCCCAGCTCTACTTTCCCCTTCCCAATCCCCTTTAGCATAACCATTGTCAAGGCCAGGTGCTGACCAGGTGTGATTTCCTCCAGCTGTTCTTCCCTTTTGTTCCCCATGACCTGTCTAACCAGAGAAATACAGCTGACATAGCCACAGCCTTCCAGTACAGAGGAGAGTGCATGCCAGCCCCTTTCATGTCTTCTTCCCATATGCCTAGTTCACAGACCTCATGAATGAAGAAAGAGCTTTAGGCCCTAGGTCCTGGGAAGTTAACATTTTTCTCAGGACCCAAGATGAGATTTCAGTGATCAGCAGATAACCAAGAGGAAATCAGGTTTGCAGCTGCTGGCCTTAACAGGAAGATTTAAACAGTCAGGTCATCCAAATACCAACTCCATCCGCCAACTGTCCCCTGTATCATCATTCCCTTTCCATGATGGCCAATGACCTTGCATGGAAATCCTTCTTGAGTTGAAGGAAAAAGCTATAACCAGACCAAGTCCTCAAGCTATACCTGAGTCCTCCATTAGTCTGATGGGATGCTTCCTTGCATGGCTTCAGCTCTGCAGGAATTCAGAAGAAAGGTGCCCCCTCTGGTCAGAGCAGAGAAAGCTTCCCCTAAAGAGCCACTCCTGGCTGTGATGCCCACTGCAACATGTAAAGAGCTACACTTTCTCTTCCCCTGCCTCCAGCTCCCCTGCTTTCCCACATCACTCCTGCTTTTCAGCTATGTCCTCTGCCTCCTGAATTACCCTGTACCCGAGTACCATTCTTCCTGGGCCCCAGCCCTGTTAAAGCCCTTCACATGCCTTTTTCCCAGTCTCCATATTTTCATATCTCACTCTCCATTCAAATACTTTTACTACCCAAACTTCCTTCCAAATTTTTCCTAACTTAAAAAAATCTTTCAGTGGTTCTCTTTTCTTCAGTTTAGTCTTCACTCAAACTTCCTGACAGTCTAGTCCCCTTTAAATCCGCCAGTTCTCAACGTCCCCAGTCGCTTAAAACCCATTTATTTCCTCCTTTGCCCCTACCGATGGTCTGGTTACTCCTTTTTTGCTCCAACATTCTCCAAAACTTTCTCAAGCACAGATATCGTTCCTTCGTCATCCCCAAATCTCCTGTCACGCTTTTGTCCCCAAGCGTCTTCTCACCCCTTCACGCCACATCACCCCGGTCCTTTAGACTCCTGCGCATTCTATTTCCCCGTTTCCTTCTCACACCCACTTTCTTCCCTGGCTCCCACCACAGCAGTGCCCATCTGCTCCTCCCCGCTCACTCAGGTCTCCTGCTCAGGACGCCCTTGCCGAGGGCGCGGGGCATTTGTACTGAAGAAGGGCTGCAGGAGAGTCGGTGACCCCTCCTTCTACTTGTATGTAGCGGCCCCAAGTGTCCCGGGAGCTGGTGGGGCGCTTGGGCTGTATGAGCCCGGCCGCCAGGAGGCTGGGGCTGCGTCAGGAGCTGTCCGTGGTGCTTAAGCGGCGTCTGCTCGGGCGCGGGGTGTGGCGCGGCGGGTGAGCGCTGTCCCTGGTCCTGGAGAGGTTCCTGGCCCCCAGTGGCAACGGTGAGAGCAGTGGCCCAGAAGGCCAGTACCGGGAACGACGATGGCGGGCACAAGGGTGGGCTTGCAGCAGCTGCTGCTGGTGCTCCCACAGGCTGCGGTTCTCCGCGCTCAGCTCATCCAGCCGCCGCTCCTGCTCGTCGATGCGCTGGCGCTGGATGTGGACGAGGCTCTGCTGGTTCTGCACGATGGATGGCCCAGAGCCCTTGAGGTACAGCACGGCGCGCACCGGGTTTTCCAGCAGGCTCTCGATGCCACCCACCGCCGCCTGCGCCCTGCCTGCCCCTGGGCTGGCGCCTGGGAGCGCGAGGGCGCGGGAACCCAGCAGCCCAGCGGTCCTCTCCCACGGGCCCAGCCTCCCTCCCGCCGCCAGCGCCGCGTCACCGCCACCCCGATTGTCACACACTCACCACGGGGAGAGGCCGCGGCCCAGAGCACCCCTTCCTGTCTCTTGGTGTCCAGAGGAGGCTCTGCCTCCCGCTGGGCAGAGAGGAGAGGGAGGAGGCCAGCGAGAGGGAGCCTGTGTCGGGGCGTGGGAGGGAAGCAGGATAACGCAGGCGACCCGAGAAGGAGGGTGAATCTGACTGGCAAGACGGGAAAGTAGGCGAAGGGGAAGAGGTGATACAGGGAAGGTGCGGTGGGGCCGGTAGGAGAAGAGAAGCAGAAAAAAAAGGAAGAGAAGGGGAGAAGCTGGCAGAGAGGAAGAAGAAAAGGGGAAGGTGGGGGCAAAGAAAGAGAGAAATGAGCTGGAGAAGAGGAAGGCGTGGGTCCCTGAAGGGGCGCAAATTCTTTTCCCAGGCCCAGGCCTTCCAGCGGCTGGAATCCATCTAGAGACCCGCTGAGGAGAGCCCACACTCGCCTCTTGCTCGCAGCAATCTATTGTTCTGGGGAATTCCCTGGAACACAAGGATCCTGGAGCTCTAAGCGACCTTAAAGAGCATCTGGTCCTGCTCCTTCCTTCAGCCATGATAAAACTTGGGGTGGGAAGACTGTTCATGCTGGGTTTTCTCTGGGAGTGAGACCTCAGGACGGTTTTGGCTGTTTCTACTAGGAACACAAACTAAATAAACCAGGCCCTCTGTAGCAAGGGCTAATTCTTCCAGAAACTTCTGAATAAATCATTCTATTTGACAAACATTTATGAACTACAGGAGGAAGTGACTCTTAAAGTGAGAAAAGTTTTCCAGAAAGGAAGGGCAGCATGAGCAAAAGCTCAGAGATACTAATCAGCATCAACCAAATCATTCATTTCTATAATAATTTTATGTAAAGTACCTGACAGATGCATATGTGCAAAGTAATGTACTAGGATCTCCACCAGGCATAGATAAGAAATTATTGTTTCTGTAATCTAATTGATTCCAGTATAGTAGAGTAGATATGTCATGCACATGAATCAGTAAAATATAAGTCAAGATCTCTGTAAGAGCTCTTCAAGCCAAGTGCCACAGGGCTTAAGGGAGGGAGAGGCTTCATTTGACTATGATGATCTGATAAGGTTTGATGGAGGTGTTATTCAAGCTGGACCATGAAGAATGAGAAGGATTTCAACAGGTAGAGACAACAGTGGGCCACAGATGGGGAAGATACAGCAGATAGCAGGAAAAGACTAACAAACAGAAACAGAGCAGTATGGTTTAATCTAATTTGGCAGGGAAATTACCCTCTCTTCCCTTTTATAGGAGCAGGGTAGGAAGAAGGCTGGGATGTGGGTGTTAGCATATTTGTTGTTATGCTGTTGCATTCTTTACACAGGTGGCCCATCAGGCTCCTGTTGACCTCCTGCTCTTCCAGGATAGGCATATTTGTGGGTACCATGTGCCCAATGAGCTGGGCCACCCAACCCCTTCTAGTGCCAGACTTGCATGACCTTATAGGAAGTTATTCGTGCTATGAAAATACAATGACTTCTCTGCAGTTCTGATGTGTTTTTATTTTGCTTCTATCCCATGTACCTTCTTAGCAAAATTCCTTTTGTAAAGAATGAATGAAGGAAGCTTATCCACAGCTGAGCCCACGGTTGGGGGAAACAGCACCCTGGAGGATGCTTTGGTAGTGACCAGCATTCCATCTAAAGAATGGAGGTTGGGGGATGGAACTAGGACACACAAAACCTCAAACTCTTTTCTTCTGAACTTTCTTTGCTTGCCTATTTGGTTTGTTGCCCAGGATTGTGTGCTGATAGAGACAAATACTATAAGTGAAACAGCCTGCAGCATAATTATACATGGGGGTTGCTGAAAATGCAAATTTCTGGGCCCTGTATCAGTCCTGCTGTATTGGAATCACTAAGAATGAGGACCAAGAACTTTCATTTTTTAACTTCTTGCTGTTATTTTTTAAAAATCAACTTTACTGACTTACAATTTATATCCAGTAATAGGCACTCATCTTGATTGCACAGTTCAATGAATTTTGACAAATATATACATCTCCGTAGTCACCACTACAATCAAAATTTCCATTATTGCAAAAAGTAACCTCATGCCCCATTGCAGTCAATCCTCCCCTCCTCAGCACCAGTTAACCACTGATCTGCTTTCCATCAATATATGTTATTTGTGCCTCTTATGGAATTTCACATAAATGGAAATCATACAGCATGTACTACTTCATGTCTTTCTTTTTTGCTCAGCATAGTGCTTTTGAGGCTTAATCATTCTGTTATGGGAATCTCTCGTTTGTTCCTTTTATTTTTGAGTCGTATTCACAATAGATATACCATCACTTATGTATTCACCTGTTGATGAACATTTTGGTTGTTTCCAAGTTCTGGTTATTTTTAATAAAGTGGCTGTGATTTTTTTTTTTTTTTTTTGAGCCAAAGTCTTGCTCTGTCACGCTGGATGTACTGCAGTGGTGCGATCTCGGCTCACTGCAACCTCCACATCCCGGGTTCAAGTGTTTCTCTTGCCTCAGCCTCCTGAATAGCTGGGATTACAGGCATGCGCCGCCACACCTGGGTAATTTTTGAATTTTGAGTAGAGATGGGGTTTTGCCAAGTTGGCCAGGCTGGTCTCAAACTCCTGACCTCAAGTGATCCACCTGCCTTGGACTCCCAAAGTGCTGGGATTACAGGTGTGAGCCACCACGCCCAGCCTTGGCTGTGATTATTAATGGACAAGTCTTTGTGTGGACATATTTCATCTGTTTTATCAAGACTAAAATTATAGAACTGAAATTGCTGGATTACATAAAAATATGTATTTAACTGAATAAGACACTGCCAAACTGTTTTCCAAAGTGATGGTACTTTTTTTTTTTTTTTTTTTTGAGACAGGGTCTTGCTCTGTCACCCAAGCTGGAATGCAGTGGCGCGATCTCAGCTCACTGCAACCTCCATCTCCCGGATTCAAGCGATTCTCCTGCCGCAGCCTTCCAAGTGGCAGGGATTACAGAAGCCTGCCACCAAGCCCCGCTAATTTTTGTATTTTTAGTAGAGATGGGATTTCGTCATGTTGGCCAGGCTCGTCTCGAACTCCTGACCTCAGGTTATCCACCTGGCTCCCAAAGTGCTGGAATTTCAGGAGTGAGCCACTGCGCCCGGCCGATGGTACTATTTTTAATTCTTGCCAGCAACATATGACAGGGTCAGGTATTTCAAATCCTTGCTAACATTTGGTATTTTCATCCCTTTTTTATTTAATGCATTTGAGTGGGCAAGTAGTTGCATATGAATATGGTTTTAATAAGTGTTTTCCTGGTGACTAACACCATTGAGTATCTTCACATGTGTTTTATTGTTTACTTGTGTATCTCCTTTGCCCACTGTTTCTATTGAATTGTCTGCCTTCTTATTTTTGAGTTGTAAGATGTGTTAGGACATTCTTGTATTGCTATAAAGAAATACTTGAGATTGGGCAATTTATAAACAAAAGGGGTTTAATTGGCAAGGTTCTGCAACCTGTACAGGAAGCATGGTGCCAGCATCTGCGTGCCTTCTGAAAAGGCCTCACAGAACTTTTACTCATGGCGGAAGGCAAAGCGGGAGTCAGCACATCAAATGGCAAAGGCAGGAGCAAGAGAGAGTGAGGGGGGAGGTGCTACACACATTTCAACAACCAGATCTCACAGGAACTCATCACCATCCTGAAGACAGCACCAAGCCACAAGGGAACCGCCCCCAAGACTCAAACACCCTATCAGGCCCCACCTCCAACACTGGGGATTACAATGCAACATGAAATTTGGGCGGGGCCAAATATTTAAACTATATCATAAGACTTTTTACTACATTCTGGAAAGCAGTCTTTGTCAGATGTATGTATGGCAAATATTTTCTTCCAGCCTGTGGTTTTCCTTTTCATTGTCTTAATATCTGTTGAAGAGCAAAGATTTTTATTTTGATGGAAAATATACTGATTTTTATTCTATGCTTCATGCTTTTTGTGTCCTATCAAAAATTCTTTGCCTATTCAGGGTTATAAGCATGCTCTCTTGTTTGTTTGTTTGTTTGTTTTGCTGGAGGTTTTATAGTTTTTGCTTTCAAGTTTAGGTCTATGATCCATTCCACGTTAACTTTTGTGTTCAATGTGAAGAGTTAAGGTTCATTTCTTTCTTAAGTGTTTGACAGAACGAAGCCATGTCTGCCCAGAGGTCTATTTGTGGGAAGATTTTTAAACTACACGTTCAGGTTTTTTAATAGGTACAGGACTATTCAGGTATTCTATTTCTTTGTCTATCCATTTTGGTATTTGCCTCTCTGGTAGGCAGAATGACCTCCCAAGGATGCCCATATCTTTGTCCCCTGAACCTATAAATGTGTTACTGTACATGACAAAAGGGACTTTAAAAATGTTATTAAAGTAAAGGTCTGGAGATGAGAAGTTCATCCTGGATTATATGGGTGGATCCAAAGTAATCACAAGTCTTTGTAAGAGGGAGGCAGGGCCTATTCAACAAATGATGCTGGGATAATTGGCAAGCCACATGTAGGAGAATAAAACTGGATCCTCATCCCTCACCTTACACAAAAATCCACTCAAGATGGATCAAGGACTTAAATCTAAGACCTGAAAAAATAAAAATTTTAGAAGATAACACTGGAAAAACCCTTCTAGACATTGGCTTAGGCAAAGATTTCATGACCAAGAACCCAAAAGCAAATGCAACAAAAACAAAGAGAAACAGGTGGGACTTACTTAAACTAAAAAACTTTTGCACGGCAAAAGAAACAATCAGCAGAGTAAAAAGACAATCCAGAGTGGGAGAAAATCTTCACAATCTATACATCCAACAAAAGACTAATATCCAGAATCTACAAGGAACACAAACAAATTAGCAAGAAAAAAGCAAACAATCCCATCAAAAAGTGAGCTAAGGACATGAATAGACAATTCTCAAAAGAAGATATACAAATGGCCAACAAACATGAGAACACGAGTAACATCACTAACGATCAGGGAAATGCAAATCAAAATCACAGTGTGATACCACCTTACTCCTATAAGAATGGCCATTATCAAAAAATCCAAAAGTAATAGATGTTGGCATGGATGCAGTGAAAAGGGAAAATTTCTAACTGCTGGTGGGAATGTAAACTAGTACAACCATGATTGAAAGCAGTGAGGAAATTCCTTAAAGAACTAAAAGTAGAACTGTCATTTGATCCATCAATCCCACTAAGGGATATATACCCAGAAGAAAATAAGTCATCATATGAAAAAGATACTTGCACACGCATGTTTATAGCAGCGCAATTCGCAATTGCAAAAATGTGGAGCCAGTCCAAATGCCCCTCAATCAATGAGTGGATAAAAAAAACTGTGGTATATGTATGATGGAATACTACTCAGCCATAAACAGGAATGAATTAATGGCATCCACAGCAACTGGATGGAACTGGAGACTATTATTCTAAGTGAAGTAACTCAGGAATGGAAAACCAAACATCGTATGTTCTCACTCCTAAGTGGGAGCTAAGTTAAGAGGATGCAGAGGCATAAGAAGGATAAAATGGACTTCAGGGGCTCAGGGGGAAAGGGTGGGAGGGGATGATGGACAAAAGACTACAAATTGGGTTCAGTGTATACTGCTTGGGTGATGGATGCATCAGAATCTCACAAATCGCCACTAAAGACCTTACTCATGTAACCAAATACCACCTGTTCCCCCAAAACCTATGGAAGTAAAAAATTAAAAAAAAAAAAACAAGCCAGAGATGGGATGTGACCAGAGAAGCAGAGGTCGGAGTGATGTGATTGCTGCTGCGAGCCAGAAGCCAAGGAATGCTGGCAGCCGGAGGATGCTGGGAAAGGACGGAAACAGATTCTCCCCTGGAGCCTGCAGAAGGAGCACAGTGCTGTCAATACCTCTATTTCAGCCAGATGAAGCCCAGTTTAGACTCTTGGCTTCTGAAACTGTAAGATACTAAATCTGTGTAGTTTTGGGTCACTGTGTTTGTGGTAATTTATTACAGCTGCAAATGGAAACTAAACTAGGTTTCTAAGGTGGAAACTTAGAGTATTAATTTTAGACTTTTCTTCTTTATTAATTTAAGCACTTAGAGCTGTAAAGTTCCTACCAAGCACTGCTTTTGCTGGAGCTCACAAATTTTGTTTTCATTTTCATTCAGCGCAAAATATTTTGTAATTTCCTTTGTTATTTAAAAGTGGGCACGAAAGGTGGACTTTGGTGTTGTGCCTCGGTTGACCTTGTTAAGAAGAGTGACTGAGACATGTCTCAATCAATTCCAGGTTTAATTAGCCAAATTTGAGGATGTGCTGAGTCCCCACACCCCTTCTCCCCTCTGGCCTCATGAAGCTTCTGCTTAAGGAGGGCTCCATGTCCGTCTTTAGCATCTCAGGGTGAATTAAGTCCCTGCCCTCTAAGGGCATTTTCATGTGAAGCTTTGTTCTCTGTGACATAAGGGGAGAGGGAGGTTTAGAGGAGCTAGGGGAGAGGTCCCAGGGGATTTCCTTGCCCCACAGATACATCTCTCCACAGAGCAAAATACATGCAAAGTACCCGGCACAGTGCCCAGCACCCAGTCAGTGCTCATGAAATGTCGGTTCCCTCTGCCCACTGCAGATGGTACAAACAACACAAGGAGCCAAGCTTCAGCTTGGTGAAGAAGAGGAGCATAGCCCACATCCCAGCTCCCAGGCCTTGTCCTCTGTGTCGCAGCTCAAGGCTAAGGGCAGCTCCAGTGCCAGTATTGCTTGTGCTGAGGATGGACCAGCATGTCCTGTGCCCTGTGGCCCCCAGAAGTGCTGTTGCCTGCCTGCTGCTGCTCTGCGTCTCCAGCCCCTCCCCCACGTGCCTCGCCAAAGCCCACTCCACCTCCCTCCCCTCCCAATCCTTCTGGAGCTCCCACCTCTCATCTTTCCTTCCCACTGCGGGGCCAGTAGTGATCTGTAGGCCTCCCTGAGACAAAACTGCCCCTACCCTGCCTGAGATGCTCAGAGACAGGGCACTGACTAGTGCTCAGCTCCGAAAGGATGAACTGGGATCTTTTCCCAATGTTGATGCCCTCTGGGGTCTGAGGATAAAGATGGAGGGAGGCACTGAGCTGAGCTCAGACAGGAAAAGGAAGAGTTCATGGTCCAGAGCTAAAGAAGACACAACCCGGTGAGCAGAAGACCCTGTCCCAGCAGGGAAATCCACGCCCTGGTGTGGGAGGGTCTGGAGCTCAGGAGGGATTCAGGCTTAGCAGGGACTCAGGCTCAGTGCCCTCTGCTCAGGAAAGCAAACCCCTCTAGGTGAGGCTTCCTCTCTGGGTCTTTACTCCAGGGATCCAGATTCAGAATCAAGGGCATCATCAAAGTAGGATGCCAGGGACACCTCGGCTACAGCCAAACAAATGCCAAAGGCCCAGCTGTCACAGCTGTGGGTTGGCGGGGAGCAGCCTCTTCATGGGCCCATTCTGCCCTTTATGGACTCAGGACCCTCCGTCAAAGCTGGCTCTTTCAACCCTCAGAGCACCGTCTCATCTGTTGCTTTATTTGTGACTCACAACAAGCCTCTGAGTCAGGCAGGGCATATGTCACTCCAATTTCATAGAAAGGGAAACTGAGGCATGTGTTGGGCTAAGTGACTTGGACCAGACGGTAAGTGAATTAGGGTCAGGACTCAGATCTCCTTGGATCTATACCAAATGCCCTCTCACATGCAACCCTCACCCCGATCTCAACACTTCAATGGCTCCACGGCTTCAATGGCTCTCACAAGAGTATGAGCCCACAGCAACTGCATGCATGTTCACGTGCGTGTGCACCTGTGTGTGTGCGTCTATGCTTGTGTGTGCATGTGTTTCTGTGTGTACGTATATGTGCGTGTGTGATGCTTTACTTGCTGAGGGAAGGGGAGAAGGGCTGGCTGGCAGGTCTTGATGTTTTTCTCTATCTTGAACATTGTAGGTGCCACTCCCGGGAGAGCCAGGCAGCCATGGTGGGTCAGGAGGAGATGTCTCAGGATGAGACCTGTGAAGTGAAGATGAATGATGACAGGGAGGCCTGCAGTGAGCCCAGCCTGCTCGCCACACAGATATGTGAGCTTTTCTGCCCTCTGCCCAGGCTGACCCAAATGTGGGAACATGTCTGGGGAGGCAGAGGCAGGTCCCTGAGATCCCTCCTCTGGGAATAATTTGCGGGAGGAGAGGAGATCACATAGAAAACACCTGCACAGCCTCTGTCATCGTCTTAGAGGAACGGGAGCCCCCAACACACACATGCACACACACACACACACACACACAAACACACACACGCACACAATGCCCTTTTTAGTTTGGCCTTTCCTGACAAGGAAAATTTCTAAACATAGTTTCTTAAACTTTTTAGGCTATAACCAACAGACGGTAAGTATATTTTCTGGTGAGACTCAGTGCACACATACATATATTGACAAGTGTTTCATGACATTACTTATAATAAAGCTGCCCAGAAGACGGCACTGGTGGCAAATCTAGGCCTGAGACTTTTTTGTCCTTGCTGGAATTTTTGGAGCATTTTAGCTGCAAACCTAGATCCATTAGAAGGTGGTGACATCCATTTGGTCAGCTATGACTGGCTCTGAAAAGAATAGTACAGCACAGCATAGCGTAATAAAAACTATCAGTGTACATCAAATGCCACAAAGGTAAGTGCTGTGCTGTGACACACTTGCTGAATTGCCAAAGATGTATGTATCTAGGGGGTCTCCTCGTGAAACGTCTTTATGACTCTGGGTGGAATTCGCCGAAGTTTGAGACATGCTGTTTCAGAAGCATTCCTGAAAGAACTTTAGAGTGAAGGAGGACTAGCCTTTTAGGTTTTTTAAGAAAGGAAAGTGTAGCTGGAGGTGGTGGGAGGGGGGACCAGGCCCCCCCGCTTGGGGAGTATGGGGAGAGCGGCAGCCAGGCCAGCACAGCATGCAGCTTCTGGGGGTCCAGTGCTTTGGGTAGGAAGAGTAGCAGAGGCACCTCCTTTTCCCCTAATGTAGAAAGAAGACTCTAGTGAGTAAGGAAAAACATGGAAATAGTTAACACCTAGTTCTTAGAGATGACACCAAAATAACAATTCATAGAAATAAAAACTGATAAAGTGGACTTCATGAAAATGTAGGCCTTTTGCTCTGTGAAGGGTCTTATTAAGAGGATGAAAAGACACGCTACAGACCGATTGAAAATAACCGCAACCACGTATCTGACAAAGGACTTGTATCTGGAATCTAGGAAGAACTCTCAAAACTCAACACATTTAAAAAAAATCCCATGAGAAATCAGACAAAAGACATGGACAGACATTTCACCAAACACAGTAGCTGAACAGAAAATGTGCACATGTAAATATGGTCAGCACCACTGGCCATTAGAGAAATGCAAAATAAAACCACAATGAGCTATCACTATGCCTGTTAGACTGAATAAGATAAAAAAAAAATAACAACCAAGTGCTAGCAGGAATGCAAGAAAACTGAACATCTCATACATCGCTGTGTGACTGAAAAATGGTACGGCCACTTTAGAGAAGAATTTGGCAGTTTCTTAAAAAACCAAACATGGGCCGGGCGCGGTGGCTCACGCTTGTAATCCCAGCACTTTGGGAGGCCGAGGCGGGCAGATCACGAGGTCAGGAGATCGAGACCACAGTGAAACCCCATCTCTACTAAAAATACAAAAAATTAGCCAGGCATGGTGGCGCGCGCCTGTAGTCCCAGCTACTCGGAGAGGCTGAGGCAGGAGAATGGCGTGAACCCGGGAGGCGGAGCTTGCAGTGAGCCGAGATCGTGCCACCGCACTCCAGCCTGGGTGACAGAGCGAGACTCCATCTCAAAAAACAAACAAACAAACAAACAAACATGGACTTCCCATGTGACTCAGCAATTGTACTCTTTGGCATTTACCCCAAAGAATGAAAATTCAGGTTCACAAAAACCTGTACATGCATGTTCCTAAGAACTTTATTCCTCACAGTGGAAACCACCCAAATATCTTTCAATGGTGAAGGAGTCAACAAACTCTAGGATATCCACACAAGAGTAAAAATAAATAAACTACTGATACAGGCAACGGCGTGGAGGATCATAAGAGCAGGAAGCTTGGTGAAAAAGGCCAGTCTTACAGAAGGTTACACACTACACGCTTCCATGTACATAACATCCTCCATATGACAAAACTAGAGATGGAGGAGAACAGAGAAGGGATTTGTGGCTGCCAAGGACACACGGGCAATGTGTGGGGATGAGTCTCAAAAGGAGAATCACAAGGGAGGTGAGTTCCACTCGGTGACGAGACAGTTCTATGGCAATGGCAGGGGTGGAGATGGTTACAAGATACTACACATGAGATCACCTTGCGTAGAATACACACACAGCGCATACAGACACTGAAAGCTGCATAAGGTCCATAGTCTAACAAGGTCCGTAGTCTTAACAATAGCCAACCGATGCCAATGCCCTGGTTTTCTCTCTACTACTTTTGCAACTAACTGTGAATCCACAATTATATCCAAAAAAAAGTTAAGAAGAGAACTAGCAGATAGTAGCAACATGATCATTGATTAGAGTCAGCCCAATGCCCATCCATAGGGGACTGATCAAATAAACTAGAGTCCATCCACACCATGTATGCAACAATAAAAAATAAGGAATATATTTGCCACCTGGTGTGCATAAGTGATAAAAGCAAGATTCAGAGCACTTGGAGAGACTGCACTACCTACTGTGTGAGAAAAAAAGGGAAATCAGAATGTACCAGAAACACACATTTGCTTCTTTCCACAATAAAAATGGCAAGGACAAATCAGAAGCCAATGAATATGGTTCTCCCTAGGGGTGACTGAGGAACAGGTTAAGAGGATCCAGATAGGAGCAAAACTACTCTGAGTACAACTGTAGTTGTAACTTTTTAATTATGTAAATCTTTACATCACCAATATCTTCTATTAAGAAAGGAGAACAGAAATTCTAAAATTTAACACCAATTTTAAAATCTAAATTATATCAATTTCATGCTGTAACCACACAGAAAACGATTACCTCAGTAACTTCTGAACAAAATACTCTGTCTGTAACCCTGAGTGATCTCAATTCTGACAACAAAAGAACTGCAAAGAAAACTGAAGCTTCATGTGGTAAGTGGGGAACAGGGTAATCAAGAGAAGGCCAGAATATCACATTGACCTTAGCATAAAGTGAGCCAAATCTCTAAAAACACAGCCAAGCCAATTTAAACATAGGCAAACTGCCTGAACCTGAACTTCAACCCTTTGAGCCAAGTACTTTATAAACATTGTCTCACTCAGTTGCAGAACAGCTGCATAAACCAGGTACTACTGTTCTCCCATTTTCCCAGAGAAATTGGAGTAGGGAGAAGTGGCATAAGTCCCCAAGGCCACACAGCTAACAGGAGAACCAGGCTCTGGACCTGCAGGGTAGGGAAGTGCAGAGCCCATGCTTCTAACCTTTAATTCCTTGGAGGGAGCAGAGAGGAGGTGGCCACAGCCCTAGCTAAAGAGCAGAAGGAAGAAGGGAAAATTCTCCTCCAAGGGAGCAGACCAACATTGCTTAGACCCTAACCCTGATAACACTTCTCTCAAAGTTCTGTGCCCAAGCTTCATCCTCAGGTTGATCTCTTTTCCCGCCCTTGACTGCTCTGTTCTCAGCTCTACAGGGTTGACAAAATTCATGTCGACCTAAACCCCAGAAGGTGACCTTGTTTGGAAAGAGGGTCTTTGCAGATGAGATCAAGGTAAGGGGAGCTCACAGTGGATTAGAGTGGGCCCTACCTAGTACAATAACTGCTGTCCTTATTAGGAAGAGAACACACACACACATCACACACATCACAGACACACACACACGAGAATGTGCCCTGTGCAAATGGAGGCAGAGCTTTGAGTGATGTGTCTACAAGGCCCGGAACAGAGGGTGCCAGGAACTAGCAGAAGCCAGGAGAGAGCCATGGAGCTGATCTGCCTCAGAACCTCCAGTAGGACTCACCCTGACAACACCTTGACTTTGAACTTCTAGTCTTCACAACTGAGACAATAAACACCTGATGTTTAAAGCCAGCCAGCTATGGCGTGTTATTATGAGAACCCTAGGAACCCAATACACCGACTTTCAAGGGCCTTATCCCACTGACCTCCAAGCAGGCCTGGATCAGTGTGTCTCAGTTCTGGGAGCTCCCACGAGCCTGCAGAGAGACCGTGGGGACTTCCTGAACAGTGACTGAGGAGGAAAGAGGGACTCAGAGTATTGCCTCAATACTGCCCCTTCCTCCTCCTAAACTCTGCTGGGCTCTTTCTCTCCCCCAGGAAGGCTTCCCTGCTAAATTCTGCCCTGCAACTTGTCCCATACATTTCCAAGTGCTGCCTTCCTGCTGTGAACTTGAATGGAGTCCTCTGTTTTTTGCACAAAAGCACAAATGTCTGCTTGGGATATAGCTCATCCTACTGGGTTGAGACTTCCCTGACAGATTCCCCCAGCCCTGCGCTCCCCACACCCTAGGCTGTGCTCATTCTGGGGCTCTGCTCCTGGTGCGTGCTGCTTGGGTCAGTAGCGATGACTAGGAGGTCCCTGGCACCAGGGAAGAAAGAAGGCCGGCCTGGCCATCTGCAGGGCAATCACAAACGCCAGGACAGGGCATTTCTCCCGCTTGCCCTTTCATGAATAATGTGGACCTGCCCAGAAAAAGTGAGTATTTGCCTTTAAACCAAAACCTTATCAAGAAAGTAGGCGATATGCCTGGAAGGTCTCCTACAAGATACTTGTGGGCCCGAATAATGGCAAGAAGCGTGAAAGAAAAGGAAAGACCACACTCTGCAGAACGAAGTCCTCAAAAGAAACCCAACTCCAGATTAAAGCCAATCTTGCTGGGCAGCCAGGATTCCCAGCCTGCCCCAAATACGAGGAAGCCCTGTCAAACGCCCACCCACCACCACCAGAACCACACGAAGCCAACAGTCCCTGAAGAAACCAAACTCTTTCATAAACAGTAGAACATTCTGTTTCAAAAAATTCTTCTTAATATCCTCAAAGAAATCCAAGCAACTATAGCATCAATAAAATGGAACAACCAGTCAAGATAAAGGAATACTCAGAGAGCAGGAAAGAGTTCCTAGGAGGAAAACAGAAGAATGCAGATGAACACACAAACCCTGCCCTCCCTTGTTTCAAAAAATTCTTCTTAATATCCTCAAAGAAATCCAAGCAACTATAGCATCAATAAAATGGAACAACCAGTCAAGATAAAGGAATACTCAGAGAGCAGGAAAGAGTTCCTAGGAGGAAAACAGAAGAATGCAGATGAAGACACGAACCCCCTGCCCTCCCTCCAGGAAACCCTGGTGGCCCTGCAGGAAAGGGACTCAGTCTCCTACCCCTGGGTTCCCTGCAGTGGCTCACCCATGGGCCTTGAGGAAAGTCATGTCTGTACCTTCCAGCCTGGATTCAGCTGTATGACAGCTATAAAGGGAGCGAGTCAGCCGGGCACGGTGGCTCACACCTGTAATCCCAGCACTCTGGGAGGCCAAGGTGGGAGGATCACGAGGTCAGGAGATCCAGACCATCCTGGCCAACATGGTGAAACCCCGTCTCTACTAAAAATACAAAAAATTAGCTGGGTGTGGTGGCACATGCCTGTAATCCCAGCTACTCAGGAGGCTGAGGCAGGAGAATCACTTGAACCCAGGAGGCAGAGGTTGCAGTGAGCCGAGATCACGCCACTGCACTCCAGCCTGGGCAACAGAGCAAGACTCCATCTCAAAAATAATAATAATAATAATAATAATAATAATAATAATAATAACGAAATAAATAAAGGGAGGGAGTCAGTGTCCACCTTTGGGCCAGATATTCCAGGGGCACAGTGATCATCAATGAGTGCCCCGTGGAAGAATGATAATCTCCTGGGTGGAGGAGAGGCTGCCTCACCTAGCAGCCCTTCCTCTGATGAGGCCTTCCTTTTTGTTTTTCTTAGAGATGACAAGAGGGCCTTACATAAAACTTCCAAGCCTACAGCCTCCCACCCTCTCAAAAACAACAACAGTTGACAGCCTTCAAAGAGCTCTTTACCACACTGGCCTGTCCCTCTGTGGATCTGGACTCCTCCTTCTGCATCACCTCTGACGGGGGCAGGCAGAGCATGCTCCAGTAGCAGGTGAGAAGCAGCTTTGTTCTACTATCCAGCTCAGAGAGCGACAGGAACTTCCTAAGATCTGGGATGAGACAGAGGTGTGACCAGAGAGCAGAGCCCAGGAATGCCACTGAGGAGAGGGGACTTCATATTATAGAGAGGGATGCCAGAGGCCAAGGGATAGGCAGGGGCCAGACACGGGTGCGTCTGGTTCAAAGCCCACACTCTTCCGGGGTCCTCCACCCACAAGAAGAGACGGGAGCCACAGGACTCTGGACTGCATGTCTGCCCAGCATGGAGTGTGGCCCACATGAGCAGATCCACCCAGATGACGTTCCAGAGGGACAGAGAGGCTGCTCCCCTCCTCACCCAGAGGAAGATTCATCCCTCAGCTTGGAACTCCATCCCTTCCACAGTCAGCCCCACAGCCCAGCCCCACTTCTCCTCCCTTTCAAACAAGCCCTCACCCTCCAGGATCTGCAACATCTTGGGAACCTCCCACATCCACAGCTGGCCCACATTTGACTTGATGACGGGGTGCAGGGAGGCAATGGGATGCGGAGCATATAACAGCTTTAGGGTGTTTTTTCCAAATGCCTTTTCTCTGTAGGGCTTCAGGGAGAACAACTGAACAGCCAGAGAAGCAAATGGGAGGCAGAGAAGAATGAAGGCAAAGAAGAAAATTAGAACAAACCCATGGAATGGTAGAGCTGAAGCTGAGCCCTCCCATTCTTTTCCACCTGCTGAACAAGTTCCCCAAAATGCCCTCAGATGCCACCTCCTCTGTGACGCCCTCCGTGACTCCTGGAGGCCAAGTTATCCATTGCTCTGCTAAGATCCCATTGCACTTGTTAGTACCTCTGTCACCTTTAACTGTGGGTGGTGAGGTTACTCCCAGGTTTGTCTCCCTCACTAGCACTGTGAACCCCTCAAAGCCAGGTGTATATCCTGTCTCTCCACTAGCACTGTGAACCCCTCGAAGCCAGGTGCACATCCTGTCTCTCCACTAGCACTGTGAACCCCTCAAAGCCAGGTGCACATCCTGTCTCTCCACTAGCACTGTGAACCCCTCGAAGCCAGGTGCACATCCTGTCTCTCCACGTGTTCTTTATGTCTGTCACAGCACTGGGAAAATTAAGAAACTCAAAACATGCTTGCTGAGAAAAGGAGGTCCAGAAAGGCAGGGGGACTTGTCCCAGGTCAACAGAGAGAAGCTCACAACAAGGCCACACAGAGAAGACAGCCAGGCCCTCCCTATGTCCTCTGCCTCCCCCTGTTCCAGTCCTACCACTACGTGCCCAGGGCCCCACCTCCAAGCCCGTTGGCCTGAGGCGCCTCTTCCCAGGACCCCCGTGACCCTCGGCCCTCCCTCCTCACTCCATATCTGGCATCAGGCCTGGAATGGAATGGCCCTGGGCTACTGTGAACTGATTGGATGGATGACACCATGTCCATCTCAGCACCACTATCCACAAGGTGGGTCAGTAGTCTTTGTGGGGAGATGACCTTTGAGGGTGAGTTAAAGAGAGGGCAACAGAAGAAGACACAGTAAGGGTGAGCTCCCGGGAGCCCACCTCCAGCCCCCACTGGCATCCCCCATCAGTTCTTCAGAGCAGGAGTACAGGCAAAGAGGAAATGAGCATCAGTGTCCATGCCGAGGCCTTGTGACATCTCCACTCAGCCTAAAGACCACCACTGCATGTTCCAATCACCTCGTGCTTATATATATATATATATATATATATATATAAATAAATTTTTAGTCATTAACTTCTATATTACAAATGCTAAATCAATAGATTTTGTATATTCATTAGTATTATCTATGTAAACACTCAAGTTACCTGCAGGTAGAGAAATATTTATTTTTTCCATTCCAAATTATTATGCTTTTATTCCTTTTTCTTGCTTTATTCTAATGCCTGGGACCTTCAGAATAGAAGTGATAGGGGAGTGCATTCTTGCCATGTTCATAAAGTTATGAAAACAATATTCAGTCTTTCATTATGCACTATAGGGTAAGCTTTAGAATTTTGTCATTTCCAGAATTTTATATGATTTTAAATGATTGTCATTTCCAGAATTTTATAGAAATCTAATTATGAAACATGTGCTCTTTTTTGTCTTATTTTTCTACAGAGCATCATTATTTTGAGATTCATCAATGTTGCTATGTATAATTAATTCATTTATTTATATTTCTCAGTATGTTGCTCATTTCCTTATATTGTTCACTATGTTGCACAGATATAATGGAACATTTCACCTGTTCACCTCTTGATAGACATTTGGTTTACTTCCAGTTTGGGCTACTACAAATAAAGCAGCTATAAAAAAAAAAAAAAAAAGACCACCACTGCATCTTCAGCTTTAACAACAGTGACCACACCACTGAGGAAGTGCTGAACAGACACCCTCACCGCTTCTCTAGCCCCACTGGGTTTAGAGGTCAAGGATGGGACAAGTATAGAGCCAGGCTCAGAGTGGGGCAAAAAGAGGACAAAGGAGCAGGACTGTCAGTGCAGCCATGAGTTTGTAATTAACAAGAGTGCTTTTCCACCTGGATGCCAGTGTTGTGAAAAGAGGACTAAAGGTGACAAGGAACTGGTTCTACGGTGGCTCCCTTCCAAAGGAGGCTCCCTTTCTCCACTGCCAGGGGCTAATTGCCTCAGGCTGCTCCCTGACCTTTGACCTTCCCCTTCTCATCCTGGCCCTGGCTCAATCTGTGGCCTCATCCCCACCGCAGAGCTGTACCCTCTCCCCATCTCACACCCGTGCAGGGCCTCAGCCTGCCCCCACTGCCCTCCATGCCTGCAGCAGCTGGAGCCTTCCTGGCTGCCCCTCCCCATAGACCACCCAGCCTTGTACTCACGCCTGCCATGGAAGCTGCTGAGGTAAGGGTGCGGCCCCAGGGAGTGGGCCTGCAGAGCCACCTTCCTGGCTGCCTTGCTGAGGACCACGAAGGCCGAGATGTGGCTTGGTTGGCATAGAAGGTTTATGAGTACCGGCAGGGACACCTGGCAGGCGACACGCAAGGACCTCAACTCCAAGCCCAAATCAGTCCCCGTCATGAGTTCTCCAACCCCACAACCCTGGATCCCTTTCCTGGAGGGGCAGTAGAGGCCTGGACACACAGCCCGCTCTTCCCATGTGCTCACAGAGTCTCTGACTCCATCTCTGACTCTCCCTCTCTCGCTCTCTCCTCTCTTACCCCTTATTGCTAAAAGGTAACCAAGGTCCTTATGAAAATCACTATAGGCTGGATAAAGAAAATGTGGCACATATACATAATGGAATACTATGCAGCCATAAAAAAGGATGAGTTCATGTCCTTTGCAGGGACATGGATGAAGCTGGAAACCATCATTCTCAGCAAACTAACACAAGAACAGAAAACCAAACACTACATGTTCTCACTCATAAGTGGGAGTTGAACAATGACAACACATGGACACAGGGAGGAGAACATCACACACCAGGGCCTGTCGGGGAGTGGGGGGCTAGGGGAGGGATAGCATTAGGAGAAATACCTAATGTAGATGACGAGTTGATGGGTGCAGCAAACCAACATGGCACATGTATACCTATGTAACAAACCTGCACGTTCTGCACATGTACCCCAGAACTTAAAGTATAATAAAATAAATAAATAAATAAAAGAAAATCACACTAGGAAGGACGTGCTTAAACAGAGGGGCTTCTTAAAATTTGAAATTGTGCGACTTGTTATCGCCTTCACTGGGGAACATTCCAGAGAAGAGGAAATGTTAAAGGTCAGGAGACAGGGCTTGCTTGGAGGGAGAGCAGTTGTGCCTCCAGGAGGAGAGGAATTCACAGTCCTCCTACAGAAGGGGCAAGTGCAGCCCAGAGAGCAATGTACTCAAGGGTCCACAGCTAGAAACTGACCGAGGGACTCAAGGGTCCACAGCTAGAAACTGACCTAGAGACTCAAGGGTCCACAGCTAGAAACTGGCCGAGGAACTCAAGGGTCCATAGCTAGAAACTGACCTACAGACTCAAGGGTCCACAGCTAGAAACTGGCCGAGGGACTCAAGGGTCCATAGCTAGAAACTGACCTACAGACTCAAGGGTCCACAGCTAGAAACTGGCCGAGGGACTCAAGGGTCCACAGCTAGAAACTGGCCGAGGGACTCAAGGGTCCACAGCTAGAAACTGGCCGAGGAACTCAAACTCAGGTCTCCAGAGTTACCTTCAATGCCCGTCTTTCGCTCCACTGAGTCACGTCTCAGAAGAGACCCCGACCTTTGAGCAGAAACAGATGGAGATCAGAAGGGGAGGAAGAGACACTACAAGGGGCTAGATGGAGGGGAGGGAGGAAGAAGGCAGTCTAAGGGGGCAGAATAGTGATCTTGGGAGGCAGGGGAGGAGGAAATGGAGAGGCCTCTTTGGCCCTACCTGTATGTACCATTTGTAGAATCTTGGCACACATCTGCTGGGTATCTTCTTCATTCTGGAGAAACAAAAGAAAGGATCAAGACATGGAACCAATGCCAACTGAATCTCCCAGGTATTGGCCTCCCCTGGCCCACTGATCAGGGGTGTGGATGCCAAAGCACCTCCCTGTCAGGCCAGCCAGGCCCCTATTCTGTGTCTCTGCTCCCACCCCTTCCCTTCTCTGTCCCCTGCCCCTGGCTCACTCCACCCTCGGTCCCCTCACTTGCACCAGGTCCTGCTCACTGAGGGCTCTGGCTGGCTGAGCCCAACAAGGTGGTGGATGATGATGTTCCCCTGGGGCAGAGTCATGTAGCTGTGCTGCCCCAGCGTCTTGATGAAGCTCAGCAGGGGCATGTGTACCTTTGGGTCACAGACCATCACATGCATGACAGGAAGGGGCTGCAGGATGGCCTCTTGTTCCAGGTGAGCACACAGTGGACCAGAGCAGGTCAGGGAGGTCTTCAAGGACCTCAGGCCTCCTGACTCCAAGTCCACTGTGACTCTTCAGTGGGTGCTGTGGCTGTGACAGACCACCCGTGACTGGACCTGCCCACTTCTGTCCTCTGCTCTGAAGTTCCGATCCACTCCAGCTCTGTCATCCTCCTGGAGAACTCCAAGAACTTACTTCCCATACTTCATATGCCCGCAGATACTGAAATTGGCAGGAGTGTTGGTGGAGGGGAATCCAAGTGAAGGAAAGGTCTCGTGTTTTGGCCTCTGTAGGGAAAGCCAGGAAGCAATCTGGCAAGTCCTGAGGGCCCAGCCCTCAAGAGCCCAGCCTCCTGTGACCCTTCTGGAAATTGGGCCCTTGTTTTTCAGGCTGATGCATTGTTCTCTATTTAACACTCAAAACCAGCATGCCCTGCTGCAGCTATCCCAACGCACTGTCCTACACCATCCAGAGCTGGGAGTCTCTGCTGCCTGCACCCCTGACTGCAGAGCTGCTTAAAAATACAGCTTCTCAGGTCCCACTCCAGCCATGAAGCCCAAGGCTTTCTCCTCCCAAGAAACCTGTGGGTTCTTGGGGCCTGAGTCAGTGTCATTTGGAGCCCTGAGGACACAACAGTGCCGCCCACAGAACAGGCTCAGAAGGGGGCATTTAGGCACCACCTCTCCACTTCTCAAACTCTTCTCTGGTTTTAAAGAACCCAAATGGAACTGAAGGACAGGGGTCTGAGCCTGAATTGGCTTGGTGAGGGTGCCTTCCTACTCATTCCCTATCTCCCTCTCCTCTCCATTTACATGACACCAGGGTCTCAAGAAAGCAATTGCCCTCCCAGCACAGACACACGGCCTCTATGCTCACAGGTCTCAGATCTTTCTGTATCAGCAGAACCACTGAACTCATCACCTCCTTCTTCAAGGTCTCCCTCTGGGGCACTAGAGAAAACACAGGCGTGCAGCTGGAGGTCAGCCTCCACCCCGCCTCTGCTGCTTGGGGAGACATCAGATGACAGCCGGGCGGGAGGAACACCAGGTACAGTCCCGGCCGTCAAAGGCCAGGTGGAGTCTCCACAGGCATCTCAGCCATCCCTGTGCCTCCAACCACACTGAAACCCACCAGCCTGGCCAGTACTTTCCACAGGAGGGCATTTGAGCCCCAACCCTCGCTGGTCTCCATGACTGCCCACACAAATCCGCCTCTCCAGCCAAGCTGTCCTCTCCTCTGTCCATCTCAACCTTTCCAACCTCAGCTGCTGCTCCTCTCCCCTGTGGCCTCCTTGTCCTGATCCATGGTCACAGGCTCCTCTCTACTTTTGGCCCATCCCCTCTGTAAAGCCCACCCCGGCTTCCCTGACCTCCTCCTGCTTGCCTTCCTGTCGGCATCGCCGCTCCCGTCTAAGCAGCCCAGTGCATGTTGTCCCGCACTGTCGCCATGTGGACAGCCTCGCCCCCTACCCTACAGTGAGCTCGCTAAGGGCAGGGGCTGTCTTCTGTATGTGTATTCTCCGTGCCTGTCACAGTGCTTAGTGCACAGCGAAAGCTTAACATCCATACCTGACTGGAGGTGAAGCCTGCTCTTCCAGGCGGTAATCACAGATAAACCACTATAAAACCAGCTGCAGAGCAGGCCCTGTTCTCAGCACCTCACATTTATTCACTCCACCCTCACTAAAAATCCCTAAAGGTAACAATTATTTTTACCTCTGTTTTTCAAATGAGGAAATAGAGGCACAGACTAAAAGTCATTTGCTCTAGGCCACATAGCTAGTGAGAAGCACAGCCAAGATCCCAACCCACTGAGATGACTGCATTTAAAATCGTGCTTCTAACTACTATACCAGACTGTCTCCAGAGAAAGGAGATTTCCTGGGAACGATCAAGTCCTAGAACCCCAGGACCATGCCCCATTCCCACTCCCTCTACAGGACACATCCCTGAAGACTTGCGGGGTTGTCACTGCCTTGGCAGACTCCTCGGGTTTGACGATGTTTTCCAGCAAAATCACCAGCTGATCCCTGCCATATAACTTGGCTATCAGAAGGATGTGAATACAGGGCAGTCAGGGGTATGTTTAAACGGGAGGTAATACCCAGGCTTAAATCATGCTCACAGCAAACCACTGACCATGACTTGGACGAAAGAAAAAGAAAGAGAACCAGGTCCACCCAGCATTTGCCATGTGCCGAGCATGTGCCAGGTGCCCCTCCTGCCCCACATACCTGCCCACAGGCAGCACACTGTGCCCATCAGTGCTGTCCTGTCATAAGCACCTTTCTGAAATAGGGATCATGCCAGGAGAAAGGGGAGTCAGCCCCAGGTGAGGCAGTGGGAACAATAGGGGTGGGGTGGGGCCATGGCTATGCCCTTTCTGATTCACTCAATTTCAGGCAAAGTTCTCATTAATTACTTTGAATCTTGTCTCGGAGGTTGGAACCCCCACCTTCCCATAGGAACCTAGGCCCCAACTCCGGCCCAGGGAGAGACTAAAGGGGTCCTGAGTTCACATGTGGGCACACACACATGCATGCATGTGCACACACATATGCACACGCACACACATGGCTAGGAAAACATATGAACTTACTCAGTATGTTGAAAGCCCTCAGAGCTAAGCTATGGTTCAGCATGGAGTAACAATCCGAGTAGTATTTGCCACTTATCTGTAGGGAGACCAAGGCCTTCAGGCCCAGGAGGATGGAAACCAGGGATCCTACATGTGGAGGAGGAAACTGAGGCATGAAGCCATGCAGTGCATGGCACCAGGCTGTAAGGAGAGCAGAAAAGTGGAGCCCAGGAATCCACTCCCAGCCCCAGAGGGAACAAGACAGAGGCCAGCCAATTAAATATAAGGAAGGCATCATCCTTTTGCAAAATGTTCAATTGTCCTCTGCCTACTCCACAACACAGAAGACCTGGCACCTCCCACGGGCTGAAGGAGGGCCTTGAACCTTCTGCCTTTTCCCTAGAGTCCAGGGGGAGCCACAGAGGCTTGTCACCCCAGAAAGCACACAGGATGTATCCAAGTTACCTCATGGAAAACGTCCCACTCTGTGCCCAGAATCCAGGCATTTGCCTGTTTCAGAGAAGCCTGCAATGTGTGCAGCAAAGGTCACCATGTCAAAGACCCCTGTACCGTCTGGAGATGGTGACCTGGTCTGAGGAAGTCATCACCACCAAAGAAGAGAGAGGGCAAGGACAGGATGCCTCCGGCCTGCCGCACCCACCAGCTGGAACAGCACCCCTGTGATATTCCCCAGCTGGGACTCCAAGTTAACACCTCCACAGCCACTGAGAGCCAGAGTCTCGGCCAGCTGGCAAATGCACTGTGTGCACAAGGACAGAGTCAGGACAGGTCGTCCCAGCCCTTTCCACAGCCTCAAGGGAAGTACTCCTTCCTCATGTCTTCCAGGTTGGTCCAAGCCCTTATGATTTCACATGGCCCTCTCGAGCCTTCGAGGCAGGACCAGGGTGCAGCTCTCCCGTCACTCAACACAACCAGGACTGGACCCCTCACCCAAGACGCTGCACTTATTTTCAAAGAACCTCACTACTCCAAGAAAACCTTAAGGGAATCCAACACTGCAAGTGTTGGGTGACCTGAAAGAAACAGGAGTCAATCTAAGCATCCATCAACAGACAAATGGATAAAGAAATTGTGGCATATATTTAACAATGGAATATGATTTTAAAATGCAAATAAAAATCCTATAACATCGGCCTAACAGAGGCAGAATTCTGAGATGACCCCCAAAATTCCAGGGCCCTGGTATACACACATCTTCTGTCAGTTACTCAGTCACGCAGTAATCTCAGTGTTGATGGGAAGGGATTTTGCAGTTGACATTTATATAGGGGGATGATCCCTGTGGGCTTGACCTAACCACATGAGCTGTTCTACATCTGGGCCTAGAGGTCAGAGGAAGGGAAGGCAGAGAGACTCAAGGGCAAGAGGGATCCAATGAGGAAGCATTGCTGGCTCCGAAGCTGGAGGGTGCCTCAGGGCAAGGAACATGAGTGGCCTCCTTGAGGTGAGAGTTGCCCCTGGCTGACATCCAGCTGGAAAACAGGGAATTCAGTCCTACAATCATGAAGAGTCCATATTTTGGTAATTTGTGACACATCAAGAGAAAACGGATGCAGCTCCACACTGTGCTTTCATGGCCATCCTCCTGACTGAGCCTCGTCCCACCCTTGGGAGGCGGGCGCGCTGTTACCATTTTACGGATGAGAAGGAGGCGGCTCCGGAAAGGCGAGGGATCGGCTCCAGGCCTCACCCCCGGTAAATACCACTTGAACGCCAGTGGTCTGCACAGGAAGCCTGGCCACACTGCCTCCTGTGCATGCTCCTTCCAGGACTGCTGTGAGGACAGAGGTGTAAGAGCACCGCACAAAGACCTGCGCGCAGGAAAGACGGCTCATCACTGAGTTAAGGCGGTGAGAGTTCTTAGCGAGTGCCTTGGGTCTCAGGGTCACCCTCCAGGAAATGGCCAAGTCGCACCAGGATTCATGACTGCTCCATGATTTGTCTCCCCGTCGTCTTCTGCAGTGACTGCTGAGAAACGTAGCTTGCTTGTCCATCCAACACACAGGGCATGTCCTACGGAGATGCCCCAGAAACTTCTCCCCACGCACAGTGGCCTTTGACAAAGGGGGCAGGGCCACTCAGGACACGTGCATTCTGACCAGCCTAGGCCTTGAGCCAGTGTGTCAAGGTCACACGGAGGTCTCCTGGGTCACACTGCTCTCTTTCTCTGTGCCTCTTCTTTCCTCAGAGCCCCTTCTCACATCCCTATTCCCTGCAGAAATCTGCACTCCCCATCACCCCAGCTAAACCTTGTTGTTAGTCATTCTTTCTCACTAAGGCATAAACTGCAGCAGCATAAAGAGGAGTTCTGCACCTGGGGATTAGGGATGAGTTTCACAGGGCCTGAGACTCTCCGGGATTGTGTGCAAAATCCTGTGCAAATGTGTCTTTCACCAGCTTCTCAAAGGGCCCTGAGTCTCCAAAGGGGTCCAAGAATCACCGGATAAACCATTTTCCCAAAGTTCACGCAACCTGGCTCTTCAGTGCTTCTGTGTGTTTTATAAAACATGACTGCATCGCAGTCCCCAGGCAGCAGTCATCGCAGGCTCTGCAGGACCACGCGACAGCAAGCATCCATGAAATGGGAGGATGCTCCGGCCACGGGAGCATTTCCAGGGCATACAGAGGGCTTTTCTCTGCCCCTTGATTTCACTCCACGGAGTCAGCACCTTCTCATCTACCCAAAAGGTGGCCCCAACAGCTGGCCCTGCAGTGAAAAGGTTCTCCATGCTCATGCTGTTCCCTCTAATTGGTTTTTGTTTGTGAGCTGAGATTGCACGACTGCCCTCCAGCCTGGCAGACAGAGTGAGACTCTGTCTCAAAAAAAGGAAAAAAGAAAAATTGGATATACTTTGGATATAATTTGGATATTTATGGTGCACAATGTAGTGTTTTTCAAATATGAGCACGCTGAGTTATGTAACATGCATGGCCTCACACACTTACCATTTTTTGTGGTGAGAACACTTCAAACCTACTCTCTTCACAATTTTCCTGCCTGCACTGTGGTGTTGTTAACTCTAATCACCGTGTTATACAGCAGATCTCTGGAACTTCTTCCTCCTGCTTAACTCTGACAAACATTTCCCCAACCTGCACCCCCAGCCCTTGATAACCACCATTCTACTCTCTGTTCCTATGAGTTCAACTTTTTCAGCTTCCACATGTAAGTGACACTGTGTGGTTTTGCTTTTCTGTGTGGTTTCTGGCTTATTTGCTTAATGTTATGAATGCCCTTCGTATTCATTCATGTCACAAATGTCCTTTTTTTTTTTTTTTTTTTTTTGAGACGGAGTTTTGCTCTTGTTGCCCAGGCTGAAGTGCAATCTTGCAATCTCAGCTCACCACAACCTCCGCCTCCCCAGGTTCAAACAATTCTCCTGCCTCAATCTCCCAAGTAGCTGGGATTACAGGCATGCGCCACCATGCCTGGCTAATTTTGTATTTTTAGTAGAGACGGGGTTTCTCCATGTTGGTCAGGCTGGTCTCGAATTCCCAACCTCAGGTGATCCACCTGCCTCAGCCTCCCAAAGTGCTGGGACTACAGGTGTGAGTTACTGCATTCGGCCAGGATTTCCTTCTTTTTAAAGGCTAAATCATATTCCATTGTTATATATATGCCCCATTTCCTTTATCCATTCATCTGCTGATGTAGGCTTAGGTTGATTCCATTTCTCAGCTATTGTGAATAGTGCTGCAGTGCACCTGGGGGTACACATATCTTAGAGGAAAAGCTTACAACTTTATCCCATTCTGTATGATGTTAGCTTTGGGCTTGCCATATACAGCCTTATTGCATTGTGGTACAGTCTTTCTATATCAAATTTGTTGAGAGTTTTCATTATGATAGAATGTTGAATTTTGTCAAATGCTTTCTTTGCATCCACAGAGATGATCCTATGGTTTTAGTCCTCCATTCTATGACTGTAGCATGTCCTATTTATAGACTTGTGTACACTCAACCACGCTTGTATCCCTGAGATAACTCCCACTTGATCATGGTGAATGATCTTTTTAATGTGCTATTGAATTCGATTTACTAGTATTAGATTGAGGATTTTTGCATCTATGTTCATCATGGATCTTGGCCTGTAATGTTCTTGTAGTGTCCTCCTCTGGTTTTGGCCTCATAATTTTCTCCCAGATTTTGGGAAAAGTTGGAGCAGGATTGTTATTAGTTCTTCTTGAAATGTTTGGTAGAATTCAGCAGTGAAGCCATCAGATCCTGGGCTTGTCTGTGATAGGAGACCTTTTATTACTGATTCAATCTCCTGGCTCGTTATGTAATGGTCTGTTATGTCTGCCTCATTCTTCAAGGTGCAATTCAAACCTGGCCTCTTCTGAGAAGCCTTCCTGAAATCCCTCCAGGCAGAACTAATCCCTTCTTCTCTGGGCTCCAATAGCTGGTAATGCAGCCCTGCTGGTAATGCAGCACGTACCACGCCCAAGAACAGTTCTGAGGGTTTCCCTCCCCATAGATAGAAAGCAGCTCCAAGACAAGCAGAGTGACTTGCACTTCCCTCTCTCCCTAGCCCTGTATAGGGAGCTATCCAGTCAATGTGGGATGATTGACTCAGGGCTCAGCAAACTTTCTCGGTACAGGATCCAAGAGGAAGTAACTGAGGTTTTGTGAGCCATACATGGGGTCTCTGTAGCAATTGCTCAACTCTGCCTTGCCGCACAGAGGCAGCCCTGGATAATATGCAAACTATATGCAAATGAGCAGCCTGGCTGAATTCCAGTGAAAACTTACAGCATCAGGTGTCAGGCTGGAGTTGGCCTAAGCTACAAAAGACAGGTTAGGGAGATGGACAATGGGTAGGAAAATACAGTTAGATAGAATGATTGCGATCTAGTGTTTGGTAGCACGATAAGGTGGCTGTAGTTAACAATATTATATATTTCAAAATAACTGACGGAGTGAAATTGGAATGTTCCTAACCCAAAGAATTGATGAATGTGTCAGGTGATGGATATCCCAATTGCTCTAATTTGATTATTACACATTGTATGCTTGCATCAAAATAGCACAGGTACCCTATAAATATGTACAACTAGTATGTATCCATATTAATTAAATATAAAAAAATTAAGACAGGTTATAAAGAGCATAGATAACATTGTTTTAGACATATCCAATGATATGGATAATGGAGTTAGGTATATCCAGATTATACAGTTATGTATGTGTAAACCACATATATACACATATCTATACACATATGTATGTGTACATAGACAAAAACATATGAATGCACAGATAAAACTGAAAGGGCATACATCAAAATGGTAACATATCCAGATGGTAGATTTAGATATAATTTTTCTTTTCTTCTAAGGGTTTTTTAATATATTCTGAAATATTTAATATATTCTGAAATAAACATGTTACTTTGTCACTTTTAAAATGTTATTTTTAAGAATGTTCTCTTAAAAATGCATTTAAACTGACAAATTAGAAAGTGATCTAGTAAAAGCAAGGAGGCTTGTAGATAAATCCTAATTCTAGTGAGTACAACAAATATTTTTTAACAAATATTTTCTATATGCTGATATTTATAAGAGCATTTAAGATAAATCTAGTATAAATGCTGAACTCAGAGTGAGTAAAAATGACAAATACTTATAGGACAATGCATGCAATATTATAGGTGCATACAATGCTCTGAAATGATACAGAGGAGGGCATAATTAACTCTGCAGGAGTTAGGAGGAGGTTCAAAGAAGAGGGCCTGGTGAGTACGGATTTTCAGAATGTAAAGGAATAGAGGGGATGATGTGAAAGGAGGAACCTCCCAAAACAAGACAGCAGGGCAGGGCATGGTGGCTCACACCTGTAATCCCAGCACTTTGAGAGGCCGAGGCAAGAGGATCACTTGCGCCCAGGAGTTTGAGACCAGCCTGGGCAGCATAGTAAGACCCGTCTCTATTTAAATAAGTTCAATATTTTAAAAAGACAACAGAGTGGCCGGGTGCGGTGGCTCACGCCTGTAATCCCAACACATTGGGAGGCCGAGGCAGGGGGATCACGAGGTCAGGAGATTGAGACCATCCTGGCTAACATGGTGAAACCCCGTCTCTACTAAAAGTACAAAAAATTAGCTGGGCATGTTGGCAGGCACCTGTAGTCCAGCTACTTGGGAGGCTGAGGCAGGAGAATGGTGTGAACCCAGGAGGCGGAGATTGCAGTGAGCCGAGATTGTGCCACTGCACTCCAGCCTGGGCAACACTGCAAGACTCCATCTCAAAAAAAAATTTAATTGTAAAATTAAAAGGACAAATATTTAAAGCATGCCAGGCACACCTGACCTTAGTGCCAGGAACTGGAGTGCTTGAAGTAGCTGCAGACAGATTAGCAGCTAGTAACCCATTAAAATGGATAAAATCTCATTCCAGTAAACCCACAACCTTCCAGCGTGGGCCTCATGGCCATCACAAATATGTCACAGTGCTGCAGAGATTTTGTTTATGGCCAGTTCTGGGGCCAGTTTATGGCCAGATTTTGGGGCCTGTTCCCAACACTTCATCATGTTGGTCAGGCTGGTCTCAAACTCCTAGCTTCACGACCCGCTCTCCTTGGCCTCCCAAGTGCTGACGTGAGCCACTGTGCCTGGCCTAAGAACATACATGAATGTCCAATAAGCACATTAAAAAGCGCTCAACATCTCTAGTCACTAGGAAAATGTAAATTGATCCACAATGAGATGTCACTTCACACCCACTAGAACGACTATAACCAATCAGCAGATAACAGCGAGTGTTGGAGAGGATGTGGAGAAATCAAAATCCTCATACACTGCCAGTGAAAATACAAAATGGTGCAGGCTGGGCGCAATGGCTCACACCTGTAATCCCAGCACTTTGGGAGACCGAGGTGGGTGGATCAAGAGTTCGAGACCAGCCTGGGTCAGGAGTTTGAGACCAGCCTGACCAACATGGTGAAACCCTGTCTCTACTAAAAATACAAAATTACTTTTTCACAAGATGGCACTGAAAGCAGAGAAGGAAGCTCCTGCCACTCCTAAAGCCAAAGCCAAGGCTTTGAAGGCCAAGAAGGCAGTGTTGAAAGGTGTCCACAGCCACAAAAAACAGAAGATCTACATGTCACCAACCTTCCAGTGGCCCAAGACACTGCGACTCCAGAGGCAACCCAAAGATCCTCGGAAGAGCACCCCCAGGAGAAATGAGCTTGACCACTATGCTGTCATTAAGTTTCTGCTGACCACTGAGCCGGCCATGAAGAAGATAGAAGACAACAACAACATGCTTGTGTTCATTAAGGACGTTAAAGCCAACAAGCACCAAATCAAACAGGCTGTGAAGAAGCTCTATAACATTGACGTGGCCCAATTCAACACCCTGATTCGGCCTGATGGAGAGAAGAAGGCGTATGTTCAGCCATCTCCTGATTATGATGCTTTGGATGTTGCCAACAAAATTGGGATCATCTAAACTGAGTCCAGCTGGCTAATTCTAAATATATGTATATCTTTTCACCATAAAAAAATACAAAATTAGCCGGGTGCAGTGGCACATGCCTGTAATCCCAGCCACTTGGGAGGCTGAGGCAGGAGAATCACTTGAATCCGGGAGGCAGAGGTTGCACTGAGCCGAGATTGCACCATTGCACTCCAGCCTGGGCAACAAGAGTGAAACTCCGCCTCTAAATAAATAAATAAACAAATAAAATGGTGCAGCCACTTTTTTGGAAGATAGTATGACAGTTTCTCAAAATGTTAAAAACAGAATTGCCTTAAACCCAGCAACTTCACTTCTAAGTATGTACCCAGGGAAGATGAAAATGTATGTCCACACAAAGGCTTGTATGTGAATGTTCATGGCAGCACCATTCACAAGAACCAAAAGGTCAAGACAACCCAAATGCCCATCAACGGGCAAAGGGATTAAAACATGGAACATACAATGGAATACTGTTCAGCAATCAAAAGGAAGTTCTGGTGCATGCTACTACATTGATCAACCTCAACAATGCAATGCTTCATGAAAGAAGCCAGATGCAAAAGAACTCACATTGCCTGATTCAGTTTATATGAAATATCCAGAACAGCCTAATATAGAGACAGAAAGTAGACAACTTGTTGCCTAGGGCTGGGGATGAGAATGAAAAGTAACTCTGATGGGCACAAGTTTCTTTCTGGGATGATAGAATGTTCCAGAAGTAGATTTTGGTGATGGTTGCACAATTCTGTAAATATACCAAATATACTAAAAATCATTGAACTGGACCAGTGTGGTGGTTCACATCATCAATCTCAGCACTTTGGGAGGCTGAGGCAGGAGGGTCACTTGAGCCTAGTAGTTTGAGACCAGCCTTGGCAACATAGGGAGACCCCATCTTTCCAAATAATTGAGAAATTTGTTGGGCATGGTGACACACGCCTGTAGTCCCAGCTATTCCGTAGGCTGAGGCAGGAGGATGGCCTGAGCCCAGGAGGTCTCAGGTCTTAGCATGGCCAAGGAGGACAGCCCTCCGTGATCCTCCCCCTTTCTGAGATCCTCCTCCTGCCCCCAGTGCTCTGTGTTCAAACCTGAGCGCACCCTGTAGCATCACACTCAGCCCCGACTCCCCTGCCTGGGGTGCCCTGCCTGGCCTAGGAACCGGAAAAACCTACCCGCTTCCAAGACTCAGCTCAAGCACCTCTTCCTGCTGGCTGTGTGGGGTATAGTTTGTTTGATTGATTGTTTTCAGACAGAGTCTAGCTCTGTCACTCAGGCTGGAGTGCAGTGGCGCGATCTCAGCTCACTGCAACCTCTGCCTCCAGGATTCAAGTGATTCTCGTGCCTCAGCCTCCCGAGCAGCCTGTAGGCACCAGCCACCACATCCAGCTAATCTTTGTATTTTTAGTAGCTACGGGGTTTCACCATGTTGGCCAAACTGATCTCGAACTCCTTACCTCAAGTGATCCGCCGGCCTCGGCCTCCCAAAGTGCTGGGATTACAGGCGTGAGCCACTGCGACTGGCCTCTGCTGAGTGTTTTCTGATACCCCTCCTGGGAACCCCACACTCCCCTGAAGAGCCTTCTGCCCCAGCGCCTCGCCCCGCTGGTCCTGTATGTTTCCATGGCTGCCTCGCCCTCTTAGACCACAGCCTCCTGCAAAGTAGGGCCCCGTATCTCAGTTGGCTTTGCGCTCCCAGTGCCTGGCACAGAGCCTGGCTCCCATGAGCACTCAACGACCCTTGAAAATTGACCGGAATCCCGGACAGCGCCGAGGTAGCGCGGGGAACGGGAGCGTGATCTGCTGCCCTCTCCTGGCAATGTGAAGCATTGTCCTAAGCACAGACACTTCCCTCTCCGCTGTACAAAAACAACTGCAGGATCGGGAAGCTGGAAAAGGAGCTGATGGAGGATGGGGGATATGGATGCTGTCTAAGAGACAAACTGGATTGAGGGGTTGCTGAGACTCTGCCATCTCCCACACTTTTCCCACGTTCGTGGACGCAGGGGCGAGGTGAGTGCTTTCAAAGGAGGATGCATCCTCAGAGAGGCTCTCGCTCCCCCCATCAAACCCTATACTCTTGGATGAGATCTCGCTTGTCAATATATGCGGTTGCCATGTTGTAACTATCACTGCACCTTTAATTCACTTCAGTGAGCGATCACTGAGTTTTTTCCACCATTGTTGTAAAATTTGTTTTGCTCTTGTGTGTAAAAAGACTGTGAATTTAACCACTGGCTTCTCCTGATATTAACTCGGCTTTCTACGGCTGGGAGGTTGTCTCTGACATTCTGGGTTTCTCAGCCTTCTGTCAAAATCCAAATACAGTCAGTCCGCAGTATACGTGGGGGACTGGCTCCAGGACCCTCCCTTGAAGATACTAACATCACAGGTGCTCAAGCCCCTGATACAGAATGGCACAGCGTTTGCAGACAACCTATGCACACCCTGCAAGCTCTTTCTTTCTTTTTGAAGGAATATAAAACTATTTATTGACCACTGTTCACCAGTATTTACAATAAATTAAACAATATATAGTCGAATAACATTCTGCTTGCTACAGAGTTGTTTTTCCTGGCTTTTGCTGAACCAGTAAAGAAAATAGTCTACATGTAAGGAATGAGTCGGGGTGTGGTAGCACTCCTCACACGGGGACACCAGCTGCAGGGGGTCTGTCCTTTGCAGACCTCTGACCCAGTGACAGATGAATGAAGTACACTGACACTCAGATATTCTGCTTTGCCAGTCCAGCTGAGTGTCTCCGAGCCGCTTACAGACTCCAGCAGAGTCCTGTAAACAGTTGCGACTCAGCCCTGACCAGCTAGTGAGACTCACATTTATTGGTAAAGATTTATTGACAAAAGACTTGAGTCAATACCACTAGAGGGTAATTGACATTGTGGACTTCCCAAGTAGAAAGCACTTAAGCACCCACCGTACATCAAAGGTTAATCTTAAGACCATATGAGTAAACAAGCTAGCTAGATAACTTCCCCACATTCTTTTGTTACTACTTTAATCTATTTAACTAAAGGTAAAGGGACCAGGCTGCCTTTAGCCAGATCTATTACCAAAATTATGCAAACTTCTCGGCCTTCCAAGAAGATTTCTGTCTATCTCTATAACAATCCCTAATATTTTTCCCACCAGCCTGACTGAATCTCTACATTGGGGTAAAGAAGAAACATACAGGTCAATAGTTGAGATTACCAAAGGTTGTTCACACATTTATGGCAGCAGGTCCTAGACTGCCAATACCTCTAACCATCTCACTAGGTTTCTATGAGCCAAGTCTTACATATTCCATGAATCATGACTTTAAGTCAATATAGCAACAGAGATTTCAAAATGTTTTTAAGGAATGGCCCACTGGAGAAACTGTCACATGTTCACTTAACTCAGTTTTGTTTAGCTAATTAAAACACACCGGGATGTGTCTTGTTTCCTCATCTGGATGGGGAAACCTCCAGTGATGGCAGTGATAAAATTTTTCCATTTAGGAATTTTGCAAACAAACCACTTCATTTATAGACATAGATGCTTTAAAATTAGCCGATTTAAATTGTCCTATTAAGTAGAATTACTTATTTCCCTTGAAATGTATGGCTTCAGGAAGCTTTTCACTTTAACTTGAAGTGATCATCTCGTAGCTTGCTTAGAATAATGGCATCTCAAAAACATGGGTTTGCCTGTGGCTTTTGTTTCGGTGAATTTTTTTTAAGAAAACATTTACATGTGCATTTTATGTATACACACACAAAATAAATAAATAAATAAATAAAAATCTAGATGGTCCTTAGGCTTATAAGAAAACAAGTTTGGCCAGGTGCAGGGGCTCATGCCTGTAATCCCAACACTTTGGGAGGCCGAGGCGGGCGGATCACCTGAGGTGAGGAGTTCAAGACCAGCCTGACCAACATGGGGAAACCTCATCTCTACTAAAAATACAAAAATTAGCTGGGCATGGTGGCACATGCCTGTAACCCCAGCTACTTGGGAGGCTGAGGCAGGAGAATTGCTTGAACCCAGGAGGCAGAGGTTGCAATGAGCCGAGATCACGCCATTGCACTTCAGCCTGGGCAACAAAAGCGAAACTCTGTCTCAAAAAAAAAAAAAAAAACACAAGTTCTGATGGAGTAATGGAGTAATGACTGAAAATTTCCCCCAACATATAGAAAAGCTGTTCTTTAATGCAGAAGAAATAATACACCATGGTATCAAATGTTCTTTTCTAATAAAGGAAGTAACTACAGAAATCTTTTATTTATTTGTTCAAAGTAACCAGTATTACTGATGAAAAAAAAACCCCAACAACTCTTCCAACACTACTTTCAAAACAAACATATCAAACTTGATTTTCATTAGAATGTAGTTATTTTGTCACATTAGTAAATCAAAAAGCAAGACCCAAATGTTATATATATATATATATATATACACACACATATATATATACACATATATATACACATATATATATACACATATATATACACATATATATACACATATATATATATACACATATATATATTTTTTAACGTGAACAATTATTGAGTTTCATCTTCTGGACAAAAATGCCAAGTTAGTCTCTCTTCATAAAAAGCAATTACTGGCCAGGCATAGTGGCTCACGCCTGTAATCCCAACACTGTGGGAGGCTGAGGCGGGCTGATCGCTTGAGGCCAGGAGTTTGAGACCAGCCAACCCAACATGGTGAAACCCCATCTCTACCAAAAACACAAAAATTAGCCGGGCGTGGTGGCGAGCACCTGTAATCCCAGCTACTTGGGAGGCTGAGGCAGGAGAATCACTTGAATCCAGGAGGTGGAGGTTGCAATGAGCCAAGATCATACCACTGCACTCCAGCCTGGACGACAGAGCAAGACCGTCTCCAAAAAAACAGCAGTTACAACTGAGAAAACTGCATACTTGCTTCTTTTGCCAGCATGAAGTCTGCCTCACCTGAATCTTTCCACCTCATGAGAAACATCCATTTTCCGCTGCCATCTGTGGCACCAATTACTCTTTCAGGATCAAGACCTGTGGCAAATCCTCTTGGTTTGTCAGCAGCATCTCTTTTCTTCTGTGATTTGCTGACATCAGATTCACTGTGAGATACAGATTTTCTTTTAGTACCATCTTTTTCTTTACCAGCTTTTTGAGAATTAAGAAAAGCTTCAATTAACTCTGGACAAGTTAAATTAAAAAAAAACATTTTGCAAGTGAAAAGACATGCCACAGACTAGAAGATCATTACTATATGTGTGTGTGTGTGTGTGTGTGTGTGTCAAAGCAAATTTTATCTATAATATATCAAGAAATCTCACAGATTAATAACCAGACAACAAAATTCTTTTTTCTTTAATTTTTTTTTTTTTTTTGAGACAGAGTCTCGCTCTGTCGTCCAGGCTGGAGTGCAGTGGCGTGATCTCGGCTCACTGCAACCTCCACCTCCCAGGTTCAAGCAATTCTCCTGCCTCAGCCTCCCAAGTAGCTGGGATTACAGGTGCCTGCCACCATGCCCAGCTAATTTTGTGTATTTTTAGTAGAGACGGGGTTTCGCCATGTTGGCCAGGCTGGCCTTGAACTCCTGACCTCAGGTGATCCACCTGCCTCGGCCTCCCAAAGTGCTGGGATTACAGGTGTGAGCCACCATGCCTGGCCAACAAAATCCTTTAAAATGGACCAAAGATTTAGACAAGTCTTTCACAAAAGAGGCTATCCAGATGGCCAATAAGTATATGAAAACTGTTCAACTTAATTAGCTATCGAGAAAATACAGATTATGTATTATGTATCTAGCTCTACATCCCCCAGGTGCACTAGAATGAAAAGGACTGACAATACCATGTGTTGGCAAGAGTGTGGACAAACTGGTGCTCTTGTACACATTCGGTGGGAGTGTAACCTGAACCACAACTGCAGGCAATTGTCAGTATCTACCAAAACCAAATATAAGGAACACCCAAACCCAGCAATTCCACTTCTTAGGTATCTACCAAACTGAAATAAGCACGTATGTTCATCAAGAGTCATGTACAAAAATATTCAGAGAAGCTTCATTCATCATAGCCAAAAACTGGAAGCCCCAATGTCATCAACAATAGAATGGATACAGTGTGGGGTGTTCAAACCATGGAAGATTACAAAGCAGTGACAGGTAATGAGCTACTCCTGTCTGCCACGAGATGGATGAATTTCACAAACATAATGTGGAAGGAAGGAAGACAGTCATAAAAGAGTCTATACTGTACGACCCCTCTTGAATGATGTGCAAAACAGATACAACTAATCTATTATGACAAAGGTCAGAAGAGTCGTTACTATTGGAGATGACGATTGACTGGGAGGGAACATCCAGGAGCCTTAAGGGTGCTGACATTTTCTACATCTTCATCTGGGTGACAGTTTTGTGGACACATACATATGGAAAAATGTATCAAGCTATACATTTAAGATATATGTTTTGTCCTTTTAAAAGTAAGTAAATATGATTTTCCATATTTCAAGCTCTTTCTCAAGTTCTAGCTCTTTGTGAGGACTTCCCAGAATACTTTTTCCAGATGCTGCCATTCTGCACTTTGAAACTGTGCCACACTGGCTAGTCCTGGGTTCTGCTCTACTTCTCTTTATAGGCAAGCTCCTTAAGGGAAGGTAGATTATGTCACAGACTCTGCACTCCACAGCCTCTGGTACAGACCTAGGAACCTAGTAGGTGCTCAATAAACATCTTTCCACCGGCTGGCCATCTACAGGAAGTATAAATTTGCGGGGGGAGGGGGCAAGCCCTGAGGACAGGGGCTGTGGGACGTTCTCCATCATTTTCCCCTCAAGGAAAGGAAAGAGAGGATGGTTGGGGTGCCACATAATTAATCAATGAAGCCCCTAGCAAACAAGGGCCCCTTAAAAAAAAAGATACCCCTCTTCTCCAAGGGCGTATGAGTCTAACGAGGGACAGATTGGTCTATCCAGGAATCTATGTGAGAATCCCCACCCCTGGCCAGGGCTTCCAGCAACCTTTCTTCCCATGAGAAAATTAAACCTGAGGAGGTAAACCCAACGAAAAACCAAAATAACTCCCCCAGAGGAGGCTACTCGTAGAGAGAAGGGCTACGTAACATCTCATCTGTGAGCCTATGTGAAGAGTGAGACTCAGAGATACAGTGAATACACATTTTGGCTAAATGCTAAAGGGACACATATTTAAGTCAATATCTGACTAAACAAAAACTATTACCAACAAAGAATGAACTTCCAGGATACAAGAATAAATATGAACTCTCAAATAAATTATTGTTCCTATTACAATTCATACCTTTTTTAAAAGTTAGCAGACTGATCATAGAAGTTGGATGTTATAGTGAAGGAACAATGATGTCTTAATTTCTCAATAATGACAGCTGCTGGATTGCTCTTGTGATCACTGCAGTGCACATTTATGATATTAAATATACATTTACTTTCAACTGAGGATGATGGACGTTCAGACTATTTTTCCCAAGTGGCAATCCATGTCCTAGTTATGCTAATTAGATATGATAATAACCTAGACACATACATGATGCTTTTTCATATGTAAAATTTTGTGTTTAGTTTTTGGTAGAGACAGGGTCTCACTATGTTGCCCAGGATGGTCTTGAATTCCTGGCCTCTAGCAATCCTCCTGCCTCAGCCTCCCAAGGTGCTGAGATTACAGGCATGAGCCACTGCACCCGGCCACGTGATCCTTGATCACACACAAGTTCAAGGAAGACAGAAATAATGCTGAAATCAACCTTTGGCTATTTGACCCTCTGAAGATCCAGGCCAAAGCCAAATTTCAGTGCATCCACAGATACAGTAGGATGAAGATTTGCTACTTCCTATCTCCCCAAGAGCAAAACAGAAATATGCGTATTTATCAGAAGGAAGAAATTAGATTTTATAAAAGGAAACAAGCTTTGTTTCAGCAGGACAACCACCAAATATCCCATTACCTCCTCTCAAGGAGATCAGCTAATGGTGGGATTCATGGAAGTGTTGACACCAAGTCTACCTTTAAGGGGCTTTCAGTCTTGTTGGAATGACAGAATATCAGCAGGTGAAGCTACTGTGAGTTACATGAGATAGTCAAGTTCATAGTCAAGTGTCCAGGTGCATAAAGCACAGATGTAATTTAACATTAGAAGAGAAGCACTCCTCTGGAACTAATGGAGCAAAGCCTTATCTAGACCAGTGGCTTTCAACTTCAGGGCTGGAGTCTTCCACATCTTCAACTGCGTATTCCAAGGCCCGGGTCCTGTGGCTCATGTCTGTAACCCCAATACTTTGGGAGGCTGAGGCGGGCAGATCACCTGAGCTCAGGAGTTCGAAACCACCCTGGGCAACATAGTGAGACCCCGTCTCTACAAAAAATAAAATTACTGGGTGTGGTGGCATGTACCCGTAGTCCCAGCTACTTGGGGGACTGAGGTAGGAGGATTGCTTGAGCTCGGGAGATTGAGGCTGCAGTGAGCCATGTTCACGCCACTGCACTCCAGCCTGGGTGACAGAGCTCGAGAGCCTGTCTCAAACAAACAAAAAACACAACTGCATATTCCAGCAATCAACAGGCTGAAATGTGGCACACACACTACCACTCACCTACGCCCTGTGTACCATATACAAGTTCAGGTACTTCACATGTAATATCCCATTGCCAGTCTCAGTGGCTCACACCTGTAATCCCAGCACTTTGGGAGACCAAGGAGGATCACTTGAGTTCAGGAGTTCAAGACCAGCCTGGGCAATACAGGGCGATCCCATCTCTACAAAAAAAATTTTTTTAAGTTAGCCAGGCATGGTGGTCTGTGCCTGTGTAGTCCCAGCTATTCCAGAGGCTGAGGTGGAAGGATTTGCTTCAGCCTGGGAGGCGGAGTCTGCAGTGAGCTGTGATGCACGACTGCATTCCAACCTGGGCGACAGCGTGTGACCCTGTCTCCAAAAAATAAATAACCCATTTAATCTTCAGAGAAAACCCCTGAGAGAAAGGCATTATCATGACAGCCATTTTAGGGACAAGGAAACCTTCCTCCAGGACTCACACGGTGAGTTCAATGATGAAGCTGAGATTTGAATCCAGGTAAAGAGCTTGTGCTGGAATTGGAATCCAGGAGAATCCAATCCAGAGCCCATGAGCTTAACCTTCACGCAGGTCTTCACTATGCACAGGCCTCACATAGGGGCCTACTATTTTTAAATTGTATGAAAATGGGACTAAAATCACTAACATAAATAAATGTTTTAAGAAGTATGTAGAGGCCGGGCACGGTGGCTCACGCCTGTAATCCCAGCACTTTGGGAGGCCGAGGCAGGTGGATCACGAGGTCAGGAGATGGAGACCATCTTGGCTAACACGGTGAAACCCCGTCTCTACTAAAAATACAAAAATTTAGCCGAGCATGGTGGTGGGCAACTGTAGTCCCAGTTGCTTGGGAGGCTGAGGCAGGAGAATGGCATGAACCCGGGAGGCGGAGCTTGCAGTGAGCAGAGATCACGCCACTGCAGTCCGGCCTGGGCAACAGAGCGAGACTCCGTCTCAAAAAAAAAAAAAAAAAAAAAAGAAAGAAAGAAATATGTATTTTTTGGTCAGTAGAGTTTCTATTTTCTCAATCAACAGACACCAAAGTTAACAAGAAAATATGTAAAGGTCTTTAACGGCTTTTTTTTTTTTTGGCATTACATTTTTGACAAATTATACTGGGAACATTCTAACTTAGGCTGGGTGACAGATTTCCAGCTTTCATTGTACTGGTATACTGCATAACATGTATGCATACATGAACACACACACCTATATGCATTTCAGTCTTTTGAACGATCCAAATATCATACAATTATTTGGATGTTAAGTGCATTGGCAGCCTAGGAAGGTCAAGATATGAACTGTAGAAACAAGGGGTCTTCATGTGTAAATGATGGGCCCAGAGTTTGGGATCTGAGCCAGGTCAGCTCTAAGAGGCTCAGTGTGACGAAAACAAAGTTTCTGATCCCAGCAGGAGTCACCTACAGATAAGGTGGATGAGAAAAAGTGTGCTGACTTCCTCCCGCAAAAAAAGGGGACATTTTGGAAGAATTTCGAGTGGTACCGGTTACACATCTTTAATGAGAATACTAACTTAAATGGCCTGGGGAAAGGGTGAGGAGATAGAGGAAAGAGACTAAAACACGTGCACACTTTCTACAGTATATGTACTTTTTATGATCAGAAAAATATCACATAAACGACCAGGAAATATTCTAAGAGAAACAGTAAGTTCCTGCTCCAGGATTCAAGACCCCTAGTTTCCTCCTGTGGTTTCTCCTAGTTTCTGCCTGTGGTCCCCTAGTTTCCTCCTTCACTGTGTGGGGACAGAGCTTCTCACCGGGAACCTTGCCCTCTTGCCCTTCCCTGTCTCACAGACCTCTGTTTTCTTAGCCCTTTGTCCCCATCTCCACTGCAGCGCCTATCAGATCACACTAAAACGACCGTTATTTACCAGCTGCGGAGTTGGAGGCGAGGACTGAGCTAGATACCATACACAGATTCCCGCTTTTTTAACCATTAAATCACCCTCTTTTACAAATGTTACTATCTCTATTTTACAGACAAGAAATCGAGACATGAAGATTAACTAACCTGCCCCAATTTAAACAGCTAACATAACACATGGGCCGCCCAACGTCCCTTACTCCAAAGCACATGCTCATTCCACTAGGGTATTAGGCTATGTGTTAATGTAACGGCAGGCAATCTGAAGGGCTCCACTATGTACGTGCCGAACAGAATTAAAGGGGGGGTCCCACACTGTCCGCTTCCGATGAAGAAAAAGACGCAGAAAAGAAACCGCCACACGTGGAGAATCAGTAGGTGCAAGCCAAGGACAGTTTGCGGTAAACTGCCACCCCGGAAGCCAGCACCCACCATCCTGGTCTCCCGGAGTTTGGGTGACCCCTGGCACTGTTACTTCTGCATAAAAGTAGTGGATTTAACCCCTACAGAGGCAGCGCCCCGTATCCTCTGAAGCTGTCTCCAGCCACCTAAAGAGACGTCTTCATTATGGCTCAACTCATTTGGGCTGTAAATTGCTGAAGCGAAGGGCTTTTTCTTCTGCATCCCTTTCAAGTTCCGTCGGCAGGGACTACAATAAATCATCACATTATGACGCTGAAAGTTCATCTCTAAAAAGCTTTCAATTTAGTTTGATGAGACTAATGGCGTCCAATCGCACAGTGCCGGGCACATAACGGGAAGTCCAAAAATACAGTTATTATTGGAATAAAAATTCAGGCTGGGCGCAGTGGCTCACGCCTGTAATCCGAGAACTTTGGGAGGCCGAGGCGGGCGGATCATTTGAGACCAGATGTTCGAGACCAGCCTGGGCAACATGGCGAAACCCCGTCTCTACTAAAAATACAAAAATTAGTCGGCGTGGTGGCGGACGCCTGTAGTCCCGGCTACAGAGAGCCAAGATCGCACCACCGCACTGCAGCCTGGGCGACAGAGCAAGACCCTGTCTCAAAAAAAAAAAAAAAAGAAAAAAAAATCAGCCAAGACTTGGAAAAAGAAATTTAAAAAAGGAAAATTCATGCAGCCAGTAACTATTGGGACATCACTCACCAGGCACTATGCTAAACTGGGGTTAGGTGCTGAGCAAAACCAGGCCCCTCTCTAGATGGCTCTCTAGGTCCCACGACCATAGCTTAGGTGACACCGGCACCTGCGCGCTCCACAGCCTGTCGAAAAACACTCGGGAAGCAAACATTGAGAAGAAAATACTCCTTCTGTGGGCCTTTAGGAAAACCGAGTGACTTTTTTCGTGAGGGGAACCCATCTTTGTAAGCATTCGCGGAAACGGCAGTTTTATTACCGCCGGGAAGGGTCCCCTGAGTGTGTGCCCCATCTGAGTTCCGAGCTGGGCGGGCCATGCCTTGCCAACCCCGCTGCTCGCAGCATCTGCAGGCGCTGAGCGAGGCATCGCTGCCTGGCCGGGGCTTCTCGGATCTGGGGAAATCGAGGTCGCTTTCCCCGGCTCTCTGCAGCGGGGCAGCGCTGTCCACTCACTCCCCGCTCCCCGCGCACGCCCTTGCCCTCTTTCCCCCAAGTAGGGAAGGGTCTACGCGGGTCATAGCAGAGAGGCCACGCCGCCCGTGGTGACGGCCGGTCCCGGGGAGGGGGCGCCGCCACTGCCATCCCGCAGCCTGCGCTCCCCACACCCCGCCGCAGGCGCAGCGGACTGGTGGAGTGATGTCGGGAGATCGATCGAGAAGAATCTGGAAGAATCCGGTTAGACAGGGAAGCGGGCGGGGATGGGAGGGAGGGAGGAAGGGCCAAGGGAGGCCGCCGGGGAGATCCCGAGTCCGAGGGTCCCAGGAGAAGGGGGAGGGGGCAGGCAGCCAGAAGGAGGCAAGAACCAAAAAAAAAAAAAGAAAAAAAAATTCCGAAGCGCCCGCAGCACTGAGCCCGAACCGGCTCAGTCCCGCCGTCTCTAGAAAGTTCTGCACCCCGCCCCCTCTGTCTGCGCTCCCGCTCCTCCCAGCCCCTCCCTCGCGGCGGGGCGGGACCAATCGCTCCCCGAGCCGCTCCTGACCCACCTACCCCAGCTCTCGCGCCGCGTGCAGAGGTGCTCAAGCCTCCTCGCGGTCCGCAGTCAGTGCCGCCGCGCCCGGCCTCCCGCACGCCCCGCAGGTAGCGCCCCCGCCCGCGGCCCAGAGTGCGCTCGCGCCGGCACCAGCTCCCGGATAAACGGCGCGCCGCGCGGAGATGACAGCCGAGGAGATGAAGGCGACCGAGAGCGGGGCGCAGTCGGCGCCGCTGCCCATGGAGGGAGTGGACATCAGCCCCAAACAGGACGAAGGCGTGCTGAAGGTGAGGGGCGGCGGGGCCTGCGGAGGCGTCGGAACCCGGGGCCCCGCGGGCCGCCCTTCCGCCGCGCCCGGAGCCCGCGGCCGGGCACGGGTCGAGGCGGCCGCCTTTGCAGCCTCGCGGCCGTCCCGCCGGGGGCCGGTGGCATCGCCGTCCCGGACCGGGCTGCGTCGTTTAAGGCACCGAGGCCGGCCATGCGCTCGGCAGGGGGGCGGCCTAGGTGCGCGGGCCGAGGCCCCAGGCTCCCCAGCCGGCAGCGCCCGGGCCCGGGCAGGGGGTCGGGATTGCAGTGCCCACCCCGGCGCGCGCGGGGCGGCGGAGAGGGGCGGGGCGAGGCGACCGCCGCGGGCACCCGAGCCGCAGCCCGGGGCCAGGCCGGGCCTCCCACGCCACGCCGCCCCCGACCTCGCGGCCCCAGCGGAGCTGCCAGCCGCGGGCCGCCTCGTTGGTGGCGGTGCCAGGGCTCGCCCACCCGGGCGGTGGAACACGGGCCAGGACGGGGAGCGACTCCCCACAGTGCTTTCCTGGCCCTTCGGCCTTTGTGCGACGCAGGCGCGACAGGGTTCCGGCGCCCTCCCGGGGTCCCCTGCCGACGCCGGGACCCAGCGAGGTCCCCACTCGCCGCGCGGCGCCCCCTCCCTCGGCCCCGGGGAGGCCGGGCGCGGGGCATGCCGGGAGCTGTAGTCCCCTCCCCCCTCCGCCGCCTCCCGGAGCCAGGGCTGCGGGGTGTGGGGCGGGGAGGAGGCGCTCTGCTGTGGAGCCTGCCGCCGAGTGACCGCTCGACTACAAATAGCCTGGGGAGCTGCGGGGAGGGCATCTTGACCTGGGCCAGGACAACCTGCCTTGGGTCGGAGCAGGTTCCAGGGAGAATCAGAGATGGTGAATTCCCAGCCTGCGTCTTATGCCTTCTCCCCATCCGCTGCTGCGTCCTCATCCTGGCTTCCCACCGCTGAGCTCCGCGTGTGCGGCACCCACCTCAGGGGGCCTTTACCTGGTCCAGAAGTGCATCTGTCTTTGCACCAGATTATTGGGGACCTCAAGCGTCTGCTCCAGCGGCTCTCCTGTGGCATGTGACTTCCCCTTCTCGCTCCAGCGTCCTGCCGTTTTCTACGAGATTGTTATTCCAGGAAAGCTCATTTCCCCTTTGATCCATCATTCCTTCCCTTTTACCTTTCTACTCCTCAAAGCCCCTGTCTATTCTTCGTGGAAGCTTTCCCTTGGAGGGTAACCACACACCTACCAGGTGGCGCTAAAGAAGCCTTTACGTTTCTGGGAAATACTCCAGCCCTGGACTAACTACCAGAGGAATACTCAGCTCCCAAGTCAGAGTTTAAGGTCCCATGGAGAGCCTCCGGGTTCACCTATAACCTGGTTTCTTCCTTACCTGTTTTGAACTGTTTCTATTCTCTTCACTCATACTCCTCTCGCTCTCCTGTCTCCAAACCAGACCTTAGTCTGACGACCACTGGCATGAAGGAAGAAGGAGGAAGTGTGGCATAAATACTTCCCCCTTTGCCGATTATAATAATAATCTATTATTCAACCTTTTACTGGTCTAATCTTCCAACAACTGTAGGAGATAGGGATTATCATCACTGCTTTACAAATAAAGTGTGGAGAATTTTAAAAACTTACCATACAGCGGAAACTTGAACTCAGATCTCTCAGCCTTTTGTCTCCTTTTTCAAACCAAGTCTTGCTGCACCTCAAGAAAGACAAGAAGGTTAGTTGACTCATAAGCCAAGCTGCTAGTAACTGAATCTGGAGGGACAAGTAGGCAGAGGAGGATGAACACAGAGAAGTCCCTTTATGTTCCCTCTGGAGGCTTGCAGGCAGTGCTGGTGCCCCTTTCTGCCCCAAACCCTGGGGTACTCACTTTCTCCCCCTTCCTCCCAGGTCATCAAGAGAGAGGGCACAGGTACAGAGATGCCCATGATTGGGGACCGAGTCTTTGTCCACTACACTGGCTGGCTATTAGATGGCACAAAGTTTGACTCCAGTCTGGATCGCAAGGACAAATTCTCCTTTGACCTGGGAAAAGGTAGGCGTGGTCAGTGGGCTGGTAGGATAGGTTCGAGGTGGACACAAGCTGTCACAAGCAGAAACCATTTTCTCAGGACCAAGCTCAGGGAGGAATGGTTTATCACAGTCTGTTAACTCTTTCGGTCACTCTTTTTTTTTTTTTTCTACCGTTCTGTAACTATATTGATCTCTGTCTCCCCTTCTCCTCATCACCTCCCAACACCTTACTCCCCCTTCAAAGGTGGACTGTCTTGCATCTTAAACTCTTTTGTTCAGGGTCACGTGATCTTTTACAGTTCTTAGACCTGGTAGCACTTAATACAACCAGGTACCTCACCTTCTGGTCCCATTTCTAAAGGATGTCCAGCTTCCCCATGAGTGTGGTGCAGTAACTCTTCAGGAGCACTGTTTGAGCCCAGAATCAGAACCCTGCTAAGGCGGTCCTGTTTGCTTCTGTACCTGCAGGGGAGGTCATCAAGGCTTGGGACATTGCCATAGCCACCATGAAGGTGGGGGAGGTGTGCCACATCACCTGCAAACCAGAATATGCCTACGGTTCAGCAGGCAGTCCTCCAAAGATTCCCCCCAATGCCACGCTTGTATTTGAGGTGAGTGTTTGGTCACTGAGATCCAGGCTAAGAGCCAGGCCTTATCTCAGCCCAATGCCTGGCTGCCCTCCAGCCCTTCCTGCTTCTTGGAGACAATGTAGCCAAGGCTGAGGGTCTGGCCTTATGGGAGGAGAAATGCAGAGGGCTCTGCTGCTGCTAGTAATGGAAGTAATAGAAGCTTCGGGTGGGAAGAGGCAGGCACAAGCCCCTCTCCAGACTCAAAGCATGGTCAGGGTTAAGGCATCTTTATCTCCAGAGCGGTACCCAGAAGAATACTGAAAGGAGTCGGGATGTCAGAAACTATGTCCCGTTATAAATGGCAGTACAGAATATTGGTGCTCTAGAGACCAGAAGAGGGAGCAGTAGCTCCCCTGTGGGTCAAGGGCTGAGAAAAGGCTTCACTGAGGAGATAGAACTTGACATTGTTCAATCTGAAAATGGTTGAGCCAATCCGTGGGCCCTTGAATACTGAGAAACTGCTGAGAGATGTTGGGTAATCATTTCTAATACCTACCAGGTTGGGCTTATCAGGTAGTGTGAATTAGGATTATCTGGGACGCGTCCTGATATGTCCGTGTTAGTAGAGCAGGTAGCAAATAGATTGCTCTCCTCAGCTTAACTGAAATCTATGTAGTCTGCCCACCTCTACCAAAGTTGAGATTAGGGCAGCTCCCAAGAACTGAAAAAAAGTGCCACTCTACCCAACTCCTTGTGACTGCCCTTGTGGTCAGATCCGGCCTGGCAGTTAGTAGGGACTCTCTCGGATGAGAAAGATTGTGTTTCACTGCCCATGAGTTAGCATGGGAAGGAATTGTGTCACATCTTGTCCCACAGGTGGAGTTGTTTGAGTTTAAGGGAGAAGATCTGACGGAAGAGGAAGATGGCGGAATCATTCGCAGAATACAGACTCGCGGTGAAGGCTATGCTAAGCCCAATGAGGGTGCTATCGTGGAGGGTGAGACAGTACAGTCTGGGCTTTCAATTCTCATTCTGATATTTAGGCCTTGTGTGGCTTTGGGCAAGACACTTCCGTTCTCCGAGCCTATCTTCTTGTCCATAAAATGAGGGGTTGGACCATATTCTCTTCATATCACTCCAGATTTGAGAACACAGGAGAATCTTGGGATGATGGGGGTGATGCAGGGAGGCTGATGGCATCCTTCCTCAGTCACCTGCCCTCTTACAACTCTGGTACACTGCCTCTCTTTCATGCCAGTTGCACTGGAAGGGTACTACAAGGACAAGCTCTTTGACCAGCGGGAGCTCCGCTTTGAGATTGGCGAGGGGGAGAACCTGGATCTGCCTTATGGTCTGGAGAGGGCCATTCAGCGCATGGAGAAAGGAGAACATTCCATCGTGTACCTCAAGCCCAGGTGAGGGGTGGGCACTTCGTAGGGTAGGCAGGCAGGCAAACCAAGATCAAAGATATAAAATGAATTGTAGAACCAGCTGTTTGTATCCTTTTTAACTCTGGCCACACCAAACATACACCATTATGATATCCTCAGTGTACTTAGAAGTATGGCCCAATTGTCTACATCTCCTTGGATCTAAGCCCAGTCTTTTCAGTCATAGTTGCTACAGATTCTCTCCTCTGCCATCAAGATTTTCCTCTCCCATTAATTCATTTCAGTCATTACTGAAACAGCTACTACATGCCAGGCACTGCTGAAAATTCCTATAGGGCTTCAGAGACTAATAGAACATTGTTTCTGCCTTCTAATTCTAGCTCATTGTTTAGTGAGGTGCTATTTAAATTAGTAATCACACTGCTGCCTGGCTGTAAGTTATTAGAAGGGTATGAAGGATGCTGAGGGACCATCTGACAGTGTGAAGAGGCCAGGGAAGATTTGCCAAACATTTGAACCAAGTCTCAAGGGATGGGAAGGTACTTTCCAGGAAATGGACAGGAAGCCTTTTCAGCCTGGAGCAGGTTAAGTGTTGCCAAGATGATACATAGTGTTTTTCACCCCTCCAGCTATGCTTTTGGCAGTGTTGGGAAGGAAAAGTTCCAAATCCCACCAAATGCTGAGCTGAAATATGAATTACACCTCAAGAGTTTTGAAAAGGTAAGTTTGCTCAGGGTCTTCCCATCTAAAGTCAAGTTCCACCCTGTACGTGACTCTGGGGTAGCTGACAACTTTGTTTCTCTCCTGGGGTGTGGCAGGCCAAGGAGTCTTGGGAGATGAATTCAGAAGAGAAGCTGGAACAGAGCACCATAGTGAAAGAGCGGGGCACTGTGTACTTCAAGGTGAGCCAACAGTCATTGTCCTAAGGACACTCCCAGGAAGAGTTGCTCTGAGCCTCCCCTTCCCTTGGTGACTGAGATCATTTTCTGCCAAGAAGTGGACAGGTTGGCACCTGCCATCTTCACTTCATATATGTGAGCTTGCTGGCCTTGCCAGTGGGAAGGGTGGGAGCAGGAACCTCTTGTGGCCATGTGTCACTGATGTCTGCAGGGTATAAGAGCCTAGTACCACTGAAACTGTGCCAGGTGCCTGAGCCTCTCTCCCATTCCAGGAAGGTAAATACAAGCAAGCTTTACTACAGTATAAGAAGATCGTGTCTTGGCTGGAATATGAGTCTAGTTTTTCCAATGAGGAAGCACAGAAAGCACAGGCCCTTCGACTGGCCTCTCACCTCAACCTGGCCATGTGTCATCTGAAACTACAGGCCTTCTCTGCTGCCATTGAAAGCTGTAACAAGGTGAGGCCCCCTCAGAGGTCATGGAAGCAGCATTCACAGGCAGAGTTGGGTGAGCTGCCAGCATGTCTGAAACTTCCCCTTGGTGACTAGGGCAGGGATAGCAGGGTGGATCAGTGGGAGCTCTGAGGTTACAGACCAAAGGCACGGATGCAAGTATTCATAGCAAGAACCTTAGCTTTGGTGGGAAGCAGTTGGCAAGAAGGAGGAGGACACGGAATGGGAAGAATCACATAAAGAGTTTTCTTCCACCTTGGTTCTTAGCCTCTCCGCTTACCTACTTGCTTTATTCTAAAGTGAATGTTAATGTCTGAAGTCTTTATTTCATCCAAAGACCTGCTGTCTTCCCTCTCTGCCTGTTGGATTAAATGAGGTCCCTGGATTGTTCCATTTAATGCCTCAGGCCTTGTTCTTCCTGGGGTGCAGCCAGCCACTTGCATTCCTCCTCATCCTCCTGAGGGGTACCTTTGGAACCCAGTCTAGGCCAGATGAGCTACAAGCCCTGAGCTCCCACAATGTGGCTTCCTCTCTGCATTCTTTAGGCCCTAGAACTGGACAGCAACAACGAGAAGGGCCTCTTCCGCCGGGGAGAGGCCCACCTGGCCGTGAATGACTTTGAACTGGCACGGGCTGATTTCCAGAAGGTCCTGCAGCTCTACCCCAACAACAAAGCCGCCAAGACCCAGCTGGCTGTGTGCCAGCAGCGGATCCGAAGGCAGCTTGCCCGGGAGAAGAAGCTCTATGCCAATATGTTTGAGAGGCTGGCTGAGGAGGAGAACAAGGTGAGGATTGGGGTGGGGAACAGTTGGAATAGCATCCCTCCACTTAACCTGGCTACTGTGGGCTCTTTGTGCCTTTGGTTGTCTGTGCCAATCCCGGAAACCAGAAGTTGCCTTTTCCCTGGAGCATTAAGGAGCACGTGTTCCTGCTGTTGGGGCCAGTGTTCTGTGATCAGTGCGGGAAACCTACCCACAAGCCCCAGAAGTTGGGTTGGTTGCCCTGAGTGTAATTCCCGATTTATGTTTTCTTGTGGGCCAGGCGCCGTGGCTCACACCTGCAATCCCAGCACTTTGCAGAGCCAAAGTGGGAGGATCACTTGAACCCAGTAGGTAGAGACCTCAGTGACTTAGGATGGCACCACTGCACCCCAGCCTGAGTGACAAAATGAAACCCCATCTCAAAAAAAGAAAAGCGAGATGCTTTTTGTGTGTGATTAAATAAATAATACACTTAGTTAAATTCAAACTGTACCAAAGTATACAGTCAAGTCTGCCTCCCCCACCAGAAGCAGCTGCCCCTTCAGGGTCTTGGATGGTCCAGTGTATTGCGTCAAGGCACAGGCAGACGTTCCTGTTGCTTCCTCCCTTTCCCCTAACACAGGCAACGTGCTCCACCTATGATTTGGCGCATACTATGCTTTTTTCACGTAATAGTAGCTGGAGGCTTATTTTACATCCGTATTTAAAGAACTTTTACATTCTTTCTTAGGCTTACATTGTATTCCATTGTATGGATATGGCTTGTCTTAGTCAATCAGTCCCTTTTTAGTCTTCCAGTGGTTTTATTTTTTTTCTTTTTCTGAGACAGAGTTTCGTTCTTGTTGCCCAGGCTGGAGTGCAATGGCATGATCTTGGCTCACTGCAAACTCCACCTCCTGGGTTCAAGCGATTCTCCTGCCTCGGCCTCCCGAGTAGCTGGGATTACAGGCGCCCGCCACCACACCCGGCTAATTTTTGTATTTTTAGTACAGACGAAGTTTCATCATGTTGACCAGGCTCTCGAACTCCTGACTTTAGTGATCTGCCCACCCCTGCCTCCCAAAGTGGTGGGATTACAGGTGTGAGCCACCACACCCAGCCAGTCTTAAACAGTGTTCTAAACCAGCACTGTCCAGTAGAAATACAGTATCAACCACATGTAATTCAAAATTTTCTGGTAACCATGTTAAAAAGGTGAAAAACAAATGGAATTAAATTTTAGTTGCATTTGTGTATTTTTCAAACCATCTTCAAAATCCAATGTATATTTTGCACTAAAAACACGAGTTTGAACTAGCCACTTACAGTAGTGGCTACCATACGGGACAGTGCTGCTTAGAACAGCATTGCAGTGAATAACCTCATGAGTTCATAATTTGTACATATACAAGTGTTCTGTTTTGTTTTGTTTGAGACAGTGTCTCTTGCCCTGCCGCCCAGGCTGGAGTGCAGTGGCACAGTCTCAGTTCACTGTAACCTCTGCCTCCAGGGCTCAAGTGATCCTCTTGTCTCAGCCTCCCGAGTAGCTGGGACTACAGGTGCATGCCACCACGCCCAGGTAATTTTTGTAATTTTTGTTGAGATGAGGTTTCACCATGTTGCCCAGGCTGATCTCAAACTTCTGGGCTCAAGCAATCTGACCACCTCAGCCTCCCAAAGTGCTGGGATTACAGGCATAAGCCACCAGGCTTGGCCTATACAGGTATAGCTTTAGGACAGATGTAGGAGAATGGGTGTATCTGTGTAATTCTGCTGGAAATTAAGTGTGTGTTTTTTCACTTGGGAAGTCAGCCCGTTTGCTGTTCATCTTCCTTGCAGGCCAAGGCAGAGGCTTCCTCAGGAGACCATCCCACTGACACAGAGATGAAGGAGGAGCAGAAGAGCAACACGGCAGGGAGCCAGTCTCAGGTGGAGACAGAAGCATAGCCCCTCTCCACCAGCCCTACTCCTGCGGCTGCCTGCCCCCCAGTCTCCCCACTCCACCCTGTTAGTTTTGTAAAAACTGAAGAATTTTGAGTGAATTAGACCTTTATTTTTCTATCTGGTTGGATGGTGGCTTTAGGGGAAGGGGGAAAGGTGTAGGCTGGGGGATTGAGGTGGGGAATCATTTTAGCTGGTGTCAGCCCCTCTTCCCTTCCTCCATTGCACATGAACATATGTCCATCCATATATATTCATCAGAATGTTAATTTATTTTGCTCCCTCTGTTAGGTCCATTTTCTAAGGGTAGAAGAGGCAAGTGGTAGGGATGAGGTCTGATAAGAACCCAGGGTGGAGAGGGAGACTCCTGGGCAGCCGTTTTCCTCATCCTTTCCCTCTCCCAGTCCATTTCCAAATGTGGCCTCCATGTGGGTGCTAGGGACATGGGAAAAACCACTGCTATGCCATTTCTTCTCTCTGTTCCCTTCCTCACCCCCGACGGTGTGGCTGATGATGTCTTCTGGTGTCATGGTGACCACCCCCTGTTCCCTGTTCTGGTATTTCCCCTGTCAGTTTCCCCTCTCGGCCAGGTTGTGTCCCAAAATCCCCTCAGCCTCTTCTCTGCACGTTGCTGAAGGTCCAGGCTTGCCTCAAGTTCCATGCTTGAGCAATAAAGTGGAAACAATAAAACCTGGGTGTCAGACAACCCTTTCTGTTCAGCCTTGGAGTGGTGGGTATGGGTGGGTACATAATGGGTAGTAGCACAATCAAGGGGTCACCCACTTAGTTCCAGTTGAGCTTAAATAAGTGAGCATCTCATGTAGATGCCATAGTTGGGCAGGAAGCAGCCCCACCATGCATGGCTTCCTGAGCACTGCACAGGCTGCCGCTGGGATTTGTGTCTATGGCTTCGCCCAAGGTTCCCAGCACTCCCTCCCTCCAGCAACCTGGCAGTTTTAGTGCCTCTGGTTTTCTTCCCTGACACTTAGGAAGACGAAAGTATAAAGATCTAGAAGACTGGGACACCATGCATGTTCATTTTGAAGTTGGAATTGGTCTTCTGCCTACCTCTGATCTGGCAGAGGTATCTGCATTTTGGTTTGTTAACAAGGTAAAACTCCTGGTGTCACTGACCTCCTCCTGTCAGATAACTTACATGATTAAGGTTAAGAGTAAAGCAGAGTGTTCACGTCCAGCTTCCTTCTCAGCCTTAACAGGAAAAGGCTTGTGCTTTTTTTCTAACTATGCTTTGACCCTTAACTCCTATGGCATGATGGGGCCCTGGGAGAAGCCAGGCAGCACAAGCCAGTCATGCTGAGCTGCCTCCAGATAATCCTGGCTCCAGGCCAGAGCCCGTGTCTGCCCTCATCCCTCTCTCCTACTGTGAGCTCTCCAGTCCTTTCCCAACAGCGATGTGGTTGTCTGCTTAGCCACATGCCTGTATAGTTCCTTCCAGAAGAAATGTATAATGGTGGAAGATGTATTTCTGTGTGAAAATTTTCACCAAGTCATACAACACAGCTGATGCTGGAGCCAGGATTAAAATTGGGGTGTACAAGTCTCCCAGTGTGAGTATCCCTTGAGCCCAAGACACCAAGGATGCAGAGAACTGTGACTGTGCCACTGCACGCCAGCCTGGGCAAGAGAGTGAGACCATCTCTTTTTTAAAAAAGTCCCTGTGTAACTGCTTTCTTACTGGGCTTACCTCACATCACAGCCCTGTGTTTGTGGTTTGTGTCTGGGTCCTCTTGGTATTTCAAAAGTAGTAGATTCTTACGCCTGCAGCCAACAATAATCACTAACTCAAGCATTTATGGAGTAAGCCTAGCACTGTACTGACAGCATCACATGAGTGAAACTGAATCCTTGCAACCATCCTACAAAGAAGGTATAACTTTAATAACCCTATTTACAGATAAGAAAACCAAGACTCAGAAGTTAAATGGAAAGGTGAGGTCTCTGAACTAATCCAGACTCTCCCATGAGGTTCCTTTGGCAAGTCCTGGGCTTCTGTCCTCATCTGCAAAATCGAAAGCATTCCTGAGGTTTCTTCCAGCTCTGCATCCTGTAGGATTCCAAGAATGTAAAACTGCATGTAACCGTGGAACATCTAGAGATAAGTCTTAGTTTATGTAACATTAAAACTGTCTAGTGAGGATGTTTTGTTAAAATGCCTACAAGTCTTTCAGCCTAAAAATAATCCTGCCACATACTCAAGTCTGCCCTGGGTCAGTGCTACAAGTTCATTTCCCAGTCAGTTGTCCCTGCCTACCGACACTTAAATCTTTCTATATGCAGAGAAATGTGCCTGAAGAAAGAAAAGTTAGTAGCAAGCAGTACTGTGAGCTTTTAACAAGCTTTGCAAGTGGTCTCTAGAAAAATTTAAAATAGGGTTTATCTTGCCCTAGTGCTGGTTCTAACATCGAGTTCCATGAATTTTATCTCCCAAGTATTTCTACTCCCTCCATACTAGTACCGCTCCCTCCCATCACCATGCACTCCAGCCTGCTCTCCTGCAAATCCCAGGCTCCTATCTGGGATTCCCTCCTGCCCCTCCTGCAGTTCACTCTGTACTGCATCCCAATCGTGTCCCTCCGAGTACTTAAATCACTTTCAATGATTACCCATCCCATTTAGGCTAAAGAATCCTTATCATGGCCCACAAAACCCTGCAAGGCTTGGCAAAGTGCACTTAACACTTGCCCTCACTCTATGCCAGCTTCGCCACCCTGAGGGTGAATGGAGGACTGTATTCCATTTCCATTGGAGAAAAAATATGTGAAAGGCACTTTATGCAGGACTAGTAAAGTGTAGTATCTTTTTAGAAAATGTCATTACTGGAAAAAGTTAGAAAGCAGAACTTCTCAAACCTTATTCCTGTTACGTCTCAGTGACTAATTTTCCCTTTCCAAATGCAAAACACCTCAGAACCTTAAAACAAGTTGAAACGACAATGCATTAAGGGCAGTGCTGAATACAACCAATGTAAGAGTCTGGACATTGTAAGTAAGGAAAATTTGTTCTCTTTCTGGAATTCATTATTGCTGCCTTATGGCTACAGTTCCCCAGCTGTTTGCCAACCTCAGATGATGTGGATGCATTAACTATCCCCAGTTAGAAAACCTAGAAATAATAAAAACATTAATTTATCCTGTGCTAAATAACACTACCAATTTTTTTAATTTAATTTATTTTCTTTTTTTTTTTTTGGAGATGGAGTCTTGCTGTGTTCCCCAGGCTGGAGTGCAGTGGCGCAATCTTGGCTCACTGGAACCTCCACGTCCTAGGTTCAAGCAATTCTCTCTCAGCCTTCCAAGTGGCTGGGACCACAGGCGCACGCCACCACGCCTGGCTAATTTTTGTATTTTTAGTAGAGACAGGGTTTTGCCATATTGATCAGGCTGGTCTTGAACTCCTGACCTCAGGTGATCCACCCGCCTTGGCCTCCTAAAGTGCTGGAATTACAGGCGTGAGCCACTGCGCCCAGCCTATTTTTTTTTTCTTTTTTTTGTTTTTTTGTTTGTTTGTTTGTTTAAGACAGGGTCTCACTATTTTGCCCAGGCTCAGTGCAGTGATGCAGTTACAGCTCACTGCAGCCTCGACCTCCTGGGCTCAAGAGATCCTCCCAACTCAGCCTCCGGAGTAGCTGGGAGGGACTACAGGCACATGGCACCATGCCCAGCTTTTTTTTTTTTTTTCCAGACAGAGTGTAGCTCTTGTTGCCCAGGCTGGAGTGCAATGGCGCAATCTCAGCTCACCGCAACATGTGCCTCCCAGGTTCAAGCAATAATCCTGCCTCAGCCTCCTGAGTAGCTGGGATTACAAGTGCCTACTACCATGCCCAGCTAATTTTTGTACTTTTAATAGAGATGGGGTTTCACCATGTTGGCCAGGCTGGTCTCGAACTCCTGACCTCAGGAGATCTGCCTGCCTAAGCCTCCTAAAGTGCTGGGATTACAGGCGTGAGCCATTGTGCCCTGCCATGCTATACCAATTTGAGAGGCAAAGTAAGAGTGAATGGTCTCAGGGATGATCAAGAAAAAGCAATGCCTTTGTGAATGTCAAGGGTCCTGTGGCTAGAAGAGAGGATCAGCATGTATATTCTATATTCCATTGGATCTTCAGTCTCCTGTTTTAGAAGTGCATCAGACATAAACTGATTTGTATTTTTTTAGGTGAAATTCACATTTTTAGGTGAAACAAAGTTAACCATTTTAAATTCAACAGTTTGGTGGCCATTTAGTCTTTACAGTGTTAATCTAGTTCCAAAACGTCTTCCTCATTCTTTGTGTTTTAACCCTGTCTCCTAATGTTTAAGTGACACAGTGACAGTGAACTTCTCATCCATCAGTAGTCTTGAGCAGACAATCCTGATGAGTTAGTTCTAGGATTAAAGCGTCCCAGAGTTGGTGGTGCATTTTAACAGGGGCAAACTTGAGGAAGGCAGTGAGACTTAGTAGAGCTCTGAATAACAGCATTTCACCCGGTGCAGAGCTGCCCCACACTACTCTGCCAGTTTCTAGGACAAAAAACCTAACTTTTCCAACAGTTTAATATGCTAAGGTGTACCATGAATGAGAGAGGGGAGGGGGAAATGGTGATATAAGCCAAACCAAGCCCATTGAGAAGCCATGGACCCTGCCCCCAAGGTGGTGAGGCTCTGGGCCTCATGTTTTGAAAGATACTTGGAGACCCTGTTTCTTACCTGGGCACCCTGGGCAAACACAAACCATTCTGTCTACTGTTGGAGGATGAAGTACACAAAGAATCTTCCTAGAAATGCTTCCCACTGGCTGGGCGCAGTGGCTCACGCCTGTAATCCCATCACTTTGGGAAGCCAAGGCAGGCGGATCACGAGGTCAGGAGATCAAGACCATCCTGGCTAACACGGTGAAACCCCGTCTCTACTAAAAATACACACACAAAAAAAAAATTAGCTGGGTGTGGTGGCGGGAGCCTGTAGTCCCAGTTACTGGGGAGGCTGAGGCAGGAGAATGGTGTGAACCTGGGAGGTGGAGCTTGCAGTGAGTCAAGAGCGCGCCACTGCACTTCAGCCTGAGCGACAGAGTAAGACTCCATCTTAAAAAAAAAAAAAAAGAAAGAAACGCTCCCCACTTAATCCCCCCATCCCCTCCTATGGAGATTTCTATTGTTTGTAAAGAATATGCCACTCATATAACTGTATCCATGTCACCTAACCAGGAAGATACCCTAATTAGACAGTTTTGGGGAGCAAGACAAAAACCAGCAGAAAGAGTGCTTGGCTTAGACAAGATGGAGTTTAGATGGTGCCCAAAGAGACCTAGCAACCTTCCAACTAGAAAGGGGCCAAGACCAGGAGTGCTCTTTGTGGAGCCAGGGATCTGTCCATATGGCTTGACAATGCCTAGTCATACAAAACACTCACTGGACTTAAAGTAACTGATGCAAGGTGGGGAGAGGCACAGGCATGGAAGGACTTCACTTGTGCCCTATTTCTTGGAGACCTATCTTTCCTGCCTAACTTTATTTGGCTCTCTTGACAAAAGCCAAAAAGTGTGGTATAGAAGTTGTGATCATACGTCTAGGCATGGTGGCCTGTAATCCCAGCACTTTGGGAGGCCGAGCACTTTGATCACCTGAGGTCAAGAGTTCAAGACCAGCCTGGCCAACATGGTGAAACCCTGTCTCTACTACAAAAAAAATTATCTGGGCATGGTCGTGGACACCTGTAATCCCAGCTACTCGGGAGGCTGAGGCAGGAGAATCGCTTGAACCCGGGAGGCGGAGGTTGCGGTGAGCCAAGATCGCACCATTGCACTCCAGCCTGGGCAAGAAGAGTGAAACTCAAAAAAGTGAAAAAGAAGGCCAGACACAGTGGCTCACGCCTGTAATCCCAGCACTTTGGGAGGCTGAGGTGGGTGGATCATGAGGTCAGGAGATTGAGACCATCCTGGCTAACACAGTGAAACCCATTCTCTACTAAAAATACAAAAAATTAGCCGGGTGTGGTGGCGGGTGCCTGTAGTCTCAGCTTCTCGGGAGGCTGAGGCAGGACAATGGCGTGAACCCGGAGGGCAGAGCTTGCAGTGAGCTGAGATCGTGCCACTGCACTCAGCCTAGGCGACAGAGCGAGACTCCATCTCAAAAAAAAAAAAAAGTAAAAAAGAAGTTGTGATCATAATTACATGACCTTCATGGCAAACATATTCTACAATTAAAAACAGACACCCCGTGTCACAGAAAGATCCAGACCAAGAAACCCAAATGATGAGGAAGATAAAACTAAGGCACTGGGGAATCCTGGGTTGGGGTCTGATCTTAGATAACTGGGTCAGGCCAAGGCACCTGATGAAAGAAGCTGGGTGATCTCATCTCTTGTTCTGAGTTATTTAGTAATATATTTTTTTAAAACCACTTCAGAGGCCGGGCGTGGTGGCTCATGCCTATAATCTCAGCACTTTGGGAGGCCGAGGCAGGCAGATCACAAGGTCAGGAGTTCAAGACCAGCCTGGCCAATATGGTGAAACCCCGTCTCTACTAAAAATACAAAAACAATTGGCTGGGCGTGGTGGCAGTCTCCTGTAGTCCCAGCTACTCAGGAGGCTAAGGCAGGAGAATCGCTTGAACCCGGGAGGCGGAGGTTGCAGTGAGCCGAGATCGTGTCATTGCACTCCAGCCTGGGTGACAGAGGGAGACTGCCTCAGAAAAAAAGAAAGAAAGAAAGAAAAAACCATTTCAGAGGTAAAGTTTTTTTTTTTTTTTTTTTTTTGGAGACAGAGTCTCACTTTCACCCAGCCTGGAGTGCAGTGACACCACCTTGGCTCACTGCAACCTCTGCCTCTTGGGCTCAGGAGATCTTCCCGCCTCAGCCTCCTGAGTAGCTGGGACCACAGGCATGCACCACTATGCCCAGCTAATTTTTGCATTTTTGGTGGAGTCATGGTTTTGCCATGTTGTCCAGGCTGGTCTTGAACTCCTGAGCTCAAGTGATCTGCCTGCCTCAGTCTCCAAAAGTGCTGGAATTACAGGCATGAGCCTCCACAGCCAACCTAGAGGTGAACATTTTGATACTGGTTTTGGTTTTCCCACCCCTTAAAGGCCTAATATGAAGCTTAGGATTTGAACTAGGATGAGAGAATAGAGATGGGGTAGAACACGGGGTGAGGGAGCATGCAACTGCTCTGTAAATGAGAAAATGTATTCAAAGCACCAGGAATACCTGTGGGACCCAGTGCCTTTTAATGGACCTGGCCATCCCACAGTACACAACCAGAAATATGAACTTGTAACACAGTTCAGCTTCAGAATATATCTGCAGTCTCCAGTATTTGTCCAGACTTCCTCCAGTTTACTGTTCTGACCTGCTGTTCTTTCTTACCTGGCTGTCAGATCCACTGGGACATCTAGGAAAAAATCTGCCACCCCCTTCCCCCAAGAAAAGGTCTTGCCCTCCAGCCTCCTCCCACTATGTACAGACATAGAAAGTAGGGACAAGCCGGGCATGGTGGCTCACGCTTGTAATCCCACCTACCTGGGAGGCTGAGACACAAGATCTCGAGCCTGGGAGGCGGAGGTTGCAATGAGCCCAGATCGCACCACTGCACTCCAGAGCAAGACTCTCAAAGAAAAAAAAGAAAGAAAAAGAAAAAAGGGGCCGGGCGCAGTGGCTCACGCCTGTAATTCCAGCACTTTGGGAGGCCGAGGCGGGCAGATCAAGAGGTCAAGAGATCAAGACCATTCTGGCCAACATGGTGAAACCCCGTCTCTACTAAAAGTACAAAAATTAGCTGGGCGGCCGGGCGCCGGTGGCTCATGCCTGTAATCCCAGCACTTTGGAAGGCCGAGGCGGGTGGATCACGAGGTCAGGAGATCGAGACCATCCTGGCTAACACGGTGAAACGCCGTCTCTACTAAAAATACAAAAAATTCTCCTTGAGTGGTAGCGGGCGCTTGTAGTCCCAGCTACTCCGGAGGCTGAGGCAGGAGAATGGCTTGAGCCCGGGAGGCGGAGCTTGCAGCGAGCCGAGATCGCACCACTGCACTCCAGCCTGGGTGACAGAGCGAGACTCCGTCTCAAAAAAAAAAAAAATTAAATTAAATTAAATTAAAAATTAGCTGGGCGTGGTGGCGCTCGCCTGTAGTCTCAGCTACTCGGGAGGCTGAGGCAGGAGAACTGCTTGAACCTGGGAGGCAGAGGTTGCAGTGAGCCGAGATTGCGCCACTGCACTACAGCCTGGGCAACAGAGCGAGACTCTGTCTCAAAAAAAAATAAAAATAAAAATAAAAAAAAAAAAGATAAAAAGGAACAGCCCCTGGTCCAAAATCCCAGATAAGGTAGAATCATTTTTTTTTTTTTTTTGAAACACCAAGTGCGAGTCAGCCTGGGTTTTTAGACCTAAATCTAAAAATGTATTGAACACCTGTATGATTTCATAAATATTGCCCTGATTGACGAGGCACCCCAAAGAAAGGCAGAACTGGATTCAACATGGAAAGAAAGTATCCCAAGAAGCCAGCCATGAGAGTGACAGTCCCATCTGTGCTACAAGAGTAAGGCTACTGAGGTTGAGATGCAAGAGCTTTGTGCTGGGGGGCCACAAGACAGAGCAGATCCGGAATCCAGGCAACCTTCACTTCCAGCCTGAAGACTCTCCTACGAACTATGATAGTAAATGATGGAGAGGCCCTAGGGTTTGGGATCAAACAATTCTGGTTTGAGCACGCACCCCGCCCCACAATCCTTCCTTCTGCCATTTTACTTAATCTTGCTGAACCTGTTTTCCTCAGCCAAAAAAAAAAAAAGCTCGCATAGTGGCTGAACTAATTATGTGAAATATGTGAAATGTGCTTTGCAGCAGGTGGCTTTTAAACTATTGACCAGAAAACACATACACTGAAAAAAAAAATTTTTTTTACATTATAAGCCAGTATACACATATAAGTATATACAATTGAAACAAGAGTTTCACAAAAACTGTACTTACCTTACTACCTGGGAGTCACTTGGTATATTACTATTGTATTTAATTTTTTATATGCTGATTGCAACTCACTACATTGTTTTCACTCCTAATGGGTAGTTTTTTAAAAACACTTTTCAAAACCATGCAATTATCAGTTATTACGAAGATTAGTAAGATTCTCAGGAATGGTCTGATGGCTAGGAATCTTCATTGCCAGGGAAACAAAGGAAAAAGGTCAAGGTTATTAGGTCAAGCCCTTGGGAGCCCTGTTGCCAAGGGAACAGATCGACCCCCGTCAGGGTTGGTTTACCCACGGTCTGCAGCCCTGTGGAGAAAAGGAGTGGCCCGTGGGCCTGTCACTCACATCAGAGTTGGGAAGCCCGCCTCCAAGCCCGGAAGACCCGCCTCCTCTGTAAGGTTAAAGGAGGAAGAGGCAGAGATTGGAGGTTCAGGCAGTGACGTAACTTGCTGCCTTAGGTGGCCTTCCGCTCTGGCGGCTGTCGCGACGGGGGTTCAGGGAATATTTACTGGGCCTCTCCGCTCCCTCTGCTCTTGGAGGTGCCATGAGGTCAGTTAGCTACGTGCAGCGCGTGGCGCTGGAGTTCAGCGGGAGCCTCTTCCCGCACGCAATCTGCCTCGGAGACGTTGATAACGATACGGTAGGTGCATGCGCACCGCAAGAGACAGCCTGGATCTGTGCAGGGACGGGGCAAGGGAAGTGGAAGAGGCCGCCCGAGCGTGCCACGTGAGCGTGAGCATGCGCGCTGTGGCTAGTTTGGAGCGCTAGAGAGAAAAACTTTATTGATAGCTTCAGTGTTCGTGGTTGGTTTTGTTCCTTGGGAGGTTTTGTTTGTTTTTTGAGACAGGCTCCGTCTGTCACCCAGGCTGGAGTGCAGTGGCTTGATTTCGGCTCACCGCAACCTCTGCCTCCCGGGCTCGAGCGATTCTCCTACCTCAGCCTCCCAAGGGGCTGGGATTACAGGCGCCCGCCACCACGCCCGACTAATTTTTGTGTTTTTAGTAGAGGTGGGGTTTCACCATGTTGGCCCAAAGTGCTGGGACTACAGGCCTGAGCCATCGTGCCCAGCCCTTCTCGTTTTTTAAATAAATTACCACAGGTCAAGCAGGTAAAACAATGCCTGGCACACAGTTTAGTGCTCACTTAAGTGTTAGTGGTGGTGGTGGTGGTGTTAGTATTTTATTCTGTTTTTCTGCAAATCTTTACTGAACTGCTCATTATGCACCAAGGACTCTGCTACATTCTAGGAATTCAAAAATGAACGAGAGAGTTCCAGTCCTCAGATAGCTCATAATCAAGCTGTGTAATAGTCACCGGATAATAAAATGTAATGAGATGCATTGACTAAAGTATGGAGAGGATTCTCCGGTGGAGCATTAAAGGGAATAGTGTCTGATGCTCTTTTTTTTGCAGACTTTATCTTTTCATTTATCATCTATTTCATAGTTCTAATGCAAAGCACTGTATTGCCCCCTTCTACCCTCTGCCCTATCTTCCTACTCGGCCTCCCTGCTTCACAGTTCCTTAACTGTCCTGTACTTATTTCCCACCGCCCCCTAGTGCTGTGATGCAGAAGGTATCTTATGAGGCCTTTTTTGGCTCTACCCTCTCTGGGGAGGAAAGAGTTATTCTCATAAATTTGTGTTATGTTTTCTGGGCTTTCGTGTTTCTTCATGAACTGCCAAGCAGTCCAATTTTATGAGAAAATTAGAGGAGGAATTTTTAAAATTTTTTTGTTTTTTATAGAGACAGGGTCTCACTCTGTTGCCCAGGCTGGAGTGCAGTGGTGCAATCGTAGCTCACTGCAGCCTTGAACTCCTGGGCTCAAATGATTCTACTGCCCCAACCTCCTGCGTAGCTGGGACTACAGGTGCCTGCCACCATGTCTGGCTAATTTTTTTAAAGTTTTGTAGAGATGAGGTCTCACTGTGTTAACCAGGCTGTTCTCAAACCTCTGGCTTCAAGCAGTACACTGGCCTCAGTGTCCCAAAGTGCTGGAATTACAGGTGTAAGCAACCTCACCAGGCCATACTTTTAAACAGTAAATTGACAAAGCACCTTCAGATATACATTATTTTCCATTTTATCTGATTGCCTTCTTTGTTTAAAAGCATTCCCTTTTTTTATAGGTTTATAGCACCAGCTTTTTTGAAATTGTACTTATCTGAAAGAATTACACTATTACACACTCACTTCTGCAATGTTAGATATACTACCATTTTTTTTCACCTGAGTTGTAAGCTCCATTACTATAAGCTCCATAGGGGTAGGAATGTTTTAATCTGTTTTTTCCACTGCTATATTCTCAACACTTAGAACAATGTAGGCACTGGCCGGGTGTGATGGCTCACGCCTGTAATCTCAGCACTTTGGGAAGCTGAGATGGAAGGATCATTTGAGCCTAGGAGTTCGAGACCAGCCTGGGCAACACAGGGAAACTCCGTCTTTACAAAAAAATAGAAAAAATTAGCCAGGTGTGGTGGTGCATGCTTGTAGTCCCGGCTACTCAGGAGGCTGAGGCGAGAGGATTACTTGAGCCTAGGAAGTTGAGGCTGCAGTGAGCCATGATCACACTACGGTACTCCAGCTTGAGCAACAGAGTGAGACCCTGTCTCAAACAAACAACAAAAAAACAGAAAGAAAAGAAATAAGAAACGTCAAGTAATAGGTTTGATTTAAAAAAAACCAGTTTTATGCTTCTGTGATCTGATATTCTCACCAGAAAGTCCCATAACAATTATAACAATTAAAAAATAAAGATTTTTTTTTTTTTTGAGACGGAGTTTCACTCTTATTGTCCAGGCTGGAGTGCAGTGACACAATCTCGGCTCACTGCAACCTCTGCCTCCCAGGTTCAAGCGAACCTTGGCCTGCCTCGGCCTCCCAAAAGTAGCTGGGATTACAGGCGTGAGCCACCGCGCCCAGCCAGAAATCAAAGATTCAAATAAATTCCAATTTGTTTCTAACTTTTCCTTACTGTTCACCTGTTTATCTCTGTTGCCTTTAGAACTAAATTTCTTGAGAGTATTAGTTCAATGTATTCTGGGAACAGGAAGGGGATGTTGGCTGTACCCCCAAGAGGAGATCATAAAGCAGTTTGCGGAAGTGGGGTTTGAAGCCACTTGGTTAACATCGTGAGCCCCTGTAAAGGGCAGCTACCCAGATACAAATGGTGGAGAGGCTCCATACAGGGACCTCCCTTCTCTAGAGCTTAGCCATCACTTGAGGGCACTGGAGGCCCAGAGTGGGGAGCAGCCCCTTCAGGCTCTGCCCCCTCAGGCCCCACCATCCTTTGTGGTTCCCACATACACCTCAAGATCAAAAGGCCTTGCTAGAGGAGGGAAGGCCCCAAGAGTTCACATTGTCTTTTTATTTGGCCCCTGATTAAACATGAGGTCTGAAGTTAGATTCTCCAAAACTCCACCATCTTGGGCTGTTTTCAAAACATGTCCCATTTGTAATGGGCAAATTCAAAGAGCCAAAGTCAGGCATGTGTAACCTAGAGCTGTTCAGGTCGCATACTTTTCTGGGGTGGGCCATAGATTGTGTGTAGCCTCAATTCCTGTAACCTCTCCTGCCCCCTAACACACACACCCCTAAATGGAAATAAAGAACTGGGAAACTATGGTTGTGTTGGCCTCAAAAGATTGTTTTGTTTTGTTTTTTGAGACAGGGTCTTGTTCTGTCACCCAGGCTGGACTGCAATGGCACGATCATGGCTCACTGCAGCTTCAGGTTCCTGAGCTCAAGTGATCCTCCTTCCTCAGCCTCCTGAGTAGCTGAAGCTGCAGGTGTGCACCACCACACCTGGATAATTTTTTTTTTTTTTTTTTGAGACAGAGTCTCGCTCTGTCATCAGGCTGGAGTGCAGTGGCACGATCTCGGCTCACTGCAACCTCCACCTCCTGGGTTCAGGCAGTTCTCCTGCCTCAGCCTCCCGAGTAGCTGGGATTACAGGTGTGTACCACCACGCTCAGCTAATTTTTGTATTTTTAGTACAAACGGGGTTTTACCATGTTGGCCAGGCTGGTCTCGAACTCCTGACCTCATGTGATCCACCCGCCTCGGCCTCCCAAAGTGCTGGGATTATCGGCGTGAGTCACCGCACACAGCCTTTTTTTTTTTTTTTTTGAGACAGAGTCTCGCTCTGTCGCCCAGGCTGGAGTGCAGTGGTACAGTCTTGGCTCACTGCAAGCTCTGCCTCCCGGGTTCACACCATTCTCCTGCCTCAGCCTCCCGAGTAGCTGGGACCACAGGCGCCCGCCACCATGCCCGGCTAATTTTTTGTAGTTTTAATAGAAACAGGGTTTCACTGTGTTAGCTAGGATGGTCTCAATCTCCTGACCTCATGATCCGCCCGCCTTGGCCTTCCAAAATGCTGGGATTACAGGCATGAGCCACTGCGCCTGGCCTTTTTTTCTTTTTTTTTTTTTTTTTTGAGAGACAGGGTCTCACTCTGTCACCCAGGCTAGAGTACAGTGGTGCAGTCTTGCTCACTCACTGCAACCTCTACCTCCCAGGCTCAAGCAATTCTCCTGCCTCGGTGTCCCGAGTAGTTGGGACCACAGGCATGCACCACTATGCTTGGGTAATTTTTGTATTTTTTGTAGAGACAAGGTTTCACCATGTTGGCTAGGCTGGTCTCGAATTCCTGAGCTCAACCAACCAATCCACCCGCCTCCACCTCCCAAAGTGCTGGGATTATAGGCATGAGCCACTGCACCTGGCCTCACCTGGCAAATTTTTAAATTTTTTTGTAGAAATGGGATCTTGCCATGTTGCCCAGGCTGGTCTCTAACTCTTGGCCTCAAGTGATCCACCCACCTCCACCACCCAAAGTAGTGGGATTACAAGTGTGAGTCATTGCACCTGGCCAGACTTTTAATAAAGTAGATGAAGATACAAGTTGAGGTCTTGTGATTACCCTTGGCTAGGCTAAGTAGAGAAGAGCTTGAAGAGGTTCAGCAGAGTCCCATCCTAACGCTTTCTTCTCTCTCCATTTGAAGTTAAATGAACTGGTGGTGGGAGACACCAGCGGGAAGGTGTCTGTGTATAAAAATGATGACAGTCGGCCATGGCTCACCTGTTCCTGCCAGGGAATGGTCAGTATTCACTTCCCTGGGCCTGGAGGGGGGAAGGGATCCCTTCTGTCCAGGGACCACCTAGGGTGAGCCCCACACAGGTGCTCACCCATGTGTCCTGACTCCCTAGCTACTGGGCCCAGCCACTGACTTGCAGCCAATTTGATTCAGGGAGGGCAGCCCCCAGCTAGTGCTCCCATCTGTCCTCACACACGCGTGCGTGGGCTGGGGTGTTTTTGTGTCGTGGAGTACTCCTTGACACTTTATGGAAGTTGCCTAAGGTTGTCTAATCTTAAAGTATAGTCAAAAATGGGGGCAATAATTTGAGTAAGTCTAGAAATGTGATAGCCTAGCTCTATTAAATACAGAGTTTCTATTTTATTTTAAGTGCAGGTTGTCTTAACCGCCTCAGGTCTTCATGTTGCTGTCTGGGTAAACCAAACCTACAGCACAGTAACGCCGTTAATAAAGACCATCACCATGGTTCATATGGCGAAAGTCTTCAGTGAGCGATGGTGATTAGAAAACCTGCCCGCTCCTCCTGCTTCACAGAGATCAGGGAGTACTGGTCTCCCTTAGCGTCTCCCTGAGCCTCCCTTTCTCTCTTACAGCTGACTTGCGTTGGGGTTGGAGACGTGTGTAATAAAGGAAAGGTAAGAACTATAGGGGACCTTCCTTGGTTCTTAGCTCACAGTGGAAATCAGTTGAAGGTTAAAGGCTTCAGCTCTGACCTCTGTGATCTGATGATCAGGCTTGTTTCCAAAACTCCCTCCCCAGTCCATCTCTACTATACCTCTGTTTGTCCTAGAACCTGTTGGTGGCAGTGAGTGCTGAAGGCTGGTTTCATTTGTTTGACCTGACACCTGCCAAGGTGTTGGATGCTTCTGGGCACCACGAGACACTAATCGGAGAGGAGCAGCGTCCAGTCTTCAAGCAGCACATCCCTGCCAACACCAAGGTCATGCTGATCAGCGACATCGGTGGGCATGCCTACCTTTGCAGGCAGCCAGGAGAGTAGGAGTCAGTGGATACTAGAGCATATCCCAAGGGATTGGGGTGAGAGGGAGAATCCGTATTCATGTATGCATTTGTTATGTGCTGAGCTCCCATGATAAGCCAGGCATCACTCAAGGCACTGGAATTGCCATAGTGAATAAATAGACAAAAATTGCTGCCCTCCTGGGCCTTATTATGAAGAAACAGAAAAGAAACAATATAGGCTAGGTGTGCTGCCTCTCGCCTGTGATACCAACGCTTTGGGAGGCTGAGATGGGAGGATCACTTGAGGCCAGGAGTTCCAGGCTGTAGTGAGCTATGATCTCACCACTGCACTCCACTCCAGCGTGGGACCCTGTCTCTATTTAAAAAAGGAAAAGAAAAGAAAAACTATACATTTTGTAAGATAATTAAGTAGTATATTAGAAGGTAGTAAGTACACGGCCAGACGTGATGGCTCATCCCTATAATCCCACGACTTTGGGAGGCCAAGGCAGGCAGATCACTTGAGTTCAGGAGTTTGAGACCAGCCTGGCCCACACGGTGAAACTCTGTCCCTACTAAAAATACAAAAAGTAGCCAGGCATGGTGGCAGGCACCTGTTATCCCAGCTACTCAGGAGACTGAGGCAGGAGAATCGCTTGAACCCGGGAGACGGATGTTGCAGTGACCCAGGATCATGCCACTGCACTCTAGCCTAGGCAACAGACTCCGTCTCCAAAAAAAAAAAGAAAATAAGTGCAGCCGACCACGGTGGTTCACGCCTGTAATCCCAGCACTTCGAGAGCACTTTGAGAGGCTAAGGCAGGCGGATCCCTTAAGCTCAGGTGTTCGAGACCAGCCTGACCAACATAGTGAAACCCCGTCTCCAGTAAAAATACAAAAATTGGGCTGGGCACGGTGGCTCACGCCTGTAATCCCAACACTTTGGGAAGCCGAGGAGGGCAGACCACAAGGTCAGGAGACCGAGACCATCCTGGCTAACACAGTGAAACCCCGTCTCTACTAAAAATACAAAAAAAAAATTAACCGGGCATGGTGGTGGGCACCTGTAGTCCCAGCTCCTTGGGAGGCTGAGGCAGGAGAATGGCATGAACCCAGGAGGCAGAGCTTGCAGTAAGCCGAAATCGCGCCACTGCACTCCAGCCTAGGCGAGAGAGCGAGACTCCGTCTCAAAAAAAAAAAAAATGAGCTGAGCGTGGTGGCATATGCCTGTAATCCCAGCTACTCTAGAGGCCGAGGCAGGAGAATTGCTTGAGCCCGGAAGGTGGAGGTTACAGTGAGCCAAGATTGTGCCACTGCACTCCAGCCTGGGTGACAAAGACTCTGTCTCAAAAAAAAAAAAATATATAGTAAGTGCAATGGAGAAAATAATTCACAGAAAGAGCTAGAGTGTCGAGGTAGAGGTAGCAATTTTAAATGGAGATGTTAGGGAAATCCTCACTGAGAAGGTAACATTTGGTGAAAAAAAAAAAAAGTGGCAAGCAAGGGAACCATCCAGATAGGGGGCTTGTAGGTGGTGGGAGATACGTGGGATGAATTGGGACACTTTGAGTTGCATGTTTGAGAAGTAATATGAAGGCAGAGAGCGGATAGGAGCTGCGGAACAGATGGACCAAATGGACGGGCAAGATGCCGCAAACACAGGCAGGGGCGGGGGCAGACTGAGGGTGAAGTGAGTAGCACCGCAGATCGGGTGTGAAGCCGCACTGGCTGGAAGGTGCCACTGTTAGCAGAGGAGCGGGGGCTGCTCGTGGGACTCCAGAGCCCATCTTGTCTTTCATGCCCACAGATGGAGATGGGTGTCGTGAGCTGGTGGTGGGCTACACAGACCGTGTGGTGCGAGCTTTCCGCTGGGAGGAGCTAGGTGAGGGTCCTGAACATCTGACAGGGCAGCTGGTGTCCCTCAAGAAATGGATGCTGGAGGGTCAGGTAAGAAGCTGACTCTGGGGAACAAGGCCCCAGGGAGCTGGGAGGAAGGTCTCCTGGAGGAGGTAGTGGGAGAGCAGTCATGGGACAGGGCCAGGGTGGGGAGAAGTGAAAAGTCACCTTGTCAAGAGAGATCCAAAGACCATTTCAAATCAGGGGCTTAGGGGAAATTGCTAGTAACAGGCAAAGAGAAGGGCATGTTGGGCTAAGAATGAGGAGTGTGAAGGTAGGTGTGGAGTGGGCCGCATCAGGACCTAGACCCCAGCTGGGACATGCACAGGGGAAAGCATGTGGTCTGTGTGGAGAGGACGGTGCCAGGCAGGAGCCCTGGAAACTCGAAATCCTTCCTCCTGCTGCTACCCTTGAAGCCCAGAGGGCTGTTCCCAGGACTGCTGCCCTGCCCCTGCCCCCGCCCCCGCCCACCCACCGCCCCCTGCCGTTCTCTGCAGGGACCCACTTCCTTCTCTCTCCGTCTCCCTTTAATCCCATTCCCTGGTGCAGGTGGACAGCCTCTCAGTGACTCTGGGGCCACTGGGTCTTCCTGAACTGATGGTGTCTCAGCCAGGTTGTGCGTATGCAATTCTACTGTGTACCTGGAAAAAGGACACTGGGTCCCCTCCTGCCTCTGAAGGGCCCACGGATGGTAGTAGGTAAGGGGGTACAGGCCAGTGGATGGTGTGGGGGTGCATGGAAGCAGGATGGGCTCCCAGATGCCACATGGTAGTAAAATGGGTCTGCAGTTGGCAGAGCTGCCTCATCTAGGTCCCAACCCAAGCACCTTTGCCCCACTGGGGAAGATTACTTTAAGACCAAGGGAATCCTGGGCTCTAACTTTGTAGCACCTGAAAGAGGTCCTGAGATTCCAACCTGGCAGCCCCATCCCTGTCTTTTCTGTTTGCCACATGGGCCAGATAGGGTCAGTGGTAGGTTTCTAAGCTGATTCAAATCCCAGAAGCTCTTGCAGGGATAGGGGTTACAAAGGGCTGGAGAGCTCAGCTCACTTGGTCTCCCGCTTGATCCGTCCACCTGCTGTGCACAGGGAGACCCCAGCTGCCCGAGACGTGGTGCTGCACCAGACATCTGGCCGTATCCACAACAAGAATGTCTCCACTCACCTAATTGGCAACATCAAACAAGGTGAAAGTGTGGTGGGTGTGAGGGAGGGAGATGAGGGGTAGCCGTCAGTTCTGGAGGAGTGGAGATCCATAGCTTTCCCCTCATTTCGAGCCCTGTCCTTCCCCTGCTGCTGCAGAACACCCCTCTCCCCGTAGGCTCTGACCTTGCCCTGCCCTTTACATATTCTTCCTCTGGTCCTCACAGGCCACGGCACTGAGAGTAGTGGCTCTGGCCTCTTTGCCCTGTGCACCCTGGATGGTGAGCAATGCTAGGATGGGGTGTGGGGGCTGTATGCCTGTAGGGTCTGCTCGGGGCCTATCCCACCCACACTCAGCCTGCCTCTCCCCCGGCAGGGACACTGAAGCTCATGGAAGAAATGGAAGAAGCAGACAAGCTGCTGTGGTCAGTGCAGGTGGATCACCAGCTCTTTGCCCTGGAGAAACTGGATGTCACCGTGAGTGGAAAACCTGGCAGAGCAGAGCATTCCTGCGTTTTCCACATGGAGAGATGAGATTTGGAATAATCAGGCTATTCTCACATCCCAGGGAACTCCCAACCTTTATCTTTAGTCTCTGTCTCTTTTTTTTTTTTCCTTTTTTTTTTTTTTGAGACAGGGTCTCCCCCCTACCACCTAGGCTGGAGTGCAGTGGCATGATCTTGGTTCACTGCAACCTTTTCTGCTAGACTGAAGCCATTCTGTCACCTCAGCCTCCTGAGAAGCTGGGACTACAGGCGTGTGCCACCACACTGGGCTAACTTTCCTAAACTTTTTGTAAAGATGAGATCTCACTATATATGGTTTCAAACTCCTGGGCTCAAGCAATCCTCTCGTCTTAGCCTCCCAAAGTGTTGGAATTACAGGCATGAGCCACTGTGCCTGGCCGTAAGTCTCTTTAGATAGGTCTAAATCCATCTGAAGCGAGTTTGTTTCCTCTTACTCGACCATAATTAATGCTATACTGTGCTGTTAGAAGTCTGTCATTTCCATAACTTCAGCAGAAGTAGTAGCCCCAAAGAAAAGTTACTGTAAGAGCCTGGAAGTGTGTTATTCATCCCAACTCCAGAGGCATATTTTGTAGGTTTTTCTTGTCCATATATGAATCTCTATTTAATATCACTGTGGCCCCTGAATCAGCAGGTAGGGGCTATACTTTATATTGCCATCAGGCATGCTTGTTGGTTTAGGAGAAGAGGCAGACCTGGGTTTGAATCCTGATTCTGCTGCCTCCTAGCTGAGTGGCCTTGGGTGAGTGACTCTATTTCTATGAGCTGAGGTTTCCTCAGTATAAAATTGCCTACTTCCTAGGGTGGCTGTGAGCATTATGTGAGGTGGCTCATTTGACAGTTGCGTTTACTGCCGAACCCACGGGTGAAATTCCTCCCCAGCTCGCTGTTTGTCATCCAGAATCCAGTCCACAGCTCCTTTATGTTCCTTTTGTCTCTGTCCTTTTTCAGGGCAACGGGCATGAGGAGGTAGTTGCATGCGCCTGGGATGGACAGACATATATCATTGATCACAACCGCACCGTCGTCCGCTTCCAAGTGGATGAAAATATCCGTGCCTTCTGTGCAGGTGACCCCCGCCCCCATGGCCCCTTTCTAACCACACTTAAGTTAGATAGGCGTGTTAGGCATGCCAGGGAAGTGTTTGCCCCTCACTTCCCTTTCTGACGTATCCCCTGATGTAAGTCTTCATTCACCAGTGAGTTCTTCAGCTCTTTTGTTTGGGGGTGAGGGGTGAGTGATGTAAGTCTTCATTCACCGTGAGTTCTTCAGCTCTTTTGTTTGGGGGTGAGGGGTGGTCACTACATTGCCATCTTGACAATTTTAAATAAGAAGAAATAAAAGACAGTAACATCTCCACCCCGAATATTTTAAAGAATGGAATGAGTTTCTGTCATCTGTCTGGGATGTGTGAAGACATCAGGAAGTTCTTTTCCACCTCAGCATGCCAGGTCTCTGTGAAGAAAGTTCTCCTAGAGCATTTTCATTAGTTCCAAATCAGGGGCCTTGGGAGGCAGCACTCACTCTCTGGGTGACTGGGGGATGCATTTGGAAGGAGGGATTGGCACCTAAGAGAAGCTTTACTTTCTGATCGTGTTTTGCTAGTCTCGCCCTTGGGCGAGCAATGCCATCCCTCATCACTCCAGGGATATCACTAAGATGGGAAAAGCAATAAATAGCACCTTTTTGGATGCTATTCTGCCCGGGTTTTGTTACTATGGTTTTTCTACATCTGAAGTGAGCCAGGTCTTTTCCCATCTTACTTGTTTTACTGAGTTCCCAACAGAGAAGAAATAACCTTTAATTTTTTTCCTGACATCAGTGGGAGGATGGAAAGTGCTGACTCGGAGGTCTGTGTCTTGCTGTCTGCCCCCCACTGTCGGCACTGAAACTTCCTGACCTTTATCTCCCTGCCAACATCTTCCAGGCCTGTACGCCTGCAAAGAGGGCCGCAACAGCCCCTGCCTCGTATATGTCACTTTCAACCAGAAGATCTATGTGTACTGGGAGGTGCAGCTGGAGCGGATGGAGTCTACCAATCTGGTGAAACTGCTGGAGACCAAGCCGGAGTACCACAGCCTGCTGCAGGAGCTGGGCGTGGGTGAGTCCCAGAAAAGCCAGTGGCCCGAGTGCCCAGGAGACCCACAGCATGCTGCAGGAGCTGGGCGTGGGTGAGTCCCAGAAAAGCCAGTGGCCCGGGTGCCCAGGAGACCCACAGCCTCTTACCCACCCCTTCTTGGCTCTCAGATCCTGACGACCTCCCTGTGACTCGTGCCCTGCTTCACCAAACGCTCTACCATCCAGACCAGCCACCACAGTGTGCTCCCTCAAGCCTCCAGGATCCCACCTAGCTGTACTTGCCTCATAGCTGGTGAAGGATTCTTCTGAACCCCCACCCTACCCCCTAAAGGTATCTGTGGTATTGGCAGGATAGGGAATATGCATTACAGAAATGCAGGATTTGACTCTGGGCATGAAAGATGGCAGCAGCCCTAGGGTGACCGTGAACTATAGACCTCGCAGTCTTTTCGGTGAAAGAAGAGACAAGTTGACCCTCTGCCCATTTCCTTATGGACCTCACCCATCATGCCAGCAGGGTCATAGGACCCTGGCCTTGTTCCAAATCATCTGGGACATGACCCACTCCCCACTGTCACTGTGTTGAAAACAGAGACTTGTTTGTGTGGCCCCAACACCCATAAGGAAACCAGGCTTTAGGCCCAGGGGAGCAGTGGAGGTAAGGGCTCCACCCCATCTTAAGCTCTGTCTTCCGTGGCACAATTCCAAGTTCTTGACGTTAGTAATTGTTAAAGGAATGGCAAACTGTTTTGTTTTGAAGGATCTTTCTACAGTCTGGTCTTACCCATGTTCCTAGCAACCCTGAGATGATTTTCTTCCATTTACCAAAGCAGCCGGGTCAGTGCTTTCTCACGTTGCCGTATTCTTCAGGTATTAGTCAGCTTCAGAAGCCCTGCTCCCATTTTTCCACCCACCCATTCCCCCATAAAACAGCTTATTGTCTCCAAGACAATAGACATTTAAAATGTGATGCGGGTTTATGATCCAGACCACAATCAGAATTATATCTTGGGTCATTTATGTGCCGTCTGTTCTTGATTCTCTATGCTCTAAATCGGTGTTTTTCAAACTGTGGTTGCAGTCCTTTGGTGGATTATGGCCAGCATTTTTTAAATAGGTAGAATAGAATAAAGTAAAATAGAAAATAGCAGAGTACATTGCTCTCAGTGTAGGTAAGTATTGTTTTGTTAGTCATATGTGCATGTGTGTACTGAGTGCCATGTAAAATGTATTCCTGCTGTGGTAAGCTGTGGTCGAGGAGTTTGAAAGCCATTGCTTTCAAATTCCTCTCAATTATACTGACCCTAGTCAGATGGGTCAGCCTGGGCAAGGGCCCACATTTACATTTCCTTTCTGTAAGGGACAATGGGCAATTATCACTCAGCTCTTGATAGGCAGGGAGGAAGACCAGAGAAGAACATCGACATAGAGAAACAAGAGTTTATTCCAATGGAGAAGCAGCTGAGCCGAGGGCTTGCCATTGGGCCTGGGGTCTGCAGTTACAGAAGCAGCAGGAGGCAGACAAGGAAAGGCACAGCACAAGACCCAGGAAAGTGGACCTTGTGGAGCAAGGCAGTGAGGGCGAGGAAAGCTTTTAGGATTTTGAGACCAGGTGCTATGGCACAAGTGATAAGTGAGCCCTCTCCTTTCCTTCTGAGGGCAGGGGAGGCAGCTGAGAAAGGGCAGGGGAGGCAGCTGAGAAAGGGCAGGCCAGGTGTCACAGGCAGCTCCTTGCATCCCGGTTCTTCTCTAACCCAGTCAACCCCAGGCTCAAGACTGTTTCAGCCCAACGGTCCCAGTTCCCTTGTTCAGGTTAGCTGTACCACTGTCTTTCTCTGCTCCTTTTTTGTTTGTTTTTGGAGACAGGGTCTCACTCCTTCACCCAGGCTGGAGTCCGATGGCACGAACTTGGCTCACTACAACCCCCATCTCCCAGGTTCAAGCAACTCCTATGCCTCAGCCTTCCAAGTAGCTGGGATTACAGGTGTTCACCACCATACCTGGCTAATTTTTGTATTTTTTAGTAGAGATGGGGTTTTGCCATATTACCCAGGCTGGTCTCAAACTCCTGACCTCAAGTGATCCACCCACCTCAGCCTCCCAAAGTGCTGGGATTACAGGCATGAGCCATTGCGCCTGGCCTCTTTCTTTACTCCTAATCCATGATTTGAGAGACTCAAACCAGCCAGAAAGACTCTCAGGGATCTGGCGTCTTAAGGTTCGGGTTCTTCTCTTCACAGTGAATTCAAAAAAGCCTCTGTCTCCTGACAGACCCCAAACTTTAAAAAAAAAAAAAAAGCCTCTGTCTTTTTGCTTTGGCAAAGCCTGGCAGGGGGTTAGAAAGCCACTGATTCCAGGACAATACAAGCTTAAGCTCAAGAGGCCAGAGATGGGGATAGGAAGAAGGCCTAATGAGGTGGATAGTTCTAGAAATCAGAAAGAATGCTGAATAGGTGAAGTCTGAGTGGTGACAACCTCACTGTCCTGTCTGCCTCACAGGAGCAGTTCTCTACAAGGCTCTTCCACACACACACACGCAAGGCTCAGGGGCTCGGTGGGTACAAAAAGCCAGTGGAAACGGATAAATACCTATAGCGTTAATAGCAGAAGTATGTCCAAGGTTTTGCACAGGGTAATCAAACTAACTGGCTTCAGACATTTGCAGCCACAGGAAAAAATAGCTCTCAGCCTTATGAGATGGACATTCCTATACTAACTCCCGCTCTTTGTTGTATTGAATTCTGGCTGTTTCTTCCCCCACTCAACTGTGAGCAGATGTGCACAGACTCCGAGAGGCAGACACCAGGAGGTCCAGGGACATAGGTTGGTGAGGCATGGCGGTCTAGTTGTGGGAGATAATGAGGCCCAGAAGGTGTGGTGAGAGACATGGTGGTGTGGGAAGTTGAGTTGTGTTTGGGGTGGTATTGGGTGATGGACAAGGACAGCAGTCAGCAGAGCCTTCGACCCAGCCCAAGCAGGCACCCCATTGTGCTTAGGTTCCTATCTGTGGTCTTGATTTGGCTTTGCTTTTCTTGGGAGGAAGATGAATCAGAATCCTGGCATCGTGGGCCCTCTAGTGAAAACTCGTCCTGGGGAGTAGGACAGCTGCTGAGAAGCAGAGAGGAATGCGGCCAGCTGGGGAAAATGGGACAGCAGGGGTCAGGGAGGTGATTGGAAGGGCAGACACCATAGTCCCCAGCTACCTGGCTTCAAGAGCCCCCGTTCCCCACACGCCTCTTCTTCTAAGGCAAGGTCTTTCCCTCTGGGGACTGACTGAGACAGCAGTCACTGGCCAGGCTCTTGGTACAAAGGCAGGAAGGGTAGCTCTGAGAACGGGGCTTTCAGCCGCAGCACTCCGTGCTCCAGGTCGATGCAGCACTGCGGGGTGTAGAGCAGTCATGCCAGGTCACCTCAGCCCGCCACCTGCCTCCCGGCCTGCTCCTTTTGTTCCCCCTCCCACTTCCCACAGCTTCCACCTGCCTTTTGCTCTTCCCCCATCCCCATTTCCCTAGACTCCTGTTGAAGGGGGTGACCCAGTTCTCTTGATTTTTCACTTGGTGGTAAGTAAGGAACCTCTAAGGAAGCAAAGGGACAGTTGCCCATCTCTAAGTCACTCTCATCAGAACCTGGTCCAGGTTCCACACCTGTGCCTTCTACTACTTTTTCCCAGTGCTTTGGGTCAGGCCCTGAGTGGGTGCCTTACCTTGAGAGAAAGCAGAGTCTGCAGGCCCAGGCAGAATTCAGGACTCTCAGCATCTATAGGAACAATTTGAAAACAGAAGAGGCTGAGGGTTCCCAGTGGTCACTGCTGCCCTCCTCTTAGCCGTTGCTCCTTCTCTGCCCACCCCATCCCCAGATCCGAGGACACTGGCACAGAGATGGGGGATAGTCAGAACATCTCTGGGAACTCCTCGTGCTGCAGGGAGTGAAAGTCTCAGCCTTTGCCCCACCCCAAAGAGAAAGGTGAGGTGAGCACCAGGGCTGTTGCAGAAGGGGGGACTTACCCACCACCTGTGCCGAGCACACCACAGTCTCCTGCCCCAGCTGTAGCTCCAACTGCTCCACCTGGGTTGGGGGCCCAGGGGCCAGGTCCCCAGCTGAGGCTTTTAGGACCCTTTTCTCTAACCTGTGGTTGGGAAGCAAGGGTTATGGCTACCACAGCCCCTAGAGGGTTCCACCCCATTAATCAGCAGGTGTCCCTCTCTACTATGGTTTCATCTCCAACCCCTGACCTCACGTGGGGTCTAAATCCTTGCCTTCTCTGCCAGAGTCTTCTAGCCACTCTTTTGTTAAATAACAGCTTTATTGAGATAAAATATGCAACTGTCGTCACTATCTAATTTGAGAATATTTTCATCACCCCAAAAAGAAACCCTGTCCCCCACTTGCTTGTTTGGGCCACATTCTTACCCCAGGCGGCTGAGACATCCAGCAGAGATCCGATTGTATTGGGTGCCTGTGTCAACGGCCACTCTAAGCAGCTGGTCCTGGCACTAAGAAAGAAGAATCGTGGTGAATCAGTGAGTCCCTAGGAGAATGGGTTGGAATTGGATCCTTCAGTTTCCCAGCCCATTGATGATTCCCTCCTAGAAATGAGTGGAGAAAATGAACTGTCTTTAAAACTGGCTTTTATCGGGGCCAGGCGCGGTAGCTCACGCCTGTAATCCCAGCACTTTGGAAGGCCGAGGCGGGTGGATCACCTGAGGTCGGGAGTTCAAGACCAGCCTGACCAGGGTTTAGTAGAAACCCTGTCTCTACTAAAAATACAAAATTAGCTGGGTGTGGTGGCGCATGCCTGTAATCCCAGCTACTCGGGAGGCTGAGGCAGGAGAATCGCTTGAACCCGAGAGGCGGAGGTTGTGGTGAGCCAAGATCACGCCATTACACTCCAGCCTGGGCAACAAGAGCAAAACTCTGTCTCAAAACAAACAAAAAAACTGGTTTTTATGAGACTCATACAATAGGGGCAGAACTCCCAGATAAATAAATCAAAAAAGGAAGTGGACCAGGTGCGGTGGCTCATGCTTGTAGTTCTAGCACTTTGGAGGCAAGAGGATCACTTGAAGCCAGGAGTTCAAGACCAGCCTAGGCAACATAGCAAGACTCTGTCTCTACAAAAAATAAAATGGAAAAAAAAAAAGTGGTTATATGTGATGGGTTCATAAGTTTGGGGAAGATCTGCCAGAAATGGAGAAACGGTGATTTGTTTGTTTAGAGGAATCCTTGGGAGTTTGATGGCCTCCTGGTTCGAAAACTCCAGGTTAGGAATAGAGGAAGGATGAGAAGACTGGAATCCCTGTTAGGAAACTCAGATATGAGTAACCAAGAAGTTCGCTATTGGAAACAAAGGAAGACAACTTCACCTACTTTGGGACATAGACATTTTGATATACGCTTGGATATACACACACATCGTTTTCTCATTCCAAACATTCATTGAGTATTTACTATAAGATATGTTACCGGAAGGTATATCAATGAATGCTATTCTTCAGGAGTCTAAAGGAAGTATAATATAACTCTACTATATGGCAGAAAGTTTTATGGTCTATAAAAGGATGTGAATGCCCTGGCCCTGTGGCTCACACCTATCTATAATCCAAGCACTTTGGGAGGCCAAGGTGGAAGGATCGCTTGAGGCCAGGAGTTCAGGACCAGCCTGACCAACGTGGTAGTCTAAAAATACAAAAAAAGAATTAGCCAGCTGTGGTGGCGCACACTTGTAATTTTAGCTACTCAGAAGACTGAGGTGGGAGGATCGCTTGAGTCCAGGAGGTTGAGGCTGCAATGAGCTCTGATCATGCCACTACACTCCAGCCTGGGTGACAGAGTAAGAATCTGTCTCTAAAAAATAAACAAAAGGACCGGAAAAGTCGAGGGGTGCGGTGGCTCACGCCTGTAATCCCAGCACTTTGGGAGGCCGAGGTGGATGGATCACCTGAGGTCAGGAGTTTGAGACCAGCCTGACCAACCTGGAGAAACCCCATCTCTACTAAAAATACAAAATTAGCCAAGTGTGGTAGTGTGGGCCTATAGTCCCAGCTACTTAGGAGGCTGAGGCAGGAGAATCGCTTGAACCCAGGAGGCAGAGGCTGCAGTGACACAAGATCATGCCACTGCACTCCAGCCTGGGTGACAGAGCGAGACTCTGTCTCAAAAAAAATTTTTTTTTTTAAAAAAAGGACGTGAGTAACATGCCTTAGAGGTTGGGAGGGAGGAAAGGCTGTTTCCTACTGGGGAAATCAGAAAAGGTTTCAAGGAGGAGGTAACATCTGAGCTGGGCTTTTGCTTGCAGAATGCGGACCCAGAATGATTGGAGAGCAAGAAGAGCAATCCACATAGAAGAAGCACAGAGCAAAGACGGTGGCCGAGGACCAGTGGGAATTTATTGCGAATGTTCAATAGTGACTGAGTGGTTAAGTGGTTCCAGAGATTACAGGGCCAATGCCTTAGAACACATGAGTTTTTTCCAGAATTACGTTATCCATGCACACACACCATTTGTCTGTGTAGAGCACACTGAGGAGTACTTACTTAATTTAAGTATTGTATTTTGACCAAGGAAGGGGGGCAGAGTAATGGTGGTGACAGATGGAGTTGCACCGAGGAGACATGGCTTGGGGCAGGGAGGAAGGAGGTAGAGGATCCTGGTTAGGTCCAGGCTAGGGAGAGAGGTGCCCTTTCTCCCTCCCTCCCTCTCCCATCAGGGCAGAGCAGAAAGGAGAGCAGGTGAAGTGAGTGCAGGCAGGGTTGTTAATGAAAGTGTGTCCCTGGGAGGCCTCTCACCTTGCAGTTGACCAGAAGAGCTGGAATCTCTGTCCTGCTGGTCTTCCTCCTGCTCTCCTGGCCATGAATCAGGTCCTGCATCCGGGGAGGCTCCCCCTGAAGCCAATTCGGGTTTCCCTCCACCAGGCGTCTTTGGATCACACTGCGCGGCTGCTGGCTCCATCACAAAACAATGAAGGTAGGCAGTTCTAAACCCAGGCATCCAGGCTGCTCAGTTACCCCACTTAGATACCCCAGGATGCTCCCCCCACCCCCCCAGCCCTGAGCCTTACCCTAGGAGTTTACCCTAGGGTCCCAGATAATGAGAGCAGAGTAAGCCCCAGTATCAAATCATGCCGTTTTCCTTGGACACCCATAGATTGCTCAGCAGTGAAGAAATGGGAAGAGGAGAATGGTCCATTCTCTGTTAAACTGACTTAGTAGCCGAAGGGACATTTCAGGAATTAGTATGCTTGGGGGAAGTTTTGTCTCAAACTTACATTTTTTTTTAACTAGGAGGGTTTTTTTTTTCTTCCCCTCTGACCTCATCCTTCAATGGGCTTCAGATCCCAGGGTTGATGGTATGATGAAAAACAGTAAGAAACTCAAGAACTAGGCCAGGCGTGGTGGCTCACATCTGTACTCCCAGCACTTTGGGAGGCCGAGGTGGGTGGATCACTTGAGGTCAGGAGTTCGAGACCAGCCTGGCCAACATGGTGAAACCCTATTTCTACTAAAAATACAAAAATTAGCTAGATGTATTGGCATGTGCCTGTAGTCCCAGCTACTCGGGAGGCTGAAGTGTGATAGTCACCTGAACCTAGAAGGCAGAGGTTGCAATGAGCCAAGATCACACCACTGCACTCCAGTCTGGTTGACAGAGCAAGACTCTGTCTCAAAAAAAAAAACCAAACAAAAAAAACTCTTAAGAACTAGGATGCTGGGAGTCATCTTTGACCTGTCCCTCATCTACAACCACTCCCATTCCATCCAGTCACTTCCCAAATTCTATAAGTTTTGCCTCCTGTGTAGAATCAATCTGTCCCTCCTTTCCTTCTCTCTCTTCTTTCTTTTCTTTCTTTTTCTTTTCTTTCAAGATGGGATCTTGCTATGCTGCCCAGACTGGACTCTAATTCCTTGGCTCAAGGCATTCTCTAGCCTCAGCCTCCTGAGCAGCTGGGACCAAAAGCATATGCCACAGTACCTGGCCTCCATCCTTCCTTTCTGTTACTGCCTGTGTTCCAGACTCCCCACAGCTCTCTCGGATCCTTGGAACACCTTCTTAAGTTCATAACCTGTCTCCAGACCTGTTACCTTTCAAATACATCTGCTTGGAGCTTCAGCCTGGAAGCTAAAAACCTTGCTACTCCAAAATGTGGTCCTCAGATCAGCAACTTTAACATCATTTCGAAGCCTCTTAAAAATGCACTCTCATACCTACCGAATCAGATGTTTCATTGTGACAAGATCCCCAGGTGATTCATGTGCAGGTTAAAGTTTGAGAAGCACCAAAGTAAAACATGAAACTAACCATGTCTTCTCTTATTTAAAATGCATCAAAGACCCCCCACCCTACCCCGCATTGCTTTCATGATAGAGCTCAAGCTTTTGAAGGTGATCCACAGTCCACATGACCGGGCCGTGCCTCCTTCCCTGCCACTCTGTTTATGGGCCCCAGAAGCACCGCTCATACCAGGCCGCTTTTTGCCTCCATGTCTTCACTCCTCTCTCCTCTCTCCTCTCTTCCTGAAACTCCTCTTCCTCACTCTTCTCGAGGCTAGACTGGATGACTGGCTTAACACACTTTATTTGAGAGAGAGGTTGTATCTTAAGTTTGAGATTCTGTGTACATCCTATAATGCAGGATGTACCCTCTCCAGGATACCCTCTCTGAGTTCTTCATGCTCCTCTCTCCATACACGCCAAGCTGGGGTCCCTTGTCTTAGCTCCCTTTTCCATGCTTCTCACAAATGTTATGTATGGATTTTACTCCCCCATTAGCCTGGAGAGCGCTTGAGTCTACCTCACTCATTTTTATATCCCAGGGCATGGCTCAGCATCTAGTAGGCACTCAATAAATGCTTGCTGCAGACTGACTCTTCCCCCAGGCTCTATGCACCTCTCCACCTGCCCTCTCTCCTTGGGATCCTGGGATTGTTTTTCTACCCTTAGATTAATGAGGCCCTTGGGGTTGCTCCTGGCAGCAAGGCTGCCAGCAGTAGACCCAGTGCTGGGAAAAGTTCAGCGAGCTCTGGGATTGGCTGGAGAGACTGGCTCTGCACTTCCCATCTTCCACCTTCCCACGATGAACACAGGCTTCAGGCCCCTCCCGCTGTTGTGCAGTTTGCTCCTCAGCCATCCCAGGGAGGGAGACGATGGGGTCTTCCCTGCCTGTTGTGCCTTTGCTCCCAGAGCCATAGGAGGTAACTGCTAGGGATCAATTGGGGATATCCTAGGCAGAGGGGAGAGGTGAAAAGCCCGGGACTTTCTCATTAGAAGGCGGGACCTGCCACTCCGGGATGGCAATGTCAGTAGAGCACCTTCTCCTGGGGCCAAACACATGTAGGATGGTCCCCAGTAGGTTCCAGCCATTGAGAGCCGAAGAACCCGCTTCCCTGCTCCATCCCTGTTTTTCAGCTATGCTTGCTGCCACTGCAAGTAGGAATAAGCCCCTGGCAGTTCCCTGAATTAAGTCTCAGTGCAATCCCTTTTCTCGTTGGGAGCTAGGGAATTGCCAGACCTCTGGGCTGTGGTCCTGGTGGGGGCAACCCAGGCTGAGAGGAGTCTGGAAAGGTGGAGCTAAGTAGGGAAAGGCGAGGTGCTGCACTGGCCTTCAGGTTCCCGGGGAGAAGCAGTTGGTGGAGCACAGGCCTGCAGACATGCTTCCAACCTGTCAGTACAGGCCTGGTTGAGTACCTCTTCTCAGACTAGGAGAGGGGACAGGGAACCGAGTGCTCCCAAGCCTTTCTACAAAGGATTTCCTCTCTTCCACGGGTCAGAGGCCAGGAATATTTCTCAGACTAAATGGAGTAATAGCTGGGGGAATAATAATAATAGCATTTAGATAGTGCCTGCTATTAGGCACTGTTCTAAGTGCTTTAAATATATTAGCTCTAACAACTCTCCCAACAATCCTATGATTGATTTGATTCTCATTTAACAGATGAAGAAACTGAGGCACAGAGACGTAAAGTCAATTGCACAAGTTAGTAAATGGCAGAGCCAGGATCTGATCCCAAGCGAAGTGGCTGCGCAGCCCCGCTTGTCAGCATTGCCTCTCAGAGGGGAATGCCTGAATCTGCAGTTTTCCGCCGCCCACTCACATCCTCACTGTTACTCCCCTGCCCCATTCCTCTGAGGCCAAAGCTGCTGCAGACATGGGATGGGAGGAGAGGAGCCTGGAAGGTCCATTCCACTCAGGAGTTGGGGGAGCAGCACTCAAGGCGGCCAGGGGCCCCCGGCAAGAGCCACACAAAACCCTGATGCCCTGGGAAGGATGGAGACCCCCGATGTTTTGATTCTGAGGAGAAAGGACAAGTGGATAGACAGACCTGGTCTGGGGAACCTGTGGTTCGGGGGAAGCAGGAAGTCACAACCCTAAACTGGCCAGTCCTCCAGGCCCTCCTGGTTGTAAGTGACCACTCTAGAGGGTTCCTGTGTTCCTGTAAGCCCCCACTTCTAAACAGCCTAGCTCCTCACCACCCTCAAGTTTGGGGCCATTAGAGGAAAAAGGGAAGCCAAGCAATGAGAGAATAGGAACCCTCAGAGCCACCAAACCATGGGAACATCCCCGGTGAAGAGCCTTGAGTTGGCAGGATGACCTCTCCCCATCTCAGCAAGGGAGCGGGACCTGAAAGCTGAGGGTCTGCACTTTCTGGTCCTGCCTCCTGCTCAGGATCTGGGAAGTGGAAGGAAAAGGCCAGGGGACGCTGGCAGGGGAGGGGTGATGCCTCACCAAGTCCTTGGAGGTGCCGAGCCTCTTGAGGCTGTCCAGCGGGAGCAGGTCGGCCGAGTCCTTGTGCAGGAACTGGGTGGCCTGTTTGAGCCGGCGCTGCTGGCTCAGGTGGGCTCGGTCTCGAAGCTGTGCCTCCTGCCCCCTCGTCCTGGCTTCTCCCTCATCTCTCCTGGCCTCCTGCTTGGTGCTCATGGCCCCTGCTGGAGGAGTGGGCCAGGGGCTGCTCGGTGGGGGCGTCACCGAGTCCTCTCTGCTTCTTCCTGCCTGTCTCTGTCCCGTGCTGCAGCTCTCTTTCCAACAGGAGGGTCTCCACGGGAGGGAAAGAGGAAAAATAAATAACATGCAGGAGCAGCCGCGTCAGTCTCCAATTTCCCGAGATTGCTGTAGAGGGAGTGAGACTCCGGCTGGAAAAACCCAGTCCTAGAAGAGAGGGAGGGTTGGCAGGGCCCACAGCTGGCTGACTTGGCCGCATCCCCAACGCTGGGGTCCTGGTCAGAGCGGGCGGTGGATGGGGCGTATGTGTGTGTGTGTGTGTGTGTGTGTGTGTGTGAGAGAGAGAGAGAGAAGGAGAGTGAGAGACAGTGCTGTAAACTGTCAGGGTGCCCGTGCCAGGTGGTTTGCGAGGAAGCGCTTGTCACTGTGTGGGGGCAGCAGCCTTAGTGCACCTCCCAGCGTGTGTGGCCCCCGCCCTCCTCTGCATCCCTCCCAGGCTTCCCAGGACTGCCCAGCTGTTTTCTCCTGGCATTATCTGCAGCCCAGGGCTGGCGCGCAGGCCAGTAACTGGGTTCAGATCAAAGAGGGGCAGCATGAGAGCGTCCTTCCCTCCTCTCATCCCCCTAGCCTTACCTTGTTAGGTCTCTTGCCTCCCGCCTAGCAGATGTCAGAGTCTTTAACTAATTGACTCTGGATTCTGGGTTCCAGGGAATGACAGGAACAACTCTGAATCTTCCCACGAGTAGAAATTGTCCCTGGCATCTCAGTCTCCTTTATATGACTCTCCTCAAGTCCTGGCTCTTTAAAAAATGTTGCATTTCAAATATACAGAAGTTATAAAGAATAAGATAACCAGTACTCTTCACTCATCACCAGTTTAAAAAATAAGCTGTTGAAGCTCCCTGTGCACTTCCACTTCCGCCTGCTGAAATTGGTGTTTATCAGGCCCAGACTTCTTTATATTCTTTATGCAAATACTTACATATGCATTCTAAGCAATATGTCGTTGGTTTTGTCCTACTCACTGTATTTATTCTTCTGCAATCTGCTCTTTTTTGCTGAATAGTTTTTGTTAGTGAGATTCATCCATACGGTATGCCCAGCTCTAGTTAATTGACTTCACCTGCTGTGTAACATAGTATTCCATTAGATGCATGCATGACATTGAGGAAATGTAGGTTATTTTTCATTTTTAGGTCTAACAAACAATGCTGCTATGAATATTTTTGCACACATCTCCTGGGGCACCTATGTAGGCATTTCTCTAGAGTATACACCTACACCTAGGAGTGGAATTGCTGGGGCATCCCATATACAGCTTTGCCTTTTTGGCATATTGCCAGAGTGTTTTTACCAGTGCACACTGAGACAGCTGCACACAGGGGCTCCTGAGGTTCCACATCCTCTCCAGGACTTGGTATCAGACTTTTTCTAGCCCTGGCTTATCAGCAGATTTTTCTCTCCAGCCTTTCCTCTTCACCATCAGGGAAACGCATTGGCCAAGCACCTGTTTACCTGTGTTGGATGCTCACAGGGTGATTACCCCACCTGAGCCCTGCTCCCTAAGGGTGCAGTCTGACTCAGACAGCTCCAAGGCACATGTACTTTCAGACAAACCAGATGTCTGCTGAGCTTCTAGGAACCAAGCCTCTTTGAGACACTTTCACAACCACTGCAATTATATGAAGAAATACTGTATTCTAATCCCCATTTAGAGGGAAAGAAAGTGTTATGGGTTGAATTGTTTCCTTCACCCCCCAAATGTACCCCTAACCCCTAGTACCTCAGAAGGCGACCTCATTTGGAGATAGGGCCTTTACAGATATGGTGAAGTTAAGATGAGGTCATTAGGATGAGCCTACTCCCATATGACTGCGCTCTTATTAAAAGGAGGAAGTGGGACGCAGAGAGAAACGCACATGGGGAGAACGCCACGTGAAGGCTGAGGTCGGGATAATGCATCTGCAAGCCAAGGAACACCTAAGAGGACCAGCAAACCACCAGAAGCCAGGGGAGAGGCGTGGAACAGACCCTGCCTTACAGCTGTCAGAAGGAACCAACCCTGCCAACACCTTCCTGTTGTACTTTCAGCTTCCAGAACTGTAAGATGACAAATTTCTATTGTTTTAGCCACTCAAGCTTGTGATACATACTTTGTTATGGCATCCCCAGGAAACTAGTACATTAAGTCTTAGGACCCAGCACAGTGGTTCACGTCTGTAATCCCAGCACTTTGGGAGGCTGAGGCGGGTGGATCACCTGAGATCAGGAGTTCGAGACCAGCCTGGCCAACATGGTGAAACGCTGTCTCCACTAAAAATGCAAAAAATTAGCTGGGCATGGCCGGGCGCGGTGGCTCACGCCTGTAATCCCAGCACTTTGGGAGGCCGAGGCAGGCGGATCACGAGGTCAGGAGACCGAGACCATCCTGGCTAACACAGTGAAACCCCGTCTCTACTAAAAATACAAAAAAATTAGCCGGGCGCGGTGGCAGGCGCCTGTAGTCCCAGCTACTCAGGAGGCTGAGGCAGGAGAATGGCGTGAACCCGGGAGGTGGAGCTTGCAGTGAGCCGAGATCACGCCACTGCACTCCAGCCTAGGCGACAGAGAGAGACTCCGTCTCAAAAAAAAAATTAGCTGGGCATGGTGGCACACGCCTGTAATCCCAACTACTTGGGAGGCTGAGGCAGGAGAATTGCTTGAAGCCGGGAGGAGGAGGTTGCAGTGAGACAAGATTGTGCCATTGCACTCCAGCCTGGGCAACAAGAGTGAAACTCCGTCTCAAAAAAAAAACCCAAAAAACAAAAACAAAACAAAATTAAAAATTAGCCAGGTGTGGTGGCATGTACCTATAGTCTCAACTACTCAGGAGGCTGAGGTGGGAGGATCACTTGAGTCCAGAAATTCGAGGCTGCAGTGAGCTATGATGGCACCACTGAACTCCAACCTGGGTGACAGAGCGAGACACTGTCTCTAAAAGAAAAAAATTCTTAGAAAATATGCCCAAGATTCAGTTATGATATAGCAGAGCAGGTGGTCCAGTCCTTGTGTTCTCTCTCCCAAGGTCTGTTCAATTTACGCTGTGCCTAAAGGAGAATACTGATAGAGATGATAAACACGGAAAGAAAACCAAACTGCAATAGGATGCCATTTCTCAAGATTTGCCCCACCCAGAGCCGAGCTTCATTTAGACTTAGCTTTAGTGGAACTTTCTAGCTCCCTCCCATGTCTTGACATCCATTACCACCATATGTTTGCTTGGGATAGAGGTCAAAGAGGATCCTCTGGCATGTTTTGCTGGGTTCCTGTAGTCATTTCAACAGGATTAACTATAATCTATAATTGATAGATTATTGAGTGACACACAGCGTGATGCTGGGCAGGCCCCAAGCTGAAAAGCATCTCCTCCAACTTACTTTATTCTTAGCAATTCATTCCTTTGGTTTGAAAATTCTTCAGCATCTTCAAGAGTCCTTTACTAATGCATCCTTTGGGGGAGTTGTGCTAAATTATCAACTCACAAGGATGAGATGGCTGGCTCTAGGGAGCCAGCCTGCCAACATGGATGGGCTGTCCCAGGCTCTCAAGTGAGCTCAGGTCTGTACACTGCACTCCAGGGAAGAGTAAATGTGCCTGGGGCATAGAATGGAGACTTTGGAGTTTGGAGTTTGGAGTGGGTTTGGGGACATCAGCTTCTCTCTTCCAGTTAGTCTGATAAGTCCTTTGTTGCCTGGCCCTGGAAACCACTTGTGCTCCGAAAATGCCATTCTCTGGAATGTAGCTGTGGAGTAGGGAGAGAGTTGGCCCCTGTGTTCTGTAACCCAAGCAAGTACTGTCTCACTGCCATCTTGGGGCAGACTCCGCAGTAAGGAGAATCTCTCTTGCCTTTTTGTGTTTCTTGGTTTCTTCCTTTGTAAATACAAGGCATAGTCTCTGCCCTTCCCCCAGATTGCCAGAAGAGTGGGATATATTGTTCTAGCAATATAAAGCTCTGAGGCCTTTCTGCAGGACTGTAGACACCACTTTGCTGTGATAGTGAAGAATGTGGGGAGTGTTGTGAGGCTAGGCGAGCGGCCCGGCCTTGCCCATGACAGCTCAGTCTCCTCCCCTCATAACTTTTTTACCTAACAGAGAATTAAAAAAAAAAAACAATTTAGCTGGGCACAGTGGCTCATGCCTGTAATCCCAGCACTTTGGGAGGCTGAGGCAGGTGGATCACTTGAGGTCAGGAGTTCGAGACCAGCCTAACCAATGTAGTGAAACGCTGTCTCTACTAAAAATACAAAAATTAGGCAGGCATAGTGGCGCATGCCTGTAATCCGAGCTACTCAGATGCTGAAGTGGGGGAATCACTTGAACCTGAAAGGCAGAGGTTACAGTGAGCCGAGATCATGCCACTGCACTCCAGCCTGGGTGACAGGGTGAAACTCCGGCTCAAAAAAAAACCAAATAATTAATCAACAAGGAATAACTCCATTGGTCTCTAATAATGAGACAGAGGGGGAAGAAACTTCGTCCAACTATTCAGGAAGATTAAGCAATTCTGAACCGTTAGGAGTAGAAGAAGTGAGCGTATTCTCGTCCAAAACACTTGGAAAATGTCTGT